>NC_000003.12:22510000-23760000 GCF_000001405.40 Homo sapiens | reverse complement strand
CCTCCTGGGTTCAAGCGATTCTCCTGCCTCAGCCTCCCTAGTATCTGGGATTACAGGCGCCCACCACCATGCCCAGCTAATTTTTGTATTTTTAATAAGGACAGGGTTTTGCTATGTTGGCCAGGCTGGTCTTGAACTCCTGACCTCAGGTGATCTGCCCACCTCGGCCTCCCAAAGTGCTGGGATTATAGGCGTGAGCCACCACACCCAGCCATGACTACTATTATTATCCATGAACTCATTTGACTATAAGAATGACTTGTTGTGAAGTTGGTTGGACTGGGATATTTTCCTCTTCTGATAAGTGAGGAAAGTGAGATCAGAAAGTAAAAAGCAAGCATGGGGCCAGAGGAAGCGAAGGAGAGAGAGAGGGGCTCATAGGATTGGGAGATGGCTAACACGAGCAAGGAGCATCTAAGGGGACAGGCCCACCCTCTTGCCACAGCAGCTTTAAGTTTCCTACTGTATGCAAGGGAGGGGTCCTGACCTGCAGAATACTGACACCAAGATAAAGTCATTTAAATTAAACCTACTTACTGAAGGGACTGAAACTTTACAGTAAATAGAGGGGAAAAAAATAGATTAGCATTTTATTTTGAAAAAAAGGACACCTTGGCCAGGTGCGGTGGCTCACAACTGTAATCCCAGCACTTTGGGAGGCCGAGGTGGGTGGATCACCTGAGGTCAGGAGTTCAAGATCAGCCTAGCCAACATGGTGAAACCCCGTCTCAACCAAAAATACAAAAAAATTAGCCGGGCGTGGTGACGGGCACCTGTAATCCCAGCTACTAGGAAGTCTGAGGCAGGAGAATCGCTTGAACCCTGGAGGCAGAGGTTGCTGTGAGCCGAGATGGCGCCACTGCACTCCAGCCTGGGTGACAGAATGAGACTCTGTCTCAAAATAAATAAATAAATTAATTAATTTAAAAAAAGAGGACACAAAAAATTTTGAAAATAACTTCACCTTCTAACAAAGTTTAGATCATGGTTTAGGCTATGTGCTAATTATTAGAACAAAGAATCTAAACTTTTTTTTCTGACAAAATTGAATGGTATCCTTCACTTCATTTTTGACTTTTATTTCACATTCATAAAGAAGGTCATTTTTTTTCCCCACAAAGGTATTTGACAGCCTTATCAATTTTTAAAGGAGTTTTCTGAACCCTTGTCATTTACATTGTCTTCTCCCCCTGGTCTATTTTCTCCTGGGTAGCTGTTATCTGGTCTCAAGGCTTTGAGCAGTCCTGCTATGTTACTTTCATGAACTCCATGAAACCCTGAGACTTTGCAAGATTTGCAAGTTCGTTTTGTGAACCAATCTGCATTGAATTTGAATGATAATTTTGGAGGTGCTACAAACCACAGAGGTGTCAATGAGATGGGTGAGAACGGCTGTGGAATAGGAAGAGACTTTATTTGTGTATAGGCTGTGTCATATTCCCTTAGCAAATAGTTTCATATTATAATAATTTTTGCTTCATAAGCAAGTCATAACTGTAGGCACTTGGGTAACAAATACTCAGATAACAACCATCCCTTGTACAGGAATGCAGCACATTTTTTTTTTAATAAACACAGATTTCTGTGGACAGAAATGTGGTTAAAAGTCTTTTCCATCAGTGGGATGGCTGAGATATCAGACAGAGCAAACAAGTAACGATAGTAACAGATTATATATAACACAATGAATAAAATAAGAAACCATAGGCCGGGCGCAGTGGCTCAAGCCTGTAATCCCAGACTTTGGGAGGCCGAGGCGGGAGGATCACGTGAGATCAGGAGTTTGAGACCAGCCTGGCCAACATGGTGAAACCCCATCTCCACTAAAAATACAAAAATTAGCCGGGTGTGGTGCTGCGCACCTGTAGTCCCAGCTACTCTGGAGGCTGAGGCAGGAGAATTGCTTGAACCCAGGAGGCAGAAGTTACAGTGAGCTGAGATGGTGCCACTGCACTCCAGCCTGGGCAACAGAGCAAGACTCTGTCTCAAGAAAAAAAAAAGAGAAAAGAAAAGAAAAAAAAAGAAACCACTAGCTCATTCTGATATAAATAAAAATTCAATTAAATGTTTGATGGGGAATGAAATATTTACATAGTTTCAAGGATTTCCACAAAATACTTATGAAAGGGAAAAGAGTCACTTTGTAGCAATGAGTCTGACAGACACCACTTTATCAAGGGGTCTAAGTGAGCATCCCCCAGAATAGGATGAATGGAAACTGTACCCCACACAATAAGAAGAATCCAGCTTCACTTCTGCAATATTCCTGTCTAAATCTAAACAAGAGAAAACCAAAATTGAGGGCATTCTACATGTTTGGCCTATAGTCTTTAAAAATGTCAGAAGACACGCTGGGTGCAGTGGCTCACGCCTGTAATCCCAGCACTTTGGGAGGCCGAGGAGGGTAGTTAACTTGAGGCCAGGAGTTTGAGGCCAGCCTGGCCAACAGGGCGAAACCCCATCTCTACTAAAAATACAAAAAAATTAGCCAGGCCTGGTGGCGGGTGCCTGTAATCCCAGCTACTTGGGAGTCTGAGGCAGGAGAATGGCTTGAACCCGGAGGCGGAGGTTGCAGTGAGCCAAGATCACACCATTGCACTCCAGCCTGGGTGACAGAGCAAGATTCTGTCTAAAAAAAAAATTACTGTAATCCCAGCACTTTGGGTGGCCGGCTGAGGCAGGTGGATCACGAGGTCAGGAGTTCAAGACCAGCCTGGCCAAGATGGTGAAACCCCATCTCTACTAAAAATACAAAAAGTTAGCTGGGTGCAGTGGCAGGTGCCTGTAGTCCCAGCTACTCAGGAGGCTAAGGAAGGAGAATTGCTTGAACCAAGAGGGTGGAGGTTGCAGTGAGCCAAGATCGTGCCACTGCACTCCAGCCTGGGCGACAGAGTGAAACTCTGTCTCAGAAAAAAAAAATTACAAAAATTAGCTGGGTGTGGTGGCACACGCCTGTAAGTCCAGCTACTTGGGAAGCTGAGGTGGCAGAATCGCTTGAACTCCTGGAAGTGGGAGATTGCAGTGAGCTGAGATCGTGCCACTGCACTCCAGCCTGGGCGACAGAGTGAGACTCTGTCTCAAAAAAAAAAAAAAAAAAAGTCAAGGACATAAAAATTAAAGAAAGAATAAGGAGCTGTTCCAGACTGAAGGAGCCCAAAAAGCCATGGCAGCTGGGTGCAACACGGGATTTTGAACTGAATCCACTTGCTATAAAAATGACATTGTGGGGATTGCTGGCAAAACTTGAAAGGGGCCCAAGGATTTGTAGTAATGTATCAGTGTTAATTTCCTAACTTTAAAAATGGTTGTATTGTGTATGTAGAAGGATGTCCTTGTTTGTAGGAAATGTATACTAGAATTTTCAGGGCATCAGGTCAGGTCTGCAACTTACTCTCAAATGGTTTGGGAACAAAAACAATGTTTGTACTGTACTTGCAACTTTCCTGTAAGTTTCAGTTTTTTTTTTTTTTTTTTAAGAGCAAAGAAGGAGGTCATTTTCACTGAGCAGTTGGCAGATTCACCCAAGGTCCAGAGATGGAGTTGAGAGGCCGTGCCAAGGAGTGGTGTGAGCTGATCTGTGTTTGGGAGAATGCCTGTCAGCTGTGTGTAGGGGTGGGTGTAGGAGGGAAGGCAGATGAGGGTCAGGGAGACTGGAGGCAGGTGGGAAGGGCTTGAGTTTAGACAATGACAACATGTAAAGCAGAAGACAGATTTGAGACCAGTTGAGGAGGGAGACTCCTTCAGATATGGAGAAAGAGAGGAGGAAAAGATAATGAAGGCTTCGAGCTTCATAGAGAGGATGACAGGGGTCAGGAATGAGATGGGGCCTGTGGCAGTGAGCTTGGGAGGGGCAGGTGGCAGGTGCTGTTTGGGGCGTGCTGAATATAAGAAAAGTCTGGCTGTGACATTGGGCTCCTCTCTCATCTCTAGGGTATCAGCCAATGTGGTTCATCTTCCCAGATGTAGAATTTGAGATCTTGTTGTGACATTTTTGCTTTGACATCAGGAAGCAATGAATTATGATTTTGAACCAGGAAGAAAGATCACAGCAAGCAACATGGATTTGGGATTTTTTTGCTTGGAAGCCAAGAAAACAACTGAGATTAGAAAAGGAGGAAAGAAAGCCTTTGGAGAAGGCTAAGGGGAAAGAGCCTGTGAAAGAGGCAGAGGAGGTGTCGTTAGGAAGGGAGGAGGAAAACCAGTCCGAGTATTTGAGTCCAAGTATTTAGTAATGTAGGCATGGACCCCAAATTTTCTTCTGCTGAGACATTTTTCTTCTGCAGTAAAAATTTTTTTCTACTGAGAAAAAAATCCACCATGTCATGAGGGTTTCCCACTTACTTTCTGACATTCTAGCTTCTGTTGTTTTTTCCTACATATAAACTAATGTCTATGGTTAAATGTAGGTTCCCTCCCCATAACACACCCACAATCTGCATAATTCCTTATAGTTCAGTTTCAACAGAAGACTTGGTCAAGCAATTGCCAGAGAGGAGGCACAGTGTAGCTCCTGGGTTCAAATCCCAGCTCTACCATTCACCAGCCACATCACCCTGTGCAAGTTACTTAACCTGCCTGTGCCTTAGTTTCCACATCTGTAAACCTGGGATTAAAAATGTTCCTACTTCTGGAACTGTTATGAGGGTTAAAGGTGCTAATATTCCATAACTACTTGGAATCATGGCTGGCACCATGTAAGTGTATGTGTTATTAAGTTAGTGGAAACCTAAATGAGCTACTAACTCTACATAGTCCAGTTACAGATACCTATTTGCCAGTGGTACTGAGTGCTTTACAAGTTATTCTTTTGCAAGCAGGACTCCTGTAGGCCTCAAACTTTTGATGCTCAGAGGCCAGTTTAGCCATTCATTTTTTGATAGATTGGAGCCCAAGAGGTTGATCTCAGGAAACCAAAATTGCTCCACAAATATGACCATGGAAATGGTCCCCAAGTGGTGGCTCTAGGAGTAAGGAAACCTGAGTTTCTTCCAGGACTGTCGTATTGGACTTTCTTATCTCCGCTGTATTGGCCCCAGTAATCTAGTAGAGCTGTGCATCTCAGGCTGTAATGGGCATACACACAATTCGAAGATTTTGTTAAAATGCAGATTCTAGCTGGGTGCCGTGGCTCATGCCTGTAATCCCAGAACTTTGGAAGGCTGAGGTGGCATATTGCTTGAGGTCAGGGGCTTGAAACCAGCCTGGGCCACATGGTAAAGACCCTCTACAAAAAATACAAAAAAATTAGCCAGTTATGGTAGCTCGCACCTGTGCTCCCAGCTACTGGGTTGAGGGGAGTGGGGGACCAGGGGGCTGAGGTGGGAGAATTGCTTGAGCCCGGAAGGTCAAGCCTGCTGTGAGCCAAGATGGTGCCACTCCATTCCAGCTTGAGTGACAGAATGAGACCCTGTCTCAGGAGAAAAAAAAAAAAAAAAAAAAAGCAGATTCTGCTACAATATGAATGAACCTTGAGGACATTATCATCTGAAATAAGCCAGTCACAAAAGGACAAACACTGTATGATTCTGCTTATATGAGGTACCTAGAATAGTCAAATTCATAGAGACAGAAAGTAGAATAGTGGTTGCCAGGGGCTGAAGGGAAAGGAGAACGAGAGTAATTGTTTAATGGGTATGGGATTTCAGTTTCACAAGATGGAAACAGTTTTTTTTTTTTTTTGAGACAAGGTCTTACTCTGTCGCCCAGGCTGGAGTGGCAGCGGCAGATCTCAGTTCACTGCAGCCTCCACCTCCCAGGCTCAAGCAATTCTCCTGCGTCAGCCTCCTGAGTAATTGGGACTACAGGCATGTGCCACCACATCTGGCTAATTTTTGTATTTTTAGCAGAGACGGGGTTTCACCATGTTGACCAGTCTGATCTCGAACTCCTGGCCTCAGGTGATCTACCCGCCTCAGCCTCCCAAAGTGCTGGGATTAGAGGCATGAACCACCATGCCCTGCCATGATGGAAAAAGTTTTATGGATGGGTGGTGATGACGGTTGCACAACAATGTGAAAATACTTAATGTCACCGTACACTTAAAAATAGTTAAGGTGGTAAATTTTATGTTTTATTTTACCACAATTTAATTAATTATTTATTTATTTTCATTCAAGCAGTTACTATAGCTTTAATGCAAAGCAGGTGCTGGGCTTGTTTAAAAAGAACTAAAGGCACCTACCTCAGCTTTCTAGCCTCTTGCACCTCAAGGTGTGGTCCTTGGCACAAAATGAGGGTCAATGAGCCTCACCTGGGAGTTCAGTAGAAATGCAGAATCTCAGGCCTCATCTCTGAATTATTGAATCAGAATCTACAGTAAAAAAATAAATAAATAAATAGGCTGGGTGCAGTGGCTCACGCTTGTAATCCCACCACTTTGGGAGGCTGAGGCCGGCAGATCACAAGGTCCGGAGATCGAGACCATCCTGGCTAACACGGTGAAACCCTGTCTCTACTAAAAATACAAAAAAATTAGCCAGGCGTGGTGGTGGGCGCCTGTGGTCCCAGCTACTCGGGAGGCTAAGGCAGGAGAATGGTGTGAACCTGGGAGGCGGAGCCTGCAGTCAGCCGAGATCGTGCCACTGCACTCCAGCCTGGGCGACAGAGTGAGACTCCATCTCAAAAATAATAATAATAATAATAATAATAATAAAAATATTAAAGTGGCTTTGCTTTAATTTGAGTGTGGGTGACACAAGCCAGTTTTGACTTGGACCAGTCACAACAGGAAAATGGAAAAAATTAAGTTTTACTAGGGAGAGAGATTCGGTGTTCAGATTTACATTCAGAGTTAACACATTTATTTTTCAAAACACTGTGGAGGAGTACAGAAGTACAAAACATGCTTTCTGTCTTTGAGAAGTATATGTTTTTATGACAATTCGATTAATAAACCACACTTGAGGAGTAAGATATATTAATTTATTTTTAAAAATTAAAGTTCTAGACCCCCATTCTCGGGGTTGGTGAGAAGTTTAAATCAGTCAATTTGAGAAGCTTTAAACACACACACACAAACACACACACACACACACACAGTGTGCCCAGTCAGGGCCACCAGATGTATGGCACTCAGGTTGTATACTGCACAACTGCAGGAGAAGTTATGCCAAAGACTATGATACAAACGGCCCCTTCTGGAATCATTGTATTGCAGTGTAATGCCCTTCACCGCACTCTGCTTAAGCTGTACAAGAGCTGTGGTGGCTCATGCCTATAATCCCAGCACTTTTGGAAGCTGAGGTGGGCAGATAACCTGAGGTCAGGAGTTTGAGACCAGCCTGGCCAACACGGTGAAACCCTCTCTCTGCTAAAAGTACAAAAATTAGCCAGGAGTGGTGGTGGGCACCTGTAGTCCCAGCTACTCAGGAGGCTGAGGCCAGAGAGTTGCTTGAACCCAGGAAGCAAAGGTTGCAGTGAGCTGAGACTGCGCCACTGCACTCCAGCCTGGGCAACAAGAGCGTGACTTGGTCTCAAAAAAAAAAAAAAAAAAAAAGAACTGTGGAGCTTATGCCAGGCAGGGAATGGAGGTAGGCCTGGTCTTTGGTTGGTGTGGTCCCTGATGCTGTTACTCCTGGCCCACTCTCCTTTGAAGATCGGTATGTCTGTGGTCAGTTCTGGGCGTGGCTCCAGTCCCTCTGGGTCCAGCTCAGCTGTGGAGGATTTCCCTGACATTCTCAAGGTGACAGCACTCACAGCCTAGTCCTTGCAGGCACCCAGCCAACCATCTCTATCCCTGGTCCTGCCCCCTAGGGAGGGTAGTTTAGAGCAGGCTCACGTTCTCAAGACCTATAGGGCAGCCATGCTCTCTTTCACTCTTAAAGCTCATGGCCACCATCTCCTTTCTGTTAAATGTCTCAGATTAACCATCTGATGCGTCTAAGCAGGGGTTGAAAACTCCGACACATATAAGAACCGGCAGGTACACAAACAAATGTTGCAGGTGGTGTTAGACTTTAGCGGGTGGTGGGGACTGTGGTGAATGGAAAGCACATAGCCTGCCTAAAGGCACCAGCTGGACTTGGATCCTTCCCATTTTTGCCATGTGAAAATAGGGGCCCAGAAATGGGAAACCTTTGAGTTTTTCCAGAGAACCCAGAGATTTAGATTTTCATGGGAAATCTCTCACTTTTAGAAAATTGCAACTAATATTTTAAATTTATATAAAATAATTCGCAGGCCAAATCAAAGATGTCCTGAGCCACACCAACTTTCCGTCTCAGAAAGCAAAGGGGGAATCCATCCTACCAGGCAGCTTTCCTTTTTCCCCCAGAAAAACACACACACACACAGACACAGACACACACACACACACACACACACACAAAGGCTGTTAACTCTCCTTGGGGCTAAGGGAAGTCAGACTTCCAGGACACAAAGGCCCGGCTACCTTCTCTCAGGGGAGGGAGATGGGAGGGGGTGGGGGAAATACTTTTCATTCTTTCTGGAGGAGCCAAGGAGAAACAACTCCTTTCTCAGCCAGAGCGGTTAATGGAGTACATTACAGTCTTGATAATTTGGATAGCTATTAGCTGGGGAGTCAGACATAAATAACAACGTGCAATAATTACATGGTAGCATTCAGACAGGCCCAGAGCACAGGCCTGCCAGAGGAGGGGTATGGAGCGTGTAAGACCCTGAGGTGGGAATGCTGGCTGTGGTAAGAGGCAGGGGCACAGCGGATGCAGCTGCACGAGAGTCTGGGGGCCAGATTGAGCACAGGGGGCCTGAAGGTTAGGCCAAGACATCTTTGGTCTTTACCCTTGCGGAATGAACAGCTAGCCAAGGCTTTCTATAAGGGGCGTGGCACGACCAAGGCTGCCGTTTTGAGAGTCATTTTGCAGATCAATTCTTGTGTGAGGGTGGATCAGGAGGGAAAAGAAGGGGACTGATGTGGGAAGACCGGTTCGGAGGCTGTGGAAACTGTCCAGGTATGAGCTAAGGGCTGATTCGGGTGTGGGTAGGGAGAGAGGAAGGGGCAGTCATGGGCACTGTTACAAAAGAAGAATTGGCAGGAAGCGAGGCACCAGGGAGGGGAAGCAATCAAGATAGCAATCTGGGCAGCTGAGCTCTACCTTCCTATCCCAGATCTTTTGGAGAGTGCAGGGGAGAAAGTGTTGGTTTCAAAGGAACAGGTATATAAATTGCTATGTCCACCATCACCAAAGCATAGAGAAGGGACTCTCCCCCTTCCAAACCAGCACATCTTTTATCAGCTCTGAGATCCAGTTACTCACTTTTTTGTTTGTTTGTTTTTGAGACGCGGTTGCACTCTGTCTCCCAGGCTGAAGTGCTGTGGGGTGATCATGGCTCACTGCAACCTCGACTTCCAAGCCTCAAGAGTTCCTCCCACCTCAACCTCCCCAAGTAGCTGGGACCACAGGCACATGCACCACTACACCCGGCTTATTTATTATTATTATTATGGTTAGTTAGAGATGAAGTCTCGCTACTTGGCCCAGGCTGGTCTCGAACTCCTGGGCTCAAGCAGTCCTCCTGCCTGGACCTCCGAAAGTGCTGGGTTAATAGACGTGAGCCACCATTCTCAGCCCATCATTTACATTTTAATCTCTCTGACATCAGGGTACATCTCTAACAACCCATGGCATGTCAGAATTGATTAGTGTTATATCCCTACAAAATTCATATATATATATATGTATGAATATATATATATTAGAGATGAGAGGTCTCACTCTAGCCCAGGCTGGAGTGCAGTGGTGCACTGTAACCTTAAACTCCCGGGCTCAATTGATCCTTTCACCTCAGCCTCCCAAGTAGCTGGGACGACAAGTTCATGCCACCACACCTAGCTTTTTTTTTTTCTTTAAGAGGTGGGTTATCGCTATATTGCCCGGGAGGCTGGTCTCAAAACTCCTGGCCTTGAGCGATCCTCCTGCCTTGGCCTCCCAAAGGGCTGGGATTATAGGCATGAGCCACCACATACCTGGCCAATAAAATTCATTGGTTGAAGTCATAACACCCAGTATTTCGTAATGTGGCAGTATTTGGAGACAGGGTCTTTAAAGAGGTACTTAAGTTAAAATGAGGTCCTTAGAGTGGGCCCTAACCCGAAGTGACTGATGTCCTTAGAAGAAGAGGAGTTTAGGACACAGACATGCAGAGGGAAGACCATGTGAAGACACAGTGGGAGGGTGCCATCTGCAAGCCAGAAGAAAGCTCCCTGAGGAAACAACCCTGCTGACACCTTGATTTCACACATCTGGCCTCCAGGACTGTGAACACATAATTTTTTTTTTTCTTTTTAGACAGAGTCTCCCTCTGTCACCCAGGCTGGAGTGTAATGACGTGATCTCGGCTCACGGCAACCTCCACCTCCAGGGTTCAAGTGATTCTCCTGCCTCAGCCTCCTGAGTAGCTGGGATTACAGGTGCCCACCACCACGCCCCGCTAATTTAAATTTCTGTACCAGTCTGTGGTACTTTGTTATGAGAGTCTTAACAAACTAATACGGTGGGTCTGTTTCTTTCTTAGTGGTGTGTGACTTGGTAGTGCCTCTTATAATTGATGAAATCTAAACATCTGAGAGCCTATCAATTGGGGAACTTTCTTATTTTCCTTTTTGTGACTTATCCTTATTCATATAAACATCATTCTGAATTATTTACTATAAAGTTTAGTTTAAAAAAGTCAACTTAATAAAAAACATTCTGATTCAGGTAATTCTTTAATTTTTTTTCATTTTTGCCCAGTATTCCCATAGAACGGATGATTGAGGTATTTCTATAATTTATCATTCAAACTAGGATAATTTTAGGAGCAAAAAGGGAGGTGCTGTTAATAATTACTCAGGGACAACAGGGGTATGCAGGCGCTGTCCCAGGCAAACAAAAACCTCTAGCCACCCTAACTCTGACCCACTTGAGAATGTTAAGAGAAGAGCAGGTCATTCCTCTTAGACCTCATCCCTGGATTTCTCTGAGTGCCAAGTCCCAGGCCACCATCTGCTCTAATAACAGCACAAACAATGATGTCACCAACGGAAAAAGACCAGGAGTTTTTGGGTGACACAGAAAGCCCTAGATTCAGAGTGGATCTTATTTTAAATACTGCACCAGAAGAAATATCTTGGTGGCATGATTGGATAAATTCCCTGAAAGCTCTTGATGTCACAAACACATCTTTCGCAATTGATCTGCCACAATGTAGGAAATTCCCACCGGGCTTCCTCTTTTGAGTTAAAGCACCAGACATTCTTATGAAGATGTGAAAGCACAAAATTACCCAAGAAAAGTGATAACATATTGAGCTGTAAACCTTAACTTATGTGGGCTAATCAGGGAAAACTATCTATTGAGCACTAACCATGTGCTTTATATGTAACAAACCCAGTAGGGTAAATACTACTAGTCCATTTTTTCAGATGAGGAAACAGAGACTCAGAGAGATTAAGTGACTGTCCAAGGCCATACACCTATTGAATGGGGCAGCTAGGATTCTCATGCAGGCTCATGGACCCTGAAACTCTTTCTGCTCTGCCATTTGATGTCTTTCTTTTTTTTTTTTTTTTAACCTTCCATACTTTCTTTTCTTATTCTTTCGTTTCACCCTTACCTAATTTTTTAATGTTTACCCAGCTTGCAGATATTTTATATATTTGTCATATTTAGTACTTCATAATAAACAAGGAAGGGTTGAGAAGGAAGGTGGAGATGAAGGGTCACATTTCCTGGTTTGCCTAACAATGGCCCTATATTTCTCTCTGCTGTCACATTCTACCAGAATTAGATCTTCTTCATCTGATAGTCTAAGTGATACGTGTACAAAATATAATGTTAACTGAAAACCCCAGAACCTACTTCCAATACTATTCTTTGGTACTGAATTGAAGAAGACAAGCAAACACTCCCCGCATTTTCCTTTCTTTTCAGAAGGCAATTATCTTACACTTAATGGTTTAAATGTTATTAGGGTTACAAGAGGCCCAGAAAAAGACATTCAGAGTAGCAATCAATCACTTTAATACAGCTTCAGCTTATAAAACTGGACAGAATTACTTTTTTTTTCTTATGCTCTGGTGAAGCAAGTTTTTATTCTGTTTAAGCAAAACATCACTCTAACACATTTTCAGAGTTACAGCTGCTGATAATAAAATGCTAGAGTGGAAGTCAAAATAGATATCTGGGAATGCAAAACATAGGTTTTTCTACAGCAAGGCAAATTTCCCATTATTCCCACATGGGAACTCAGGAGCAAAATTGCCACATGCCTCTTGTATCATATGCATTTATAGTTCTGCACTTTCTAACTTACTCAAGTATAGGGGCCCTTCAACTTATGTCACCTGAAGAAATCTGCATTTAATGTTCTTTCTCTTACTGAGTTTTGTTTTTAAAGAAAATACTTATTGGAAAAGCAGTTACATTTTGTTCATTCTTCAGTGTCTATAATGAAAAAGACAAGGTTGGCCAGGTGTGGTGATGCATGCCTGCAGTCCCAGCAACTCGGGAGGCTGAAGTGAGAGGTTCACTTGAGCTCAGGAGTTCAAGGCTGCAGTGAGCCATGATTGCATCACTGCAATCCAGCCTAGGTGACAGAGCAAGACCCCGTCTCAAAAGACAAGGTCAAGCTTTCAAATGGACATAATATAAGAATTCTCATTGTTATATATAAAGCATTACATATGGGGCCATGTGCGGTGGCTCAAGCCTGTCATCCCAGCACCTTGGGGGGCTGAGGCGGGCGGATCACTTGAGGTCAGGAGTTCGAGACCAGCCTGGCCAACATGGTGAAACCCCGTCTCCACTAAAAAATACAAAAATTAGCCAGGCGTGGTGGCGAGCGCCTGTAATCGCAGCTAGTTGGAAGGCTGAGGCAGGAGAATCGCTTGAACCTGGGAGGTGGAGGTTGCAGTGAGCCAAGATTGAGCCTTTGCACTCCAGGCTGGGTGACAGAGTGAGACCCCCTCTCAAAAAAAAAGAGCCAAAAAATTACATATATAAAACATATATATATATACACATGTATATATACAACAAATATATAAATACATAAAATAGCTATAAACAAAGAGAATTAGCCCAGCTTTGAGAAATCTTTTCCTCCTGGAATTTAGTTAGAGGCCACAGCTCAATTATTTGATGGCAGCCTTGGAAAAACTGGCAGTTTATATCTACTTTCAGGCCCCTGACATTGCAATGTAAAACCGATGGTGTGACGGTCACTTTATAAATGCTCAACAATGCTGCTGGGAGGGAGGGAAGGAAGGAAGAAAGGCAGGAAGGAAGGGGAGGGGGAGAAGGGAGGGCCGGAGATGGGGGAAGCAGGGTAATGTTTTCTGGAGGAATCTAACTAATTTGCATTTCTAATGGCTAATGAAACCTGGAGAAGTAAAACCTAAACAGATTTGGTTAAAAGTCTAGGCAACTTTGAGTCACCAAGGGCTGGATTCCCAGCCCCTGTGTGCTCTTGTCCCTCTCCTCCTTCCCTAATTTCTTCCTTCCTGTGGGGCACATCATTGCTCATTAGCACCTTCACCAGACGGTAGACTGTGAGAAGCGAAGCTCAGTGATTTATTTCTTGGTGTTTCGCAGCTCTCGAATCTCCCAGTGAGGGAGAAGGCTGAAATTAATGGCTAGAATTAGTTATTTGGATTATCACAGGTTTCCACATAGACTTTTTATTATCATTATTATTATTATTAGCTGGGTGGGCTATTGAGCGTTGGAGTCTTATGAATAAAGTTCCCCTATTTTAAATGACTTGAGGGAAGCGAGGCTTGGTTAAGATAAGAAAAGGCTGGTGCTGGGCAGGTGGCTCACGCCTGTAATGCCAACACTTTGGGAGCCCGAGGCAGGAGGAGGATCTTTTGAGTTCAGGAATTTGAGACCAGCCTGGGCAACAAGGTGGGACTCTGTCTGTCCAAAAAAAATTTTTTTTTAAATAGCCGGCATGGTGGCGCGCACCTGTGATCCCAGCTACTCAGGAAGCTGGGGTGGGAGGATCACGTGAGCCCTGGTCGAGGCTGCAGTGAGCTGTGATCATGCCACTGCACTCCAGTTTGGGGGACAGAGTAAGATCCTGTCTCAAAAAAAAAAAAAAAAAAAAAGAAAATGGGAAAAGGCTAGTGTCAGAGTGGAAATGAACAAGAATCAATGCTGGGAACTTCCAATTTCCAATCACCTCCACTACCGGAAGATGGGTCAATTTGACAACAATTTATGTCAGAGTTGCACCAGATCCATACCACATTTTTTTTCATGTCTTGACCTGAGTCTTTGAACAACCGAGGGGTATCATGGACAGAGGTGGGAGGCTAGCAGCTGTATAGCCAATGGAGAATGACCTAGGCAAAATCTGAAAGTTAAGACCTTTGGGTTTTAAAGCATTCTTTCCTCTTCAAAGAAAAGCAGTCTACCCAAACATATCAGTTGAGTACTGGATTTTAGTTAAACTATATTATTAACTGTGGGATTCAGTTTCCTCTTTTTTTTTTTTTTTTTGGAGATGGAGTCTCATTCTGCTGCCCAGGCTGGAGTGCAGTGGTGCGATCTCAGCTCACTGTAACCTCTGCCTCCCGGGTTCAATCAATTCTCCTGCCTCAGCCTCTCCAGTAGCTGGGACTACAGGCACACGCCGCCATGTCCAGCTAATTATTTTTTTTTTAAATTTTAGTAGAGATGGGGTTTCACCCTGTTGCCCAGGCTGGTCTCGAACTCCTGAGCTCAGGCAATCCACCTGCCTCGGCCTCCCAAAGTGCTAGGATTACAGGCGTGAGCCACCGGGCCCCGCTCAGTTTCCCATTCTTGTAAAAAGATAAGCTTACTCTGTGTAACTCTGATACTTTGTTAAGGTATGGGTGTGGGTGCATGATTTTTATTACTTTTGTAGAATAAAGAGGAATAATGTGGTTAAAGATGGGGCAAACTAAACCTTTCTTCTCTCATCCCCCCAATTTGTTGCCACTAGAAACTTGAAGAAAATAAAGGATTAGGAACCTGAGTTAAAGGGGAAGAGGCAGAAGATTTTCCCATTCATTTTCTCTCGGCTTCCTGTATACACTTGCATCCAAACACTGGTCCAAGCTGGAGAGTTAGTCATCCTTTTCTGGTCTTTCTCAAGGTCATGTATGGTTGGTCTTTGGGATTAAGTCCTTGGCATCGGACCACCCTGCCTTTACCCTAAGCCCCAGGTTTAGATTGACAGTGACTGCTGAGAGGTGACCTCTCGGCATTTAGGGACGGATGCACTTGACTTCTAAGAGGGCAAGGGTTTCATCTATTTGGGATGATGGGGGAAGGGAACTCTGGAAGTTCCAGCCTGTGCTCTAAGGCAAGGTCACCTTGGGTTCCCCTTATCCGCAGGTGGTGGATAGAAATCTCATACCATAACTTTGATGGAAAATAAACACAACTTAATTTTCAAAACAAAAATTTTAAAACAACTCACCAATTTCTGTTTTAGATTTCCAGTCTTCCTAGAGTGGTGGAATCTCAATCTAAGTCATTTCTCCTTTTCCTCAGGGGGCTTATGTATTTGTCAAGGTATGGGGGGGGCTCAGGGAGTCCTTGGTCATAACTCTACTGAGGTCATCAGAGACACCAAATTGCGCACTGGGTCCTGTGTTGGAGTGGAGGCCCCATTCTGCTGTTTCTGTGCCTTCCCATGGGGTGGAAATCTTGGAGAAACTAAGACTGTTCTGCCTGGATGCACCATAGATCTGTTTCCTCTGTGGGGTTTCCCTGCCTATGTGGGGCTCCAGGGGAAGCAGGACAACAGTGCCCTCAGCCCCTAAATTTCACCAACCTGTTCAGGGCTTTGTGCCTACCCGGGTTTCTGCTAGGAAGCAAAGCCCATGGCTTCTTTCCTCCCATCCCCTTCCTCCCCTCTCTCTGGCCCTAGAGAAACTCGCCCCCAAACGTCAATCCCTCTAACATCTTGCTTCTGCAAACATTTTGTCAGCTCCAGAGGTTTCAGCTTCGAAGATGCCTTAGTTTCTGCTCTGCCCAGGCACCATCCTTCCCCTGGGGCAATGAGCTGCTGCCAAGCAGCCTAACAAGCCTGCATTGGAGGTGAGGAGTGGGATGAGGGGAAAAGTGAAAAGCCAGGGTGGCAGCAGGATGCTGCTAACTCAGAAATAGTAGCAACCCACTCCAATAGTGGTGAAATTGGCCTGTTTGATTCCGCCACGTGTCTGTCTTTGCATCTATCCTTAGTATCTCCCTGACACTTGGATATTGACTCATCTACCCCCCAAAATAACCGATTTGGGGGGACAGATGAGTCAATAAATCCCTGGACACAAAATAAGCCTAAATCCCAGAGGGCTCATAACTGTACCCTACTGTCTTAGGGAACGGGAGGGGAGGTCTCTTAGCTCTGGGGAACTGCCAGCCCAACCGCCACTCTTCAAAGGCAGGTGGAAAGGTATTTCCACCGGAGCCTGCAGGGTGCCCGGGGCAGACAGCGACATGTGGAGGCGGCGGGGGGTGGGGCCGTGGATGGCGGCGCACCACCGGCCTGCATTTAATAAGCGCTCCCTACCAATTTTTTAGGATCTTGGTGACAGGTTTATTACACCGAGGATAGGAAATTTCAGTGGACACGAGCTCTCCCGAGGAAAGGTCTCACAGTTGTCCACTGAAAACCAAGTGAGTGAATGAATTAAAATGTGCCTGAATTCCATTCTTTAAGCCTCTGTCAGCAGAAGCCGGAGCAGCGCAGCGCAAGCGTCCAGTGGTATTCATCAGGTATTTTATGAAACGGAATCTTCAAAGTTCTGTACATTTACTTAAATATAAGCTACAGCAAGACAAAATAAATAAAAATTTAAAAAACGGAATGAATAAATATAACTCAAATAACAAGCGTCTGCTTTTGCCCGGGAAGACAGCCAAGTGGTATGCATTTTGGATTAATTTTTTACAAGGAAAACAAATTAATTGCTTAGTAAATATAGTTTGCTAGACAAAAATCTCTCAAAACGTGGGACAAAAATGATTAAAAATGGTAATTAGTGATTCACTCAGTCTGTTTATTGTTTAAAAGTTGGCTACTTTAGCACAAGAGGCAAATATTTGTCTTTATGTTGGCCTTCAAAGTATTGATATATTTGAATAAAGATTAGGCTGACAATCAGGGTTAACATCCAAGATTTGCTTGAAGCTGGAATTAACTGAAGTCACTAAACTCTGGTGCAGAATCCAAAGCCTAATTCTTGGCAAAATTACTGAAAGATTTAGGGTGTTACAGTATTGGTGGGTGTTACAATATTGGTAGGTGTTTCTGATATTGGATTTCTATGCCGGGGGCCCCTGAGAAACTTCTCAGCCTCTGGGTTAGCAGAGGGGGTGGCACTCAGTTACTCCGCTGTTTGATTTTACCTAAATGTGTTTTTGAAATATTTAAGGAGAGCAAATTTCCAGATTGAAACTGCTTTCCTGGATTCTCTCGAAATGCCACTTGAAAGTTTGTTCTTGATCTGCAGCCAAATACAAGAGAACCAAGTTGGGCTGGCATATTTGTATACAAAGGTTGTTGTTGTTTTTCTTTTCCTCCTATGACCCAGCAGGGAAGGATGGTCACCAGTGAAAGAAAAACAGAGGTGAGTTACAGAGCACTCGCATCTGACACCTGGAAGGGTCCTTAGCCTGATCCAAATCCTTCTATGTATAGATCTGGTAACAGAGTGAATAAGAGTGCTGAGTCCTATTATTCCTGAACAGGCTTAGAATCCAAGTCTCCCATCCTAAATCCAATGCTCAGTCTACTCCATGCTTTCCCTAACGCAGTTTCTCAGAATACCACTTCTGTATGGCATTAACAGATGTCCCCCACCTCAAGGGGTTCTGTGTTCAAATGCTGGTTACAACAAATTTAAACAAACTGCTTTTTCCTCTTCCAGGAATTCTCAGAATCTTCTGTTTTTGTTTTTGAGACAGCATCACGCTCTGTGGCCCAGGCAGGAGTGCAGGGACATGATCATAGCTCACCGCAGCCTTGAACTCCCAGGCTCAAGCAGTCCTCCCACCTCAGCCTCCTGAGTAGCTGGCACTACAGGTGCCCACCACCATGCTCAACTAATTTTTAAATTTTTTGTAGAGACAAGGTCTCTTTATATAGCCTAGGCTAGTCTCGAACTCCTGGGCTCAAGGATCCTCCCGTCTTGGTCTCCCAAGGTGTTAGGATTACAGGCGTGAGCCACTGCACCCAGCCTTGGAATTTTACTATAATGAATATACATTAAAACTCTCTAAATGGAAAAACAGGGAACCCTAAAAATGTTAGATGATTTCATGATTTTACACACACCTAGCATGCGATTTCCCTCCAAATAGTTTACAGAAATGCTGCCAAGAAACAGTTCATATGCTAAAAATGAATTCATTTCCAATGCTGAGGAGTCCATTCTGTCAGTTCCAAGGATACTATTTTCAGGAAATAGAAGAAGAGCTCCTTGCAAAGTATGGTGGGAAAGAGGGCCCTTGTACCCACTTTTAAGTAATTGTTCACTTTAACTCCTCTCTCTACCTGTTGCTTGATATTTTCAGTAAAACAAGTTGAGGGCTGGAAAAGCTGGACTGTGAATAAGTTAGGGCTCAGGTAAGAAGGGCACCATATTTAAGGAAGCACTCGCTTTCTGAATTATGCAACTGCTAACCCTAAACTTACATGAATCCAAGAGCGAGTGCCTCCTTAAATGACGCACCCAAGGCTCCTGGCATAAGTGGTGTGTACACAGGGGCATTGGGTGTGGTCCCCAGGGAAATGAGTTCATTTGGGACTAAGTAATCCAGGACGTGCTGAATCAATCACATTCTGGTGAATAAAGAAAAATCTGGCATTAGGTCAATTCTGTGGGACACACAGGACTGGAAACATCACGACAGTAGGAGGTTGCCGAGAAAACAGGCTGGTCTGGGGCAGAATACCATCTATAAGAAGGTGATGGCCGGGCACAGTGGCTCATGCCTGTAATACCAGCACTGTGGAAGGCTGAGGTGAGAGAATTGCTTGAGTCCAGGAGTTTGAGACCAGCCTGGACAACATGGTGAAACCCCACCTCTACCAAAATAATACAAAATATTAGTCAGGTATGGTCCCAGCAATTAGGGAGGCTGAGGTAGGAGAATCACTCCCGGGAGGTGGAGGCTGCAGTGAGCCATGATTGTGCCACTGTACTACTACAGCCTGGGTGACAGAGTGAGACCCTGTCTGAAACAAACCAAAACAAAACAAAACAAACTAAACTGAAAAAAAAAGTGACAATGTTTTGAAAGATGCTGGTTTTACTTTGTGGCTTAGAGGACTCATTATCAGAAAGGGGGATGTGAATAAATACCTGAGTCATCAAGGAAGGGGAGGGGTGAACGGAAAGAATGACTGCCAGGTGGGGAGAGAGGGTGGACAATACCAGGCTTCCTGAGGCAGAAAAATCCACTCACAGAAGGGACACAGTGTCTCTTTTTTTATGAAGCAATATGAGGAGTCTCCTCTACTCCTTAGATGATTCAGAAGCAGGCACTGTGTGTAGATTTTATTAGATATCCTCAAAGGTTTATTTTTATGAGCTGGAATTTAGCACTTTGCATTTGTAAAGCAATTAATAGTGTATATGTTAGTTAATATCCCATTTTTGGTTCAAGAGCAATATTTTGTTACTTAAAAATTAATAGCAATATCACAAAGGGCTTATAAAAAGAGATATATTACTCCGATAGGCAATTCCATATAATGCTAAGTTTTTATTTGCCATTACTTTAATTACTTAGATATTATTTTATATGTTTTCATTATTTTAAAGTGCCTTGGGAGTATGAAAGATGTCTTACAGATAATGTATTCCATTTTAGCCAGAACAGCCTAATCATAAGTAGCTGTAGATTAATGCATTTATCACATAAAATTTCTTTTTTATGTTCTGTAAGCAAGTAAAATTGATGTCTTGGAGAAGACTGATACCTCCCAGGCCATAGAGCTCTTCCTCAATGAATATTTCTTCATTAGATTGTGAATATTTCTGAAAAAGGAAAAGAATAAACCTAACAATAAGTAAAATGAGCCATACAGCAGCATGACAAACATTAGTAAGAGCTCGTGCTTAGAAAACAGTTCACAGCCTCTGGACATGAAATATCTATTTTAAACTAAATTGGGTCCTCAAATTCCACAGGCACAAATTCTTCTCCATTTCCTCATGGATGGGTAGATGGGACTGTTTGTTCTGTAGAGGTGGCAGTGTTTCAGGGAGGGTTTAAATGTCCACAGAACCATGTGGTTTTCCTTCAGCAGGCAAACTCTGGAGATAAATGTGACTCATGGTCATGATCCCTCAATGAGGGTTTTTAAAAATAACCTAAATCCTCTATTTTTAGAGAACCTGCCAAGCTGCAGTGCTGCGGGTTCCCTTTTTTTTTTTTTTAAACAGAAAGTAATTAACAATCTCTAATCCCTGAGGAGAATGGATATCACTGAAATTCCTGATATGGAAGCAAAAATGCACTGTCTTAACCAGAGGACACGGCTCCTGAACAAAGAGGGTTACCCTCCACGCATTGCCTGCCGTGGAAGAAGACAGCTAAATCCAAGGATCAAATCAATCAGAGAAAAGCAAATAGTTTTAAACTTCTAAGAGGTGTGATAAATAAGTGGGGGCTGAAGCAAAACTGTTTAAAAGCAGCTGAGTCCTTTATTTTTAAACAAGAGTTTCCCTGATGACTTGAGTTCATTTGTTATTCAATCACTTCCCAGTCAATGCTAAAGGTCTGAAAGCTTTTGGTATGTTTCAGTGGAATAATTTAAGTGCTCTAATAGAAAGACCAGAAGGGCGAATTATACAAATTTATTCTGAGTCAACCAAAAATTTCACAAAATAAGAGAACCTGTGGTTTGAGAAGAAAGAATGTACATCAATGGGCGTGTATGCCATTCCATACACGGGATGCCATTCCAATGGACAAAGACCTTTAGTCCAGATGACAAATAACTCAGGTGTGTGGCTCCACCCAGACCCTAATTTCACAGTTTCATACTAATTGAGTCACATATCATGACTGTGGTGGACCTGTCTCTGGGCATTTTCCAATTTTCAGTGAAGTTCATTAAAAAATTACAGAGGTTATCCATTTGAAAATGTTGCTTGGTTGACACTTTCTTTGAAGATCATCATAAACGAAGTTACTATTTGTCACACACACACATTATAAGTGTTCATACAGTGGTTTTTTTTTGTTTGTTTGTTTGTTTGTTTTGTTTTTTGAGACAAAGTTTTGCTCTATCGCCTAGGCTGGAGTGCTCGGCTCACTGCAACCTCTGCCTCCCAGGTTCAAGAGATTCTCCTGCCTCAGCCTCCTGAGTAGCTGGGACTACAGGCGCACACCACCACGCCTGGCTAATTATTGTAATTTTAGTAGAGATGGGGGTTTCACCACTTTGGCCAGGATGGTCTTGATCTCCTGACCTTGTGATCCACCTGCCTCCGCCTCCCAAAGTGCTGGGATTACAGGCGTGAGTCACCATGCCCGGCCCACACAGTGTTTAATAAATGGGAATCCCGGTTAATATTTGTTTTCCCCCTTTTTTTTTTTTTGAGATGGAGTCTTGCTCTGTCGCCCAGGCTGGAATGCAATGGTGCCATCTCGGCTCCCTGTAACCTCTGCCTCCCAGGTTCAAGTGATTCTCCTGCCTCAGCCTCCCGAGTAGCTGGGATTTGTATTTTTAGTAGCGACCGGGTTTCACCATGTTGGCCAGGCTGGTCTCAAACTCCTGACCTCAGGTGATCCACCCACCTCGGCCTCCCAAAGTGCTGGGATTACAGGCGTGAGCCACAGCGCCTGGCCTTGTTTTCCTTTTTTAGAGATAGGGTCTTGCTCTGATATTTAGGCTGGAGTGCAGTGGCATGATCATATCTCTCTGCAGCCTCGAGCTCCTGGGCTCAAATGATCCTCCCACCTCAGCCTCCTGAGTAGCTGGGACTATAGGCATACACCACTATGTCCAGTTTTATTTATTTATGTATTTTTAATTATACAGACAGGGGTATTGCTATGTTACCCAGGCTGGTCTCAAACTGCTGACCCCAAGCAATCCTCCTGCCTTGGCCTCCCAAAGTGCTGGGATCACAGGCATGAGCCACCACACCTGGCCTGCTTTTCTTAACATTACAGTCTACCAATTTATTTCCTCTTACCATTTTCTATTGCTTCTCCATGCTGTTGCTCTTCTTAAATTTTGTCATGTTGTTAGAATACATTCTTTCAAAATCCTTTCAAACAAGGTTTGTGAATGGTATATTTTCTGAACTCTTGCTTTTCTGAAATGCTTGTATTCGTTCCCAGGCGACTAATATTTGCATTTGATGTTTATGTTGACAACCTTTTCCCATCAGAATGTTAAAGATCTAGCTTCACTATCTTCCATCAACTATTGATGAGAAGTGTGAGGTCAGTGTGCCATTCTCCCTCTCTGTTTCTCTTTGCCTGTGCATGATCTGCTTTTCTCACAGAAATATTTAGGACTTTGTCTTTGGTGTTCTGAAATTTTACTACAATGTTACCACTATTTATGCAGCATTTTTCATCTGTCCTGCTTGGTCTTGTTGGAGACTTTAATTGGCTCATATATTTCACTAACTTGGGACATTTTTCTTCTGTTATCTTTTAAAGTACTTTCTCTCTTCCCGGCGTGGTGGCTCACGCTTGTAATTCCAGCACTTTGGGAGGCTGAAGCGGGCAGACCACCTGAGGTCAGGAATTCGAGACCAACGTGGCCAACATGGTGAAATCCCATCTCTATTTAAAACACAAAAAATTAGCTGGGAGTGGTTGTATGCACCTGTAATCCCAGCTACTCGGGGGGCTGAGGCAGGAGGATCGCTTGAACCTGGGAGGTAGATGTTGCAGTGAGCCGAGATCGTGCCACTGCATTGCAGCCTGGGGGACAAGAGCGAGACTTCATCTCAAAATAAATAAATAAATAAAGTACTTTCTCTCTCTCTCTCTCTCTTTTTTTTTTTTTTCTTTTTGAGATAGGGTCTGGCTCTGTCACCCAGGCTGGAGTGCAGTGGTGCAATCTCGGTTCACTGCAACTTCCGCCTCCTGGGTTCAAGCGATTCTCATGCCTCAGCCTCCGAGTAGCTGGAATTACACATCTGTGCCACCATGCCTGTCTAATTTTTGTATTTTTAGTAGAGACAGGATTTCACCCTGTTGGCCAGGCGGGTCTTGAACTCTTGATATCAGGTGATCCACCCGCCTTGGCCTCCCAAAGTGCTGGGATTACAGGCGTGAGCCACTGCGCCCGGCCCAAAGTATTTTATCTTATCTATCCTCTTTGTTCTCTCATTCTGGAAATCTTAGCCGGATATGGGAATTTATGAAATTATTTTCCATGTTCCTAACTTTTCTTTCATACTTTTTATCTCTTTCCAGGGAGTTCTTTAGTTCAATCTTCTAGCTCACTAATTTGTTCTCTTATTCTATTTAGTCCATCTACTTTTTAAAAAAATGTCTATGATCAAAGACTTAATTTTCAAAAAAAAAAATGTCTATGATCGAAGACTTAATTTTCAAGATCTCTGATTCAGCAGATGTAATATCTGCTTCTCTGTCCATGAAGATACAGGTTAAACTTATTCTAGAGTCATTTTCTATATTTTTCAATTAACTCTTTTCTCAGAGCTTGTTCTTTCATTTGTAAAATTTGATGTCTCCTTTCATGGGGTTAGTTTTCACGGTGGTTCCTGTTGTGAGCTTGAAGCAGGAGCTGGCAGGGCTCCATCTACCTTCCCCCAAATCCCTTTAACGCTTTAGTCTAAACAGGCTCCCGAATGCTTTTACTCCAACAGCCAGCATCTGTGCCTCTGTCGAGGTCCAGGCCTCAGCCTGATGGATGGGCACTTTGCCAGTGTACACCAAGAGCCAGAAGGGCCTGGGAGCTTATGTCCCCCGGGACAGTTTATGTACTGATGAGCACAGGAGATGTGGATCCTCCAGGCCCCTCACTGCTTGATGGGGGCACCTCTGTGGTGTGACCTGTACTATCTCCAGAGCTCCTTGTATGAAGCCAGGGTTATCCTCTGAGGGGTCTGTTTGCCATTACACCTTGGATGTTCTCTTCCCTTCCTGGTCCCAATTCCCCATATCCCTACCCATTCTTATTGTGAATATTTTCTAATAAGTCAGCTTCCTACAAGTCATCTCAGAAGCTATTTATAAGAACCCAGCCTAAAGCTGTGCTTATCGCTGTGAGTACTGGATTTGTTTACCATGGCCTGGATCCACTGGCTGGGGGAAGGGGCTGGGTGGGATGTGTGAACACACACATATAAATGGATCTGTAACAGGAGAATATGTACCTTTTAAGTGTTTTCTAGGAATTGGAGGGGGAGGCTTAAACATATGCTCAGCCTGCCTTCTCGGTCGAATCTCCATAAACATCTATTTTGTTTTTGTTCTTTTAATCACAAGCCAAAGCTACAAAAGCAGAGTGATGTAAAATGTTTGCTCCTGCCTAGCAAATTTCTCTCCTTTGGAGCACAACAACAAATTCAGCTGCAAATCAATCTTGAGCTGCAAAACTTGAACTTACTCCATTATTGGGCTCTTACCGTGTGCCAGGCACTGCATATACAACAATAAGCAAAAGAGACAAGGATATCCTTCCCTACCCCCACAGAGCATAATGGTTCATATTTTTGCCTACTCATATTCCAACCCCCCACCCTGAGGCCCCGCCATCTCTCTGTCTCTCTACCACTATCTCTTTTCCTATTTATTTTGGAAAAAGATTTGGCAACTTGTATCACAACCTCTAAGATTAAGTGTTCCCTTTGACACAGAAATCTCCCATTTCAGGAAGTCTATCCTAAGAAAGTTATACAAAAGCAGAGGAAAAATACGTGTATGTAAAGATGCCTATGCTCATATGCATCAATTTGTACAACAACCTAAATGTGCAATAGGGAAAAGGTTAACTCCTGTATATGTCAGAGCCACTGGATGGACAAATATGAAGAAATGGAAAATTATAATGGTCGGGAATATAATGGTTATCACAGAAAATGCTTATAATTTTAAGTGAAAAGAGCTAACTACTGTATATACAGTTGATTATGATAAATGATACAAAAAACATATGCATGCGGGCCCAGATTAAAGGAAATACACTCTGACTAAAAATAGAAGTGGTGTTAAGGTAGTAAGATTGTAGGTGAATTTTCTCTCTTCTGTTTTCAAATGCTATTTTTTTTCCTATTTAGATTTTAAATTTGGCTATAAACATTACTGAATGATTCTGAGGATTAAGAACCTGGAATGCTGTTCTTCTAGAATCTGAATCATACAACTATCTCCTTCTCAACATTCAGGTCCAGGTCACATACCACCTTTGCTGAGCACCTACCTAATTACCTCTGATTCCCAGCTCTAAACCACTCCCCCCAACATTCTGATTTCCTTTTCTTTAAGGCTGAAGAATTCTATCTAGAATTTTATCTTTTTTTTTTTTTTGAGACAGGGTCTCGCTCTGTCACCCAGCCTGGAGTGCAGTGGCGCAATCTCGGCTCACTGCAACCTCCACCTACCGGGTTCAAGCCATTCTGCCTCAGCCTCCTGAGAAGCTGGGATTACAGGCGTGTGACACCATGCCCGGCTAATTTTTTGTATTTTTAGTAGAGACGGGGTTTCACCATGTTGGTCAGGCTGGTCTCAAACTCCTGATCTCGTGATCTGCCTGCCTTGGCCTCCCAAAGTGCTGGGGTTACAGGTGTGAGCCAGTGCACCCGGCCCTATTTTTTTGAGACAAGGTCTCATGCTGTCACCCAGGGTGGAGTGCAGTAGCACGATCTCGGCTCGCTGCAGTCCAGCCATCCTCCTGCCTCAGCCTCTGAAGTAGGTGGTGGGACCATAGGTACACACCACCACGTTTGGCTAATTTTTGTATTTTTGGTAAAGACAGGATTTCAGTATGTTGCCCAGGCTGTTCTCAAACTCCTGGGCTCAAGCAGTCTGTCTGCCTTGGCCTCCCAAACTGCTGAGATTACAGGTGTGAGCCACTGTGCCCAGCCATTTTTTTTTTTTTAAATAGAGACAGGGTCTTGCTCTGTTGCCCATTCTAGAATTCAGTGGTACAATCACAGCTCACTGCAGCCTTGAACTCTTGGGCTCAGCTGATTCCCCCTCCTTAGCCTCCCAAGTAGCTAGGACTACAGGCTCATGCTACTGTGCCCAGGTTAGAATTCTATCTTATTTTTGCACTTATTTACTTGTTTATCATTTTTCTCTCCCAGCTAGAACATAAACCCCATGAGAAGAAAACTCTACAAATTTTGTTACCTGTAGTTCCAGTGTCTTCAATGCCAAGCTTTGGAGAATATTTGTTGAATGAATGTATTCATCTATTCATTCATTTCATGGTCTTGATAAGCCAGAGATAAAACACCCTTCACATTATAGACTATAATACCTTCTATGATCTCACCCTTCTTTCCTCCCTACTTTCACCTCCTATTTCTTCTGGCCTCAATTTTTTTTTTTTTTTTTTTTGAGACGGAGTCTCGCTCTTGTTGCCCAGGCTGGAGTGCAGTGGCCTGATCTTAGCTCACTGCAATCTCCACCTCCCAGGTTCAAGCGATTCTCCTGCCTCAGCCTCCCAAGTAGCTGGGATTACAGGCACCCGCCACCACACCTTACTAATATTTTATTTTTAGTAGAGACAGGGTTTCACCATGTTGACCAGGCAGTTCTTGAACTCCTGACCTCAAGTGATCCGCCTGCCTCAGCCTCCCAAAGTGCTGGGATTACAGGTGTGAGACACCGCGTCTGGCCATTCTGGCCTCAGATTTTAAGCTCTAGTCACACTGACTGCTTGAGGTTTCCCTCATATGCCATGCTGTGCCCATAGATGCATCTCCCCTCTCACCCAGCAGTGCCTCTGCCCAATATGCTCTTTCCATCTCACTTCACCCAAACAACTCTTCTTACTCAAGGTTCAGCTCGGTTGCCATTTTCTCCTCCCTCAATTGCCCAACTGGAGCCAAGTGCCATCCTGACTCCCCAGACACCTGGTGCCTTGATCTCCATCACCCTACTTTACAAAGGACTTTGTGTGGTATCTCGATCAGAATGGGAGCCTGTGAAAACAAGGAGGCACTTTATTAATTCTTATAATGACCTGCTTCCTGGTCAGTTCCTGGCATGCAGTAGGTGCTCAATAAATATTTGTTGAACTGAAATGAATTGTACTGCTGAGGACGGGAGTCTAACGTGTACGAGGCACAGCGCTGGATAGTATGGCATATGAACAAGAGTAACTAGGAATGAAGCAGATCGTAAGAGGTTAATTAGCATGCGCCAATTTCCTCTAGAGCAGAGATTACCAATCTTTGGCTAATATTTAAATATTAAGATATTTTGCATAAAACCCCACACATCTGTCATATTCTAAAAAATGAATAGTTCTGACAACAGGGCAATGATTGATTGGAACTAACTGGAAGTGTTTTTCTAATTACATGGACACGCAATTGTCAGTTTTCCGCAGGCCTCACCACTCCCCATACTTTGCTCATCTGAGGTCTGCTGTTAACGTGTTAAGAAAAATTACGAAAACTTGAAAATAAGGCAACAGCATATTTTCCAATATTATATTCAAGCATGTCTATTAGGTCCTGGTAGGGATTATTTAAATCTATAGGATCACACCTTCCAATACTGTAGCCACTAGCTAGCTGCCTGTAGCTATCTATATTTCTTTCTTTATTATTATTCTCTTTTGAGACAGATCTCATTCTGTCACCCAGGCTGGAGTGCAGTGGTGCAATCATGGCTCACCGTAGCCTTGACCTCCCCAGGCTCAAGTGATCCTCCCACCTCAGCCTCCTGAGCAGTTGGGACTACAGGCGCATACCATCACACCCTGCTAATTTAAAATTTTTTTTGTAGAGATGGAGTCTCACTATGTTGCCCAGGCGAGTCCGCAACTCTTGGACTCAAGTGAGCCTCCATTTTGGCTACCCAAATTGCTGGGATTGCAGATGAGAGCTACCATGCCTGGTGCTATTAATATTTGAATCTAAATTAGTTAAAACTAAATAAAATTTAAAATTCAGTTTCTCAGTCCTACTAAGTACATTTCAAGAGCTCCTGAGCCATATATGAGCACTTGAAATGTGGCTAACGTATTGGACAGCACAGATGTAGAACATTCCACCATTGCAGAAAGTTCTATTGAGGAATGTTGATCTAGCAAATGTACCTTGTTTGATTTACTATTGATTAGGGCCCAGAATCTGTGAAGTCACATGTTAACTTACAGATTTTTACCCAAATAGGTTTCTGTCTGTGGGAAAAGATAACCCCAGAGGTTACAGTGTAGTTGTCCCGTGAGACAGTAACCATTCAATTTGTGCCAAGTTATTTCAGCATGCCTTTGCTGACTGACTAGATAAACTCCTGTTCCTCAAATTTTCCCTTGAATTAACTTTACCACCCTGCTGATTTCCTCATTAATGAGTGTAGTAGGTTAAATGGTGGTCCCCCAAAATTATGTCCACATCCAAATCTTTGAAATGTCACCTTATTTGGAAAAAGGGCCTTTGCAGATACAATTAAATTAAGGATCTTGGGATAAGATCATCCTGGATTACCCATGTGAGCCTTAAATTCAATGATAAGTGTCCTTATAAGAGATGTGGCCACATGCCAAGAAGGCCAGAGAATGCTGGCAGCCACCAGAAACTGGAAGAAGCAGGGAAAGTTTCTCCCTTAGAGCCTTTGGAGGGAGTGAGGCCTGCTGTCATCTTGATCTTGGACTTCCGGCCTCCAGGACTGTGAGAGAACATGCTTCTGTCGTTTTGAGCCACCTGCTGGGTAATGATTTGTTGTAGCAGCCCTAGGGAGCTATAGCATCAGTTAAATGTTTGGTATGTGTTCATCTTATGAGTCATGTTTTTAACTTTGAAAAATTTTAACTTGGCCTGGTGTGGTGGCTGACGCCTGTAATCCCAGCACTTTGGGGAGCCGAGGCAGGTGGATCACCTGAGGTTAGGAGTTCAAGACCAGCCTGGCCAATGTGGCGAAACCTCCTCTCTACTAAAAATACAAAAATTAGCTAGGTGTGGTGGCGGGCACCTGTAGTCCCAACTACTCGGGAGGCTGAGGCAGGAGAATCTCTTGAATCTGGGAGGCGGAGGTTTCAGTGAGCCGAGATGGCACCACTGCACTCCAGCCTGAGTGACAGAGAGAGACTCTGTCTCAAAAAAAAACTTTTTTTTTTACTTTGAGATTTGCCATTTATATTCAAGTTCATGTTATTCCTTTCTCTCATATTCTTAGACTTATTTTTACCCTCCTGCCCCCGACAGTGTTTAAGATTGAGACACAATCCTTGACCTCATGGCTCAGCCTGGTAGGTAGAAACAGCCCAGAGATGTAGAGTGATGGCAGGCAGGTGAGTAGAGCCCTGTAAGCGCAGATTCTGGAACCAGCCTGCCTGGGGTCACATCCTGGCTCCACCGTAGGATGGGTCACGTTGGGGAAGTTATTTTTCCTGTCTGTTATTTGGTTGGCTCTTCTGTAAAAGAGGATAATAGTGGCCCGGTGCAGTGGCTCATACCTGTAAACCCAACACTTTGGGAGGCTGAGGCAGGAAGACAGCTTGAGGCCAGTAGTTACAGACCAGCCTGGGCAACATGGTGAGAACCTGTCTGTACAAGAAATTAAAAAAAAAAAAATTAGCAGGTGTGGTCACATGTGCCTGTAGTCCCAGATACTTGGGAGGCTGAGGTGGGAGGATCACTTGAGCCCAGGAGTTCAAGGCTGCAGTGAGCCATGATCACGCCACTGCATTCCAGCCTGTAGGACAGAGTGAGAAACTGTCTCTAAAAAAAAAAAAAGTGGATAATAGTAACTAACCCATATAACTTTGTGTCACTAAAGGCTACACACAGAGATATGCACCAAGTATTGAAAAAAATTCATTGATGTCACACACCGTGAATCAGCATTAAAAAAATCACAATTATCATGTAAAAGTACAGACTATTGCATTGCATGTTTATGTGTTAGGAATGTTATGGAAGCCAATGGAGTTAGCAGACAAGATACTAGTTAGGGACCACCCTTGGATCACCAGCCATGGAGGGGGACAAAAGGAAGCAGGAGTGGGCAGGGTGAGAAGTAGGCTGGGATGTGGCCCAGTGGCAGCCTGCGCTGCGCTCACAGGGAGTTTTAAATGGCCTTTCAGGGTTGTCCTCAGCTGAGCTGATAGGACCAGGCTTTTTTTCTCTTGCTGTCCTTGTCACCTGGTTGAAGTGGCTCTCTGCGGTAGAGGCAATCTCTGAAAAGGCTGTTGGCTGAGGCTGGCCACCACAGGCCTCCTCCCAGCAGCTGGGTGCCAGTTCCTTCGTGGATAGGGATCCAGACAGCATTTCACTTGCCCCCTAGAGTCTGTAATCCTCCTCTAGGGTGTCTTCATGTTTCAATAGCCAGGGGACCTTGAAAAGTGAGAGGTTGGCTGGGTGCGGCGGCTCATGCCTGTAATCCCAGCACTTTGGGAGGCTGAGGCAGGCGAATCATTTGAGGTCAGGAGTTTGAGACTAGCCTGGCCAACATGGTGAAACCCCATCTCTATTACAAATACAAAAAAAAGGCTGGGCGTGGTGGTGCATGCCTGTAATCCCAGCTACTTGGGAGGCTGAGGCAGGCGAATCGCTTGAACCCAGGAGGTGGAGGTTGCAGTGAGCTGAGATTGCACCACTGTACTCCAGCCTGGGCTACAGAGCTGGACTCCATCTCAACAACAACAAAAAAAAGAAAGGTGAGATTCTGTCCCAGGGTGGGCCGACTGTGGCATCACCCTCCCTCTCCCTGGCTGCAGGTGACAAGTCAGTGTTATCTTCTGCCCACTCCTCCCCTCCTGCTGACAGCCTCCCCCCATTACCTCCCTCTCCTGTTTCAGGGTTGCCCTTGGTGCAGACTGGTCTAGGAATGGGGGAAAGCTGGGGGAGGGAGAGGCCAGATAGGAGCTGAGAACTCCCTTCCCCAGGACTGCCTGAGCTTGTCATGCACTTCACGTTCTTCAGGTCTGTGTCCCCACACCGCCCTGGGCCAGCCACACCTCCTCCTGCAAGGAGGAGATCTGTGTGCAAAGGGGCAGCCCCTAGGCTGCCTTTCAAATAACACAAGGAGCTACTCTTTAAAAGCTTAAATTCCAAAGGGATTATTCCTGTCAGGGGAAAGGAATAAAAAGAATCCACTTCTGTAAACATGAAACAAAGATCAGAATAAGGATTTAAGAGTAATGCTCAGCTAAGCCACAGAAAAAGGCACAGAAGCCCACGCGCTGGGCTGGGTTCTTGTTTCTGCTCCCTTAGAAGAGAGAAATGGTTAAGTGAGTGGGTTGCCTGGAGGATTCAGCTGGTTGGAGGGGAGAGATTTTGAGATGGCACAATCTCAAGCTCCCTGGTTGGCCTTGTTGGGAGAAGCGGACAGCTGTGAAAGGGATCTGTGCATTTCTCCTCATGCCAGCATGCCCATGTTGTCCCCTGGGTGCAAAAGGATGGGGACAAAGTCACAGCACTGGAGTGAGGCCAGGGTTATCAGTGTCAGTTGTGATGTTGCCTCTCCCTTTGCATGGAGTAAGACTGACTGCTTCTAATCTGTGTTTTTTTTTTGTTTGTTTGTTTTTTGTTTTGAAACAAGGTCTTACTCTGTCTCCCAGGCTGGAGTGCAGTGGTGCAATCTTGGCTCACTGCAACCTCCGCCTCCCACACTCAGGTGATCCTCTCATCTTAGCCTCCCAAGTAGCTGGAATTACAGGCACGCACCACCATGCCCAGCTAATTTTTGTATTTTTAATAGAAACACGGTTTTTCCATTTTTGCCAGGGTGGTCTCAAACTCCTGTGCTCAAGCTATCCTCCTGCCTCCTCCTCCCAAAGTGCTGGGATTACAGGCATGAGCCACCATGCCCGGCCTGGTTCTAATCCTTATTTATCCTGCTACCTAGTAGCTTGTATGACCCCAGGAGAGTCACTGACCACACTGACCCTGGGCTTTATTTTTTAATCTGTACAATGGGGATAATACCTAGTATATCAGTAATGGCCTAGTATGCAAGTACAGAAACCAAGTCTGCCTACATTAAACAAAAAGGGAGGCTGGGCGCAGTGGCTCACGCCTGTAATTCCAGCACTTTGGGAGGCCGAGGCGGGTGGATCGCAAAGTTAGGAGTTCAAGACCAACCTGGCCAACATGGCGCAACCCTGTCTGTACTAAAAATACAAAAATTAGCCGGGTGTGGTGGTGCATGCCTGTAATCCCAGCTACCCAGGAGGCTAAGGCAGGAGAATTGCTTGAACCTGGGAGACAGAGGTTGCAGTAAGCTGAGATCACGCCACTGCACTCCAGCCTTGGCAACAGAGAGAGATTCTGTCTCAAAAAAAAAAAAAAAAAAAAAGAAATTATTGGAACTGAGGGAAGCCTGGAGGAGTAGAAAACTGGCAGGAAGCTAGGCTGCTCAGAAGGCCAGGCAGGAGTCACGGCAGAGGTCACGTGGCAGAAAGAATCTTCTTTGTGCCCTGCAGTTCCCCCTGCATTGGGTCCTTATGTCACTCACTTAGCTTCCAGAGTTCCTGAAGACAGCATCAGACTGGCCAGGCCAAGGTCACTCCCATCAAGAAGGAGGATCTAATTTCTTGCATTTTACTTTGCACCAAAACCACACAGGAAGACAGATCCAGCTGCTAATAAGACTGAGATCTGATACTGAACAGAAGAAGGCAAAACCTCCACAAAGGGCCATCACAACACCTTTCCTCTGGTGGTTATGAGACATTGGGAAGTGCTTAACACAGTGTCTGGCAATAGTGAAGTTTCAATACATGCAAGGCACTATTTGTGGGTTAACAAGTTGTGGTGCGGTGTTTCATACAATGAAATTTTACTCAGCAATCAAAACAAAAATCAACTACTCATATAGAAACATGAATGATTTTCAAAAACATTATGTTGAATGAAAGAAACCGGAACCAAAGGAGTTTGGTGAGGCTGGGTGTGGTGGTGCATACCTGTAGTCTCAGGTACTCAGGAGGGCGGATCCCCTGAGCTAGGAGTTCAAGTCCAGTTTGGACAACATAGTGACACCCCCATCTTTTAAAAGAAAGAAAAAAAGAGTTTGTTGATTGCAAACTGCAATTTTACTTATATGAAATTCTAGGGAAGTTCTAGAAGTTCTGGAAAAAACCTGAGCAAGCCATGGCGACAGAATTGAGAACAGTGGGTACCTCTGGCTGCCTCAGGAGCAGACACACAAGTTCAGGAGAGATGCCTAAAGAGGGACATCAAGGTGCTTTCTGGGGTGATGGAGTATTCCCTATCTCTTTTTGGCAAGTGATCTATTACATACTCCTTAGCAGATTCTGGCTATCATGGCCACCATTCTGCTTCCATATCTTCCTTCCTTCTTTCCTTCCTTCCTTCTTTCCTCCCTCCCTTCCTCCTTCTTTTCTTTCTTTTTTCTTTCTTTCTTTCTTTCTTTCTTTCTTTCTTTCTTTCTTCCTTCCTTCCTTCCTTCCTTCCTTCCTTCCTTCCTTCCTTCCTTCCTTTCTTTCTTTCTGTCTTCCTTTCTCTTCTTTTCTTTTGTTTCTTTGACAGAGTCTTGCTCTGTCACCCAGGCTGGAGTGCAGTGCTGCAATCTCAGCTCACTGCAAGCTCTGCCTCCCGGGTTCAAGCAATTCTCCTGCCTCAGCCTTCTGAGTAGCTGGGATTACGGGCATGCACCACCATGCCCAACTAATTTTTGTATTTTTAGTAGAGATGGGGTTTCACCATGTTGGTCAGGCTGGTTGTGAACTCCTGACCTCGTGATTCACCCACCTCAGCCCCCCAGAGTGCTGGGATTACAGGCGTGAGCCACCGTGCCTGGCCGGGTCTTTCCTTTCCTTCTCTTTCCTTTCCCTTTCCCTTTCCCTTCCCTTCCTTTCCTTCCTTCCTCTCTCTCTTTCTCTCCCTCCCTCTCTCCCTCCCCTCCCTCCCTCCTCTCTCTCTCTTTATTTCTTTTTAAAACTTTTTTTCGAGAAGGAGTCTTGCTCTGTTGCCCAGGTTGGAGTGCAGTGGCGTGATCTCGGCTCACTGAAACCTCCGCCTCCCAGGTTCAAGCAATTCTCCTGCCTCAACCTCCCAAGTATCTGGGATAACAGGTGTGCACCACCACACCTGGCTAATTTTTGTATTTTTAGTAGAAATGGGGTTTCGCCATGTTGACCAGGCTGGTTTTGAACTCGTAACCTCGTGATTTGCCCACCTCGGCCTCCCAAAATGCTGGGATAACAGGTGTGAGCCACCATACCTGGCCTTTTTCTTTCTTTTTTTAGAGACAGGGTCCTGCTCTGTTGCCCAAGCTGGAGTGCAGTGTCACAATCAAGTTCATTGTAACCTCAAGCTCTTGGGCTCAAGTGATCCTCCCACCTCAACCTTCAGAGCAGCTAAAACTAAAGATGAACACCACCAGCAGGCTAATTTTTAAATGTTTTTGTAGAGACAGGGTCTCACTATGTTGCCCAGGCTTGTCTTCAAGGCCTGGCCTCAAGCAATCTTCCTGCCTCTGCCCTTCAAAGTGTTGGGTAACAGGCATGAGCCCCCAGCCTGGTCCTTGCTTACCTGTCTTGATTAAGGAGATGATTACTCAAGCATATATATCAAAAGCCATCAAAATATACATTCAAAAGCTATGCATTTTAGTATATGTAAATTATAACTCAATTAAACTTTTTTTTAAAATGTGATTTTTTCTTATCATCAACTGATGCACAGTGTCTTCCCACCAATATCATTATAATGAAAACATGTCTGTATAACAAATTGACTTCAGGCTCCACCTGACACCCACAGGTCTCGAACGTCATTTGAAACCACAAGTGAAAAGTTAGAAAAGTTTGAGGAGTTTGTTTCAATGGGAGCTGTGGTCTGAATGTCCCCCCCTGAAAAATGCGTATGTTGAAACCTATCCCCCAGTGCAGTAATATTAGAAAGTGGGGCCTTTAAGAGATGATTAGATCCCACAGGCAGAGTCCTTATGATGGGAGTAGTGCCCTCAACAGAGTGAGACCCCCTTCTTCCCCATGAGGACGCAGCAAGAAGGCGCCATCTATGAACAAGACACCCGAATCTGCCAGTGCCTTGATCTTGGACTCCCAGCCTCCAGAACTGTAAGCAATAAATATTGTTTATAAGCCACTCAGTTTATAGTATTTTTGTTATAGCCGCCCAAATGGATGAGGTTGATCCTTTCCCCCGAGAAACTGAGAACAGGCATATAGAACATATATATATATATATATATATATAAAATATATATAGCAAGTTGACATTGTGACACCCAAGTGTATGATTAGAGGACTCATCTTTTTGAACAAGAAATAGACGAGGCTGGGTATTGCTGAACTCCTATGGTTATCACAGTAGGAACACATAGTGGTCTGCTATAAACTGGAAGAAAGTAGTTTGAGAAACATGGTTCTAAGCTACCCTCTTAGCTTGAAAGCCACTCAGGAAAGAGCTTCCCATCACCCTGGCTCCACTGTTATGTCTACATCAGTGCAGCCCATATGAAGTGTGCTCAGTGGATCCTTGTGCATTTTTATTGATTTTGGGCCTGAGGCTTCTGGACAAATAAACACAGTTGTGAGAACTAGGCTATTCCAGTCCTTAGGATTGCCCTCTACCCAGAAAAAGCCTAAACAGAGCAGAAAAGCCTAGTTGGAGCAAGCATTCTCTTAAGGGCCTAGAAAAACTTGAGCCCCAGACATTGTTCCAAGGCTAGTCCTGCCTTCATGTCTTGCCAGATGCAGAGATGGTTAGTGGCTACTTCCAGTATCACTTCTCTACTTCTCCTTACTTCCTCTTTACTTGCTAGCCACATTGTGACCAAAAATAAAATATTAATCTCCCAGCCTCCCTTGCTGCTAGATATGACCATGTGACTTGTGGCCCAGAAAGCTGAATTCAGTGGGCCTTTCAGGAAGGCAGTCTAAAGAGAGCTAACTTAGCATGGAAGGCCTCTCTTTTTCTTTACTTTCCTTCTTTTTCTGGCTTATAACTCCAGAAGCCCATTTTGGACCATGAAGCAATCTGAAGGATGGAAGCCATATGCTAGAATGCAGCAGCAGAAAGACTGATGAAACCTAGGTCCCACCAACCCTGGATGCCTGCCTCCAAACTTACTTTCTTTTTCTTTTTTTTGAGACAGAGTCTCGCTCTTGTTGCCTAGGCTGGAGTGCAGTGGTGCGATCTTGGCTTACCACAACCTCCACCTCCCGGGTTCAAGCGATTCTCCTGCCTCAACCTCCCGAGTAGCTGGGATTACAGGCACATGCCACCACACTCAGCTAATTTTTGTATTTTTAGTAGAGAAAGGGTTTCCCCATGTTGGTCAGGTTGGTCTCGAACTCCCGACCTCAGGTGATCCGCCCACCTTGGCCTCCCAAAGTGCTGGGATTACAGGCTTGAGCCACCGCTCCCGGCATGCCTGCCTCGAAACTTTCTTTAGAGAAGGAAGAAAGAGGCTACTATTATTTTTGGTAATTCTTAGGTTTTCCTGTTTCATGCAGCCAGTTGATTCATAAGCCAAAGTTTGCCTTTTCTCCTTTGTTCACTGACAATAATCCATGAAGCAGCGAGGCCCTGTCCATCTGTCATCCTGGACATTGCTAAGGAAAGCAAACTGGTAGGACAGCAATCTGCTTACACAGTCTCTCAGGCAAATTTGCACTTACAAGAGGACCACCAGAAAAAGCACTGTTTCACCCAAAAGAAGCTTTGTGGTATTACACGGAAATAAAATTTGGGATCTTTCAATTTTTCTGTGTAGATCTAAATACATGTAGACTCTGAGAAATGTATGAAGTGCATCCTCCAGCCATTGGTAGCCACGAGTAGGGATTTTGTCACAGTTATGAGAGGAAAAATGAAAGTTAACCAGTTACTTTTAAGATTCAGACAAACGTGTTTGGAAGGCTGTAAATTAATGACTTGTTGGATGGAGACATTATGCAAGTTAATTTTCCAGTCTTCAGAAAACATTTTCAAAGGGAAATTATATTCTCCAACATATATTTGGAGAATCATTTGATATTTGTATCAAACATTTTTTTTTTTTTTTTTTTTTTTTTTTTTTTTTTTTTGAGACGGAGTCTCTCTCTGTCACCCAGGCTGGAGTGCAGTGGCGCGATCTCCGCTCACTGCAAGCTCCGCCTCCCGGGTTCACGGCATTCTCCCGCCTCAGCCTCCCGAGTAGCTGGGACTACAGGCGCCCGCCACCGCTCCCGGCTAATTTTTTGTATTTTTAGTAGAGAAGGGGTTTCACCGTGCTAGCCAGGATGGTCTCGATCTCCTGACCTCGTGATCCACCCACCTCGGCCTCCCAAAGTGCTGGGATTACAGGCGTGAGCCACTGCGCCCGGCCTTGTATCAAACATTTTAAAGAAATGTTGCTCTTCTCCAGAATAATTACATATAAGACTGAACTCTTCTCTGAAAACAACTGAACATTTTTCAGAGTTAATAAATAAATTGTTTCTGAATACAGAAGTCAACAGTTCTGAGATTTACAAATGATTAGATGAGTTTACTCACTGAGAAGTGTCACACAACTAGTATAACAAATGTCAACATTCCCCTAAACACTGTAATTTGTACACTGCATGTAGGCATAGCATCTAGAAACTCATTTTGAACACCTTGGGAAAATTAATGGAACATATTAACAATTGGAAAACAATGCTGCAGACTTCCCCAGCACCTCACCCTTTAATTTTTTTTTTTTTTTTTTTTGAGGCAGGGTCTCATTCTGTCTCCCAGGCTGGAGTACAATGGCGTGATCTCAGCTCACTGCAACCTGCAGCCTCCTAGGCTCAAGTGATTCTCCCACCTCAGCCTCTCAAGTAGCTGGCACGATGCCCAACTAATTTTTGTGTGTGTTTTTTTTTTTTTTGTAGAGACAGGGTTTCACCATGTTGACCAGAATAGTCTAAAACTCCTGAGCTCAGGTGATCTGCCTGCCTTGGCCTACCAAAGTGCTGGGATTACAGATGTGAGCCACTGCGCCTGGCCCTCACCCTTTAATTTAATGGGCCAATGTACAAATCCCTAGTCAGATGTGAAGTCCTTCCATTTGAAGAATGAGGGTTATCTTAAAGAAAGGAACAGGCTGGGTGCGGTGGCTCATGCCTGTAATCCCAGTACTTTGTGTGGCCGAGATGGGTGGATTACCTGAGGTCAGGAGTTTGAGACCAGCCTGGCCAACATGGTGAAACCCCGTGTCTACTAAAAATACAAAAATTAGCCGGGCGTGGTGGCACATGCCTGTAATCCCAGCTACTCAGGAGGCTGAGGCAGAAGAATTGCTTGAGCCCGGGAGATGGCCGTTGCAGTGAGCCAAGATTGTGCCACTGCACCCCAGCCTGGCCGACAGAGCAAGGCTCTGTACCCCCTGCAAAATAAATAAATAAATACAAATAAATAACAAGAAAGGAACAAAGAAAATAATTTTTGACAAAGTGCTGGGTAGAACCACTTGCAGCAACATTAATTTATTTACATTGAACTTTCCAAATGCATTTATGAGATATCTTTTGGTTGATGTGGTTTTCTCTTGAGCTTGAGATTCCTTATAGCCTATCTCCATTAGGAAAGAGGGAGTGGTATAACAAATTAAATGCCTCAAAGAAGCACTATGTATTCAATGACAGTTGGCTAAGAGAAGACTGAGAAAGTAGTTTCATTTGTTTTGTTTTTCTTTTCTCGATAGGTGCTTTTAGTTCTGTGAGCTGACATGCTTAGAGCCCAGCCAAGAACACAAGGCCAAGTCTTCAATTGCTAATCAAATAAATAAGCCTAAATCCTGAATGTAAACTTCATGCCTTTTATAATAATCACAGTTGAATAGGCTTGGCTGGACTTCAGTCATCTATCACTAGCAGTTTGCACTTGCATTTGGGAGTGTTTCACAGACCCAGTTCCACTATCCTCTTCCCAGCCCAAGCCCATCCCTTGGCATGTCCTCTTCACAGACTGTGGTCAGTACAGTGAGTCCGTGGCCTAGGCTTGCTTTGGCTGCCACACCCTCAGCTGGAGTGACAAGGCTGGCAGAATGAGGCAGAAAGAGTAGATGAGCTGTTGGCGATGATCACAGGGTTCTTTCCCACAAACACCTTCTGTTCTTGCCCTTTACTGCTTTTTAAACACTTTATCTATTGTTTTTGTTTCGTTGGAATGTTAATTTGCAGAAATAATATATGCAATATAGGATTATATTCTATTTGTAAAAAATTAAAACTTCTAACTCAATGGCGTCATGAATCAACTGGATATAGTTGACATCTATAGACTACTTCATCTCACAACAGAAGACTGCACATTCTTCTCAAGCTTACATGGAACATGCAAGATAGGCCATATTCTGAGCTATAAAACACACTTTAACCAATTTAAAAGCATAGCAATCAGGCCGGGCATGGTGGCTTAGCTCACGCCTGTAATTCCAGCACTTTGGGAGGCCGAGATGGGCGGATCACTTGAGGTCAGGAGTTCGAGACCAGCCTGGCCAACATGGTGAAGCCCTGTCTCTACCAGGAAAGAAAGAAATAAAGAAAGAGAGAGAGAGAGAAAGAAAGAAAGAGAGAGGGAGAGAGAGGGAGGGAGGGAGGGAAAGAGAGAAAGAAAGAAAGAAAAAGAAAGAAAGAAAGAAGGAAAGAAAGAAAGGGAAAGAGAGAGAGAGAAAGAAAGGGAAAGAGAGAGAGAAAGAAAGAAAGGGAAAGAGAGAGAGAAAGAAAGAAAGAAAAAGAAAGAAAGAAAGGAATCATACCACGTGTACCACTAGGCCACAATGGAATTAAACTAGAGATCAATAACCAAAAAAACCCCAGAATACTTGAAAATAAACAAAACACTTCTAAATAATACATGGGTCAGAGAAGAAATCTCAAGAGAAATTTAAAAATATTAGGAAAAATGTTTGGAAAATGAAAATTCAACTTGTTAAAATTTGTGAGTTACAGCAAAAGCAGTGCCTAAAGGGCAATTTTAGCATTGAATGCATGTATTAGAACAGAGGAAGATCTAAATCACTAATATAAGCTTCTACCTTAGGAAACTAGAAAAAAAGAGTAATTTAAATTCAAAGAAAGCAGAAGAAAAGACTTGATAAAAACTGGAACAGACATCAGTGAAATTGAAAACGGGAAATCAATAGAGAAAATCGGTGAAACCAAAATTGTCTTTTAAAAAAGATCAAGGCCGGGTGTGGTGGCTCACGCCTGTAATCCCAGTGCTTTGGGAGGCCAAGGCAGGTGGATCACAAGGTCAGGAATTTGAGACCAGCCTGGCCACAATAGTGAAACCCTGTCTCTACTAAAAATACAAAAATCAGCTGGGTGTGGTGGCATACACCTGTAGTCCCAGCTGCTTGGGAGGCTGAGGCAGGATAATCACTTGAACCCAGGAGGTAGAGGTTGCAGTGGGCCAAGACTGTGCCACTGCACTCCAGCCTGGGCGACAGAGCAAGACTCCGTCTCAAAAAAAAAAAAAAAGAAAAAGAAAAAAGTCAATAAAATTGATAAGCCTCTAGCCAGACTAAGAAAAAAAGAGAGATGACACAAATAACTAATATCAGAAATGAAAGACAGGACATCACTACAGATTTCTTGAAAATTAAAGGGATAATAAAGGAATACTATGAACAACTCCATGGCCACACATTTTATAAACTAGATAAAATGGACTGATTTCCTGAAAGACACAATCTGCCAAAACTCATGCAAGAAGAAATAGACAATTTAAATAGGCCTATATCTATTGTCTGGGCATGGTGGCTTATACCTGTAGTCCCAAAGCTTTGGGAGGCCAAGGTGGGAGGATTGCTTGAGGCCAGGAGGTTGAGACCAGCCTGAGCAATTTAGCAAGACCTCATCTCATAAAAAAAAAAAAATTTAAAAACTAGCTGAGCATGGTGGCATGCACCTGTAGTCCCAGTTACTCAGGAGGCTGAGGCAGGAGGATTGCATGAGCCTGGGAGTTTGAGATTGCAGTGAGCTGTGATTGTGCCACTGCACTCCAGCCTGGGCAACAGAATGTGACTCTGTCTCTAAAATAAATAAACAAACAATAGGCATATATCTAGTAAAGAAATTAGTTCAATAATTAATAATCTTCCAAAATAGAACACACCATTCCCAGATTTGTTCACAAGTGAGTTCTACCAAACTTTTTTTTTTTTTTTTTTTGAGACAGAGTTTCGCTCTTGTTGCCCAGGATGGAGTGCAATGGCACGATCTCGGCTCACCACAACCTCCATCTCCTGAGTTCAAACAATTCTCCTGCCTTAGCCTTCCAAGTAGCTGGGATTACAGGCATGTGCCACCATGCCCATGGCTAATTTTGTATTTTTAGTAGAGACGAAGTTTCTCCATGTTGGTCAGGCTGGTCTTGAACTCCCAACCTCAGGTGATCTGCCCGCCTCATCCTTCCAAAGTGCTAGGATTACAGGTGTGAGCCACTATGCCTGGCCTTAGTTCTACCAAACACGTAAAGAAGAAATTATACTGATGCTGTACAATCTCTTCCAGAAGACAGAAGCAGAGGAAATACTTCCTAACTCATTCAGCGAGGCCAGCATTAGCCTAATACCAAACCAAGACAAAGACATTATAAAGAAAGAAGACTATAGACAAATATATCTCATGAATATAGAGGCAAAAACGCTCAACAAAATACTAGCAAATTGATTTTACTTATTTTATATTATTTGTATTGTAGAGATGAGATCTCACTATGTTCCTTAGGCTGGTTTCGGACTCCTGAGCTCAAGCAATCCTCCTGCCTCAACCTCCCAAAGTGCTAGGATTATAGGCATGAGCCAACACACCTGGCCAATACTAGCAAATTGAATCAAACAATGTATAATAAGAATTTTACAATACAATGAAGTGGAATTTATTCTAGGCATGCAAGCCTGGTTCAGCATTCAAAAATCAATGAAATCAAACAGGCTAAAGAAGAAAAATCACATGTTCATAACAATAAATGCAGAATTATATTTTACAAAATCTAACATTCATCTGTGATAAAAACTTAGTAAACAAGGATTAGCGGGGAAGTTCCTTAACTGGATAAAGAATATTTACAAAAAGCCTGCAGCTAATATGGTACAGCTACAGCTTCTAGTTTCTCACCATTAAGGTGAGAAATTAGAAGCTTTCCCATGAAGATCAAGAAGAAAGCAAGGATGTCCCCTCTCACCACCCCTTACAACATCATTACAGAAGGTCCTACCCAATGCATTAAGACAAGAAAAGGACATAAAAGGCATATTGACTGGGAAAAAGTAAATAAAATGTCTTTGTTCACTGTTGACATGATCAACTATACAGAACATCTGAAAGAATCAACCAAAAACTCCTGACACTAAAAGTGATTATAGGAAGGTTGTAGAAAACAAGATTAGTAAATATAGAAGTCAATTACTATCCTATATACCAGCTACTAAAAAGGGGCATTTGAAATTAAAAATGCAGTACCATTTACATTAGTATACTTAAAAAATTAAAAACTTAAGTATGAATCTAACAAAATATGTATAAGATCTATATATCAGAAAACTACTGATACGGTTTGGCTCTGTGTCCCCATCCAAATCTCTTTTTTTTTTTCTTTTTTTTTTTTTGAGACGGAGTCTTGCTCTGTCCCCCAGGCTGGAGTGCAGTGGCACAATCTCAGCTCACTGCAACCTCCACCTCCTGGGTTCAAGTGATTCTTCTGCCCCAACCTTCGGAGTAGCTGGGACTACAGGTGCATGCCACCAAGCCCAGCTAATTTTTTGTATTTTTAGTAGAGATGGGGTTTCACTGTGTTAGCCAGGATGGTCTCGATCTCCTGACCTCATGATCCGCCCACCTCAGCCTCCCAAAGTGCTGGGATTACGGGGGTGAGCCACTGCACCCGGCTGTCCCCATCCAAATCTTATCTCGAATTGTAATCCCCACATGTTGAGGGAGGAACCAGGTGGAGGTGATTGAATCATGAGGGCGGTTTTCTCCATGCTGCTCTCAGGGGATCTAATAGTTTTATAAGGGGCTCTTTCCCCATCACTCTGCTGCTCTTCTCTCTCTTGCCACCTTCTGAAAAGGTGCCTTCCACAATGATTGTAAGTTTCCTGAGGCCTCCTCAGCCATGTGAACTGTGAATCAATTAAACCACTTTATAAATTATCCAGTCTCAGGCAGTTTTTTTTTTCTTTTTTCTTTTTTGAGATGGAGTCTCGCTCTGTTGCACAGGTTGGAGTGCAGTGGTGCGATCTCAGCTCACTGCAACCTCCACCTCCCACGTTCTAGTAATTCTCCTGCTTCAGCCTCCTAAATAGCTGGGACTACAGGCATGTGCCACCATGCCCAGCTATTTTTTTTTTGTATTAGTAGAGACGGGTTTGCCATGTTGGCCAGGCTGGTCTCAAACTCCTGACCTCAGGTGATTTGTCGTGCAATTCTTTATAGCAATGTGAGAACAGACTAATACAACTACAACACTCTGATATAAGAAATCAAAGAGGAACTAAATAAATGGAGAAATGTTTTATGTTCATGGAGAGGAAGACTTAATATTGTCAAGATGTCAGTTCTTCCCAGCTTGATCTATAGATTCAGTGCAATCCCAATCAAATCCCAGCAAGTAATTTTGTAGATATTGAAAAACCGATTCCAAGATTTATATAGAGAAGCAAAAGATCCAGAATTGCCAACACAATATTGAATGAAAAGAACAAAGTCAGAGGACTGACACTACCTGACTTCAAGAACTACTATAAAGTTGTAGTAATCAAGACAGTGTGGTATTGGCCAAAGAATACACAGATATATGGAACAGAAGAGAGAGCCAAGAAATAGATCTATATAGTCAACTGACCTTTGACAAAAAAGCAAAAGCAATACAATGAAGCAAATATAGTGTTTTCAACAAATGGTACTGGAACAATTGGACATCCACGTGCAAAAGAAAAAAAAAGAATTTAGACACAGACCTTACATCCTTTACAAAATTTAACTCTAAATGAATTGTATACCTAAATGTAAAATGCAAAACTGTAAAACTCTTAGAAGATAACATAGGAGAAAATCTAGGTCATCTTGGGTATGGCAATGACTTTTTAGATACAGTATCAAAGACATGAATCATGAAAGACAGAATTGGTAAGCTGGACTTCATTAAAGTTAAAAATTTCTGCTCTGTGAAAGACACTGTCAAGATGGTAAGATAAGACACAGACTGGGAGAAAATATTTACAAAAGATATACCTGATAAAGTAATGTTAACCAAAATTTAACAATGAACACTTAAAACCCAACAATAAGAAAACAAACAATCTAATTTAAAAATGGGCAAAAGACCTGAATAGACACATCACCGAAAAAGTTATTAAGATGGCAAATAAGCATATGATATTCAACATCATATGTCATTAGGGAATTGAAACATAAAACAACAAGGCTAGGTGCAGTGGCTCACGCCTGTAATCCCAACACTTCGGGAGGCCTTGGTGGGCAGATCACTTGAGCCTAGGAGTTCAAGATCAGTCTGGACAACATGGTGAAACCCTGCCTCTACAAAAAAATTAGCCAGGCATGGTGGTGCATGCTTGTAGTGCCAGCTACTTGGGAGGTTGAGGTGGGAGGATCATCTGAGCCCAGGGTCGATGCTGCAATGAGCTGTGATTGTGCCACTGCACTCCAGCCTTGGTGACAGAGTGAGACCCTGTCTCAAAGAACAAAGAAACAAACAAACGAAGAAACCCAATGAGATAGCATTACACACTTATTAGAATGGCCAAAATCTAAAACTCTGACAACATCAAATGTTAATAAGGATGTAGAACAACAGGAACTCTCATTCATTGGTGGTGGGAGTGCAAAATGGTGCAGCCACTTTGGAAGACAGTTTGGCAGTTTCTTACAAAGTTGAACATACTTCTACCATATGATCTACCAATTGTGTGCCTTGGTATTTACCCAAAGGAGTTGAAACCACACCCACACAAAAATCTGCCCATAGATGTTTATAGATTTATTCATAATAGTCAAAAATATGGAAGAGGGAATCTGGATGTCTAATTTCATATCAATTAAACTTTCAATCAATCCTGGTTTTAGCCCTCACACTACACTAGCATTTAGAAGTATTTGGTCCTCCAAATTCTGAGATTTTCTAGTTCTGCTGAGCAAATCTGTCCTCGATTCATAGGAAGTATGTTTCAGTTTCTCAGTTCTGCTAAGTCAGCTATCATTTTTCCATGTTCTTTTGCCTTTCCACAATTTTATTAACATTGCTCATCTGCTGCCAACTCTTCTCATTCTCTTTGTCCTCATGGGTTTAAATTTCCTCATGGGTTGAAATTTGTTGTCATTTGTCCTCATGGATTTAAATTTGCTGTCATTTTAGTAGGGTGTGGGGAGAGGGCAGAGTTAATGTGTATGTTCAATCTGCCACATTTAGTCAGAAGTCAGAGGTGATCTTCACCATTTGGAAATCCTCCTTGGCTGCTAGAGACCATGGCCACAGACACTCCATTTTTTGAAGGTTGGTTGTGTAGCCAAACAGTGTTTGAAGGGCCCAGCAGACCCCAGAACTTCTGTATGCCCTTAGTGCTGCAGTGCATGTGGTGGCTTGGGGAAGGTAGAGGAAGGAGAGGTCTCAGCCCTTTGAAGAGGAGCTCAATTATAAGTAAATCTGTAAACTGTAAACCTCACTACAGCCCTATTTTCTGGATAAGGAAACAGTGGTTCAGAGAGATGATGTGACTTTTCAAAGGTCTCATATCTGGTTGATGGCAAAGTGCGGTGAGACCCTAGGCTTGCCTGGCTTTCCACAGTGGTCTTTTCCCAGTGTGAGAGATTATTTGGTTCCATTCTCTACCTCTCCTTGTATCCCACCCTTTACAGTTTTGTGTCCTGATTTTGCATTTGACCCTGTGACTTGGTTGGGCTAATGGAATGTTCGCTTGTGTGATGTCGCCAAAGGTTTGAAAAGTGCTTGTGCATTGGGTCTGCCTCTGCTGCACTACAGGTCTCGGAAGAGGAAGGGAGACACATAGAGCAGATATGCCCAAGCCCAACCAGCCCATATTACCAGCCGACTTCCAGCCAACCCACAAATCCCCAAGAATAAGTAATTATTGTTTTAAGGCAGTGAATTTTGGGGTGGTTGGTTACACAGCATTTTTGTGGAAATAGCTGATATACCATGTCATAGAAACTCCTGCCATCAAGATAAATTAACAGATGACTGATGATGGGGAGTAATAAAAAGGTCCAGCATCTGCCTGGCTGGAATTGCTAGATTTAGTAAATAAAAATACAGAACCCAGATCAATTTACATTTTAGATAAACATCAACTGATTTCTTAGCATAAGTATGTCTCATGTAATCTTTGGGAAGTACTTCAAAAATTATTGTTTCTTTGCATGACACATTTCACTGGGCATACTGTTTTTTATCTGGCAACCTCATTCTGACAGATTTGTAAGAGTCAAACTACACAGAAAGCACCTGTGCATAAAAGTGGGCCTGGGCTAGAAAAGATGAGATATTAAAACAAGTCATTTTCTCTGCTCTGCACTAGGCAGTAAATGTATTTATAGGGCAGGCTTAATTTAGGTCTCTCAGGTAGCTTCTTATAGAGGGACTGAGTCAGAGAAAACCTGCCTGAAACATAAGAATGGGCCGGTGACTGGGAGAAGTTCCTTTCAGCTTTATTATTCAACCACACTAAAATCAGGGATCCATCAGGGAGGCTCTGACTTGCCTGCTTTCAGCAGCCTGTGGCTCTATAGAGAGCATCCTTCTAAACAATCTGAAACCTACATCCCTTTAGCTTGGATCCAAGAAGTGTTTCCCCAGGCTATTGCGCCATCTGTCTCCCAGGTGCCTGCAAGGGAAATGTTCTGTGGGGGTTGGGGAGAGAAGGGCTGCAGCCCTGGGCTCTGGAAGCGACTAAGAACTGTTTGTCAAGAGGTCAGTCCTGCTCGCCAGTGGCCAGTGAAACCAAGAGGCTGGATGAAACCTGAGTAAACCAAACACTGCAAGAGGTCAGAATGCTCAAACAGCCACGATGTGGGAACTCAGTTTATCCTCTGCCTCATCCCTCTCTTTAACAGTTTCCGGCAAGCCACTGTTTCTGGCTTTGCACAGCCTAATTGGCCATTTTCATGAGTAGTCGCCAACACAATCCAGGAGGAAATTCCACGCTGTCAGCCAGCAGCACAGATTGTTGCAGGAAAAATGACATAACTCATCCTCTGGGCAAACTTGCAAATGATTACAAATTTCCCCATCTCTCCTCGACTCACACAGCTGGCTGGAGAAGGGTGTAAATTTTTCCATGGAGATAGGAGACTTTTCCTCCGTGTAATTTCTTGTGATCAAACAAATCTCTATGGCTATTAATTTGCTTTCATTTCTGGTTTCATTCCCCCTGACATTCAAATAGAACCTATGTAGACTCTGCTCGTGGACACTTCCCGGGACTCGGATACCAAGCGAGACTCCTATGATGGCCTTGGTACAATGTTAGGTTCCCAAAAGGGACGATGGCCAGCTAAAATTCTGCACCTCTAGATAAATGACACCATGAAAACCAAACAGGCACAATGTGGTCATTGGTGCAGATCAGCTTTGGCATAAACCACAGCTCGCTCATCTGAGGACCAAGGTTGACTAATTCTGCCCCTGACAGTACTCTGTTTTCTCCTGACCCAGGCTCTCACTCAGATGTTGCTTGTAGATTTCATAGACTCTTCCACTTGGATTCAACTGAGTGAATAATTATTGAGCCCCATACCATGCTCATCTTACCGAGTGAGGCTCCAGGGGAATACAATAATTAATAATGCACTGGATCTAGCTTCAGGAAGCTTGCTGTTTAGAAGGAAAGGAGATCTACAAATCGCTATTATGTGAGAAGAGACCGATAAAGGACTAGCATGGAAGTAGCGGCAGTTGGAGGAGGGATTTGGAGAGATGCTGCTTGGCAGCAGAGGCCTGGGGATGTCTCATGGAGGAGGCAACGTTTGAGCTGGACCATACAGGGCTTCAGTGATGGCCCCTGGGAGGCCAGGAAAATGTAGGCACCAGGACAAGCAAAGTTGTAGAGTGAGAATCACCCCAAAGAATAGGGCTTGTAGGGAGAGAGAAGTCAGGTTTTAGTGTGAGACGAGAAGCTGAGCCTCCACTTCCTTGGAGGAGAAATCAGACTTTGTGTTCCTAACAAAGTCCCAAGATGCTGAGGGATCTTCCTCCTATAGTGCACAGTTCAATGCTTGCATCTTCCCCTCTCCTTTACAAGGCCAGATTCTAAAATATTTTACCCTGGTGGCTTAAAGGATTAATCTAATGCATATCAATGTTAAGTTATAATAATAATTTCTTAGGCTATTTCTTTAGAAGACCTCAAATAGCTCTGAGCTCCAGCTTCTCTGTGGATAAAGAGAAAGTAAATGCCCCCTGTTGCAAAAACTTCTGGAGCAGTGGGAAACCAACCTGTCAACTGAAATTGATTTATTCATTCAACTGCAATGACCCGACCCATTTAACACATCCCCTGAGAGGGAGCAGTTTTCTTCATTCAACCCATAGGATCAAGCTGATTACCATATAATAGTGTTACATCTTCATGAGTAAGTCAGGGTAGAAATTGCCATCCCCACTTAATAAATGGAGAAAATTAAACACAACTCTCACTATCACACAAGAGAGATACTTGCCCATAATATGTTCACCAGATCATCCTAACACATAGTTTCCTTAGGTATAGGATGAATCCCAGACTTCCTTTGCACCTCTATGTGTGTATTTCCCTTAACAAGAAAGCCAGATGCTATAGCACTTCTTTATCATCATAGGGAAAGAGAAATCTAGTTTTGCCCTTTCTTCCCCCACTTATTTTGAAATACCTGGTAGTCTCTGTTTTCTTCTCTATATGGCAGTTCCTTCCAACCTTTCTTGCTCTTGTTTAGAATAATTCCTTGTCAGTTCTTTCCGTGTCTACAGCCTGCAGGCTGAAGAAGAGCTCAGAGTTCCGACAAGCTAAGTTTGATTCTGTGACAAGCTGGCTCTGGGCATTAGGTCCACGAGGAAATGACATGTGCAGCAGTGTCAGCCTCCAAAACTTCCACCTGGCCTTGATCACCCCAGGTCTCCAGACACTTGTGCGTATTCAGCTTGGGATGCAACCCAGCTGCTGGCTTCTGAGGCATCTCAGTAACTATGGAGACAGGAATATAAACATCAGTGAGTAGGGCAGGAAGCAGGCGGCCAGTCTTAGGAGTTAAAGCATTGACGGGATTCATTCGGCATTGTGATGTGTTGCAAATGATGAAAGCAGAACTACTAGGTCTTTCTTATAACAAATGGGACGACTGTAGTTTTACGGCGAGACTCCTCAGTTATGTCTCCATTTTCATCCAGCTGCTTAGTTATTCGCTTATTTATTCCACAAATACGTACCGAGGTGTTACTATGTGCTAGGTACTGTTTAGGGACCAGAGACAGAGGTGAATAAGGCAAATCTCTGACCTCAGAGAACTTACACTCGAGTAGGGTGACCAGAACTGCCCTGGTTTGCCTGGAACTGAAGGGAGTCTCAGCACATGGGAGTTAAAACTGGAAAAGTTTTGGGCAAATTGGGACAAATTGGTCACCTGCTGGGGAGACAACAGTTAATAAGTACATAAATAAATGCAATAACTTCAAACAGTGATAAGCTCAATGAAGGAAGTAACACTGAGTGAGGTGCTACCGAGCAGCTGGAGGTGGGAGGAGGGGGCAGGGTTTGGTTGATAGCTGGGTAAAGAGGAGGTGACTGAACTGAAGCCTGAGGGGCCCTGGAGGAGCATTGCAGGTTGAAGGAACAGGGACAAACTTGACAAGCTCGAGGTAAAGAAGGAAGGCCAGTCAAGCTGGAGTGCAATGAGAAGAGAGGAGAGGAAGTCAGGGCCTGGGCAGGCCATGTCTTTTAGGTGTGGTAAGGATTTGGGGATCCTGTAACTATTAATCCCGCAAACTCACACATACTGTGGCCCAGTGTTCTCCCAGGGCTTTACATATGCTGACTCTTTTCATCTTCACAATAAAGGCAGGCTGGTATCACTATCCTCGTCTTGTTACAGGTGAAGAAACTGAGGCACAGGAGGAGAACTCTCCCACATCCAAATAGCATCAGTGGCAGAAAGCCAGGCTTCCAGCTCAGGTGGTCTGGCCCCGAGTCTGCCCCCTTAACTGATTCCCCACACAGCCTGGGTTTCAGACAGAAGGGAACCAGGATCTGATTTGTATATGAGCCAGACCCTAGCTGTGTCCTCCCTCTTTGTCTCACCTGCTCCTGACCTATCAGATCCCAGCACCTTGTGGACTGTGTGAAAGTCTCTGATTATCGGTGGGCTATGCCACGTGGATATTTTCTTTTCTTTTCTTTTTATTTTTTAATACGAAGTCTCGCTCTGTCGTCCAGGCTGGAGTGCAGTGATGCAATCTCGGCTCACTGCAACCTCTGCCTCCTGGGATCAAGCAATTCTCTGCCTCAGCCTCCCGAATAGCTGGGATTACAAGCGCCCACCACCACGCCTGGCTAATTTTTGTATTTTTAGTAGAGACGGGGTTTCACCATCTTGGCCAGGCTGGTCTTGAACTCCTGACCTTGTGATCTGCCCGCCTCGGCCTCCCAAAGCACTGGGATTACAGGCGTGAGCCACCGTGCCTGGCCACCACTTGGATATTTTCATGATGGGATTCAAATGGAAGAAATCAGGGAGGTAAAAATATTACGGCATATGGCTTTTTTAACTTCCACTTTGCTTCTTTATAACCACCCTCAATATGTTATTCTTGCGTCTTGTTCAATATAGAAAACAACATAACCATCCAACTGCAAAGGCTGTTTTATCAGCAACCAAATTACTTTATCAGGTATGGTTAACAATGGGTTTTCTTTCCTCTACCATTTCTGATAAAATGTTTGCACAGCATTATGTGAGGAAATATAGAGCTACAGCAATAAAAAATGAACAGGGATAATTTGTGTGTTGGCATTTCCACAAGAGAATGTCAAATATTTCATACCCCGGGGATATTAAGCCTTTCTACCCTTACTGCTACTTTCTTTTAAAAAATGCTTTATGTTCATTTTATTATTAATCTTGAATGGCACATATATATTATATATACTCTTTTTATATGATATGTTTCTCAAACAATATTTTAAAGTCTGTCATAAAAATAAATATGTCTTGAGCATTGAAAATGATACCATGTCAGGTAAACTAACAGGCAGTTGCAACTGAGAGGGAACATTCTTTCTAAAGATTATTCTGCCCTCATTTTAGGTAGTAGCCCATATTTTCCAGAATTCCTTGCAAAGATCTACATAGGGAGTGTGTTGCTTTTTGTAGAACACGGTGATTAATCAATGTAGACCCATTTCTTCTCATTATTCTTACAATTCTTCATACAGAAACTTTCCAGGTGGTAGATATGGATAATCAGATCCCAAATTTAACTAGAAGTTATCACATTTTAAGAGTACTTACAAATCACAAATTGTGAAATGAGTTGAAAAATAATCTATAGGCATCATTTGAATTTTAGGGCTTTTTTATTCTTAAGAAATAACCTTTAAATTAAACCACAATAAATATTGAATTAATTATTAATTAATTTTTAATTTTTTTTTTTGAGATGGAGCCTCACTCTGTCACCCAGGCTGGAGTGCAGTGGCATGATCTCGGCTCACTGGAGCCTCTGCCCCCCAGGTTCGAGTGATTCTCCTGCCTCAGCCTCCTGAGTAGCTGGAATAATAGGCATGCACAACCACTTTCAGCTAATTTTTGTGTTTTTCTTTTTCAGTAGAGACAGGGTTTCACCATGTTGGCCAGGCTGGTCTCGAACTCCTGACATCAAGTGATCTGCCTGCCTCGGCCTCCCAAAGTGCTGGGATTACAGGCGTGAGCCACTGCACTCGGCCCACAATGAATATTTTAGATTAAAAAGTATCAAATGCAAAAAAAAAAAAGGCAGGAGAGACCTGTAGCTAGCTCTGGTTTTACATTTCAACAAACAAACAAACAAACAAACAAAACAACCTTCAAAACATAAGGGTCTAGTCCTCAAGTCTCCCTGTGGTATCCAGGAACCTGGCGAAGACCTTGCTTGCATGGTCTACGCAGACATTTGCTCTCCAGGTTCAAAGCTGGTCTCAAGGAGACAAGATAGAGGTTCACAAAAAGAGAGTTTTACAACCTGAGGTGATATGTCTTTGGGAATTGCGAAGATTGGGTGGTTGCATAATTGCGAGGATTGGGTCGTTGCATAAGACGTCACATTTGGTATCAAATAAATTTTTTATTTCTTTTTTTGGCAATGAGAAAAACACAGCCTCTTCAGCATCCCAGAGTGAGCAACAGGGAAAGATGTCACAAACACTTGCCATCTGACAACTGGATACTGGTATCCAGATTATGAGAGTGGGGAATGGTAGGTATGGTAGGTTAAAAACTGGCCACCAAAAAATATGACCATATGCACATCCCCAGAACCTGTAAATATTACCTTGTATGGCAAACAATATTACATTATACAGCAAAAGACGCAGTTAAGGATCTTGAGAGGAGCTTATCTTGGATAACCAAGATGGGCCCTAATGCAATCATGTGTGTCTTTATAGCAGAGAAGCAGAGGGAGTTTGGGCACAGACCTACACAGAGGAGAAAGTGATGTAAAGACAGAGGCAGAGATTGGAATGATACAGCCTCAAACCAAGAAATGCCTGTCCCCACCAGAAGCTGGAAGAGGCAGGGAACCTCCACAGAGTTGCTGTAGGGAATGTGGCCCTGCCAATACCTTTATTTCAGACTTCAGGCTTCTAGAACTGTGAGAGAATATATTTATGTTGTTTTTTTTTTTTAATTTTTTTGTAGGCGGGAGTGAGGAATCTTGCTTTGTTGCTCAGGCTAGTTTCAAACTCCTGGCCTCAAGAGATCCTCCCTTCTCAGCCTCCTGAGTAGCTGGGACTACAGGTGTGAGCCACCATGCCTGGCTAATTTTTTTTTTTTTTTTTTTGAGACAGTGTTTCACTCTTGTTGCCCAGGCTGGAGTGCAATGGCGCAATCTCAGCTCACTGCAACCTCTGCCTCCTGGGTTCAAGTGATTCTCCTGCCTCATGCTCCCGAGTAGCTGGGATTACAGAAATGCGCCACCATGCCCGGCTAATTTTGTATTTTTAGTGGAAATGGGGTTTCTCCATGCTGGTCAGCCTGGTCTCGAACTCCTGACCTCAGGTAATCTGCCCGCCCCGGCCTCCCAAAGTGTTGGGATTACATGCATGAGCCACCGCGCCTTAGCCACTATTTTTAAGTTTTGTGTAGAGACAGCGTCTAGCTGTGTTGCTCAGGCTGATCTTGAACTCAGAGCCTCCCATCTTGGCCTCCCAAGGTGCTGAGATTACCAAGGTGAGCTTCCATGTCCAGACTTACATTTCTGTGTGTTTTTTTTGTTTGTTTGTTTGTTTTAAGCTACTAAGTCATGGTAATTTGTTATGGCAGCCAAAGGGAATTAATACAATGAGTAATAGGTATGGGGGCGGTAAGGAGGAAAGGAAGTTATTTTTTAGCTGAATGCTTAAAGAGACTAGATCCTTCCATTAAGTCACTGTACAGAGTAGAGACTGTGGGAGTTGGAAAACAGCTGTGACAGTCTGTGGCAGGCAGAATTCTAAGAAAGCTCATGACCTCCACCCCTGAGTGTTACTTCTGTGGTTATGTAACCTTTTTTTTTTTTTTGAGGCAGGGTCTCACTTTGTCATCCAGGCTGGAATGCAACGGCATGATCACAGCTCACTGCAGCCTCAAAGTCCTGGGCTCAAGCAATCCTCCCACCTCCCTCCTGGGTAGCTAGGACTACAGGAGCACACCACCACAGTTGACTAACTTTTTGTTTTTTATAGAGATGAAGTCTTGCTATGTTGCTCAGGCTAGTCTCAAATTCCTGGCCTCAAGCAAACCTTTTGCCTTGTCCTCCCAAAATGTTGGGATTATAGGCATGAGCCACTGCGTCCAGCTGGTTATATTACTTTATATGGGAAAGGGATTTTGGGGATATAATTACAGTTACTAATCAGTCGATTTTAAGATAGGGAGATCATCTGGTGGCCTAATCACATGAGCCCTTTAAATGCAGAGAGTTTACTCCACCTGGTAGCCAAAAGGGGTACAGTGAGACACATTCCAGCTGGCTGGAGAAAAGCAAACATTCATGCTGTGAACTACCAATGAAGAGAGGTGGATGGAAACCTTAGTCCTATAGCCATAAAGAAATGGATTCTGCTAACAACCAGTGAGCTTGAAAGAGGATCATGAGGCTCAGGTGAGAAACATGCCAACCAATACCTGGATTCTAGCCTTGTGATGCCTTCAGCAAGATCCGAGCCACACTGTGCCCAACTCCTAACCCACAGACCTGTAAACTAATAAGTGGATGTTGTTTGAGCTGCTACATGTGTGGTCATTTGCTACACAGCAACAGATAACTAATATACGTCCCCAGGCATTGAACTGACCAGGAGTGGGCAGGGAGGGTGCAGGTAGGAAAGAGTTCTCTCCAGCATCCTGCCTCTACACATTCCCATCTTCCTCCACCACCTACTACACACACCGCTATATGCCCAGGCTGTCGAGAATCTACCAAAGCCCAGGACACATTTTTTTATTATCTGATTTATCCAAGTTAATACTGAAGAAATTAAGTTCTTAGTCTACCAGTGGTTCCTGTAAGCAGGTGCTAAAATCATATGATATGGAAAAATAACTTGGCCAGGCACAGTGGTTCACACCTGTAATCCCAGCACTTTGGGAGGCCAAGGCAAGAGGATCACTTGAGCCCAGGCAACAGCCACTGGGCAACAGCCTGTAGAGATGTAGACCTCACCTCTATAAAAAATAAATTAGCCGGGTGTGGTATCACGTGCCTGTTGGTCCCAGCTACTTGGGAGGCTAAGGTGGGAGGATCACTTGAGCCCAGGAGTTCAAGGCTGCAGTGAGCTGTGATCATGCCACTGCACTCCATCCTGGGCAGCGGAGCAAGACCCTATCTTAAAAAAAAAAAGAAAAGAAAAAAGAAGGCTGGGTGTGGTGGCTCATGCCTGTAATCCCAGCACTTTAGGAGGCCGAGGTGGGTGGATCACCTGAGGTCGGGAGTTCAAGACCAATCTGACCAACATGGAGAAACCCCATCTCTACTAAAAATACAAAATTAGCCAGGTGTGGTGGCATGTGCCTGTAATACCAGCTACTCGGGAGGCTGAGGCAGGAGACTCTCTTGAACCTGGGAGGTGGAGGTTGTGTGAGCTGAGAGGGCACCATTGCACTCCAGCCCGGGTAACAATTGCGAAACTCCGTCTCAAAAAAAAAAAGAAAAGAAAAGAAACTTGCCTGTTCCCAATTGAGATTCCATGTTATTGTGCAACACACACACACAATGGTACAGCTAAATGCTAAGATGCATTTTGCCCACTTTTGAGGAAAAAAACTGTAGACATCCACCACTTCAACCAAGAGGAGGAAAACTGCACTGGATCCTCTCAGAAATGAACTTTCTCTCCACAGGCTCCAGCCCCACTCATTTCCTTTGTCTCTGGAATGAGCCAGCTCTTCCCGGCTCCAGGATATTTTTCCATGCTTTCTGTTTGCCTCAATAGTCTTTCCTCCACTCTTTTCAATGACTGACTCCCTATATTTAAGGTTCCAATTTAAATATAATCCCCCTAAACTCTTTTCCCTGATCACCCAGTCTAAAACTGGCCTCCCTTGTTAGTCTTTCCAAGCTCCTTGTTCTTTTTTTGTCCTGGTACTTTATCACATTTTGTGATTATGTATTGGTTTTTTTTTTGTCTGCTAGACTGACCACTACACTATAGCTTTATGTATTATTTGGTACTCTCTTGGTTGCAAGCAACAGAAACTGCCTTTGGCTTGCTTAAACTATATGACAGGTAGCTTTTGTAATTTAAAGAAAATTCCTGTCTTAGCAAGGACAGGAATGATAAATATTGTAGGACATTTCAGACCTTCATTCACAATTCCAGGCACTTGGGAAATCTGGGAGACCCCCACTCATGTTTCAGATTCCTGGGAGAGAGAATCGATGGGTTGGGTTGGGTTGAATTTCTGCCTTTGGACATCACTGTGCTTCCTATGATGGGCCACTCTGAGGTTAAGAAAGCACGATCTGTTATTTTGTTATGAGAAGGGAGGAAGGGGTGGAAGTAGATGGCTCTGAGCAGGGAACATAGGAGCATCACCAACTTTTATTGAACATGGATTGTGCTTAAGGCCCTAGCTAAGCATCCCTACCTTATCTATAGGTCTCTGATTTATTCAGTCTCCCTGGAGGCCTTTCGGTTTTCAGATGACACAAATCCTCAGCAGCTGTTGTCACCATCAAGAGGCTCTATGCCACTGTGCCTAGGTGAGCGGGATGCCATAGGCTAATCCAGCCTGTTGCATTTCACAGAGCTGGAGGGGTCCAAGCATACCCTTAACAAGACAATCTGGGCACCAGGATACAGTGAGAAAACCTGTGGCTCTATAGAGAAACTTGAGGGAACTTTGCCACTGTGATTTTAACCAAGTCACTTAGCCTGTCTGAGCCTCAATTTCCCATCTATAAAATAGATATAATTACATATATATGCATGCATGTATACATACACATGCATGCGTATATATGTATACATGTACAGTTGACCCTTGAACAACATGCCTTTCAACTGCATGGGCCCACTTATATATGGATTTGTCTCAACTAAACATAGACCAAAAATACAGTATTTGAGGGATGTGAAACCTGCTTATATGGAGGGCTCACTGATTTTGGTGTATGTGGGGGCCCTGGCGCTGATTTCCTGAGTATACTGAGGGATGACTATATGTGTGTATGTGCACATATATACATATGTGTGTGTGTACATGTGCACATATATACATGTGTGTGTATAATAATTGTGAGAACATTGCTTTTAAATGGCTGGCTAGTAAAGACTTTCAAAGATTCCTTTCTACCACATCACCTTACTTTATTTTCCCAATACTACCTGTCCCCATCAGAGATTATTTTATGTATGTATTTATACATCTGTTTATCTGTCTCCCCAGCTGAATGAAAGTTCTAGGAGGGCAGGGACTTATCTGTCTGGTTCAAAGCTATATTTTCAGTATCTGGCACATAGTAGCTCCTTAATAAATATTGTTTGAGCAAGTGAGTGCATGAATGAATGAACAAATGGGGACCCAAGAGGGAACAGAAGGGAAAACAGTAGGTGCCATCTTTTTCTATAGAAGTGACTATGAGTTCCATCAAATAGGTTGCATCCTGTAAGCCACAGTTTCTAGGTTCCTGTAATTCTATTTTCCTTTTGCATTTCTTGACTGAGTCCCTCTTATTTGAACATTCTAGGCTTGTCTCAGCTACACAGGAGTAACAGGAAGGCTGAGGATCAGAGGAGCCCCACTTCTAAAGATGCTAGGATGCCAGTGACAACAGTGAGTCAGGAGTAAGGAATTTTGATGGAGGTGCCCCTCTCCGTCTGGAATCAACCTGGGAGCTTCTGGGTGATCTGCTTGCTGAAAGCAGCAATTTCCTTAACACTTCCTTACAGGGCTGAGGACTCAATGACATCACGTGTAAAGTACCTGGCACATAGTAGGTCCTCCAGGAATGTCAGTTCTAGAAATTAGGCTAGGACTCCATGATCCCAGCCCAGTACATGTTTCTCCTTCAGAACTGGCTAAACATTGCTGCTGAGTGATAAACTATACTTTCTCAGAATCACTGCCAGCTATCCCCCTTGACATTTTCTCTTTTTCAAGAAAAAAGTTTCCTTCTCAACAGTGTAGCAACTCAGCTCAAGCAGAGAAACACAAATTGCCAGGTGCACGGCCAATCTTCGGTGCAATCTAGTGGCTCTCTGGTAACGAAGTTCCACAAACAATGGAATGGCTGACCCCTGGTTCTGAAGTCTCCCACCTGCCTTGTAATTAAACACCTGTTTATGGCCCCGGGGGAGGACGGGTGAATGGCATGATGCTACCGTACGTTTTCAAGCAAACCTTCTTTGTGGTCCTGGCAAGAAGATTCCTCTCAACAGTCTGGGCACCCCCCACCCATTGTTCACAGGGGGCTCAGGGGAGGCCCAGATGGATTCATGGCTGTGAGGAAGCTGCCCAGACAGCCTGCCAGGGTCCAGGAGTGTGGCTTCCTAAGCAAACTTGGCAGATATAGCAGGTCACATTTCAGCGGGGGTTTTAGAATTACTTGTGATTGGATTGTTTGCAATTCAATGGATAAATGCTTGAGGGGATGGATACCCATTCTTCATGGTGTGTATATTTCATATTGCATGCCTGTATCAAAACATCTCATGTACCCCATAAATATATACACCTACTATGTACCCACAAAAATTAAAAATTAACAAATTAAGGCCGGGTGCAGTGGCTCACACCTATAATTCCAGCACTTCGGGAGCCCAAGGTGGGTGGATCGCTTGAGGTCAGGGGTTCAAGACCAGCCTGACCAACATGGTGAAATCCTGTCTCTACTAAAAATACAAAAAAATTAGCCGGGCGTGGTGGTGCATGCCTGTAATTCCAGCTACTCAGGAGGCTGAGGCAGGAGAATCACTTGAATCCAGAAGGCCGAGGTTGCAGTGAGCTGAAATCACACCACTGCACTCCAGTATGGGTGACAGAGTAAGACTCTGTCTCCAAAATAAATAAATACAAAAAAGGTAATTACTTGTGAGATGTTTTTACCTTTTGAACACTTTAGCCTGCTTTATCTTGAGGACCATTCTTTGGCGAGTCTCAAATTCTAAGATTCCAGAAATCGAAAGAAGCTGGAGAAGCAGCTGGTGAATTTCAGCAGATTTCAGTGGCTGAACCTCCCACTTGTGAGACCCGGTGCAGGGAAGCTACTTTGCCCCTCTGTAAAATGGGAATAATAATAACCAATAATACGTATCTTGTGGGCGTACATGATTGCATGATTTAGAACAGTGACCAGCACTCTGTATCATTCAATACATATTTATTCCTCCTTTCCTTTTCTCTGTGTTGCAGAATGACTATCTTGATTGAGTGGGAACTACTTTAACATGATTTCACAAAAAATCATAATTGCACACGGATTACAGCAAAAATAAACTCCCCCTCCTACTCTTAACTGTCATTCCCCTCTCAGAGGTTTCAGTTTCTTGCTTATCCACCAAGATAGTTAATACAGACATTGGTACTTACATACAGGCACTTTTAAAATGACAAATGGTAGCACACAACATACTTCTGTGACTTTCTTTAAAAACAAAATAACAGCTTTATTGAGATATAATTCACATACTGTACAATTCACCCATTTAAAGTGTTTTGTCTTTTTATGTATCACTTATCTCAGAGAGTTCTGTATCAGTATGACTACATACATCTCATTCTTTTCTATAACTGCATCTCATTCCACCATACGGTTGTCCCATAATTTTATTCACTCAGTCTTTTTTTGATGGACATTGAGGTTACTGCCAGTGCTGCAATGAATAATGAGTATCGTTGGATGTGGGCCTTTGTGCATGTCTAAATGTTTCTCTGCCCTTATCTCTTCACTGAGAGTACGGACCTGCTCTTCCGTTACGGTCAATAACAACATCACTAACAAACATGATGCCTGCAAAATAAACCTTCAAATTGTTCTGTTGTTACTGTTGGCTTATGATTTTAACATATACTGGGCAACTCATGTTATTATCATTATCATTATTGTTATTAATGAGACTGAGCATTTTGACAGGGGCTTGGCAGAAAAGTGACAGGGAAAATTGGGGGATATTTGTGGTTTAATAGACAGAATACTATTTACTATTAATCATTGTCAAGGCTGGGTTTGGCAAGCAATAATTATGGACACATCATGCACATTGTAAAACCATCTTCTCCCCATTGCTCTTCCCCATTGCACTCAGAAATGAACTTACACGGACTTGCATAGAGCTCATCCTTAGTTGTTGGAACAGTTCTCGACAACCTGAGGCTGAAATGAAGATCCCTGAACATTTTTTTGACAAGCAATCAGAGGCATGTGCATGTTTCAGTCCATCTTATAATAATAGCAGGAGATACTCACAAAAGCTTTTGCCACTGGCCCGGTGCAATTCTCAGCCCCTTGCCTGTGTTAACCCAGTTACTCTTCACAAGCCTACGAGGCAGAAGCTGTTATTATCACAATCACCCCCATTTTACAGATGAGGAAACTGAGGCATGTGGAGGTTCCGTAAATTGTCCAAGGTCTTCCAGCTTGTGAGTTGGGGAGTCAGGATTTATCTGGCAACCTGACTCCTTTATTTGGCTAACTGCCCCTTTCTATGGCTGCAGAGACTGTAGATGCCATGGCATTTTGTGTCTAACTAAGACACAAAATGTGTGAGAGAATCCAGTCCCTAGCACAATGCTGGGCTCACAGAAGACGTGTGATATATTACACTAATAATTATTATATTATTAATGACACTCTCCTCCTTCTTGTTAAATTCTTCCCTCAAAGATGTACTCTCCTGAAGGCTTTCAGGAATGTCCTGTGAAAACACAAATGTACCTGGGAGCAAATAAGACTCCCTGGTAGAAGTCTGTTCAGTGAAAGGAAAGGGCCCTGGCTTAATTCTCTGCTCTGTAACTTGCAAGCTGAGTGCATTCCCTTCATTTTTACTAAGCCTCAGTTTTCTTATCTGTAAAAGTGGGATAAGAATGACACTGATGCCCATGAATTGCTACAGAATACTGCACAATGAACTTGAAGTATTCACACAGGTGTGCCAGCAGGGGAGGCAGTGGAGAATCGTGGTTCATACACAAACCTTGGGCTCTAGCTGCTTGGTTTCAAAACCCTCCTCTACCATTTGCCAGCTGGGCCGAACTGGGCAAATGATTTCTCCTCTCTCTAAGACTCAGTGCCTCATCTGTCAAATGAGGCTTTTAATGGGACCTATATGGTGGCAATTAAATGACATGCACTTGCAAAGTACCTAACAGTGAGTATTGGGTAAGAGTTAGGTATAGCTATCTTGATTGTCTGGATTGTAAAAAATGGTTGGATCAGGGTTCTCCAGAGAAACAGTTTATTGCCCATTATATTAGCTTGCTGAGGCTGTCATAACAAAATTCCAGACTAGGTGGCTTAGACAACAGAAATTTATTTACATTTATTTATTTATTTATTTATTTTTTGAGATGGAGTTTTACTGTTGTTGCCCAGACTGGAGTACAATGGCATGATCTCGGCTCACTGCAACCTCTCCTCCCGGGTTCAAGTGATTCTCTTGCCTCAGCTTCCCGAGTAGCTGGGATTGCAGGCATGCGCCACCACGCCTGGCTAATTTTGTATTTTTAGTAGAGACAGGGTTTCTCCAGTTGGTCAGGCTGGTCTCGAACTCCCAACCTTAGGTGATGCGCCCGCCTCGGCCTCCCAAAGTGCTGGGATTATAGGTGTGAGCCACCGCACCTGGCCCAGAAATTTGTATCTCACAGTCTGGAGGCTGGAATTCCAGGATCGAGGGGCTGGTTTCTTCTGAGGTCTCTTTCCTTGCCTTGCAGATGGTCACCTTCCCTCTGTGTCCTCATATGGCCTTTTCTCTGTGAACACACATCCCTGGAGTTTCTCTGTGTGTCCAAATTTCCTCTTCTTATAAGGACACCAGTCAGATTGGATTAGGTCCCACCCTAATGGCCTCATTTTAAATTAATCACCCTTTTAAAGACCTCAGCTCTGAATACAGTTACAGTCTAAGGTTCTGGGGGTTAGAGTTTCAACTTATGGGGGTGGGGCACAGTTCAGTCCCTAAGGATGGCCTAATATCTATTTGAAAGGGTTATTTTGATAATTAAAGAAACAAGGCATGTGACAGATATATGATGGCTTCTGTCCGTAGCATCCACTCAATTAAAAAACACTAGCAAGTTTCTAGGTTATGGTGATGCTGCTGGTCCAGGGACCACAGTTTGAGAACCACTAGCCTAGTTATTCCTTGTGCATCTGAAGCTAAGAATTAATAACACGGTGGGGAGTGTGCCAGGAAATAATGGTTTACACAGGTGTGCTGGACTGCGTTTCTGGGTGTCCATCGGGATGACCCCAAGTTAGCTTCTGCCCTATTTTTCCTCCAAGGATAGGAACTGGAAAAATTTTCCAAGCAATTTGCAAGGCGTGAATCCCGCTCAGCTCCATACCCCTCCTTTGCTACCTTCCTCTCCTCCTTCCACCTGGTGCCTGCTGGCTAAAGCCCTGTTAATCAGCCGGCCCGACTCCCCAGGCTGTTAGAGCCCTTGACGAGAGAGGGATTCACAGCAAGAAGCTGGCTCTTCAGAATGCAATGGCTCCTACAGGAGGGAACAGAACCGGAGCCTCTAGAAATGTCAGCTTTTCCCGCAGAGTCAACTGAATGATGGGAAAAGGGAAGGGTTTTCTCCTTCTCATTTAAGTAGTTTTTATGTGTCTAAAGATGTTTTATAGAAACAGAAATTGTACCTGATAAAGTGCCAACATTAATCCATTTGATGTGTTTAAAGGAGGTATTTTCACAGCAACATATCTTATTAATGTAATGCTGATGGATAAGAAATGGCAGAGGATGATTTCAAAAGATTTTTTTTTTAACACAATGAGAAAAAAGAGAGTGACTTTCCATTTTATTTTTTCCTGTGAGTAAATGTATCTTTAATCCTAACAGAATGTGCTGAAATAGAGTTTTGGCAAAAATCCAAAGGGAGTTTTCAGAGTGGGGCAATTTCTTTTTACATCTGCTTTATTGGCTCAGCCATTAGACAAGCAATTCAGTTCAATAAACATTTATTTCCTACTGTGTGTCAGGCACTATACTCCAGTCCAAGGAGCTCAGAGGTGAGCTGGAAATGCAACAGATGACGATGCAGTGTGACAGCTGGGCAACTCCCACCTTCCACTCTCTCAATCTATGAACTCTTTTATTATTTCCGAGCACCCAGTATGTCCTGCATGGTGCTCTATGATAAGAAATCACACCATCTACTCCACTTATGCTAGAATTTCAGAAATTCTGCATTTTTAAATTTATGTTGGCCAGGCGCGGTGGCTCATGCCTGTAATCCCAGCACTTTGGGAGGCCAAGGCGGGAGGATCACCTAAGATCAGAAGTTCGAGACCAGCCTGACCATCATGGTGAAACCCTGTCTCTACTAAAAATACAAAATTAGCTGGGTGTGGTGGTGGGCGCCTGTAATCCCAGCTACTCGGGAGGCTGAGGCAGGAGAATCGCTTGAATCCGGGAAGTGAAGGTTGCAGTGAGACAAGATCACGCCACTGCACTCCAGCCTGGGCAACAAGAGCAAAACTCCATCTCAAAAAAAAAAAAAAAAAAAAAAAAAAAAAAAGTAATGTCTATCCCTAGTAAGTCCCTAAACATCTTCATGAAAGGAAGCATAGCATTAATTATATTAATATTTTCAAAGGTGTTTTATATGCATATTTGAGGTCTCTGGTTTAGAATACATGGAATACACTGTGATTCTTTTTTGTTTTCTTTTTTTGATTTTTGAGAAGAGTCTCACTCTGGAACCCAGGCTGGAGGGCAGTGGAGTGATCATGGCTCATTGCATCTTTGAATTTCTGGGCTCAAGTGATTCTCCCACCTCAGCCTCCGGAGTAGCTGGGTCCACAGGTGCACGCCACCTTGCTCAGCTAATTTTTGTATTTGTGGTAGAGACAGGTCTCATTTTGTTGCCCAGGCTGGTCTCGAACTCCTGGGCTCAAGGGATCCTCCCAACTTGGCCCAAAGTGCTGGGATTATAGGTGTGAGCTACCGCACCCTGCCTTTCTTCTTCTTCTTCTTCTTCTTCTTTTTTTTTTTTTTTTTCCAGAGATGGAGTCTTGCTCTGTCACCCAGGTTGGAGTGCAGTGGTGCAATCTCAGCTCATCTCACTGCAACCTCTGCCTCCCAGGTTCAAGTTATCCTTCTGCATCAGCCTCCCAAGTAGCTGGGATTACAAGCGTGTGCCACCATGCCCAGATAATTTTTGTATTTTTAGTAGAGATGAGGTTTCACCATGTTGGCCAGTCTGGTCTTGAACTCCTGACCACAAGTGATCTGCTGGCCTCGGCCTCCCAAAGTGCTGAGATTACAGGCATGAGCCACTGCACCTGGCCTACCTCGATTCATTTTATGGGAAAGTAACTAGTTGTTTATTACTAAGGACAGTTAAAACATCATAATTATCAAATGATTGGCTTTTGTTCTGTATTAGAGGGGATTCAACGTCACTCTCATTCACTTGCATTACAACAGGCTCTCTAGGAACAGCCCACACACCCAGTGTGTTAGTGAGAGTGGCGAGAATGCCCCTCTCATCCATCATGGGTAGCTTTGGCAGAAAACCAGACCAAGGGCGGCTGACCTAGGCAGGACAGGGTATGTTCCAGGCTGGGATTTTCAAAGCTGGACATGTGGGTATGTACAAAACAAGGCTAAGGCTCTAATTTAATCAAATTATACCAAGAAACATTGAAAAGAAGCCAGCACTATGGAGAGAGAAGGGGTGGAATGTACAAAGAGAGAGAAAAGGGAGAATGGAGAGGAGGAGAGAAGAGAGAAAGGTCACAATGGAAATAACATTAACTTCATCTTCCTTTGGGATCCAACTCCAAGCTGGCAGAGAAGCAGCCTTCTAGAGACATAGCCCCCAAAGATCAGGGGTCAATAATCTTAAGGGTGTGCACATTTTTATTTCCCGAGTCATTATTTTGAATTAGGTTATTTTGAATTAGGACTGGGGTCTTTCATTTTATGTATGTATGTATACAGAGACAGGGTCTCACTCCGTCACCCAGGCTGGAGGGCAGTGGTGTGATCATGGCTCACTGTAAACTTGAACTCCTGGGCTCAAGTAATCCTCTTCAGCCTCTCAAGTGGCTAGGATTACAGGTGCGCATCACTGTGCCCGGCTAATTTTTAAATTTTTTGTAGAGATGAAGTCTCACTAAGCTGCCCAGGCTGGTCTTGAACTCCTGGCCTCAAGTGATCTTCCCACCTCAGCTTCCCAGAGTACTGAGATTGTAGGCATGAGCCACCGTGGCTGGCCGACTGGGGTTTTCTGAGAGTTATCAGACAGAGAGGATGTGTTCGTCAAGGAATTTTGTTGAATCATCTTTTCATTTTCAAGTGACCCTGCAAGAACCTGGAGCCTAGGCCAGAGCACTGTCACCTATAGGATGCTTTGCAAAGAAGAAATTGTCATCCTGAAGGTCCAGAATGAAATGACCCAATAAAGCACAGAAGCAGGATGTCTGCCGGGAAGGCATCTCATTCCCCTTTTTCTTCTCTTTATCTTCCTTTTGTAATTTTCCCTCTTCTCCATTTAAGCTCCCAGCTTACTTCCTCCCTCCCTGCCTTCCTTCCCAAGCATTGTGTGAGTACAGGGCTAGGCACTGTGGACACAGAGGGGCAGGTTAGTAGGCTCCTGGGCCTGCCATCTGAGGATGTTCTCCTCATCTCACTACTGGGTTTGGGGGATGAGGATCAAGGAAGCTCCTCGGTAAGGCCAGTTTTGCCGAGTCTTGCAGGAGGAGTTGGCCTCAGAAGCAGAGGCAGGAGCAGGAGCAAAGGCCAGGGGAGCAGGGCAGGTTCTGGAACTGCTTAGGACCTAGTGACTAGAATGTGGCTGGTAAAGGTAACAGGTGGCTAAAGGTGGTAAAGGTAACAGATGGCTGCAGAAGGGGAGAGATGGGCTGGAGTGCCCTAAAGAAAGCAATGGGGGCTGGGCGTAATGGCTCACGCCTGTAATCCCAGCACTTTGGGAGGCTGAGGCAGGCAGATCACTTGAGGTCAGGAGTTTGAGACCAGCCTGGCCAACACGGTGAAAATACAAAATTAAAATACATTAAAAATACAAAAATTTGCTGGGCATGGTGGTGCACACCTGTAATCCCAGCTATCTGAGAGGATGAGACAGAAGAATCCCTTGAATCTGGGAGGAGGAAGTTGTAATAAGCCAAGATTGTGCCACTGCACTCCAGCGTGGGTGACAGAGTGAGACTCCGTCTCAAAAATAAAAAATAAAATAAAAAAAGCAATGGGAACTACTGGAGGGTTTAAGCAAGGGTGTAATTTGATTTTACATTTTAGAAAGAGCCTTCTGGCTACATTTTGGAGATTGGATGAGAGAGACTAGGGAAGCCAGGTAGGAGCATTTTGTGATTTGTTAGAAATGTGATTAATGTGCTACCCTTCTTGGGAATGTTAACATTCTGTTTTTTTTTTTGTTTTGTTTTGTTTTTGAGACGGAGTCTCGCTCTGTCGCCCAGGCTGGAGTGCAGTGGCGCTGTCTCGGCTCACTGCGAGCTCCGCCTCCCGGGTTCACGCCATTCTCCTGCCTCAGCCTCCCGAGTAGCTGGGACTACAGGCGCCCGCCACCGCGCCCGGCTAATTTTTTTGTATTTTTAGTAGAGACGGGGTTTCACCGTGTTAGCCAGGATGGTCTCGATCTCCTGACCTCGTGATTCGCCCGCCTCGGCCTCCCAAGGGAATGTTACATTCTTAACAGGCCCCCAAGGACAGAGTGATGCTTAACACACAGAGATGAATTGCTCATGGTGGAATTCTCTGCACCTGGAGAAAGACGTCAGGGGACATGGCAGCCTACCTTGCTGCTGTTAAACCACACTAAAGACAGCTGCATATGTGGGGAAGAGCATCAGGGAGGAAAGGGGGTGGGAGAAGATGCAGTTTGGGAGTGGAGGCTGGGTGTGGGGGTGGCAGGGGCTAGACTTAGGGAAGCAGTGATGGGAGACCTCAGTAGGCAGGCAGAGCAGCAGTTCATGGCCTTGGCTGCATGCTGGAATTACCTGAGGGCCTCCTGATGCTGAGGCTTCAACCCAGACCAATGGAATACAGACTTCTAGGACTGCACTTCAGACATCAGCATTTCTCAAGCTTCCACGCTGATTCCAGTGTGCAGCCAAGATTGCAAACCACTGCCCTAAAACGATGATCCTCAAAATGTGGTCCGCAGACCCGTGGCTCCGGCATCAATAGGGTACTTGTTAGAGGTGTAGATTCTAGACACCAGCCCAGACCTGCCGAGTCATTCTGATTCTACATTTTACTGAGATCTTTGGTGATGCTATCACATTGAATGCACATTGGAATCATTTGGGGAGCATTTTTTTAAAATCTTTTCTATTTTTATTGTTTTTTTTTTCACAGGACAAAGACATTTGAGGGAGCTTTTAAGTTATTTAAATTTTTTTAAGTTTTTTTTTCATAAGACAAAAAGACATTTGCGGAAACTTTTTCTCTTTTTTTTAATGAAAATCTCGGTGCCTGGGTCCCACCTCCAGAAATTCTGATATTATGGATTTGGGGTGTGGTCTGGGCAACAGTATTTCTCAGATCTCCACAAGTGCAGTCAGGGTGGAGAAGGGCCCAGAAATTCTATCAGTGTTTTCCATGGTCCTGCAGCCTCAAAATAGAGAGGAGAGGAAGGCTTAGGACTTCACAAACCTGGAATCTTTTAGCTAAATAGTAAGTTTAGAAAAGTTATTGAGAGTTTTAAATACATGAATGGAACCTGTGTCCTCTGCAGCACATCATTCCTGGTATTGAAGTTCCTGAGGAGGCAAAGCAGCCAGAACATTTATGCTGAAATGTATTCCACTACCTGTTTACCATGTGTAATCCCATCTCTTAGCCTTGTGTGCCTAAGTGTGTGCATTTGTACAATGGGCACAGCAATGCCCAGTTGAAAGGATCAATAAAGGAAGCTGTTGCCTGGGCTCAGTGGCTCATACCTGCAGTCTCACCTATTTGGGAGACTGAGGTGGGAGGACTGCTTGAGCCCAGAAGTTCGAACCTGCAATGAGCTATGATTTGCCACTGCCCTCCAGCCTGGGTGACAGAGCCAGACCCAGTTTCTAAAAGAAAAAAATAAATAAAAAAGGAAGCTGTGGTGCAGGCAGGCAGCCGCTAAAACGGCCCCAGGCATCTTGCTCCTGGTGTTCATATCCTTGTATAATTTCTTACCTTTATGTGTAGGCTGGACGTGGTGACATGGCTTCTAACAAATAGAACATGGCCAAAGTGATGGATGTCACTTCTGAGATTAGGTTGTTAAAAGACTGCAGCTTCTCTCTCTCTCTCTCTCTCTCTCTCTCTAGTGGGAAAAGCAAGCCTCCATGTTGTGAGTAGTCATATGGAGAGGCCCACGTGTCAAGGAACTGATGTCTGCAGCCAACAGCAAGGTCCTGACTCATGTGAGTGAGCTTGGAAGCAGATCCTCCCTGGGTTAAACACTGAGGATGAATGCAGCCTGCGAGAGACCCTGAGTCCTTTATGATCTAACCTCAAGAGCCACACAGCCATATTCTATTTCCTGGAGCAGTTATAAGACACACAGTTTCAAGAGGAGGGTGTAATAGTCCGTTCTCACGCTGCTATAAAGAATTACCTGAGACTGGGTAATTTACAAAGAAAAGAGGTTTAACTGACTCATAGTTCCACAGGCTCTATGGGAAGCATGGCTGGGGAGGCCTCAGGAAACTTACAATCATGGCAGAAGGCAAAGGGGAAGCAGGAACGTCTTACCGTGGTGGAGCAGGAGAGAAGGAGAAGAGAGAAGTGCTACACACTTTTAAACAACCAGATCTCGTGAGAACTCACATACTATCACTAGAACAGCAAGGAGGAAATCCACCCCCATGATCCAATCATCTTGCATCAGGCCCTTCCCCCAACACTGGAGATTACAATTCAACATGAGATTTGGGTGGGGACACAGAGCCACACCATATCAGAGGGGAGATAGGCTCTACCTTTCAGGGGACGGGTGTTAGTCACATTGTCACAGTATAGGAGGATAGGAGATAGATCTATAACCCTTTACATGAGAGATTGGTGATTATATACAGACACACTTTGTTTTATTGTGCTTCTTAGATTTTGCATTGTGCTTTGCAGATATTGTGGTTTGTTTTGTTTTTTAAAAATTGAAGGTCTGTGGCAACCCTACATTGAACAAGACTATAGGCACCATTTTTCCAACAGCATGTGCTCACTTCATGTCTTCATGTCACATTTTGGTAATTCTCACAATATTTCAAACTTTGTCATTATTACTATATCTGTTTTGGTGATCTGTGATCAGTGATCTTCGATATTACTATTGTAACTGTTTTGGGGCACCATTTACTGCACTCATATAAGACAGTGAAATTAATTGATAAGTGTTGTGTGTGTTCTGATTGCTCTACCAACTGGCCATTCCCCCATCTCTCTCCCTCTCAGGCCTCTCTACTCCTGGAGATACAACAATATAAAAATTAGGCCAATTAATAACCCACAATGGCCTCTAAGTATTTAAATGAAAGGAAAAGTCTCACATCTTTCAATTTAAATCAAAAGCTAATTGCATGAAGGAAAAGGATTTATTATTAATAATAATATAACATAATATAATACTATGTAATAATAATATAGTAATAATAAATCAAAAGCTAGAAATGATGAAGCTTAGTGAGGAAGGCATGTTGAAAGCTGAGACAGGCCAAAAGCCAGGCCTCTTGTATCAAACAGTTAAAAAGTGTGAATGCAAAGGAAAAGTTCTTGAAGGAAATTAAAAGTGCTGCTTGAGTGAACATATAAATGTTAAGAAAGCGAAATAGCTTTTCTGCTAATATGGAGAATGTTTGAGTGGTCTGGATAGAAGATCAAACCAGCCACAACATTCGTTTAAACCAAAGCCTAATCCAGAGCAAGGCCCTAACTTGTTTCAATTCTGTGAAGGCTGAAGAGAGGAAAAGGCTGAAGAGAGGTGAGGAAGCTGCAGCAAAGTTGGAAGCCAGCAGAAGTTGGTTCATGAGGTTTAAGGAAAGAAGGCATCTCTGTAACATAAAGGTGAAGCAGCAAGTGCTGATGTAGAAGCTGCAGCAAGTTACTGAGAAGATCCAGCCAAGAGAACTGATGAAGGTGGCTACACTAAACAATAGATTTTCAATGTAGATGAAACAGCCTTCTCTTGGAAGAAGATGCCATCTAGGACTTTTCTAATTAGAGAGGAAAAGTAGATATCTGGTTTCAAAGCTTCAAAAGAATGGCTGACTCTCTTAGACGCTAATGCAACTGATGACTTTAAGTTGAAGCCAATGCCCATTTGCCATTCTGAAAATCCTAGGGCCCTTTAGAATTATGCTAAATCTACTCTGCCAGTGCTCTGTAAATGGAACAACAAAGCCTGGATGGCACATCTATTTACAGCATGGTTTACTGAATATTTTAAGCCCACTGTTGAGACCTACTGCTCAGAAAAAAAGATTCCTTTCAAAATATTACTGCTCATTGACAATGCATCTGGTCACCCAAGAGCTCTGATGGAGATGTATAAGGAGATGAATGTTTTCGTGCCTGCTAATACAATATATGTTCTGCAGTCCATGGATCAAGGAGCGATTTTGACTTTCGAGTCTTATTATTTAGGAAATACATTTTGTAAGGCTGTAGATGCCATAAACAGTGATTCCTTTGAAGGATCTGGGCAAAATAAATTGAAAACATTCTGGAAATGATTCACTATTCTAGATGCCATTAAGAATACTCATGATTCCTGGGAGAATGTCAAAATATCAATATTAACTGGGGTTTGGAAGAAGTTGATTCCAACCTTCATGGATGTCTTGAAGGGGTTCAAAACATCAGTGGAAGAAGTAACTGCAGATGGGGTGGAAACAGCAAGAGAACTGGAATTAGAAGTGGAGCCTGAAGATGTGCCTGAATTGCTGCAATCTCATGATCAAACTTGAACAGATAAGGAGTTGCTTCTTATGAATGAGCAAAGGAAGTAGTTTCTTGAGATGGAACACACTCCTGGTAAAGATGCTGTGAACATTGTTGAAATGTCAGCATAGGATTTAGATTAATATATGAACCTAGTTGATAAAGCAGCAGCAGGGTTTGAGAGAACTGACTTCAATTGTGAACAAAGTTCTACTGTGGGTAAAATGCTATCAAACGGCATTGGATGCTACAGAGAAATCTTTCATGAAAGGACAAACCGATCAATGCAGCAAACTTCATTGTTGTCTTACTGTATGAAATTACCACAGCCACTCCAGCCTTCAGCAGCCATGACGCTGATCAGTCAGCAGCCATCTGCATGGAGGAAAGACCCTTCACCAGCAAAAAGTTTATGACTCGCTGAAGGTTCAGATGATTGTTAGCATTTTTTTTTTTTTTGAGAGGGAGTCTCGCTCTGTTGCCCAGGTTCAGTCTCAGCTCACTGCAAGTGTAGTGGTTCAATCTCAGCTCACTGCAACCTCTGCCTCCTGGGTTCAAGCGATTTTTGTGCTTCAGCCTCCCAAGTAGCTGGGATTACAGGTGCATGCCACCATGCCCTGCTAATTTTTGTATTTTTGGTAAAGATGTGCTTTTGCCATGTTGGCCAGGCTGGTCTTGAACTCCTGACTTCAGGTGATCCATCCACCTCGGCCTCCCAAAGTGCTGGGATTACAGGTGTGACCCACCATGCTCAGCCTGATCATTAGCATTTCTTAGCAATAAAGAATTTTAAAGTTAAGATTCCCCCTTGAACCAGGCTGAGAAAATAAATAAATAATTAAATTAAGGTACATACTTTTTTTAGACATAATGCCATTACACACTTAATAGACTACAGTATATTATAAGCATAACTTTTGTTTTTTTTCTTTTTTTTTGAGACGGAGTCCCGCTCTGTTGCCCAGGCTGGAGTGCAGTGGCACGATCTCAGCTCACTGCAAGCTCCACCTCCCGGGTTCACACCATTCTCCGGCCTCAGCCTCCCAAGTAGCTGGGACTACAGGTGCCCACCATCATGCCTGGCTAATTTTTTTTTGTATTTTTAGTAGAGACGGGGTTTCACCATATTAGCCAGGATGGTCTCGATCTCCTGACCTTGTGATCCGCCTGCCTCGGCCTCCCAAAGTGCTGGGATTACAGGCGTGAGCCACTGTGCCTGGCCTTATAAGCACAACTTTTATATGCACTGGGAAACCGAAAAATTTGTGTGAGTCAGTTTATTGTGATAGTCACTTTATTGGTGTGGTCTGGAACCAAACCCACAATATCTCTGAGGTATGCCTGTTTAGAAATAGATATCAATACAGATGTCTATACTCATATATTTCACAGCATGGCTCATAAATCCCCCTGAACAAGCTCTTAGATTTTATTTTATTTTATTTTATTTTATTTTATAGAGACAGGGTCTTATTGTCACCCAGGCCAGAGTGCAGTGGCACAATTATAGCTCGCTACAGCCTCAATCTCCTGGGCTCAGCCTACTGTCTCAGCCTTCCCAGTAGCTGGAACTATAGGCATGCATCACCACACCTGGCTAACTTTTCATTTTTTGCAGAGACAGGGTCTCACTATATTACCCAGGCCATTCTTCAGATTTAAATCGAGGCTATATGTGAGATGGGATAGCTTGTGCAGAGCAGACACCTCCCACCAGCCCCTAACAGCTCTGACCAGGGCCTTCTGTGTAATGTTTAATTAGTTACCCATCTTTGCAAAATGTGATCTGTTACAAAGTATTTGCTGCTCCTATTATAATCACTAGCATTTGTAGCAGTAATAGTGCAGCAGCATCTCCACCATTTCGGCCTGGGGATGGGTGGGGAACAGTGTTCCTGGCATGGGGCTTTGGAGCAAGACAGACCTGGGTTGGGATCCTAGAACCATCTTTCATGCAGGTTCAACTTAGAAACACCACCTCCTCTCTCAGTCCTAGTTTCCTCCTTTGTAAAATGGAGATTAGAATACCTACCAGGCAAGGTTGTGAAACGCATGCAGAGAATCTATGAAGCAGATATCTAGCTCATGTCCAGGATACAAAAAAAATGGCAGGGTCATTTAGAAAATGCACTTTCTTAGGCTGAGCTGAAAGGAGTGCTTGGGCCAAAGGCCCCCCCTGACTTCTTCCCCAACCTGGAAAAGTCCAGGCTCACCCAACTGCTGCCACTCTAGGACAGGGATAAGTGTGAACTTAAAGGGTTAAGGAGATCTGGCTTCAGAAGCAAAGTGCTGAGGGGAAAGCAGGAGGTGGGCTGGGAAGGGGCCCTGGGCACTATTAGCATGCAGCTGGTAAATGCTGCCCACCGATCCAGGCTCAGCTGTTCCTCCTCGCAGAGCCAAAGGAGAAGGATGAAAAAACGGTGGTCAGAGCTGTTGGTGGAAGGGGTCTTTCTGTGGGAGCTGTTCCATCTCACACACAGCCCTGATTTAAATCTGAGAAGGAGCCCCTGGAGGCAGTTTTGTGAGCCCTGCAATGCTAATTAACTCCACTGTTATATTTCAACATGAGAGTCCCTCTAGGATTGGAGCACTTCTTTCTCCTGGAAGAATTTTAAATTTTGCACCAGTGTATAAAAGTCTCTGCCAATACTGTGGGCAGAGGGGCCTGAAAGTAGAATCTGCAGAATTTTCTGGGTGAGGGTTCAGGTGGAAAGACTGGTCTCTCACAAGTGAGAAGTTGACAACACACCATAACCATAATTGTCTTTCGATTTTTCATTTTATTTAAACCACTCTCTAGCTTACTAAGTTATGTTTTAATGGTTAGAGCTTTTAAAAGGGAAAAAAAGTAGGGAGGGGAACCCCCAAACCAATGAACTAAACCTTGAGAGAATGGAAGCCACGTGAAGGGACTGGTGAGTTCATGATAAATTCCCTGCAAAAGCAATTCCAGAAAATTTAAGTTCCCTCTGCCAAATGCCTGAACTGTCAGGGAGCCAAGAGAAAAAGGAGGGACCAGATGAGACATCTCAGCAGGGGGCCCGTCCCTGCCAACCAACAGAACCAACTCCCCCAACTTGATCTGATCCCAGAGAGGATCGGGTGATTCAAAAGTCAGGAAGACAATTGTTCAGGGCCTTCTGGATTACTCATAACTCATGCCCTGACTCACCAAGTTGGACTCATTCCAGGCAGAGAGGGAGTGAGAGGCTCAGGGTGAGTGCACAGAACTGGCCGCCTCACCACTGGCAAACCAAGATCCCAATCTACGTGACAGGGACTGTGGACTCTGGATTCTTGTCCATGGGGTGAAAGATAACTGCAGTTTATGAAGATGGTCATAACCCCCCAACACCCAAGACTGAGTTGAGAGGCAGGCTCAGGTATTCCAATAACTGATTGGCATCCTAAAGGGGGCAGAGCTTCGCGGTCCCTGGCTGGGACAGTGGGAATTTTATTGTGGGTAGGGAGTAAGAGCAGCCTGGTTATTTCAGCGTCTAAGGGTTACACCGAGAGTTCCTTTAGACATGCTCAGTCCAGCTGCCATATGGTAGGTGCCAGTCACAAGTACTACTGAGCACTTGAAATGTGGCTGGGCCGAATTGGGAGGTATAAAATACTCACCAGACTTCAAAGACTGAGTATGAAAAAACAATGTAAACTATCTCATAATTATTTATATTGAACACGTTGAAATGGTAGATTTTTAAATATATACTGGGTTAAATAAAATTTTTAAAAATAATTTCGGGCTGGGCACGGTGGCTCATGCCTGTAATCCCAGCACTTTGGGAGGCTGATGTGGGTGAATCACGAGGTCAAGAGATCGAAACCATCCTGGCCAACATGATGAAACCCTGTCTCTACTACAAATACAAAAATTAGCCGGGTGTGGTGGTGTGCACTTGTAATCCCAGCTACTCAGGAGGCTGAGGCAGGAGAATCGCTTGAACCTGGAAGGCAGAGGTTGCAGTGAGCCGAGATCGTGCCAACTGCGCTCCAGCCTGATGACAGAGTGAGACTCCATCTCAAAAAAAAAAAAAAAATCATTTTTCTTAACGTGGTCACTAGGAAAGTTAAAATCACATATGTGACTCACATTTTATGGCTCACATTTGATTTCATTGGCCTGACTGCTTTAGACACATTAAGGGTCATCTCTTCTAAGGCAAAGTGATTAAGAACAAAGGCTGAGGCTGGGCATAGTGGTTCACACCTGTAATCCCAGCACTTTGGGAGGCCAAAGCGGAAGGATCACTTGAACTCAGGAGTTTGAGACAAGCCTGGCAACAAAATGAGACCCCATCTCTACAAAAAATAAAAAAAAATGGCTGGGCATGGTGGTGCACACCTGTAGTCCCAGCTACTTGGGAGGCTGAGGTGGGAGGATCGCTTGAGCACAGGAGATCAAGGCTGAGATGGCACCACTGCACTCCAGCTTGGGAGACAGAGAGAGAGTCTCAAAACAAAACAACAAAACAACAACAACAACAACAACAACAACAACACAGCCTGTGGATCTTGACCATTTAGGTTGAAATTTTGGATCTACCATCAGTTGGTTGTAAGATTTGTTCAAGTTTTCATGTCTTAGTTTCCCTATGTGTAAAATGGGGTTAATATTAGTACATAAATAGGTGAAGCTTAAGTGAGAAGATATACCCCAAAGCACTACAACTGTCTTTGGCACATAGCGAGCATTTAATACATAGTTGCTTTCCTTAGTATCTAGTCTGAAAAGTTTCTCATAAGATGGGGTGGAATGGGAGGTATGGAGGCGTGAGATTGTAGCTCTTGATATCTACCTTTGATCCACTGGTCCTACCATATTAACTTGTGAAAAGAAGCTCCTTCTCCACATGGATTTCATTTGTGAATTTGGAGACTGAAGGTCAGAGAGGCTCTCTGGCTTTCTTAGTAAGGCAAAATAAGTCAGCCAGCTCAGAATGGGACACTTGGGGTTCTGCCCTGAAACTGGAGGGTGCAGGGAGAAGATATCTCACTTGGTGTTAGAAGACCTGGGCCTAAATCCTGCTGTTTGACTCTCATGAGTCTCCTTACTTGTACATAAGACTCCCTGAGAAGGCTTCCAAGTCTGTACGTCATTTAGAGAAGCCCCAAGGTTTTGATGAGCACCTACTATGTGTCAGGCACTATAGGAAGAGTAGGATACCATGAGGGGCTTCCAGTCCAAGAGGGAAAAGTCGAAACAATTCTTTATAAATGTTCACATTTTTTAAAGTATACAAAGGATGTGAAAGAAAAATATAGGAAGCTGGGTAGGGTCACACCAGGGGATCCTAACTAAACTACGGGAATCAATCAGGGCTTTTCTAGGGTATGATTATTAACCTGAGACCCCGGCTAAATAAAGAAGGGGAACATATCACAGGCAAAGGGACTAGAAAGAACAAAGCCCCTAAGGCTCCAGAGACTGATGGAATATCTGGGCAGCCAGGGTACATGAAGGGAAGAGGCATGTGATGGTTAATTTTGTGTGTCACCTTGGCTAGGCTATGTGCCCAGCTGTTTGGTCAGACACTAGTCTGGATGTTGCTGTGAAGGTATTTTGTAGATGTGATTAACATTAAAATCAGTAGAATTTGAGTCAAGCCAGTTCCTCTCCATAACGTGGGTGGGACTCACTAAATCAACTGAAAGCCTTAAAAAAAAACTGAGGTTTCTCCAAAAGCGAATTCTGCCTCAAGACTGTAACATAGAAATCCTGCCTGAGTTTCCAGTCGCTGCCTGCCCTGTGGGTTTCGGACTCAAGACTGCAACATCAACACTTACCTAAACTGCTGCTCTACAGATTTTGGATTTGGATTTGTCAGTCCCCACAATCACATGAGCCAATTCCTTCATCTCTCTCTCTCTCTCTCTGTCTCTCTCTCTCTCTCTCTATATATATATATACACATATACACACACACGTATATGTGTATGTATGTGTATATATCCATATATCTATATAGATATATAGAAATATACATATAGTTACATAGAGATCACTTGAGCCCAGGAGTTTGAGACCAACCTGGGCAACATGGTAAGACTCCATCTCTACACAAAATTTAAAAATTAGCTGGACATAGTGGTACATGCCTGTAGTCCCAGCTGCTTGTGGGGGCTGAGGTGGGAGGATTGCTTGAGCCTGGAAGGTCTTGAACTCCTGGGCTCAAGCCATCCACCTGCCTCAGCCTGTCAAATTGCTGGGGTTACAGGCATGAGCCACCACACCCAACCTCACTCCTTGTCCTAAAGCCAGCTCAAATGCCAGTCCTCTAACATTTGAAACTGTTCTCTCAGAGCAGAGGTTCTTGAAGTGTGGTTCCCAGCCACCACCACCAGCAGCAGCAGCAACAGCAGCACCTGGGAACTGGCTGGAAACACAAACTCTCAGACCCTGCTCACGACTTTCTGAATCAATTGCTCTGGGGTTGGGGCCCACTCATTTAGGTTATTTATTTATTTATTTATTTTTATTTTTTTGAGACAGAGTTTCACTCTTGTTTCCCAGGCTGGAGTGTAGTGGTGCCATTTCAGCTCACTGCAGCCTCCGCCTCCCTGGTTCAAGCGATTCACCTGCCTCAGCCTCCTAAGTAGCTGGGATTACAGGTGCCCACCTGGCTAATTTTTGTATTTTTAGTAGAGACGGGGTTTCACCATGTTGGCCAGGCTGGTCTCGAACTCCTGACCTCAGGTGATCCTCCTGCCTCGGCCTCCCAAAGTGCTGGGATTACAGGCATGAGCCACTGCACCTGGCCTATTTAAAAAATTTTTTTGAGACAAAGTCTAGCCCTGTTTCTCAGGCTGGAGTGCAGTGGCGTGACCATAGCTCACTGCAGTCTCAACCTACTGGGCTCAAACAATCCTCCCACTTCAGCCTCCCAAGTAGCTGGGACTACAGGTGTGCACCACCATGTCCAGCTAATTTTTGTATTTTTTGTAGCGAAGGGGTTTTGCCATATTGCTCACGCTGGTCTTGAACTCCTGGGCTCAAGTGATCCTCCTGCCTCAGCCTCCCAAAATGCTGGGATTACAGTTGTGAGCCACTGTGCCCAGCCCATTTGGGTTTAAATACGCCCTCCAGGTGATTCTGGTGTACCTGAAGTCTAAAAACCCCTTTAAAGCATTCATCACAGTGTTTTGGGACTGTGTGTCTGTTTTCAGCCTAAGAATCAGATATTTTTCAGGACAAGAACTGTGCCTTACTTTATCTTTTTAATTAAAGTGCCTGGAACAGTACCCAATACTTGGTTGACCTCCAGTCAAGGTTTATGGTTGAAAAAAAGCAATTTGAAGTTGGATGTTGTATTAGTAAGGGTTCTCTAGAGGGAAAGAACTAATAGGATAGATGTATATAGGAAAGGGAGTTTATTAAGGAGAACTGACTCACACAGTCACCAGGTGAAGTCCCACGGCAGGCCGTCTGCAAGCTGAGGAGCAAGGAAGCCAGTAGTGGTTCAGTCTGAGTCCCCAACCCTCAAAGTTGACAGGGGAAGTTGACAGGGGCTCTCGGGCCTTCAGTGGTGTAAGTCCACTGGTGTAAGTCCAAGAGTCCAAAAGCCGAAGAACTTGGAGTCTGATGTTCCAGGGCAGGAAGCATCCAGCATAGGAGAAGGATGAAAGCTGGAAGACTCAGCCAGTCAGCTCCTTCCACTTTCTTCTGCCAGCTTTTTCCAGCCAAGCTGGGGCCGATTGGATGATGCCCGCCCACACTGTGGGTGGGTCTTCCTGAGGGTGGGTCTTCTCCTAGCCCACCAACTCAAAAGTTAATCTCTTCTGGCAACACCCAGATACACCCACAAACAACACTTTTCATCCTTCAATCCAATCAAGTTGACACTTAATATTAACCATCCCAGAAGTCATGATGAGTTCCTTTTCATTTTCCTGTCCTTGAGATCAAATCTAGTTCTCAGAGACTATACAATTAAACACGGAAGAAATAAAACAGAAAATGTCATCAACTCTCAGATAGTAGGGAGGGGTGGGAAAAGGAGAGTCACAGAAAGCTCCTAATCATAGTTTTTATTTTATTTTATTAATTAATTAATTAATTAATTTGAGACGGAGTTTCTCTCTGTCATCCAGGCTGGAGTGCAGTGGTGAGATCTTGGGTCACTGAAACCTCTGCCTCCCAGGTTCAAGCGATTCTCCTGCCTCAGCCTCCCAAGGAGCTGGAACTATAGGTATGCAGCCACTACATCCAGCTAATTTTTGTATTTTTAGTAGAGACGAGGTTTCACCATGTTGGCTAGGCAGGCCTCAAACTCCTGACATCAAGTGATCCACCTGCTTTGGCCTCCCAAGTGCTGGGATTACAGGCATGAGCCACTGTGCGTGGCCCTAATCATAGTTTTTAAAAATCATTAAAATGTAGCACCAAAATAATCTTAACATAGTGTGTATTAGTTTCTAGGGCTGCTATACGGAAGTACCACAAGGCAGGTGACTTTAAACAACATTACCTTATTCTGTCACAGCTCTGGAGGCTGGAAGTCCAAAATCAATGTCAGCAGGGCCATGCTGTCTCCGTGACGGCTCTTGGGCAGAATCTGTCCCATGTCCTTCTTTCAGTTTCTGGAATTGCTGGCAATCCTTGGTGTTCCATGACTTGTATCCGTGTCACTCCAATCTCTGCTTCTGTTGTCATATGGTATTCTCTCTGAGTGCCTATCTATGTCTCCTTTGCTTATCAGCTCACCAGTCATATTGGGTTTAGGGTCCACCATACTGAGCATCTTAACTTGCTTACATCTGTAATGACCCTATTTCCCAATAAGATCACATTCATAGGTACTAGCTTAGGAGTTGAACATATCTTTTTTGGGGGAACACAATTTATCTCACAACATGTATATGAAATTTTTAGGTAAAATTATATCCTATGTTTAGGGACACATTTACTATTCTCCAGAAGTCATTCGGAACTGTAAAAACAATAAAAATATTATCATTTAGGGACTTAAAACATTGATGATATCTGAAATATCTACTTCTGATAAAATTACCAATATTAATGTCTGCTTTAGCTGAACCTCAATATGTACGGAAACAACACCTTCATGACGTTAGTCAGTCACTGAGCAAATTGTCCTCACTTCCCAATTGTCAGCTTAGAAGCGATTCGATGCAGCACCAGGTCTGGGCTTGGCTAACTGGCCCCGAGACTCCTTCTCTGTGAGCCCCTCGGCCTCGGTTTGAAATGACTCAACAGTTGAAAGGTATCTCAAAGTTTCTGATATGGTTTGGATTTGTGTCCCTGCCCAAATCTTCTGTCGAACTGTAATACCCAGTGTTGAAGGTGGGGCCTGGTGGGAGGTAATTGGATTTTGGGAGTAGATCTTTCACGAATTGCTTAGAACCATCCCTTTGGTGCTGTTCTCGTGATGGAGTTCTCATGAGATCTGGCTGTTTAAAAGTGTGTGGCACCTGCCCCTCCTGTGCTGACCACGTGAAGTGCCTCACTTCCCCTTCGCCTTCTGCCATGACTGTGAGTTTCCTGAGGCCTCCCCAGAAGCTGAGCAGATGCCAGCATCATGCTTCCTGTACAGCCTGTGGAATGGTTGAGCCAATTACAGCTCTTACTCAGTCTCAGGTATTTCTTTATAGCAATGTGAGAACAGTCTAATACAGCTTCCTTCCCTTTTGAGAGCAAGGAAGGAAAGCCTTACCCTTTCCTCCTGGCTGGTACATACACTGCACTCCCAGGGATCCCTCATGGCCTCAAAGACAGTCAGCTGACAACGAGATTGTCAACATATTTAAAAAAATTTACTATCAGTCCATTTGAATAATTTTACCAAGGAATAAACTTAACAGTTTTCCTTTTCCATGTCACAAACCAAGTTTGTTTGGTTTTGGTTGACACTCATTAAGGTAAATACTTTCTGTATTATCTCATTTAATCCTCACAACAACTCTGAAGTGGGTATTGGTATTAGCTTCAATTTATGCACAGGAAACTGAGACATCGAGAAGCAATTTGCCATAGGTCACTCAGCCAGTGAGTGGTAGAGCCAGAATTTGAACACAGGCCCACAGGATTCTTGATTCTTGACCTAACCATTTGACTTTTCTGCCCTTTTCTCTAGTCCCAAGGGGAACAAAAGATTTTGGTTTGGTCCTGTTTGTAAATAAACAACTCACATTGATTTTAAAGCTTCCTAGGATCCATAAAACCAAATGCTGTATATCAACCAACTCATAATCTGTGTATTACATAACATATAGTTCTATACTGGTTATCTGTAAGTTTGATATATTAATTATTGATTACTGGCAAAATCATGCATAAAGGGTGTGGACGTTAAAAAAAATTATGTATTTGAGGCCAGGCGTGGTGGCTTACACCTGTAATCCCAGCACTTTGGGAGGCCGAGGTGGGTGGATCACTTGAGGCCAGGAGTTCGAGACCAGCCTGGCCAACATGATGAAACCCTGTCTCTACTAAAAATACAAAAATTAGCCAGGTATGGTGGCACATACCTGTAGTCCCAGCTACTCGGGAGGCTGAGGCAGGAGAATTGTTTGAACCCAGGAGGCAGAGGTTGCAGTGAGCCTAGATAGTGCCACTGCACTCCAGCCTGGGCAACAGAGTAAGACTCCATCTCAAAAGAAACAAACAACAACAAAAAACAAACAAAAAGCATGTCTTTGGTCTCTGCCCCTGGCTCCTGGCAAAGAGCTCCTAAATCGCTTGAAATTTCCCAGGTAAGAGGAGCATCTTTTGCTCTAATGAGGTGACTCTGGATGTACTCCTGGACGGGGGCTGGTCATGGGCAAGACCAGGCCACGATTAGAAGCTTCAAACTTTCAGTGCCCCACGCCCCATCCCCCAGGAAGGTGAGCAGGGCTGGGGATTGTATTGATAATTGATCATGCCTACATGATGAAGCCCCCATAAAAATGTCTAAAAGACAGGGTTCAGAGCTTCTGTGTTGGTGAACACATTCATGTGCCAGAACGGTGGTGCTGCACCCCAACTCCACGGAGACAGAAGCTCCTGTGCTTGGAACCCTTCCAGAACTCATGCTATTTATCCCGTCACCTGGCTATTCATTTGTATCATTTGTAATATCCTGTATAATAATCCAGTAAACATGTTTTCCTGAGATCTGCAAGTTGTTTTTAGCAAATGATTGAAACTTAGGGGTTGTAGGAACCTCCGATTTACAGCTGGATGTTGACAACCTGGACTTGCAATTGGCATCTGCAGTGAGGGCAGTCTGTGGGACTGAGTCCTTCATTTGTAGGATCTAATGCTAACTCCAAATAGATAGTGTCAGAAGTGAAGTGTTCTGGAAGTATTGTGTTGTGAGTGTACATATAGAACCCTGTATAAGGGTTATCTGAAAAGCTCCAAGTTCTAGAACCCTTACCAGAATCAGAACTGCCTTTGAAAGCCATGACAGCCATCTGTGGAAAATAAAGTGTTCCAGAATATAAATGAGGGGTGAGGGCCTCCCTATAAACACCAGAAAAGTTCCCAATCCAGAGGAGCAGTTACATTTCACAGCTGCAGTTGAGTTCCCAGCCAAGTGGTACAGGTCTCCATGGCCTTCGCGAGCCCAATCATGTTTTCACAGGGCTCTGGATGGAGATTACCTTCAAAACTTAAGCTGTGTACTTTTCCTTGCCAATTACATTAAAAATCAAACCAAAGACTAATCAGCTTCTTCCCTCAACAAAACACATTTAATATCTCATTAGCTTTGGAAAGTTTCACAGCAAATTGGTGTAAATGGACACTCTGGAAAGAGCATATTGTCTTTCTGTCTAAATAGCTACTGACACTCTTTGCTCTTTTTTTTTTTTTTTTTTTTGACAGTGCACTCTGCATAGCAGCTTTATAAAAAGAGGGCACATAGCAGTCTTCACTTTCTTTTCTGCATCTCACGGCAGAGATAGACAAATAAGCCTGTCAGTCCACTGCATTTCCTTCCACTGCACTCCTGTCTTCAAACGATACTGTGGAAATTAACTTGAAATATTATGAAGGCCCTTTTTTCTCCCTTTAATTCCAGGTAAAGGAATTATGGCTCCTTGTACTTATTCATTCCAGACCTGTGGCTCCATTCCACAGTTGTTAGGTGAACAGTAATTGCTCAGCAATAACTCTTGTATACACAGCCATCACAAAATAAAATCTAGAGTGAGGAGATCTCAATTTCAGAGATTCCTTCAAATCTAGGAGCCCCTATCCAGCAGTACACCTCAAAAAAATGTATTAAAAGTCAGATTCGGCCACGCACGGTGGCTCACGCCTGTAATCCCAGCACTTTGGGAGGCCCGGGCAAGCGGATCACTTGAGGTCAGGAGTTCAAGACTAGCCTGGCCAACATGGTGAAACCTCATCTCTACTAAAAATACAAAAATTAGCTGGGTGTGGTGGCAGGCACCTTATAATACCAGCTACTCAGGAAGCTGTGGCAGGAGAATCGCTTGAACTAGGGAGGCAGAGGCTGCAGTGAGCCAGGATCATGCCACTACATTCCAGCCTGGGCAACTGAGCAATACTGTCTCAAAGAAAAAAAAAAAAAAAGTCAGACTCTTTTCCAAAGAATAGCAAAATGAAAAGTAAGAAATTCCAAGTTAGAACTATAGTAGGAAAACCTGCTGGGGTGTCAGCGAATAAGGTTTTTACTCTCCTGTTGGTCAATACAGAAGAATCTTAACAGATTTTGAGAACAGTTGGGAGAAACTACATCACCAAGTAAGATGGTGTCTACACCATCTTCATTCAATGTCATAAGTATCTCTCAGGGTTTAACATGTGCAGATTGTCATGACTGTTCTAAAATTCTTAAGTGAAAGACTCACTAAGATTCTTAGTCACCATTTTAGCAAACTGTAACTCTTAGAAAGCAGCAGTAGGGGCTGAAGGGAAAGCAGCTATAAGGAATTTCTGGGTGAAGCATGTTGCTAACAGTTGTAAAACTGGTTGAAGATGCCATCTTTTGTGATACCCAATGTCTATTATGTTTAAAGTTCACAAGGTACATTTCTACTGAAATTCAGATCCAAGAAAAATTTTGTCTCTCAAAATAACCATGTATGCTTCCTTTTCAATGATAAAAGAAACTGTGTTTGCAACATAAAGTTAAATTTAATATGGAAGTATGATGATAAGCTACTCCTGCTATCTGGCAATACCCATTTTCTGTTCATTTTACTTAATTTGTTTTCTGATTCTTTTTATATCCTATTTCCATGTAGTTTAATCTTATAAGCCATTTTATTTTGATGGGCATAGAGTCCCACATCTAAAAAATAACTGATTAAAAAAATGACTTACCACTACACATCTATTAGAATGGCTAAAAACAAAAACAAAAACCAAAAACCAAAACTGACAATACCAATTTCTGGCAAGAATATAGAGCAACAGGAACTTTCATCCATGACTAGTGAAAATGCAACAGAGTACAGCCACTTTCAAGGATAGTTTGGCAGTTTCTTACAAAGCTAAACATTGGCTTATCATACAACACAGCCGTTGTGCTTGTAGGTATTTACCTAAGTGATTTGAAAACTGATGCCCACACAAAAACTTGCATATGAATATTTATAGATGCTCTATTCATACTCTCCAAGCATTGGAAGCAACCAATATGTACTTCAATAGGTGAAGGATAAACAAATGTGGTATATCCGTGCAATGGAATATTATTCAGTAATAAAAAGAAACGAGCTATCAAGCCACAAAAAGTCATGGGTGAATCTTAAATGCATATTACTAAATGAAAGGAGCCAGTCTGAAAAGGCTTCATTGTGTATTAATCCAATTATATTACAAAACTATAGAGAGAGTAAAAAATCAGTGGTTGCCTGTGCGCAGGGGATGTGAGGTCTGACTGAGTGAGGCACAGGGGATTTTTAGGGCAGTGAAACGTCTCTGTAGGATACTGTACTGGTTGATATGTGACACTATGCATTTGTCAAAATCCACAAGACTTTACAGTACAAAGAATGAAACTTGGCCAGGTGCTGAGGCTCATGCCCATAATCCCAGCCCTTTGGGAGGCCATGGTGGGAAGATTGTTTGAGCCCAGGAGTTTTGAGGCTGCAGTGAGCTATGATCACACCACTGCACCCAGCGTGGGCAACAGAGTGAGACCCTGTCTCTAAAAAAAAAAAAAAAAAAATAGTAAAACTTAATGTATGCTGTAGACTCAAAAATGTAATTTAGGAGATTGGGAAATACAAGGATGGAAGGTAGAATATGACAAATCAAACTAACTGTATTACAAATATATGAAAAACCTCACGGACAGTGCTGGAGGGAAAAGTACTGACCCAAGTAGCTTTGCTTTTTTTGTTGTTGTTGTTGTTTGGTTTTTGTTTTTGTTTTGAGACAGAGTCTTGCTTTGTCACTCAGGCTAGAGTGCAGTGGCACAATCTCAGCTCACTGCAACCTCCACCTCCCAGGTTCAAGTGATTCTCCTGCCTCAGCCTCCTGGGGAGCTGGGATTACAGGTGCCCGCCCTGACACCCGGCTAATTTTTGTATTTTTAGTAGAGACAGGGTTTTGCCATGTTGTCCAGGCTGGTCTCAAACTCCTGACCTCAAGTGATCCGCCTGCCTCAGCGTCCCAAAGTACTGGGATTATAGGTGTGAGCCACCACGCCCAGCCCCAGGTAGCTTTGGAAATGAGTGGAATCTACAAGACTACAAAGGCAACTACATAGCACTGTGCTCTAGTTAATAAAGTTGTTTCTATAGGGGTATGGATTAACATTTCTGATACTGCAATACATATATGTCAGAATTGAACAATTAAATAAATGGATGGTAGAAACCAGGTTTCTCACTGTTGGAGCGGGAGGTTAGAATAATCTACATGGTAATAGATTGGAATTGGAGACATTAGTATGAATTCATGTTTAGCTTAATATAGATACAGCTAGTTACATAAAGAAATATCTAGAGATATACATGGAATGCACACATTTCCTTGCTCTGTCAGAGAGGGCTTATGATATTACAGTTGCAACAAGCACACCTAGCAGCCAGATCCTGATTTTTAATACCATTCCCCAATTAAAAACAAACAAACACACAAACAAACAAACCAGGGATCCTTAGAGAAATAGCTGATTCTAGGACTGGGGCATGAAATATATAAGATAAGCCTGGAGCATCTTGTGTCAGGACATAAGGAAGTGCTGAAACAGAAACAGTTGCACAAAGATGGGGCGTGTTGAAGGGACACAGGACCCAACTGAAACGGTTCCCAGTGGCCAACGCCGGAACAATTGGAGCAATAAGATAAAGTAGTATTGGATTATAACCCAAAATACAAAATAAATACATATGAATCTATACTAGTATAAATGAATGACTGAATAAATAAATAAATAAGAACAAATCTCCTATGTGGAAGAATTCCAATTATTTTATGCAAATACTCTGCCCTCTAGGTGCGGCGCTTACCTCCCTATTACTGAATGTGAGCTGCACAAAGTGACTACCTTCCTAAAAGCACAGCATGGAAAGGGAGAGAAAAGTAACTCTACGGTGGAGAAACCCAACAAACATTACCTCCAGCCAGGTATCACAATGACAAGTGATAAATCATGTTGACAGTATGTACTCTTGATATGATGTGTGATAAAAATGGCACTTTACCTCTAGTCTTCATCTCAAAGCCACATAATCTCAGGCTAATCATGATAAAAACATCATACAAATCCTAACTGGGGCACACTCTCCAGAACACCTGACCAATATTCTTCAAAACTGTCAATGTTATCAAAACCAAGGGAAGTCTGGGAAACTGTCACAGCCAAGAGGAGCCTAAAGAGACAAACCCATTAAATGTAAGTAATGTGGCATCCTGGATGAGATTCCGGAACAGAAAAAAAGACATTATGTAAAAATGAAAGAAATCAGAAATAAAGTACGAAATTTACTTAATAATAATGTATCCATATTGATTCACTAATAGTGACAAATGTACCTTTCTTATATGAGACGTTAAGAGAGAATACTGGTGCCGGGTATATGGGAACTCTGTTTATCATCACAAAACTTTTATAAATCTAAAACTGTTTTAAAGTAGAAAGTTTACTCGGTGCAGTGACTCACACTTGTAATCCCAGCAGTTTGGGAGGCCGAGGTGGAAGGATGGCTTGAGCCCAGTAGTTTGAGACTAGCCTGAGCAACATAGTGAGACCCCCATCTCTACAAAAAATTAAAAAAAAAAAAGTTACTCTGGCGTCTGAGGTGGGAGGATTGCTTAAGCCCAGGAGGCTAAGGCTGCAGTGAGCCGTAATTGCACCATTGCACTCCAGCCTGGGTGACAGAATGAGACCCTCTCAAAGGAGAAAGAAAGAGAGAGAGAGAGAGAGAAAAGAGTGAAAAAGAAAAAGAAAGCAAGAAAAGAAAAGAAAAGCCAGGTGTGGTGGCTCATACCTGTAATCCCAACACTTTGGGAGGCCGAGACCTGTGGATGACTTTGAGTCAGGAGTTCAAGACCAGCCTATGGTGAAACCCCGTCTTTATCAAAAATGCAAAAATTAGCCGGGAGTGGTGCTGCAGCCTGTAGTCCCAGCTACTTCAGAGGCTGAGGCAGGAGGATAGCTTGAGCCTAGGAGGTGGAGGCTGCAGTGAGCCCTGATTGTGCCACTGCACTCCCGCGTGAGTGACAGACTGAGAACTTGTCTCAAAAACAAACAAAAAAACACACATTCTCCCTAAAAAATAAAAAATATAAATAAATAAATAAATAAATAAATAAATAAATAAGTAAATATTCATTTAGGAAACCACACCCACACCTCCACGTTCTGGGCTAGTGCTCAGAGGCGTCCTCGCAAGCCTCAGGCACACGCGGATGGCCAGGATCCCCAGCAGGTCTCTGGAGCAGAGTTCGCCACCCATCGCTCCAGGCACTGCTGAGGGGTGCGGTTCCCACCCGCCCGGTGCCAAACGTGACTCTCACTCACTTCCACTTCCAAGGGCAAGGCCACACAGCAGGGAATTGCCATAATTCGCCTGAGGGAGTGGAGGAGACTTGGAGGAAGGATTCTCGTTCCGATGCCGCAGGTGTGGTGCCCGGGCTTGGCTCTCCTGCCGCCTTGCGGGGCGGGCGCGGCCTCCTGGGTGAGCGTTGCGAGCTCGGACCTCCACCGGCAGAAGCTCCGCGCTTGCGGGCCGCGCTGCCGCCAGGCTTCGGCTTTCGCAAGAGAAGCCAGGCCCGCCACACTGCAAGTGCAGTCGCGCAGCTTCTATTAATAAATGGGGACCACTCTGTCCATTTGTTTAAGAAAAGTCTGCGCTGGCTAAAGGAAAGAAACCCATCTGCCGGCCGAGACTGCTGAGGAGGAGGCGCTGCCAGGGCTCCCGGGGCCAAGGCTATTCATTTAAAACCCAGGAAGAGGGGGCGAGGTGGGGTGGGAATTGGATAGTGAGCTGCGCTGTCCACTATGTGAACACATTAGCCTCGCGGGACATGTGGTTCTTTAAATTGGAATTAATAAAAATTAAATACAATTTAAAATGGGCTTCCTCAGTCGCACTGGGCACATTTTAAGCGCTCAGCAGCCCTTGCCATCACTGTGGAAAGCTTCACTGGGCAGCACCGCTAAGTACAAGGAGATATTGCGACAATTGGCAAAATTTGAATGCAAAGCCGGTATATGTTTACAGATTGAAACCACTGTATCCATGTTTTTTCCTTTTTTTGTTTTTTGAGACAGGGCTCTTGCTCTGTCGGGCAGGCTGGAGTGCAGTGGCTACACTCACTGCAGCCTTGACCTCCTGGCTTCAAGCGACCCTCCCTCCTCAGCCTCCCAAGAAGCTGGGATCACAGGCACTGCTCCACCATGCCTGGCTAATTTTTTCATTTTTTTTTTTTGTAGAGACAGATCTTGCTATTTTGTCCAGGCTGTTCTCGAACTCCTGGGCTCGAGTGATCCTGCAGCCTCGGCCTCCCGAAGTGCTGCATTACAGACATGAGCCAACGCCCAGCCATGTTTCCTAATTTTGATCCCTGTCCTGTAGTTACATAAAATAATGTCTTTGTTCTCAGGAAGCATAGGTGGAAATATTTAGGGGTAAATGGGACATGATGTCTGCAACTTAGTTTCAAATAGTTCAGAAAAAAAAATGTAGATACATAGAATGATAAAGCAAATGTGGCAAATTATTAACACTGGTGAGTCTGGGTGCTATTCTTGCAACTTTTCTGTAAATTTAAAATTATTTCGAATGTGAGGATTAAAAAAGGAAAAATGAAGAAACAAAAACTCCAGAGAAGCTAAGTTAAAGAGTTGAAGTTAAGGAAACACTAAGAATGTATCCCAAGTGGCAGCCCTCACTCTGGGTAGGGACTTCTCATCTGACAGCATACTTCCATGGGCTTAATTGCCCACATAATTATCCCCACCCATACCCCTGGTGGTCCTTTGGAATTCTCACTGCCCTCATGGTGCCTTTTTACATACTCGCAGGGCAAAGCTTCCCAAATTCCAGGACACTCCATTCTTTGTTTTCAAGACCCAGCTCTAGACCCCATTCCCTGAACTTCAGTAATCAGTGTTTCACCTGGAAGAGACTCGTCAGAGCAGTATATATATATATATATATATGTGTTCCCAGCTGCAGCTGAAACAGTTTTCATGCATTGAGTAAAACTGTGTGGTGCACCTGAGGGGCGTTCTTGGTACTGGGATGCCTCAACCTACCCATCTAAGGATCACTGCTCTAAGAATTTTTAAAACTGGTTTGTGCTTACATCCTTATGTATAATTTTACTTAAAGGTGTGACTGTAATAATAGACATGGATTTACTTTCAGTGGAGTTTTATTTGTTTGTTTTGCTTGTTCTCCCACAACACTTTTCTCTCTTTCCTTGGCTTCTACAAGAGGGCACAAATCCTGCTACTTTTGCCTTTATTGCAACCCCCACAGATCCCTGGCTTCAGACACATAGAGCTGTCTGTCCACACTTCCTGGCACTGGGCCTGGAGGAGAAAGGAGCTGTGGTCCTGGAATCCCCTGAGCTGGTTTTCTATGTAAGTCTCTTATTATGAGAGCACCTCATTCTTACTCACCTTTATTAAGCAGCAGGGCACCGGATGTCATGGTGGTCACAGAACCTGCAAGATGTTGTCATTAAATTCAGCAAACATTTTTTGGGAGTCTACTTTTGGGCCCAGGCACTCTGCCAGGTGCTGCTGATACAAACATCATCAACAAGATCCTGCCTTCGAGGAGTTCCCAGGCAGCAAAAAACAAAGAATAGGATAAATGGTGTTTTTGTGAGTGCCATGGTAATACTGGGCATGGGGCTGGAGCAGGGCCTCACCTGCGGGAGGCAAACCCCACCTTCTTCACTGCAACAGGCTCTCTCAGCATATAATTTCTGACGTCATCAACGCAGCATCTTTTGATGTACACTCCTCCTCAAACTTTCATCTCACGTGTAACAAGCATCCATTGTGATCTCAAGGTCCCAGCCTTTCTGTAGCTCCCAACTAAAAGGCAGTTTCAATTCAGACCAACCGGAGTCCAAAATAAAGGGTCCAAGACAGGAACGTGTCTGCTCCTCTTTGTGTAGATAGAAATTGTTTATTGCTCTAGCTCTCTTCTCTTTTGTGAAAGCTCCACGCTTCTTTTCAAAATGATTCCCATTCTTTGCAGAGTTGTCTATTAGCTGCCTCCCACAGCCATGCTCAGGCTTTGAAGTTTATGGATAACTCAGCATTTCTTCCCTGTGGATATGAGAGGCACTTTGAATCGGGCATGGTGGTGCGTGTCTGTAGTCTCAGCTCCTTGGGAGGATAGCTTGAACCCAGGAGTTCAAGACTGCAGTGAGCTATGATCATGTCTGTGAATAGCCAGTGCACCCCAGCCCAGGAAACATATTTTTTAGAGACCTTGTCTCTAAATAAAATAAAATAGAATAAAATTTAAAGAAGCATTTTGGCATCAAATAAAATACTCAAGGTAGGATATGTGCGTTTCCCCTGCCAGCAATAGCTTAAACTGTACAACTGTACAAAGAAGTGACAGTGACTTCAGGCACACATCCCATTAAATCCAAACTAAATGTATTCTAAACTGAATGACCCCTTAGCAGAATTTTCAGAAATGCACTTGGACATGCCAACGTCCACCACTTAATAGGAGGGGAAGTCAGAAGAGAAAGAGACAGGCATCTTAACCTACTGCAGAGAAAAAAAAAAATCTTACTTTTGTAAAATTGACAAAAACATATGATCCTGTGACTATTCATTGGGCCCCTACCATGGCTTCCAAGGGCAAACAAGGGCCTCTGAAGCTCAAGTTTCAGTAGCTCGCTGGTAAATCCACCTCTGCTTACATCGAAATGTTCTGAATGAGTCACTCTTATAAAATCAGTGACTCCTACTAAGCATTTCCTCAGAGGGCCTTTGATTTCAGAAGCTGTCTCTGGAAAAGGCATTCCTGGGATCCCTCCTTTTCTCCAGGACATATTAATGAATTGACTTGGAGCCAAGACAGCCTTGACTTGGAACACCAAAGCTCTTTTAAGTCCATGGGGCTCAGATTAGGTTGACCAACTACCTGGGTTTGCCCAGTATGTCTAGCTTTATCTCGGAAAGTCCCATATTCCAGGAAATCCCCTGAGTCCCAGGAGGAATGAGATGGCTGGTGACCTACCCTGGGCTCTCAGAGGAGGTGTAGATTTAACGAGCACACACACTTTGGGATTGCATGGCAACCTGCCTTCCCAGCACAGCCTTGAACATCTTAACCTTGAAAGCAGTGGAAACCAGCTCTAAATCAGACTTAAGCAGGAAAAGGATTTATTGAAGGGATAGTTTTCTCTCTCTGCTTCTTTGCCTCCCACTGTGAGCGTCAAAGCCCTGGGCAGGGGCATCTGATTTGCCATACTGAGACACATGTCCACCACAAACTCATGTTTGGGGCAGGAATGAAGCAAGAATCTGCCTTCTTTTTTACTTCTGTGGTAAGTGATACACCCTATCAATCCCCAAACATATACAGTGGGTGTCTTAGTCCATTCAGGCTGCTGTAACAAAATACCTTCAACTGGGTAATTTATAAACAATAGAAATTTATCACTCACAGTTCTGAAGGTTGGGAAGTCCAAGATCAAGGGACTGGCAGACGCCATGTCTGGTGAGGGCCTGTTTCTCATAGACAGCAATGAATGACTGCATCCTCACATGGCAGAACGGGCAGAAAGCCTCCCTCAAGCCCTTAAACTATCCACGAGGGTGGAGCCCTCATGACCTAATCACCTCCCCAAATCCCCATCTCCTTTTTATTTAGTTTCCACATACAGCAGTGACAAAGTCCCCATCTCTTAACACCATCACCTTGGGGGTTAGGTTTAAACACATGAATTTTGGAGGGACACAAATATTCAGACCATAACAGTGGGGAAGTCCCCGAATTTAGGAACAAGGTTCAGATGACTGCCATGCAAAGAAGCCACAAAGTAAACAATGAAGAGTTTATGTTGTACAGTCACATACCACATAACGACATTTCAGTCAGTGAGGGAGAACAAATATAACAGTGGTCCCATAAGAATGTAATGGAGCTGGAAAATGGCTATTGCCTAGTGATGTTGCAGGTGACTTAACTGTGTTATAGTTACATGTGTTACATGTTTGTGATGATGCTGGTGTAAACAAACCTACTTCACTGCCAGTCATATAAAAGCATTATGCATACAATTATGCACAATACATAAAAAACAACAACAAAAAAGAAAACAATAGATAATACTTGTTTTTTTTACATATTTACTATACTGTACTTTTTATCGTTATTTTAGCCTGTACTCAGCAACCCTGTTGCCCTTCTTAAGGATACAGATATTCCTGAGGGTACGGACATTCCTAAAGTTATAGCTGGGCTCTGTCTTTCTTATACCTTGTTCCAAGAGGCAATGCTCAAAAATGGCACAGACCACCCAATCAGAAGGGATGCTGACTATAAACAACTACAATCATGTGCCACATAACGCTTTGGTCAACAATGGGCCGCATGTATGACAGTGGTCTCCATATATAAGATTATCATGGAGCTGAAAATTCCTATCATCTAGTGACGCAAAGCTGTTGTAATGCTATTGTCATTGTAACATCATAGCACAACACATTACTCATGTGTTTGTGGTGATGCTGGTGTAAACAGACCTACTGCGCTGCCAGTCAACTAAAAGTCTAGCTCATACAATTATGAATAACACATAGTACTTGATAATAAATGACTAGGTTACTGGTTTATGTATTTACCATACTATACTTTTTATCATTATTTTAGAGTGTACTCCTTCTACTTAGAAATATGTTAACTGTAAAGCAACCTCAGGCAGGTCCTTCAGGAGGTATTCCAGAAGAAGGCATTGTTATCATAGGCGTTTTCAGCTCCATGCATATTACTGCCCCTGAAAACCTTCCAGTGGGACGAGATATGGAAGTGGGAGACAGTGATATTGATCATCCTGACCCTGTGCAGGCCTAGGAGAGTGTGCGTTCTTGTGTCTTGATTTTTAAGAAAGAAGTTTTAAAAGTTAAAAAAAATTTTAATAGAAAAAAGCTTATAGAATACAGATATAAAAATATTTTTTGTACGCTGTATAATGTGTTTGTGTTTTAGGCTGTTATTACAAAAGAGTCAAAAAGTTGAATTTTTTTTAAGTTTATAAAGTTAAAAAATTATATTAAGCTGGCTGGGCACGGTGGCTCACGCCTGTAATCCCAGCACTTTGGGAGGCTGAGAGGGGTGGTTCACTTGAGGTCAGGAGTTTGAGACCAGCCTGGCCAACATGGTGAAACCCCATCTCTACTAAAAAAAAAAAAAAAATAGCCAGGAGTGGTGGCACGTCCCTGTAATCCCAGCTACTCAGGAGGTCGGGGCAGGAGAATCACTTGAACCCAGGAGGCGGCAGTTGCAGTGAGCTGAGATCGCGCCACTGCACTCCAGCCTGGGTGACAGAGCAAGACTCTGTCTCAAAAAAAAAAAAAAAAAAAAAAAAAAAAATATATATATATATATATATATATATATATGCTAAGGTTAATTTATTGTATAAGAAAGAAAAAATTTTAAAATAAATTTAATGTAGCCTAAGTATACAGTGTTTGTAAAGTCTACAATAGCGTAATGTTCTAGGCCTTCACATTCACTCACCACTCACTCACTGACTCATCCAGAGTAACTTTGAGTTCTTCAAGCTCTATTCACAGTAAGTGCCCTATACAAGTCTACCATTTTAAATCTTTTATATTGTATTTTTACTGTACCTTTTCTATGTCAAGATACACAAATGCCATTGTGTTATAACTGCCTACAGTACTCAGTACAGTAACATGCTGTACAGATTTGTAGCCTAGGAGCAATAGGCTATATACAGTCTAGGTGTGTAGTAGGCTATGCCACCAAGGTTTGTGTAAGTACACTCTGATGTTCGCACAATGACAAAATCACCTAACAATGTATTTATTAGAATGTATCCCCCACAATAAATAACACAAGATAGTCCATAAATCAAGCATCAACAACTTCGGGGCAGAGGATAGGAGGCAAGCTACATGTGTCAAGGCGGCTTTATGGAAAACTGAACACCTACCATATAACTTCAGGAGGGAGCGTGGAGGACCCTGGGCTGTGGGCTGTGTGCTCAGGATGTTTGAATGCAGGACAGCCAGCATGGAAGGCTGATAGGAGAAGCACTGTCAAGATCACTGGTTTTCAACCCTACCTGCATCAGAATCCCCTTGGAAGTTTTAAAACTACTGGGTCCCACCCCTAGAGATTCTGATTGAAATGGAGCGCCACATTAGGATTTCTATAAATTTCCCAAGTGATTTTAACATACAACAGGGTTTAAGAACCACTGGCGGCTGGGCGAGGTGGCTCACGCCTGTAATCCCTGCATTTTGGAAGGCCGAGGCAGGCGGATCACTTGAGGTCAGGAGTTCAAGACCAGCCTGGCCAACATGGTGAAACCCCATCTCTACTAACAATACGAAAATTAGCCGGGTGCCTGTAATCCCAGCTACTTAGGAGGCGAGGCAGGAGAATCGTTTGAATGCAGGAGGCAGAGGTTGCAGTGAGCCAACATAGTGCCACTACACTCCAGCCTGGGTGACAGAGCTAGACTCTGTCTCAAAAAAAAAAAAAAAAAAAAAAAAAAAAAACAACAAAAACAAAAGAATCACTGGCGTAGGTATGACCAGCTCAACCCTTGTTCCACACTCCCTGAAATTTTGTCAGAAATTCCAAAGACTTCCATGAGATTTCTGCTCTGACTCTGTCTTGGACAGCAACTTTCTCTTGGAATATAATGTTTTGATTAGCATTATTGAATAGAAATGTAATGTGAGCCACATATATAATATTTTCACATATCTACTTGGTGGAAGGAGACTGACCTGGGGAACTGCTGTGTGACAGGCTCTGTGCTGGCCCCACAATCAACCCTGCAATCAGTAGCATCATCTCCACTTTACAGATGACTAAGTGGAGGGTCATAAAAGCTGACTATCATGCCCCAAACCATACAGCTAGTAAGAGGAAGAGCTTGCATTAGAATTTAGATTTACTGAATTTAAAATCCCGAAGTCAGATCCATCCTCAGGAGAGGAAATCCACTGGGGAAAAAGGTCAGAACCAGCCATAAGGGAGCTCTTACAGAGTAGGAAGATGTTGGGTTTGGAGAGGAGATCTCAGAAGAGATCCATGAGTGCCATCTTCCAATACCTGAAGGCTCACCGGTGGTTAGACTGGCTCTGTGTCATTCCAAGGGGTAGCAGTAGAGTCAATAGGTAGAAGTTGTAAGGAGAAATATTTCCACGGAGACTGAGGACACATTTTGTCAACAGTCAGAGCTGCCCAAATTCGGATACTTTGGAAGATAGTGAGGACCAGGTGCTGCAGAAGACCAAGCAAAGGCTTTTGATACTTGGCCTGTTCCCCAAAGGCTGCAGCACTGTTCTGTGGAGTGGCTACATCAATTCGCCTGGGTGTTATTCAAAATAAGCAGGTCCATCCCAGGCCTACTATATCAGAATCTCACGGAAGTGAGGCCCAATGACTTTTATTTTGAACAAGTGTTTGCAGTTATTGTGATGTTGTGATGTGCAGCCAGGATTCAGAGCCACTGCTGCACAGAGGACGACATTTAAGCATCCGTTGGATGGTTGGACTATATGACTTTTCAAATCTCTTCCAGTGTTGAAATTCTATTATACCATGTTCGCTAAAGCTTGCCAACCAAATTATGGTGAGTGAACTTGGCAAGATTAATCATTTCCTTATTTGGCCTGTTTACTACTTAATGGGCAGCAGTGGGGGTAGAGTTCTTTGGCTAAAAAAGCAAAACTGCTAGTTGCCCACATTAGTTGAGATGCATTAGATTTTAACTCTTTTTTTTTTTTTTTCCTTTGGTAAGACAGGAATTCAGGGGAAGGGGCAAGGTAAAACAAGAAATATTTTCTCATATTTTCTTGCTAATAGAAATGTCAAATTTTTGCACTCATTGCCAGGAACCATGGAGTTCCAAGCTCTTTTATAAAAGGCAGTTAGGAACTTTGAGTTGGTCTACTATAGATAAGGATAGCAAAGGGCTGCAAAACTTGGCCTGTGGGATGAGACCATGTTAACAGTTTCCAAGGAAGCAGCTTTTACAAGCTTTATTCATAACACACCATTGACGAAAAGAAACAAGTGCCAAGCCCCATCAAGTTGAGGTATTGTTGAGAACACAGCTGGGTCACAGACGGAGTTGGAAAATGCAACCAGAGGAACACCAAGAGCAGCAAACTGAGAATGAGTTTTTGCTTTTCAGTCTCATCACTGAAAAGACACCCACGGCCCTCAGTCCAAATAGAAAGGAATCCTTGAGGACTGAAGCTGGGGTCACAGAACATCTGAATCACCAGATCCAGGTGCTGCACGCTCTTGGTCAGAGTGAGGACTGTACAAAAAGAAAAACAGGATCCCCTCTCCGAAAAGCAAATGAAGTGGTCATTTCTTTGCCCAGAACAATGCAGAAAAGTTCATCATTTTGCTGCCTTTTTTATGGAAAGATAGCCTGAAGGACAGGTACTGAACTAAAAAAAATTAGCTAAGGAGGCCAACAAGAATCCAGGTAAAAAGAAAATGTGGTAATAAATGCCTTAACTCCATTAAGTTTGAGCCAATAGCTGCTCAGTCAGGAAAAGCCATAAATGTAGAGGAGGCTGTTATTGGTTTCAGGTTCTCTATTTCTCCCTGAAGGGCATTATTTTGTTCTTTGCTTCACTCAGCTATTAAACATGGTCTTTTGAGAACAATATCTGGATTTAAGACACGTGGAATCTATTTTTTTTTCCCCTAAAACTTCCATCAAGTCATTTGTCCCCACTCTTTCTAGTTGGTCATATTTCTGGCACGGCTATAACAACCGTTTTATCATTTCTTATGGGATAATCCGATTCCAGTTCTCATGGCTCCTTCCGGTTCTACATTCGGGTTGTCTCTTTCTCTATAAGCGAGTGGGCTGCCATCATTTCAGATCTGTGCCTGTGGTTTGTGTGCCTCGACAAGCCATTGTCATGTGGACACAGCTCAGAAAAGTGTCTACATCTGGAAAGAATGGGGAACAGCTCATCTATGTACTCGGTAATAAACGCTCCCGAATATTCCCATACTAGGATTTCTACTGGGAATTCAAAGAAAGTCAGTGTGGTCTGACTTTTGTTTTTGTTTAAGGAAGTGGTTTTCAAAGTGAGGTCTCTGGTGGCTGTGAGCTAATTAAAAAATGCAACTCCTTCACCGACTTCCATTTTTATGTACCACTCAGGTCTTCTTACTAGGAATTTATAAACAAAATTAGCACCATACTTGAGGATGCACAGAACTCTATTTTGTCCTCTCCTAAGAGGTCCGGCTGTGAAAACACTTGGCATCACGACTTTGACTTACTTTTTTTCCTAATAAACAGATTTCATGACCTAGTATGCATCGTGGTTAACCACAGCTACAGCTAAATAAAACATCTACATGTAAACAACCTCTTCTTGTTACTATCTAGTTGCTCTTCCATGGAAGGTTGAAATGGGTGGACCATTACAGTCTTTTGTCTCAACTGAATGGTGTGGAACCATAAAAGTTTGTGAGGACTAGTCTAAAACAATGGGATGTACCAGAAATGGAACAAGCTTTTGGAGTCAGACCAACCTAGGGTCAAGCCTCCATGCACGGATTTCAGTCGGCAGGTTGAAATCCAGCCTACACTCTGCCAGTCAAGCCTCTGTAGAGCTTGGTTTCATTCAACATTTACTTCCCTAGGAGTAAGGGGGAAGGAGTAGGAGCTGACTTTGTAATCTAATGTACATGAAGGTGTATAGACCAGCTGCGGCCCTGAAAATACACCTTCATAGCAGTGTGACTTTGGGAAAATGCTTATTGTCTCTGTAGCCCAGTCTCCTTGTCTGAAATTGTAGGCTAATCATTTCTCCTTTGCAGGACTGTTGTTGAGGTAATTAGATGATGTATGTAAACTGCCTGGTGCACTGTAACAGATGTCAGCAAACCTGAGCTCTGCTGAGGGCCACCATCTACTCCCAGCCCTAAACTCAAATGAGTTGGGGTGAAGTGACTTCTCCTAGACGAGAAGCATCAGTATCCCAGATGAGATGTTCTGTCCAGCCAAACATTCTTTAGTTTTTGTGGCAGAGATGTCAAAGTCTTTGGGGGATAGACAGACTTAAGTGTCATTCCCAACCCTCCTACCCACTCACTATATGACTTTGAGCAAGTTATTCATTCCTCTGCGTCTCCTGTTTTCTCATCTGTAAAATGGGAACAAATAAAACTGATTTCAAAGCACAGAAGATGAAATGATTAACACAACAAGCCAAGATTACGCTTGGCACAGTTTTAGGTGCTCAACAAATTTGAGTTCTTTTCTCCCATACCCCCAACCCTTCCTTATCTGGTTCTTGGTTTCATTTAACATTTACTAAACCCCATCCAAAGAGAAGTGCAGTCTTCACCTTCCTCAGCGCTCTTTCATGAAACCAAAAAATTACTTATAGCCTTCCATGCATATTTTGATTAAATCAAATAACCACTTCATAGACTTACTATATCCTGGCAGCTGTGTAGATAAACCGGGTAGAAAGATAGAAAAAAGATACAATAAATAGGACTGAATAAAGATCACAGAAACCATCCTAGTTATATTTGGGACTTGGGATGTGATAGCAATGGCCCTACAAATCAGGATATTAGGACAGCTGGCTATTGAAATGGAAAAAATACAATAAAATTAGGTCTCCACCTTGCCCACCATATAGAAATAAATTCCTCATGGACTGAAGACCTATATAAAACTTTACAATATTTAATCTTAGGGACAGGCAAGGATTTCTTAGACAGGATGCAAAAGAAAGCTGAACTCAAAAAGTGGATACATCTGAGTTCAAAATGAAAACCACCTGGAAATATATGTAGCAGACATCATAAAAGTGTTAAAAGACTGATGACAGGCTAGGAGATGTTTGCAACAAATAAAACAGATGAAAGATTATATTCAAAATATACAAAGAACTATAAATTATTTTTTTAACTCCATTAGAAAAATAAAAAAGGACAGGGACAAAGAGGGCACATCGGAGTAAGTACGGCCAACATCCCCCATAGAGCGTGTGCTCAACCTCCCTAGTCATCAGGAAAATGAAGGTTAAAACCCCAAAGAGCTCCCATCGGATTATCAGAAATCAAAAAGTCTGACAAAATTGACTGCCTGAGAGGATGCAGGGACACAGAAGCTCTTATACAGGAGCTGCTAGTGGGAGGGTCAACTGGTTGCCATCACTTTGCAGAGCAATTTGGCTACACATACAAAAGTGGAATCCACGTGCACTCTACAAAATCGCAGTGTCATTTGAAATGTCAGCAAATTGGAAACAACCTGAACTGCCATCAAGATGGGAATAAATACGCTGAGGAATGTTCATAGGGTGAAACATGGGAGTGAATGCTGTCTCTATGCACACACATGGCCCAAGCTCAGTGCTGAGTGAAAACAGCAACTTACAGATGGGTATACATTCCTGTAACTGTAAAGTAATAACCCAGCCACACTGCAGTTTATGACACATGTGCACTTAGTAGAAGCACAGAACAAGAACGGGAGGGACACACTAGCTTAGTGATCATGCATGTCTTAGGGAGAGAAGAGAATGAGATTAAGTCAGGGACAAAAGAGCCTTTCATTGTATCTGTAATATTCTCTTGCTTTCTAATTTTTTTTTAATAACAAAATGTCAATCTTTGTTCATTCTGGGTGGTGGGCATGCTGCGTTTTTAGTGTGTTGTGTTTAGAATTTTTTTTCAAACCAATAGAAAGTATTAAACTCTGGAACTTTGAAAAGGAACAATGAAGATCAAGTTTGAGGCTTGCCTGAGGAATTCAATTTAGAATGTTTATAGGATTTTAAAATTATTTTAAAGATTGCTTAGGAGAAAAAGAAAGGAAAGGGAAGAAGAAAGATAAAACAAAGGGAGGAGAAAATCTGAAGTGGTACGAGGTGGACATTTGCTCTAGGACGGCTGCTGAACACGAGGAGTGACACCACAGCTGGGGACTTGACCCCAAGGGGCACCTCTGCTTCAATGCCTAACAGGGGTGGCATCATCCACAACCTCTTGTGTTCAATGAACGTTTATTTATATCAAGTAGCCGAGAGCTTCACTTCCTCTAGTCTGTCAACAGCTAACAGTGTCGTTTCGTTTCTCTTCCTTCCTTCTTTTCCATTTAGTAATTGCATATAGGCCTAAACTTGTTTTTCTTACATCTAGAAGTTTGTGATTACGGTTTTTATAATAGCTTATATAAAATTATTCTGTTATTTCTTTTACCTTAGAGTTTTTTTTTTTTTCTTTAATGTCATCAACTTATACTTAAAACCTTTTTATGCTGACTTACAGCCAGGCTTGGTGAATTCAATAATGCCCCCCAATAAAACCCCTCTCACCAACACCCGTGTTCCTTGAGTGCCTGCTGGGCACCAGCACTGGGGGTTATAAATGTAAAACATATGGGCAGGCCAACTCATGCGTGTTTATTGTTTTCTCTCTATTTATATGAAGCTCCTCTCCTTTAAAGCACCCAGGGATCTAATTACATGGTCATAGCCAAAGACTTAAGTATGTAATAGATCCAGTAATTTGTTATTAAGTACATGGATATGCTAACCATTTGCATAGATTAGAAGCGCCATGGAGGATGAAGTTAAAGCCAGTGAAAATGAACCCAGCAAGGTGCAGGCATCTTCAGAAACCACACTTGAGTAATCACAGCCTTAATAAAGTATTTTATGCTTCAATACATTTGTAATTGACCAATGATTTGTTTCTATGGGGCATAATACCCAATAATAAAACCCAAAGACTAGGACCTCTATCACATAATTAAATATCTTTAGTTCTATTACAGATAGTTCAGAGTGGGGTTTGTTGTGTGTGTTGGGGGGTGATGCTTCGTTTTGGTTTCTCATAATTTTTTCAGATTATTTCATGCGAGCAATTGAACAGTCCTTTTTAAAATATATTTTCTCACTGACAAAATAAGTGCTATGGTTGTATACACCGTCTCCTAGTCTCAATACTTAGCGGAGTTCCATACATCTAGTATGCAAAAAATTACATTTTATTTATTGTTTAAGAAGATAAAACTTTAAAGGTTGAGTTTTAATTTTACTTAATAGATATATTTCATCTTCCATCTTTTTGCTCAGATCTGATGTTTTTAAAGAAAAAAAACAGGGAAGAATAAGGAAAGAAGTATTAAGTTAGTAAGAGAACATGTTCCTTTCTGGAATCTGTCAAATGATAAAATATATTAGAATGAACTATTTTGAACCTACACAGGTGGCCATTTCATATATTTAATATTTCATCACATAGCTATGGCTTGATTTCTGTAAACGCAAGATGTTGAATTGCTAATTGTAATATGTTTAGCTCAGTTCCTAAATCCTGGGCTGGGGAACCTCACAGGGCAGATGAGTTGGGCCTCTTTATGGCTGACAAAAAGAATGTTCCCTCCCAGCATTCTCTGGGTTGCCTCCTCTGCAGAAATGGGCAAATTCTTAGAGTATGTGAGCGACTTCATAGCTGGCCCAATTACCCTTCCTTTATTCTTAGGGAGAGAAGTTTGACAAGGAGACGAGAGTTAGAATCAAGTGGTTCTCAGTCTCAGAGGGTCTTGAGCCAGTAGGTTTCTCACATGTCTTCCTTCCTTTCTTCCCTTCCTTCCTTCCTTCCTTCCTTCCTTCCTTCCTTCCTTCCTTCCTTCCTTCCATCCATCCTTCTTCTCTCCCTCCCTCTCTCCCTTCCTCTCTCTCTTTCTTTCTTCTTCTTCTTCTCTTCTTTTTTTCTGAGTCTCACTCTGTCACCCATACTGGGGTGTGGTGGAGACATCATGGCTCACTGCAGCCTCAAACTCCCGGGCTCAGGTAATCCTCCAACCTCAGCCTCCCAAGTAGCTGGGACCACAGACCCGTACCACCACATCCAGCTATTTTTTTTCTATTTTTTTTTTGTAGAGATGGGGTTGGCCACATTGCCCAGGCTGGTTGCAAACTCCTGGGCTCAAGTGATTCACCTGCCTTGATCTCCCAAAATGCTAGGCATGAGCCGCTGCAACCAGCACAAGTGTCTTCTTGTTAATCACAGGTGGAGACCTGAGGTTTGTACAAGCTGTACTTGAAAAGTAGTTGGAACAGAGAACACTTTGCCAATATGCCTTTTTGAGAGGAGCCAGGAGATCATTTCTCACACCTATCTTATCTACACTAATCTTGCAAATGTCACCTAGGGTGTGTGCCAAGGCAGAGGAGACTGGGACAGGCCTGAACTTACATAGTATTAGAGTTTTCTGTCTGTTTTCTATTCATTATTCCTACTTTCAACTTGGGGAATTGAGACGTGAAGAGGTTAATTGCCTTTGTCTGAGGCCACAAACACCTGAGGGATAGTTCTTGAGCCCCAAACTCTGGCTGCGAGCCCTCCTCTTTCCACCAGCCCACCCTCCACCTCACTGAGTCAGCTTGGCCACAAACGGGTGGACTCTGGCTGTGTGCCGTGACCACCTGTCCATAGCTGGGGCTGTCCACCTGCTTTTCAGACCGTCCCTGCCTGAACCTCCCCTTTCTCCTTTTGCTAATGGCCTTAGCATGTAGTGAAGAGTGGATAGCTGTTCCATAGGGGCTCTTTTGCTCACCTCTTTCTGCATTTCCCCATCTGATGGGATAAACAGGCAGTTGGCAGTTAGGCAGACCTAGATTTTAATTCCAAATCTGCTACCTACCAGCTGTGTATCCCTGGGAACCTCTTCATGTCTCAGTTTTTTCCTTAGTACAAATGAAGCTATAATATCTCCTTAGAGTTGTTGTGATGATTAAAGAAGTGGATGGAGGTGAGTTGCTGGTACATGATGAAGAGTAATAAATGTTTTTTTCCCATTCACCTCTTCCGAATACTTATATTGCTTTTCCATGCACCAAAGGGAAGTCTGTAGCTGTACAGTATTAGTTACATTTTTAGACAATTCTAAATAGTAAAAGCTTCATTAATTTGCATTCCATTCAGCTTTGGTAGAAATTCAGCCAGGAATGCCTTCTTGTTGTGTTCATAAAGAAAGGGTTTGCTAAGCTAAGGTGTGTTAGTCAGAAAAGGCTAGGCTTGTGCTGCAGTAACAACCAGCCCCAAATCACAGAAAAGGTTACTTCTCTTGGGCATGAAGTCCACGGCAGGCCAGTGCTTTCCAAGGTGGCTGCTTCCATCTGGTGGCTCAGCGGCCCTACCTGTTTCCACCCAGCGCTTCTACCAGCTCAGTCATGGCCCGCACTCCCCCACCTAAGGGGAAGAGAGAAACCGGAAATTTGCACATGGCCCTGCCTATGTGCAAAGGGGCTGAGACGTGTATTTTCCATCTTCCCAGGAAGAAGTAATGGGACGCAGGGTTAGGTGAACGCATAGCATTGCCCCTGCTATATAAGGGTAATCATGAGTTTAGGGAGAACACATAATTTCAAATCACATCCAAGTGGTCTAAAAATGTGCTACTTGTGTACATGGGAACTTTAAGATACTGAAAACAACCATCAGCAGGTGAATGACTTGATAAACAGATTGTGGTATGTCCATACAATGGAATATTGCTTGGTAATAAGAAGGAATGAACTGCTGATACATGCAACAGCAAGGGCAAATCTCAAGGTAATTATGCTGAGTAAAAGAAGCCAAATGAAAAGGAGTCATACTGCATGATTCCATTTGTGTAAAATACTAGAAAATGCAAACGAATCCATAGTGACAAAAGTAGATCAATGCTTTCCTAGAAACAGGGATGGAAGAAGGGATGGATTACAAAAGGGCACCAGGAAACTTTTGGGGGTAATGAAAATGCTATCCTGCCAACCGTGGTGGCTCACACTTGTAATCCCAGCACTTTGGGAAGCCGAGGCGGGTGGATCACCTGAGGTCAGGAGTTCGAGACCAGCCTGACCAACATGGTGAAACCCCATCTCTACTAAATACAAAAAATTAGCTGGGTGTGGTGGCAGGCACCTGTAATTCCAGCTACTTGGGAGGCTGAGGCAGGAGAATTGCTTGAACCTGGGAGGTGGAATTTGCAGTGAGCCAAGATTGCGCCATTGCACTCCAGCCTGGGCAACAAGAGCAAAACTCCATCTCAAAAAAAAGAAAATGCTATCTTGATGTGGGAGTGATTTCATAGGGGTATGCACACACCGAAACTGACCAACTTTTACATGGAAATATGTGCAGCTTATCTACTTCAATAATAGCTCAATAAAGTTGAAAAAAATAAGATAGTGATTTGAAATATTATTCATTATTTGCCCCTGGAGAGTGTACTGGTCTCTTTTGGTATTTATTTGTATTTATTTTTCTTTCACTTTCTTTCTTCCCCCTCCCCAACCAACCCCCCGTGTTGTCCAAGGTGATCTTGAACTCCTAACCTCAAGCAATTCTCTTGCCTCAGCCTCCCAAAGTTCTAGGATTACAAGTGTAAGCCATCATGCCTGGCCTTATCTGTATTTAAAAGTAATAAAATAGAATTTCATTCATAAATTGAGTCTGTTGCCATCTCCATGCTCTCTCCTGTTTATTCCCGATTCATGGCAAAAAGACTGTTGCCCAGGGCTTTGCAATGAAGAGAAAAATCAGCTTCAAATCCAAGCTCACAACTTACTAGCTCTTTGGCCTTGGGCAATTTATTGAACTTTTCTGAGAACTGTCTGCAAGTGTGTGTCAAGTCCCTTCAGGCAGCTTGCCACAGAGCAGGTGCTCAAACCGTTGTTATCTGCCCCAGGTGTCTTGCTACCTTCCTGCCACACCATTTGGAACTTCATATTAGGGTTGCTTCTCTGGTTTTGAAATTGGTCATCTTCTCTGGTTTCCAGGCCTTGTATTAAATGCAAACAAAATTTAAGGGCTTGCCAAAAACAAAAACAAACAAACAAACAAAACTCAGTAATTAAAAAATATAGCATCGTAATCCAATCAAAATTGATATTTAAAAAATTCCACAATGAACAAGATAACAGACATTTAATAAAGGTAGCCTTAGTCCTGTCCCAAATTCCTTTTCAAACCCTTCCCCCAATTCTGCCAATTCCTCTTGATTCCAATTCCTTCATGCCTTGCTCTCAAAGAATTACTTGAAAGTCATAAGATATAACTCACGTAGTCCAGGCACATGTTGCCACGTGGCTATTTTTTATTTTTGTAGACATGAGGTCTTCCTATGTTGCCCAGGCTGGTCTTGAACTCCTGGCCTCCAGCGATCATCATGCTTCGGCCTCCCAAAGTGCTAAGATTACAGACATGAGCCACCATGCTGGGCCTATTCTTTCTTAAATGTACCTTAGCTCACATTTAGTTTAAGGTTTAAAATTAGAAGTGTTTTGATCTTTATTTAGAAGTTTAATGTTTTTGTGATCAGAAACGTGCCAAGGGAACTTAACTCTTGTTTGTATCAGTTAGCCTTCAGTAAAATTGATCTGTCCTATGTCGTTCCGCTTAAAGTTGCAGTTTCCAAAGACCTATTGACAGTGTCAACTGAGGACTTACCCTCCAATGAAGACAAGAGGGAGGTCAGCTTTCTCAGGAAGCAGCCCTGGTGGCTCATTTGGCTTTTTCCACTTACCTTTCTGCTTCTCCCCTCCTTTAAAGACAGCATTTGTAACCTCCTTTGCATAACTGAATCTTCTAGAGTTTACAGACCCATAAAAGAAAGCAGACAACAGGGAACCGTGTGAAATGAAGCTGCTTAGGAAAGTCACTGTGAGCTTTGGAGGTGGAGGACTTGGTGGATTAGAAACTGAAACTGAACGTTTGAAATTATAAATAACACTCAGGTGCTTGCTTTTTATTTTAAGAAACTTGAACATTTTCATTGCTGGGGGAAAAGGTCAGTGAGGTTTTCCTTGGCCCTCTTCTTTCTACACATCTTGAAAAGTAATCTCTGAAGTAGGACTTCTAGTTAAATCCCTATAGATTTATTTTTCCCCATCAAGGGACGGTGTTCTAAAAACTTAGCAACAATAAGCAAAATTTCTTTGGGCAGAAGTAAAAATTCTAGACACACAAGCAGTATCATACAAACACAGATGGAGAAATTTAATAAATGAGAGTATCTTAAAGATTGGTTCCATTGTATTAGATAGAAATTTTAAGATACTTAAGTTTGGGTTTTAATTCCTAATCTCTGGACAAGTTGCAAATTTTAATTTTAATTTTAATTATTAGATTTTTTAAAATTATACTTTAAGTTCTAGGTTACATGTGCACAACGTGCGGGTTTGTTACATATGTATACATGTGCCATGTTGGTGTGCTGCACCCGTTAACTCACCATTTACATTAGGTGTATCTCCTAGTGCTATCCCTCCTCCCTCTCCCCACCCCACTACAGGCCCCAGTGTGTGATGTTCCCCACCCCGTGTCCAAGTGTTCTCATTGTTCAATTCCCACCTATGAGTGAGAACATGCGGTGTTTGGTTTTCTGTCCTTGCAATAGTTTGCTCAGAATGATGGTTTCCAGCTTCATCCATGTCCCTACAAAGGACATGAACTCATCATTTTTTATGGCTGCATAATATTCCATGGTGTATATGTGCCACATTTTCTTAATCCAGTCCATCCCTGATGGACATTTGGGTTGGTTCCAAGTCTTTGCTATTGTGAATAGTGCCGCAATAAACATACGTGTGCATGTGTCTTTATAGCAGCAGGATTTATAATCCTCTGGGTATATGCCCAGTAATGGGATTGCTGGGTCAAATGGTATTTCTAGTTCTAGATCCTTGAGGAATCGCCACACTGACTTCCACAATGGTTGAACTAGTTTACAGTCCCACCAACAGTGTAAAAGCATTCCTATTTCTTCACATCCTCTCCAGCATCTGTTGTTTCCTGACTTTTTAATGATCGCCATTCTAACTGGTGTGAGATGGTATCTCATTGTGGTTTTGATTTGCATTTCTCTGATGGCCAGTGACGATGAGCATTTTTTCATGTGTCTGTTGGCTGCATAAATGTCTTCTTTTGAGAAGTGTCTTTTCATATACTTCACCCACTTTTTGATGGGGTTGTTTGATTTTTTCTTGTAAATTTGTTTAAGTTCTTTGTAGATTCTGGATTGGATATTAGACCTTTTTCAGATGGGTAGATTGCAAAAATTTTCTCCCATTCTGTAGGTTGCCTGTTCACTCTGATGGTAGTTTCTTTTGCTGTGCAGAAGCTCTTTAGTTTAATTAGACCCCATTTGTCAATTTTGGCTTCTGTTGCCATTGCTTTTGGTGTTTTAGTCATGAAGTCCTTGCCCGTCCCTATGTCCTGAATGGTATTGCCTAGGTTTTCTTCTAGGGTTTTTATGGTTTTAGGTCTAACACTTAAGTCTTTAATCCATCTTGAATTAATTTTTGTATAAGATGTAAGTTTCAGCTTTCTCCATATGGCTAGCCAGTTTTCCCAGCACCATTTATTAAATAGGGAATCCTTTCCCTATTGCTTGTTTTTGTTAGGTTTGTCAAAGATCAGATGGTTGTAGATGTGTGGTATTATTTCTGGGGACTCTATTCTGTTCCATTGGTCTATATCTCTGTTTTGGTACCAGTACCATGCTGTTTTGGTTACTGTAGGCTTGTAGGATAGTTTGAAGTCAGGCAGTGTGATGCCTCCAGATTTGTTCTTTTGGCTTAGGATTGTCTGGGCAATGTGGGCTCTTTTTTGGTTCCATATGAACTTTAAAGTAGTTTTTTCCAGTTCTGTGAAGAAAGTCATTGGTAGCTTGATAGTGACGGTATTGAATCTTATATTACCTTGGGCAGTATGGCCATTTTCATGATATTGATTCTTCCTATCCATGAGTATGGAATGTTCTTCCATTTGTTTGTGTCCTCTTTTATTTTGTTGAGCAGTGGTTTGTAGTTCTCCTTGAAGAGGTTCTTCATATCCCTTGTAAGTTGGATTCCTAGGTATTTTATTCTCTTTGAAGCAACTGTGAATGGGAGTTCACTCATGATTTGGCTCTCTGTTTGTCTGTTATTGGTGTATAGGAAGGCTTGTGATTTTTGCACATTGATTTTGTATCCTGAGACTTTGCTGAAGTTGCTTATCAGCTTAAGGAGATTTTTTTTTTTTTTGTAGAGATGGGGTCTCGCTATGTTGCCCAGGCTAGTCTTGAAGTTCTGGGCTCAAGTGATCCTCCCAGCCTCCCACAGTCCTGGGATTACAGGTGTGAGCCAGTGCTCCAGCTAACATTTATTTTAAAAACAAAATCAGCATGTTTTTTCTCCAGGAGAGGGCCACATGCAGAAGCTGCCCTTCCCCTAAGCAGTGGTGCCCCTAGGGCTTGTCAATGCCGGTGGAGGGACAGCAGGCAAAATGGCCTAGCCCGACAGGGAGGGGTTGGGGAGGACAGACTCAGAACACTCTGGAGAAAACGGAAGCTTGCAGAGTGGTGATGTGGAGACGCCAGGCTTCTCTTACTGCCTGGTCCCCAGCCCACCCTACATCAACTCATAGGAAGCACAAGATGGTTTGTGAATCACTGAAGGGTCATGAGTAACTAGAGGGTATTGCTTCAAAGGAGAAAAGTATTTAAACAGGATGCTTCATATGACTGTTCCCAGAGTGCAAAGGAAAAAGGAAAAACATCAAACTCTTCAGCAAGGTTCCCACACGGGTAGGGGCTGGTTTATGGCTTTGTTTTGCTGTCTTGAGTTCACCCTTGTTTTCATCTCTTTATTTGTCCAGTGTGCAAAATCTTCACACTTCCACCTCCTTAGGAAGGGAGGCAAACCTCGCCCACCCCTTCAGCAGTTGGTCTTGCTTCAACCTGGCAGGCACAGAACAAGTAACCTTCAGCAATCCTTTCCCCGCAGTCTGAATTAGTTGGTGTGGAACACTCCAGGGAGGGCTTTGGCACCTCAGGTCACATGTGTGTTTTCTCTGTTAAGTAGGTCAGTCATGCCTCTTTATTCTTTCTGGATTTCATTGCATGGCTCAGCTGTGAGCAAGATCTACATCATCATATAAATCTAAATAATACATGTTGACTCAACCAAAAACTATGATGCAACTATATTGGGAAGATAGAAGAGGAAGTTTGCATGTGAGTGGTGGGGGTTGGGGGTCAGGAGCAGCACCAGGGAAAGGAAGGAGAGGTGAAGCCATGCTCAATCCTCATTTTCTGTGATAGGAAGAAATTGGATTATACCTAAAACTGAAAAATCAAGAAATAACAGTATCAACACATTATTGAGAAATTTAAGTATAAACACCAGAAGAAATGGCCAGAAGACTTGCAAGGGGTTGCCTCTGGAGAGGAAGATGTAAAGACAGGGAGACCATAGGTAGAGACTGCTGTTTTTCATTATTAGCTTTGTAGTGGTATTTAACTCTTAGAGCTAAACAAATGTGTGATTTTGAAATAAAATAAAATAAAATAAGGCAAAAAACAAAGTCATCCCCCGCCTGAAGGTCATCTTTCAGCTACATAAAACCTTGAAGTTACCCCTTGTCTCTCTCCTGGGTTACATCAAATTCACAGACAGGATGTGTATCCCATTTCTACCTAGAGTGAGTTAAGGGGTAAAGGGGTAAGTAGGCTTGGTCACCCTATTGGGGGGTATCTATTACTGATGGCTCATCAGATCACCTTGGGAAGAGAACACAGTCACAAAGATAATTTGTCGCCATTTGTCTTTTAATGAGCTGGTATCCATTCTGCTCTGAAGAACAGTGACTTGGTTTATAACAATACATAAGCACGAAGTCAGTGCAATATGAGGAGCTTCCTAGCAAGGAGAGTAGAAAAGAGTGACTCCTCTCCAGAGCGTTTTCTAGGGAAAGCTAAATGGCTGCCTAGCAGGGGGTGCTCTGGGAGGGACTCCTGCCTGCCACGGGGGAGGGACTAAACCAGCTGTCCTCCAAATTCTGTCCAATTCTGAGACTTTAAGTTGTTCCAGAAAAAGTTCTTAGACTTTTGCTCATTACACTGCTGCATTTGCAGTCCTTTAACCCACAGGATTGAGGGTGAAAAGATTGGGAATGCAGCAGTATAATGAACAAAAGTAATGAAAACTCACAGATAACTCTGTGCCCCTTCTTAACTGCACTCTTCCTGCACGGTGTGGGACATTTGTCAATTCTGATAAGAGGAAATTGGAAGCTACGACCTGGTATATATTTGTTTTATATGCTGTCATCATTACTGCCTACTTTTAAAAATGGAGAAAAAGAACTGATGTCATCCTGAAAACCAGTATTAAATCTGTCTTCTTTGGCACCACTGTGATTTGTGAAGTCTTTTGATATTCTGGAGATCCCTGTTACACAGGAAATGGCCCAGCTCTGAACTCAGAGAAAGTGTGAAAAGTCCAATACCAGTTTCTTAGTAAGTTAAGCATGTCTGAGCTGTTCTTATAATCTTGAAATACACGAATCACCTCTCCCAGTGAACAGCAGATTAATTGCAGGGTGTGGAGCCAACAGTCAGACCTTGGTCCCGAGCCCAGCTCTGCCACACAAGCTGTGCGACCTTGGGCAAGTTACTCCATCTCTCTGGATATCAGCTTCCTCAACTGAAAACGGGCATAACACCTGGAGCAGTTAGATGCTTTCAGTGTAAGAGAAAATCCAACCACATTAACTTTCACATAAGGAAACAGATGGGCTCACATATCTGGGCGTCTACAGATTGTGAGGTCATCAGGATGGTTGGTCCAGCTTCTCAGTGATGTCCTCAAGGACCCAGGCTCTTTCTGACTCCAAGGCTGCCATCCAGTGTTGGATCTGTTCTAAACAGGGCTGCTCTCAGGGTCACAGGATACAGCCACAGCAATTAGGGCTCCTGGTTTTCCCGTTCACATTTAGCTGAAGACACAAACTGCTCTTCCTGTGGCTTTTTCTCTAGCCCAAGCAAACAGGTTCCCAGAAGCCCAGCAACCTTCCCCTGAATCTCATTGCGCCAGATTGGTTACAAGCTCATTTCTGCACCAATGACTACCAAGGTAATGAGATTACTCTGACTGGCTTAGATTAATCAGGCCCACCCTGTGGGCCTGGTGTCCACATCCCAAATCCCATGGCTGCCACAACAGAGGAGAGTAGAGCAGACAGAGGGAGACCCACCCCAATGCCTGTGAGAACATCCACCACACACGCAAGGCCATTGGGAAGCTTAAACAAGAGGACACAAGTAAAAGCACCTGATAGGGCAGGCAAACAACAAGCCATTTCCTCTCCAAATACATAGTCAGCTCTCCAAAGAAAATACAAATACTTTTCTGAGAAATGAACTGTCTAATTTGTATGCTATGTTGCACCAGGCTGAGCTATTAGAAAGCATCCTGAGAGACTTCGATGGAGTACACCGAGACTTGATCACCCAGAAGCACCAGGAAGCTTCTGTTGGAGGCACAGCGGGGCCAGGTTTAATTAACTACCCAACATAGCATCCGCGGGGGCTTGAAATGCCAATATCAGGGTCTTCCTCTGGGGCCTATGTTGGGCCTCTGTGGCAGGCACATGATCATGGTGGCTGACCCAATATTCTTCCCCAACTTTTTCTCTCTAAGCTCCCTTCCAGGGATGCCACATGCTCCAGCTGTGTGGTCAATGAGACCCAAGAGAAGGCTGCTGTGAGGCTCACAGAGTGTTTTGGTTTTCTTGCTAGAGGTGCTGCCACTCCACCTTTCTCCTTGCTGACTGCAGATGTGATGATTGCAGTGGCTGCAGTGATTGCGAGGCCACAATGGCATGCCCAAAATAAAGCAGGAACACTGGCCTGAAGCCAGCAGATGCCTACCTAATTCAAACTATTATTATGGGAGAAACCAAACCCTTACCTGATCAAGCCATTGTGATGGCCAGGACAATGCACCACTCAGGTCTCCTGCTGCAGGGAGCATAATAGTTGGCCTTGTTTCCACTCCTCTGGGTTCACCACCACATTGATGCTGAGGCCACGCTTTCCACAGGCTGCTCCTGAATCAGTGACGAAGCACAGCCAATGCAGGTTTCTTATTCCTGTGAGACACAGGGATACACCAATGGGCAACACTGCGTCAAGGATTCCCATCAGCCTTGGCCACAACTTTCTTGGACCCGCACTGCAATCTAAGACATTCTACTCCATCTGCCTTCCTCCCCTCTTTTCTTCATACACGTCAGACCAGCACCACGGCCTGAAGGTTCTCTCTGCCTTCTCTGGCCTTTTCCTTTTTATGCTTCTCCAGCACTGCTCCAATAAATTGCTTGCACATCTAATCCTGTCTTGGCATTTTCCTCTCATAGGACCCAAATGAATGCAGCCATTATGGCTTTTTTTTTTTTTTTTTTTTTTGGTTACTTGCGATCACAAGTTTTCCTAACTGAGATGGCTCCAGAAGGCCCCCTATTTTAAGAATAGAAATATTTGTGAGAAAGTAAATCATTAGTTGAGATTTTAAAGTGTCAAAAAAAATTCACACTCTTTCCTTTCAGATTCTGAACTAAATATGAAACAGATCTACAAGTCAGTTTAGGGATCAAAACATCAAATTTATTACTGCAAACCTGGATCTGAAGCCAAAGTGTCTGTCCCATGACTTTCCACTGAATTGATTTTTCCCACCTAAGCTCACTTAGAGCAGCTGGAGACTGCAGGCTCCTACACACTGTCCCCGATCCTGCTCCCTGTCAGGGAGGAGAGCCTTGCAGAAAGTCACCTCCAAGAGAAACAGCCCAAGGAGAGACAGAACAATGCCCAGGGGAGTGGGAATCTTTTAAAGAGCTAACCCCACCCCGTAGAGAAATGTGGGCCAATGGGGCACCTTTTGCCACTGCCCTAATCAACTGAATCACTCTTTTTCCCCCAGGGTGGATCCACTGGGAGGTGCATAGAAAGTAGAAACTTCTCCAGGGCCTTAGACAAGTAGAAATTCCCGTTTCAGGAGCAAGCAAGATTGAGGAGGGGACAGAGAGAGGGAGAGGATGCATCCTCCTTCATAATTATATTTGTGCATTAAATAGTTGTTGGATAAAATGTGGGAGAGAAAATGCTGATGGCTCACCCTGCCCTAAAGCAGCCAACAGTGGTGCAGATAAGACGTGCTCAGAAATGACTTTGATACCAGACACAGTCATAACTTTATAGCTGTGATGCAGACAAAATGCCACTGGCTTTTATTTTGTGTACAGAGATCGCCACTGGCTCCACTCGGTCTTTCCTGTCCTCATTTTCCTGTTGTCCTGGTTTATCGTCCTGTTAATTTAAAATTTTATCTTATCTTTATGTGTTTCTGTGAATCATTATAAATCCTTCCTGGAACAAAGTGTAGGATTGTATAACTACATATATAAGCAATTCACGAAATACATGCATGACTTTAGGTCTTTAGGGTCAGGCTGCTTCAGTATTTCCCACTATGTGATCTTGGGCAAGTCTGAGCCTGCGTTTTCTCATCTGTAAAGTGTGCATAGTACAAAGATTTACCCCAATGTACAGAAGTGGGTCTTCAGTGAGTTAGCCCATGCAATGCCTTGCTTTGCACAGTGCCTAGCACACAGTGAAGCCTCTACAAATGCTGGTTTGGGTTCCTATTATCGCAGGCACACTCTGGTGTCTATCCCCACCCCCACGGATTCCTGCCTGCAGGGGAGTGAGGGAGAACTTCCAGGAGACGGCACATGGACAACAATTTTTGTCACATCATTGATGGATGTTGGTCCAGACAGGCCAGAGGAGAAAAGCCAGTCTTGAGCGAGTGATTGCAGGAAAAGTGGATCAAGGTTATTTTCCAGGAAGGGCAGGAGAGTGTGTATTTCCCTGGGGACAGTTGGAGGGTGGCGGTAGGGAGGGTATCTGTGGAGGTTGCACGGCTGAGAGAAGGGGTCACTAAAAGAGAAGGATTTGGGGGTGAGGCGGGGTGGAGGAGAGGGGAACAAAGACCCTAGAGTGTTCCATGCAGCCTAGTTGAGAGGTCTTGCCATGGTGCCCTGATGAGGTTCAGGTGAGAACAGTCTTCCAGAATCAGCCGCCCCAAGTGGAGCTCAAATACCCAGTGCCAGGAAAGAGACTGCAGCCTCTCTGAGCAACTAATTTAACCTGAGAACACGGAGAGAATCCTCTTTAAAATATGCAAAATATCTTGGAATAAAGAAAGGCAAACAGATCAGAGCAGTAGTTCTGTTGCTAATTCTGTCTGAAATATTATGTACAAAGAACATTAACAACTGAGAGTGTTTGTGAGTTTCTCAAAAGCCTAGAAACTCAGTCAAGGCTCCCCAGCAAGAGTAGCCAGTCCCCTCTTGTTTGATGTGCAAATTATAATAAGATTTTTCATTACACTGAAGTAGGCGCACAGGCCGCCAATGCATATCGAAGAGTGTCAATTGAGAAGCAATTGGAACACAGGCGTACACTTACAGCTCTTTCCAATGCCTTCCGGAAATAGAAACACCTATAAAAACTCAGTTTAAGATCACAAAAACCCTTTAAAGGCCCTACCTGGGATATTGGAGGCTTCTACCTCTTCTGGATATGGCTAATTACATAACTTCCTCCACTGTAAATCACAATGAACCAAGTAGAGCTGGTGAATCACACTCTTTTCATTGTAATGACAAGACATAAATTACCATAAAGACCTTCAATCCCCAAAGTGATGCAATTTGATAGAATGTACTTGTCTCCTTCCCACTTGTTATTCACTAAACTCCTGTCTGGGAAACACTCATTTGACGATGGATATTCAAATGCAAAACAAAAAACAAAAAACAAAAAAACACCAGCCCCAGCCCTGTACCCACAGAGGCAGGCGAGGCCAGGGTAGCGAGGTCTTCTAATTGTTCAAGAGAAGCTGGAAATCCTAATGTTTTTAAAAGAATAAAAACTTCTGATGCTTAAATAGTGGAGATGAATTACAATTTCTTTAAAAACACAGTGGGGTCAACAAGACATGCCTGGGGCTGAGTCTGTGGCTTGTGATCTCTGGAGGATTCTCTTGCTGTCCTGGCTTCAGAACCCTGGGGACATGTCACTATGTCCAAACCCACTACCAGGCACCTTGGATTTGCAGAGGCTTGGACCATCCTCCTGTTGTTTCAGGCCTTCCCACTTCCACATGGGCTTTGGTTCTACCGGACCCTTCAGGCTGAGGCCTTTCTCCTTTGTATCCATCGGCTTGGGCTGCCATAGTGAAATACTACGGACTGGGTGGCTTCAACAACAGAAGTTTATTTTTCACGGTTCTGGAGGCTGGAAGCCCAAGATGAAGGTGCCAGCAGGTTGGGTTTCCGCTGAGGCCCCTGTCCTTGGCCTGCAGATGGCAACCCTCTTGCTGTATCTTCCCATGCTTGTCTTACTCCCCCAACATCTCTGTGTGTCTTAATCACCTCTTCTTAGAAGGACACTAGTCATATTGGACCAGGGCCCACACTAACAGCATCATTTTAAATTAATTACCTCTTTGAAGACCCTACCTCCAAATACAGTCACATTCTGAGGTATTGTGGATTAAGACTTCAACATATGAATTTTCGGAGGAAGAGGATTCAGTCCCTAATACCTTCTACAAGCTCCATCAGCCCTACCCAACTCCCCATTCCTCCCCAGAGGTGAGAGAAGAGGGAATACGGACAAGCCTTACCTGTAGAATTTCCAAAGAAGAATGCTTCCAGAAGAACTACTACCAGATCATTTCCTCACTGAACCTGGACCACTGGACTGATCTCTCTACAACAGGCTCGGACTCTCAAACAGCCTCTTTCACCTCACCTGCCTGCTCTGCAGGTCTGAAGTGACCACATAGAAGTTACAAGTCTCCTCTTCTATAATCCCCTATGTGGTAGGTTGCTGCCAAAGATGAAGAGAGTCATGATCGCACCACTGCACTCCAGCCTGGTGGACAAAGGGAGGCTCTGTCTCAAAGAAAAAAAAAAAAGATGGCTACACCAATCCGTCCATTTTTGAATGAGTACATCATTTTTCCCATCTAGAGGTGGGGCCTATTTACCCTCACCTCCTCTCGAATCTGAGTTGACTTTTGAGGCCTGCTTTTTTTTTTTTTTTTGAGTTTTTAGAGACAGGGTCTCACTACACTGCCCAAGTTGGGTTTGAACTCCCGATCTTCCTGCCTCAACCTCCTGAGTAACTGGGACCTCAGGTGCACACCATTGTCCCCAGCTTTTTGTGTCTTGCTTTGACCAATAGAATGTAGTGGAAGTGATGCTGTGCCAGGTTAGCCCCTAGGAGGCCGGGCAGCTTCCACTTCTGCCCTGTTGAAACGCTGAGACCACCATGCTGTGGAGAAGCCCAAGTTGCCTTGTGGCGAGGCCCTGTGGAGGATAACAAAGATGTCCCAGCCAACAGCTCAGCCCAGCCAGCAGCTGCTTAGAGTCAAAAGAGTGACCCAGTTGGGACCACAGAATAATGAGAACTAATCATCATTGCTTAAGCCACTAAGTTTTGGGGGTGATTTGTTATGTAGCAGTAGATCACTGAAACACGTCTTCCCAGTTCAACTCTCCCCTGAGCTTCCTATGTGTTATCCAAGGTTTCAATCACTGTGCTCATCTCAGTGTGAGGGAATGAAATGCTTGCCTTCGTGGAAAAGAGACACGAATGGCACTGTAGAACAAAGCTGTGTGGGAGATCTCTTATAGTTCACTTCTTCTCTTGTCCTACTGGCTTCATTCTTAACTTACATGTTATTATGTGAAATTTCTATAGCAAAGAGTTATTCTTCATACAGGAGGTGCGAGCTATATAGACAAAGACTGGAGACAACCCTTATTTATTTATTTATTGAGATGGAGTCTTGCTCTGCCGCTCAGGTTGGAGTGCAATGGCATTTTCTTGACTCACTGCAACCTCCACCTCTTGAGTTCAAGAGATTCTCCTGCCTCAGCCTCCTGAGTAACTGGGATTACAGGCGCACGCCACCACACCCAGCTAATTTTTGTATTTCTGGTAGAGTCGGTGTTTCACCATGTTGGCCAGGATAGTCTTGACCTGCTGACCTCATGATCCATCTGCCTTGGCCTCCCAAAGTGCTGGGATTACAGGCATGAGCCACCATGCCCCGCCAAGACAACCTTTATTATATGGGAAATTTTTGTCGTAACTATACTCCCGGTGTGCTATGTCGTAGTATATTTATGAGGATATGAAAACCATGGTTACATAGAGATGCTCTGGAGAAACGGTGTCACTAGAAACAGGTACCATACTCCATTCCTGCACTTTAAAGTTTCACATTCGTTATGCAGTCAGCTGGGCTTTGCTGCATCGTACTGCAGTTGGAAGGTTTTTTTGTTTTGTTTTGTTTTTTCAAGTGAAAACCAAGGCACAGAGAAACTGAATGACTTATGTGGAGGCAAAGCATTGGTAGACATCAAGAGAGGCTGTTATATTCTTGACGTCAATGCTGACACAAGTCTCGTGGTGGAGTAGACACTACGTACAATAGGAAGGAGTGGGAAGGGCCAGGAGGCAGCATGGAAAAGCCCTGAGGATGAGGCCTTGTTTTGTTCATCTTGTAGCTCCTGGAACACCTTGGTAATCTGTGTGTGTTAGAGCCCATTGACTTTCACTCTGTGTCTAGAGCACAGATTTGCCTGGAGAAACCTGGGTTCAAGCCCTGGATCTCCTGCTCCCTGGCTGTCTGATACTGGCCAAATCAGTAAATATGCAGATGGTCTGGTTTCCTCACCTCCAAAATGAAGGTGTGAATACTCTACCACTCCTAATGCTTAATAGCATTCTGCAAAACATTTAGAAGTAATAGTGTTCTAGAATACCACAGGATGCTAAGGGTGTAGCTTCTGGGAAAACTGAGGCACAAGAAGATTAAATGATTTTTCCCCAAGGTTTAGAGACAATAACTGAAAGAGGTAAAACTAAAACCCAAGTCTCCCAACTTCCACTATTAGTACTAATACTATTACTACTTTCTACTTCAAAGGATTGTGGTAAGACAAAATTTAGAGTGCTTGCTTCGGCAGCACATACACTAAAATTGGAATAAATGAAAGATTAGCATGGCCCCCATGCAAGGATAACATGCAAATTCATGAAGTGATTTAAATTTAAAACAATTTTTTAAATTAAAATATTGGCTGGGCTCGGTGGCTCATGCCTATAATCCCAGCACTTTGGGAGGCCGAGGCAGGCAGAACACTTGAGGTCAGGAGTTTGAGATCAGCCTGGCCAACATGGTGAAACCCCGTCTCTACTAAAAATACAAAAAATAGATGGGCATGGTGGCTCATGCCTGTAATCCCAGCACTTTGGGAGGCTGAGGCTGGCAGATCACTGGAGGTCAGGCCAGGATCGCACCATTGCACTCCAGCCTGGGAAACAAGAGTGAAACTCCATCTTAAAAAAAAATAAAAAGAAAAAAGAAAAAAGAAATATTTCTTAATATGTTTTTTTTTTAAAAAAAGAACTGACATGATAACTTTTTAAGTAGAGAATTATCTTTCTATTTTAAAATGTTACAACTGAGTTCTTTAGATTTCAAATTGTATTTGAACTGAACTTTCAAATTGTTGCTGTTGTGAAGGAATGTCTTGATTCAGCTCTTTGTCTAGGGCCCTCTGTCTCAGGAAAGAAAATGCATTCTTTGGAGAATATAAAGCCTGCTATGACCCTGCTGAGTTGTAAATAGTTTGTGCTATCCAGAAACAGTACTCGATTTGAAAATACCATTTTAAAGACATCATTTGTTGTTTGACTACCACTTCCTATTTCCTACAAAAATTGGAAAACTAGAATAGCAAGTCCTGTCCTCTTGGGACTTATTTCCTCATTTGTTTGATGTCTCCTTCCAACTTGAAAATACTGTGTGTCACTTATTTGTGATATGAAATGAAAGTGAGCTGCCAGCATTCTGTTTTGATAACTTTTGAGGGTGGAGTGGAGAAAATATGACATCATTTAAAATTTTAAGAAGCAACCAGAGTTTGCATTAAGCAACTGCTATTTGCAGGCAACATCCACAAGTCATTACTTCCCATCCTTTGGCCCTTAATGACTTTCTTAGCTTTCATTCCTCCCAAATGGAGCAGTCAAAAGACCATCAATCCAATCAAATATGGAGGTTAAAGAAACCATCTGTGTAGGACAGGACATTCAGAATGGTGAAGCAAGCTCAGCAGACCCTCTCTCCAGCAAAACAACTCAAGTGGTGAAAATAATAAAAAGGCAATAATTTAAAGCCCCTGGAAATTGTTCAAAGGATGTACAGGAAACAAAGAAAAAGTCCCTCAAAAAAATATATTAAACCTTCGTAGGAAGGGTCTGTGGCAGTTGAGCCACCTCCTGCTTCCTTACCCTCTGCACCCATAGCTCAGTGTTAATGGAAGTGCTACCCATTCTGCACCCTCCACTCTGGGCAGGTGTGGCCAAGATGATGGGGGCTCTCTTTTCATCCCCCCTTTCCACCTGCCAGTCTGAGGGTATGGTTTCACCCCTCCTGCCCCCAGCCCTGTGTTGCAGAAGCTCTATTCTAGGCAGTACCAACTCCCCTTCTCTATCTTGCCTCCCTTGATTGTAGGGTAGAAGTTCTACTCCAGGTGAAGCAGGCTGAGAATACTGGGGCCTCTGTCACCCCCACCCAGCTCACTCACTAGTAGTAGGGAGGTTCCATGCTGCAACGGACAAGCCAAGAAGAACAGGCTTATCCACAGCTGCCACAGCTGCCACCCCAGTACCTACTTGCAAATCTGGGCATTCATCACTCTGGGAAAAGTGGGTCCCTGACCCCAGCTCCTTGCAGTCTTGCACAGGTTCTGTCCCAGGGGAAAGGCAAATCAAGATGACAAAGAGGCCAGGCATGATGGCTGGCGCCCGTAATCCCAGCACTTTGGGAGGCTGAGGCAGGACGATCACTTGAAGCAAGGAGTTGGAGACCAGCCTGGGCAACAAAGCAAGACCCCATCTCTAAAAATAAAAATTTAAAAATTAGCTGAGCGTGGTGGTGCACATCTGTAGTCCCAGGTACTAGGGAGGCTAAGGTGGGAGGATCACTTGAGCCTTGAGGTTGAGGCTGTAGTGAGCTATGCACTCAGCCTGGGTGACAGAATGAGACCCTGTCTCAAAAAATAAACAAATAAAAATAAAGTAAATAATAATATTGCAGTCTTCCCTGGCAGTCTGGAAGACTGTATGCATGTCCAAGGCTGTACCTTTCCAGGGTGTGATCAGAGGAGTGACCACAGAGCTCTAAGATAATAGAACATGAGAGAAAAAGGTAACCCCTTCCCCCACAACTGGGCTAGCAACCTTCAAGCAACACACATTTCCAACAATAAACATCTAACTGCTAAGCAGGCTTAAGTACAACATATGAACAATAAGAAGGTGACCTGCCAGAAGTGATTCCTAGCCTAAGTGGCCAGGCTAAAAGAGAATAACAAGGTCAGAGAAATCTGAGGTTGAATGTCAGAGGCTGCACACTGCAAGGGACACAAACTTTGCAGGATTACTTTAGTCAAGTCGCTAAGCAAATAAATAAACCCCAGCAAACAATAACCATCACCACCCCTAGCAGTGGCGTCAGTATCCACAGTTGCTACAAAATATTACCTAAAATATTTAGTTTTCAACAAAAAATTGCCAGGCATGCAAAAACAAAACCAAACAAAAAAATAAGAAAGTGTGACCCATACACAAGAAAAAAAAAGCCAGCAATAGAAACTGCCTTTGAAGGGGTCCAGATAGTGGACCTAGTAGACAAGGCTTCAAAACAGCTATTCTAATCGATACCTTCCTGGCTAACATGGTGAAACCCCGTCTCTACTAAAAATCAAAAAATTAGCCAGGTGTGGTGGCGGGCACCTGTAGTCCCAACTACTTGGGAGGCTGAGGCAGGAGAATGGCGTGAACCCGGGAGGCGGAGGTTGCAGTGAGCCGACATTGCGCCACTGCACTCCAGCCTGGGTGACAGAGCAAGACTCTGTCAAATAAATAAATAAATAAATTAATAAAATAAAATATAAAAATAAAACAGCTATTCTAAGCATGCTCAAAGAACTAAAGAAAACCCTTCTCAGAAAATTAAAGGAAGATATGATAGCAATGTCTTATCAGAAGAAAATAGCTAGAAATGTTCACAAGTGCCTGTTAAAAAACAAAAGAAAGAAAAGGCCAGGCACAGTGGCTCATGCCTGTAATCCCAGCACTTTGGAAGGCCAAGGCAGGCGGATCACTTGAGGTCAGGAATTCAAGACCAGCCTGGCCAACATGGTGAAACACTGTCTCTACTAAAAATACAAAAATTAGCCAGGCGTGGTAGTGGGCACCTGTAATCCTAGCTACTTGGTAGGCTGAGGCAGAAGAATCACTTGAACCTGGGAGGCAGAGGTTGCAGTGAGCCGAGATCACGTCACCGCAGTCCAGCCTGGGCAACAGAGTGAGATCCTGTCTCAAAAAAACAAAACAAAACAAAACAAACAACAACAAAGAAAATATCAATAAAGAGAAACTATTAAAAAGAACCACATAGAAATTCTGAACATAGAAAGTACAAACAGAAATGAAAAATTTATAAAGGGGTTCAACAGTAAATTTGAGCTGGCAGAGAAATCCAAAGGAAGTCAGAAAGTACTTAGAGCTAAATGAAAATAAAGACACGGCATACCAACACTTATGGGATACAGCTAAAGTAGTGCTGAGAGGGAATTTTATAGCTATAAATGCCTATGTTAACGAAGAGGAATGATCTCCAATCAGTAACCTAAACTTCTCCCCTAGGACTCTGGCAAAAGAAGAGCAAACTAAACTGAAGCAAGTAGAAGGAAGAAAAGAATAAAAATTAGAGTAGAAATTAATAAAATAAAATAAAAAGTAGGAAAACAATAGAGACAATCAGTAAAACCAAAGTTGATTATTGAAAAGATGGACAAAAATGACAAAGCTTTAGCTAGATAGACCAAGAGAAAAAGAGAGAAGGCTCAAATTGCTAGAATCAGAAATGAAAGAGGAGACACTACTACTGACTTTACGGAAATACATGGGATTATAAGGGCATACCACAGGCTGCATGCCAAAAAAAGCAGATAATTTAGATGAGATGGAAAATTCACAGAAAGACATGTACTACTGAAACTGATTAGAGAAGTAGAAAATCTGAATCGACCTATATCCGGTAAAGAGATCAAATTAGTAATTTTCAAACTTCCTGTGAAAGAAAACTCAAGTCCAAGTGGCTTCACTGATACACTTCCCAACTCATACTTTGAGGCTAGTATTTACCCTGATACCAAAATCAAAGACATTACAAGAAAAGAAAAAAGGACCAACATCCCTTATGAATACAAAAATTCTCAAAAATGCAAACATAAAATACTGGCAAACAGAATACAGCAACATATAAGGAGGTTTATATACCATGAGCAAGTGGGATTTATAACAGGAATACAAGGTGAGTTTACAGTCAGAAATCAATTAATGTAATACACACTATTAATAGAATAAAGCATGCATAGTAGAAAGGAAGAATTAAAACAACCTCTTTTTACAGATGACATGATCTTGTATATAAAAAATCCCAAGGAATCTACTAAAAAACTAATAGAACTAGTAAACAAGCTCATCAAGGTAACAGGATATAAGATTAATATTCAAAAGTCAATTTTATTTCTACTCACTAAAAAGAAATATTGCAAAAAGGAAATTAAAATAATTCAATTGATAGTAGCATCAAAAAGAATAAAATAGGCATAAATTTAATAAAAATACACAATTTATACACTTAAAACTATAAAATATTGCTGAAATAAATTTAAAAGTCCTCAATAAATGCATTAGAATGGTATAAATCATTGCTTGGAAGATTCAATATCACTAAAATGGCAGCATTCCCCAAATGGATTTATAGATTCAACGCAGTCTCTATCATAATCCCAGCTGGTCTGTGGTAGAAATTGATATACTTATCCTAAAATTCTCATGAAAATGCAAGGGACCCAGAATAGACAAAACAACCTTGGAAAAGAAGATCAAAGTTGGAGGACTCACATTTCCTGATTTCAAAACTTGCTACCAAAGTTACAGTGATCAGGGCAGTTGCTGTGGCTCATGCCTGTAACCCCAGCACTTTGGGAGGCCAAGGTGGGAGGACTGTTTGGGTCCAGGAGTTCGAGACCATACCAGGCAACATAGGGTGGCCCTCATCTCTACAAAAAAAAAAAAAACAAAACAACAACAACAACAAAAATTTAAAAATTAGCCAGGTGTGGTGGCACGCACCTGTGGTTCCAGGTACTCAGGAAGCTGAGGTGGGAGGATCGCATGAGCCAGGAAGACAGAGGCTGCAATGACCTGTGACCATGCCAACTGCACTCCAGCCTGGGTGACACAGCAAGACTTTGTCTCAAAAAAATAAATAAATAAAAAATAAATTTAAAAAAGTTATAGTAATCAATACAGTGTGGTACTGACATAGACATAGTCACATAGGTCAATGGAATAGAATTGAGAATCCAGAAACAAAGCTTTATATATATCATCAGTTGGTTTTCTACCAGGGTGCCACAACAATTCGGTGGAAAAAGAATAATCTTTTCAACAAATGGTGCTGGAACAACTGGATACCCTTATGCAAAAGAATGCATTTCATATCATATGCAAACATTTACTCCAAATGTATTGGAGAGCTAAATGCAAGAGTTAAAACTATAAAACTCACTGGGTGCGGTGGCTCATGCCTGTAATCCCAGCACTTTTGGAGGCGGAGGAGGGCGGATCATTTGAGGTCAGGAGTTCAAGACGAGGCTGACCAACATGGTGAAACCCCATCTCTACTAAAAACACAAAAATTAGCTGGGTGTGGTGTCAGGCACCTGTAATGCCAGCTACTAGGGAGGCTGAGGCAGGAGAATCATTTGAACCCTGGAGACAGAGATTGCAGTGACCTGGGATCATGCCACTGCACTCCAGCCTGGGTGACAGAGTGAGACTCTGTCTGAAAAAACAAACAAACGAACAAAAAAACAAAACTATAAAACTCTTAGAAGAGATTTAAATACCCGAATTATAAGAAACAAAAGAAAGCATAGATAAAATTGGACTACATCAAAATTAAACACTTTTATGCATGGAAGGACATTATCAAGAAAGTGAAATGCCAACCTACGGAACAAGAGAAAATATTAGCAAATCATATGTCTGATAAAGGATGTGCTTCCATATTATATAAAAAACTCTTGAGAATTAAAAAAACAACGCAATTAGCCAGGTGCGGTGGCTCATGCTGTAATCCCAGCACTGTGGGAGGCCGAGGTGGGTGGATCATGAGGTCAGGAGATCGAGACCATCCTGGCTAACACAGTGAAATCCAGTCTCTACAACAAAATACAAAAAAAATTAACTGGGCGTGGTGGTGGGCACCTGTAGTACCAGCTACTTGGGAGGCTGAAGCAGGAAAATCGCTTGAGTCCGGGAGGCGGAGGATGCAGTGAGCCGAGATCATGCCACTGCACTCCAGCCTGGGTGTCAGAGCGAGACCCCGTCTCAAAAACAAAAAACAAAAAAAACACCCAATTAAAAAATTGGGCAAAGTATTTGAGTAGACATCTTTCCAAATAAGATATATAGAATGCCAATTAGCCCACGAAAATATGCTAAATGTCATTAGTCATTAGGGAAATGCAAATCGAAAGTACAAGATACCACTTTATACCCACTAGGATGACTATAGTAAAAAATACAGACTCTAACAAGTATTGGTGAGTATATGGAGAAATTGGAACACTCATGCACTGCTAGTGGAATTGTAAAACGGTGTAGCCTTGTGAAAAGCAGTCTGGCAGTTCCCCAAAAAAGTTAAATATAGAATTACCATATGACCTAGCAATTCCACTCATAGGTATATACCCAAGTGAACTGAAAACATATGTCCACACACAAGCTTGAACATGAATGCCTGTAGCAGCATTATTCATAATAATTAAAAAGTGGAATCAATCTAGACATTTATCAACCGATGAATAAAGAAAATGTAGTATATCTGAATAATAGAATATTATTTGTCAATAAAAAGCAATGAAGTAGAAGTACTGATAGAGACTGTAACTTGGATGAGCCTCAAAAACATTATGCTAAGTAAGCCAGTCCCAAAATATCACATATTGTATAAGTCCTTTTATATGAAATGTCCATAAAAGACAAATCAACAGACACAAAGTAGATTAATGTCTGCTCAGGCCTGGGAGTTACTGTAGGCATGGGAATGATTGCTAATGGGTATAGGGTTGGTTTTTTGTTGATGTTGTTGCTCTTTTTTGAGAGACAAAAATGTTCTAAAAGTGGGTGGTCGTGGGGGTTGCACAACTCTGTGAATATATAAAAAATGTGAATTATATACATTAAATAAATAAATTGCCTACTCTGTTAATTATATCTCAATGAGGCTGTTTAAAAACATCAGTGTATGTTTTCCTTGATGAAAAAAGAAATTAATTGTCAATCTTCCAAGTAGTTTAAAAATCTTAATGTCTCTTACTCAAAAATAAAAAGAGTATTTATGGTTTCAGAATCATCCATCCTGGGGAAAGATGACTAGAGCAATTTTCCAGATACATAGGATTGAAAACCAATGGGAACAGGTGGCATGAATTTAGTTCCATTGATTGCTCCCAGACAGACTGCAAAAAGGGTTTTTGGAAAACACTGAATTAGAAAAAATACCTTATTTGTCTTAAAACTAACACAATTACCAGGAAGCCGTGGGTTTATATTTGGAAAGATCATTTTACATTACCAGTTTTTGCTATGAAATGAAATCTCTTTCAACTCAAAATTCTGGCAGATTTTTTTTTCCTCATGGGGATTAAAAAATTTTATTCACATGCTTTTTAAAAAGAGAGAAACTTCTTCGTAAACATGATCTGTTTCTCATACTGTCCAGTGGCTGATTATATCCACATTTTTAAGCAGATGGCAGTTAAGGATACTAACAAAAAGAAAACACATTTTAATTTCCTTTATTAAATTGAGGTAGGAAGATAATCTTAGGATGATTAAATTAGAGAACTTAAATAACTCACTCCTTAGGAAAATGATGGCTGAAACCGCAGAGCTACTAATGTAGTGACAATGGAAAACAAGTGGTCACAGGGAATGGGGAGAAGGCTTATTTTCTTTGATAACAAAGAAACAAGGAGGCTCTCTGTAATAGACAGTGCCATCTCCCCCTCACTCTATGCACAGCTCCAGATAGGACGGAAATTGCTGGGAGCCTTGGTGTTCTGCGCACACGCATGAGATTGAAAACCTTAGCAGGTGATAATCTGCAACCTGGTGGGCTCAGCACTTTCTCTGGTTACACGGAAGAAAACATTAAGGGTTTCCTCGATTTACCGCCACTTTCTCAGAACACCACGTGTGTGATGTGGCCATTAAAAGCGACCTGCCATTCTCTTTCAAAGCAAAAATGTCATAACCTCTTCTTCAAGAGGCTTTTCCACTTTATTACGTTTTCTTGCTCAGTTCTGGGAAGTAGATACTTTCTATCAGGACAAGGAGAATAAGTCTTTTGAACTGTCAAATAGGATATTGCCTTTATTTCTTCAAGGTATGAGTTACATATGCTTCATCCCAGGAATATAAACTAGCCAGACAATAGGTCTGTCCACACATATGCAGGGATAATGTAGCACCCCTGACCTTTGTCAAATCTGCTCTGAGTTACAGGAGTTTATTGATGAAACTGTGGATGAAGCTGATGCCAATACACCTCAGGGCCCTGACTGGCCTGTAGGTTAAGGGTTCACGAGACAAAGTGAAGCAGGGGAGGCCCTGACCCACGCCACTGGAGGGAAAAACACGCTAGACGTTTAGAAAACGAGACTTGGCTAGATTTTTTTTTTTCTTTCTGAGACAGAGTCTCACAACCATCGCCCAGGCTGGAGTGCAGTGGCCTGATCTCGGCTCACTGCAACCTCAGCCTCCCAGGTTCAAGCAATCCTCCTGCCTCAGCCCCCTGAGTAGCTGGGATTACAGGCATGTACCACCACACCCGGCTAATTTTTTGTATTTTTAGTAGAGACGGGGCTTCACCATGCTGGCCAGGCTGGTCTCGAACTCGTCCCTCAAATGATCCACCTCCCTCAGCCTCCCAAAGTGCTGGGATTACAGGTGTGAGCCACTGCCCCCAGCCACTTGGCTAGATTTTTAAGACTGCTTGTATATTCCATGTTTTAAGGGCTGATAATATTTGAACAAGTAAAGAAAAAAGCATGGTACTAGCTATACAAAAGTTGAAAAGCACCGTAACTTTTGCTCCTGCTCTGCTTTCATAGTGGACACACTGGTTAAGGCCATTCTCATACATTCTAGAAGAATCCAATTGGTTAGAAAGAATCAACTCTTCTCCAGGAAAGAGGACCTATTAGGCTGCCTGTTTTTCAGGATCTGTGATAGACTGAGTGCATATCCCATCCCACCCACTTTCCTCACGATGTAAACTGACGCCTCTCCATCGAGAGGTAGGGTCTATGCTCCCTCCCCTTGAACCCAGGCAGACTTTTGTAACTGCCTTGACCCATCAGATGCGGTGGAAGTGATACGATATGTGACTTCTGAGGTCATAAAAGCAACTCGGCTTCTGCTTGACTCTCTGTCTCTCTGGGTCACTTGTCCTTGGAACCCAGCCACCGTGTCAGAGGGAAGCCCAGGCTGGGGACCCAGGCCACAGCCAGCATCAACTGCCAGACACCGAAGTGAATGGACCTCCCGACAGTGCCAGCTCCCTGAATCCTTATTGGTTTAAGCCATTTTGTGTTGGGATAAGTTGTTATGCAGCGATAGAAAACTAATAAAAGAAAGATCTAGGCCTCTTCTTGGTGAAAAGCTGCAAGACAAGGGAAATTAAAAATATTTTAAGCCAGGCACAGTGGCTCATGCCTGTAATCCCAGCAGTTTGGGAAGCTGAAACAGGAGGATTGCTTGAGCCCAGGAGTTTGAGACCAGTTGGGCAATATAGTGAGACCCATCTCTACAAAAAATTTATAAATTAGCCAAGCGTGGTGGTGTGCACCTGCAGTCGCAGCTACTTGAGAGGCTGAGGCAGGAGGATTGCTTGAGCCCCAGAGGTCGAGGCTGCAGTGAGCTGTGATTGCACCACCACACTCCAGACTGTGTGACAGATTAAAACTCTGTCCCGCCCCCCCCGCAAAGAAAACCCCAAAACTCATTAGCTGTGAGATTTTGGGCAAGTTACTTAACATCTCTGTGCTCCAGGTTCCTTGCCTATCAGTGGAGCCAACATTAATATCTATTTCACAGATTTTGTGAGGTTTAAAAGAGGTTAATACATGTGAAGCATTTAGAAGAGCAGCTGGCATGTGTTCAATACTCTATGTTAGCATTATTGTGGTTATTATTATCTGTTATAAACTGTTCCTTAAAATACAACTCAAAGCAAATATGGTAAAACGCTAACATTGTTAAATCCCTGTGGTGTGTTTTTGAGTATTATATCATTATTGATAGTTTGCTGTATGTTTGAAATAATTAATAATAAAATTGAGGTACACAAAAAGAGGCATGGTCTTAGTTCTAAGGTAGTTCACACGTTAGGGAGGTAGATAAGTAACCTACCCCAGAGAACAATTGTAGTGTACATGGGTATGTGTGTGCATGTGCACAATGAGCTGAAATTCTTTCTCTTTCTTTTTTTCTCTTTTTCTTTTTCTTTCTTTCTTTCTTTTTTTTTTTTTTGAGATGGAGTTTATTTCTTGTTGCCCAGGCTTGGGTGCAATGGCACGATCTCAGCTCACTGCAACCTCCGCCTCCCGGTTCAAGCAATTCTCCTGCCTCAGCCTCCTAAGTAGCTGGGGTTACAGGCACCCACCATCACGCCTAGCTAGTGTTTGTATTTTTCGTAGAGACGGGGTTTCACGATGTTGGCCAGGCTGGTCTCGAACTGCCGACCTCAGGTGATCCGCCCTCCTCCGCCTTCCAAAGTGCTGGGATTACAGGCATGAGCCACCACGCCCAGCTTCCTTTCTCCTCTCCTCCCCTCTCCTCCCTACCCCTCCCTTCCTCTCCTTCCCTCCTTCCCTTCCTCCCTCCCTCCCTCCCTTCCCTTCCTCCCTCCTTCTTTCCTTCCTTCCACTTCTTTTTCTTTCTTTCTCTTTCTTCTTCTTTCTTTTCTTTCTTTCTTTCTTTCCCTTCCTTCCCTTTCTTCCTTCCTTCCTTCCTTTCTTTCTGTCTTTCTTTCTCTTTCTTCTTTTTTTCTTTCTTTCTTCTTTCTCTCTTTCTTTTCTCTCTCTCTCTTTCTTTCCCTCCCTCTCTCTCTCTCTCTTTCTTTCTTTCTTTCCCTTCCTTCCTTTTCTTTCTTCCTTCCTTTCTTTTCTTTTCTTTTCTTTCTTTCTTTCTTTCTTTCTTTCTTTCTTTCTTTCTTTCTTTCTTTCTTTCTTTCTTTCTTTCTTTCTTCCTCTTTCTTTCTCTTCCGTTCTTTCTTCTTTCTTTCTTTCCCTATCATTGGCTCTTATTTTTAGTACAGGGTCTTACTCTATCACTTAGGCTGGAGTACAGTGGGCCAAGACAGGTTACTGCAGCCTTGACCTCCTGGGCTCAGGTTATTCTCCTGCGTCAGTCTCCCAAGTAGCTGGGAACACAGGTGTGCACCACCATGCCTGGCTAATTCTTTTATTTTATTTTTTTGTAGAGATGGGGTCTTGGATTCCTGGCCTCAAACAATCCTCTTGAGTCAGTCTTCCAAAGTGCTGGGATTACAGGCATGAGTCACTGTGTCTGGCCCTGAAATTTTTATCTTACCACCTGGCACCAGAATTCCTCTTAAGGAGAGAATAGTGTTTGTTTTGGAAAAACAACTTGATAAGCCACTTCAACTTGGGGTTGAAGGTGGGACCTTGAGAGCTGAGTGTTGGCAGGAGTTCAAGTATCAAAGAGACAGAATTACTCTGCTCTGCATGAGAAATTGGAGGGGGAAAGTGAAGAACAGAGACAAGAGAGAGGATAAGAAAAAGAGAAGCCTGAATTGGTGGGAGGCTAGGCTTACCCAGGGTGAAGGGTGTTTCTGGTAGGAATGCGTTCAGCAGCAAGTTATAGAAAATGGGACAAGGGTACAGACAATTAGGAGCTTATTTTTCTCTGATAGCAAGTAGTCCAGAGGAAGTTGGTTTTTGGCTGTGGTTCAGTAATGGTGTTGTGGCCTCACAGACTTCCAGCTACAGGGAGCATAACTGACCAAGGGCGTCAGCCATTGCGCTTTAAAATCTATTGCAATGTTTGTGCAAAAGCCATGCATTCCATGGGTGGCTCCCAACCAGTGGTTTATGCGGCAGGGATACCAAGGCCAATCCACTCCTGGAAGACCTGGGACTCCTCTGACAGTCACGTTTGGCTTGAAGACTCCTGGATGGCTTTGCTGAACTTGCCTTAGACTATACAGCAGTCTAAGATGCCTTCACCCAATCTTCTCTCCCTCTCTTCTTCAGTTGGATAGAGTAAGACATCATCAAAATCTGGTGGCTCTCCTAGTCTTATTTGGCCCCCTCCCTATTTTCCCTTATACAGGCATATCCCCTAATCAGATCTTTGCCCATTTACTCCTATCTAGGCATTTGCTTCCTGAAGAACTTAAACTGACACCATTGGTAACGCTGAGATTTCTCTGGGCTTTCTCCCATGGTTGCAAAAAGGCCACCAGAGTTTGTACCATTACACCCATCTTCAAAAGCAGAAGAAGGAACGAAGAAAAAAAAAACTGTACCCGAGCTGGGCATGCTGGCTCACACCTGTAATCCTGGCACTTTGGGAGGCTGAGGTGGGTAGATCACTTGAAGTCAAGAGTTTGAGACAAGCCTGGCCAACATGGTGAAAACTCGTCTCTACTAAAAACACAAAAATCAGCCAGGCATGGTGGCAGGCACCTGTAATCCCAGCTACTCAGGAGGCTAAGGCAGGAGAATTGCTTGAACCTAGGAGGTGGAGGTTCCAGTGAGCCGAGATCATACCACTGTACTCCAACTTAGGCAACAGAGCTAGACTCTGTCTCAAAAAAACAAAAAACAAAAAAAACCAAAACCAAAAACCAAAACCAAAAAAACAAACAAACAACCAAAAAAAACAAGCTGTACCCATTACATCCAACTCTTTTATCAGAAAAACAAAAGCTTTCACAGTAGCCTCCACAGACTCATATCCTCACATCTGATGAAGTTAATTGGAGCATCCTTTCTTGAGCATCTTAACTGTCACACGAGGCATTGAAGAAACAGGTCAACACATGTAAGAATTACTTCTGAGAGCACATCACACACTAAAAGAAATTGCCTCCAAAAGAGTATTTTGTGTCATAATTCAACATTTCGTGTATTCATTCTTGTCTGCAGTGTGCAAGAGCTCTGCCAGAATGTGTGTAATTTGGGGAATATTCAGTATTGTTTAAAAATGAAATGTTTTTATGAACACTCAAACCCCAAATGATTTTCCTAACACTAATGACACTAATAAAGCCTTTACCATATAGCTGTTTGCTCAGAGGGCTGAGGAAATTTAAAGACAACTGTGTATTGCAACAGCTCCTGGAAAAAACCCCTGTATTTAATTTTGTAGCTTTTAAAGCTTCATTAGAGCATTTATCATTTTGTGTAAGAAACCAAGAAAACCATCAAAAAGCCATCTGACCTGTATAAAATGCTTTCTTGAATAAGCCCTTAAAAATAGTAAGATCACAGGAAATTATTAAAATGTATCTTTCCCAAGAAATTTGTAATTGGTAGAATTTATCCTACCAAAATGCCAGCTAGTATAGGCCTTTAAAACACAAGCTGCTCTTTGGAAAATATAATTTTGGATTCCACAAATATTTATTTAGAAACTTCCACATGCCAGGTGCTGGATTAAGATTTGAATGAACCACACAGAGTTCTCCATCTTCAGGGAACCGTCTTCCAGTGGGGTTGCTATGATTTGATATGTCCCCTAAATTTTGTGTGTTGGAAACTCAATCCCCAAATCCACATGTTGACTGGAGATGGGGCTTTTGGGAGCTAATTATGTTTGGATAAGGTCATCAGTGTGGAAACGCTGTGATGGAATTGGTGACTTCATAAGAAGAGGAGAAGAGAGCTGAGTGAGCTGATGCACACACGCTTGCACTCCTGCCACATGATCCCCTCCGCCATGTAATCATGCAGCACAAAGGCCCTCGCCAAATACTCTCAGACTTCCCAGTCTCTGAAACTGTGAGAAATAAATTTCTTCCTTTCTATATTACCCAGTCTCATGTATGGTTATAGCAACATAAAACAGACTAAGACAGAAAACTGGCATGGAGAAGTGGGACTCTTGGTAATAATTAATATTTGAAAATGTAGAAGCAACTTAGGAACTGGGAAGAAGCTGGAACAATTTTGAAGTAAATGCTGGAAAAATGTTGTATTGCCATAAATGGAACATTAAGGGTGATTCTGGTGAGGGTTCAAAAGAAAAGAAGACTAGGGAAAGTCTGCAACTTCTTAGAGTGAAGTGGTGTGACTAGAACATTGGTGGAAATATGGGCAGTAAAGGCCACTCTGATGAAGTCTCAGGCAGAATGGAGGAATAAGATATTGGAACTGGAGTAAGGGTCATCCTTATGACATTGTGGCAAAGAAGCTGGCTGAACTATGTCCATACCCAAGGGCCTTAGAGAAGATGGAACTTAAGAACAATGAACTAGGTTACCTGGTAGGAGAAACATCTAAGCAGCAAAGCACTCAGGCTACTGCATGGCTACTTTTAATACTTATTGTAAGATATGAGAGGAAACAGAAGGAAAAAAATTTGGAAAATGTGTAGCCTGGCCACATGAAGTACTCTTCATGTGCAAATACAAAGGAGCCAGAGGCTATTCATCAAGATAGGAAAAGAATGACTCCAAAGGCATTTCAGAGACCTTTGAGGCTGCTCCTCCCATCACAGGCCCAGAGCTCTAGGAGATGAGAATGGTTTCAGGGGACTGACCTGGGTAACCTCCATGGGCTTCCTGCCTAGGGCTGCCTCAGATCTGTGCTTCAGATCCGTAGAACCAACAGCATGCAGTTCCAGCCTGAGAAAACCACAGGCACCCAACTCCAACCCTCAAGGACTGAAGTGTGAGCGCATTCTGGTGTTCCTTGACCACCCCAGCCATGGCTCAAGCAGGTCCAGGTGTGACTAGACCCATAATTCCAGAAGGTACAAGCCAGAAACTTTGGTAATATCCACAGGGTGCTAATTCTGCAGACACACAGAATGCAAGAGCTGTGGGGCATAGCTTCCTCTGTGTAGATTTCAAAGGATGTCATGAACAGCATGGCTGCCCAGGCAGACTTGTTACAGGGCAGGACCACCACAGAATCCCTACTTAGGCAATGCCAAGCAGAACTGTGAGGTCGGAGATGCTACAGAGAGTCCCCACTAGGGCAATGCCTAGTGGAGTAGTGGAAGCACGGTCACCACAGAGTCCCACTGGGGTAATACCTAATGGAGCCATGGGAGCAGGACCGCTGCCAAGACCAGATCCGTAGAACCAACAGTGTGCAGTTCCAGCCTGAGAAAGCCACAGGCACCCAACTCCAACCCTCAAGGACTGAAGTGTGAGCAGAGCCCAGGTATGCTGTGAGAGTAGCGCTGTTGCCCAAGGCTTTGGGGACTCAACCCCCACACCAGTGTGCCCAGAATGCAGGACATGGAATCAAGAGAGAATATTCTCCAGCTTTAAGACTTAATGTTGTTTTCCCTTCTGTGTTTTGGGCTTCCTTGGGATCGGTTACCCCCTTTTCTTGCCTCTTTCCCCATTTTGGAATAGAAATGTCTATCTTATGCCTGTCTCACCATTGTATTCTGAAAGTAGATAACTTGTTTACTTTTACATGTCCACAGCTAGAGGGGACTTTATCTCAAGAAGAATTATGCTTTAAGTCTCACCCATATATGCTTCACATGAGACACCAGACTTTGAACTTTTGAGTTGGTGCTGGAACAAGTTAAAACTTTGGGGCTATTGGGATGGAGTTAACGTATTTTGTGTGTGAGAAGGACATAAATTTTGGAAGCCAGGGGTGGAATGCTATGGTTTGCATGTGTCCCCTAAATTTCATGTGTTTGAAACTTAATCCCCAAATCCATATTTTAATTGGAGGTGGGGCCTAGGGGAACTTATTAGGATAAGATAAGTTCACCAGGGTGGAGACCCCAGGACAAAACTGATGGCTTTATAAGAAGAGGAGAAGAGGTCTGAGCTGGCATGCATGCTCTTGTCTTCTTGTCATGTGATGCCCTCCACCATGTTATGACACAACAAGAAGGTCCTCACCAGATGCTGGCACCATGCTCTTGGACTTCCCAGCCTCTAGAACTGTGATAAATACATTTATTTTCTTTATAAATTACTCAGTTTATGGTATTGTGTTATAGCCTCAGAAAACAGACTAAGGTGAGGGAAAGATAATAAGCAACTGAGTAAATAACAAACAAATTAGAACATGCAGCAGGTGCCACAAAGGAGAAAAGCTGGAACTGTGGTAGATTGGTCAAGAATGGCATTTCTCAGAAAGTGATAGGGAAAGAACTCTGAGAAGAGGGGACTTCCCTTGGTGTGTACTGGAAAAAAGAGAAAGCTAGAGGACTTACCTGGGAGAGGCAAAAACTGGGGTGAGATGTGATCTGATTTGTGTTGTGGAAGTGAACCGACAGAAAAGCAGGAAGCTACCCGTGGATGACATCTCTGGACTTAGAGAGAAGTCAGTGAACTTGCTTCCTCTAAGGTGCAAAATGGTCCTGAGGACAAATGCAGCTATCCTGGCTACTGTTATTCCTGGAAGTAATAAACTGACCTTTGTCTCTCACTCAGGATTTCATGCCTTCTGTCAGCACACAAAAAACTATGGCGGACTAATTTGCAAATAGGGGTAAAATCTCACATTTTGATGGTTCTCTGTTCCAACCATAATCTGGACTCTCCCTTAACCCTGTCATGTCTCCACACACAAATCTCACTGCTCCCCAAGTCCTGCCCATCTGAGTAAGTGACATCACTAACCACCTAGATGCTCAATCCTGAAACCTGAGACTCATTGTTAGTTTCCACCCACACATTCACTCCCTCAGCACATCTTGTTGGTCCACCAAGAACATGAGGGCAAACCCAACTCCATTCATGCTTTTGAAGCCTTTGCCATGTCTTGCTTACATTCCACTGGCTAAAACAAGTCATGTGACCCAGCCTAAAGTCAAAGAGCAGGGAAATAGACTCACTTCTTTAGTGAAAAGAACTACAAAGTCACATGGCAAACAGCATGGGCACAGGGAGGGGTGATAAATTTGGGACATTAATAAAATCTATCACAAGCACTAAAGTGAATTTTTTTTTTTTTGCTGAGGAGAAGTCTGTTGTTCAAAATAGTCCACAGACTTAACATAGCATCTACTCTGACTTCAAAAGGGCTTTTTGAGAAACTGCCAAGAAGGAAGGCTATTTGCCAATAGAGTCCTCAGCAGAGCTGGACATAGGGTATTTTCTGGGGCCTATCTGTCGGAAACACAATGGCAGTCAATGCCTGGCTCTAGAAGTCTTACATCACCACAAACCTCCTTGTCTTCTGGCTTTGAGGTCTGGCTCAGACACAGAGCATGCCAGCAGGAGTGGACACTCTGGGCCAGTGATTCCCAAAGCCTAATAAACCTGTCACTGGCGGTATATGAGATGTTGATTTTAGGCATGTGTTAGCTTAGACTCATGTAGTCAAAATAAATGTCATTTAAAAAAATATTTTACTTTCTATTTTTTTTTTTTTTTTTTGACAGGGTCTTGCCCTGTCGCCCAGGCTGGAGTTCAGTGGAGCAATCACGGCTTACTGCACTTGACCTCCTGGGCTCAAGTGACCCTTCTACCTCAGCCTCCCTAGTAGCTGGGACCATGACTGGCTAATTTATTTTTATTTGTTGTAGAGACAGAGACTCCTGTCTAGCCCAGGCTGGTCTTGAACTCTTGTGCTCAAGTGATCCTCCTGCCTTGGCCTCCCAAAGTGCTGGGTTTATAGGCATGAGCCACCATGTCTGGCTCTTTTAAATTTTTGACAACTTTATTGAGGTATAATTTACATGCCATAATATTTACCCAATTTAAATATATAATTTGCTGAGTTTTAGTAAATATATACAGTTGCACGACCATCACTACAATCCAGTTTTAGAATACTTCAATTATCCCAAAAAGTGTTCTCAATTTCTCTTGTACACACATATAGTCAATCTAGAGTTCTACTGTATCCCCAGGCAACCACGGATCTACTTTCTATCTGTATGAATTTGCCCTCAATTTTCATGTAAATTGAATCCTAAAATATGTGGTCTTTTTGAGTTTGGTTTCCTTCAGTTCATTTTTGAGATTCACCCACATTGTTGCATATATCAGTAGTTTGTGTCTTTTCATTGCTGAGCAGTTGTCCACTGTTTTAAACACATAACCATCTTTGTTTTTAAGAGAGGGCTGGTCTGGGTTCAGAGTCTTGGTAATTAAGAGTATCTAGCCAAAATTCAATGACATTGTTTAGGTTTTATCTTATTTATTTTCAGGGTATTTTCTATTTATAGCATGTGGTACTGGTTTTCCATAAATGGTTGTGTATTAGTTATCTGTTGCTGCATAACAAATAACTCCAAAACTTAACAGCTTAAAATAATAAGCATTTGTTACTTACCATGTACTGAATGTTTATTTTGCCCCAAAAGTCACATGTTGAAATATGAACCCCAAGGTGATAATATTAGGTGAGACCTTTGAGAGGTGATTAGGTCATGAAGGCAGAGCCCTCATGAAAGAGACTAGTGCCCTTATAAAGGATACCCCAGAGAGATCCCTTGCCCCTTCTGTGATGGGAGGTTATAGCAAAAAAACAAAAACAAAAACAAAAAAACAGTGGTCTAGAAATCAGGCCCTCACATTTGCTGGATCTGCCAGCATCTTGATCTTGGACTTCCCAGCCTCCAGAACTGTGAGAAATCAATTTCCATTGTTTGTAAGCCACCCAGTTTACGGTTATCTTTGTTACAGCAGCTCAGGCAGACTAAGACATTATATCAATCAGTCTCTGCGGGTCAGAAATCTGGGAGTGACTTAGCTGGGTGGTTCTGGCTTTGAGTCTCTCCTAAGGTTGCAGTTAAGTTGCAACTAGAACTGCAGTTATTTGAAGGTTTGTCTGAGGTTGGGGGATTGTCTTCCAAGATGGCTGATTCACATGGCTGCTGTCTGGAGGTCTCAGTTCTTCATCACATGAGCCTCTCTATAGGGCTGTTCATAATGTAGCAACTGGCCTCCCCCAGAGGGAGTGATTCAAGAGAGCAAAAGAGAAGTGATCGTACCTTGTATGATCTAGTTTCTGAAATCTCACAAGATCCTCTTCCAGATTCACTCCTATCCAGGCTTACCTCCTGCCCTGGGAGGCTCTCGCCACAGAGGCTGCTGTGCCCAGAGGAGTTACTGCCCTGAGGAAGGCAACCCAGGACGGGGCCTGGGGAGCCCACTAAAGAGCCAGATCCCCCACTGCCTTGAGGGCTACACAGGGATGGAGAATGATGCATTTTGCCGGGCCCCACACTGGCTGAGGAGGGGGAACAGTGAGTTCCTCAGGACCTGCTCACCCACAGCTCTGCTCAAAAGAATAGGCCAATATCGGGAGAAGTGATGAGTAGGGAAGGGGATGGAGCGTAGCTGGCCAGGGCCAGCCGTGAGAGGGATGGGGAGAGACTGGGAAGCGGGTAATGTTTTAAGGCAATGCAGTCTACACCTGTTCCCTCACAGCGTCCCCAGGGAGAGGCTCTGGGGTGCAGCCAGGCAGGTTGGCCCACAGCACTGGGACTCCTAGGTTCAGCAAAGACCTCCTGTCCTAGCTTGGCCCAAGAGTAGCAGAGCCCTTATGCTCAAGGACCGTCTCAACTCTGACAGTGAGCTCGTGTCATTGGCCCTTGTTGTCAGTGAGGGCCAGAAACCAGAGGGTCCCTAGCTCCTGTTCTGGATTGTGTGAGACCCTCAGGACCCTAGGAGCAGGGAGGGGCAGACAATCTCGGCTCTATGGTAAGCTGGGGTGGGACTCAGCTGATTACACTTGGTTTAGAGAAACAAAGAAATGTGACACGAGAGACACACCAAGCTGTGGAGTTTATGATCGCAACCTTGCAACCTGAACTAAAAAGAACAGAGACAAATATTAAATACTTAAGTCAACACTGTGGGATTGAAATAATCCTAGGGAGAAAGGCACAGAGCTGCTCACGGTTCATTACAAGGTGAGCAGGCGCTGGGATAAAGTCCGGCTTGTGGCTCAGCTCCCTCAGGGGCCTCCTTGGGCGGCCAGTCCTCCATACGAGCCGCTTCCTCTGCCCAGAACTCACCCTGGTCAACCCATCTCCAGGTCTCGCCAAACCTTCTCACCAATGCCCAGAATCCCAGTGAGGTGGCTCTCTTGTTACTCTCTGCTCAGGCACCTGCGTGGCCTCCTCCCAGGAATCCATGGATCAACGTCATCAATGCGTGGATTCCTCCAGGGATCTAGGTTCAGTGTCAGGATGTCTGTCTTGTTCACAGTCTTACCTATACCCCCTACCCCAGTTCCCAGCATGGTGTTAAGAACCTAGTCTTCCCTTCACAATAGTTGTAGAGTGACTCCGTGGTGAAATCATGTTTTCAAGTTTTACCCAATGCACTTTCTCTCCCAGTTGCTCTTCCTCTCTACTCCCAGCTCCCCTGCCCTTTGCCTTGAAGCCTGGAGCTAGCTGGGGCTTGCCCTGCCAGGGAAGAAGGAAGCCACTAAACCCCAAAGCAGAGTCCTGTCCGAACAAAAACCTTTTCGTGGTGATGGGGAATGTTTATTATCTTGATTGTGTATACGTCAGTCAAAACTTATCAAATTGTACACTCTAAATATGTGCAGTTGATTGTGGGCTAGGCTTTTGAATATTTTAAGCAGAGATAAGTTTTGAAAGCCTGGTGCTAAGAAAGAAAAGTGCCTTTGGAATTGTAGATTTTGTTTAAAATATCAAGAGCTGGAGGGGGCAGGTGCAGACACTGGAACTAGAGGGTGGTTCTTAAACTCTGGTCTGGTCAGAACCACTGAGGGGGCTGGTTCCAGTGCAGTGTTTCTGAGGCAGCAGGTCTGGGGTGGGGCCCGAGCCTATGTCTAACAACTCCTCAGGCGATGCTGATGCTGCTGGTCCCGAGATCACACTTTGAGAACACTGGTCTCAAATATAGAAGGAGTGGGGATGAAAATATGAGTTTCCTGCTTTGAGAGATAGGAGTTCGCCAGCTGGGAAGGGAGGGAGACTTGCAGTGGGCGGGGCCAGAGCTTCGAGGCAAATGCCCAGTGTTCTGTGCTTCTGCTTCAGAGCAAACTCCCTATGGCAGGGGGAAGGGTGAATATCTTGGATCAGTCAGGGTACTTGAGAAGGAAGCTGTGATGGCCTGGCTCTCCAAGGTGTAGCCTGGGACACCTAGCCCTCCTGGAGAATCCTGCATGGAGGCCTGGGGGCAGTGGACTAGCAGTGTCTTGGGGGCGAGGTGGAACTTCAGAGGCCTGCCGGACCAGCAGGGGCCTTGTGGTTGGGACAAGGAGGGCATCGGCCTGACTCCTGCAGGGCAAGGACATCAAAAACAGCTGGCAACACACAGAAAAGGCAAGTCTCACTGGCAGAGGCAAGCGAGGACACAGCCAGCAGACATGTGTACAGCCTCCCAGGAACTTAGATCGCCTGAGGCACGGTTACCCAAAAGAACATGATTTTTAAACTGGAAGTCACCAGTTGTTTTAAATTGGCAAGATTAAGTTTTCCACCTTCAGCAAAAAATGAATGCACAAAAACTAAGTTAATTTTAGTAAGAGACAAATGAAGAGAGTTCCATCTTTGTGCATTTGAATTGCTGATGTTGGGGTTATTCAACTTTAAACTTGTTAGAAACATATTCAGTTTGCACTGCTGTGGGATAAGACTAGCATGTCTTCATGAAGGAGTTCAAGTCTTGGAGTTTGGTAGGACTTTGGACATCAGAAAGGAAAACAGAACGTGAAAAAGCCCAGAGATAATAAAGCTAAACCTATAACCTTGATGTGGGTGATAGAACTGTAGGGAATCTGAATTCTGCCTCTGTCTCCCACACCTCCAGTGGATGTAGGAAGCTCTAAGCCAAGTTCGGCGGGATGCTGAGTGGAGTTGGGGGGTGCAGGCGGGTGCTCTGACCTAACTCTAGTTCTCACCAGCTGAATGGAGTGTGCTGGGTCACCCAGGGAAGCCACAGCTGTCACCACATGGGGCTGGTGGAGCCTAGTCAGGGTTGTGTTTGGGATGGGAGCAAAAAAAGAGGTACCCAAGAAGACAGTCATCTTTGGGATCTAGCAGTCATTGACCATACATTATTCATTCATACCCATCATTCAGTCATTATGCATGTTTGTAACACACACAGAAGGAAATCTTGCTGCTGAAATGAAGGATCTAGAAATAAATTGCACTGGCAATGCAGGGGAAATCCCAACATCCCTGGGGCCTTCCAGGACCAGCTTCTTTTTATTATTATTATTATTCTTATACTTTAAGTTCTGGGATATGTGTGCAGAACGTGCAGGTTTGTTACATAGGTATACACATGCCATGGTCTTGGTTTGCTGCACCCATCAACCCATCATCTACCTTGGGTATTTCTCCTAATGCTTTCCCTCCCCCAGACCCCCTACCCTCTGACAGGCCCTGGTATGTGATGTTCCCCTCTCTGTGTCCATGTGTTCTCATTATTCAACTCCCACTTATGAGTGAGAAAATGTGGTGTTTGGTTTTCTGTTCTTCTGTTAGTTTGCTGAGAACGACGGTGTCCAGTTTCATCTATGTCCCTGCAAAGGACATGAACTTATCCTTTTTTATGGCTGCATAGTATTCCATGGTGTATATGTGCCACATTTTCTTTATCCAGTCTACCCAGTCTATGATTGATGGGCATTTGGGTTGGTTTGCTATTGTATAGTATTCCATGGTGTATATGTGCCACATTTTCTTTATCCAGTCTGTCCAGTCTATCATTGATGGGCATTTGGGTTGGTTTGCTATTGTGAACAGTGCCACAATGAACATATATGTGCACGTGTCCTTACAGTAGAATGATTTATAATCCTCTGGGTATATACCCAGTAATGGAATTGCTGGGTCAAATGGTATTTCTGATTCTAGATCCTTGAGGAATAGCCACACTGTCTTCCTCAATGGTTGAGCTAGTTTACAGTCCCACCAACAGTGTAAAAGCATTCCTGTTTCTCCACATCCTCTCCAGCATCTGTTGTTTCCTGACTTTTTAATGATCACCATTCTAACTGGCATGAGACGGTATCTCATTGTGATTTTGATTTGCATTTCTCCGATGACCAGCGATGATGACCCTTTTTTCATATGTTTGTTGGCTGCATAAATGTCTTCTTTTGAGAAGCATCTGTTCATATCCTTTGCCCACTTTTTGATGGGGTTTTTTCTTGTAAATTTGTTTCAGTTCTTTGTAGATTCTGGATATTAGCCCTTTGTCAGATGGATAGATGGCAAAATTTTTCTCCCATTCTGTAGGTTGCCTGTTCACTCTGATGATAGTTTCTTTTGCTGTGCAGAAGCTCTTTAGTTTAATTAGATCCCATTTGTCAATTTTGGCTTTTGTTGGCATTGCTTTTGGTGTTTCAGTCATGAAGTCTTTGCCCATGCCTATGTCCTGAATGGTATTGCCTAGGTTTTCTTCTAGGGTTTTTATGGTTTAAGTCTTTAATCCATCTTGAGTTAATTTTTGTGTAAGGTATAAGGAAGGGGTCCAGTTTCAGTTTTCTGCATATGGCTAGCCAGTTTTCACAACACTATTTATTATATAGGGAATCCTTTCCCCATTGCTTGTTTTTGTCAGGTTTGTCAAAGATCAGATGGTTATAGATGTGTGGTGTTATTTCTGAGGCCTCTGTTCTGTTCCATTGATCTATATATCTGTTTTGGTAACAGTACTGTGCTGTTTTGGTTACTGTATCCTCGTAGTGTAGTTTGAAGTCAGGTAGCGTGATGCCTCCAGCTTTGTTCTTTTTGCTTAGGGTTGTCTTGGCTATGTGGGCTCTTTTTTGGTTGCATATGAAATTTAAAGTAGTTTTTTCTAATTCTGTGAAGAAAGTTAATAGTAGCTTGATGGGGATAGACACATTCTATAAATCTATAAATTACTTTGGGCAATGCAGCCATTTTCATGATATTGATTCTTCCTATCCATGAGCATGGAATGTTTTTCCATTTGTTTGTGTCCTCTCTTGTTTCTTTGAGCAGTGGTTTGTAGTTCTCCTTGAAGAGGCCAGAACCAGCTTCTTTGAACCAGCTTCCTGAAAAACAGGAAGTTCTCAAGGCCGACTTCCTGGAGATGGAAGCTGAGACTACAGATTGTAAAAGCCTTGGCCTCAGGGGACCATCTCCAGGTTCTGCAAGGGGCTTCTTCAAACCTCTGTGTGTGGAGTCATTTTGTGCTGAGGAGCAGCTCCTTCCTGGCCCTGCACCTTCAAGCTCTCCCTGGGATGCTACAACATAAGGGGCACACGTTCTAGACACATGTTTATTTTTATTTCTCTTTGGCATCCTGTCTTCATCCCCTCAGAAGGTCTGTCTTGAGTTCCTATAACACTGTGACTCGCTCAAGCCAGACTCTGCCAAAACCAAGATACCCACTTACCTGAGTGGAAGAGGTGTTACTGAAACACCATGGGTTCCATCTGGGTCCCATCACTCACCACATAGAGAGCCAATCACTGAGAAAACGAGTATCACCAGGGAAGAAGGCTTTTTATTCAGGTGACGTTATCCTGGAGAATGGGAGATAAGTCTCAAATCCATCTCCTCAATGGACTAAAATTGGGGGTTTATGTAGCTGAGAAGGGATGGAATTGTGTGTGGGAAAACAGGAACTAGGGAAGGGTAAGGAAAATGAATAAAGCGACTGGTGTCTTACTGGCCGGATGCAGTGATCTGGTGAATTTTAGTCCTTTGCCTAAGGGTCAGTTTCCTGAAGAAGGAACCCAGATGAGACAAATAAGTTTCAAGTTTTAAGATGGGGGTGTCAATGTCTATGTTTATTCAAGAAAATCATAAAGGTCAGGCATGATGCCTCGCACCTGTAATCCCAGCACTTTGGGAGGCTGAGGCAGGTGGATTGCTTGAGGTCGGGAATTTGAGGCCAGCCTGGGCAACATGGTGAAACCTCATCTCTACAAAAAATACAAAAATTAGCCAAGTGTGGTGGTGCATGCCACCACATGTGTGGTCCTAGCTACTCAAGAGGCTAAGGTCAGAGGATCACCTGAGCCTGGGGAGGTTGAGGCTGCAGGGAGCTGTGATCGCACTTCAGCCTGGGCAACAGTGAGAACCTGTCTTAAAAAACAAAAAATATAATTTACAAATTTAATTCCCACGCATATCATATTTGACTTGTATAGGAAAATAAAGATCCTGTTGCATCTTGAACATGATCTAGAAAAAATGTTTATACTGGTAGGAGGATCACTTGAGCCCAGGAAGTTGAGGCTGCAGTGAGCCGTGATCACTCCACTGAACCCTAGCCTAGGCAACAGGTTCATTAAAAACAAAAAACAGGCCAGGCACAGTGGCTCATGCCTGTAATTCCAGCACTTTGGGAGGCTGAGGCAGGTGGATCACATGAGGCCAGGAGTTTGAGACCAGTTAGGCCAACATGATGAAATCCTGCCTCTACTAAGAACACAAAAATTAGCCAGGTGTGGTGGCGGGTGCCTGTAATCCCAGCTACTTGGGTGGCTGAGGCATGAGAATTGCTTGAACCCAGGAGGTGGAGGTTGCAGTGAGCTGAGATTGCACCACTGTACTCCAGCCTGGGCGACAGAGCGAGACCCAGTCTCAAAAACAAAACAAGACAAAAAACAAACAAAGAAAAACCCAATAAGTATCAGTTATATGGGACGATAGGGCTGGATTCAGAGGGGAGCCCAGTTTTCAACTCTTCTTTGAAATTCCTGCTTCCTCAAAAGGCCACTGAGCTCTGAAAGATTTGGGACTAAAGACCTATCTCAGGAATCTTCCCCTGAGCTAAAGGCCACTTGAGTTGGGGCCATTACTTACCTTGGTTGGACGGGGGTAGCAATGCTTGATGCACATGGGAGAGTCTTAACATGCGTCTTACGGAGGAGATGGACACTGGTGCAGGGTTGGCACTCTGGTGCTGCATATGTTGCCAAGAGCCTGTCTGCTCCTACCGGGCCAGGTAGCATGAGTGATGCCCCCACAGCTCCTCCCTGTGGACTTAGGAAGGTGCCCCTACTCTTGCACAAAGCCACTTAGGGCAAATCTGCAGAGCATATTTTGCATGTCGAAGCATAGGTCTATTTGGATTATCCTTCTTCTATTTTCTCCTGACAGCTTCCTTTCCAAGAAATCAAGAAAGAAAACAAAAGCTAGCCAGGGGTGGTGGCTCATGCCTGTGATCCCAGCACTTTGGGAGGCCGAGGCAGGTGGATCATGAGGTCAGGAGTTCGAGACCAGCCTGACCAACATAGTGAACCCCCCATCTCTACTAAAAATACAAAAAATTAGCTGGGCGTGGTGGTGGGCACCTGTAATCCCAGCTTCACATGAGGCTGAGGCAGGAGAATCGCTTGAACCTGGGAGGTGGAGGTTGCAGCGAGCCGATATCGTGCCACTGCACACCAGTCCAGGCAACAGTGCAAGACTTCATCTCAAAAAAAAAAAAAAAAAAAAATTAGTCAGGTTTGGTGGGGGGGTGCCTGTAATCCCAGCTACTTGGGAGGCTGAGGCAAGAGAATCACTTGAACCTAGGAGGCAGAGGTTTCAGTGAGCCAAGATTGTGTCACTGTACCCCAGCCTGAGTGACAGACTGAGACTCCAACTCAAAGAAAAAAAAAGAAGCTGAAAACATTTATTAAAAAAAAGGAAGAAGGAAATTGCAGAATATGCAACAATTAAGTAGTAGGCATTTGGTCTTCTGGGGAAAAATATTACAACCTATTTACAAACCTTTGTTGATGATCTGAGTGGTCACTCTCTTGATACCATGAGATACCACTTCACACTCACTAGGATGGCTACAATCAAAATCACAATGGTTGGCAAGGATATGGAGAAACTGGAAACTTCGTAAGTCATTGCTGGTGGAAATGTAAAATGGCGTAGCCACTATGGGAAACAGTTCGGAAGTTCCTCAGTTAAACATAGTTACCACAGGACCAGCAAGTCTACTCCTAGGGTATATACCTAAGAGAATTGAAAACGTATGTCCACACAAAACTTGTACATGAATATTCATAGTAGCATTATTCATATTAGCCCTAAAGTAGAAGCAACTCAAATGTCCATCAATTGATGAATGAATAAATAAAATGCGGCATATCCTACAATGGAATATTATTCAGCATAAAAAGGAATGAAGTATCAATACGTGCTACAACATGCATGGACCTTAAAAACATGCTAAGTGAAATAAACCAGACCTAAAAAATTATATGATTCCATCTGTATGAAATTTCCAGAATAGGCAAACGCATAGAGGCAGAAAATAGATTAGTGGTTGCCAGGGGCTGAGGCCAGAAGATGGGAAGTGAGAGCTAATGGGCATGGAGTTTCTTTTGGGGGTTATGAAATGCTCTGGGAGAAGATACTGATGATGGTTGTATGGCTTCATGTATGTACTAAAAACCATTGAAATGTACACTTCACTAAGGTGAATTTTATGGCATGTAAATTACATCTCAATTTTGAAAGCTTCTTCATTAAGAACACAAGAGCCTGCTCCTGTAGCACATATACTAAAATTGGAATGATACGGAGATTAGCATGGTCCCTGCACAAAGATGACACACAATTCGTGCAGCAGTCCATGTTCATAAAAAGAACGCATTTGCACTCCAACGTACACATCCCCTGATCATCTTTGATTCTATTAATTTTTTTCCCCTCTGGTAAAACCCCCAAGAGGAAAAATACTCCCCTTTTCTAAATTGCTCACTAGAGTGACTAGAATGGTGTCTAATAAATTCTTTTTTTATAATGAAAATGCAATAATTATTTTACATTTAGGGCATCTGTTGAAGAGGGGGATTGTTACACGATCATGTTCCTGTCTTAAAGAGGGATTTAAACAGTTCCTCTGATCTTTTAAATATTCAAAAAGATTATTTTTGAAACTGCTGTTTAAATGGAGAAAGTAGGATTTAAGAAGGTGCAGCTTCAAAGCTGGAATTCATAGAGCCATAGAGAGGTTATAAAGCAGTATCACATAATAAAATTAAAGTGTTCCTACCAATTATAAGGGCATTCTTTTGTGAGTAAAAGCATTTCTTACGGTGTTCAAACATATCTTAGTATACTAAAGAGAAACGGAAATATTCTACACATAGACTTTATTTTATGGGAATGATAGTGCCTTCTGGGTCTTACTTCACTGGGATTTTTAAAAATCAAGGAAATATATATGAACGTGTTTTGTTCCCTCTGAAGAAATGTGGCATATAAATCCAAAACCTTGTTAACTTAATTCAATAAAACTTTATGGAAATGATATAAAAGCACCTGGTGAATTCTAGTTTATGCTCTAATTACCTACACAAAACATTTTTCACTCACTCCATAAAAGGGTTATAGCCCATTTTTTTTTTTTATTTATGCGAGCTTGAAATGAAACTCACTTCCCAGTAAGGAGGTGATTCGCTGTCAAATCATGGGAGAAAGATTGTTTGACGAGGAAAGTTGATAGTCACATCCACGTGTTCCTACCCCGCCTCACCACACCACACTCTGGAGCAAACAACTCCTTTTTCTTTTTTTTATTCTAAACTGCGCTTGAGAAGTCTTATTTATACAATTTTACGCAAGCTAAGGGGAGCACATTGCGTTCTAGTCTTCTTTTCTTCTCCCCCTCTCTCTCCTTTTTCACAGAACCTAATTATTGGACACATGGCTCCTTTAAAACAATCAAGAACAGGAAGGCATGTCCTCTCTGCCGTTCCCTCTGGCTCTGAGGAAAGGCAGCCCGTTCAGGGTTCAGGGCCCGGGAATTTTTTCTGAGCAATAACCAGCTTGAAGTGGCCCTGCCAATGGAGTCCTCTGGGGCTGAGTTATCGGAAGCCCCAGAGATGCTCGTTCTCTGCAGGACATGGAAGTCTACCCTGACCAGAGGAGGGGTGAGACCTTTCGCTAGGGTCCTTTCACCTGCTCCACGTAGACCCCCCACCAGAAGTCTGCACCCCTCCCGCCCCCTTTTGCCTCGGCAGGAAGTTTCACACTCGCTTGTCTGGCCCTGAAACAAGCTTCCTCTTTCTCAGATGCAAGGCCACCTACTCGCTCTGGAATTCCTTCACAGACTAACCAGGCCCTTCTTGAGCAGGCCCCCAAAAGAAAAATGATTAATGTGGCTGATACGTATATTGCAGACTGTCCGTCAACAGAAGTGGAAAAAAAACACCTTTGGGGGCTGTCCCTAGGCTTAGGCACTACAGCGAGTTCCCAGCTTCAAAGGAGCTTTATCTAAAAGCCATTTTTCTCTGGAGCTGAGAGGAGCAGGGAGAGCGGGCAGCCGGCCAGCCACAGCTGGAGAGAGGACTCTAAAGGCCTGTTGAGCACCAGCTCCTTTGCTGGGTTGCCGGCTCTGGTTTTATTTTGGCCGTGTCAGATTCTGGCTTGAGTTTGTACTGATGTTGCCAGCTCATTCGTTATGCCCATAAAATAATAATGCCAGCAATAACAACAATGAATAATAATAACACAGCAGATCCCGTTTACTCAGCACTCACCATGTGCCCGATGCTGGGCTACATATTTAACCTAAATTTTCTCATTTAATCCTTACAAACTCCTAGAGGTTTAATGACCTCCCTAAACCCAAGTCAGCCATGAAATTCTGTCTGAATCCAAAGCCCATTGAGGACTCTGCTCTTCTATATATGGCCTGGGCTGTATTTTCAAATCCCCAGAGGACGGAACTTTTAAAAGGCTGTTACCCGCCCAGGCCCTGGAGGCTGGGAGGTCACCGAGGGGCTGTCATTTTTAGGAAGGTCCTATCCACAGAGAGATGGCCAAGCAATGTGCCCACCTCTTTAAGTTAAAGGCTAAGGGAAACGTCACACTCTCAAATATTAGAAGGAAAATTATAAAATTGGTGAATATCAGAGTAAAGCAAAATTTGCCTTTCATATAGTAGACACTCAAAATCATTCTATGAAGTAGAACCCTCTAATTTTTTTTCTCCTAGACTTACCTCTTTTGTGCTTAGTAGGCCCTTTTGATGTCTGTGTAGGGGAGGTATTGCCCAAGCTTATTTTCTTTGTGACAACTTGAGTTCTTGAGCCATAGATTTTTAGGCCATGTAAAATGTAGGTGGAAACACAATTTCTCCCTTAACTTCTTTTTCTCTATTATCCTGATATTTAAAACATTCGTTGATTAAGTTTTTTTTTTTTTTTTGAGATGAAGTCTTGCTCTGTCTCCCAGGCCGGAGTGCAGTGGCGCAATCTCGGCTCACTGCAACCTCCGCTTCCTGGGTTCAAGTGATTCTCCTGCCTCAGCCTCCCAAGTAGCTGGGATTACAGGCGTGTGCCACCAAGCCCGGCTACTTTTTTTGTATTTTTAGTAGAGATGGAGTTTCACCGTGGTAGCCAGGATGGTCTCTATCTCCTGACCTCGTGATCCACTTGCCTCAACCTCCCAAAGTGCTGGGATTACAGGCGTGAGCCACTGCGCCCAGCCGATTAAGCTATTTTTGAACATATCATAGTAATGTGAACCACAAATTAGCATATTTTTCCAGGGCTGGAACATTTATTGAGGTTTCAGAACCTAAACATTTCCCAAGAAAACCTGCACATTAGTATTAGCAGAGTCCATAAATTGTTTTTAGAAACAGGTACTAAATAAATCCTAAATATATAAAGAATAGAAACGAAAACAAGACAACCTATCAGAGTTTATTTTAAATGTAATCCAGATAGAAGATTTCCACTCGGGCATTTTAGCAGCACACTCTGGCTTCGAGGCCGAGTGCAGCCCTGCGGTCAGCCACAATCCCCTTGGCTCTGTTGCTTAGTCAAGGAGCAAAATCAATGGCCTGTCCTTTCCTCTTCCCCCATTCCAGCCCTGTCCCCCAAGTCTCTCCATGCAAAGAATCCTTTGTAGTTGTACCTAATTTTCCTTCAGGCCTTGTAACTCTTTATTTTATTTCTTTGGTGACACCTGTTTTACTCTAGTGGGGCGAGCAGGCACAGGTAATAATGTGGATAATTCAGACCAAGCTGCTGCATGGATTCTGGTAGAGGCACAGAACAGGGATGGTGCCTCAGCTGGCCTGTTGGCCCCCCAGGACAACCAGGGAGGCTTGTGCCCGTCCAGCTCTTGTGGGATAATCCCCAGCTCGAAACCGCCACATAGTCTTAAGACGGCTCCTGCAATCCACCTGGCCCAGAGCTCTTCACAACAGGGCTAAGTTACTTCCCACCCTTGCCACCCATATCCTCCACCTCCACCTGCTGTGCCCTCGGATGTGTCTCCAGGCCTTTGCTGAGCTCTCTCTTCTTCCTAAAAGCCCTTCCTTCCTGACGTGGCCAGAATCCTAAGCAGCTTTCCAGGCTGAAAGACAGCTTCCCTCACGGGCTTCCTCACTTCTCCGCAGCCATAATGAAACCTCTTCCGCTTCCCTTTCTCCCTTCCTCCTTCCCTTCTTCCTTAATATTTTATTACGGGAAACTTCAAACATATTCAAAAGTAGACAAAATAATGCAATGGAATTTTGTGTTCCTCTTGCCCAGGTTCAACAATACGAATGCATGCCCAGCGAGGTTTCACCTGTTCCCATTGGATCATTTTGAAGCAAATCCCAAATCTCATCATTTCATCCACAAGTGTTTCAGAATGTATTTCTAAGAATTCTTTAAAAAAAAAACTTAACACAATGCAATTATCATACCAAATACAACAATTCCTTAACATCATTACATTTCCCCAACTGTCTAAGAATTTTTTTTAATAGTTTGTTTAAATGAGAATCCAAGTAAGGTCTATGCGCGGCAAATGACGGATTGGTTTCTTAAGCTGCTTTGAATTTATGGCGCCCCACCTGCCTCTCCCTAATTTCACTGGTGAAGATCCAGGGTCCCTTGTCCTGCAGAGCCCCCAGAGTCTGGACTTTGCTGAGGGAGTCCTAGTGTTTCCCTTTGATGGTCCCTCTGCTTTGGCATCTGGAGCCCTTGGAGTCACTGGGGGGCCTCTGGGGACTTGCCTAGGAGGCAGGGTCCTTGAGGCGAGGTCCTTCCCCCCTGGGTCCCTCAGGAAATGTCCTTTGAAGTCTGTGGCAGGTGTAACTTAGGATCCTGAACCTCCAGAGTCCAGAAGTGTCCCTGCCTGGGGCCCGCACCTCAACTCCCACAAATTGGGGCAGAAACTCTTCAGCCTCTGCCAAGACAGACCCTTGTCAGGCCCCTGAGCTCCAGCCAGGAGCCGATTCCGTGTGGAATCTGAGCGAAAGTTAAGTGCCTGGACTACCCAGATTCTGGCCTTGCCTGGCCTTCTTCAGTGTAGCTGATGCCCAGGTTGCCACAGGGCAGGCGGAGTTCCAGATCCACCCCTCCTTCTTTAAGCCAAAGCCTGTGAGAGGAAATTGCCATTTCTGAGCATCTTAGACTTTCTCTCCTCCCCCTTTCCTTCTTACCTCTGTGTGGGTCTCCTTTCCATCTGCATTGCATTTACTTAAGTAAATACCCAATTTACATGCCACAGGAGTGACAAAAGGACTTAAAACAATTCAAGAGAACTGCCATGGTGCAAAATCCCATTTTTGAAAGTCAGAAGTCTGATACCACCTATCTATCCCTGTTTAACCACCCAATTCATTCCTGAAATTCTTGCTGTTAAGGACAAAGTCATTTAATGAAAGAAATTTTTCCCATTAATTTTAATGGAAAAAAATTATGAGGCATTGTCCTCCAAACCAAGATACTCAGATAATTTTCACAGGTAGGAAACTCTATCCATTGAACAATAAAAGTAAGTAATGCAAGTAATAAACAACAACACAAAGGTAGAGGAATCTAGTTTGTACATAAAGTGCAAGGTAATAAAGGTTTTTGGAACTCACCAAAGGAGCAAGAGTAGTTGAGGGAGGGCATCATTCTTTGGAAGGCTCATTCTTTCTTCATGTTTACTTCACCCATTTTTCAACCTTTGGGCTGACAACTATTTTGCCTGCAAATGATGCTTTAAGCTATATACAGATTAACATTGCTAGAGAAAAATAAAGGCTGAGCGCAAGAGTGCTTGGCAGTGTGGGAATAGCACAAATGTACAAGAAACTGAGAGCTATAGAAGGTGCTGGCTCCTTCTCTCTCTCGCCGGGTTCACATTTGCAAGGCACACTGAGTCTGTGCAAACAAGGTGCACAGGTGCACAGTTCAGGTCTGTTTCATATGATATTCTTTGGTGAGACACTGTTATGTCAACTAAATTCTGAGTGTGGTTTTGCCTGCCTTGGATGTCAAAATATCACTGCTTCTAGCATATTTATTTAGTGTGCTTTTTGGATAAAAGGATATTGTACTGAAAAAAAAGCCATTGTCCAAAATGTGTTTCCAGAGCCGTTATGTTGAAGAGTTAATGCCACAGTCATTATGTGAGGAAAACCTGTGTGCCTTGGTCTTTCCCTGAGCTTTTCTTCTGCTGCGAGTCCCGATTTCCTCTCAGGTAAATACATGCTTCAGGTAGACTAGTATAAAGGTCAGGTTCTCAGAAAGCCAAATAAGAACGGCCCCTTGATACTTATATTACCAACATCATACTTATCTGCTTCTTACTCCTAAGTTCATAGTTCTTCAAATCACTGATGCATGCAACAACATGGATGAGTTCCAAAAACAAGCAGAGTGAAAGAAGCCAGACAACAGAACACACTACATTTGTCTGAAATCTGGAGTAGGCAAGACAATCCAAGGAAACATAAACCAGAACGTGTTCCTTGTGGGTGGGAGTGGGGGACTGATAAGAAAGAAGAATAAAGGAATTTTCTGGGATGAATGAAATGTTCTTCACCTTGCTTTGGGTGGTGGTTACACAGGTATCTGTAACTGTCAAAATTCACCAATCTCAACATCTAAGACCTATGCATTTTACTGTAAGTTGGTGCAAAAGTAATTGCGGTTTTTGCCACTGAAAGGAATGGCAAAAAGTAAACTTTTGATGCCGTTAAAAGTAATGGCAAAACCCACAACTACTTTTGCATCGACCTAATTAATTTTAATAGTGAAAACCGCAATTACTTTTGCACCAATCTAATATGTGTAAGAAGTTTAAAATAAATTAAAAAAAAAAAGAATTCAAGAGTCTCTTAACATGGTTATTAAACGTGTGCCTGAATAAACTTTATAGGCTTTGAGGTGGGAAGGCTCAGGTGTGAATTCCAGTTTCATGACTCCCTGCTGGAGGATCTTGGGCAAGCTAATTGACTTTTCTTAGCCTCAGTTTTCTTTCTTTTTTCTTTTTCTTTCTTTTTTTTTTTTGAGACAGAGTCTTGCTCTGTCGCCCAGGCTGGAGTGCAGTGGCATGATCTCGGCTCACTGCACCCTCCACCTCCTGGGTTCAAGTGATTCTCCTGCCTCAAACTCCCAAGTAGCTGGGACTACAGGTACGTGCCACGCCTGGCTAATTTTTTGTATTTTTAGTAGAGACGGAGTTTCACCGTGTTAGCCAGGATGGTCTTGATCTCCTGACCTCGTGATTTGCCCGCCTCGGTCTCCCGAAGTGCTGGGATAACAGGCGTGAGCCACTGCGCCCGGCAGCCTCAGTTTTCTTATCAATAAACCAGTGGTGAAAACAGTAAGTAGCTCATAAGGGGCTGTGCACATTAAATAGGCTAATGCCCACAGAGCTCTTAATAAGTGACAAGTAAGTATCATGTTCCTCATCTCCCCTGAGTACTTTCAAGGGTACTCGTTGAAGTCCCCGCATCCACCTCCTGTTGTCACTATTCACACTCTCCCATGGCCTCCCCTCCAGTCTGTCCCATCTTTCTCAGACGCTGTCCCTGCCCCCTGATCCCCTGGCCTCAGTTCCATCAGCCCTGGCACAGAGTGCCCTTCTAGTCTCTTTATCTCCCCTCTTGCCAAACATCTTTGGTGCTTTCCCAGCGGGTTCCTCTGCCAGCAGGTTCTGTTGCCTGCCATCCAGCCTCCCGCAGAACTGTTGCATACAGAGCCTTCCTCCTGGTATCCAGGCTTCACCTGGTTTCCTTCCATTCACACTAACAGGGAATTCTCATGCCTCCAGCACACGCCTGGCCTTGTCCAGCCCTGCGTCTTTGTTCACAGTAGCCTTTTTACCTGAAATAGACTCTTCCATTGCTTTCATGTCTCAAAGACCCAGGAAGGCTTCCCTGACCCCAATCCAGCCTGCAGCAGCATCTCTTCCCCGTCTGCATGCTGTAGCTTTTTATGCAATTCAACACTACTTTGTTCAGCACATGTACATCTTTGTTTGGTAGTTGTTTTTGACAGTGTTATCTTCATATAGTAAAGTAAGTGTTCCAAGAATGAAAGGCTTTTATACACTTTTGTATTCCCCTCATTGTCATGTACCTAGGAAGTCCTCAGCAGATATTTGGTGAATGGCTCTTATTGTCTTTACAATTTCAAAGCCCTTACATGTTAGCAATCTTCACATCACAGCAACACTTCGCAGAGCTAAGGGCAGATATGCAGATATTGTCATCTGCTTGTGACCAACGAGGAAGCCAAGTGCAGGCAGCGGGGAGGGTGTACAGAGCCACACACCTAGCATGAACCCAGGCCAGGCTTTCTAACTTCCTAACTTCTCCGTATCACCCTGTAAGTCACGACATTGCCCTGGTGTCCAATGGTATTGCAGAGTGAGTAAGAGAGCACTGAGGTTAATAGCATCTAACAGTTACCACTGTCAAAAAAGACCATGTTACTTAGTCTGTTTGTGCTGCTTTAACAGAACACCATAGACTGGGTGACTTATAAGGAACAGAAATTTATTTCTCACAGTTCTGGTGGCTGGGAAGTCCAAAATCAAGACCCCAGGATTTGGTCTGGCAAGGCCCTTCTTGCTGTGTCCTCACATGGCAGAAGACAAAAGGGCCTTCATCCCATTAATAAGGGAGCCGCCCTCAGGGACTATTAATCTGTTAAAGGCCCCACCTCTTAATACTATCACATTGGCAACACCTATGTTTTCTTTTCTTTTCTTTTTTTTTTTTGACATGGAGTCTCGCCCTGTCACCCAGGCTGGAGTGCAGTGGTGCGATCTCGGCTCACTGCAAGCTCCGCCATTCTCCTGCCTCAGCCTCCTGACAGCTGGGATTACATGTGCCCGCCACCACACCTGGCTAATTTTTTATATTTTTTTTTAGTAGAGACAGGGTTTCACTGTGTTGGCCAGGATGGTCTCTATCTCCTGACCTCGTGATCCGCCCACCTCGGCCTCCCAAAGTGCTGGGATTACAGGCGTGAGCCACTGTGCCTGGCCGGCAATACCTAAATTTTTGAGGGGACACATTTAAACCACAGCGGTTATCAAATTGCACAGAGATTGATGGCAGTGGTTAGCTTACTTAAATGATTTTCTTTTCTTTCTGCTCCTTCCTGCACACTGATATTTAAATGATGTTAAAGAAGTGTTTAATTCTTGGTGCAGGGTCCTGGCAAAGTTAGGGATGAGGTAAAAAAGACTCTGAAGAACTCCAGCCTAAGCCTAACACCCTACTTATTGGAAAGGAGACTCCAAGAAAGCTTCCTTAGGTCGAGGTAGTGAGTCCAGCCCTGAAGGTGCACAGTCCTCCAATCAAATAAGCCCGGAGTGGAGCAGCATCCTGACAGACACTGAGTCACCTGCTTCCTCCAGCCAAGGACAGAAACACTCTCTCTAGTTGCTAAAGGTTGAGACAATGCTTGGTGGTTTGGAGATATTCGCAAACTTCTTCCCCAAGTTATTTCATCTGTGCATCTTTCTCTTGTTCCATTTTCCCAGGGCAACGCAAACCATCTACATTAACATATTCATTTTCTAGGGCTGCCATAAAAAAGGCCACAACCTAGGAGGCTTAAATATATTAAAACACATTGCCTCCCAGTTCTGGAAGCTAGAAGTCTGAGATCAAGGTGTCAACAGTGCCACATTCACTCGGTGGGTGCTAGGGATGGGTCTGTTGCAGGCCTCTCTCTGGCTCTGGGAGCTCCTAGGCTGTGGCAGCACAACTCCAGTCTTCACGTGGCGTTCTCCCTGTGTGCACATCTGTGTCCAATCTTCCCTTTTACAAGGACATCAGTCATAATTGATTAGGAGCCCTGCCCAGTAGGTACCTACTCCAGTGTGACCTGATCTTAACTAATGACATCTGCAAACAACCCTGTTTCCAAATAAGCTCACATACTGAGATACAAGGAGTCAGGACTCAACATATGGACTTCAGGGGATGCAACTTGACCCATAGCAGTCAATGTTTCTCAAACCTCAGTCATTTTTTAGACCACCTTTATAATTGTTCTCTTGAATAATATGAGACCTATACTATTAATTTGCCATTAGCTCTTTTTTTTTTTTACCTAATACCATAATACTGTATACCATGAACAGAAAACCAGTATCACATGGCATAAAGAAGTTGATGATAAACATAATACATAAAATACATTACAAACATAAATAATGTAATGTAATAAATATAAAAACATGACTATTAAAATAAGTGTTTTGGCCAGCCATGGTGGCTCACACCGGTAATCCCAGGACTTTGAGAGGCTGAGGTGGGTGGATTGCTTGAGCCCTGGAGTTTGTGACAAGCCTGGGCAACATGGCAAAACCTCGTCTCTGCAAAAAATACAAAGATTAGCCCGGGGTAGTGGTGCATGCATATAGCCCCAGCTACTTGGTCGGCTGAGGTAGGAGGATCACCTGAGCCTGGGATGTCGAGGCTACAGTGAGTACCACTGTACTCCAGCCTGGGCAACAGAGTGAGACCCTGTTTCAAAAAACAAAACAAAACAAAACAAAACATAAATAAATAAAATCACTGTTTGCCAATGTATTACTCCAAATCTTTTTCTTATCTCCTGTAGCTGAAAACTGCCTTTGGAAAATACATACTATATTTAATCTTGATGGGGTCTGAGGGGCATTTCTAGAAATTACATCAAAAGCCAAGAAGGCACTCTCAGCATGAGAATCTCAGGCCCTCATAGGGTGGAAACAGAGAAAGGCTGTGGTCCACTAGGGCTTGGGAGGGGAGGATGAGGTCTAATTACTCTACCGACACAGTACACAGATCAGAGGATCAGAGAGTGACCTTACAAATCACATTTCATAAAAGAAAAAGTGAGGCCCAGAGAGCTGAAGGCCAGACAGCACCAGGGCCCAGGCTGGAACCTGATCCCTGATTCCCACTCTCACATCAGTGAAGCGAACCCTGCGGTGCGGCAGCTGGATAGAGCTTCCTGCAGCCGATTAAAGATGAGGTTTGCAACGCACCCGGGTTCTGTCTTGAGGCTCATGACACACCTGGGTGTCGGCAAACTCTTGGCGATCAGGCATCTTTCTGAGCTAATTTTGGTTTATTCTTAGCAAAAGAGAAAGGTGCTAAGTTTAGCATAAAGATGGTGCTTCCAATTGTCCTCAAACTGTTTGCTAAAGAGAACTATGTTGTTTTCTGGTTGGTTAGTTTTATTTTTTGAAAATATAGTAGTTGCACGTGGTTAAAATTCACATCATGCTAAAAGGTATGTGGTAAAAAGTTTTCTTCCCAGTTCTAACTCACAATATCCGAAATCCCCCCTCTGTAGGCCCACAATTCATCTGTTTTGCGTATCCTTCTAGAGCTGTGAAGGTGGAGTAGCAGCTTTAACACAGACACCAATGAAATATCTGAAACAAATTTCACCAGAATTATATCACTTCTGGGAACAACCCCTCAGTCTCCACGGATCCGGTGCTTCTACCCTACCCCCTACTTAACTCATTTTCTTTCTCGTCCTCTTTTAATTAAATTTTAGCCTTTTTAAGGTATTCCAGGTGAAGAATACTGGATAGGAATGGGGCAAGCAGCTGCAGCCACGCCCACTGGCTCATGAAGGAGAGTCTGGCTGCCCATACGAGGAGATCAATAAATCTTGTCAGAATAAGAATTTGGGAAAGGAGAGAGGTAGATAATAACATTTATTCAGCACCTACTATTTGACAGAAACTTTAAAATATAACCTCATAAAGTGGGTGTTTTCATTTCCAGTTTGTAGAAAGGAACCCAGGGGTGAGAGGTTATGGAACTGGCCTCAATCCCCGCTCGTCCGATTCCAAAGCCCATGCTCTCTTGTCTGCATCCTTTTGGGGACGGGAAATCTGCTGGAATTACTTCCACTTAAGGGAACAATTCACAGTATCAGACAGATCCGGTTCCTTACAGGATAGGCTTCATCTTTATCTTTGCGGTTCTTCTGCAACTGTACGTGGTCTAGGGATGCAATAAATGCATGCATATTGAGTGCCTGAGATCACCAAGGAAGAGAGAAGGAGAGAAGACACAGGATAGAAAACCAGGGATCAGAAACATTCAGAAGTGTGGAAGGTCACCTTTGGGGCACGTGAGATTCGAACCAGAGCCCAGGGAGAAAAGAAGTTCAGGAAGGAGGGTTAACAGCATGGGCTGCTATGGAGGCCTGAAGATCAGCTTCTAGAAGATGCTGTTGGTGCTGATGACTGGTGATCTGTGAGTGGATTCAGTAAAGTGGCAGAAAGGAAGGCAGATTGTGTGTGTATGTGCATGTGTGTGTGTGTGTGTGTGAGAGACAGAGAGAGAGAAGTGCACTTAATGCCGATGTTCACCTCATGTCTTGTTTTCCGGCTACTGCAACTTGATGAGGTTACATTTACCAGGCCTTCATTCTGAAGCCTGGCATTTCTCCCAAGAGTGCCAGTTCTGCCTAATGAGAGCAACTCAAGCGAATCCACAGGAAAGAAAAAGGAAAGTGACATTTTAATTTTATCCAGGCTGAAACACAACTGTACGCAAGGAATGTGCCTGTAATTCTGAATCATGAATGTACCAATGCCTTGCTTTATGGAATAGAAATGTGCTCTGTCCAAATTGGCTGTGAGGTGAATAAACATTACTTTTCCACTGAATTCAGCTATAAAACGACTGGAAATCTTTCCATGGGGATTGGGAAAAAAAAAGAAAAGAAAAGAAAAACAGAGAAACAAACCCACTGCCAGAAGGAAGAGAAGACACAGAGCTGACCATGGCCGGCTCCTGCAGGGCAGAGGTGACTCCGCGCTTTTCTGGGACCGATTTGTGTTGCCTTCTTCCAAATACCCTGATCTGTAAGGATTGCTCTAACTTCCTCCTGCTTTGTTTTTCCCTTAATAGGGAAATACGGGCTATTACACCCAGCGGAGCTGGCATACAATATTTTGCTTTGCCTGGGGTCCATTTGACACAATGCTGAATGTTCCTTACGTTCAAGGGTTTTGGCTGCATAAACTCAGTAATTCCCTACTTCATCAGTTAGTAAATACACAATTATATGTATCAAGTTTACTCGGACTGGGAGGTGGCACAGCACTGTGCTTTTGCACATGGGGCTTCACAGCCACAGAGACCTGGGTTTGAGACCCAGCTCTGCCACTTAGCAGCTACGCAAGCTTGGCTCTGTTAAAATCTCTGGGTTTTTATGTGATAGGGATAAGATACACCTCGGGGGATTACAGGAAGCATTAAATGAAATTACATGTTTGTATATACACACACATACACACACACCTGTGTTTGTATGCATACACACCATGTGTTCGATGCTTTATGCTGAATATTTACTGGGTACATATTCAGCAGGGGTAGTAATTGTGATGATGGTGGTGATAATAACAATACACACACAGAATCTTGTCCCAGTAGATTACCCTTTTATATTCTGCCACAGAGATCTATTTCCATTGCCCAAAGGCACACAATTTTCACAGCTTTCTAAAATCTCAAGCCTTCTACATTAATAGTACTAAAAGAATTTTTTCCCAATCAGAAGGGCAACATTTTTAAATCTACAGATAAGAAATGCTACCATATGCCTGAGAACCTCCGTCTTCCGCAAGTCACATCACCGCCCAAGAATGTACTGTCCAGGGTGTCTCATTACTTTGTTAGCCAAACAAAATGTGGCCAGAACTATGGAATGTGTGTGCTGGCCCACGTGCACCTGTTTGTACATATGATCACAACTAAGAGGATCTTTTTACAGAGTAATGGGAAGGTGTAAGGAAGGGTCTGGAACCCAGGGGGCCGAAATCCTGACAAGGTCAGTCTTCCCAGCTGGGTAACCTGGGGCAAGTTATTTAACCTTTCTGTGGCAGTTTCCTCACTTGTAAACTGTGGGGTGATTATGCCTCTCTTACAGGGCTTATCCTGGGGATTAGAGAAGGAGATGAATGTAAAGACCGTGGCACAGGCCAGCATGCTAGTGATTCTTCTCTTCCCCTTCTCAGGACACCCCGTATTGCCTTTACTGGTAATTCAGACTACAGAATTTCCTCAATTTTCAATACTCGTGGAGAAATACAGTGGCGCATATATCCAAATTGCATAAACTCAGTAGTTTTCAAAACCTGAGTCATGTGGAGAGTAATTCTTCTACTCAGAATGGCAGGAGATCTGTTCCAGTTACAGTAACTTGACTACGTTGTCAATAACGAAACTTTAAAGACTAATCACACAGTGAAATGTATTAATACCAGACAGCCCACTATTTCATCTGTAATTACTACCTTCCATCCTCCTCTTGCCTGTGGACCCCCATGACAGGGATGGATTTCAGGATCCATCACTTAAATCAGTTCCTCGCAAGTTCCTTCATTAATTCAGTCCCTTAATTCTCTTATCTGGCTGTCTGCCTTCTCTTGTTTGTGTGCTGAATGAGCTGAACGCTGCTGGACAAAGCCACACAACTTGGCTGACACTAGATTTAACTTCTTTTAGGTCATGAGTTCACACTCCTCGTGGACACTCAACCTTGGTTGGAAATCCTACCATGTTTCTATAAGGTCACTCTTCTCTTTCTGAGATGACTATTTCGTACTTTCTTCTCAACCTCCCACATTCCCTTCCCGCCTCCTAGAAGGTGATCTTGCTTTATTCTTTATTCAGAAAATAGAAACTGTTAGGGTGACTCTCTCATCTTTCCATTTCCAAACAAACAAGTCTCCCTGCATCTACACCAGCCCACAGGATCTTCCTTCCTGCAATGACAGAGGTTGCCCTTCCTACCAAAAGGCTTGTGACCCCAGTGCGTCCCTCCTTAGTGCTTTTCCACCTGTAATGTGTGTGTGAATTGCCTGGGGAGTTGTTAAAATGCACAGTCTGATTCAGCAGGTCTGGGCCAGGGGCCCAAGATTCTGCATTTCTAACCAGCTCCCAGGTGATGTCAATGATCTGAGCAGCAAGTGTACATTCCCTTCCCTTCTTTCTCTTTTAGGTCATTTTTATCATCATAAGCAGGCTCTAGTAGCTTCCATTTTTAAAGCTCCTCCCTTGATCAAACATCTCTCTCAAACTACCACCCCAGTCCATCTCCTTTTATTTTATTTATCTACTTTTTTGAGACGGAGTCTTGCTCTGTCGCCCAGGGTGGAGTGCAGTGATCTCGACTCACTGCAACCTCCGCCTCCAGGGTTCAAGTGAGTCTCCTCCCTCAGCTTCCTGAATAGCTGGGATTACAGGCGCCCGCCACCACGCCCGGCTAATTTTTGTACTTGTAGTAGAGACGGGGTTTCACCAAGTTGGTCAGGCTGGTCTCAAACTCCTGACCTCGTGATCCACCTGCCTTGGCCTCCTAAAGGGCTGGGATTACAGGCGTGAGCCACCGCGCCCGGCCCAGTCCATCTCCTGTTAAAACAATTCTTACTGAAACAATTTTCTACCCAGGCTGCTTCCACCATTCCAAATTTTACCTTTTTGCTATGTCTTTTTCTTCTGATTACAAAAGTAATGCACATTCACTTTTAAAAATCTAAACTTACCAAAATGTATCATACAGAAACGAAACTCTATCCTCCCTTAGGTAAGGCTTAGTTATTTTTTTTCACCTTAAACATTTTAATTTGGAAAAAAATTTACACATAGAGAAGTAAAGATGATACTATAACAAACATCTGTGTATTTGTCATATTTATTGGCTGCATATCTTTACTAAAAAATCAGAGATAAAATTGAAATATTTTCTATGTGCCTATTTAGTGTTGTTTCCTCTTCTCCCCCAAGGCCACCATCGTGAAGTTGGCATGTGCGTTTGTTAGGCTCAGATCAGCTGCACAGATCAGAAACTCCAACACAGCAGTAGGTTAAAGAAGATAAAAACAGACTTCTCTTTCACAGGAAGGTCTGGGGTCTGGGTGGGATGAACAGGGTCCTTCGGTGCTCTGGTCTCAGGGGCCCAGGCTCCAGCTACCTTGCAGCTCCAACATCTTGTAGTCCAGGGCAGCAGCTCCAGGTCCTGCATTTCAGCAGCAGGTAGGAAGTTTAACTCTGGTATGGCTCTTACCTCTGCAGTTCTCCCTCATGAATTTTACTTTGCATACACTTCTGCTATTGACTTCATCAATAATTCCAGTTGCTTAATCTTCCCATAATTCCTCAGAATACTTCATCTACTGATGGTATTTTTTTTTCATTAATAGTATAGGTTTATCATTATTATTATTTGAGACAGAGTCTCACTGTGTTGCCCAGGCTGGAGTGCAGTGGTACAATCTCGGCTCACTGCAACCTCTGCCTCCCGGATTCAAGTGATTCTCCTGCCTCAGCCTCCCGAGTAGCTGGGATTAGAGGTGCGTGCCACCACTTCTGGCTAATTTTTGTATTTTTAGTAGAGACGGGGTTTCACCATATTGCCCAGGCTGGTCTTGAACTCCTGACCTCAGGTTATTCACTTGCCTCAGACTTCCAATGTGCAGGTATATTATTATTATTATTATTATTGTTATTATTATTATTACTATTTTGAGATGGAGTCTCGCTCTGTCGTCCAGGCTAGAGTGCAGTGGCGCAATCTCGGCTCACTACAAGCTCCTCCTCCTGGGTTCACGCCATTCTCCTGCCTCAGCCTCCTGAGTAGCTGGGACTACAGGCGCCCTCCACCATGCCTGGCTAATTTTTTTTTGCATTTTTAGTAGAGACGGGGTTTCACCGTGTTAGCCAGGATGGTCTCAATCTCTTGACCTCGTGATCCACCCGCCTCAGCCTCCCAAAGTGCTGGGATTATAGGCGTGATATTATTTTTAAAATAAGCACACTTAAAAATGTTTTAACATGTCATCTCAGGACATTTTGGGCAGGACAGATGGCGAGCCATGTGATTCACCTGCAAGGCTTGGTTCTGGTCTTCTTTGTCTTCTCATTCTACCCTTAATCTCCCCAAGTAATCTCATCGTCTCTCATAATTGCATTCCCCTTTATACTCTGATGATTCCCAGCTTCATAGCTACCATGCTGGGCCGTGTGCTCTCCTGAATATGAGGCTGGTATATCCAGTGACCCAACACTTCTACTTGGATGTATTCGAGGTACTTAAATCTCAACAGGTTCAAAACTGAACAACTTTGGTCTTGCTGCTCCATATTCTTGCCCTTGTTGACAAGGTCCCGATGGGCTCACCAGCACCACACCTCCATTCCAGACCACAGGAAAGAATAAAGAGGGAGAGGAGGGTGGGCCGCTTCATTTTACAAGACGAGATCTGCAAATTTGCTCCCATCACTTCGGTTCACTTCTTTTGACCAGAATTTTGTTCCACGGCTATGCCTAGCTTGAACTGTATTAGTTAGTTATTGCTGTGTAACAAATCACTGGCTTACTGGCTTAAGTCAATACCTTCTATTGTTGCTCACAAATATAAGGATCAGGTGGACAGTTTATCTGGTCTTGGTTGGGCTGATGCAGCACCTGCTATCAGCCACACAGTAGGTGGCTCTGATCTTGGCTGGGTTCCTGCATGTACTGGAGGATTGGTTGGTCTAGGATCGTCTCAGTTCTTCTCCACATGATCTCATACCTTCTAGTAGGCTAGCCTGGGGCTTACTCTCAAGGCATGGAAGGAATCCAAGAAAGTGGGGAAGTGTGTAAGACTTCTGGAGGCCAAGGCTGGAAACTGGCACAAGATAACTTCCAGAGTCTCCTGGTCAAAGCAAGTCACAAGGCCAGCCAAGTGGTGGGGAACAAAGACTCCACCTTCCCATGAGAAAAGCTGCAAAGGATGTAGATACTGGGAAGGATTGGGACCATTTTTTGTAATCAACCTATCACATGGTGGTTGAGGAATTTAGTTTCTAGTGGGGTGGCCACATGCCCTGCTGAAATTCCAATAGTTCTATTTATAATAAAAGGAAGAAAAGGAGAATGGATATTAGGGATAATTTATAGACTCTGCCTCAGAAGGAATCATAGTTCCCCATTCATCTTCCCTAAATAGAGGACACACTCTCAATCTCTTGCCATAAATAATAATAATAGCACTCTGACAAAATTTCTATTCTTCTTAACTAGAACCCATTTCTGATTCTCCCTTGACTGTGCTGACCCAGCAACTTACCCTGTGACCTCTTAATCTACAAAAAAAATCAAGTGCAAATTGCTTGCAAACATATTGGGGGTTTAATACATACAGTCTTTATTTTGTAGTACCTAGCAAGGTAGCATCTTTATGTAAATGTACTTTAAAAATATTCACTTTATAAAAATTTTGTTATATTAAAAAACAATTTTTATATAAACCTATTTCTTCTCTCTCCCATTAAAAATCTGTAAGCTATCCACGTAACAGAAATTAACTTGTAACCCCATAAATCTATAAAAAAATTCCAAGCAATAACTAAACATTACCACTGCCTCCAAATCCAGTAGCCCAAATCTGGACTGACAAGTACACCCTAGTATTTTACTACACCCATTAAGAACACATGGGAATTTGGGGATTCTTTAATACAGGCATATGTTTTACATTTAAGTAAAAATGCACAGTCATGCTTGAATTTAACATAATTTCCTCATAGATTGCTTAAAGTGAATGGGGTCTCTGGGGAATTAATAATGGCTTCTGGAGTTTCTCATCACAGGTTTCTAATAACTGACCATACACTGCTTTGATTTTCAAATCGCAGTACTTGAGGGCTGTTTGGTGGTGAGCATAAAGTCAGCTGTTGGTCTAAAGGAAAGAGAATAAAATTGTCAAAGTTCATGGTGGCAGCCATCGTCATCATGTATTTACCTGTTTGTCAGTAGTTTCAAGTTGGAGACCAAACAGACAACGAAGAATGTGATCATCTTACTTCTAGGCAATTTTAGCACAGCGGCAGGCTCACCAGCAGAGTGTGACCTCTCACTGCCCCTTTGTACAACTACGGATTAAGGAAAAGAATCTTGGTTGGTGTTTCTCAATGTGCTCAGAGGCACCAATTGTAAAGCATCTGTTACTTTTCTGTTGCATAGCTTGACATGATTTCTCAGGAGGTCTCAATTTCCTGTAAACCAGGATGTGATTGTCATCCTGAACTCTAACCTCCTATCTAATTTTTAAAAAGATGGATGAGGGTCATGTTAAGGGGAAGGAGGGGATGCTGTGAGACGGGGGCTGGGAGTCACACAGCTCTAAAGGTTGCCAAGGTTAGTGGGTAAGGTTTCCTTCTGTAACCAGAAGTGAAAACTCTGACACTGGGCATTCTGGAATAATTGGGGTTGGCCCCCACTTTGACTGTATGGATTTATAAACAAGAGAGATCGGTGGTTACCACATCTCCCCCATTTTCCTGTGTGGGTCCCATGTTTAAAAATTCACACGTTCCTTTTGAGAAATCCTCTCAAAAAGCTTATTAGTCTTCAGACTACTCCTGTTCCTTCACAGAAAGACATACATACCTTAAGCCATGTTCAGAGATGTAAAGAAAGGCTGCAGTTGGTTTAAATCCCTCAGAGGCCTTCAGAAGCAGGAAATGAATGAAGAGGCCTAGGTGTGGAAGCCACAGAGAGGGGCAGGGTTTTTCAGATAGAAGATCCCTTCTAAAGCCATCATTGTGCATCAAGGAAAACACTGTCCTTAAGTTAAATATTTCTATGGGAAAAACTGGTCCCAGGCATTGCCTAAGATCTTAACCTTGGTACTCTGAGCACAAAAGCTCATGTGACCAACAGTCTTGGTTTGTCCAGGACCAAGGGGTTCCTGAGACGTAAGACATTCTGTTTTAAGATAACCTTAACCCACATTACCAGTGCTCATGGGGGAACGTGAGAGTGAAAGGAATGTGAACATTCCTTCTACTTAACAGAGAATGAATGTTCCAGTTGGCTCCCAAGGTGGCGGCATGGATGTGGGGAAACGCATGGCTACCATGGAAGGTCCTCAGAGGCCAAGCTACTCTAAGCTCCTTGATGGTCTCAACTCCCAAAGATTCCAGATCTGATGTAGCTTAAAATGTTAGGGTTCAGAATATAACTAGGTCAGCTCTTCAATGCCTCTGAGGACAATTCTAGGACTAGCTGAGGTATAGGGTGTGCTCATTCGGCTCGCAGTCCTGGTCCACATATGAAAGTGTTCTGTACAGTAAGGACATTTTGACAGTTACAAAGCTACCTTGAAATAAAATGCAGGTGGTCAGGATATCTGGTAGGGCTTTTTGGGTGCAATTTCAACTGTTTTCAGTATTAAGTATGAAGACCTCTCTTTTTAAAGATACAGACATCAAAAAGTTGCCATGCCTGACAATAATTAACACCCCTCTTATTGCAGTACTGAGATGCAGAGAAGTTCAGGGGTTTTCCAACTGACCTGTTTCCCCATGGCTGATCAAATCTGCATGCAGTACCTCTAAGATCAGAATGCTGGTCCCTCCTGTTTGGTCTCCCATCTAATATCAAGTCCACATTTTCTTCAACATTTTTTTTTCCCATTTTTTGAAGATGGCAAAACCCCACCACCTAGGAATTGTGCTCCTCCTTGACTCTAAGACTGAATTATGCCAATTCATTTTTATGGTATGCCCTCATAGTCAAAGGAAAGGTTTATGTGGTTTTGTCGTTGACAGTAAGGGCTCTGGTGTCACATGCTTGAATGGGAATCTCGCTTTGGCACCTGGTTAGCTTTTTGCGACTGAGGGCCACCTACACCCTTAAAAGGTAGGCTGAGCTTTTATTAGATGACTTATTATAGCCTGGTATAGTACATCCTGAATACATATTATTTCCTTTCTTTTTAATTCCTAAATAAGTTTACGTGATGAACTTCTATGTTTACTTCCTAATCTTGGAATAAGAAGAAAAGACTGACTACTTCTGCAGTTGCTATCATCAGTGGATTCCTGTAGAACAGATAAAAATCTTCCCCTTGTTTGCAGCTTGATGACAAATTAAGGACACAACGTTTTGAATGATTTAAGATCAACAAATATAATCTCAAACCATTTCCTCAATAACCAATGGTCTTGCCTCAGTCAAGGATCTGCCAACATTTTATCTAACATAGCTACAAATACTATATCTAGCAGTAACTAGTGTGAAAAATTCAGCATTATTATGGTACAAAATAATTCCTAAATTTTAGAAATGTTATCCCTGTATTTTTAAGCTAAACAATTTTGTTTACTGAGTGTCAAATTACTCTTAAATCTTATTTTACATGCATTTTAAAAAATTTATTGGAATTGTATTGCCTGCTGCAATTACAGATTTCAAGTAAAATGACCATGTTATTTGAAATCTAGACTTCAGCTCTACTAAGTTTGTTGGTTTCTCTGGAGTTTCTCTAGCTTTTACATTTTGAGGGCTGTGTACATTTGTCATGAAGTATGAATAAATCATAAAGTTGGGGAGAGAAGTTTTACAGCCTCTTCATATCACAGATGGGCATTAAACCTAAAAATGGGTCACAGGAAAACAAACAGGTCAGTGACTAGAATTCCTACTAGAGTTGTTGTAATCTTTGGTTCCTAAATATCACAAATTTTGTTTTGTTTTTGAGACAGCGTCTTGCTCTGTTGCCCAGGCTGGGGTGCACTGGCGCAATTATGGCTCACTGCAGCCTCGACTTCCTGGGTTCAGGTGATCCTCTGACCTAAGCCTCCCGAGTGGCGGGGACTACAGGCGTGCACCACCATGCCCAGCTCATTTTTGTATTTTTTTGTAGAGCCTGGGTTTTGTCATGTTGCTTAGGCTGGTCTCGAAATCCTGGGCTCAAGCAATCTCTACCTCGGCGTCCCAAGCTAGGATTACAGGTGTGAGCCACCAAGCCTGGCCTAATAACACATTTTTAAATGGTCTGATGTACAAGTAGATGTGAAATGTGCAATGTAATATATTTATCACTTAAAATGTGTGTTGGCTGGCTACAGTGGCTCAAGCCTATATAATCCTAGCAGTTTTGGAGGCTGTGGTGAGAGGATCACTTGAGGCCAGGAGTTTGAGACCAGCCTGGGCAACACAGTGAGACCTTGTTGCTACAGACCAAAAAAAAAAAAATTTAATTTAAAAACTGCCTATAAAGATTGTCTTTAAAGTATTAGTATTATGGGTCTGGTTTAATCAGCCAAAAGTAGGGGAAAAAAGCAGTTTAATAAAATTTTATTTTCAATGGTTCAATGCCTTTAGTGCTGAATTTTAAAATCTGAAGTAAAAATAAAAAACTTTGTGGTGAGAAACTGTAGGCAATTAAACATTCTGAGCAACTTTCCAAAAATCAGTGTTGTACCATATTGAATTTATTTTATGTTAAAGAAAGAAATGACACATCGTTATTTGTTTTTCATCCAGCCCCCAGTCTATGTTGGTCTGTGTCAGGGATTGGCAAACTACAACCCATGGGCCAAATCCCATGCCTATGGTGGTAAATAAAGTTTCACTGGAATATAGCTCTGCCCAATGCATTTATGTACTGTCTGTGGCTCCCTCTACTACAACTAGAGGGTTGAGTAGTGCATCAGAGACCATACAGTGCCCTGCTATGCTGAGAAATGTTTTTAAATAAAATGAATGGTAAAATCGTTATTAAAAAGACAAAAAATATTCTCAGGTATTTTGGTTTAGAAGTGGCATTTGCAATATTTAAATATATTTTCTTAGGATTTATTTTTAACTAGTTAAAAACAACAAAAACTGTATCTTTTGAATCAGGCATTTTAAATGTTAAAATATTTAGAGGTGGATGACTTATGCTTATAAATCCTGCTTTTCAGCAGTGAAGGTGTTAATGGTTCCTTAAATGAGACCAAGAGTATGGTAGGGTCTGTAACTGTATGGTGCAGCAGGAGTAGGAGTTTCCACTACGCTTTGTTACACTAATAACCCTGAATTATCAATCAGCAAGTCAGCGTGTTTTAGAAACTACACCACCCACGTTTCCTCTGCCTCCTATAGCTGCACACTAAAATAGCCTGAAGGTGAAGCCAGACAGACACCCTTGTCATTGAATGGGCTGACCGTGACCAATACAGTTGAGTTTACTTCTTTTGCTAAAATCATGGAGAAAAAAGAGCAGCAACAACAACAACAACAACAACAAAAATGAACAATACAAAGCTTGAGGGCAATCACTGTAACAATTTTGAGAGAAATAAAGTTGAAAGTGGCTGAACACAATGATTAGCTCAGACTTCACTTTCACAAGAAGGCTATTTTTGGAGTTACATATTTTAATTGTTGATAAAGAAGGCTGTAACAGAAAGAATGCCCAGTCAATATGTAAAATGATAGCAATTTACTATAACAACCATAAAATCATCAGGCTACTGACAGCTGGAGAAATTCCACATGCTAAGCAACTCAACTCCAAAGAAATATTAGAGGTTTGAGATGAAAAATACACTTGAACCTGTAATTGAATTAGACAAGCCTCACTGCACGTAGGGCTACAGCGGTCACCAGGACACAAAGCAAATGTCGGGTTACCAGAAGTGCAGTTATCAGCCACAGTGATTTATTGAGTGCTTTAATAATACAAGTGTACATCAACTGATCCACAGTCAAAAGTGGCAGGTCCCTAAGAAATTTACAAGCACTTTAAGTAAATCAAAATACATATTATTTTGTTCAATCCAACAGTCTTCTGCGGGAGGGACAGAAGGCTAGTGATAAACAGAGTCTCAGTAATGCACAGTGATTCTGATTGAAGCTTTTGTACAAAAACTTGTTCCCAGTAGCATGCACCCACCAATAAAGACTTCAGTACAAAAAATTAACCCTAAGCACTACATTTAAGTAGAAACGAGATATAATTCTGAATGTGTTTTCCCAAAGATCACATAAAAGAAAAAAAAATCAAAATCAAATAAACAACAACAAAAAAAACAAAACCACACAGTAATACAAAGCTTTGTAAGAAAGCTCTTACTATTACAGCTCCAACATTGTTTGCACTGAAAACAAAAGTTCCCATCTATGATGAGGTGGGAAAAAATCCCAAATCTTTCAAGTTAACAGAAATCAACAAGGGAATAAAATGAGAGATAAAAGAGAGCGTGGGAGAGAGGAAGGGGGGCAGGAAGAACTGGGATGGGAAGATGGACAACATACCATCACAAAATGGTTCCAAATTTAATAAAAATAGGAAAATAAGAACCGAGGTCTGGAGGGGTGGGCAGGGCTACCGATGCACTTGGTGAATGTGCTTGCACAGGTCCCGCGGGGCGGCAGGCAGCAGGCCCCTATGTGGCGTACCGCTTGGTCCACTGTCTGGCCATCCGGTCATGCTCTGCTCTGTTGGTCATGTACTGTGTGGCGATGCTGCCCACCAGAGGGTCAGCTGCAAGGAAAGCAGAGTTGGGAGTCAGTAAATACCAGCACTGTGGGGGAAGAAGTGTTCAGAAAGCTGGCAAGGAGTGGGAGGGTAGGAGATGAGAAGCTGCTGTTCTAACCTGGACCACCATTGCTGCGGCTGAGCCAGTCACCTGCTGCTGACAGACTACATTTCACACCAGCTGCCCCAAGAGTCACCTATCTGTATTTTACTGATAGCTCTTGTCATATTTCTTGACAAGTCTTATTCTCTTTCCCTGTACCCACCACATACTTCTCACCTTGCTCCCCTCGTATTGGTTTTTTTTTTTTTCTTTTGAGACAGGGTGTTGCTCTGTCACTCAGGCTAGAGTGCAGTGGCATGATCACAGCTCAGTGTAGCCTTGACCTCCTGGGATCAAGCAATCCTCCTCCTGCCTCAGCCTCCTGAGTAGCTGGGACCACAGGTGTGTGCAACAACACCTGGCTAATTTTCAAATTTTTTTTTGTAATTTTGGGGGTCTCACTATGTTGTCCAGGATAGTCTCAAACTCCTGGGCTCAAGTTATCCTCCTGCCTCAGCCTCCCAAAGTGCTGGGATTACAGGTGTGAGATGCCTGTCTTCAAGTAGATATTTCACGGAGAAAATGCAGGTGGGCTGTGGGCAGGGGACTCATGGGCTCTTGATGAGCTCTCCTGGGAAGACGTTTGGCGGTCTGGACAACTCCTTACCCTAGGCTAGCACCACAGGCAGGTGGCATTCTCCTGCCAGATTACCTTATCTGAGGAGACGCCAGAGTCTGAGCTGGACAGTCAAAAGAGGGGAGAGATGGTCCACTTCTTCCTCAAAATTTGGTAACATCCAACCTACATAGCTCATTATTACAAAAATACTAATAGATGTTAATAATAGCTAACACTCACCATGACTAACCATGTCCTAAAACTCTAATATGTTAATGACATGGATTTCTAAGGAGCTGACACAGGAGGAAATTGGAGCATAAGGAGGCTGAGTCTCTTGCCCAACGTGGAGAAAGGGGTGGAGCAGGGCTTGGAGCCAGAGTTCACCCTCTTAACTAACAGGGTGCTGTTAGTTAACAGGGTGCTTAACTTAACAGGGTGCTGGGAGATAGCTCTCTATCCAGAATATTGATTGGGTCAACGTTTAATTAAAAAAATTGGGGCACGGTGGCTCATGCTTGTAATATTAGCACTTTAAGAGGCTGAGGCAGCAGGATCGCTTGAGTCCAGGAGTTTGAGTCTGTAGTGAGCTATGATCGTGCCACCACATACCAGCCTGGGTGACAGAGTGAGACCCTCTTTAAAAAAAAAGACAAAAAAAAAAAAACAAAAAAACAAAAAAACAAAAAGCAAAGCAATTAAAAAAAAAGTAACTTAGGTTCCTAAAGATCCCAGATTCTACTCTTTTCCCTCCAATTCTCTAATTTCACTCTTTCCCCGATTTATATTTCCCCTATTTTTGGTATTGGGAATTTGGGTATATTAGAGCAGTCAGGTAAGGAGGATCCACTAGGGAAAATGAGAAAAATCATCAAAAGCTAATGTTTGGTAGGAAAAAAATAGTAGAGAATATGGAACTACGTCTGTGGCCCAACACCACCGGCAACTTGGGAAGATCCTGAGACTAACCTTGTAAGGCACTCATGGTCATATGTTCTCAATATGAAAGGTATAATAGAAACACCACTTTTTAACCTATCTGCTGAAGCTCATGATAACAAAGCCTTTGAAAGCCTGCTCAACAAGACTTGCTTAAGTTTTCCTGGAATTGTGTAAATCTCGTAATAATTATTCCAGGGAGAAGCCAGTTTCCTACATTCACTTATATCACAATTAGTAGACTACTTAGTATGTGGGTTTGTTCGAAACGTTTGCCTCTCTGCCTACTCTTTGTGATTCTTCTTCATTTTCTCAGATGTTGAAATGAAAACTCTACCATTTCACCCAGTCCAGTCAAGATTCAACAAGATTTAAACCAGCACTACCAAATACAGACACAAAATATCTGGCAATTGGCCAGGATACTTTTTTAAAAATGTAGCCTTTCACTTGAGCTTAAGTAATGACATTAGAGTAATAGGGGCCAAAGTGAAATCTGAGTCACATTTCTCTACCTTCAAAAAAAGTAATCTTGTTCTGATTCCTGGCATTCTAGAATGCAAAGAGTAGGGTGAAACGTGGGCATCCTTAATAGTTTAAGTCTGTATCACTCAAGATAGGTGTTTAATTAAATAGAACTTATATTAGTGAAACACATTGAAGATCCATTCTAACTTACTGATGAAGGTAAGGCTCAATGTCAGAAGAATAACACTGACTTATATGTTCCACCTCAAACTGTACCCACATCCAGAGTGTACACACTGGGAATAAGACAGGTCTGCCACTTCAGCTCAAAGGGGGTGGAGGGAAACAAATGAAGAATAAAGGGAACAAGAAGCTGTGGGGTGGGAAAATGTGTCATATCAACTGTTAATAGTATTTCAGTACAGGCAAAAGGAGAAACAATTAAAAACAAGTTAGAGTGCTGGTAACAATTAGCGTGCGTTGTGCAAACTTTTTTTTGCATGCTTAACATTTAATTGCTTTCAAGGTTCTTTTACGTTTTCAAATTTGATTAAAAAATTTTTTTTCCACCTGTAAAATTATACACACTAACTATAAAACAGTAATTAATAATAATTTAGAAAACCACCTCAGACAATATGCAAGACAGGAAGTTGAAAGTAAAGACCATCTCGTGTATAAATCCACGCAAAGAAAACTGCTGTTAACATCGTGGTATGTTTTCTTCCTACACTTCTAATCACATGATGTAAAAAAAAAAAAAGGGATTAATTTATAGTCTGCTTTTGTAATCTTTTAAAAAATAACTATGATTTTTATACCGATATGGTAAATAACTTTTTACATAGATAATTGTAGATCTACTTCATCATTTCTAATACCTGAATTAAGAACGAATTTCCTGTTTTTAGATGTTTGGGTACTCTCCAACTTTTGTTTTAAAAACAACGATGTGAGGACCATTACCATGCATGCATCTTTGGAAGTTATACAAATCTTAAATTTGTTTAAAGTATAAAATGAAGGGATAAAGTAAAAATACACAATGAAGGAATTAAAAAAATCATGTTATTGGCTGGGTCAGATGGCTCACGTCTGTAATCCCAGCACTTTGGGAGTCTGAGGGTGGAGGACAGCTTGAGGCCAGGAGTTCAAGACCAGCCTGGGCAACACACTGAGACCCCCAACTCCACAAAAAAATAACAAAAATTAGCCAGGTGTGGTGGTGTGCCCCTGTAGTCCAGCCTACTTGAGAGGCTGAGGTGGGAGGATCGCTTGAGCCCAGAAGTTTAAGACTACAGTGAGCTGTGATCATGCCACCACACTCCAGCCTGGGTGACAGAGCAAGACTCTGTTTCTAAAAAAATAAAAAAGACCACTAACAATTAGTATTTGATGTTCACTTAAAATTCTATTCAACATAGTAACTATCTTCTCATATCAATTTACATGTCCCTATGATTTTCTGAATATTACCCCCAGTAGCAGTGCTGATGTTTAAGCTAATATTTCATGAAAGGAGAAAAAGGCTACAAACTACTTTTTCATATGCTGCACATAAAGATTCAGCTCAGTGGAATAATCCTGAAGAGCTAGTTGTGAAAATGGATCTCTGCTGAAAATGGTAAATTGTATATGCTTAATTAAGGGAGGACTTTTCAATGTGAAAGTCTGAAAATACTGTTTCTTAGCAGAATGTTAAACTTAATAAATGGTAAATAAAAGTCATGAATTTAGCAACACTAAAAGGTAATAAAAAAAAAAAACATGTTATCAACCAAATAATTTTTTTTTTTTGTTGAGACAGTTTCACTCTGCCATCCAAGCCAGGCTCCAAACATAAATTACTGTACCCTATTTCTCTAACAAGAAGAAAATATTTCCCATCATTTTGGGTTTCTAGATTGTTACTATTTTCCCAAATCTTTATTAATATTTGAGATTATCATCTGTCAGTTTTCCTCATTTTTACTAAAGAAAAGCCACAAAATTTATCAGTAGATAAGTAAATTGAAATCAAAGCCTCCCACATTTTCTGTTTTTGTTCAAAAATTATTTACACTTTTGAAAAGAGGAGCATGTTCAGACTTATGCAGAACAGAGTTAGATGACTTCAAGTACTTAATTCTCCCAAACACCAGTACGGCATGTATTAGAGGTTTCCTGAGGCAGAAGTATAGGATCTACAGTGTGGTTAACAGAATATCATAGAGATGGAAGTTAGGTATACAAAGCTTTCCTCTAAATCACATTTCCTCATCTGTTTAATAAAAATCATGTCTTTTTTTTTTTTTTTTTTTGAGACAGGGTCTCACTCTGTTGCCCTGGCTGGAGTGCAGTGGTGGGATCATAGCTCACTGCAGCCTTGACCCCTGGGCTCAAGCAATCCTCCTGCCTCAACTTCTTGAGTAGCTGGGACTACAGGCACACAGTAGCATGTCCAGTTTATTGATTTATTTTTTTTGGTAGAGACGGCAGATGTTGCCCAGGCTGGTCTTAAATTCCTAGCTTCAAGTGTCCTCCCACCTTGGCCTCCAAAAGTGGTGCGATTACAGGATGAGCCGCTGCTCCAAGCCAGCATCATGGCATTTTTGTTAACAAAATACCAGTCATAAAATAATAACCTGAATGAAAGCGTAAGACTGCAAGATCACTGATGAAGGGGAACATACCTTCTTCTTACTCACCTCTACTTCCTCTATCTCACCTCTGTCTCCCTACACAATTTAGAAGCAAAGAGTACATACCTGTCAACTAACAATCACTATTATTTGCAAGCGAGTGAAAGACTGTCATACCAACTGGGCACAGCGGCTCATGCCTGTAATCTCAGCACTTTGGGAGGTTGAGGCAGGAGGATGGCCTGAGCCGAGGAGTTTGAGACCAAGCCTGGGCAACACAGTGAGAACCCATCTCTACAAAAAAAAAAAAAAAAAAAAAAAAACAAAAAACAGCTGGGTGTGGTGGCATGTACCTGTGGTCCCAGCTTCTTGGGAGGCTGAGGTAGGAGGTTCACTGGAGCCCAGGGGGTCGTGATTACAGTGAGCCATGATTGCGCCACTGTACTCCAGCTGGGCGAAAGAGCGAGACCGTCTTTCCAGAAAAAAAAAAAAAGATTGTCATATTGCGTAATCTACCTCTTCGCATTTTTTGAGATCTGTGGTATGTGCACCTTTGATTCTAGAGGAAAAAGGCTCAGACAACTCCCACCTTGCCTCTTTAATGGATGGAGCTACACTGGGTACCCTGGAAGCCAAAGGGTTTATAGTCCCACCTAGAAAAGGGAGGACAGAGACAGGGAACAAGACTAAAAGGGATCGATGGATGTAGATGCAAAAATCCTCAACAAAATACTAGCAAACCAAATCCAGCAGCATACAAAAAAGCAAATCCACCATGATCAAGTAGACTTTAACTTTGGGATGCAAGGTTGGTTCAACACATGCAAATCAACAAATGTGATTCATTGCATAAACAACGCAAACAAAAAACCACGTGATCATCTCAACAGATGCAGAAAAGGCTTTTAAAATTCAACATATCATCATGTTAAAAACCCTCAACAAACTAGGCACTGAAGGAACATACTTCAAAATAATAAGAGCCCTCTATGAAAAACCCACAGCCAACATCATACTAAATGAGCAAACATTAGAAGCATACCCCTTTTGAAATCCAGAACAAATCAAGGATGCCCTCTCTCACTACTCCTAGTCAATATTACACTGGAATTCTTAGCCAGAGCAATCAGGCAAGAGAAAGAAATAAAATGCATTCGAATAGGAAGGGAGGAAGTCAAACTATCCCTGTTTGTAGACGATATGATTCTATACCTAGAAAACCCCACTGTCTCTGCCCCAAAGCTCCCTGACCTGATAAACAACTTCAGCAAAGTGTCAGGATACAAAATCAATGCACAAAAATCAGTAGCATTTCTATGCATCAACACCATACAGGCTGAGAGCCAAAACAAGAACACAATCCCATTCACAATAGCCACAAAGAAAATAAAATACAGCTAACCAGGGAGGTGAAAGATCTTTACAATGAGAATTACAAATCACTGCTCAAAGAAATCAGAGGTGACACAAACAAATGGAAAAACATTCCAAGCTCATGGAAAGGAAGAAGTTTGTTAAAATGGCCATACTGCCCAAAGCAATTTACAGGTGCAACGCTATTTCTATCAAACTACCAATGACATTCTTCACAGAACTAGAAAAAACTATTTTAAAATTCATATGGAACCAAAAAAGGGCCTGAATAGCCAAAGCAATGCTAAGCAAAAAGAACAAAGGTGGAAGCATCACATGACCTGACTTCAAAGCATACTACAAGGCTATAGTAACCAAAACAGCATGATACTGGTACAAAAACAGACACATAGACTAGTGGAACAAAATAAAGAGCCCAGAAATAATGCCACATATTTACGACCATCTGATCTTTGACAAAGCTGACAAAAATAAGCAATGGGGAAAGGACTCCCTATTCAATAAATGGTGCTGGGCTAACTGGCTAGCCATATGCAGAAGATTGAAATTGGACCCCTTCCTTACACCACATCCAAAAATCAACTCAAGATGGATTAAAGACTTAAATGTAAAACCTAAAACTATGAAAACCCTGGAAGACAACTTAGGAAATACCATTCTGGACACAGGCCCTGGCAAAAATTCCATGATGAAGACTCCAAAAGCAACTACGACAAAAACAAAAATTGACAAATGGGATCTAATTAAATGAAAGAGAGTCTGCACAGCAAACAAACACACAACACACACACACACACACACACACACACACACACTCAACAGAATAAACAGACACTCTACAGCATGGGAGAAAATATCTGCAAACTACGCATCTAACAAACGTCTAATATCCAGAGTCTACATGGAACTTAAATTTACAAGCAAAAAACGAACCCCATTAAAAGGTGGGCAAAGGACATGAACAGACATTTCTCAAAAGAAGGCATATATGTGGCCAACAAGCATAGGAAAAAATGATCACTGATCATTAAAGAAATGCAAATCAAAACCAAAATGAGATATCATCACATACCAGTCAGAATGACCATTATTAAAACGTCAAAAAATAACAGATGCTGGAAAGGTTATGAAGAAAGTGAATGCTTATACACTGCTGGTGGGAGTGTAAAGCGTTTCCACAAACCACTGCGGAAAGCAGTGTGGTGATTTCTCAAATAACTCAAAGCAGAATTACCATTTGACCCAGCAATCCCATTACGGGGTATATCCAAAGGAATATTTCTATCATAAAGAAACATGTATGTGTATGTTCACCATGGCCCTATTCACATCAGCAAAGACATGGAATCAACCTAAATGCCCATCAATGGTAGACTATCTAGATAAAGAAAAAAACCGTGGTATATATACACAATAGAATGTTATGCAGCCATAAAAAAGAATGAGATCATGTCCTTTGCAGCAACATGGATAGAGCTGGAGGCCATCATCTTAAGCAAACACAGGAACAGAAAACAAAATACCGCATGTTCTCACTTATAAGTGGGAGCTAAACATTCAGTACCCATGGACACAAAGAAGCAAACAACAGATACCATGGCCTACTTGAGGGTGGAGGGTGGGAGAAGGGTGAGGATAGAAAAACTACCTATGCTTATTACCTGGGTGACAAAACCAACTGTATATCAAACCCCTGTGACATGCAATTGACCTATATAATAAATCTGCACATGTACCCCTGAAACTAAAACAAAAAATCCAGACTAAAAGGGATAAGCAGCAGCTAAGTGGTAAGAGGAAAGTGAATCCTGAGGAAATGGAGAAAAGACAGGCAGACTGCTGAACTGCTGAATGACTCTATTTGCAAGACCAAAGAACATTCTATCTTGGTTGGTAGGTGGTATGGAAGAAATTACACGAAAAATTTTTTTATTCCCCTTTCATAAGAAAACATACACATCTTGAAGAAACACAAAGATAGTATAGCATAGTGGAAAAGGGCATGGGCATTGGATCCAGAATGTCTGGGTTTTTAACTTAGTTCCACCACGGAGTCAGGTCACCTTGGGAAATTACTGTGCCTCAGTTTCCTCAACTGCAAAATGGGGAGAATAATGGTACCTACACTTCATAGTTTGTTATGAGAATTAAGTGAATTAATCCTTGTAAAGCATATACAAATTGAAAACAAATATGTATTTGTGTGCATCTTTTAAGAATATATACCTGATTGTCTTCTTAAAGACATTCTCTTCAGATAAAATCCAAACTCAGCATGGCTCCCAAGGTCTTCTGTGATCCAGACTTTATCTTTCTAGCCTCCTCCCCTCATGCTTTAACCATAATAAATGACTTTCAGCTTTTTAAATAAGCCCTGCTCGAGGATGCCAGGAGTTTAAGATGAACCTGATCAATATAGCGAGACCCCGCCTCTACATAAATTTTTAAAAATTAGCTGGGTGTGGTGGTGCATGCCTATAGTCCCAGCTACTCTGGAGGATCCCTTGAGTCCAGGAGTTCAAGATTGTGGGGAGCTATGGTTGTGCCACTGCACTCCAGCCTGGGTGTCAGAGTGAGACCCCACCTCAAAAATAAATAAATAAAAATTAAAAAAATAATAAAAGGACCAACAATTTCACCATTTACCTGAAATAAAAGCCCTTTGCCATATGCAAAACGTGTTTAACATGAATCAGATCTGACGTTAGATAGGAAGTTACGTGACATTACCATAAGGATTTTTAAAACTTAAGATATTTTGTAAAGTTTGGGATATTTTCTGGGACATCTGATTACCTGAATCAAGTTATTAAAATATGCAATAAAAAAATAAGCCCTGCTCTTTTATGATTATGTTTGTTTGCTTATGTTGGTTCCTCTGCCTGGGATAACCTTTTCTACTTTTTTACCTGGCAGGCTTCTACTCATTTCTCAACATTTAGTTCAAGCATAGCCTCCCTGAGGATGTCTTCCAGGGGCTTCCTAGCAGTCTTATGTGTCCCATCTCTGATTTGTTTGTTCATATCTCTATCATTGCACTGCAAATACAGGCATACCTTGGAAATGTTACAGGTCTGATTACAGACTGCCGCAATAAAGTGAATGTCACAATAAAGTGAGTCACACATATTTTTTGGTTTCCCAGTGCGTGTTTATACTGTAGTCTATTACGTGTGCAATAGCATTATGTCTTAAAAAAGTACATACCTTAAAAATATTGCTAAAAAAATGCTAACAATCATCTGAGCCTTCAGTAAGTCGTAATCTTTTTACTGTTGGAGGATCTTGCCTTAATGTGGATGGCTGCTGACTGATCAGGTTACTGAAGGCTGGGGTGGCTATGGCAATTTCTTACAATAAGACAACAATACAGTTTGCCGCATCGATCGACTCTCCCTTTCAGGAAAGAGTTCTCTGTGCATGTGATGTTGCTGTTTGACAGTATTTCACTTACAGAACTTCTTTCAAAATCGGAATCAAGCCTCTTAAATCCTGCCACTGTCTTATCAGCTAAGTTTATATGTAATATTCTAAAAACTTTGTTGTCATTTCAGTGTTCAAACAATCTTCACCAGTAGATTTCATCTTAGGAAACCACTTTCTTTGCTCACCCATAATAAGCAACTCTTCATCTGTTCAAGTTTGTTCATAAGATTATAGCAGTTCAGTCACATTTACAGGTACTACTCTAATTCTAGTTCTCTTGCTATTTCCATTACATCTGCAGTTATTTCCTCCAATAAAAGTTGTGAAACCCTCAAATCATCCACGAGAGTTGGAATCAACTTGTTCAAAACTCTGGTTAATGTGGATATTTTGACCTCCTCCCATGAATCACAAATGTTCTTAATGGCACACAGAATGGTGAATCCTTTACACAAGGTTTTCAATTTACCTTGGTCAGATCCATCAGAGAATCGCCATCTATGGAAACTATAGCCTTAGGAAATAGTATTCTTTTTTCTTTTTTTTTTAAGAGACAGGGTCTTGCTCTGTTGCCCAGGCTGGAGTGCAGTGGTACGATCGTAGTTCACTGTAACTTCGCGATCCTGGGCTCAAGTGATCCTCCTGTATCAGTCTCCCAAGTAGTTAGGACTACAGACACAAACCGTCATGCCTGGCTAACTTTTAATTTTTGTTGTTGTTGTTGTTGAGAAAGGGTCTTGCTATGTTGCCCAGGCTGGTCTCAAACTCCTGGCCTCAAGTGATCCTCCCACCTAGCCTCCCAAAGCACTGGGATTACAGATATGAGTCACCACACCCAGGCTTTTAGGTTTTTTTTTTTTTTTTTGAGATGGAGTCTTGCTCTGTTGCCCAGGCTGGAGTGTAGTGGCACGATCTTGGCTCACTGCAAGCTCCACCTCCTGGGTTCACGCCATTCTCCTGCCTCAGCCTCCTGAGCAGCTGGAACTACAGGCACCTGCCATCATGCCTGGCTAATTTTTTGTATTTTTACGGGGTTTCACCATGTTAGCCAGGAAGGTCTCGATCTCCTGACCTCATGATCCACCTACCTTGGCCTCCCAAAGTGCTGGGATTATAGGCATGAGCCACCACGCCCTGCCTAGTTTTCTTAAATAATAAGAATTGAAAGCTGAAATTAATCCTTGATACATGGCCTTCAGAATGGATGCTGTGTTAGCAGGCATGAAAACAACATTCAACTCTTCATACATCTCTATCAGAGCTCTTGGGTGACCAGGTGTATTATCAACCAGTAGTAGTATTTAAAAATTTTTTTTTAACTTTTAAGTTCAGGGGTACATGTGCAGGATGTGCATGTTTGTTACACAGATAAACACGTGCCATGGTGGTTTGCTGCACAGATCATCCTATCACCTAGGTATTAATCCCAGCATCCATTAGTTATTCTTCCTGATGCTCCCCTTCCCTGCCCCCTCTGACAGGCCCCAGGGTGTGCTGTTCCTCACCATGTTTCCATGTACTCTCATCATTCAGCTCCCATTTATAAGTGAGAACATGTGGTGTTTGGTTTGTTTCTGTGCTAGTTTGCTGAGGATAATGGCTTCCAACACCATCCATGTCCATGCAAAGGACATGATCTTGTTCCTTTTTATGGCTGCACAGTATTCTATGGTGTGTATGTATCACATTTTCTTTATCCAGTCTATAATTGATGAGCATTTGGGTTGATTCCATGTCTTTGCTATTGTGAGTAGTGCTGCAATGAGCATATGTGTGCACGTATCTTAATAACAAAATAATTTATTTTCCTTTGGGTATACACCCAGTAATGGGACTGGTAGGTCAAATGGTATTTCTGCCTCTAGGTCACTGAAATATCACACTGTCTTCCACAATGGTTGAACTAATTTATACTCCCATCCACAGTGTAAATGCATTCCTTTTTCTCTGCAATGTTGACAGCATTTGTTGTTTTTTGACTTGTTAATAATAGACATTCTGACTGGCATGAGATGATATCTCATTGTGGTTTAATTTGCATTTCTCTAATGAGTGATTTTGAGCTTTTTTTCATATTTTTATTGGCCACACGTATGTCTTCTTTTGAGAAGTGTCTGTTCATGTCCTTTGCCCACTTTTAAATTTTTTTTCTTGTAAATTTGTTTAAGTTCCTTGTAGACTCTGGATATTAGATCTTTGAGTACTAGTATTTTGAAAAGAATCTTTTTTTTTTTTTTTTTCTGAGAGGTAGGTCTCAACCGTGGGCTTAAAATATTCAGTACGTCATATTAAAAAAGATGTGCTGTCATCCAGGCTTTGTTCTTCCACTCAGAGAGCACAGGCAGAGTAGGCACAGGCAAGTTTTTAAGGGTCCTAGGATTTTTGAAATGGTAAATGAGCACTGGCTTCAACTTGAAGTCACCAGCTACATTAGACCCCTACTAAGAGAGTCAGCCTGTCCTTTAAAGCTGTGTAGCCAGGCATTGATTTCTCTCCAGCTATAAATGTCCTAGATTGGTATCTTTCAACAGAAGGCTGTTTCATCTACAATGAAAATCTGTTTAATGTAGCCACCTTCATCAATTATCTTAGCTAGATCTTCTGGACAACTTGCTGTAGCTTCTATATCAGCAACTGCTTCTACATCTTGCACCTGCCTTGTTCCTTGGTCACCCTCAACCTTGCAATTTTATGTTAGGAAGATGGCTTCTTTTTTAAAACCTTGTGAGCCTACCTCTGCTAGCTTCCAACTTTTTTTCTGCAGCTTCCTCACCTCTCGGCCTTCACAGGATTGCAGAGAGTTACGGCCTTATGCTGGATTAGGCTTTGGCTTAAGGGAGTGTTGTAGCTGGTCTGACTGTCTATCCAGACCACTAAATCCCTATCAGCAATAAGGGTGTGTTGCTTTTTTTTTTTTTTAAATCATTCCTGTGTTCATCAAAGTAGCACTTTGTATTTTCTTTAAGAACTTTTCCTTTCCATTCACAACTGGCTAATGCTTGACACAAGAGGCCTAACTTTTGGCCTGTTTTGGCTTTTGACATGCTTTCCTCAATAAGCTTAATTATCTCCATCTTTCAATTTAAAGTGAGAGACATTTGACTCTTCCTTTCACTTGAACACTTAGAGGCCATTACAAATCAATTACAATAGTAGCATCAGAGATCACTGATCACAGATCACCATAAAGGATATAATAATAAAGTTTGAAATATTGTGAGAATTACCAAAATGTGACACAGAGACATGAAAGAGCACACGCTGTTGGAAAAATGGGGCTGACAGACACGGGCTTGCTACTAACCTTCAATTTGTTAAAAAAAAAAAACAATAACAACAGTATATGTGAAACACAAAAGCACTGTCAAACGAGGTGTGCCAGTACTGCCTTTTAGCTGTCTGTTTACTTTTCTGTTTTCTCACTGGACGGGAGCCCATGCACTCATTCAACAAATATTTATTGAGCCCCTACTCTGTTCCAGGTACTGGAGAACCAGTGCTAAACAAGTTTCTCCCCTCACAGGACTGTCTGTCATCTCTGTATCCCTCTTACCCTATATGTTTACTGCATGGATGGATGGATGATTAGAAGAATATAAGTAGATAAGGTATACACACAACAACAGCCATATATAGCACAGTCACTCCACAAGGCAGGTGTTCCTTTGCAGCACTAGCATTATAAATAGATTGCATCATAGATGTTTGTCCTGTCTCTACTCAAGGATTACTAGGAAGTCAGAGATAGGGACATGGTGGTGATTTTAACAGCATTCTTTCACTTTTCTCCTCTAATTATGTAAACATAATTTAAAAATTATGTTTTTTTAAACATAATTATTTTGTTATTGGAATTTGTGGCCTGCACTTTGCCATTTCTTGGATTCTTCAAGGCTATGATCCACTGTCCTCCGGCAGTTCCACTGTATCTTTGATTAATGTTATTCTTTTCGCTCCCCAAGTCACTGGAGGCTATCTGTGAGTTGTCTTAAAATGAGAGAAATAATTAATTTTTGTTTCTTTCATAATACTTTTATTCCATGGTTTGGTCTAGCCTAGTTTTATTTAAATCTTTTATAAAATTAAAACATAACAGATGTGCATTATAATAAATTCAAATAATACAGAAGTATGTATAAAGTAAAAAAATACTACCTTCTCTTCAACTCAATACCCCCTTCCACCTTGAGGCAACTACAGTTAATGGTTTGACCCTCATCCTTCCATATTTTATTTATTTAAATAGAAATCGCACAGACATTCTGCAACTCGCATTTTCTTCTGTAACAATGTACCGTAGCTGTGTTTCTGAGACAGCACATATTGACTTAGCACATTAGTTTTAGTAACTATAAGGCATTCCTTTGCATAGTGAGTCAGCATTCATTTTTCCACTCCCCTTATGATCACATTTAGATTTTGATTTTTTGCTGTTAGAACTATATTACAGTCTTGTATAAATCTTTGAGGACATATTTGAGTACTTCTGGAGGGCAGATTCCTGGACCACTGTATACATTTTAAATGTCTGGTAAATGCTGCCAAACCACCCTTCAATAAAAGTATGTACAATTTACTCTCTTTCTGGGCATTCTCACCAACTCATTATCAGCTTTTTTGTTTTTTTTCCAAACTAACAGAAAAATAATCTGTCGTTGTACCTGTATTTAATTTGATACCTACTGAAGTTTAACATTTTTTCAAGTTTGTTCACCATTTGTATTTCTTCTGTGAGTATTTTGTTCATGTCCTTAGTCCATTTTTTCTAATATGAAGGAACACTTTATACACTATAAATATTGAAAACACACTATAACTAAGCTTTGGCCTCAGTACTCGGTCAAAATTTGCTTTAGCTTTTGGAAGACGGAATAGGCAAATGCCTCATTCAATGTCATTTCCAGGTTTACTGAACTTGTAGAGATCAAAGATCATATAGGTTATTATCACATATAGTAAGCATAACATCATCACTTGGACTTACTGTTAGTATCTGAATACTGATTTTTAAATATTGGTAAGCATTCTGAATGTAACTTGGGACTAAAAATCTCTTTTAGCCAAAGACAAACTACATAATATATGAAGGAAACATCTGGCATTGTCTACACATGTATTCACACAAATGTTCAAAATGAGAGAGAAGAGCAGCCACCACATGTTAAAAGGCTGCTGGAACAAACATGGTTTTAATGTTATCCACTGCAAGTGCTAATACAGGCTGAGTAGCCCTAATCTGAAGATCCAAATTCTGAAATGCTCCAATGCGCATTTCCTTTGAGAGTCATGTAGGTGCTCAAAAAGTTTCAGATTTTGGAGCATTTTCAATATCCAGATTAGGGACACTCAACCTGTACCAAAAGAAAATGACTTGGTAACAAGCAACAGCTGCTGGCATAAAGTGTAGCACATCTGGTGACTGTGTGAAGCAGCAAGTGAATGCAAAAGTATTAGAAATAAAAATGTAATGGCAGAAGTCTTATGTCTGCTTCTTAAATATTGAGAAAGTGTTTTCTTTCTTAGGGACAAGGTCTCATCATGTTGTCCAGGATGAAGTGCAGTGCCTAATCACAGGCATGATTATAGTGTACTATAGCCTCAAACTCCTTGGCTCAAGCAATCCTTTTTTGCTTCAGGCTTCTAAGTAGCTGGGGCTACAGGTGTGTGCCACTGAGATCAGCCTGCAAACTGCTTTCTTTATAAAAATTTATAATTTTTAATGTTTGTGGGTACATAGTAGGTGTATATATTGATGGGGTACATGAGATACTCTGATAAGGCATGGGAATGCAATGTATAACAATCACATCATGGCAAATGGAGTATTCATCCCCTCAAGCATGTATCCTTTGTGTTATGGACAATCCAGTTGTACTCTTTTAGTTATTTTAACATGTACAATTAAATTATTTTTTATTATAGTCACCCTGTTGTGCTAGCAAACACTAGGTCTTTTTCATTCTTTCTAACTGTTTGTATCCATTAGCTGTGCTCACTTCCCTCCCTCTGACACCAACTACCTTTTCCAGCCTCTGGTAACCATTCTTCTACTCTCTATCTTCATGAGTTCAGTGGTTTTAATTTTTAGCGCTCACAAATAAGTGAGAACATGTGAAGCTTGTCGTTCTGTGCCTGGCTTATTTCACTTAACATAATGACCTCCAGCTCCGTCCATGTTGTTGCAAATCATAGGATCTCATTCTTTTTTACTGTTGAATAGTACTCCATTGCATATATGTACCACATTTTTTTTTATTCAGTCAAAGTGTTTTGTTTAAGCATTGCACACAGCTTTAGTTTGTGAAATTGTTTCAATGACAGTGTGTCATCATCAGCTAAGTTTTTAAGTCTAGGAGTTGAGAAGACTTTACCCTTTTGTTACTATTCAAGAAAAAGGAGAGCTTATTGACCTAATAGCACAATCTCCATGAATAGTAACCCATATTGGCGTACATTGCCCACAAAATCCACGCTTTTAATCAGCTGACAACAAGCAGCTATTTAGGTATTGCAAGTGTGGAGGAACCACCTAGCAGCTGGCAGCACTGAGAAAAGATATTGGTACATCATAATGACAAACCTTAAAAACATACTGATGCTTTAATAATAAAACTGTAACATTAAGTTCTTGAAAATAAAATTTCATATTTATTCTTATATCTCAGAAGGTCATTTTATGATGGGAACATTCAGCTTTGCCTTAGGCTGTTCATTGATTTTAATACTGGCTGTTTAGTACTCAGCCAAAATAAATTTAGTGCACTTCTAAAGATAACACGATTCATCTATTATGTGTGGAAAAAATATTTTCTCCCAGTATATGATTTGTCCTTTAACCTAGCTTATGATGTCTCTGGCCAAATATAAATTTAAAAAATTTAAGAATTCAAAGCAGTCCATCTTTCTTTAATATTTTCTGGTTTGATGCATGTTTATAAAGGCTCTCTATATTCACTGCACTAGTTTAGAAATATCTTTGCGTATTTACTTTCTCCTATATTTACAGTAACTTTTATGTGAAATGTTAACTTTATCATACACAAGCTTCCTATGTGTATCTGGACCTGATTCTGTACTTGTTATTCTTTCAACGGAATAATTTGTCTTTTGCTTTACTCACTCCTGATTTGTATCACTATAGCTTTATAGTAGGGTTTGATATCTAGTAAATTAAGTCCTCATCGTACCTCATTCCTTTCCTTCTGTAATTTTTTTTTGAGAACCCTAATCTTGATGAGATTAATACTTGGAGCAATTAAAGCATTTCACCCCAGGGTATAGGACTCTCATGTCCCTCTAAATAATGTCATCAAAACAAAACTACCATTTGACACAACAGTCTCATTACTGGGTATATACCCAAAGGAAAATAGATTGTTCTACCAAAAAGACACTTGCACTTGTACATTCACTGCAGCGCTATTCACAAAAGCAGAGGGATGAATTCAACCTAGGTGCCCATCAACAGTGGACTGGATAAAGAAAATGTGGTACATATACAGCATGGGATAGCATGCAGCAATCAAAAGGAGCAAAATCATATCCTTTGCAGCAACATGGATGCAGCTGAAGGCCACTATCCTAAGTGAATTAACATAGAAACAGAAAACCAAATACTGCATTGTCTCACTTATAAGTGGGAGTTAAGCCTGGGCACACACAGATGTAAAGATGGGAACAAAAGGCACTAAGGACTTCAAAAGGAGAGTGAGAGTCGGGGAAGGGGGCAAGGGCTGAGAAACTTCCTATTGGGTATTATGTTCACTATCTGGGTGACACGATCAACAGAACCCCAAACTTTAGCAACACGCAATATACCTTTGTAACCTGCATATGCACTCCCTGAATCTACAATAAAAATTAAAATTATACATACATATATAATGTTATCAGGATTTAGAAACACTGGAATTCCTCTGAGTCTAAAATGAAGTGATTAGGACAAAGTTGGGTTTTTGTAGTTTGGAAGGTAGAAAAACCTGACTACTAATTATAGGCTTAACCCAAACCAGAAAGATTAAGTATCCTCAAAAGACATAACAGTGTGTGACTTGTAGTGATTAAGGGAGAAAAACGATCATTTCCATGATTTAAATCAAATAATGGACATTATCAAACTAGATCTAAAATTGGGAATGCTAAATAAAACTGCCTAAATCTAGCAACATGTGCTACTGCTTCAGAATCAATAACCAGGGATACTAAAAGAGGTATTAACTATCCCAAATTCCAAGGAGACATTAATATCTCCCTCAGGACTTATTAAGATAAGCTGGCTCTGCCAGCTCCAGGAGTCCAACATAAAACATGAAAAAGAAGAGAAAGGACGTTTGTGGGAATACTGAGCTACTACCTTGGGAGTGTAGTTTGTGTGGCAGTGGAGGTGTCCTGTTCTCCACACCCTCCCCTCCAAAAGATGGCTTTCCTTTCTCAAAGCCACTTCGGGAGGGTACCAAGAGATTCGTTAGTAAAGATTCAGAGTGTCTTCAAGGAGACTCTTGAGTGTTATCCCTGTCTGGAAATTTAAATCAGATATGAGTTGCTTAGGTAGCTGACCTGCTGACCTGCTCCTAGACTAGCTGAGTAGAGAGAGGAAGTGGCAAAAAAAGCGGTCTGTACGATCCTTGCTATCTTGTCAGTGTCCTATCAAGAAGGGAGCACAGGCTGGGCGTGATGGCTCACGCCTGTAATCCCAGCACTTTGGGAGGCCGAGATGGGCGGATCACGAGGTCAGGAGTTTGAGACCAGTCTGACCAACATGGTGAAACCCTGTCCCTACTAAAAATACAAAAATTAGCCAGGCGTGGTGGCACACGCCTGTAATCCCGGCTACTCGGGAGGCTGAGGCAGGAGAATCACTTGAGCCTGGGAAACGGAGGTTGCAGTGAGCTGAGATTGTGCCACTGCATTCTAGCCTATCTGACAGAGCGAGACTCTGTCTCAAAAAAAAAAAAAAAAAAAAAAAAAAAGAAAGGAGCACACAGGTGAGGGGACTCTGATAGCAAAGAGATTCTTAGAAGAATGCTGTGTGTGAGGGGCAGTGGTGCTCTGGAGCCATTATTAAAACATTATACAAACTTATAATTAAATAGGTAATATTAAAAACAAACATAGAAAATACTTAAAAACTCATCACTTCTTAATCAGTTTACTATTACCCTCTATGCTCTTACTTTTTTATTGTCTATGTGCATGGTGGGAAAAATTGTGCTAGCATGCATCTTGTCCCAATTATCCATTTATTAAGAGTTATGTTGGCAACTTGAAATGCAAAAATGGTACAAAATCAGGACTTGATTTATTGTTGACTGTCTAGACTTAAGGAAGTGATAAAGAAGATGCTAATAATGCAGATTAAACTTAAAAGTCTATCATCTCTAGAGTCCTCACACTGTGAACAGTACAAAAATTGGAGGACACATTCTTCTAGTATTTGAAAACTATTATTTGATTTAGCAAAGAAGTTGCTCATGACATTACTAAAAACAAGCTCTGACATCTTTGTTTCACTTTGTCTTATTTCTTAAATGAAAATATCACCCAACAGTCATGTTAGAAATATACTCATTTGTCAGGTGCAATCACAGGATGAATACACAGGAAAGAGTTTGGCAAATATCAATGCCTTTCTGGAAGAATCAGCTGGCTATATGAAATTTACATTTAAGAGTACTGTATATTTTATAATTTATAAATTATTTATTATACATTGTTTACTGTTGTAAATTATTTACTATACATTGTTTACATCAGTAAAATGTACAATAAACTTAGGTATGTACATATACACATACCACCCCTGCCCAGCCTTTTGTTAAACATTTACCAGTACACTACTGGGAAATGGGCTGGGCTGGGCAAGGGGGTTGAGTCTAGGCTAGGTCTTCAACATCAGGGAACTGGGCAGTGAACTCTCCCAGTTACCCAATGTGAAGAAGCATTTTGACACCTGTTACCCAGAAGGCATGGATGGCAAGGCTGTATTTGCCAAAGATGCAGGAAGATGACAACCATGTGAAATTAGGTAAAGGGACACTGTTCTCACTTATTACCTATCCCTCACCCGCAAGGAGTTACGGCTTGATTAGGGGGAAAAAGGAGGTACCAGACCATGTTCCTCGCATTTTGATGGAGTAGAAAGAAGATATTAGATTTAAATCAGGTATAAGATGGGAGTTTAAAAATGGACCAGGTTGACCTTCTAATAATGAGAAAGTGACCCGCAGTAGTGAGTGCTAAAAGATCTGCTAGATATTGTTAAGGGATAGAAAAGCAAGATTCCACAAAACATAGCCTAAGGCAGTAACTGGATAAAATTAAAACCATTCAAAATTAACGCCCCTTGAGTCAATAGTGCTCATAAAACAGTAAAAATACAATGGCTGTATATACTTGATAAAATATTTTTAAAAACTTAAAAACTCAGCCTGTAAGTCTATATAGCAGTGCTACATACATTAAATCAATGCACACTTTGAAATATAAAATGTCCTTTTAGAATAAACTCATCTAAAGAACAGCACAGATGGTGTATTCCTACTGAGAAGCTATTGGGTTGCAATTCCAGGCTTAATTAAGTAATAATTTTTAATGAAATCTCAGAAAATATCCTTACAGTAGAGGACTTAAGATACCAGAGGTCCACACATTACTTTTCCCAAATACCACTGCAAAAAGCTCTAGCTGCAGCAAGTAGTGGAGGAAACAGGCCAAGATGCCAAGATATTGGAAGCTAGGTTTTTAAAAACAGCTTTATTGAGATGTAATTCACATACCATACAATACACCCATTTAAAGTGCACACTTTAATGGTTTTTAGTATATTCACAGATTGGGCAACCATTACCACAATCCATTTTAGAATATTTTTGTCATTCCAAAAAGAAACCCTGTACCCATTAGCAGTTACTCCCCGCTGGCAAATCCACCAGTCCTAGGTCTGGGTATCTACTAATCAAACTACTTTGGTGTCTAGGTAGTTCCCTAATCTGAAAACTTTTCCTAAATGGAATAATATGTAGTCTCTTGTGATTGGTTTCTTTTACAAAGCATGTTCTCAAGGTTCATCCGTGTGGTAGCATCAATACTTCATTCCTTTTTATTATCAAATTATTTTCCATTGTATGAATATATCAGTTATATTTATCCATTTATCAACTGATGGACATGTAGGCTGTTTTCACTTTTTGGCTATTACAAATAATGCTGCAAGGAACATTTGTGTACACCTTTTTATGTGGACATATGTTTTTATTTCTCTTGGGTATATATTTAGTTGTAGGATTGCTTGGTCTTATAACTCTATGTTTAACCATGTAAGGAACTGCTAAAGTGCTGTCCAAGGCAGATGCACCATTTTACATTCCCACTAGCAATGTCTAATTCTCCACTTCCTCACCAATACTTGTTATTATCTGTGGATACTAGATTTTAAAGAATAGCTTATTCTGCATTAGTCTATACCCACCAGGTATCCAGGTATTTTATAAAGTGTTATACATATATATATATATATGTATACATATATATGTGTATATACATGTATATATATATGTGTGTATATATGTATACATATATGTGCGTATATATGTATACATATATGTGCGTATATATGTATACATATATATATGTGTGTGTATATATGTATACATATATATGTATATAATTATATATAAGATATACAAGCGTTTGTTTCTGCCAGCCAGAGAAAATAAATTCTCTTTAAATGGAGTATTTTTCTGATGTTCTCTGGCTATGACAGACAAGATTATCCTGATTGTCTCTTCTGTCTACTCCCACCTCGAAAGAAAAAATGATAATAATAATATAATGAGACTTGTTTATAATGCACACCTTTTGTTCAAAAAAATTTTTATTCCATAATCCTCACATGTAGTCCACCCACTAGTAACTAGTACTGCAAAATATATCAATTCCACCCCCCAAAGTCTTTTCTGTTCACATTCCTCTTCAGTGGGTAAGAGTAGGACAAGGGAATTGTGATAGTGGGTGTGAATACAACAGTCATGCCCTAGACATTGTTACGTATCCGTGGTCTCCACCACGTGTGGGAATCTGAACTTGAGCCAAGAAATAAAAATAACCCAGTGGTTTCAGTTTATAGACCATTCTGCCTGCCTTTGACTGTGGAAAAACTGTGGTCAAGGGAGTCTGGTGAGTCACATGGGTGCTGTCTGTGCTGAGGAGTGACTGTCCACTGAAAGTGTGGGCTCTGATTTGGGCTGAGGCCTTGCTCTTGTTCTCTCCTGTGAGAGGGTGTTATATGAATCTTCTGCTAAAGGTGGGACCAACCATTACCTCTAAAAAGGAGGAAACTTATTGCTCTGTGCCTGCCAACTTCCCCCTCTCCTTGAGGGATGCAGTGTCTCTTTCAGTTTTATATCACAAAACCAACAAAGTGTCTAGGATATAGGATACCACAGATGACCATGCAGTAAGTATTTGTTTAATATATGGATTCATGTACAGTTCAACCTATTGGTCAAGATGACTTAGTTTGTGGGTGGTGGCAGGTTCTTCCAGACTAGACATCCTTCTTCATTTCCATTCTTGGGCCTAACTGATATTTATACCCATAGGATCACTGACTCTTTAAGTCACTGACTTGGCGTGGTGAGCATTCTGACAGGTCTGGTGCCACTTTTTGGGGTTTAATATACAGCTGTCTTGGCTTTGAATCTAAAGCAGACATGATCCATTTCCTATAAGTGACCTTTTGCTTGGTCTTCCAGATTCCCCATGACCTTCTTTCAGTCCCTGAAGGTTTCGATTCTTATCATATATAAAGATTCTTACATTTAGTCTGTATTCAGTAGTTTCCTGTTTTACTGACATCTTGCCTGAACTCGAACATACTGTTGTTTAAACCCCTTAGGCAACATGTTCTACCACCTGACGAAATTCTGTCCACACACAGTGCTTCTCCCCTACCCCTGCCTCAGCCAAGTAAGTGGGCAGTTCTATTTCTGGGATTCAAACTCTTACTATATCCCTCTATTATGGATAAAAAATCATGACCAAACAAATCCTAACACATCACGGGAAGCATATTGTGAACCTTGTTTTCCATCTTTCTGCTGGCAGAAAAGGGGGAATGGCTTGTTTTAGTTATAGAAGCATTAACCCACTGGGTACATGAAATGACTAAATAATATTCACTGATCCTAGAATGCATCTTTTTACCTCACTAAGACTGGTCTGGAAATTTGTGAGAGACCAGGCACAGTCAAGTTCACTTTCTTGAGCTTGGGACACAGTCACTACTGATACTGCCATAGTGGTAAGGAAACTAAGTCCTGAGGATTCTAATTCCCAGATATCTCTTGGCCTTTCCCCTTTCCTTCCTCTTTGTAGCCTTTGTCATCTCTTAACTGGGCCACCAAATACTTTCTTGATATGGTTTGGGTATTTGTCCCCTCCAAATCTGCTGACATGTGACCCTCAATGTTGGAGCTAGGGCCTAGTGGCAGGTGTTGGGGTCAGGGGGGTGGATCCCTCATGAACGGCTCAGTGCTCTTCCCTCAGTAATGAGTGGTAATGAGATCTGGTTGTTCAAAAGAGTGTGGCAACTTCTTGCTTTCGTTTTTGCTCCTTCTCTCACCATGTGACTTGCCTTCACTCTCCACCATTGATTGGAAGCTTCCTGAGGCCCTTCCAGAAGCAGATGCTGGCACTATACTTCTTGTACACCCTGCAGAACTGTGAGCCAAATAAAACTTTTTCTTTATAAATTGCCCAGCCTCAGTTATTCCTTTATAGCAATGCAAATGGACTAACACATGTCTGGAGTGTCTGTCTTCAGGCTGTCCACTACGAGATGAACCAAGTTTCAGTCTCTTATACAAGCTTGGTTACACAACTTCGCTCTTCAAAAACCTTTTAATCACCATTACTCCCCATGAGATCCCCACTGGCAAGGCTTGCTATGCATAAAGATGCATTCTGGCCAATAACTTGATGTCCCAAATGCATTTTAGCCTATTAAATTGTATTTTTCAATGTTCTTATCATACTATTGTCTTCAGCAGGGACTGTTCCAATGCTTTGCTCTTCTCCTTAGTTCTTACTGTTTCAGGAGGAAATATGAGTTTTCAAAAGAGGCAAACATGTTAATTTGACAGAGGGCTAAGACTACTGCAAAAAAGGGAAAATACATGGCAAAAAACTTTATGCTCAGTAAGTGTGAGGTGTTGGCTTATACATTAAAACAACGCATTAATATGTAGTGGCTTCCATCTCTCTAAGTTCAAAAGCAACAAATGAATGACAACTCTGGACAACAATTTAGTCTACATTGTCATTCTGGTCTTCCCTAGGGAGACCAATCTCAGAAAGAAGAAAACGATCTCATGACGGAGGTTCTTAAAGCACAAAAAGGAGGAAAGAAAAGAGGTGGCAGAAGCGCTTATCAAAGTGATCTGCGAACACACTAAGTCCTTTCCAATGATGCTGAACTATTAGGCAGAAGCATCTTGCCCTGTGAGAGGGGAAACATTTAAAAAGACCAACTGCTTATTGTGGGATTTTCCTAATCAGAATTTTAAACTGGATTTTAAACCTTTTCAGAGTTGAGCCAACTTCCCTTTAGCCAGAGGGCCCCTATAACCTCCCTAGGTGGAAATCCCAACCTTCTGCTTCCTGCAGCTTCCCTAAGCAGGTCTTTGATTACGTCTAACAAGCCCTGTTGCACTGGCCTCTGTAACCTGTTGACCTTTCTCACCTTAATTCTCCCAGTCCAGCTGCAAACCTCTTTCACTGAAAAAAAAAAAAAAAAAAAAAAAAAAAGCCATGCCTATTTTTGGGATAAGGACATACAAAAGAAATCTCCAAGTTTCTCACTGTTCATGAGAGTGTAATAATTAGAGTTGGGCCTCTCTCTAAAAGACTGCACAGCAGCTTTGTAAAGTAGTGGAAATCCGGCTTGCATCTGGTTGCCTCCCTCCCTCCCTATTTGGCTAATTCCGGGACCTATTTCCCCTTCCTGACACGTTCATATACCTTGACTCACATCATAATGTGACTGTCACCTAATGTGTCATCTCTCCCAGAGGGATGCACATTTTCAAAGAGAACCATAAAGAGAAGCTATATTTAACAAAAATAAATGAAACTGACACAAAATAATGGGAACAAAAGCGTGTCTGTGTGTGTGTGTATATTGTTTACTTTTTTGACAAGGAGGAATTTTCGGTTCTTCAAGTTACACAGCTGAAAGCCGCCACCCACTCTCCCACTGTAAAGTACCTAGCACAATGTCTGGCACACAACTGCACCTTTTCCTTGCCCTTCTCATATGCCTGGTTTTGATTATTACTTCTCATGTAAGTAGCAGTGCCAGTCATTCTTCATGAAAATGTGACCCTCATTGGTGTTTTAATTTTTAAACATACATTTCAACATTTATATTACACTACTTTAATTCTTTCTCCAAGATACATCATTAAAGACAAGAACATGAGTTGTAGAAACCTGGCTTCTTGGTTGTGACCGCGCAGACCAGTAACAGGTGGAAAGCACCAGGCTTTCTACCCCGTGGATGTGCTGACAGAATCCTATCTACCAGGACCCTAACTCAACATCATATTTACTTAAGACTGGTCAAACCACAGAATTATGTTTGGAAATTCAAGGAATTTCCTTTTAATTCTGTATAAAATGAGACATGCTGAGGCCCCAATTTTAAAATGCTTGTGTGGTGGGCACAGTCACAGGTTCCCTAATGTGGTACCCTCATTTGGAGTATTTTTTGGAGATTGGATTTGGGTGTTAAAATTGAACATGGTAACAAGCACTACATTATACAGCCATATTTAAATTCTAAAATAGTTCTTTTTATAGCAGCCTTATAAAGTTTAATTCATCCCCTTGCACTGAGAGATTTAATGAATGCTTAAAACAGCTCCACCTATTTTTCTATAACTAGCTACATTTGTTTCCAATGTAAATATGCTGTGTATATTTGCATATTGATCATGCATATGTCCAGAGCTGTATTTTGGGGTGGGAAGTGGGGAGAGGCAATGAACAGACCTATTGCCCCTAAATGTGAATGCACTCACATTTACATCATCAATTATATTTTTACTTGTAAATCAGGTATCATTTGTACGTGTACCTATAATGTTTTCCCTGCTTAAATAACCATTCTTCACACACAAACACATGGTTGTTCTTAGGAATGGTAAAAAAAAACAGAAAAAACCTCTTTCCTTCCTTCCTTCTTTCTCTTTTCTTTTCTTTTTCTTTCTTTCTTTCTTTTGTTTTTGGAAGCTTAAATCAACCCTCTAGACCTCTAAGTTTTGCTCCATCTTGTCAGAGGTAACAGGACAAAACTTTTGGCCCTCACACATGCTATACTGTCTTAGGCCTAGAAAAAAACAAACAATGCAGTCTTACGGAAAATACACACCTCATTAACTACTTGGGGCAAATAATATTAATAGAATAAATGATCCTTTTAATTTTATTTACCAATATTTCACTTATAGCTACTTTTAGTGAGTATTCTTGCTTATATCCTTAAATGGTCAATTTGAAATTTATTGAATTCTTTAAAGGATGCAATACAGATAAACAAAGAGGTTAAAAGCTTCAAAGAAGAAATACATCAAAGAAAATAACATGACTTGCTGAGCACACTAAAAGATACTTCTTAGACATCTACAGAACTCTCCACCCCAAATCAACAGAATATACATTCTTCTCAGCACCACACACCTATTCCAAAACTGACCACATAGTTGGAAGTAAAACACTCCTCAGCAAATGTAAAAGTACAGAAATTATAACAAACTGTCTCTCAGACCACAGTGCAATCAAACTAGAACTCAGGACTAAGAAACTCACTCAAAACCGATCAACTACATGGAAACTGAACAACCCGCTCCTGAATCACTACTGGGTACATAACAAAATGAAGGCAGAAATAAAGATGTTCTTTGAAACCAATGAGAACAAAGTCACAACATACTAGAATCTCTAGGACACATTTAAAGCAGTGTGTAGAGGGAAATTTATAGCACTAAATGCCCATAAGAGAAAGCAGGAAAGATCTAAAATTGACACCCTAACATCACAATTAAAAGAACTAGAGAAGCAAGAGCAAACACATTCAAAAGCTAGCAGAAGGCAAGAAATAACTAAGATCAGAGAAGAACTGAAGGAGATAGAGACACAAAAAACCCTTCAAAAAATCAATGAATCCAGGAGCTGGTTTTTTGAAAAGATCAACAAAATTGATAGACTGCTAGCAAGACTAATAAAGATGAAAAGAGAGAAGAATCAAATAGACACAATAAAAAACGATAAAGGGGATATCACTACCGATCCCACAGAAATACAAACTACCATCGGAGAATACTATAAACACCTCTATGCAAATAAACTAGAAAATCTAGAAGAAATGGATAAATTCCTGGACACTTACACCCTCCCAAGACTAAACCAGGAAGAAGCTGAATCTTTTAATAGACCAATAACAGGCTCTGAAATTGAGGCAATAATTAATAGCTTACCAACCAAAAAAAGTCCAGGACCAAATGGATTCACAGCTGAATTCTACCAGAGGTACAAGGAGGAGCTGATACCATTCCTTCTGAAACTATTCCAATCAATAGAAAAAGAGGGAATCCTCCCTAACTCATTTTATGAGGCCAGCATCATCCTGATACCAAAGCCTGGCAGAGATACAACCAAAAAAGAGAATTTTAGACCAATATCCCTGATGAACATCGATGCAAAAATCCTCAATAAAATACTGGCAAACCGAATCCAGCAGCACATCAAAAAGCTTATCCACCATGATCAAGTGGGCTTCTTTCCTGGGATGCAAGGCTGGTTCAACACATGAAAATCAATAAACGTAATCCAGCATATAAATAGAACCAAAGACAAAAACCACATGATTATCTCAATAGATGCAGAAAAGGCCTTTGACAAAATTCAACAACGCTTCATGCTAAAAACTCTCAATAAATTAGGTATTGATGGGACGTATCTCAAAATAATAAGAGCTATCTATGACAAACCCACAGCCAATATCATACTGAATGGGCAAAAACTGGAAGCATTCCCTTTGAAAACTAGCACAAGACAGGGATGCCCTCTCCCACCACTCCTATTCAACATAGTGTTGGAAGTTCTGGCCAGGGCAATTAGGCAGGAGAAAGAAATAAAGGGTATTCAATTAGGAAAAGAGGAAGTCAAATTGTCCCTGTTTGCAGGTCACATGATTGTATATCTAGAAAATCCCATTGTCTCAGCCCAAAATCTTCTTAAGCTGATAAGCAACTTCAGCAAAGTCTCAGGATACAAAATCAATGTGCAAAAATCACAAGCATTCTTATACACCAATAACAGACAGAGAGCCAAATCATGAGTGAACTCCCATTCACAATTGCTTCAGAGAGAATAAAATACCTAGGAATCCAACTTACAAGGGATGTGAAGGACCTCTTCAAGGAGAACCACAAACCACTGCTCAATGAAATAAAAGAGGACACAAACACATGGAAGAACATTCCATGCTCATGGGTAGGAAGAATCAGTATCGTGAAAATGGCCACACTGCCCAAGGTAATTTATAGATTCAATGCCATCCCCATCAAGCTACCAATGACTTTCTTCACAGAATTGGAAAAAACTACTTTAAAGTTCATATGGAACCAAAAAAGAGCCCGCATTGCCAAGTCAATCCTAAGCCAAAAGAACAAAGCTGGAGGCATCACACTACCTGACTTCAAACTATACTACAAGGCCATAGTAACCAAAACAGCATGGTACTGGTACCAAAACAGAGATATAGACCAATGGAACAGAACAGAACCCTCAGAAATAATACCACACATCTACAACTATCTGATCTTTGACAAACCTGACAAAAACAAGAAATGGGGAAAGGATTCCCTATTTAACAAATGGTGCTGAGAAAACTGGCTAGCCATATGGAGAAAGCTGAAACTGGATCCCTTCCTTACACCTTATACAAAAATTAATTCAAGATGGATTAAAGACTTAAACGTTAGACCTAAAACCATAAAAACCCTAGAAGAAAACCTAGGCAATACCATTCAGGACATAGGGATGGGGGTCAAGGACTTCATGTCTAAAACACCAAAAGCAATGGCAACAAAAGCCAAAATTGACAAATGGGATCTAATTAAACTAAAGAGCTTCTGCACAGCAAAAGAAACTACCAGCAGAGTGAACAGGCAACCTACACAATGGGAGAAAATTTTTGTAATCTACCCATCTGACAAAGGTCTAATATCCAGAATCTACAAAGAACTCAAACAAATTTACAAGAAAAAAACAAACAACCCCATCAAAAAGTGGGCAAAGGATATGAACAGACACTTCTCAAAAGAAGACATGTATGCAGCCAACAGACACATGAAAAAAATGCTCATCATCACTGGCCATCAGAGAAATGCAAATCAAAACCACAATGAGATACCATCTCACACCAGTTAGAATGGCAATCATTAAAAAGTCAGGAAACAACAGATGCTGGAGAGGATGTGAAGAAATAGGAATGCTTTTACACTGTTGGTGGGACTGTAAACTAGTTCAACCATTGTGGAAGTCAGTGTGGCGATTCCTCAAGGATCTAGAACTAGAAATACCATTTGACCCAGCAATCCCATTACTGGGCGTATACCCAAAGGATTATAAATCCTGCTGCTATAAAGACACGTGCACACGTATGTTTATTGTGGCACTACTCACAACAGCAAAGACTTGGAACCAACCCAAATGTCCATCAAGGATGGACTGGATTAAGAAAATGTGGCACATATACACTATGGAATATTATGCAGCCATAAAAAAGGATGAGTTCATGTCCTTTGTAGGGACACGGATGAAGCTGGAAACCATCATTCTGAGCAAACTATTGCAAGGACAGAAAACCAAACACCGCATGTTCTCACTCATAGGTGGGAATTGAACAACGAGAACACATGGACACAGGAAGGGGAACATCACACACCGGGGCCTGTTGTGGGGTGGGGGGAGGGGGAGGGGGGAGGTATAGCATTCGGAGATATACCTAATATAAATGATGAGTTAACGGGTGCAGCACACCAACATGGCACATGTATATATATGTAACAAACCTGCACGTTGTGCACATGTACCCTAGAACTTAAAATAAAATAAAAAAATACATATATACATATATAAAAAGAAAGATATTTCTAGCCCCATATTAATAAACAGATACAGAGTGGGAGGTACATCTTAAGACAGATACTGAACAGCCTCTTGGCCTCTAAAGAGCACACCCACTATGTGCATGAGGTATATTTTTACTTGCAAATTAGGTCCAGTATGTACTTACAGAGCTTTACATATTTAAATTACCCAGTCTAGGATAATCATTAAAAAATCAGTAATAAAATAATACTGGAGAACCATTCCTATAAAGATAACAAAAGAATTAAACATCAGCATTTAACTTGAGCAGTTATTTCTAACGTGCATGATACCAAACCACTGTGGTGTCAATTCATGTTTAATATTTTAACCAGACTTAAAATTCTTATTGGAGTGATGAGTAGATGATGGTGACCTTAACTCAACATTGTACAAAAAGAAAGAAAGAAAGGAAAGGAGTGGGGGAGGGAGGATAAGCTGCTCACGGCAGGACAGCCACAGGGCTGCTGGTATTAGTTAAACATGACTATCTTTTATTTCTGGAGACAAGTATTTAAGTTTTGATTAAAATCGGAAATGAAAATCAGCTTAGTAATTTAAATCTAATTCTCACTTGTACGAAGTTCAAATCTCTAGTATAGTCTTTCTGATAGAGAAGGGCCTCCAGGTAATCTAGTGTGTGGTGAGGAGGTGATAGGTCACGGTTAAGGTTGACTACAGGTCAGAAAAACCAGGATGTTTAATGCCTACCATGCCCAGTGACACTTTGAGATTGCTTGCCTCTGGGAGTGATGTTAAATGCTTAATCAAATGCACTTGAATTCCATAAAAGGTACAAAAAAGCCAACTCTCAATTTGTAATCAAGTTATAAGCCAAAATAAAAATGAGGAATTATTTCTCTAGGGATAACCTAAGAATAAAGCTTCAGTGCTTAATTTCATTAGCTGGTTATTTTTAATCTGTCAAAACTAAAGTTCATGGAGTTCTAATATATTCAGCCTGTACCCATAAGCAAATCATTATATTACTCTTGTGTTGAGACTTCAGTTTTCCAGTGACTTATTTGACTAACCTCATTAGAATTTCTTAGGAATGATAATAACTAATTATGGGAATAAAGGTGTCTATACAATTTATTTTTAGCACTCAGATCAGTTAATATAAATACAATTATAAAAAGAAATGGGGTCTTGCTATGTTGCCCAGGTTGGTCTTTGAGCTCCTGGGCTCAAGGGACCCTCTTGCCTCAGCTCCCAAGTAGCTGGGAATACAGGCATATGCCACTGTGCCTGGCAATAAATAACACTGAGATGAACAGATTTCAGTGAAGAGAAGAGTTGAAATAGTCACATTAATATCCTCATCCTGGATGGGCAATATCCCATTGACCAATGCTAGGAAACAATGCCATATTCAAAAAGTTGGTATATGTCATGCCTCCCAATCTCCTCCAATTTAAAAGTTACAGTAAGAATAAGATTCTATAAATTAACCATGAAGAGAGTCTTTATTTCAGAAAAAAATCTGCTGATAAGTTGGTATCTTGAACCTTTTCTTGGAGACTGATTTCAGGATGGTACAAACGTCATAATCTGAATTCATTTACCAGATTTGCTTTTACATGAGTCTGAGACTCGGGCATCAAGCTGTAAAGATATACATAACTACATAAAGATATGTCTGTACATCTATGTTTGCCCAGGTGTATAAACTGAGGGGCAGAGAAGGAGGAATAATGAAGTGAAATACCATTTGCACACTTGGATTTATCTGCACTTTCACCCTATACTTATAGAAGAAACATCTTAAGCAATGTACTCTTGAGGACTGAGAATGAAACATGCAGATCAATTATGTTAAGTTTGAGACTAGTTTGAAGTCATGGTGAAATATTTAGACAACTGGGTTTTGTTAGGGCATCAAGCTATCAGTGGTTTTGGAGGACTTATCTCATTAGGTGAAACCAACCATTGCCCAGTTACTATTGTTGACATGCCTTTGATAAAACGATCTGTAATATGACCTTCAAGGGATATCACTCTAGAGAAAAACAATGAGAAACGCAGTAAGACAGCCATGTTGACATGTTTCTCTTAGACGCATAGGCTGACCTAGTGTGTTGATGTCAATATAGACAAAAAGCTATGCTGACTTTCTGAAAGAATTTGTCAGATCCCTATAAACTCCAAGGAAGACTATGTAAGCCTGGTTTGTGGACAAGAGGATATTAAAATACAGTGACAGAGTGACTTGCTGATAAAGAAGTGGGAAGTTACCTTTGGAAAAAGTTATAGATGAGGCTGCTATGCTCCTTATATTTGAAAAAGTAAGTTAATGATGGGGAAGTTGAATCTCATCAATTGCATTAACTACAGCAGGGTCTCCAATATGTCATTTTGTTCAATGTTGGTTGACGAGAAAAAATAATATTCCTGACAGAGCCACTGTTTGTGTAGAGTTTGCATGTTCTCACTGCGTCTGGTGTGGGTTTTCTCTGGGTACTCCAGTTTCTTCCTACACCCCAAAGGTGTATTTAAGTGAACTGGTGTATCTAAACTGTCCCAGTGTGAGGAAGCATGGGTCTGTGTGTGAGTGTGTCCTGCGATGGAATGGCATCCTGTCCAGGGTTGGTTCCCGTCTTGTACCCTGGGCTGCCAGGATGGGTTCTAGCTGACTGAGATCCTAAACTGGAATAAACAAGCTGGAAAATGAATGAATGAATACAAAGGATTGTAAAATAGAAGTGCTTAGTCTATGATAATCATACAAAATGCGCAACAGTAAATGATGTAGTATGAAAGCATTCAATGAGCCTGCCATATTGGTTAGCATCTGAACTGCATGGTTGTAGGAGGTGCTCCTCACAATTTTTGCTTTGCAAAAACTTATTTGATTTAGTCCACCACCAACACAAACACCGTCATTCACTGATTTCCCTAAAATTGGATAAATAATTATCTTACTTGTATTTAGTGTTTCTTAAATGTATGGATAGCTCACATCTATTTCAATGTTTAGTATTAGGAGTGTTTTAGGTCTTCCTTTAGGAGTTTGGTGATATGTCTGTGATGAGAAATGTGCCGAAGGGACTTGGCAATTGTTTAGATCAATTAGCCTATGGTAAAACTGGTCTCATTATAAGAACCTACTGACAATGTTAAATGAGGACTTACTGTACATTACGGATAGGTAAAGAAAGCAATAATTCTACAGGACATACCAATTCCATGTGTGCTATTTATGGGTCACAGAATGTCAGCATTTGCTTTAAAATTATATAGATTATTATGAGTTAATTTAAAATATAAATTTTGTTGGTATACGGGAAGAAATGCTGGATTCCTGATTTACACATTGTAAAGTCATGTGTGAGGCAAAACAGTGAAATTCTAAACCATAAGTTTGTAGTACATATTTTAAGGGAGGACTCTTTAACCTCAAATAAGCTATTAGTGGTTTTGGAGGACTTAACAAATGTCCACAATACCGCTTTCATCTTAAATCTAGGATAAGCTGGTTTTTAATACCAATGCCTTATCAATGATTCTAATCTTTCTTTTCACGTTTACTTTTGAGGTGGCCCTATCTTGTTCAGTATAGCTTTTTTTTTTTTTTTTTTAAATAAATTTTATTGGCTGGGCATGGTGGCTCACGCCTGTAATCCCAGCACTTTGGGAGGTCGAGGCGGGTGGATCATGAGGTCAAGAGATTGAGACCATCCTGGCCAACATGGTGAAACCGTCTCTACTAAAAATACAAAAATTAGCTGGGCACAGTGGCACACGCCTGTAGTCCCAGCTACTCAGGAGCTTGAGGCAGAAGAATCGCTTGAACCTGGGAGGTGGAGGTTGCAGTGAGCTGAGATCGCACCACTGCACTCCAGTCTGGCAAAAGAGCAAGACTCCATCTCAAAAAAAAAAAAAAAAAAAAAAAGTTTGTATATTTAAGGTATACAACACGTTGTTAAAAGATACAATATATAGAAAAATGGTTACTACAGTGAAACAAATTAACATACCCATCACCTAACACTTTTACCCATTTCCCTCCCCACCCCCATGGCAAGACAGCTATAATCTACTCATTTAGAAAAAAATCCTGAAGACACTATTATTAACTATAGTCCTTATGTTGCACACGAGACCTTTCTACTTGTTACTTTATATCCTTTGACCTACATCTTTCCAGTTCCTTCCCCACACTACAACCTTGGTAACTCCTGTTTTATTTGCTATCTTTATATAGTTGACCTTTAAAAAGAAAAATTCCACATATAAATGAGATGCAATAGTTTTCTGTGTCTGGCTTATTTCACTCAGCATAATGTCCTTCCATGTTTCAGTAAATGGCAGGATCTCCTTTTTAAAGGCTGAATAATATTCTGCTCTGTGTATGTGCGTGTGTTTATGTATGTATGTATGTATACACCACAGTTTATCTATTTGTCCACTGATGGACACCTAGGTTTTTCCCCATATTTTGGCTACTGTGAAGAATACTGTAATGAACACGAGAGTGCAGGTATCTATATGAGGTGGTATTTCATTTCCTTTGGGTATATATCCAGCAGAGGGAATGATGGGTCCATTTTTTATTTCTTTAGGAACCTCCATACTGTTTTCCCTCAGGGCTGTACCAATCTATGTTTCCACTAAGAGTATACGAGGTTTCCCTTTTCTCCACACCTTTGCCAACACTTAACCTCGTCTCTTTGGTAACAGCCATCCTAATAGGTGCGAGGTGATATCTCATAGTGGTTTTGATTTGTATTTCCCTGATGATTAGTGATGCTGAACACCTTTTCATATACTTATTGGCCATTTTAATGTCATCTTTGGATAAATGTCTATTCAGGACCAGGCTGGGCATGGTGGCTCATGCCTGTAATCCCAGCACTTTGAGGCCGAGGCGGGTGGATCACATGAGGTCGGGAGTTCAAGACCAGACTGGCCAACATGGTGAAATCCTATCTCTACCAAAAATACAAAAAATTAGACGGGCGTGGTGGCAGGCACCTGTAGTACCAGCTACTCAGGAGGCTGAGGCAGCAGCATCACTTGAACCCAGGAGATAAGGCTGCAGTGAGCAGAGATCACATCACTGTACTCCAGCCTGGGCAACAGAGCCATACTCCATCTCAAAAAGAAAAAAAAAAAAGGTATATTCAGGTCCAGTGGATTATATGTTTTCTTGCTACTGAACTGTATGAGTTTTTTTAAAAATAAATTTTGGGTATTAACCCCTTATCAGATATACAGCTTGTAAATATTTTTTTCCCAGTCTGTAGTTGTCCTTTTCCATTTTGTTGTTTCTTTTGCTGTGGAGAAGTTTTGCAGTTTGATGTAGTTACATTTATTTATTTTTGCTTTTGTAGCCTGAGCTTTTGGTGTGATGTTCAAGAAATCATTGCCAAGGCTAATGTCAAGGAGCTTTTACCCACGTTTTCTTCGAGGAGTTTTATGGCTTCAGGTGTTACATTCAGGTCTTTTATCTATCTTGAGTTGATTTTCGTGTATAGTGTAAGATAAAGGTCCAATTTCATTCTTATTTTATTTTTTTAAAGAGAGAGGGTCTTGCTCTGTCACCCAGTCTGGAATGCAGTGTGATCATAGCTCACTGTGACCTCTAACTCCTGGGCTCAAGTGATCCTCCTGCCTTAGCCACCCAAGTAGCTTAGGCTACAGGCATGAGCCACTGTGCCTGGCTCAATTTCATTCTTTTACATGTGGCAATCCAGTTTCCCCGGAATCATTTATTTGAAGAGACTATCCTCTCCCCATTGTGTCTTCTTGGTACCCTTTTTGAAAATTAGTTGCCCATATATGTTTGGATTTATATCTGAAATCTTTATTCTGTACCAATGGTCTATGTGTCTGTTTTTGTGCCAGTACTGCACTGTTTTGATTACTATAGCTATATACTATAGCTTTGAAATAAAATTTAAAATTAGGAAGTGTGATATCTCTTCCCCCCTCAACCCCACCTCAGGATTGCTCTGGCTATTTAGGGTCTTTGGTAAGTTTTAGGATTTTTTTTTTAAATTTATGTGAACAATGCCCTTGGGATTTTGATAGTGACTGTGTTGGATCTGCATATTGCTTTTGGTAGTATGGGCATTTTAACAATATTAATTCTTCCAGTCCATGAGCATGAAATATCTTTCTATTTGTGTCTTCTTCAATTTCTTTCATCAATGTTTTATCATTTTCTAGTGTACAGGTCTTTTATCTCCTTGGTTAAATTTATTCCTAAGTATTTTAATTTTTAAATGCTATCATAAATGGGATTGTTTTGATTTCTTTTCTTGGCTAGGTTGTCACTTGTGTACAGAAATGCCATGGACTTTTCTATCTAGATTTTAAATTTTATATCCTGTAACTTTACTGAATTTATTTATTAGATGGATACGGCTTTTGAGAAAGCCTCCTCATGTCTACAAAAATGCAAATAACTATTGTCAATAATGGAAAAAATGACTATAAAGGGAACAGAGGCATTCAGAAAATGAAACCATTTCCTTCAGCAACAGATGTCCAATTTTGGGTGGTTAATGTACAACCTACTTTAAGAGCAATGTCAGTTTATTAACATAAATGGTAGGTTAAATATCATCGACCAAAACAAAGGCCCTATAGTTATAGCTACCAGTATACTGAAGTATTAACTTAAAAGAGATTAAAAGCAGTAACACTGATCTTCAGTGGGATGCCGCTTTACCACATGCTCACAAGTTATGCTTCTTTGAAATTATTTTTTTTTTTAGAGGTCATAAAGTTTATAATGTAATATCAATGATTCTTAATATAGCATTTTGTTTTATTAAAGTGTGACCAAAGGTTTCTATCATACTATAAAAGGGAAATATAGAGCATTTTGGGCTATATTAACAATGAAAATCTGTCAAGTAATTTATTAATTTTATCTTTAGGTAAGTAGGCTAACTTTACCATTAACACAAAAGAGAAAATTTCTATTTCTCTCTCATTTTTCTCCTACAATCATCTTCAACTTTTATCCATAAAACTCCAGGGTGGATATAATCAAGGAGATTAAAAATCAATAAGAAAGGGTTTATCAAAACTTAGAAAGTAAAATACTTTTTTCTTAACATAAAAAAATTTACATAGAAAATACTATTCGTACATTTTGCAAAATTAATTTTGCTATACACATGTTGGTAGTTTTTAGACTGGATTGAAAACAGCATGGAATAAAGACAATTTTAGTTAATCTTGAGGTGTTTTTCTGAATGAGTTATGGCAATAGCTGCCTGTTCAAAGCCTTGAATGGTAGTTGAATAGCATTTCAGAATGTACTTGCATTCATGTGGCAACAACTGATGGAGAACTGAGGTCAGCTAACAGAAATGCCACAAAACCTTACATTCTTAAAAGTTCCAAAGTACAATTTGTAAAGAAGCTGATTGTACAAAGACAATCAACTGTAGAGTGGGAATGCAGAAACAAACGTACACCTCCTTTTGTGCTAACTCCTATTTATTTCTTGGAACTGTAGAAATGTTAAAACCCAAAACCTCTCCTTGGTGACTGTCCTTGTTTATGCTTTCTTTACCTTGTGCCTAGATGAAAAGCAACCCATTAGTTTAGTTAAACAGGCGCTTATCATGAAATCCAGATCTACTCAACACCCTCAGTCCCCTGGGAATTGGTACATGATGCAGAATATTTTTATTGACATTCTGACTGAAACTTTATTTTTTAGAGAAGGGGTCTCTCTCTGTTGCTTAGGCTGGAGTGCAGTGTCCTGATCTTGGCCCAGTGCAACCTCGAACCCCTGGGCTCCAGTGATCTTTCTACCTTGGCCTCCGAGTAGCTAGGACTACAGGGGGGTGCCACCAAGCCTGGCTGCTGACTAAAACTTTAATACACCTGTATTAGTCTGCCCGGGTGGCCATACAACAAACCATAGACTGGGTGGCTTAAAAAGCAGAAATTTATTTCTCTCAGTTCTGGAGGCTGGGAACTCAAAGATCATGGTGCTGGCTGATGTGGTTTCTGACGAGGACTCTTGGGGGCTTATAGATGGCTGCCTTCTGGATGTGTCCTCACAAGGCAGAAAGACAGAGTTCTCTGGTGTCTCTCCTTAAAGGGACATGAATCCCATTGGATCAGGGTTCCACCCTTATGACCTAGTTTAACTTTGATTACCTCTTTATAAGCCCTATCTCCAAATATAGTCACATTAGGAGTTAGGGCTTCAACATATTAATTTTGGGGAGAACACAGTTCAGTCCGTAGCACACACCCTTATACGAGGCCCTAGCCGAGCCTGGGACCAGCTACAGCAAACCATGCTTTACATCCCTATCGTCATCTCCCACCATGCAAGGCCCTCTAGTCAGTCATCCTTTTTACTCTCTCATCCCCACATTTCTTTGTCCTCTACTCCAGGATAATCCTCTTCCAGCTGCCCCCATTCTTTCTAACCACACCTTCTCAAAGATCCAATGAGGCAACATATTGTTTCTGTGATTCTCTTACTTCCCACTCACATTTCTTTAGATTGTAAATGGCCAGCCATGTAAGTCCTACAGTAACAGTAATGATAGTAGCCCCAAGTTACTAGCAAGTTTGAATAGTATAGCTGTTTGCATGTTTCTACTAATATAGAGCCAACATAAGTTTCTCTTCAGTTTAATATTCTGGTTTTAACTAAGCAAAAGACATGCTGGTCAATTCTTAAAGCATTCACATTTCATGAAGTTAAGAACTAAATCAATTTGAGAATACTTACCAAAGTTATAATGCTTTAGTAATTAACTTAAAAGGTTGCCCTTTTATAAACAAAAATGTTTTAGTCTTTTCCATTTTTATTTATTTTTCAACTGGTTATGAATTCTCTTTTCTTGCCTTTTAAGTCCGTGGTAATATTTTATGGAATGTTGAACACTGCAATTTTTATGTTGTTGAGTGTTGGAATTTGTTGTATTTCCATAAAGAATGTTGTACCTTATTCCAAAGAATGTTGCATTTTACTCTAACAGGGAGTTAAGTTATTTAGGAACAGTATGATACTTTCAAAACTTGCTTTTAAACTGTTAGAGCAGATGCAATGTAGTCTTTAGAGTAATTCATCCCTACTAATAAGGCAGGATCTTTTGATGATTATATGCAAACTTAACCAAAGGCTCAAGGGGATCTCTCTTCAGATTTCTAGGGCATTCTCTCTGTACAATCCCTCTTCTCTGGGTTTCTGCCCCACAAATGCTAGCCATCTTGATCTTCCCAAACTCCTATCTCTGTCTCCTCAACTCAGTGACACTGCTGGCCTCTCTCTTTGGTTTCTTTCTCCTTGTACAGTATCCTGGAAACTGCTTCTAGGCAGTAAGCTGGGGACAATTGTAGGGCTTACTTCATCTGTTTCTCCTCTCAGGGAATGTCTAGTTTTCTAACTAGAAAGGTAGTCTAAGGTAGGAGTGTAAATCTGGCTCCTGTTATTCTTCATGGCCAGAAGCAGAAGTGAAAAAGTTGAGTTTCACTCCCATCTTAACTAGACATAGTCTCTGACCTCCAGGAGTTTGCGATAACAAAACTCTCTGGACAACATAGTCTTTGACCTCTAGGAGTTTTGTTATCTAATATAATATCCTGACATATTTTAAGTTGTCTCTTATGCCTGAGATTTATACAGAGTAAAAGCAAAGGAACAGTGGGGATAGCAGTCAAGGTTAAAAGAGGCTTGGGCTTGAAATAAGGCAATTTCACGGGGAGCCCTTTGGCCACATGGGGTTGCATAGGGGAATACAGTTTGTACATTATAGGTGCTGGGAATAAAGAGGCAGACTCATAATTCATTTTATAGATGACAGAAGATAATCCTCAATAGTTATCTAGATTATAAAAATAGGAGCCTAAAGCAAATTAAAATCATTAAATCAAGTTTGAGTTATAATTCATTCTTCCTACTAGTTTTTTTATAGAAAGTAAATTCCACCACATTTGAAACTCCAAACTTAACAAACTATAAAGGAGTTATCTAAAGATTTTATGCTGAGAATGAAATTGCTTTTTTTTTTTTTTTGAGATGGAGTCTCTCTCTGTTACCCAGGCTGGAGTGCAATGGTGCGATCTCGTCTTACTACAGCCTGCGCCTCCTAGGTTTAAGCGATTCTCCTGCCTTAGCCTCCTGAGTAGCTGGGATTACCAGTACCTCCCACCACGCTCAGCTAATTAGTGTATTTTTAGAAGACACAGGGTTTCACCATGTTGGCCAGGCTGGTCTCAAACTCCTGACCTCAGGTGATCCACCCACCTCAGCCTTCCAAAGTGCCGGGATTACAGGTGTGAGCCACCGCGCCCGGTTGAAATTCCTTTTTTAGACATCTCAAAGGCGAGGTCATCACACCTAACACAGCTAATATGGACTTTCAGTTCAATAACATTCCACGTAATGATACTCATAGCCTTCAAAGTGTTTACAGAGGTCCACACATACCATTTTTTCCTCACAATAATGCTGCAAGATAGGGTCAGAAGTACAATCTTTAATTCACAAATGAGGGCACCGATTTATCCAAGGTCACTAGCTAGTTAGTGAGAGAGCTGGGCCAAGGCTCTGGCTTTCTTGACAGCTTCAAAACTCAGTATAACTTAGGTCCTTTGACTTAATTTTCTTTAACATGGCAAGGTATAACCTTGCATTGTTCTCATGACCTGACACTGATAAGTCTAGCAATAGGCATCATAAGGTTTGCTGAAAAGATGCATGCAAGGGCATGTCACTATGACTTAGAGAAATCAGGCATAAATGTAGTAGAGATCAGGGCAACAGCTTAGAGCAAAACAATAAAAAACCATCTCATGCTATGGAGCAACTCCAGTGTTTTCATTTAAAACCTTGCCATCCATTACAAAGGACAAAGAAAGAACTTTAGAACATCAAAATGAGATTATTATGCTATGTGCATGATACTGCTTTGGCAGTGCTGCTTACAAAGTATAGGACTTTAATATATTTTCCAAAGTAGGTTAAAAAAAGAAACAGTTTAGCTGGGGAAAGAGGCCATTTATTAAGAAGGTAGGTACTGGCTGAGACTGGCAAGAACTACAACATTACTCACAGTGTTCAGCCACATTTTCAGAGTTGCTACTATGTACCTCTTTTGAGAGCTGATGGGGCCATTCTTGCCCTGGCATACCAGAAGAACAGGAGCCACCAACTTGGCACATGAAGTGAAAAGGGATATTCCAAGATTATATATTGGTCTAACAGACAGTACAGGCTGAGTCATATGGTTATAGAGATAATAATAAATAAAGCTACTCTTAAAAAATAAAAAATATGGCTTGGAAGTCCTTCTGTTTGTTTTTAAATATTTTACTGAGTGCAAGCAAGGTTAAATGAAGTTAAGGAGGAGAGCAGCACGTGAACCATAAGGATAAGAAAAGAGAAGAGAAACAGCAGCAGAAAAATCAGGAGGCTGGAAATGCAGAGAGAAGAGACCAGCTAACGGGAAAAGGGATTAGAGAGAAGGAACAACCAAGAATACACCGCAAAGTTCTGTCTTAAAGAAGTAAGTAAGTGCTGGTCCACTTCAGTTTGCCATTGGCTCCATCTTAGTGACTCCCATAGAGGGTTAGGCTTCCAGCTTGAAGGTGGAGTCAAATCAAAGCCTGAGGTGAAGGTGGGGTTTGTGCATGTGTATGTACTGGAAATGGAAAACATGTACAATAGATAAATTGTTTTTATATTACAAACACCAGAAAGTAAAGCAAAATGCAACAGAGTCCCTGGGCTGATAGGAACAAGACAAAGAGGAGTAAGAAAAATGTGTAAAAGGAGTAAGAAAAATAATGAAACAGCTTTATATGATGTTCTAGTTGTGAAAGATGGTGTAGGTTATAATTTCTGTAACCTCTGACGTGATTCATTTTCTTTCTCTTAGTTGCTTTTTCTATTAGGATTCCTGAAAGAGGCAGTCTTTAGAAGGCAGTCATGAGTAAGCTGATGTGAGAACATATGTATATAAAAGCCAGTAGTTCACACTGATTTGGCTATTTCTCTGCAGGCAGGCAGAGGAGAGAGTCTAATGCTAACCTTAAGAGTATCACTCTTCCCTCCAGTCTTCCCTCCGGTATTCACACCAGGTCCCTGAGGACATCAGCTACTTCAAAGTATGGGAATAGCTTCCTTAACAAATCCTCTGGGCATAAAAGTTTTTTAAAAGTCAATGTGATCACCTCACTGGGACCTCCTTAGGGCTGGGTGGGTAGTATCAGAGGTCTCAGAAGGTAGTACATTCTGAAAGATGACCTGAAAAAAGAATGTGACAGCCACATGGGGATCTCTACTGAGAAAAGAATGTCTCCTATTTAGGAAGAGAAGTATCAGCTTTGAGAGCCTTCTGAGTTAGGGTGAGCAATCAACATCCTCGAGGGTGTTTTATGCTGTTATCAAATTTTAAAACACATTTGTTTAATTTGCATAAAGTAAAATCCATGCTGCATTAGTTATAAATCAGGTACAGGTGTTTCTGACAATAAATTTCACTAGAATGACTCCATTTACCAATAACAAGCTTACTGTATTAACAGACCACCACATTATAAATGTAGACTGAATGGGGAAATAAATCTAAATAGCAAAACAAATGAACCAATAAAGAAATAGCACTTAAGAATTTCAAAAGCAGCAACTGGTGAAGAACTAAGAGAAGTATACAGACCATAGTCAGCTACTTAATAATCTCATCATTTCTGGGTATTTTAAATGGTGGAAAAGACACACACCTGTGGTAAATCCCTGCCTGGGAGTAACACCTGAAACCTTTCTGTTAGTGTGGAGACCAAGAACCTACTAAACAGCTGGACAACAGACACAGAAAAAAATGTCTTATTGTTGGAACGAGATTGCTTAGCAAAGCCTGACACAGTTATTCCTCTCTTGAGAGAAGCTGTAAATAAACCCAAATAGTGAGCAGGGTAGTTACAAAATGTGCTCCTTGATCCTACCATAAGCAAAAAAACTTAATTTCTTATTTATACACCTCACTTTGCCAAACAAGAGTCAATTTGCAATAAAATATGTATGCTCAATAAAATAACTCTAACAGAAACAGAATAATCCAAGTCATCAAAAAAGCACGGATAAAACTATGGGAAAAAAGCATGTATAACTGGCATATATACTAATACATAATTCTCTCCCTGTCATTAGAGAAAAGTTATTTTTACTCTAGAGTGGAGAGAATTAATCATCTGTTTTCACCACTATAATCTTTATCTTTTCATTATCTTCATTAAAAGATAATTTTTAAAAATTAATTAAAATCTAAATGTTCTTGCCGGGCGCGGTGGCTCATGCCTGTAATCCCAGCAATTTGGGAGGCTGAGGTGGGCGGATCACCTGAGGTTGGGAGTTTGAGACCAGCCTGACCAACATGGAGAAACCCCACCTCTACTAAAAATACAAAATTAGCCAGGCGTGGTGGTGCATGCCTGTAATTTCAGCTACTCGGGAGGCTGAGGCAAGAGAATTGTTTGAACCTGGGAGGTGGGGGTTGTGGTGAGCTGAGATCGCACCATTGCACTCCAGCCTGGGCAACAAGAGTAAAACTCCGAATCCAAAAAAAAAAAAAAAAAAAAAAAAAAAAATCTAAATGTTCTTGACTTCAGAAATTCCTCAAGTAAGGGAAACAAAGAAACTCTGAATCATTTCTTGGGCAAATAGTTCTGAGTAAAAGACATGTGAGTAAAGAATGATGTTTGTTTAAGTGAAATATTTGTTTCTCTAAACAACAAGAACAATGACAACAAAAATAGGTCACTGGTAATTTTTAAGGGTAACTCCAAAATGAAGTCTTCTAAACATAAACTGAAGAGAATTTTCATAAGATACAGTGACTTTTCAATCAGATCAAGTTCTTTGAAAAATTTTTAAAAATGTTTAATTAATTTTATTTCAATAGTGTTAGGGATACAAGTGGTTTCTGGTTACATGGATAAACTGTATAGTGGTAAAGTCTGAGATTTTAGTATACCTACACGTGAGTAGTGCACACTTTACCCAATATATAGTTTTTTATCCCTCACCAACTGCCCCACCTCCTCTCTTCTGAGTCTCCAATTATCCATATCACTTTGTATGCCTTTGTGTGCCCATAGCTTAGCTTTATAAGTGAGAACTTAAGGTATTTGGTTTTCAATTCCTGAGTTACTTCACTTAGAATAAAGGCTTCCAGCTCTATCCAAGTTGCCGTAGATGTTATTTCCTTCTTTTTTATGGCTGAGTAGTATTCCATGGTGTATACATATCACATTTTCTTTAACCACTCATCGGTTGACGGGCACTTAGATTGGTTCCATATCTTTGCGATTGTCAATTGCGCTGTGATAAACATATATGTGCAGGTGTCTTTTTGATATAAATGACTTATTTTCCTTTGGGTAGATACCCAGTAGTAGGATTGTTGGATTGAATGGTAGATCTTGTGGGGAAAAGAAAGATCAGATTGTTACTGTGTCTGTGTAGAAAGAAGTAGACATAGGAGACTCCATTTTGTTCTGTACTAAAAAATTCTTCTGCCTTGAGATTCTGTTAATCTATGATCTTACCCCCAACCCCATGCTCTCTGAAACATGTGCTGTGTCAAACTCAGGGTTAAATGGATTAAGTGTTGTGCAAGATGTGCTTTGTTAAACAGATGCTTGAAGGCAGCATGCTCCTTAAGAGTCATCACCACTCCCTAATCTCAAGTACCCAGGGACACAAACACTGCGGAAGGCCACAGGGACCTCTGCCTAGGAAAGCCAGGTATTGTCCAAGGTTTCTCTCCATGTGACAGTCTGAAATATGGCCTCGTGGGAAGGGAAAGACCTGACCCTCCCCCAGCCCGACACCCGTAAAGGGTCTGTGCTGAGGAGGATTAGTATAAGAGGAAGGCATGCCTCTTGCAGTTGAGACAAGAGGAAGGCATCTGTCTCCTGCCCGTCCCTGGGCAATGGAATGTCTCGGTATAAAACTCGATTGTAAGTTCCATCTACTGAGATAGGGAAAAACCGCCTTAGGGCTGGAGGTGGGACATGCGGGCAGCAATACTGCTTTGTAAAGCATTGAGATGTTTATGTGTATGCATATCTAAAAGCACAGCACTTGATTCTTTACCTTGTCTATGATGCAAAGACCTTTGTTCACGTGTTTGTCTGCTGACCCTCTCCCCACTATTGTCTTGTGACCCTGACACATCCCCCTCTCGGAGAAACACCCACAAATGATCAATAAATACTAAGGGAACTCAGAGGCTGGCGGGATCCTCCATATGCTGAACGCTGGTTCCCTGGGTCCCCTTATTTCTTTCTCTATACTTTGTCTCTGTGTCTTTTTCTTTTCCAAGTCTCTTGTTCCACCTAACGAGAAACACCCACAGGTGTGGAGGGGCAACCCACCCCTTCAGATCTACTTGTAGTTCTTTGAGAAATCTCCATAGTCCACACAGCTTGTACTAATTTACATTCCCACCAGCAGTGTACAAGCATTCCCTTCACACCACATCCACACCAATATCTACTGTTTTTAACTTGTAAGTAATGGCTATTCTGGCAGGGCTGAGGTGAATTTCATTGTAGCTTGAATTTGCATTTCCCTGGTTATTAGTAATGTTGAGCAGTTTTACATATGTTTCTTGGCCGTTTGTATATCTTCTTTTGAGAAATGTCTATTCATGTCATTTGTCCACTTTTTGATGGGACTGTTTTTTTCTTGCTGATTTGAGTTCCTTGTAGATTCTGGATATCAGTCCTCTGTCAGATGCATAGTATGCAAATATTTCTTCCCATTCTGTGGGTTGTCTGTTTACTCTGAGGATTATTTCTTTCACTGTGCAGAAGTTTTTTAGTTTAATTGGGTCCCATTTATTTTTGTTTTTGCTGCATTTGCTTTCGGGGTCTTACTCATAAATTCTTTGCTTAGACCAACGCCCAAAAGAGTTTTTCCTAGGTTTTCTTCCAGAATTTTTATGGTTTAGTCTTCAATGTAAGTCTTTAATCCATCTTAAGTTGATTTTTGTATATGGTAAGAGACAGGAATCAAGTTTCATTCTTCTACATGTGGCTTGCCAATTATCCCAGCACCATTTGTTGAATAGGGTGTCCTTTCCCCACTTTATGTTTTTGTTTGCCTTGCTGAAGATCAGTTGGCTGTATTTGGCTTTATTTCTGGGTTCAATATTCTGTTCCATTGGTTTATGTATCTACTTTTATAACAATACCATGCTGTTGGTTACCACAGACTTGTAGTATAATTTGAAATCAAGTAACATAATGCCTCTAGCTTTGTTCTTTTTGCTTAGGATTGCTTTGGATATTCGGGCTCTTTTTTTGTTCCATATGAATTTTAGGACTGTCTTCTCTAATTCTGTGAAAAAGGATTTTGGTGTTTTGATAGGAATTGCACTGAATCTGTAGATTGCTTTGGGCAGTATGGTCATTTTCACAATATTGACTCTTCCAATCCATGAACATGAAATGTATTTCCATTTGTTTGTCATCTATTATTATTTTTTTTTTTTTAGCAGTGTTTTGTAGTATTCCTCACAGACATCCTTCACCTCCTTGGTTAACTATATTCCCAGGCATTTTATTTTATTTTTGCAGCTATTGTAAGAGGAAATGAGTTCATGATTTGATTCTCAGCTTGGCTGTTGCTGATATACAGCAATGCTACTGATTTGTGTACACTGATTTTGTAACCTGAGACTTTACTGATTTCATTTATCAAATCTAGGAGTATTCTGGAGGAGTCTTTAGGGTTTTCTAGGTATACGATCACATCACTGGCAAACAGAGATAATTTGACTTCCTCTTTTCCAGTTTGGATGCCCTTTATTTCTTTCTCTTGAATGATTGTTCTGGCTAGGACTTCTGGTACTATGTTGAATAGAAGTGGTAAAAGTGTTTGTTATGTTTTGTAGCGACAGGGTCTCACTTTGTTGCCTAGGCTAGTCTTGAACTCCTGGCTTCAAGTGATCCTCCTGCCTTGGCCTCCCAAAAGTGCTGGGATTACAGGCATGAGCCACCTAGCCAAGATCAACTTCTAAACCAACCAATTAGAGGTTACTACTGCAGGGAGAGCAATGGACTTTATAAAAGAAAATTTGTATCAACAGCTAATCCATGTCGACATTTATATTAATTAAGAGACAATAAAATATGCATAGGGAAATGCTAAGCAAAAGCAGGTCAAAGCCAAGGCTAAATCCCTGAGGTCAACGTGTCTAAATTTACACCAAGATTATAACCAGACAAACTTAACTGACAAATATACTTTGCTGGGTCCCACCAAATTTGAGTTCCCAGAGCAAAGAGCCTCAAATAAAAATTAAATACTTATCTTGAAAAGACGACTGATTTTTAAAAATTAATAAGCAGGTATTATTTGTATAAGAAAAAATAATAAAGATACATCAATTTTGAAAATAACAAAAAGCCAATACAGAAAATACATTTTATTAAGGAATGAATCTAAAACTTTCTTTTTCACCTGAAAACACTCTCTCTCCACCATGAATACTATGAAGATACACATGGCCTAAGTTCCCCAAATGCAACTCCCACATGTATCTAAATCAAAGGCTTCTTTGCCTAGTTACAATACTGCAACTTTAAATCATTTCTCCAGCAAATCAAAGAAGCAAACAAAAACTTCCCCCAAATAGTAATTTTTCACTTACAAACTTTTACCAAATTGGACATGGACTATTAACTTTTTGAACTCATATATGATTAACCCCAACTCTAAGCTAACCACATTATTTTGATTATGAATCTACAGAAAAGATGCATTACCCGCAGATACAGAACCATTTATAGTAAGGCTGAAGTTAAAATATACCATCCCTAGTAGGCTATTACCAAGATTAAAAAATACACATCCCTCAGATAAATGTACCCTCCTACGATGACCACGGGTGGCTGGCACTCTAATATGCCTTTGCCCCAGTGATGCGGGGTTATTCATGCATTGTAAGCTGAACTCTTTTCTAGAGTTTTTCTTATAAAAATATAATGCTGGCATCCAAAGCTAGATAAACTATGAAGACATCTTCTCTAGGCCTGCACTCTTCCTAGTTTCCCTTATGTATTTAAATTAGTCTGTGTATGAACATTTTTTCCATCACAGGAGCCAGCCAGTCTGGACAAGAAAGTCACTGGAGTACACATGTGGTCACAATGTATGCAAGGAAGGTGGTTTACCTCACTGGTGTAAAGAGTCACGTCAAAAGGTACTAACTACATCAGCCTATAGGCACATAGTCAGATAGGCATTTGTTGGTTGGCCGAGGCACTTGAATAGCACAAACAATATGTCTTATTTGGGAAAATGCTTTCAGAAGGAAGACAGTGCTGAATTGGGGCGGTGGTGGGGAAGAACCATTGCATTTTCCAAAAATTCAACTTTATAAAAGCTTCATGTGGCAACAGGTTTCCCTGTAGGATACTCTTAAGCAGAAAGTTCTTCCAATACATGTAAAATATTCTGATTTGTAATTTTTTCCAGGAACAGACCTGCTCCAGAAAGAAATATGCTAGTAATTTAGGCAAACTCTTGTACTGCTTATTGTGTGAATTATTCACCAATATGACATGAAAAATTCAACAGCCATAATACACATTAAGCTCCAGGATCTACTAAAGAACAAATATGAAGAGAAGAAAAAGAGAAAGTAGTTATTACAGTTGTATAGGAATAATTAATCTGACATTTTGGAAGCGCTTTCTTTTCTGAGGAAGAGGCACTGTGAGTGTTGTTACTGATAGCACCTTGCCCAGGCTAGATACTGAATGAAAAGTTGAGTCAGAAAATAAGTAAAATAAAGAGAACTGCCCATTTGTTATGGGATCTGACTCAGACATTGGTAGTGTTACATTAATTCTTCAAATTTTCATAATTACAACATTTCTCCCAAGATACTGTACAATCTTAAGTATTCACAGTAAAAAGAGAAAATGTCATTCAATCATCTGGATGTTTTGTCCACACAAGTCAATTACTGAATAATTAGAGTTGTTTTATTATGCTGTTTCAGATTGGAATTTCCATAACACTAACAATGCATTATTTTAATTTCAAATATGTATTGTTTAAACATGCTGTTTAAATAATTTCTCTTAATTTCATGTTTAAAAATTTCACATTTAAAAAGCCTGATTTCACATTTAAACTAGCTGGGTATGGTGGCATGTGCCTATAGTCCCAGCTCTTGGGAGGTTGAGGCAGGAGGATCACTTGAGACCACTTGAGCCCAGGAGTTCCGGTAGGGGGCTGCAGTGAGTTCTGATTGTGCCACTACAGTCCAGCATAGGCAACAGAATGAGGTTTCATCTCTCTCTCTATTTTTTTAAAAAGGTGTCAGTCTGCCAGGCACGGTGGCTCATGCCTGTAATCCTAGCACTTCGGGAGGCCAAGGCAGGAGGATCACGAGGTCAGGAGTTTGAGACCAGCCTGATCAACATGGTGAAACCCCGTCTCTACTAAAAATCCAAAAATTAGCTGGGCGTGGTGGTGCGCGCCTGTAATCTCAGCTACTCAGGAGGCTAAGGCAGGAGAATTGCTTGAACCCAGCAAGTGGAAGTTGCAGTGAGCTGAGATCGCACCATTGCACTGCAGCCTGGGAGACAGAGTGAAACTGTCTCAAAACAAACAAACAAACAAACAAACAAACAAACAAAAGGGCATCAAACTTTACTCAGTGGCTTATCTTCCACAGGGCACATGCTGTATCTTTTAGTAACATACCCTTAAGTTCACCACTGCTAACTTAATTCTGATGCAGCAACCTGTTCTGACATTTACTAGGTCTTGTTTAAAAATGGTTTTCATGAAAATTAATGGTATTAAAACAATATTATCTGAGAATATTTAGCTACTCGGGAGGCTGAAGCAGGAGGGTTGCTTGAGTGCAGGAGTTCGAAGCTGCAGAGAGCTATGACGACACCACTGCCCTCCAGCCTGGGAGACAGAGCAAGACCCCATCTCTAAAAATAAATAAATAAATAATAAACAAAAAACCCTAATTCCTAAACCTTACTAAATATAGGTGAGTTCTGAAGCTGGGTGAGGGACACACTGGGACTTATAATAACCATTTTCTCTATTTTTTGTGAATGTGTGAAAAACCCACTTCAGCCTTTTCCTTGGTAAAGGAGAGTCTAGAGGCCATCTAGTTCACACATTTTACCTAATATTTCCTATATGTACTTAAAATTATTACGTCTTCACTTAGTGAAAATTTCCAATTCATTAAAAAAAATCAGTCTGATCTTTTCTCAATTATACTGAACTAGTAAGATTTTACTGTACCTGCTATTACAGAACACACCAATCAGAAACCTGAAATGGATGCGTGAACAACTCTGTAACAGTCAAAAAGAAACAGAAAAGGAACCACAGATTCCCACTCTAAGGGATTTACCTTCCTACTTTAAAAATGCTGGTAGCACTTTATAGGTCAAGTAAAGTTGACAGATACTCCCTGCGTTAGAAGTAAGGAAACAGAAGTAAGGAAAAGATACATGAAGATGATAAACACAACACTGTATTTTCTTATTTACCAAATGGAAGTAATTTCTCCAAAGGCCCTTTTAGTTAGATAAGAGATAAGGGTGAAACTTTAAACTTTAAAAGCACTTTTTAAGGTATCCCATATGTTAGCAAATATGGTAAAGTCTAGTTTTAACCATCTTTAAAAGAATCAAACCTATCAAAGGACGTATATTTAAGTTATGAAAGTAACAAAGTTTTAGCAGGTCAGCATTTCTAGTAAGAATCTATCAAAAAAGAATAAACAGTTAATGCTCCTTTTCACCAAGGCAAATTGGATGTTTGAGGAGGATATCAAATTGTTGGTTATAAATAAAGACTTGCCCACACAAAGCAGAAATACCATGGGCTAAATAGGAAATCCTTGCTTTGTCATGAAGTCATCCCTCACCTGAAGCTACCAATCCTTTCTTGGTAACTCTTTGAGTCAAAGAGGATGAATCCTTTTGACTTGTTTCACAACTAGGGAATCCAAGATCTAAGCCTACAATGGGGTAATTTTGGCTTTCCTTTCTCATTCAGTATTTCCTAGAAAATCATTCTTTGGTAAAAGTGCTACAAACTAATGGATATTTTTGTTTGCATTATTATACACCAGTATCTCTTGTAAGACAACTAAAGAAATGGTTTATTTTTACAGAATTGACAAAGTAGGGAAATAATCCTTTTAATATCATTTAAAATTTGCATTTACAAATATGTAGGGGTCAAGGTAAGCATCTCAGAATTGTTATTTTTTGTTTTTTTAAACCAAATTTATGATGGTACACAATCACTTCTGTATATCTTCTTTAATTCACAAAACAGGGAACGTATATTCCCTGATTTTATTCATCCATCTTAATAAGCCTTCAATTTTTCTAGAACCTCAACATTATGAATAGCATTATTTTCAAATGCATCTGAGTAAGCCTATGGGAAACTTAGGGGAGGGAAGGGGACGGTGTCCCAGGATTCTACAGGTAATACTGAATTGGAACCCAAAGGCTTTAATAAACGTTTTGAACTTTGTTTACTGTCTTGCTATTAAAAATACCAGGTAGATTGATTAATAGCACTTATTTAATATTTACTTAAACAACAGGAGCAAAGTATGAACTCTATAACCATAGCTTTCCTTTTCTTTGTATGAGGTGCCAGTGAAGTTAAATGACAATAATGTGGAGTCTCTCCACATCCATATTTGGAAGTATTGATTAGAGTGACTTTTAGAATTTAGCAGGTAGACAGAAGTTGACAGAAGACAAGCCAACTTTTCACAAGAAAACAGTCTGAAGTTAGCTATATGTTGTGCCACGTATTTCTACTTAATATTTTTCACTTTAAAAAAGCCATAGGCATCAGAAGAAATCTGGTATCTAGGTAGCCAACTGTAGTTATTGTTCTAGGAAAAAAAATTTTTTTTTTGTAGTCCTGCTAAAACAGTCTGCTTTGAAAACAGGTAGACTTACCATTTTACCTGAATTTCAGTTAAAGAAATTGTTCTTTTTCAGTTCTCAAGTATAGTAGAATGAGACATGCAGCAGCAAGGTTCACACTATTGTGTAAGCACTAGAATCCTACTGAGGTGTTATATGTACCTTTCATCAGTCTAGCGGCTCCCAAACTTGGTATAAATAATCTACACAAATATAAATGTGCTGAAATAATTAATCTGACTTAATGGTTCCCACCCACCAGCAGTCACTATCAATTGTAAAATTTTAATATTTACTAACACAATTTACTACCTAATCATAACTAATCCAAAGATAAGCAATTAATAACAATCAAAGCTAAGGTATCAGAGACAATTTATGAATAAGAATTGTTTTCATTGCTTAAAAAAAGGGCCTTAAGTGATCTGAAACAAAAAATTGTGATGTTGGAGAATGAAGAAGGAAACATTCTCCCAAGCTTTTATAGATCACTATAAAAGAGCCACTGGGAGCAAATTCCTCTTTTCTTTTGCTCAGTCCATTTGAGAAGAATAAAGCTTTTACCAATGAAACTGCAGCTGTGCTCACCCTCAGCTTAATCACTATACAAGGCTGAGGGTTAATTAGTGGCCATTCTTAGCTCTATTTGCTGTTCTAATACAGATCTGCACACATCTAAGACTGGAGTAACCGATACTTGATTTTTATTTGAAAGGTGATGCAGGGAGAGGGAGCAGCTCATCCATCCTGAGTGTTGATGTTTGTGGGTATGCTTAGAGCATTTTCATTTGACCTGACCTGTATAGTTCTGCCTGTTTGAAGAGAGACAGACAAAGACTTCATGGTTGCTTACGAATGCAAGCCCCTGCTGGTCCAGGCTGCACCACAAGGCAGCTTATGGTCTGAAGGCAGACGACAGGGGAATGAAATACACAAGCCAGGGTCAGAGCCCAGATGATTCCCTTCAAGAGCAAAAGAGAGCCAAATCACGTACCACTTACAGATTACCTTAAGTCCTCACTTAATGTGGCTGATAGGTTCTTGGAAACTGCAACTTCAAGCAAAATGAAGTACTGTATGCCACGGGAAATTAACCCTTGTTTAGATCAATCAGCCTATGGTAAAATTGGTTTCATTATACATTATCTCGTTTCACTAAAAGTTGCAGTTTCTAAGAACCTACTGATGACATTAAACGAGGACTTATGTCACACTGTTAGTATGTCTGATTTTTAGCAACTAAAAAAAGTTAAGAAGAATTTCAAACATATCCAAACATAGAAAAGTATAATGAGCACCCATGTGTATACTCATCACTCAGATTCAACAGTTATAATGGTCAATCTCAGTATCTTCCATATTCCTCCCCATCTACAATCTTTCTGGATTATTTTGAACTAAATTCCATATATCAAAGAATTTTATTTGCAAATAGTCCAGTACAGATGTCTAAAAGGTAAGGACAGGTACAATTCCATTGTCATGCTCAAAAATTTCTGGCAATAATTTCTCAATATCAAATGTTTCATTGTCAACTTTCTGACTGTCTCATAAGAGTCATACATATTTGGGGGAAAATTTTAAATGATACATCATAACTGAGTTTAGAACAAAACAAGCTCAAAAACACTTTAGAGAGTAACAGTAGTAGAGCAGACAAATAGAAATGAGATTAATAAAATAATGCTAGATGATATACAGACCTATACACGTCTCAAGAAGGAAAAAAAGGTTAGAAATATTTATAGCCATAACTCTGTAAACTAAGCATCAGGTAAAGGAAAACTGTTGATCTTCTAATTGTCAGTGTTCTCACAATGATTAATTTTGCATGAGGTAAAATACCCATTTTTTAAATAGGTCTGAAGGCCATAATATAAGCACATTTTAAATAATTGTTAAAGAAACAGATTTCATATAAAGAATATTACCAAACATCTAAGAGTTTTTAAAAAGTCCACAAAATAGCAAAAACAAACTTCAAAAGATGAAACCAAATAGAACTTAAATTTTATGTGTTAAATAATGACTCCAGAAGAAAGTACTTACAAATAAGAAAGCACAGAAATTTGATTCCCCAATGGTATTCTCAACTTTGGCAATTCACAAATTAAATAATGTTTAGTAAGCAAGACTAAACTCAGAAAAAGCCAGGTAACGTCTAACAAATAAGAATGCTTGGCTGGTTGGGTGGCTCACGCCTGTCATCCCAGCACTTTGGGAGGCCGAGGCGGGCGGATCACGAGGTCAGGAGATTGAGACCATCCTGGCTAACACGGTGAAGCCTTGTCTCTACTAAAAATACAAAAAATTAGCCAGGCATGGTGGTGGGGCCTGTAGACCCAGCTACTCGGGAGGCTGAGGCAGGAGAATCGCTTGAACCCGGGAGGAGAGGATGCAGTGAGCTGAGATCGTGCCATTGCAATCCAGCCTGGGCGACAGAGCGAGACTCCATCTCAAAAAAAAAAAAAAAAAAAAAAAGAATGCTCTATCAGGCTCAATAAACACCATCATGAAGTGGTGGCCTAATAAGACCAGCAGTTAGATCTACCTAGACAATTGCATTGAAAACAGAATGATTATTGCTGGTGCACCCATCGACTGGCTGATAACGTTTGGACATCTGCCACCTGAGTGATAATCCTACTAAGTCAAGGTTCAGCTTTTTTCGATTGTAAAATCCAAGTGTCAATGTTGAGGTGACGGCGTTAGATACTATTCGATACTATCTCCCCAGTTAAATTCAACTGAGTAGGTGTTTATCGGTCACCTATTGTGGGCCCATTTGGTGTCCCAAATACTCTGGGTAACAATATCAACAACACATTACCATTTATAAATGGCTTTCACATATACCATCTCATTTTAACCTCAGAGGAATCCAGTGATTTAGGCAGGGCTGGTACTAATCCCAATTTTATATCAAAAACTAAGCCTGTGGAAAGTTAAGTGACCCATCCAATGTGATATGACTAATAAACAATTAAACTGGTTTTCAAATCTACATCTGCTGTCTACAAATATCATGCTGATAAGGATGGGTAGTCATACCCTAAAGAACATCTGTGTTGGAATGGACCAAAAATTCTTTAAAGAGACAAGTGCAAATTACAAAAAGAGTATGAAAAAGATTTAGAAAATAAGTTTATGTATGGATAAGAGTGAGAAAGTATTTTTTAAGTGAGTTAAATTTGTATCATTATACAAGGCCTATTTTTGAGGTGACAGCATTTCCGGGTTAAAATAGCTCTACAGATTCAGTGTAGGAAAATCTTATTTATTCCTATTCTATCAAACTTGTTTTTGTGATAATTTGAAGATAGATTTAAGATAAACTTCAATCTAACCTAATCTTTCCTACCTCTGTAGGTAAAAAAACCTACAGAGATTGAAAGTGTACCAGATAACAGTGTGAAATAAGTCCATTAAGCAAAAGAATGGACATTTGACTACTTTAAAATAAACAACTCTATTTAAGATTCTAGAAGTGTCAACATTCATAAAAACCAATTAGGAAACTTTATTTTTATGTGTTAAAAAGTGTGATAAACTAAATGTTAGCATGTATTTTACAAATTCTCTTCTAGTCTCATATGAGGCAGGCTGTCTTTGGTTTTATGGAACATTATTTTTAGGCTTGTTCTTACTATCAATAGCATTATTTCAAAATCTATTTCTTTTACTTATGTGGTTCTGCTTTAGTTAGGAGTGATTTTTAAGTTTTTGCAGAATGCATTTGTAATTTTCTGAAACGGAGCAAAAAAAAAAAACTAGTTCACTGAACAGAAGTCTTTTTGATTGCTGAGAGAAGGCTTTGGTGGAATGAATCTATTCCTTTAAGCAGGAATATCTGTAGAGAGAACAGGCTGTCATATACAGGCTTATTCAGGGTAACAGATTCCATTTCAGCTGACTTGGAGGCAAAGCAGGCCAGGCTTCGAAATCACCTCAAAAAAAAAAAAAAAAAAAAAGCCTTCTTGCAACATTACCTCCAAATGAGGTTATACAAGGTTATACACAGTCACAGACAAATGGGATTAAAATGGGAACAACAGGACTGAAAGAACAAAATTAACTTTAAATTAGTATAACATTATTGGACTTTACTGTCTGTAGTAAAGTATGAATTAATTCAAAAAATATTTTATAATGATCCTGCACAATTTTATTTTTTGGGCAGGCTGGGTACAGTGGCTCATGCCTGTAATCCCAGCACTTTGGGGGGCCAAAGCGGGCGGATCACAAGGTCAGGAGTTCGAGACCTGGCTGGCCAACACGGTGAAACCCCGTCTCTACTAAAAGTACAAAAATAAGCTGGGCTTGGCGGCACACGGCTGTAATCCCAGCTACTTGGGGGGCTAAGATAGGAGAATCGCTTGAATCCAGGAGGCGGAGGTTGCGGGAGCCAAGATCGTGCCACTGCACTCCAGCCTGGGTGACACAGTGAGACTCAGTTTCAAAAAAAAAAAAAAAAAAAAAATACTAATTTGCTACTTTAAAAAAGATTTTACTGCTGAAAAATAAAGAAATATAAAAGTAGAAAGACTGTTATTTCTTGATGTTTTATAAAACAGCCAGGATCCTAAGCAACCCCACTGATACTCGTCATTTCCATTTGTGTAAAATTTCATGTATCCAGTGAACAGAGTTTACTCATGATTGTAGAAGAGGGAATCTCATGCAATATTTAAGCTATTAATTACTCATAAAATAATTCTCCCACTGAGAACATCAATGAAAACCCTATAGCTATCTTTGGATTTTTGTATTTTCTAAAATAAACCCAATTTGTAAAGACATGGCCCAGGAATTAAGAATTTTCAGTGGTAAGCACACCAGCAAGCCATAAAGGCCTGGCTATAGACTTTTTCGTTTTCTTGGGAGGTGTATTTCCTTGTTTACTTTTGGGGTATTTCCTAGAACAGACCATTCAGGACCGTTATAATAGCTTGTCAGGATGCACAGTTACTAGGATGCCAAAAAGGTCACGTCTGCATGGTGCTGCCTGGTTGTTATCAGATTTTAATAGCCCACATTCCTCAAATTAACATCTTCTAGTAGGCATCTAATTAAAGATTAAGCTATTCAACTTGAATTTTTATTATTATTTGGCAGGATAACTTAATTCATTCTTTAAACGTACTTTCCCATCTAAAATGATTTTTCATTATTTTTTTTACCACACTATACTTTTTCCTTTTTGGCAAATGATAGGTCTTAAAAACACTAATGAGAAGACCCAATTTAAAAAGAAAATAGTTACATACTATGAAAATTTAACAATAATAGTAGTAGAAGCAGTGGTGGTAGTGGTAGTAGCAGTAGTAAACAAGTTACTAAGGGTCTGACATTTAAATCTTGACAAGCTCCAATTCATACTAGATTTAAAGTCTCTTACCAGGGTTGCAATCTGTAAGAAGTGAGCAGATGGAGAGGAGAACTTTAGAAATAGTTAAAGCCGGACTCCAGTTGTCCTTTAAGATGTCCAGACAGATCACACCTTGGCTGTTAATATTACAGTGATAGATTCTTGTTCGGAAGGTAACCTACAAGAAAATGTAAAGTTATATTTTGTTAGACAAAGTGTTTATTAACAGTATCTATAGACAATTTTTGTCTAATAAAATTGCCTATTTTATCAGACAAAATAGCCCAGGCTATTGGTTAACATACACTTGATTTTTTTCTTGGGCACATGAGATTAATCAACAGAGATCATCATTTTAGAATTTGTCATTTTGGGCACAGAGAAATAAACATCAACAGCAAAACCATGACATTCTGCTTCTTATAAAGAGTCCTGTTATTTAACAAATGTTTTAGGGACTGAATTTACTTTTGATACAACTACAGGAATGTTCATGGGGAGAAACTGACTCTGACTTCTAAAAAATTTCAAAGAAAACTTTTGTTAGATTCCAGTTATTTTAAGGATTTTGTACATTTATAATATTCAAACACCAAAAAGCATGAGAGTACTAATACAAAGAAAATAAATATTATTCTATAACAGTTTTTTTTTCTTTTTTTTTTTTTTTGAGATAGAGTTTCGCTCTGTTGCCCAGGCTGGAGTGCAGTGGCGTGATCTTTGCTCACTGCAACCTCCACCTCCCGGGTTCAAGCGATTGTCCTGCCTCAGCCTCCCAAGTAGCTGGGATTAGAGGTGCCCGCCACCACACCCAGCTAATTTTTGTATTTTTAGTAGAGACAGGGTTTTGCCATGTTGGCCAGGCTGGTCTTGAACTCCTGACCTCAAGTCATCCGCCTGCCTTGGCCTCCCAAAGTGCTAGGATTACAGGTGTAAGCCAACATACCCGGCCTATAACACAGTTTTAAAACATAAACTAAGGCATTTATATAAATAACATGCCCAGTTCATAGAACTATATTAGTATAATTATAGTAGTTACAATTTACTATTTTAGTTATATTACTAGTTACAATTAGCTGTAATTTAGAAACCTTTTCCTTCTTAAATTTTATTTTTAAAACGTAATATTAGTGCATCCTACCTTTGCCCTGTGATAGCTAGATCACCACTGTATGCTGCTTACATGTAATTGTGAAACATGACCATATCATTTGTAAAACACTTCAACTGAAAATAATTAAGTGCAAATCAGTTTTATAACTACGAAAATAATTAAGTGCAAATCAGTTTTATAACTACTAAAACTGTTTAATAAAAGTGTTATGTAAACGGCAATAAGATGTGAATATTATTGATTAATATTATGTTCATAAATGTTCTTAAATTTTAAGTTGAAATATACAAAAATCTCAGGGTTCTAAAGACAGTCTTTTGGTACCCTATGTTCAAAATAGCTCTGAACCAAGAAAAACACACATGCAGATCTCTGCAGGTGCTGCCACTCCACCAGGGCATCCAGCATCCAGTCAAACACCAGATTTATGTAATTTACATGATGCGAAGTCTCAGAAAGGGCAAATCTAGAGACTTATGTGGTTGTCGAACAAGAGACATCATTCTCAGGTTAAATTAGTACTTCTAATGAGAACTGCCCTTCTAGCATCATGCCAGACCAGATAATCCATGACACCTACATACACATCTTAAATGCCTAGAAATGTTGAAGAAAATATAACCAACATTCTTTAAAATGCATAGCAAAATCTGTAAGGGGAATTCCCAGAGCCCAGAATTAAAAACCAAAAATTATAGTAAGCGCAACAAGCTGAGACTGCACCTGCCATGGGTGGGGTTTTGGGAAGAGGGAAGGGAGTAAAAGATGGTACTCAGTCTTAATAAAGTGGAGGTTTGGGTTTTGATGCCCTCATGGAAAAAGAAGATGAAATCTTAGGCCTGTATGTTGCAAGAATTTAGAATTGAGCGCCCTTATATCAATTAGGAAACTCGAATGGCTAGTCTTTCAGTAAATGCATGGACTTGAAAAGATATGCCTTATGACAGAGATAGCAAAGAAACTTACCAAAGAAAGCGTGGGCTCTAGAATGAGAAGAGAAATGTTTTTCCTGAGAATTCTAAATCCTAGATACATATACTGTGTAAACACTAGCTAACAAAAACAGCTTAAATGACTATATTATCAGATCAAAATATGTTTAAGGGAAAAAGCATTGTTAGAAACAAAGAACGTTACTGATAAAATAAACAACTCATCAAGAAAACAGTAACAATTCTGAATGTGCTGTATCTAACAATATAGCCAAAAGTATACAAAGTAAAAATGTGCAAAATTATAAGGAGAAAATGACATAGCTATAATCAAAGAGGGACATTTTCACCACAGTAACTGATAGGTCAACCAGACTAAAGATTAGTAAGGATATTGGAGATCTGAACAATTGGATAAACAAAATCAAGGGAGTGAATGAAGACACAATCCTACACTTAATGATTAAGGAACATTTAAGAAACATTTGTAAAAACTGATCCCATGCTAAGCCACAAAAGAAGCTTTACATATTTCAAAGAATTGACATTATTAAGACCATAATGTAAAGTCAGAATCTACATATAAAAGATCCCCCTATCATATGTTTGGAAACTGAAAAACTCATTTTCAAATAATTCTTGGATCAAAGAAAAAAATCAGTTACTATTATTGCTGAATGACAATGAAAATATTGGGTTGCCAATATCAAAATTTTGTGACTCAGCTAAAACAGTTGTAAAAGAGAAATCTACAGTTTCAAACACATACATTAGGAAGGAAGACAGATATTTAATGAGTTAAGTGTCCAACTCAGGAAGGTAGTAAAAGAACAACAGAGTAAACTCCATGAAAGAAGAAATAAAGACACTAGCCTAAGTTAATGAAACAGAGACTATCTCGTGATATTAAAATTTCTCTGGAGAAGGCAGAGTGCCTATCCCTTTAAGTGCTAAATGAAAAGATAAAATATTTTTACGATCCCAATTTAACCAATGAGTGGCTTACATAATATTGATAATTAACCCTCAAAACAACTCAATAGGGAAAATAATATTATTGGCAACCACTTGAAAAATGATGAAACTAAGGCAAAGGGAGGTTAAAGAACTGGCTCAAGATCCCACAAGTGGTAAGTGGAAGCCAGAATTTGAACACAATTGTGCTGATCCAAAAGCCTACGGTTTGTCTCTCAGCATCAATGCCTCTGTTCTTTCGTTAAAAATTTATAATTCTGGGATAATTGTAGATTCATGTACAGTTGTAAGAAATAAAGAGATCCCATGTATTTTTCACTCAATTTTCCCCAATGAAAACATCCTGTATAACTACAGTATACTGCAGGAAACTGACATTAATACAGTCCACTGACCTTTTCCAGTTTCATTTTTATGTGCACTCATGCATATTAAGTATATTTAGTTCTATGTAATTTTATCACATGTATAGATTTGTGTGAATACCACCAGTCAACACACAAACAACTCTATCACAAACATTCTTCATGGTACCCTGCGATAGCCATAGTTGCCTTCTCCCTTTACTTCAATTCCTGGCAACTACAACTCTGTCCTCATCTCCACAACTTTGTCATTTCAAGAACGCTATATAAATGGAATCGTATAGTAGGTAACCAATTGAAATTGGTTCTTTTCACTCTGCACAATTCCCTTAAGATCCATCCAAGCTGTTGCACGTGTCAATAATTTGTTCCTTTCTTACTGATGAGTAGTATTCCACGGCATAGATGTGGTAGAATAGGCAGATAAACAGACATGAGGAGGAGAAGGGCTGCCCTGAGAAAAGGAGTCTGGAAAATCTCATGCCCCAGGGATCACCCCAAACAGGCGTGCTAGATATGAACAGACAGGAGGGGAAATACCTAGGCAGAAAGGAATCCCCCTTAAGACCCCAGTGATTGCTCACTCTGCCAGTTAACCTGCCAGAATGTAGCTAGATGCATGCTAAAGGGAAGAGGGCAAAGGAGAAAATTCCTAAGAGATACGCAGAAGCAATTTGTGTCCAACATCGGGTTCACGCGTGCACACCAATAGTAAGGGAGGGTCCCACAACCTTGGGGCGGGAACTAGGTGAGGGAAAAGGCAGGGACTTAAGGCAGATGCAGAAAACTAAACAAAGTAAAAAGGCGGAGACTTAAGAAAGAGGCAGGAACTTCAAGAAAAAATCTGAAATCATAAAAACCCACCACTCTCGGGGTGCTGCTGGCTCACTCTCTTTCAGCAGCTCGCCCTGCCTCATCTTTTCAGAGTGTACTGTCTCTCTAGATAAACTCCCTACTCTGTATTTTCCTTCAATGAATTCTCTTTCTCTGGCTAAACCAGTAGCTTGGCAGAATTCTTTCTCCAAATAAGACTAAGAACCAAACAGTAATAGATGTACCAATTTGTTTACCCATTTACCCACTGAAGGGCATCTGGGTTTCTATGAGATTGGAAGAATCAAAATGTTTTTCCTACTCTCTCAACACAGAAGACTTCTGTGACCAAATGTGGGGTGAGGAGTTTCTCCTGACAACTAATTTTCTGATGCTAGCTGGGTGTCCCACAGTTCAATTCTGATACTATCCACCTGGATTTAGAGTCAGAACCTACAGGTTTAGGTCTCAGTCCCACAAGACTGCTTCTCACTTCAGATGCCAATCCAAGTTCTGACTGTTATAAACTGGGGGTTCCCACAACCCCCTCCTCAGGTTCAATCATTTGCTAAAGCAGTTCACACAATCCATAAATGCGTTTTACTTACCTTTACTGGTTTATTATAAAATATATTACAAAGGATACAGCTGAACAGTTAAGAAGATAAGCATAAGGTAAGGTACGAGCCATAAGGGGTGGGGTGGGGTGGTGGGGGTGGTATAGAGTTGCCATGCCCTCTTGGGGTACAACAACCTCCATGAGTTCAGCAACCCAGAACCTCTCTGAACCTTGCTTTTAGGGGTTTTATGGAGGCTTCATTATGTAGGCATGATTGATTTAAATCATTGGTCATTAGTGATCAACTCAAATTTCAGATGCTCTCCTCTCCCTGAGGGTTATAGGGGAAAGGGGCTGAAAGTTCCAACCCTCTAATCACATGATTGTGACATGATGGCAACCAGCTTCCATCCTGAGGCCTTCCAGGAGACCCCAGCCACCAGTCACCTCATTAGCATCAGAAGACACTTAACATTTCTGAGATCGCAAGGCTTTTAGTAGCTTTGTGCCAAAAATCAGGACCAAATAGTATATATTTCTTATTAAAAATCACAATATCGCAGGGTTGTTTCCATTTTCAAGCTATTACAAATAAAGCTGCTATGAACATCTGTGTATGTGTTTTGTGTGAACATAAGTTTTTATATCTCTCAGATAAATGCCCAAGAGTGTAATTGGTGGGTCATATGTTAAGCTCATATTTAGTTTTATAATAACCTGCCATACTCCTTCCCAGAGTGGTTGTACCATTTTATATTCTCACTAGCAATGTGATCTAGTTTCTCTGCATCCTTGCTAGCATTTGGTGTTATCACTATGTTTCATTATAGCCATTTTGATAAGGTGTAATGATACCTCAGTGTGGTTTTAATTTACATTTCCTTAAATGCTAATAATGTTGAACACTTTTTCATTTGTTTATGTGTTATCTGGATATCCTCTACAGTTTGTCACATCTTTTGCTCAGTTTTTATTAAAAATTTTAATAAATTTTGTTGACTTTATGGTGTTTTAAATGGAGACATTTCGTTAAAACCAAAGTATAACTGGATGAAAAATAATAAAATTTGAGTTTGCAAAGAATCCTGTGAATTTCTGGACAGAGTTTTAAACTTGAATATTTTATAATGATAACAAAAGGATCTACTTTGATGATGATGTTTGTCAACTTCTATTCTGACAGGTGTTCATGAATTAAACCACACTGAATTAAACAGACACACTGACTGTTCCAACATGTTCTAATGTCAGAGACTCCCACAACTACCACCTTTTGAAGCAGGAAACAAAATCTTGATCCCTAAGTTTTAAGAAGTGTTATGTGTTTATCTATTGAAATGTAAGCAATCTCCTCTTTGGGGGTCCTGCCATCATATTCCTACTTCAATACTATACTTGCAGTAGGACCTCCTCATGAAATCATGAATTACTCATGAAAGTATTGTCTTTCAACTGATGTCCAAAGCACTGCCTGGCATACATAAAGAGCCCACTGTTTGTTGAACAAATGCTAACACACCACAGGCTCGTGGTCTCTGAGGGGTTATAACCTCTTATTGTTTTTTAGGTAAAAGAGCGTTTTAGAACCATAACTTAAGAGTAAAAGCTGGAAGACTAGAGAATATCCTGAGGAAGGAGAAGATCTCTTTAACATTTTTCTGTCCCATGTTCCTTTACTAAATTTTCCTACAGGTTATAATATTATTTCACAAGGGGCTTCATATAGGCTAAACTAATAATAGAAATAATAAATTCAGTAAGCATTCAATATGTGCCGGGCACTCCAACATAAACATTTGTATTGCTGCTACTTCCTATTTAAATGCTAAAGAGAACCTAAGAAATGAGTGGTCTGGTTACATCAGCAAACATGTTCTACAATCAAGGTAAAAACTCGCTAATAAAAGCCCTTGAAGCAGCCAGCATTCTTTTCTAGACCTTATCAACAAACTAGGGAAAATGAGAAAGAATACTTGCAAACTGATAAGGAATTGTTTGCGGTCCTTAGATATTAGTGATTCAGAAATAGGAAATAATGTTTTGAATAGTGACAAATAGCAAAGAATTTGCAACTGCCAGAAGGAGAAGTTTAGAGGCTGAGAAAAGAAGTCTTCCCACCCTTAACCTACAAGACTACTCCGATCTCTGACTCAATTTTCCAGAAAGCCCATCACATTATTTTGATCAGGGGGCTGGGCAGCTATACATCCTTCATGTCATGTTCCTGACAAACAAGCAAATGATAAAAAATGACCATAAAGCAAACTGCACTTCCATTGCAAGGGTTAATACCCGCTGAGTTCTGTGTATCAAACTAGTTACGCCTACATTGGCATTTATAGCTGTATTTGAAGCATAGCTCAATAACTGATGTTTACAATGGTAGCCACCTTTTCTCAATGATAGGTAAAATTATATTGAGAATAACAGTTTTCAAAGGCAGGGAGGACAGCACCTTTTGGAACATTTTCCATAAAAAGGAAATTTTAAAAATACGACTTGGATATAGCGATATAGAAAACATTTATTTAGAATGGCTAATTCCCAGATGGCCCTGGATAACAAAGGTTTTAATTTATGTGTGATAAACACACACCCAACACCTGCATGTGTGGGTACACATGTGCAGTAGATGGAATAATGCCCTCTTGCCCCAAAGATGTCCACATCCTAATTCCTGGAACCTGTGAATGTTACCTCACATGATAAAAACAGCCTTGTGATTAGGCGGAGAATCTTGAGATGGGGGTGATTATCCTGGATTATTTAGGTGGGCCCAATATAATTTCAAGGGTACTTTAAGAGAGAGGCACGAGGATCAGGGTCAGTAGTAGGGGATGTGATAAGTGATGTGAGGAAGGAGCCATGAGCCAAGGAATGTAGTTGGCCTCTAGAAGCTGAAAAAGGCAAGGAAATGGATTTTTCCCCTAAAGCCTCAAGAATGAACTCAGCCATGCTAATACCTTGATTTGAGTCTTCTGACCCACGGAACTATAAGACTATAAGACAATAAATTCATACTGTTTCAAGCCACTAAGTCTGTAACAGTAGCAACAGGAAACTAATATAGTGCACACGTGTGTGTGTGTGTGTGTGTGTGTGTGTCTGTGTGTCTGTGTGTATCTGTATCTCCCAGCTGTCTCATTACTTTCTCTTAAAAGGTACTTAAAAATGAAGCTGTGCTATTTCTGTACTTCACAGAATCATCTCTCCTTAAAAATAATTCTAGAAAGAGTTAACATTCTTTATGTTGACTAAAGCATAAAAGAACACAGTAGCATTCTTGGATAACTAACTTTGCAACTCTGAGCCTCTCTTTCCTAACAAAACAAGAGGCTTAGATTATTTCTAAGGCTTATTCTAGTTCCATGATCCATGAGTTGTATTGTGGAAAGAATATATGGGTTTGGGAGTTAGCTGGACTTGGGCTGGAATTCTCTTTTTGGATGAATTACTTAACATCTTTGAGATTCAGTTTCTTCATCTGTAAAATGAGGAAAATAACAGCTATACCCACAGTAGCTGTGAAGACTGAAGTACACAAATGGTTCTAATAGCCTGCCTGGCACTCAGCAGGAATCCAATGAGTATTAGTTCTTCTTCCCTTCTCTTACATCCCCTAGTTACTAGTTATAAGATTAACTGAGAATGCATCACTTTAAGGTATAGGCAAGACTCCATATATAAATAAAAAGTAATTTTGTAAGAGGACAGAGATCATGAAAGGCATAAATATAAAAAAAATTTTAATACAGTATTTCTGACAAACTGATTCTAAACATAATTTAGAAAGATGTTTAAAAGTAAGCACCTCCAAGATGAAAAACTAATTCTGATAATAACATTCAAAATAACAATTTAAAATAATTTTTCAATGATAATGTTTTTCAATTTTTCAAAAAATTTTGATAAGGACATAAATGGTGCCTTGCTTTTACTGAGAAAATCTGCAATCAGTGAGAACATTCTTTTTAAAAATACTTTTCCACGGAGAACCCCCCAACCCCACAAATATTTGAAGCCCCCATGCCATGAATCAGTAAATCATGTAACAAAGCTCTAAAATGGTATGGTTAACATCATTAGGCTCACTATGAAACTACAGTTTATTTAAACAGGTTGTTAGTATACATAAAAAAAAAAAATCCCCTCTTTGAGATTTCAAGTGCTCTTTTCTTAAAACCAATTTGAGAGCACTGCACCAATAACTAACATACACCCTAAAATTAATTTTTTATTAGTGACAAAATAAAAATGGAAAACCTCATTATAGTGAGGGAATAAATCCTGAAAAATATGTATATCTAAGAAATACACATTAGCAAAACAGAACACCACCTTCCCCCAGCCCCCCACCCCATAGGAATATTATCTGGCCCTTGAATAACTGGCAGTGAAGGAACTGAAATTAAACATCACCTGAAAACCATAATGCATAAAGATGACACCTATCCAGCTGTGAATACTAACTACATGCTAGAGCATGCTACATGATAAGACTACTATCTTTTAGCTTTCAAGTACAATTCAAATGATTTAAAACAAAAGACCTTTATGCCACAGACATTTAAATTGAAAAAAGTCTTTCTCAGTTTCCTTTTATGTATAAATGTAGAAAAACATGCAACTAGAAAATTTTCCCCATCACGGGAAGCAAATCTCTTAGAAGATTGGGAGCATCTTATTCAATTCTCAGTGCTCTTTCCTACAATACAGCAAATTACTCTCAACTCCTACAGCGCAGGATGCTTGGTATGACTTGATAAGGGGCAAACAGATTCCTTCTTTTGCAATTTATAAAAATTCAGTTTATATAGAATGTTTCTGGAACATACCTATAATGAATAAAGTTCACTGGTTCTTTTCTAAATTTGTGTTTTTTTTAAATTAGTTACTTCTTTCATTATATTTCATATTTCATTTTTTTATCTTTACACAATTATTTTGTCTCTTGACTTGTTCTGTTTTTTTAAGTTTCAGAAATGGTATTCCAGAAGATTCTCCTTAATGGTAGATTGTATCATGGTACAGACAGAAATCTTTGAGTGTGAGTTCATTCTCAGTGGGCATTTTTTTTTCTTTCTATAGAAGTCCCATGTGCTTTGGACTGTGGAATGTTTTGCATTTGCATCTTCATGGGCCTCAGGTAACACTAGTTTGAGACTAGACTGTACCATATATGCCAAAACATAAGGCAATAAAATAAAATAATCCCTTAGGAAAAGAAGAGCTGATTTAGATTCAAATCTTCATAGAAGTCTCCTACAGATGACATCTCAAATACTTTCTTTTGAAGGAGATACTATCTGGTAAAGACATAGTTGCCTGAAACCAGCTCAATCAATGCTTGTTTGGCATGCATATAGAGGTTTCCTTCTCAATGGGTTAAAAAAAAGTGGAGGGGTTCAGAAATTAAACAAAACTCTAAGAGTACAAACTCACTATTTGAAGGCTTAGATTTTAACAAGTCTTTAAAAAATTTACTCAAAAAAGCAAAACAGAAATTTAAAACAAGGAATTTAAAAAATAAGCTGGTTATGGCCAGGCGCGGTGGCTCACGCCTGTAATCCCAGCACTTTGGAAGGCCGAGGCGGGCAGATCACCTGAGGTCAGGATATCGAGACCATCCTGGCTAACATGGTGAAACCCTGTCTCTACTAAAAATGCACAAAATTAGCCGGGCGTGGTGGCGGGCGCCTGTAGTCCCAGCTACTCCGGAGGCTGAGGCAGGAGAACGGCGCGAACCCGGGAGGCGGAGCTTGCAGTGAGCTGAGATCGTGCCACTGCACTCCAGCCTGGGCAACAGAGCGAGACTCTGCCTCAAAAAAAAAAAAAAAAAAAATTAGCTGGTTATATGAGTTTTCTACAAATGAGTTTTTGTGCCTTAGGACAAGTTATCCAATAACATAATCACATACGGATTTAAAAACGGCTGTTCCACCAAACAACTGTGGTGGAAATAAAGATAACCTGGTATCTAAACTTAAACAGGTACACAAATAATCATTTAAACATTCACACTGCTTTAATTCATTAAGCACATACATAGTAGGTGCTCAATTAGTGCTGGGGGGGTGGGGGGTACACGGGGATCCATCAAAACCAGAACCCAAAGCTTTCTTGGTTTAATCTTCCTTCTGGAGCAAGGGTGTCCAATCTTTTGTCTTTCCTGGGCTACATTGGAAGAAGAAGAATCGTCTTGAGCTACATATAAAATATACTTATGATAGCTCATGAGCTAAAACAAACAAACAAACAAACAAAACCTTATCATGTTTTAAGGAGGTTTACCAATTTGTGTTGGCCGCATTCAAAGCCATCCTGGGCCCGGATTGGATGAGCTTGTCCTAGAGGCATCAGTCTCCCCCAGTCAGGTACTAGAACAATTGCTCTTGAATAACAAACTTAACAACCATTATGTGGGGCTATGTTGAGCCAACAGCACTTATTTATCAATTAGTACTGTCCACAGAAGATAATTTAACAGATGTCCAAAGGACCAACATCTCTTAGACAAGATGATTCATTTCTGGCTTTAGAACTGCAAAAGTGTCTCATACATAACAACAATTAATTAGGAAGCACAACAGCTGAGATAGTTAATGGATTCCATGTAAAGCATGTAATAAATGACTGACCATATCACACTTGCTGTTTAACTAAAGACAGTGACATAAACACAAACAGAAGGAGAATGTCCTCCTTTTCGTTTCTTTTCTTTACATTTTTTATAGGTCTCACACTCCCCAAGGCAATTCTGTAAGACGCAGCATATTTACAGATTTGATAAATGTAAAATGAAAATAATGTACAGGATTACTCCATCCTTCAGGAAAGGAGTAATACATTTTATGTTTATAGATATATGAAGGGTCAGTTATTTATTTTAAGAGATCAATAATCCAGTTCATATACAACACAATACAAAGTATTTGTCAAACTAGCTAGAAGTGATGATTTAGCTTTTCATACAGCCTACAAAAGTGTAGAAGTAAACTATATTTAAACATGATATAAAAAAAAACATGAGCTGGGCTTGGTGGCTAACACCTGTAATCCCAACACTTTGGGAGGCTGAGGAGCAGGGATCACTTGAGGCCAGAAATCTGAGACCAGCCTGGGCAACACAGCAAGACCCTGTCCCTACAAAGAACTAAAAAACTATCCAGGCATGGTTGTGTGTGCCTGTATTACTAGCTACTTGGGAGGCTGAGGTAGGAGGGCAGCTTGTGCCCAGGAATATGAGGCTGTAGTGAGCTATGATTACACCATATACTCTAGCCTGAATGACAGAGACTCTGTGTCTCTAAAACTAATAAAAATATAGTAAAACAATGACTGATTCTGTTAATGATAAGTAAATTTACAGCTATTATAGAGTTGGCCAAATTCCCACTCTTTTGGTTGAATGCTATGTGTACAACACACAAAAGAGACATTCTTTGAAAGTAGCAGAGTATTCACAAATACTATAAAAATTTCCAAACTTTGTATGCATACTTGAGGGTAATCATATTTTTCCCCTATGTTCTTACCATAAAGTTAAAAAATACCACATGTATAAACAGTAAGTTGTAACCAAAAATAATAGTAATAATTAAAATAGCTACCAATAATGCCATGTTTATGTGCCACGCACTGTCCTAGGTGACTTGCATTTATTACATAATCTTCACACTCATCCTGTAAGGTGGGTACTATTATTACTAAGAAACAGACATAGGTTGAGAGGAATTCAAATCCTCACAGTAAAGTCAATTCCAATACTAAGCAAAAAGCTTATAAGGAAAATACAAAATAATCAAAGACAAATGAAAACCCCACACCCTCAAAGTTTTTTTTTTAATTAAAGAAAATGACAGAAAAAAATAATAAAGAAAATTATGTAAATTCCAGATCTCAACAGTTTGACTTTACAGAGCAAAGCTAATGACACAGGGATTCAACAGGTTTCTCAGATCAAGTTCTGACAAAATGATCAAGCATGTAAAGTGAATAGCGAAGAGAAGAAATGTTTAATGATATTCATGGCTGGGTGTGGTGGCTCAGGCTCAGCCTGGGAGTTAAGAGACCTGCGTGGGCAACATGGTAAAACTCCGTCTCTACAAAATAATGAAAAAAAAAAAATTAGCTGGGCATGGTGGCATGTGTCTGTAGCCCTAGCCAGTCAGAAGGTTGAGGAGGGAAGATCACTTGAGCCCACAAGGTTGAGGCTGCAGTGAACCATGACTGTGCCACTGCACTCCAGTATGGGCAATAGAGCGAGACCCTGTCTCAAAAACAAAACAAAAAAAACCCTCACACATATATATATTCACTATTACTATTGTGAGATTACTAAAGGCAAAAAAACCCAAGTCAGTTAAAAAAGTAAACAACTGTTTCAACATGACTTGAAAACTCTCACTTAACATGTATAATCTTTGAATAACTTAAATCTCAGCACACAGAATATTCTAGTGAATATTGTTTAAACATCTATGCAGAATAGATGTAGTTAACTAACCTGATACTCATAATACTGTACACTGAAAGTAACAGCTAATCAGGAAGCATACTTGAAAAATAAAAAAGGGTACTTTTATTAAATATTTGAAAGTTTTAGTTGGTTTTATAACAGGCATGACTAATACTATGTGATGATTTGAATTAGATTGTAAAATAGAAAAATGATAATGTATAAGCATTTGTTATAAAGGAATAAAATAGCAAAAAAAAAAACCTTGGTAAAGTAGAAGTGCACTTAATTTTCTAAGCTAGTTATTTCTATTTGAGAATGTGCTAATTCTTGCTTGATATATGACCCCCTTGCAACCAACCTGACATACAAATATTGGTTTACTTAAAAATGGTTAGAAAATAAGATTGGAGTCTTAGGGAAGGAGTGAAGGAGTAGATGTTGAATGACAAACTGAGGAGCTGGTCTTTCATCCTGCAGTTTAGGAGAATGCCATGATGAAAGAGGTGTTTTAGGGATTTGGAACAGGATTGTTATATGATGTTCGTTCTCAAATTAGCCTTTTGTGGAACAAATGCTTTGTGGTAGATGACACTAACTTATTCCTAAATTCACAAAATGGCTTTTATATGATTAATACCATTTTCTTTGAATATTGTCTTAACAGCTGACCAAACCAAGAAAGAAATGAATATATGTGAAACAGAAATAAGGGAGGGGGAGATGGAGAAAACATGGGCAACACAATCCACAATCTGAGGCAGGGACAGAGGGAAAAAGGGACAAGGCACTGCAGGCACACAGCAGCCAGAACTTACTGAAAACCAGTTCCCATCAAGCCTGCACCACTTCCTGGAACCCACTGTGGAGAATATCGGAGAGGGGAAAAGGAAGGCAGCAAATATATGAGAAGAGCCTAAGGCAAGCCTTCTGACTCTTCAGGTCAAGGCATCCTTATAAGGATGGATCTAAGTTTCCTTCCTCACTGTAAACATAAACTAGCTCACAGCTCATTTCAACAACTCCAGGACTATCACAAACATACCTCTTTCTGCCTTCGTGGCAAGCATTCAAGAATTACTTTTTAGTCTTACTGAAGGAATATGTAGTATTATGAGGAATATCTTAAATTTTATTTGTATCTAATGGTAACTACCTGGGTTTGTTTTCCACTTAAATTTCCATGCCTAATTTTCTTTTATCCCAGGCAATCTCTCTCTTCTGTTCTTCTCTATTCCCCACTTGTCCATATCTAATCTCTGCTACCACTCTATGATTTCTGACATGATTTCTTCAGTCTCTACTTCCACCTTCTAGAGTATCTTGCTTCATTCACATTCCACGGCTTCCAAAGCCTGTTCTTTTGGGTTTATCTTTTCCCCTCCAATATTCTCTGTAAGACTACTGCCCTAAAAAAAATGGGTTAATTTTCCTTAAAGCTGTGTAGAAATGTATCTGATAGAAACAAGGAAAAAGAAAAAAGGAAGAGTGGGGAGTAGGGGGAATAAGAATGACTCAGAATTGTGTGAAAAAAAAAATTCCCATTTTCTAATGTTTTATTCCTGCTTCCTGAATCTCCTGTCCCTAAAAGAAATCTGAAGTACTATCTTAAATAAACACTCTAGGCCGCTGTTTTCCTTTCCATATAATTTGCAACATTTATCTTTGAAATTTTCTATCTAGTAGAAAATTGTCTGCTGTGGTATAACAATACCACCTTTTAGAAGCAAACAACTGCACCACATGTGGCTTTTTAAATAAATAGTGCCAACTTCATTTTACAAAACTGATAGTTGTATGTACAGCTAAATAAAGATTTCAGAAATAAATTTTTTGTAGACAGGCTAGCAAAAATGTTTATTTACAAAGGGAACAAATTTATATAAGGACAGGGATTATCTCTGATACTGATTTTTATCCCCTCTAGGAAAGAGGATATTGACATGTATTTGTTCAATAAACAAATTAACTGGAAAAACACAGAATATTTACATTTGAAAGGAGGCCACACATACCATAATTAAAAATGACAATTGATCGAGAGCTTCTGATGTTTCAACAGTTAGGTTTACAGTGCCTTCTTTTTGGGAGTCTGAGATGGGAGGTGTCAATGGAGAGATGTGTAAAGCTTATGTAGGGAAATGTGCTTTGTCATTCAAATTTTGATTTAAGGCAATTTAAAAAGTCTTGTGATTAGTATTTTAGTCGACAGAGATTATAAGTCTTAAATATTAATTGCAGAGTTGAGATTTTAAATATTTCATTAATTCTTCATATTAGAAAATAAAACTCATAGAAATTCCAGAAGCATGGCACATATCACTACATTGTGTCTACTTCAAATAAACAGTTCAAATAATTTAAAAAGCTGGGATGTCTCGGTAGAAAAGACTAACTATGCTTTTTTTCCTTTAAAAGAAGATTCATGGACTTTTGTTCTGACAATATTAGAAGAATGCACTTTCTTCAAAGGCCTGTATTGGTCAGTGTTTCATTTATTTCCTCCTATTTTAGTCAAAATTATCTAGTGGTATTAAAGGACAGAAATAAATAGTTTTGTTTGAAGTAAAAACTAACATATCATCATAGTAAAGTGGTCATGTTCATCATGAAACTGATATGTTCTAAGGTGTTAAAGAACACATATCTAGAGGTCCCACAATTAGATGGATGGCTTTAGCTAGATGTTGTAAAACTTTAAATTAATAAGACTCATTTCTCAGGTATGTACTAAAAACCTGTATCATTAGTTTATACAGTCACATAGTAAAATACTTTTAGCCTGGTTGGAAGTAACATCCTTTATTGGTCATAAAAATAAATCTATTAAAAAGGTTAAGAATAGAGGATACAAGAATAAATTTTTTCATCCAAATTTCTAACTATTACACTTTCACTATTAAAAATATTTAAGAATTTTGTCTTCACTTTGATATTATACTGCAGGAATAGTATTTTCTAAACACTGTTGACTGCTATAATATACATCTGCTTACTTTATACTGAGCCTAGTGGAGGAACAAGATTTTTTTTGTTATAGATACTGCTGGTATCAGAGTCTGTTACCATAGTGTTATTAGGCTTTTCTTCTCTAATACCAACTGAGTAAGGTAAAAACATTATCTCTTTCAACCATCTGTTTTGCAGATTTGGTTCACAGTTATAATGCAGTTTCACTGAAGTAATCTCACAAACTCAAGTTTTATGCACTGCTCTAAGAAGGTGCTTTGAATATTTTTATAACAAACAATGCTATTGCTCTGATATATATTCTTTCTCCCCCTAATATTTTTGCTTGTATTTGTTGTTCACACAATCTTTTGAGGGAAAAAAGTTGTTCTTAAACTATGTATCTAGAAATACAGTAATAGAACAGTGTAACTGGTATCCAAGATACAACTGTTTCTGAATTTCCACCTGCAGGTTAGCTTTCAAAGCATGCACATGTACTTCAACATCTTTTTTGGAGTGGAATGATGTAAGAAATGTTCTCTTAAGAAACATTAATCTGGTTGCTCCTTTTTAATTTTTGTTTTGTTTTTCAGAGACAGGGTCTCCCTCTGTTGCCCAGGCTGGAGTATAGTGGCATCATTATAGCTCACTGCTATCTCCAACTCCTGGGCTCAAGCTCTGCCTTAGCCACCTGAGTAGCTGAGACTACAGGTGTGAGCTACCACGCCTGGCTCGTTTTTTCTTTTCTTTTTTTTTTTTTTCTTTTTGTAGAGATGCGATCTCACTATGTTGTCCAGGCTTGTCGTGAACTTCTGGCCTCAAGCGATCCTCCCACCTCAGCCTCTCAAAGTGCTGGGATTATAGGCGTTAGCCACTGCACCTTGCCCTTCAAATTTTTATACCACTTTTATATGTTCTTAATTAATGAGAACGTATTAAAATTTCAAGTGTCTGTCTAATTTTTACAGGGAGTATATGCTGGTTATACACCCATACTAATCGAATTGCCAGGAGGAGATGGTATCCATGTCCAAGGAGGAGGGAGGGCTTGTATTTTTCACATTTAAAAACATTGTCATTCTGTAGCTTGATAAACCTATCTTCTCTCTCCTTCCTATTGAAATTCTATCATCCATCATGGACCAGCTAAATAATACTTCCTTGAGAAAGCCTTCCCTGCCACTCTGTTTGTTCAACAACAGTGCTCCAAATGTTAGGTATTTACATGTGTGTGCACACCTGCAGGAGGAAATATCTCCTATTTCACTTTGCTTTTCATTGTTTTTCAACTTATTAAAAAAATTCAAACCTATAGTAAACAGACTCACCAACTGTTAACAGCTTGCTAAATCTGCTTTATCTCTCTCTCTATACATATGTATGTATCTCTCTCTCTATATATATGTACACACACACACACACACACACACACACACACACCCCAAGTTTATTTTGTCCCTACAACTATTTGAGAGTAAGCTTCAGAAAACATGAAGGTCAGTTCTTTAGTACAAATCATACAATCATTGATCATGCCAGGTTCAGAGATGATGGAAATGATTAATCAGAAATTCAGCTATTTGGTCTTCCAAAGGACAAGATCAAAATTAAACCTAAGAGCAGATTTTGACCCAATACTGAAACTGAAGACAAACTGCAGTTTATTCCTACTCCTTATCTATTGCTTAATCATTGTCTTATTTTTCATTAGTATACTTTTATTACATTCTCGGAGTTCACCAATTCAGTACTGTGGCCTCAATTCTTAATCCCCTTGGCTTTTTGTTTGAATGAAACCCCTCTATTTGACCAGACTCCTAAGACATTTCTCCTTGTCTCAGCTTGATGAAGTTCTTTAACCACTTTTTTGTGCTTTCTCAAACTTGTCTGCTCAGCCTCCTTCCATTTGTCATTTCTCATGCAGTCAGGCACCGACACACCATCTCAAAAATAAATAATAATAATAATAATAAAATATTACTTTCTACTGGGTTTACTGGATGCCTTTATGGCAGGCATCTTCAGGGAAAAGCAAGGCCCTGCCTTCTGGGTATAAGAATTAGATATGATTAGATATGGGAGAATGAGAATGAAAACACATACACACTGCACAATATTTCAGTACTACAAACCAACAGGGCAAAAAAGATTTCAGAAGTGTTAAGGATACACAGGCTAAATGAATATTCATTTGCTTCATCAATCATATCTGCCAGGTACTGTAAGGCACATAAGGTCTTTGGATCTTAGAAGGTAACGTGAGAAAGAAACCATCAGGTTGACGTGACAGCAACAACTAGTGTGGCACTGTTTATAGAAGGTGGTCAGAAAATGTACCTCTCAGGATCTAACTCTGAACAGTCCTGAACAATGAGAAGGTATTGACCACATGAAGAACTGGATCAAACATGTTCCAGTCAAATGTACTGGCAAATCATAAGGTCAAAAAGGAGGCCTAGGAGGGCCTGCATGTGATGAGGCAGGCAGAGAGATCACGTAGGGCCTTGTAAGACAAAGAAGTTTGGATTTTATTCTAAGTGCAATGGGAAGCCACTGAAGAGTTTTAAGCAGGGCAGTGACAAATCACTGACAGTTAAAGATGTGAAAGGAAACTTAGAGACTGTTAAGCCTCTTTCTACAGATGAAAATACTACATCCATAGGTTTCTATATGGAAACTCTTCACACTCTTTCAATAAGAAAAAGTGTACACTTACTTTCAATAAAAAAAAGTCCAAATTCTGGACACATGAAAAGGTATTATTTTACTTATAATGAGAGAAAGCAATTATAAATATTCTTTTATTTATATCAGATTCATAAAGGTCAAATATTTGATGTCACACAGCACTGATAAGGATGTAGGAAAAGAGGCAGGTGTGCCTAAGTTGGGAGTATAACTTTGTATAGCTTCTTTGGAGGGCAATCTGGGCAGAATCTATTAAAATTGAACATGCATACATCATTAGTCCCAGTAATTCCACTTCTAGGAATTTATCCCACGGATATATTTGCAGAAGTCCACAAAGACAGTATGTACAAAGATACTCAGTGAAACGTTATTTGTGATGGCAAAAGATTAAAAAAAATCCCTGTATGTCAATCACAGGAAAACTTATGGTACACTTGTTCAATATAATATTATGTGATTCTAACAAAGATCTACACATACAAATATGGGATAATCTTCAAGATGGTAAATGCAAAAAGTAAATGCAGAATAAAAGATGTCTTTGGGAAGGTAACGGGAATGCTGGGCAATGAGGAGGACTGCATACCTTTTGTGCTGTTTGAACTTTTTACTGTGTATATATATTACCTATTTAAAACTAATTTAAAAAGAAAAATAGTTTGGTTTTAAAAGCAAATCACTACAAGAAGTAGTGATGTCTGGAAGAGAGAAAAGAAAAAAGAAATGAAGAAAATAAACTGGAAATAACCTGAAATAAACATATTGCTTTATATGTTATTTCCTTGTTGAACAAACTACTGTAATGTTTTATCCACAGAGATAGAGTTTAAAATGCATTAGTGGCCAAGTATGGGGGAAACATAAATACACAGTATATATAGTATACTGTACATGTACAGATATTTTAAGTTTTTATGTATGTATGTATGCATGTATGTATGTATGTATGGTCAAGGTCCTGCTCTGCCACAATCTTGGCTCACTGCAACCTCTGCCTCCTGGGTTCAAGCAATTCTCGTGCATTGGCCTACTGAGTAGCTGGAATTACAAGCGTGCGCCACCACGCCTGGCTAATTTTTGTATTTTTAGTAGAGATGGGGTTTCACCATGTTAGGCAGGCTGGTCTTGAACTCCTGACTTCAGGTGATCTGGCCGTCTTGGCCTCCTAAAGTGCTGGGATTACAGGCATGAGCCACTGAGCGCAGTCTATACACAGATATACAACTTGGTAAGTGCCCAAACAAAAAATCTTATTTAACCTTAATTCTCCACAAAAATAGAGGCAAAAGGGACTACAGAAAAGAACACAAAGAGTGACCTAAAGTATGGCTGGTTGGGTGCAGTGGCTCATGCCCGTAATACTAGCACTTTGGGAGGCCAAGGCAGGAGGACTGGTTGAGCTCAGGAGGACTGGTTGAGCTCAGGAGTTTGAGATCAGCCCGTGACAACATAGTGAGACCTAATCTCTTTCAGAAATCAAAAAAATTTGCCAGGCATGGTGGCACATGCCTGTAGTCCTGGCTACTTGGGAGGCTGAGGTGGGAGAATCACTTGAGCCCTGGAGGTTGAGGCTGCAGTGAGCTGAGATCGTGCCACTGCACTCCAGCCTGGGTGACAGGGTAAGACTGTCTCAAAAAACAAAAATAATAAAATAAATAGAAAAAAAAAAAAAAAGGCAGGCAGGCAGGAAAGAAAGGCTGTAGGCAAAAAACTGAATTACTGTGCACTTACCAAGATCACTTCATAGCTCAGTTGGTTCAGGTGTGAAGAGTAGGGGCTGCAGGACTGGAAATTAGGAGGCCAGGAGTTCTAATCCTGACCCTGGCCTTATTAGCTATGTGATCCTAATCACATTACTTATATAAGTTTTAGTTCGATTAAAACTGAAACCAAAGGCTCAAGAGGAGCTTAAAAAAAGTCATTTAGTCCATTGCCCTGCAGAAGGCCACTGCAACTACAGGTAATTATTTTGACTTATTTTAGGCCTGATTTAGGCACTTGTGAGAAAATTAATTTATATAATTTATTAACAACAAATGAGGTTTTTTCCTTGTAATAAAAGCATGATATTTTATGAGGTATTATTATATAAGCTTTCCAGCAATAATACTCTATATGGAAAATAACTTTCCAATCCCCAAACAGTGAGAACTTAATGAAAAAGAGAAAATATCAGCTTTGTTAGTTTTTTCAGTCATCATTCTTTTCTTTTGGAAAACCCATTCTGGAAATTCATAGGTTCAAAAATTCAGTTTGGGTTGAAAATTGCCCATTTCTCTAGGTGAGATCATTTATTCTATCTAGGGTTTTAACACCCAAATCTGTGTCTGCTAACTCCCAAATCAGTACCTCTAGCTCATATGACTCACCTGAACTCCAGATCTATTAAGCTGTTGGCTGAACATTTCTGCACTTCCCACTCAGGTGTCCCATAAGTTCCTCACAGGCAACATATCCCTACCTGGTCATTCAGATCAGAAACCAGAGAGTCCTTCCTGATGTTTCAAACTAGTCACCAGTAGATATGGATGTCAGTGCTAACACAGTGGTTCTCAACAGGGTGATCCCCTCCTTCAGGGTATACTTGGCAACATCTGGAGAAATTTTTGTTGTCACAATGAGGGACAGGGGAGATTGCTATTGGCATTTAGTGGGTAGAGATCAGGCATGCCGCTATGTATTCTACAATACAAAGGGTAGCCCTTTACTACAAAGTATTATCTTGCTCAAAATGTCAGCTGGGTCAAAGTTGAAAAAATCCTATTCTACCATACCTTGAATGTAAATTCTATGCAAGATGGGGCATGCCATTGCTCACTTCTCTATGTTCAGTATCTAGACCACTGCATGGTACATACATGATTACTTAATAATGGAATGAGAAGAGAATTTATACATTATTCTCCTTGTTTTTATCTTCACAGCTGAGCCTTAATTCTTTTCTGGGCTGAACTATTGTGTCAGCCCCTAATTGTTCTTTCTGTCTCCATGCTTCCAGGGCTGTATCTTACTCATCTTTATATATCAAGGGCCTGGAAAGTAGTAGGGGCTCAATAAACCTCTGCTTTATAAATGAGCCTTAAAACAGGTATTTAAAAAAGCAACCAACCTACAAGAATTTTTGGCAGGTCTCTGTTAACAGCTAATACACTGATACCATAAGAAAAATTCACCTGATGGTTTAGAATAGGTATGCTTATATGAATCAGTATGAATAACTTTGTCTGATCCTAGATCCATTTTATTTTATCTTATTTTTTTTTTTGACCCAGTCTTGCTCTGTCACCCAGGCTGGAGTGCAGTGGCATGATTTCAATTTACTGCAGCCTCCACCTCCTGGGTTCAAGCAATTCTCATGTCTCAGCCTTCCAAGTAGCTGGGATTACGGGCGTGTGCCACCAAGCCTGGCTAATTTTTGTATTTTTTGTAGACAAAGGGTTTCACCATGTTGGTCAAGCTGGGCTCAAACTCCTAACCTCAACTGATCCACCCACCTTGGCCTCCCAAAGTGCTGGGATTACAGGCGTGAGCCACCATGCCCAGTCCCCTAGATGCATTTTATTTATAATTTTTGTTGACTGTCTGACTTTGTTTCTCCTTATTTTTGGCAGGACAAGACCTGCACCACACCTGCGAAAGGACAGGTGGTCCTATCTTCTCTAATTCATCAATAAGCCATGATCATGTACTGACTCTTCTCTTGGACAGCTGCAAACTAGGAACATTCATTTCTCTCTGTCTCATTTTCTTTAGATCTCCTTGAACAAATCTCTAAGAGGCTGCTACCTTACGGAGAGATCCTGCTCCAACTCTAATGAAAAGAAAAAATCGTATGTTTATTGTGGCACTATTCACAATAGCAAAGACTACGAACCAACCCAAATGTCTAACAATGATAGATTGGATTAAGAAAATGTGGCACATATACACCATGGAATACTATGCGGCCATAAAAAATGATGAGTTCATGTCCTTTGTAGGGACATGAATGAAGCTGGAAACCATCATTCTCAGCAAACTATCACAAGGACAAAAAACCAAACACTGCATGTTCTCACTCATAGGTGGGAACTGAACAATGAGAACATTTGGACACAGGAAGGGGAACATCACACACCGGGGCCTGTTGTGGGGTGGGGGGAGGGGGGAGGGATAGCATTCGGAGATATACCTAATGTAAAGGACGAGTTAACGGGTGCAGCACGCCAACATGGCACATGTATACATATGTAACAAACCTACATGTTGTGCACATGTACCCTAGAACTTCAAGTATAATAAAAAAACATATATATTAAAAAAAAGAAAAAATCAAGGAAATTTGATCACTTGCCATAAAGGGATTGATATTTGGCAGGCAGTCTCAGAAATGAACTCAGACCTGCCTACTGTATCCCAGCTTGAACAAAATAACGTCACAAATAACTATCTAAGCAAGTAACATATTTAAATAAAGTGGAGAATATTATACTTTTTTTCATCACACGTAGAATATTATTTCCCCATCCCATCTCTCAAGTGGACAATGAAATATAATTTGTTTTCAAATTTACAGACAATCAACACAGGGTGTCTGTTCCATGTCTTGATCTGGTTCCATAAAAGCCCTTTCCTGTAAGGTTAGGAAAATGCCAAAACTGAAGCTTCATCTGGCTCAGTACTACAGAAGGTTTTCCTCTTTACAAGAATATTTCTTCCAGTATCATTTTATTGTCCTTAAATTTTATGTGCTTAGAGTGTTTCTCTCAGAGTTTCCAGTGTTCACTGTTTTATGGGACCAGTGAGTGGATCACTCAATACCCTTTGATGTTTGGGATACTGAAGACTGTACCTGGAGGAGTTACCCTACCCTTCTCTCTTCAGAAAACTCACGTGAGGGGAGGGTATCACTTGTGTCATCTGTGAATCTTTCCTTAGAAAAGTCACCCCTCTTTGGTAAGTGAGTTGAACCTTTTCTGAGCCCTGAAGGCAAAGAAGATCCTCATTTTCCAAGCTTCTGAATGTCTCACTTCAGTCTCCCCTGTTCACATAACTTCTCCGCGGAAGAACATCCATCGTGAAGGAATTTAGGCCTATCTACCCCTCCCAGTTATGCTGACAGTAATATCAACCAACACAAACTTCCATTTAGAGTGCGGTCACATTCACAGAGATAGGAACTCCAGGGCATGGAGAAGCACAGTAAAATACTTGTTTGAAACCTCCACCTTTATGGCAGGGCTCTTATAAGGGTGTGTCAGTAGATATCAGAGTGGCTGATTCACCACCACCTCTTCAAGGCTTGTGCAAACGTACAGTTGGTTGAGTTGATCCAACCTGAAAAATTAAGCTGGCTTGAGCAATAAGCATCTCAGGAGACAATAATAAACTAAAGGTCCTTCTTTAAAATTAGCAAACTGCATTAGACTATAGAAAGCTAGGAACAAACGTATCTTCCCAAAATATGGCTAAATTAAACTTCCTGTCAACCAAAAGGCTGATTTCCTATTAGCTTATAGGCATATTTAATTTGGCTTACAATAAAGTTGGTATTCTTTGCCCTGAAAACAAAACCCAATCCTACTTCTTAGTAATTACTAAACTGGTGGTAATTGTAGGTGGTGGCTGGACACACAGATATAATGTGCATTATTTTAAAAGCACAAAGACAATGACACCATTTTGATCAATTTTTAATCATCACATTCATTTTGGGATTTCACACAACATTTAAGGATAGCATGCCATTATTAAAAGTTTATCAAAAGGAGCACGGACCAAAAAGAAAAACTGACTCATGTGATGTAAGCAAACCTATGACAGCCCAGTCATGACACTGAGGATACAAGGCCATTCTGACACTAGTTAAATGTGAAAATGATCTGTGAAATGTGAAGTAACTTCTTTAAAGCTGGCAAAATCCAGAAATCAATATTTATTATTTAACGTAGATATAACACGTTAGTCTGTGAATTAGAAACATATTGAAGAAAAGCCCCCAGTGTCTTCGGAAAGAGGATTCCTGGCAAAACAGAAAGGCACACAAAATCTCTTCTAACATTCTTTCCTCCTCAAACCATCTCTTTCCTCCTCATACTGTCTTTCCTCTCCCCTCAAAAATACTTGGGTTGGAGAATAATGTGATATAATTAATTCATACCAGAGTGTATAATCCAGGAACAAGTATTCCTTCTTCCAGGGATATAAGCAACCTCAACCTTCTCTATAATTGGAGATAAAAGGCTCAGTTTAGAACTGGGTTTAGATTCTGGTTCTGCTACCTACTTCCTTTGTGGCCTGTGCGCAGCTTAACCTCCATGGAGCTCAGTTTTCTGATCCATGAAGTGGGGGTAATAAACATTTTGCTTAGGGCACAGTTACATGCATTTAACTAATTCAACAAATTTTTATTGACTGCCTACTGAATCACCAGGTATTGTTCTACATGGATGAGATTAAAGGAGTGACATCAAAATAGACAAAGTTTCTGTGTTCATTGAGCTTACATGCTAATTGGGGAAAGGGAAACATAATAAATAAACAAAGAAATATATAACACCAAGAGGGAGAGGTGCTATAGCAAAAAATCAAGTATACTAGTGGTTGTGAGGAAGTTTGAGGAAGTTTATAGGGAACCTAAGGAGGTTGGAATTTGTCATCCAAGAACCTCTCTGAAAAGGTGACATTTGAGCAGAGACATCAAGGGAGAAATGAAGTGAGTCATGTGAATTTCTGGGTGGCATACAAACGCAGGCAGAAGGAAGAACAAATGGAAAGGCTTGTGAAGAAGCATGCTTTGAGTATTTGAGTAAAAAATGATGGCTGGCACTTTGAAAACTGTTCTGTGGACGGGGTGGTTCTATATGGCTTTATAGGCTTTTATTCAGGAGCTGGGAATCACTGAAGGGTTTAAGCAAATAATTTACATAATCTGACACACTATAGAAGGAAGCTTTAGGCTGGGTGTGGTGGCTCATGCCTGTAATCCCAGCACTTCTGAAACGCTGAGGCGGACGGATTGCTTGAGCTCAGGAGTTCGAGATCAGCCTGGGCAACATGGCGAAACCCCATTTCTATCAAAAATACAAAATTAGCCGGGCATGGTGGCAAATGCCTGTGGTCCCAGCCATTTGGGAGGCTGGGGTGGGAAGATTGCTTGAGCCCGGGAGGCTGAGGTTGCAGTGAGCTGAGATCACACCACTCCATTCCAGCCAAAAAAATAAAAAAGGAATCTTTCAGCATATGGGGTGTACTGTTGAAGGGACAAGGGTGGAACCAGGAAGACCACATAGGAGATTTCCACAATAATCTGAGGGAGGAGAACAGTTGACGGTGGTTTGCGCCAAAGAGTTTCTAGGGAAAGATGGTGAGAAATGTTTGGATTCTAGATTTATTGTCAAGATTGAGCCAGTGGGACTGGGTCTGGCTAGCTGTGTGAAAGGAGTCAAGAATGAATGTAAGGTTTTTAGTTTTAGCAACTGGAAAAAAAGACCTGACATTCATTGATATGGGGAAGACTAGAGGAGCTGGTCTGGCTGATGTAGAATGGGGTAATCAATAATTTGGTTCTGGATTTGTTAAGTTTGAGATGACTACTGGATGTTCAACTAGAGATGTCAAATAGGCAATTCAAAATGTAAGAAAGAACTTGACCCATGGCCAAGCTTTATATGAATGCACGAACTCAGGTTAAAAACAAGCCAATTCATGTTATTCCATGACAACTGCATGTTCTCTAACCAAGGCTGGAGTAAATGAATGGGTAGTTGGGTTTACACACATAAATCACTGCTCTTACTGAAAATTCTGGGAAACACATTCAACTTTCTTCTTTGAGTAGTAGCATTAACAATAAAAACAAGTACATAATAATAATCTAGAGTAAGGGTGCAGTTGTGGAACTCATTGTTGAACTTCAGTTACAGATCTCTCTCTGGCTTTCAGATGCTGAATATCACTGTTTCTTATCGTAACTAATTAGCTACCTTATTTATGAGTAGCCATGACCTGTCAATTTAAGGTTAAAATCTAATGAGAAAAATAAAGATTTTGAAAACCTGAAGACCCCATCTATTTCACTTTTCAAAAGCAGTGAAGGCCTTCCGCATTAGCTGACATTAGTAAGCAACCCATAGTTAGACTTTATAAAAAATAACAACAAACAAACCCATAAACTGATATGCTCTGAATTGATCTCTAGGATTTTAAAATGTACTTGGTAAAATTTGTAGTGAAAGAACAAATTATATTTTAAAAGATTTTGAATATCATTCTTAATTTCACTTACAGACACTTTACTGATGTGTGTAATTTTTTGTCTTGTTTTATAAAACACCTGAGGCACAAATTTTATCACCAGCAGATACTATCTTCTTGCCATTACCAGAGAAAACAGTGTTTCCCAGGAACATGGACACAGCATGTCTAACCTGTGCATAAGTTGCCTGAAATACTGAAAATAAAAAACAAACATGAGTGACTCTCTCACCTACCTAATTTCAAATCTATTTACACTTATTTTTTATGTCATGTACAGATTCACAGGGAGACAGAAAAAGCTAAATTAAAAATGCGTTACCCCTATGCATTTCTACTGAAAAGACAAACACCTGACCTGTTACCTAACATGAGTCCTTAGTGAGGATGTAAGTCATTATAATTTCTAACACAGGCCGGCGGCGGTGGCTCATGCCTGTAATTCCAGCACTTTGGGAGGCCAAAGTGCGCAGACTGCTTGAGCCCCGGAGTTCAAGACCAGCCTGAGCAACATGGCAAAACCCTGTCTCTACAAAAAAAAAAACAAAAAAAAAAACAAAAATTAGCCAGGTGTGGTGGTGTGTGCCTGTAGTCCCAGCCTCTTGGGAGGCTGACGTGAAAGGATCGCTTGAGACTGGGCGGAGGTTGCAGTAAGCCATGATCACGTCACTGCACTCCAGCCTGGGCCCCAGAGTGAGACCCTGTCTCAAAAAAAAAAAAAAGAAAGAATGTCTGAAACAGAAACATTAGACACAGAGTGTCACAATATTTTCAAAGTGTTTTTGGTAGGAAAAAACCCCAACATAATATATTCCATTAGTTTCTGAATTCTTCAAGCATCCTTGTTAATTTTATTTGATGTAAGACTTTTAAGATAAAATGTTTTTTATATTATTCACGAAAAGAAATAATGAGATAGGACAACAGTATACATGAAAACTGTCATACATTTCACAGGTAGTCAAATAAATGTAAATTAATGCAACCATAAGATACGACTTTTCATCTATTGCCAGTAAAAAAGACTTAAAATCCTAAAAGCTGAGGGGAGTGTAGGGAAGTTCTACACTGTCATGTTGATGGTCACGATGTAAACTGATAGAATTTTTCTGGAGCACGATTTGTCAATCGTTACCAAAAACTCTATAAACACGTGCAAACTCTTTACCCAGAAATTCCACAGCAACAAATTTAACCTGAGAAAATCATAAAAGTATAAAAATGTGTAATTATATGAATGTTCATCACATCACTGATTATAACAGAAGCAATGAGAAGAACCTAATTGTTCAGCCACATGAAAGTGATTAAATTTTGGTATATTTATACAACGGAATACTAGGCACCCTTTCTAACTGTAACACAATTAAATGTTTACTGGAAATATATAATATATGGCACGGGATGAAAATATAACATTAGATTAAAAAGTAATCATGAAGCCATGGGGAGTATGGCCCAATTTTTGTAAAAAGGTGTATGTGTGTTTATGTATATATATGTACAGGCATGTACGTGTACATATTTATATGTATATGATACAAATGAAGGAAACAAAAGTCTTAAAACAGATATACCTAAATGGCATGAATAATCAGTTTGGGGGAGATTACAGGCAAATTTTTTTCCCTTTTGCTTATCTGCAACTGTTTTTTAATTATGTAACAAATATGTAGGCTGCAAAATGAATAACATTAAAATACTTACATATTAAACTTTTAAAATAAAGTACAGATTTTGAGCACTTTGAGGAGTAATTTTACTTATTTATTTATTCATTTAGAGACAGAGTCTTGCTCCGTCCCCCAGGCTGGAGTGCAGTGGTGCAATCTCAGCTCACTGCAGCCTCGTCTCCTGGGTTCAAGTAATTCTCATGCCTCAGCCTCCTGAGAAGCTGGAATTACAAGTGTGAGTCACCATGCCCAGATAATTTTTGTATTTTTAGTAGAGATGGGATTTTGCCATGTTGGCCAGGCTGGTCTCGAACTCCTGATCTCAAATGATCCACCTGTCTCAGCCTCCCAAAGTGCTGGGATTACCAGTGTGAGCAACTGCACCTGGCTGAGGAGTAATTACCCATAAATTTAAAAACTAATTATCTATGAATCTAAAAGCTAATCCCCAGCAAAATGTAAAGGAACTTCTGGCCGGGCGTGGTGGCTCACGGTTGTAATCCAGCACCTTGGGAGGCTGAAGCAGGTGGATCACCTGAGGTCAGGAGTTCAACACCAGCCTGGCCAACATGGCGAAACCCTGTCTCCACTAAAAATACAAAAAATAGGCCGAGTGTGGTGGCAGGTGCCTGTAATCCCAGCTACTCGGGAGGCTGAGGCAGGAAAACTGCTTGAATCCAGGGGGCGGAGGTTGCAGTAAGCCGAGATTGTGCCACTTCACTCCAGCTTAGGCAAAAGAGCGAACTCTATCTCAAAAAACAAAAACAAAAACAAAAACAAAAACCAACCAACCAAATGACAAAAAAAAAACCCCAAAAAACAAAGCAACTTCTACCTTAAAAAGATACTGAATGAAAACATTAAAACATATGTCTACACTGAAAAATAAATAGGTGTAAAAAGCTTTTACACACACTAGCAGTTCATTACACTTTTCTTTTTGGCCATAATGTAGTATTCCTAGGTGGAGTTCTATTAAACAGGTATTTTCACAGAGAAATAATATTATCATTGGTGGTTAAATACTCAGCTGAAGACCTGACATCAAATGCAATGGACAATGTCATACAAGAAAAGATACTATGTAAAATGCCTTACCTACTTTGAAATAGTAAAATTGTGCTATAGGTTAAGTAAAAGGCATAAACATATAAGAAATTCAATGTACTAAAAATTGTACTGAAATATAGCATTTGAAAAGTACTAATACTCAACCTATTTAAAACTAGAATACTAAGTTTAATTAACATTATGTACTCAGGTAGTAATTGTTTTGCTCGCCTTATTAGAATTTAGGCAAATTCTGGAAGAAATTACTAGAATAGCTCATCTCTGATTTTAAAAAATTGGGCAGTGGAATATAGGGTGTTCAACCTGATCAAGCCCTACTGTGAAAAAGTTCCTGCAACAAGAAGGGGCATCTCGAATCATTCCTCTGACCTTTAAAAGCTACATTTGAGCTCTGCAGTGTTTAGAAGTCCTCATAAAAGGTTCTATTTATGATAATTTGGAAAAAATTATCTCATGAACCCAATCATGCTACGGACTAATTTTATGGTATGTATATCCACACAAATAACCATCAGATAGCCCATCAGATGTATTTATAAGCATCTGCTCTTATAAGTAATTCCCCCTGACACCCACTGCTTCCCTGGTTCATTCTTCAGAGTATTGGGAAATGTTGCAGGAATCAAAATGCATGGCTAACGTGAAAAAAAAAAAAAGAGCAAAAGAGAGAAAAATACCAAGCAGCAGAGAAAAAAAACCCAAGACAACTTGAAACATGTACTATTTACAGTAACAGGACACTAGGAAGGCATGGAGTTGTTACATCAAAACTATTAATAATAAGAGTATTTGTTTTACTTAATAGCCTTCACTACACCCCAAGTTTTTTCTCCCTCGAGTAACACATCTATCTACAGAATCTGATCTCTAAAACTGATATATTAGGAGTTGATAATTTGCTTTTAAATACTTTCCACAGATACCTATCAAATGTGCATTTGAATTGTGGTTATAGGTACCAAAGTTTGCTTTTTTTTTTCTCCTTAGAGATTGTCTGGTCCAATTCATTATGTGGAGGGATTCCATTTTTTCTGGTAAAATTCTTGACAGGTAGTAACTCAGTTTTTTCTTGAACACTCCTAGTAAAGGGAAGTGTGGTGTCTCAGAGGTAGAGCTACACACAAGTTGACTGTCCCACTGTGGGTCAGATTTCCCTCAGAGAAAACTGAAATCTACTTCCCGGTAACTGACACCCTCCTGCTTCTATTTTTGTCCCATCCAACCATCCTGGATAAAGTCCAACCCCTACCCACACCATAGTCCCTAAAACATGTGAGGACAGATAAAGCATTCCTCCCACGCCCTATTTTTACCAGTCAACTTCTCCAAGGCAAGTGTGTATAATTCAGTGGAAAGTACATGGCCCCTGGAGTCAGACTTCAGTAGATTCCTGGTTGTACACTCTTGGAAAACCTCTCTAAGTCTCATCTATGTTTCCTCCTCTGTGACAGGGGAACATCCTAGTCTTACTGGAGTGTTCTGGAGAAGAAATGAGTTGGCAGAGCTGATGCCCAGTGGAGTGCACGACTCAGTGGAGAAAGTCAAGAATGCGATTTGACTCTCTCCCCCCAGCTTATTCTAGCTTTGTTTAATCTACACATTTCTGTCATTCAGAACTAGGATAAGCCCACACATTTTCTGAAACTACTAATCTCAAGGAACAGATCACATCAGATTTACAAGCAGCACAATAGCCTGGTCTGAGTTTTCCTCCTCCTTCCTCACTCTGTGCATCCTTTACTGTAGAGGCTGAGAAAGAAAGGTCCTTACATCCCTCATAGTACAACAGATACTCCAGGTGACATAAGGGCTGGTCTAAAGTAGAAAAGGAAGGTATAAGGGTCCCATCCAGTAAAGGGAGAAGATAAGTATTAGATTTACCATGGCTTTGTCATTGAAAACCTACCAAATGCAAGCTCTTGGTGGTCACCAGTGCCACCAGCCCTGACAGCTTGAATAAAATGTATTGTGTAATGTAGGAAGAAGTATGGGCTTTGGAGCCAGGCTTTCCAGATTCAAATCCTTACACCACAATTTGCTTGATGCATAATGCTGGACAAGTTACTTAGTTCCTCTGTCCTTGGTTTCCTCATTGAGGGTAATTATAGCTACTACTTTTTGCTTTGGTAACACTATCTAAGCATCAATGGAAAGGAAGGAAGAAAGGAAGAGCAGGGGCAAAAAAGAGGAGGGAGGGGAATTATAGAAAGTCATGGTGAACGTCTAGTCTTATTCTTGTTTTTTTATATTGTTTACTCCAACCCACAATACAAACAAGTTTTCTATCCCTGTGCATTGTGACGTTAAGTCAGGGCCAGACGAGAATTCTTTCTTGGTAGTCAAAACATAGTGTCCTCAGGGTCATTTCCTTTGCTATAGTGGAGAACAAATGCTAATGGAGACGACACAATATTTAAAACAGTCAAATATCCGACTTATAGGCAGTAGAAAAGAATGTGAAGACTTTCTAAAGTATATAACCTTGGCTTAAATAAGTGAGGATTCTTTCATGTTCTGATTTCACTGCACTCTTCCACATCAGACATGAACATACATGACTTTTCATTGATTAGTTTCATTAATGAACTATTATAAATACTTTACGAAATTTTTTAACACAACTTTTAAGTCTCTGTGGGTCATACTTTCCATACTAGTCCATGTGTGCTACATGTGAGCAGCTGAACTCTAGAGGCACCAAAACTCAAACCTCCATAGCTGGTGCTATAAACCTTGCCTAGGCAAGGCTTCCTCTGCCTTTAGCCTGATTCTTGCGCTTAGCTTGCTTGGGCTCTGGCTCCAGGCTACGTCTGATTTTCTGGGCTCTGGTACTCACCCTGGCCCAACCTTATGCCCCCATTTTCACCCATAAAACATGGTGTTTTAATGTTACATTAAAACATATAACAAAGAAAGGAGATAATGAGGAGAAAAAGGAGGAGAAAAAAAACAATGAAATCAGTAAAAAGCTGGGGTGGAGGAATAACCTACAATTTTTTACATTGTTTCATTTTATACACTATCAATCCTGGGAAGCTGTCTGTGACAACAGAATAGACATGCATCCCTAGAATGCATATTTAAGAATAAGTATATGTATCTAGAAATATAATCCATATTGCTAAAAATCAATGAAAACTTCATACTGACCTTAGGGGGTTTAAACGGATAGTCTGGTGAAAAGGTAATGTCAAGAAAGAACACCCCTCCTTCATAGACAGATCCTGGGGGTCCCAATATAGTTGACCTCCATTCATAAATGTTGTCTCCTTTGGGTCCAGCACTGAAATAAGACATACAAATGAAATGTGCTTAGAAATTACATAAAGGCTGGAATTTAACAAAATCTATTTATGATAACCAATTGAGCAATTCCATAAAAACACAAAAAGTTAATCAGTTAACTCTCATGTTAAGATTCATATTGCCAATATTGTCATTATCCTAGAAGTGAAATATGTTGGTATCACTTCATAAAAGAACACCAAGATCCTCTTTTGCCATTCACAACCCTACGCCTATGGAACAAGAGTCCAAGGACTACAGGCCAGAGGTAGAAACACAAATGTTTAATGAAAGCATGAAATTATTTGTGATGTCAGAGACAAAATTTCAAAGTTAGAAGGACCTCTGGGGAATGACTAGTCTGATCCCTTTGCTAACAACTGAGAACACAAAGGAGGTTCAATGTTCATCATCCAAAGTCTCTGCTCAAATATCATATCCCATCTGAATCTTCCTTTCTTTCTCCCCACCCAAAGGACTTCCTGACCCATACATCATGACCAATGAGGTCTGTAGAGGATAAGATGTATCATTTTGTTTTATAACTGTGTTTTGCAACTAATGCTTCTTTCTACCCTCCCTAGAAGGTGCTTGAGGAACAGGTTGTACCTTGTCCTTAGTGCCTCTTAAGTCAGTATGTTGGATGATGATGAATTAATAACAAAGCAAGTGAAGAAGCCACATGGCTACTAGCAGTACACATGTCTCTGAGTTTCAGAGAATTTTGCTGAAAACAATATGGCCCACATGAGTCGAGTGAATTGTATTAGTTCTCTCAGGTGAAAAGAAGGGCAAAATGAGATTAGGATTTAGCTAATCCTAAGAATGGGCTCAAGCCATTCTTGGGTCTCAGCCTCTCAAGTAGCTGGGTTTACAGGCATGCATCACTGGACCACACCTGGCCCCTAGAAAATGTATTTTTAAATGAGTTGCAATAGGTCTTGTAGGGAAGCTATGAATAAAGTCATAAAAGATGTGTAAGATCTTTATGGAGAAAATTATATAAAACTTATTGAAAAGTACTCATAAGAGTTAAATAAATGGAGGGAGATACCAAGTTTATGGGTAGGGAGACCTGATATCAAATGTCAGTTTCTCCAAATTGATTCATCATAATTCCAATTAAAAAGTCCAACTGCTTTTTAAAACCAAAACTCGACAAGTTGATTTTAAAATTTTTTCGGAAGCTCAAAGAAATTCCTCAAACTTTTCCACACATATATGAAAACCTGATTTATGTCAACTGATGGGACTAGGAAAAGTTTTTATATTTGAAAAACAGAGAAACTGGATTTTTACCCTCAGTAAATAAACAAATGCTGTTGCAGATGGATTAAATATTTAAATGCAAAAGTCAAAATATTAGAGTTTGACTGAAGAGAGTGACAAGGCAAGCTGCAAACAGAAAAGATATTTGGATCATATAAAAGTGACCAAATACTAGTGTTGAGAATACACAAGTTCCTAAGAATCAACTAAAAAAAGACTCTATTAAAAAAGACATAGACATTTCCAAAAAAAGGGAAACATAAATGGCCAATAATCATATGAAAAATGCTCAATATCATCAAAATCGGGGAAATGAAACTGAAAATCAAAATTCAGTAATATTATTTTACAAAATGCAAATGCAAAAATCAATGCCTGACAAAACCACATGTTGATGAGGATGTGGAAAAACTAGAACTCCTATGTACTGCTGATGAGTATGAGTAATTCCTTCGGATGAGAATATAGGCTCATCTAGTTAAGTTGAATATACAGTTGACCCCTGAACAACAGGGTCTGCATTGCGTGGGTCAACTTAGATGAACTAAATTTCAAGAAAATACATTAGAAAAATTTGAGATTTGTGACAATTTGAAAAAACTCGCTGACAACGCACTAGCCTAGAAATATTGAAAAATTAAGAAAAAGGAACGTCATGAGTGCACAAAATATACACAGATATTAGTTTTTCTTATTTACTACCAGAAAATATATACCGATCTCTTACAAAGTTAAAATTATACCCACAAACCATACATGATGCCATGAGCATTTTAAAAGAAATGTAAGCAAACACAAACATAGAGTATTAAATCATAACTGCATAAAAGTAACTATAATACATACTGTACTACTGTAATAATTTTGTAGCCACCTCCTGTTGCTATTGCAATGAACTCAGCTATTGCCAATAGCTGCTTAAAATGCCTAAAATGCCACGTGACAAAAATCATCTCTGCATGAGCAGTTCATCTCTCCAGCAAATTGCGTATTGCCATAAAAAGTGCTCTCTCTCAGTTCTCGCATATTTTTCATTGTGTTTGTGCAATACCGTAAACCTTAAATAACACCATGGGATCCATACGAAGGGCCACTAGTGATTCTGGAAGTAGTCCCAAGAAGCAGAGAAAAGTCATGCCATTACAAGAAAAAGTTGAATTACTTGATATACACTGTAGATTGAGGTCTGTAGTTGTGGTTAGCTGCCATTTCACCTTGTAAACAGATGATGTAAACTCAGGGTAACAATAAACACGGTACAATACTGTAAATGCATTTTCTCTTCCTTATGACTTTCTTAATATTTTCTTTTTTCTAGCTTACTTTATTGTAAGAATACAGCATATATACATATAACATGCAAAATATGTATTAATTGAAATGTTTATGTTATGAGTAAGGCTTCTTGTCAAAAGTAGGGTATTATTAGTAGTTAAATTTGGAGAAAGTCAAACATTATACATGAATTTTTGATGGCACAGGGGGCTGGTACCTCTAAACCCTGAGTTGTTCAAGGGTCAACTGTACACCTATTTTACAACATAGCAACTATACTCCCAGGTATACACTACAGAGAAACTTTTACATGTGTGTATCACCAGAAGACATTGAGAATAATGTTTATTGAAGCACTATTTATAATAGCAAAATTGGAAACAACACAAATGGCTACTGACAGAAAAATGGGTAAATCCACCCAAAGGAATACTATATAGCAGTGACAATATACAGATTAACATGAATGAATCTTAAAAATACATTTAATAAAAAATTAAGACTAAAAAGAATCTATACAGTAGGATACTATTTCTACAAAGCTTAAAAACAAGCAAACAGGGACATATACTACTGAGGGACACATAAATATGAGGTAAGAAAAGAAAACCAGTAAGAAAAAAGTTCAGAAGAGTGGTTTCCTGGGTAGGAGCAGAGGTTGGAGAAGCAGCACACTGGAGTTTCAATGGTTCTGGGTATGTTTCACTTCTCAGTGTGTGCAGTGGATTCAGGTGCTTTCTGTTTTATTACTAGGTTTTCTCACCTACCATGTGTTAGATACGTTATTACATAGGTACCAAATTCTTATATTAAGAAAAATTATGTCAAAGGTCTACCAATATGGTGAGAAAAGCAACTTGCTGCATATGTACAATGTGATCCTACTGTATAAATAAAAAAAAGATCCTACTGTATGAATTTACAGGTCCTACTGTATGAATATTTTATATTATTTATGGATACATATCTATGTCAAAGTCTTTTAAGAAATTAACTGGAAAGATAAACCTAAATTCATGATAGTGGTTATGAGAACAACAAGGGATGAGGTGGAATGGGGAGATGGGAGGAAACAGATGTAGAGATAGGAAATGAAGGAGAGTTACATTTTATTTCTAGTGTTTGATTTCTCTTGTTTAAAAAAGGATGAAGTAAATAAAATCACAGTTATCCTAGCTTATTGCAAAGGGTTGGAATATATTGAGAAGCAGTGGTGTAAGGGACTAGAGTACAGCATTCCTCCCCCATCACCCCATTACCTCCTTTTCCTGAGGCTGGCAATGAGGCATAGACAGAGTATATTCAGCCCAGATGACAATAAAGCTTTGGCAACAACAGCCTCTTGTTGCCAGACAAGCTCACTCACTCAGATGAATAATACACATGGTTATGCCCTGAGCTATAATTAAACCCAATATGAATAGATAAGCTTATCAGAAGGAAGAGCTTAAAAGTAGAGAAAATCACAGGTTTATAGTTACAACATTACTTCAAGGTAGATGAATAAATTCAGTTAAAAAGTACACACAGGTGAGCGTATACAGCTATGAAATAACATACACAAACACATTTAGTAAATACCAAGCTACGATTTCTCTGGGTCACTTTAAGAAATCTTAAAATGGCCTCCCAAGAATGGTAACCACAGTAAATTACAAGATATAGGCTAAATAAGGAGTCACTACCAAATAGTGTGGCTGAGGAAGGGACTCTGAAGCAGAAGACAGCAGTATCTCACCAAGAAGGGCAATGTCTGCAGATAACATAAACTCAATTTTTGCCCATTCCAAGTTTTATTTGGCTCTCAGTCAGAACTCCAAGTTTTATTGGTTCTTTGAAGTCAGTCAGCTGTCTATGTAGTTATTAACAGTGGACTAAAATAACACAGCTAATATTATCACTCTGAATTGGTTTATGCTGTCAAAGTGTGCCACTTTAAGAAATCTTAGCCAGTAGCAACAAATTATCTTGAAAACAGACTGGTATTTTAAAATGCACATAAAACTAGCCTGTAATCACAGCACTTTGGGAGGCTGAGGCGGGCAGATCATTTGAGGCCAGGAGTTTGAGACCAGCCTGGCCAACTTGGTGAAACCCCATCTTTACTAAAAAAAATACAAAAATTTGCCAGGTGTGGTGGTGGGCGCCTGTAATCCCAGCTACTCGGGAGGAGTATCTGAAATACTCCTATCCCAGGAGATAGAAGATGGGATACTATCTGAGGCAGGAGAATTGCTTGAACCCAGGAGGTGGAGGTTGCAGTGAGCCAAGACTGCGCCACTGCACTCCAGCCTGGGTGGCAGAGTGAGACTCTCAAAAAAAAAAGAAAAAAGCATATAAAACTAATACTACTTCCCTCATATAAAAATTGGGTTTTAGCAACCTGGACTCTTCTAACATTTTAGAAATGTATCACTTGAAATCCCAAAGCTTACAGCAGTGGTTCTTGAACTACACAGCCCTCTGCCCCACTCCTATTTGGATATGTACCAGTTGAGAACCCAACATCCAAAACTTTGCTGTATAATATGGTAGCCATGTGGCTACTAAGCACTTGAAATGTGGCTAGGGCAAATTGAAATGTGCTGTATGTGTAAAATATATACCTAAGTTTGAAGACTTAATGCAAAAGAAAGTAAAATAGCTCATTAATAATTTTAATAATTACTATTTACCTATTAATTTAATAATTATTAATGAACAACTACATGTTGAAATGGTAATACTTGGAATGTATTGGCGTAAAGATGTATGAAAATATGCTTTGCTTATTTTTTTCCTTTAGTCTGGCTGTCAGGAGATTTAAAATTACATACATGGCTCACATCATATTTCTGTATCATGAATCAAGAAGTGAGAAAGAAATCTTTTAATCTTTTAATGATCACTTATCTCTCAAGCTGAACAAATAAAATTTGGTGCCAGAGGACACTTGCAGTACAGAGCAATGATGAAGAACATAAACAGGCTCTGGAGTCAGACTAAGTTGTCTGAATCCTAGCCTTGGCATTTAAAGCCTGTTAGGACCTGGGTAAATGTGTAATTTTTCTATGTCTTAGTTTCCTTGACTGCAAAATGAGATCATTATAGCACAAATCTTGTAAATTTTTAGTAGAACTGTACTCACAGAACTTGGAAAATAGTAACCCTCCAAATGTCAGTTGCTGTTGTGCTTGCTGTTACACGCTGCAGATGATCAAAAATACACTCAAAGAGGTTGACTGCTTTGTAAATTTATAAGAATGGTTTCAGGACTGAAAAACAAGGCTACAAAGATGTGTACATCAAAAAAAAATAATGATTCTGTAACCTAATCTTATGATGTATATTTAGATATAGCAGAACTTTAGAAATCATGTATATCCACTGCTGCCACTCTTAGGAAATCCAAATTATCAATGAATAGAATGTTTATTTAACAACAGGATTTTCAGGTATTAGGTTATTAAGTAATGTTTTCCCACTTGCAACATTCTGAAAATGATCAATTCCCTTACTGTTTTATTTTCAGATTTTATTTTTTAAATAAGAAAAAAAACCTAAAGCTTTCATAGTTAAATTTCAAAATAAAAACACAATGAGGTAAATCTTTTAGAATGAAAAATATCAGCAAATTACGATTTGGCTGAATGCCCAAGGTTGCTGCTTCAGGAGAAATTCTGCAACAGAATCAAACTGTGTTCAGCTTCCCATGCTGCAGCCTACAGTGGATGAGCCCCTATGTACAGCTGAAATATTACATGCAATAAAAATCATGAAAATAGGCTCTCGCTGTCTTTACTTAGCATCTTAAAGATCATAAGATGCTTTAGATATACTGAATACTTTCAATCTGCTGTGCCACACCTGTGATTCTAAGACCAAGAGTTTTTGGCTGTGTCTACTGCTTTTTCACTTAACACTGACTTTGGGACAGGTAAAGAGGAAGGATGCCTCGGCAATGTTGGGATTCTGGCTCCACAGAAAGAATGTGTCTGACTTGCCACCACTTTTCACTAAACCTTTCTGTGCCTCAATCCCTTCTTAAGTAAAATGAGATAATAGTACCTCAAAAGAGAGTAAAATATCTCATTAGTAATTTTAATAATTACTATTTATCTATTTAATAATTATTTAATAATAATTACAGGTTGAAATGGTGGGCTAAAAATGTATTAAAATAAAATTCACCTATTTCTTTTTTCTTCTTTTTAATGTGGCTACTAGGATATTTAAAATTACATACATAGCTCACACTATATTTCTACATCATGAATCAAAGAAGTTGGGAGGTTATTGGGAGGTTTAATGGTATTATTACAAAAAAAGTGCTTAGAACCTTGCTTGAACATATCAAATGCTGAAAAAACATAAGCTATGTATATTGTTAAGTCTAAATCTTGATTGAAGGGATTATAATTGATGGCATAACTAGAAGAAGTCAAAGGGGAATGGGCTTTTTAAAATTAGTATTCATGGAATTAGCTAGCTGAAAATAAACTTTTAATGGTAATGGATACCTAAACTGTGTGTTTAAAAAATCTAATCATACTACACAGCAAGTGAGAATTGCTGTCTGCTAATCCTACAACCCAGTGAAATTCTCTTAAAGTATGTGTGTGATTGATCAGGTAGGGAGTATCTTGTCTGAAGAATAGGTGTTCAGTCCCTGTAAGTCCAGGGAACTGACCTGAAATTACCAGGGAATAGGGTAGTGAGAAGAAGATGAGGGGATTTTTCAAAAGCTTTAGCAATCCTTGCTTATAAGCAGAGTCCATGTAACTGAATTCATCCTTCCTGTGGGAAAGTACATTGTTCACATTCAAACTATATATTGCACCTATGTCCAAAGTCCCTTTGGAAGCTAGCTGCAGGGATATTGAGCTTCTGGCATACAACACAATAATGAAGGTGTTTCTCTAGTGACAGTCTCCCTCTAATTTAGGGTTCTACTCCATGTTGTTTGTCCTCTTCAATGTCTGCCTACTTAGGGGTTCTACCCTCAGCTACCTAGTCTCTTCACCTTCATTCTGGGTATCTCATTACCTACCTTTGACAATCACCTACCAAACTGTTAGCATCTCTAATCTGGTCATAAATCTGAGAGTCATCCTTGACCATGCCTCTTTTTTCTCCTCTGCTCTAAGTCCCCCAAATCCTGTTGAATCTTACTTCATTGTTATCTCTGTACTCTGATTATTGGCCGCATCAGCTCTCATTTAGATTATGGCACCAGCATCTTGCATGGTTTCCCTGCCTCCAGTTGTGCTTCCCTCCAATCTGTTTACCAAACTGCAGCTAGGGCAATTTCCAGAAACTCCTTTAAGTAGGATCTTTTGCTTCCCTGCTTTCTCTAGGTTCTTCACGATCAAGCCCAAAGTCCTTTGCAGCATACAAAGTCTTTCATAAAGAATTGGCTCCTGCTTACACTTCTGGTCCCATCCCTTGCCATCCCAAAGCTCCCCTTCAACTCTATTACTCCAATCATACTGGAATTACTTGCAGAGCTTTCAAGAGAGCTGGGCTCTTTCTTGTCTCCTGGCTTTTGCATAAGATGTTCTGTAGGTCTGACCATTCTATTTGACCCCTAGTTCTTAACTTGGCTGCAACCTTTCTGATCCCCTAAAGGCTGTACTAGGTTCTCCTTTGGAAGTGGTAACATTCTGTGCAAATATAAACGTTATAAAAACATAGACATAGGCCTCTAATTTTGGGGGAAGAAGACATATTAAGAAACAGCATTAACTGGATCAAAGGAAAAAAAGAACTCTATACTGACAGTGAAAAGGCATTCCCTATGCCCCAGAGGGTGTTCAGAAACAGGCCAGTACTGTAGTGTCTGAGAGGAGGACAAATGAAGACTAGTATTCCATAGACTCCTGAGATTCCCTGTATTTGTATTCATTAATTTTTTTTTAAAAAACCAATACTGCCAAAGTCTACCAAAACATCTTAGGAAGTTAGGATATAATAGCGCTGATAGAAAAGACCCATTTCATACACTAAACTCCATGCAGAAATGGACTGTTAATTTTATCCCCCATAAGGCTTCTTCCTAGTCCTTAAACATCTGGTTCTAATTCTCCTGAAATATTCCAAGAAAAATAATTATTTTGTACTTTTTTGTCAGTGAATGCTTAATAAATGGGAATGATATTTACCCTCAATCACACTTTACAGATTTGAGATGTAAAGATGAAAAAAATGATTTTGGCTATCTTTCACCAAATATCATTTTAAAGTCACTATTGTTACCTACTCTGTACCCTTTGTTATCACTGTCAACAACTTAGCAGAGAGTAAGAAATAGAAGAAAAAGAATATTTTAAATGAAAAAATAACTACTACTTAATCATCATAATACTTCCTTTTCCCAGGGAAAGCAGTAGCCAGCAAGCTTAGAGAGTAAACGAGCCTTCTATGAGTCACTGAGAAAGGAAGACTTCCTCAGTAAGTTCATGACACTCCTTGACTTCCCTGCCTCTTTTTGTGTTACGTGCGTGTATATTTAATTTTCCCAATGTGTGGATACCTTGCAATGAGTACACAACTATGCCAACAGACTTAAAATTTTAAGAGACATAACTGTATAAAGTAGTGAGCAGGGATAAGCAGAGAAACTGGGAAGCAGGAAGAAAGACTACAGGGAAAAACTGTATATTCTTCCTTTTCTTTTTAAGCTACATTTTTATAATATGCATTTACTTGTAAACATAAAGACCAACCACGGAATCAACAAGAACTAAGTCTTACTTTTTACAGGTTAAGTATCTCTTATCTGAAATGCTTGGGACCAGAAGTTTTTCAGATTTAAAATTTTCAAATTTCAGATGTTCAACATGTATATACATAGGTTGTTAGAAATAGGTTATGATTATAAAGACTTTGGAAACCATCTAGAGTTCAATTTTTTTATAACACAGAAGCAAGCAAGCATTAGAACTGGACTAGAAATCCATTCACTTGGACAATTAGGCATAAAATCAATCAGAATTAAAATACTGAATTATAATATCTGCAATCCTTTAATTAGCTGAAAGGACTCCAGAAATGAGCTGTGTGGTTCTCAACATTTTTTTCCCTTTTCCACTATACCTTCCTTTCCTTGCAGTAAAAATGACTCACTTCAGCAGTGATTCTCAGCATGCATATGGGGGGAAGGGGAAAGAAAGGAATACTTAGGAAAAATGAAAAGGCTCCTTCCCCGCTGAACACTTCCATTGAAGGCCTTCATTTCAAAGGCGATAATATTAAGGGTCAGAAAAGTGAAGTGCTTTGCTCAAGGTCACACCCAGAGAAGAAAACCTGAACCCTCTAATCCAGGGGTCCCCCACTCCCAGTACCAGTCCGTGGCCTGTTAGGAAGGAGGCCACACAGCAGGTGAGTGAGCAAAGCTTCATGTGTATTTACAGGCTCTCCCCATTGTTCGCATTACTCGCATTATCCCATGAAACTATTGTTGTTACCAGGCAAAGCAAGAAACTAGCAGGGCTCACCTCTTCCTTGACCTCTGCACTTATACCATGGAAACAGTAAGAGTTTCACTTTACGGGCTCTAATTTCCCTTTTCTATACCAGCTGTATGACATCTTGCATGCTAATGTCCTCTTCTGTCACATCAGCGGTGGCAATAGATTCTCACAGGAATGCAAACCCTACTGTGAAGTGCACATGTGAAGGATCTAGGCTGTGTATTCCTTATGAGAATCTAGTACCTAATGACCTGACACTGTCTCCCATCACCCACAGATGGGACCACCTAGATGCAGAAAAACAAGCTCAGGGCTCCCACTGATTCTACATGATGGTGAGTTATATAATTATTTCATTATATATTACAATGTAATAATATAAATAAAGTGTATAATAAATGTAACGTGCTTGAATCATCCCAAAACCATCTCCCCGACCCATGCCGTCTGTTGAAAAACTGTCTTCTATGAAACTGGTCCCTAGTGCCAAAAAGGTGGGGGACCACTGCTCTAATTCTAAAGTGAAGACTCTTATCCTGTCACTACATCTGCCAATTAGATACGAAGACTGAAGTAAAAAAACCAGAAAGGTAACCATTATGATAAACTACCCTGCTTGACAGGACACCAGAGATTAAGATGAGCATCTGAGTATATTTTTCAACCTTTTCATCCTGGGCATGTTTCAAATATGTAATGAAAGGCCTCAAGGTACTCAGGGCTTCCAGAAATAGCCTCTCTTATCTGTACTGTAAGAACACTTGGGCCTATGAGCTAGCAAATGTAGCAAAGAATATTTCTTAAATTAATTCCGCCCCCACCTCCCACCTGTTAGGCAGGGAAACTGTGGAGTTTTAATGTATCTACCGATCTTATCTGCAGTATAAACAAGCTTCTGACAAGAGGGTAAACCATTGCTGCCCCTACACAGTTTTCAGGAAGCCAAATCGCTTCTCAAAAATTTTCAATTCTCAAAAATGTTACCACTCATACACGGTGAAATGTAAAGCTTCCCGGTATCATTCTAATTGCATAATTATTACTTTCTAATATTTACAAAAGTAATCACAGTAAAAATTCCATTTAGAAGTTAAGATGGGGCAGATCTGAGGGACAGTTAACTATCTTAGACAGACTAGTTAAGCTGTGTAATTTGTGTTCTCACTCATAAGTGGGAGTTGAACGATGAGAACACATGGACACAGGGAGGGGAACATCACACATCGGGGCCTGTCGGCGGGGCGGTAGGGGGCTTAGCGGAGGAATAACATTTGGAGAAATACCTAATGTAGGTGACAGGTTGATGGGTGCAGCAAACCACCATGGCACTGGTATACCTATGTAACAAAAAACTGCACGTTCTGCACACGTATCCCAGAACTTAAAGTCTAATTAAAAAAAAAAAAAAAAGAAATGTAATCTGTATAAAGAGTTATTATCAAGACAAGTTGTTTCCAAGGTAGGTTAAATATCTACAAGACACTCAATATACTTCTCTTTGGCTGAGAACATCTTTTGTTTCTTGGCTATGAAAATAATAAACAATTTCTTCATACAGTTGTCTAGTTTATTCCTAAAAAGGTTGGTTGTGACATCCTACTACCTGCATTTTTTTTTTTTTAAATATTCCTTACACAATCATCTAGCTCCAAGACCCATCAACACTGTCTCTTCTACCACGCTGTCTGGAAGCCAACGTTATCAAAGCAGAGGAAGTGGAAGACAATTCAACCAGAAGACTAACAGCAAAAGTGACCTGCACACAGAGACACTTAATAAATGCTTGTTGAAGAATAATAAAGAAATATCTTTTGTAAAACATGAATCTATTACCGTAACATGGTGGTAAAGAAAGTATGCTTCAGATCCAGAGATGAAGCGTCCAAATCCTGGCAGTCCCACTTACCTTGTAACTCAGAGCAAGTTACTTAACTTCTTAATGTTACAGTTGTCCATCTCTGAAAAAGTAGCTACTCCAGAAAGTTGATGTGAGCATCAAATGAATTAATATATGTAAGGTGCCTAGAACAGTGCCTGGCTCATAGTAATGGCTATGTAAGTTTATACTATTGATGGCGGTAGTAGCGCAACCGGATTGGCCACTGTGGAGACACTGGCCACAGTGGGGGAGGCACATCTGGGGCTGCATGCTCTGTGAAGCTGGCAGGGGCAGGGAACAGGTGATCCCAGTGGGAGCCCCGGACCCTACCGAGTTGGTAGGGTGGGAGCCTGCACTTCTAGGCGCAGCTGCAGCTGCCCAGCAGTGGTTCTGACTCGGATATCCCTGTGCTCTCAGGACCTGGAAAGCCCCCTGCCCCTGCAGGCTTGGAAGTGCCTGCTCCTACTCCCTGGCCTCTTCCCAATCCCAGCACCTGCTCCAGTGCAGAGCAAAGCTGTAGCTGAGCCTGGGCACTGCTGCGACCGAGCTGGGTGTGCACACACTTGGGGTGGTGCTGTCATGCCAGCCCCCTGCCCCCACCACCTTGGCCGCCTCTGAAGCTTTGGGTTCTGACGAACTCAGGGAGGGAGGCCGGGGGTATTGAGGGAAGCTCAGCATGGGCCTGCAGGCACCCCTCAGCATAGACAGCCTGGGCACCACAGATAGCATGTTGATGGTGGTGGGAGGCAGACAGGTGCCTATGTGGGAGGTGGTGGGACCCCAGTGAAATCCCACCTTCAAGCCAGGAACAGCCTGAAGTCTGGGGACTGGGCTGCCAATCCAAGGTGGAGTCTGCAACTTAGAGTGAGAACTTCATTGACGCCTTTTAGCCAGTCGAATGGTGCTTTTTCCAGGCCCGACCATGGACCAGTCAGCACCTACTTCCTCCATTCTGAGCAAATAAAAACCCCAGACTCAGCCAGACTCAGATACTCATTGGTACAACCTGCCTGCTGAAAGGAGTTACCACTTTGAGTCTCCTGAGAGCTGTTCTGTCACTCAATAAAGCTTCTCTCTGTCTTGCTCACCCTCCAGTTGTCTGCATAACTTCATTCTTCCCAGACGTGGGACAAGAACTTGAAACCTGCAGTGGTGGGGTCAGGTCAGCTCAGGAGCCATGGGCCGGAGCAGGACGGTGGGACTGAAAGAGCTGCAGCACAAACTAGCTGAAACATGACCCCGAGAAAACATGCTTTCCTCCATTTGCCATGCTGTGGGCAAAGAGAAAGAAGAGCTGCAGCCTTCCTGGGAACCCAGATCTCAGGGCTTCCTAAGCCAGAGCTGTGACACACTGTAATACCTTCTATGGGGCTCTGAAGTTCCTGGCATCTCTGAGCTTTCAGGTGCCACTGCATTCCCCTTGTCTGGATGTGGGTGCCTGCAGTGGAAGCCTCTTGTGGTGTATCTGGTACAGCTACAGCCTTGCACGGAGCTGGCACCTGTAGCTGCCTTCCCTGCCACTGAAGCCAGTGTACCTGGCTGTGCACAGTGGGCAGACCTCATGATTGCTCACTCACACACCCCTCGCCACTTTGTGCCTGGCTCACCCTTGGCAGGTGTGGGATCCAGGCCAGTAGTGCAAGCTGAGTGCAGCCTGCTGGGCCGAGTGGGTGGAACAAATCCAGCAGGCATGAGCAAAACTCAAGCAGAGGCGCTGCTGGTCATAGACGTTTCCAGCTGGTGAAGCGACACCTGAAGGATCCCATGACACTACTGTTGTTACCAGGCAAAGCAAGAAACTAGTAGGGCTCACCTCCTCCTTGACCTCTGCACTTATACCATGGAAACAGTAAGAGTTTCTCTTTAAAGGCTCTAATTTCCATTTTCTATACCAGCTGTATGACATCTTGCATGCTAATGTCTCTCTCTGTCCCCCATACTTCTCCCCATTAAATTCTGAGATCATGAAAGAAATGCACAAATGACCTGATAAGTCCCACCATTCTTGGTTTATAATTCAGTGAAGAATACCTTCAGTTTTGCATCATCCATCCTATAACATCTGAAGGCAGCGCCAGGCCAAAGTTCCCACATACTCTGAAACAGTGGCTTTACAATTAATCCTCTCACCTCCATGATATACACACATTACTACTTCAACAAAAACAAGAGAGGTTTTTTTTTTGTTTGTTTTTGTTTTTGTTTTAATAGGGGAAGAAAGGCTAAATGTCAGACCTGTTCAAGAAGAAAAGTGCTAGATGGCTAAAATAGGCTCTGTAAATAATAATCCAACAATAAAAGATATTGATTGATTGCCAACAAGAGGTAGTGTTGAGGCCAGGCGTGGAGGCTCATGCCTGTAATCCCAACACTTTGGGAGGACCGAGGTGGGTGGATCACTTGACGTTAGGAGTTCGAGACCAGCCTGGCCAACACAGTGAAACCTTGTCTCTATTAAAAATACAAAAATTAGCTGGGTGTGGTTATAGGCACCTGTACTCCCAGCTACTTGGGAGGCTGAGATTACTTGGGAGGTTTGAACCCTGGAGGTGGAGGTTGCAGTGAGCCAAGATCGTGCCACTGCACTCCAGCTTGGGTCACAGAACGAGACTCCATCTCAAAAAAAAAAAAAAAAAAAAAGGTAGTGTTAAGTGGACTCACTTAAAAACTTTTCTATGATTACTTCAGGAAATCAAGACTCCCACAGGACTAAAATACTAGCTATATGGTGTTGAGACTTATTTTCAGTAGTTACCCACTGATATGGCTTGACTGTGTTCCCACCCAAATTTCTTCTTCAACTGTAGCTCCCATAATCCCCATGTGTCATGGAGGGACCCAGTGGAAGGTAATTGAATCATGGGGGTGGGTCTTTCCCATTCTGTTCTCCTGACAGTGAATAAGCCTCACGAGATCTGATGGTTTTATAAAGGGCAGTTCCCCTGCATAAGCTCTCTTGCCTGCCACCATGTAAGACCTGCCTTTGCTCCCCCTTCACCTCGCGCCATGATTGTGAGGCCTTCCCAGCCATGTGAAGCTGTGAGTTCATTATACCTCTTTTCTTTATAAATTACCCAGTCTTGGGTATTTCTTCACAGCAGTACGAAAATGGAGTAATACACATCTTGCATCAGTGCTCATCACTGTACTGTGATCTAGGCAAGATAAAGAACATTCTTGATTCCCAAAGGGCTTCCTGTCTGGGCAACAAGAGAGAAGGTAAGACGTATTTGTTCCACAGGATTCATAATCAAGATGCTATGGGAACCCTGTAAAAAAAAAAGTTTTCATTTCCTGGTAGGTGAGCTTCTTCACCCTGTCTTATACCACAGTAGTACCATGTTTCATTTCAGCACCGACCTGAGAAAAAGAAACATTAGGTTCTCTCAGGATAAGTATATGGTTTGAACAAGTCCCACAGGAGGTTCTGACATGAACTACATCTCCTCCAGGGAAAGGCTTCATAAAAGGGGTGGCAATTAAGCAATTAAGCTGGGCTGGAAAGGTGAAGTGGATTTTAACTGGTATAGGGAGATAAAGCATAACAGGCTAAAGGCACTTCATGGAAAAAGGCAGGGAGAAGAAAGCGGGTTGCCCTTTGGAAGAACAGCAGATATACCAGGATGGCTGAGGTTAGATAGTGTAGGGCCTTAAATGACGTAATAAAGAATTGCAAAAGTACTCTGGAGAACCGTGATATTCAAATTTGTTGCTCCTAGGAGCTGCAGGGCTCCACTGAGGTCTTTTGGGGTCATTAAGTTCGCTGCTCCCTCCCCAGCTGAGATTCAACAAGACAAACTCCGCTGTGTTTGTGTACCTTGTCAGTACATAATTTCTTTAAATACTCTTTGAATAAAAGGAGTCCACTGCTTTAAAAAGAGCTTGAACAGCTTCTGGAACTCCCACCCTGCCCCAACAACAAAAAGGCCTAGATCCCAAATCAGACCAGATGAATCAGAATCTAATGAACAACTAGAATCACCATGATAGAACTACTATTACAGACTATGGAGTCACTGAGGGCCTCAAAGTGTGGTCCAGTAAGAAGCAGCACTGGGCAAACTTACTGAATGAGAAACTACATTTTTGACAAGGTCCTTGGATGATTGGTGTGTACATTAAAAGTTTGATAGGCACTAGTGGAAATTTCTAAATAGGAAACACATAATAAAATCCACATAAGAATATTCACCATTTACTGAGCATCTTCTGTGTGCCAGACATTAAGCCAGACACCTTTCATACCACTGAGCCTCAGTTCTCTTATCTGTAAAAAAGGTAACACTTTTTACCGTGTGAAGTTATAATAAGAATTAAGACATTTTATATTTACATACATGCAGTGTCAAATGTAGTGTCTGGCAAAGAGTAGGTTCTTTAAAAATCTAAGTATTATCATTCACATATATTTTTCAAATTACTGTCACTCTGCAAACTTAAATGTTATCTAAAACTAAAGGTCAAAGAAATTCAGTGGCTTGGCAATGGTTACACAGTAAATGATGAAACTGTATTTCAAACCTAGACGAGCACTGAAAAGCTCATCTTCTTTTCCATGCAACACTCTGACAGCAAGGCTTAGTGTGGACTGAAAGCAGGAGATACAGAAGACCATAGCAGCAATGATAAACTAAATGGTGTCAACATTAGTTCACTACCTTTCTGTTTAAGAGACCAGAATTGACTAGAATTACAAACAAGTGCCAATAAAAGTACAGATTAGAGTTATTATAGTCTGAAGAAATTATAGGTATGTCCTAATATCTCCTAAACACTTAGCAATTAAACTAACAATATTTATATAATAACATTCAGTTAGTTATTTGGCAATTTATTTAACAATATTTAATCTCTGGATAGGCTTATCAAGTTGACAAAACATTTTCACATTCATCATCTTCTTTAACCTTAGTGACAACTAAGTGAGATAGGATTATTATTCTCAAATCAGGTTGCTCTACTTACTTTTTTCCTCCTTAAATCCCTATTTAATCTCATAAACCTGGATTTCCTAAAACTTTGCAGTGGCTTTCATGAAAGAATTAGGCTTTGTGTTAAAAAAAAATAATAATAATCCAGGCTGTCAATGACAGGCACAGATTTCAGATTTCATCACCTATCCTTCCTTCTTTCCTTTAGTCCATCAGCAAAGGTTAGGAAGACAGATGGGTTTTCGGTCAAAGGGAGTCAAGAACAGCGTGGGCAGCATGACATAGGTTTATCTTCCTTTTCTGTTCCACAGAAAAGTGATGGAAGGTAATTAATTGAGCTCTGAAGGCTCTTGGTGGAGGTGTAGCCCCAGCTGGAAACAAGTTTTTAAGAGATGAGCCACACAGAATATCCTGGTGGAAAGAGATGATAAGCAACCAAACAGAAGACGCAAGTTTACTTTTTGGCTTTTGGTATATTCATAAACTCTACTTCCCTTGATAAAATGAGTTATTTTCCTTCCACATCATTTGTGGTCAGTATTTCTAGAGGGCACCCTCTTAAGAGTCTATAAAATTCTGAGTTCTATAAATACACATTTTCAAAAGGAAGCAAATGAAAGGCTCTAGAAACATCTTGTTGCTCAAAAGAGTGAAGTTATGACAGCACTTTCACATTATGTCACAGTTCACTACTCAATTGCTTAGTTGTCTAAGGATGGTCTATTATGCCCTAGCTTTCATGTGAGATTTTGCAGTTGGCTGTTGTAAAACATTTATAGAAGTGACTTCTAGCACTCGAGTTGGTGATTTAATACTATACAGAGTTCACTAGTCATGGTATCTACATCAATTTTCTACAGTAGCTATTATTGCCTCTCAGATTTCTGCCACTACCTTCTCTTTGTAAGCAAAACAAACACAGATTTTACAGAAGATCTGCTATTTAAGAACCATCAACTTGTAGTATCCCTTAATAATTCCTGTCAACGTCGGCTATCTTTGAAGGATTTAGTGGTTTTTGCTTTTGGCAGTGCTGCAATAATGGAAATAACTTACACTGCCCATCCCCATCTTACAGTGTCTGCTAACATGTTGGGTTGTTGGCTGCCAGGCAGATTTAATTTATCCACTTCTCAGTTTGCATTAACCTTTGAATAATAAAGCACAGCTGAGGCTGCTGTAAGACACAAACAGAGGAATGAATAATTAAAAACACCTTCTCAGCCTTGGAAAGACCAATCCCTAACCATTAGGGGAGCTTTAATTGTGACTGAACTAAGCATTAAAAAGGCTAATTGTACTCTTTATAGATGGAAACAAATGCAAAGGACGTAGTACAACTACGATATACATAGTATATGAAAGCAAAGCTCTGAAGGCACCAACTAATTAGTTCAAATGAGAAACGATAGCCTGATTCTTAAAAAGCAATTTCCTTCTAAAGATGGCCACTCATTGTCTTACATTCAGAAAAATTGCTACTACTTGTAAAACGCTATTACTCATTTGATGCAGGTGGACGGGATAGAGTAGCATTTGAAAGGATAGAAATGTTAAAGCTGAAACAAAAGGTTGAGAATAGAATATATTATAGACAACCAACAGTCCTATCTTTTTTGAATCTGTCAAGTGCTTATGCCAGCTGGGCTTCTTTGCTTTGATGAATTTAATTTTCCTTTGGGAAGATCAAAACCCAAATCCAAATCTAACTCTCATTATTTATATGTTAAGATTACAAAAGCCATTGATACTTCATATATTTGCTAAAATGTTGTATCTAATAATTTTGAATCAAAGAATACCCTATTTATCCAAATCATTGGAAACAATAAATCTTTGTTTCTAGACCGCCAACAAAATGCAGGATGTCCCCCTAAATCAAAGAAGGCAGTTTCGCCAATTACTGACTTTCAAGTATTTGGTTAATATTTCTTACACTAGAAAGGTTTCTCTAATGCTTAGTTTCATTTTTATTTTGCTACATATAAGGCCCTTTCCTCTATTTCTGTTCAAAAAACCATTTTGTCAATGCCCTTCAGTTACTGGAAAGTTAGGAAGGTAGAAATCCTTTTTCTGTACTAAGCAATTTTACAGCATTTAAAATGGCTTTTATTTTCCACCTTTATGCCTTTCTTGGATCTCTGAATCCTCTTCTTTTTTTTTTTTTTTTCCTGAGACAAGGTCTTGCTCTGTTCATGGCGGCAGTGGCCTCTCTGCAGCAGCTGCTGTACGGATGCCAGCTGTAGTGGGGGAGGCGCAGCGAGGGCTGCACCCTCCATGGAACCGGTCGGGGCTGGGATCAGGCGGGAGCCCCACCCTCTACTAAGCTGGCGGGGCAGGAGCCCTGTGCTGCTAGGCACAGCTGCAGCCACCCAGCCATGGCTCCAGACCAAGGCATCCCTGCACTCTTGGGGGCCTAGGAAGCTCCCTGCCCCCATAGGCTTCAAAGTACCTGTTCCCACTCCCTGGCCTCTCCCAGCTCTGGGCATCCACTCTGAGGTGGAGCAAAGTTGTGGGTGGGCCTGGGTGCTATCACAACCCAGCTGGGTATGAACATGCTCAGGGCAGCACTGACACACCAGCCCCCTGCTGCACAGGCTCCTTCCAGACTTTAGACACCTACGAGTGCAGGAGGGAGGCCGGGGGCACTGCGGGCAGCTTGGCATGGACCTGTGGGCGCCTCTTGGCACAGACAGCCTGGGTGCCATGGATGGTATGAAAAGCAGATAGGTTCCTAGGCGGGAAGGGGCAGGTCCCCAGTGAAACTCCACCTTCAGGCTGGGGATGGCCTGAAGCCTGTGGGCTGGGCTGCCAGTTCTGAGCAAAGTCTGCAGCCTGGAGTGAGAACTTCATTGATGACCACCTGGCCAACCAGATGGTGCTTTCTCCAGGCCCACCCGTGACAGCCCATGGACCAGTCAGCATGTACTGCCTCCATTCTGAGCACATAAAAACCCCAGACTCAGCCAGACTTACACACTCCTCTAGATGACCTGCTTGCAGAAAGGAGCTAGCCACTACAGGTCTCCTCTCTGCTGAGAGCTGGACATTCATTGGGACAAGCTGCCTGCAAAAAGGAGCTACACATTTCAGGTCTCCTGAGAGCCATTCTGTCACTCAGTGAAGCTCCTTTCCACCTTGCTCACCCTCCAGTTGTCCGAATCTCATTCTTCCTGGATGTGGAACAAGAACTTGGGACCCACCAAATGGTGAGACTGAAAGAGCTGTAATACAAACAGTGCTGAAACATACCCCCCCTACCCCCCAACTCACCATCTTGTGGGTGAAGAGAAAGAGAGAAGAGCTACGGCCCTCTGGGGAGCCCAGGCCTAGGGGCTCCCTGAGCTAGGACTGTTGACATCCTTTTTGAGGCTCTGCTGTTCCTGGGGTCTCCAAGTTTCTGGTTGCCACTGCGTTCAGATGCATTGTTCAGATGCAGGTGCCTGTAGCAGAAGTCACTTGTGGTACGTCTGATCTAGCCACAGTCTTGCATGGAGCTGCCTGCCCCACCACAGCAGCTGGCATGCCTGGCTATGCACAGTGACTAGATTCCATGATTGTTTGCTCACACACCTCTCACTGCTCCGTGCCTGGCTCACCCTTGGCAGATGTGGGATCCAGGCTGGTAGCATGAGTCAAGCACAGCTGATTCCAGGCCAAGTGGGTGGAATGAGCCCAGTGGGCCCAAGCAAAACCCAAGCAAAGGCACCACCTACCACAGAAGTTTCTGGCTAGAAAAGCAACACCTGAAGGATCCTGTGACACTATTACAAAGGATCCTGTGGTATGATCGCAGCTCACTGCAGCCTCCATCTCCTGGGCTCAAGCAATCCTCCCACCTCAACCTCTTGAGTAGCTGGAACCACAGGCATGTGCCACCATGCTCAGCTAATTAAAAAAAAAATATATATATATATATATTTGTACAGATGGGCTTTCCCTATTTTGCCCAGGCTGGTTCTGATCTCCTGGGCTCAAGTGATCATTCTGCCTCAGCCACTCAAAGTGTTGGGATTATAGGCAAGAGCCATCATGACTCACCTCTTAATTTTTTGTAATCTAACTTTAAGATGACTCTCTGCACATAATAGGTAAAAGGATGATCAAATGAGAACAGATTTGAATTTGCTATTTTAGTAAAGACTAGATTTGAATTTGCTACTTTAGTAAAGACCAGCTTCTCTTCTACGGGAAGAAAAATATTACTTTTTTGGTTTTGGAGGCTCTATTCTTAATATTTTTGTTTCACATCAGTTCTTGATGTATGAAAACTACTGACTTATATTGAACTTGTTCCCTGATGGGACCTGGAAATCTGTGTGTTCTATTTGTACTTAGTCTTATTTCTTTTGAATATCACTATCCTCTTCTATCACTCTCTAATTGTCATATATTTGTTTAAATTTCCTTTGGTGATCAGTCTGTTGCCATTTTCTCAGAGTTAGCCACTTTGTAAAACCTGGTTTCACTCCTAACCAGCAAAATAAATTATCCTTACCCCTGGTTATGTTGTTGCCTGTCTTTTACAGTCTAGGAGTCCCCTGAGGGCAGGCACTGTGTCTTACTTATCTTTGCATACTAGGCAGCTGTGATGATGTCTGCCACATAATAAATACTAGAACAACACTTTTTATTGGATTTATGAATTCATAAAGAACTGACACTTGTAACATTGACAAAAAGTGCTGAGGACGGAATAGGTGTATTAGTTTGTTTTCACACTGATATAAAGAAATATCCAAGATTGGGTAATTTATGGAGGAGAGGTTTAATTGACTCACAGTTCCACATGCCTGGGGAGGCCTCAACTGACAATCATGGCAGAAGTGGAAGCAAACACCTCCTTCCTCACAGAGTGACAGGAGAGAGAAGGGTGAGGAGCAAAGGGGGAAAAGCGCCTTATAAAACCATTAGATCTTGTGAGAACTCACTGTCAAAAGAACAGCATGAGGGAAACTGCCCCCATGATCCAATCACCTCCCACTGGGTTCCTCCCATGACATGTGTCGATTATGGCGGTTACAATTTGAGATGAGATTTGAGTGGGGACACTGCCAAAGTACATCAGTAGGTACACCATGATTTCTTCCTTAAAAAGGTATTTTACTCTTCAGTAACACGGAGAAATCCTCAAAACATGATAAGTAAAAAGTAAAAAAGATGCTAAATAAAATTTACTTGTTCACTTATTCATATATTCAACAAATATATCCTAAGATCCCTCTATATGTTGGCACTGTTCTATGTGCTGCAGATTTGGCAGTGGACAAGTCCAAAGTTCTTCATTTCATGGAACTTATATCCTAGCGAAGGGAAGATAACAGTAAGCAAATAAACAAGTATACATGTAATATACTGATTGTGAGAAATAATGGTAAATAATAAAACAAGGCTTAAGGTAGTGACTCCAAATTATTTTTAAAAACAACCTCCCTAAAACACAGCTAAATGTGGTACACATTTAGCTATTACTTTGTGAAATTTCTCTACTTACACAAGTTGCATTTTTCTATTTCAAAACTAATCATACAAAAGCTCCTAAAAATGTATTCACACATGATAAATTGCTTTCTCTGTGAAGTGTAGTATTATTTAGTTGTATATTCACAGCTGGCTAAGGATTTGCAAAACATCAAGATAAATTTTGTCCTAATTCATGTAAGACTTCTTTCTATTTTAGGCTAACAATTTATTCACTGCAAACACAATTACACTGTTTATGACCACAGCATGCTAAGTATTCACAATGTAAAATTTTAAAATGATAATTTTGTTAATAATTACATCTCTTTAGTTCATCAAATAATGTTAAAATAAAGATAGAGAATATTTTCAACAAAAGAAACAATAAGGAACTTAACACAAACTTCTAGAATTAAATCAACACTACAAATGGAAATACTCTGGGACTCCTCAGTTAAAATGTTGGCACAATCCAATTTGATTAGTCCTGTTTTATGTATGATATTGGAAGCAGTAACTCGTGACAGCTTTTATAACAGAAAGAATGGAAATAACAAAGAATAGTTTATTAAACACCAAACATGGTAAAATTAAAAATCAAACCATTTAGATTGAGTAAATTAATTTTTTAAAATTTATTTTTCTTTTTTGAGACAGGGTCTTGCTCTGTTGTCCAGGCTGGAGTGTAAGGGCATGATCACAGCTCACTGCAGCCTTGATCTGGGCTCAATCATCCCACCTCAGCCTCTTGAATAGCTGGGACCGCAGGCACATGCCACCAGACCCCATTAATTTTTAAATGTTTTGTAGAAACAGGGTCTCACTATGTTGCCTAGGCTGGTCTCAAACTCCTGGCCTCAAGCAAGCCTCCTCCCTTGGTCTCCCAAAGTGCTGAGATCACAGGCATGAACCACTGCACCTGGCCTGAGTAAATTTAAACTGTGGGTCAGTATCTCTTAATGGTGCTTTAGTGCCAATTTCATAAGTCTTAGGGTATCTAGCATAATAATTACATTCAATGTCCTATGCCCACAGAATCACTATCAGTGTTACGACAATATCCAAGTTTTCAAAACACCAATTCTATTTCTTAAGTTTCAAAAACAATGGCCACAAACACTCAGAGACAGGTATGAATCCTACTGTTTGGTAGATAGAAAGGCAACCCAATATTGAGGAAAGTAAGTTAGGTAAGGGAACGAAAATCCACTTTACAAAAAATTTGCTTGGTGGGTCACTTAGACAATGCAGAACACAATATGGAAAGGGAAGGAAGAGGAGAGGTTTTGAAAAGATAAGTGAACATGGACAGATGCTTAGACAAAAGTGACTCCATCTTGAATACTAATCCACAATGCTGACTTCTGATTAACTCCAGTCCTGTGAAGGCCTCCTGATTCTTATTTTACTAGCTGTCTTTAGTGTAAGAACATGTACTCACTGTAAATCCTGCTTTTAGATCAAAGCAATCTTGATGGTACAGCACAAATTACTGCACAGGCATGATGTACCTAGCATTCTTGCCTGTTCTGGTGGGTTGTCTTAAATTGTTTCTATAGAGCCTGTAAACCCTTTCCCTGTGGTATAAAAGCCCCGGTCTGGGCAGTAGTGGTGTGCAGATCTACCTGTCTTGCTGCCACCCAAGAGTATGCTTCCATCTGTAAGTTCCCAAATAAATTACCATTTCCTGAAAAACTGGATTTGCGAGCCTTATCCTTAGGTTTCTTGGCTCCTTCTGAGTTTAGGAGTCACTTTGCATATATGACCCTTTCATGGAACAACAGATTTTCATATGAAAAAGATCACCCTGATAGCAGTGAGGATATAGCTGAGATTGAGGACATGAGACCAGTTACAGGGCTTTATAGTGACTGAGGTATAAGATGATGGTGGTAATGACAGGAGCATGGAAAGAAGTAATACATCTCAGAGTTGAGACACAAAAGGATCATATTGAGTTTGGAGGACTTGTAGCATGTCCATCTGCAGATGCCAGCCAGGTATGAAATTCAGGTAAAAAGGGCTGTATTGCAGAGATTTGTGAGTCAACAGTGCTCACAACTGTTGGTCTTTATAACCCCTATGAGTGGATTAGGTTATGACAGAACCAGCACTGCAAAAGGAGGGGAGTTAGGAGGGAGTTCTGAGAAACACTTACTGACATTTAAAGGTATTGGCAACAGATGAGGAGGGTGAGAAAGAGCAACCAGACAAGAGGAAACTCAGGGGCATATGGTATCACAGAAGCTGAGAGAAGGAGCACTTCGAGGAGAAGAATGTGGTCAACAGTGTTGTGTATTGCAGAGTGGTGAAGGAAAACATGGAGAAAGTTCTATCACTTTCAGCAAAATGCAGTTGGTGACTTTGAGAGGAGCAATTTGAGTGAAATGCTTGTCATCGGTTGTGGGTTAAGAAATAAAAAAATTAAAGGAGAGACAATGTGTTTCTGTTTCTAGAAGTCTGGATGTGAAAAGCTAGAGAGGAATGTGAATGGGGGATAAGAAGGGCGGGGCATACAAAATGTCCAAACAGGAAGGAGGATTAAACCACAGACAGAAGCACTGACACCTTTTCTGCTGTGACAGGAAGGAAGGAGGAAAGGGGAGGAAGATGAAGACTGTGTAAGACTGTAATTGGTCTAACGCATTATTACCACATAAGTGGAAACAGCATAGTTTTATTCTAGACTGCCATTCCAGTTGTGTGACCAGGGTAAATGTGACCATATATAAATTTAAACTTTTCAGATCCTTAATTTATGAAGATGAGGAAGGTGGATTAGATATCACCAAAGCCCCCTTCAACAATAAATTCCAAAATTATACATTATAATTCTATGATTTTTTTGTGATAGATTATTAGAAATGTACAATAACGTGTATTTGTGTCTGAAATCTGCACGTTCCCTTCAGAAAAGAGTACTTTGTACCAAATTTGCATTTTAAAATGAGGACTAGAATGACTGTAAGAAATAAATCTTCACTTCAGTCAGTAAACAGATAACCCACAGAGTGGGAAAAATCTTCAAAATCTATACATCTGACAAAGGACTAATATCCAGAATCTACAAGGTACTTAAACAATTAACAGGAGAAAAACAACAATCCCATCAAAAAGTGGGCTAAGGACATGAATAGACAATTCTCAAAAGAAGATATAAAAATGGCCAACAAACATATGAAAAAATGCTCAACATCACTAATGATCAGGGAAATGCAAATCAAAACCACAATGCGATACCATCTTACTCCCGCAAAAAAATAAAAAAATATATATATGTTGGCATAGATGCGGTGAAAAGGGAATACTTCTACACTGCTGGTGGGAATGTAAACTGGTACAACCAGTATGGAAATGTGTGGAGGTTCCTTAAAGAACTAAAAATAGAACTACCATTTGATCCAGCAATCCCGCTACTGGGTATTTACCCAGAGGAAAAGAAGTCATTATATGAAAAAGGTACTTGTACATGCATGTTTATAGCTGCACAATTTGGAATTGCAAAAATGTGGAACCAACCCAAATGTCCACAATCAATGCGTGGATAAAGAAACTGTGGTACACATATATGATAGAATACTACTTAGCCATAAAAAGGAATTAATTAATGGCATATTATTCTAAGTGAAGTAACTCAGGAATGGAAAACCAAACATCGTATGTTCTCACTCTTAAGTGAGAGATAAGCTATGAGGATGCAAAGGCATGAGAATGACACAGTGGACTTCGGGGACTCAGTGGGGAAAGGGTGGGAAGGGGGTGAGAGATAAGAGACTACAAATTGGCTTCAGTGTATACTGCTCAAGTGATGGGTGCACCACAGTCTCACAAATCACCACTAAAGAACTTACTCATGTAACCAAATACCACCTGTTCCCCAAAAACCTATGGAAATACTACAAAAAAATTTTTTTCACTTTGGTCTAGCTTTCCCAACCACAAAAATTAAAGGTAGATTGGTGCTTTTTTTGACCCCTGGGGATAATCAGTAAAGACCATGTAAACTGATTTTGAATAATGAAAAACTACTAAAACATTAAGAAAATATTAATGTTCTTTCTAAAAAAGCATTTGAATAAAATAAAAAACTTTCCTTTGTGCTTTTTTTTCCCATTTAAACATGACAAAAACTATTTCTGGCTCAAGTCATTTTCAATGTGTATTGATAGAGTGGGGGAAAGGCACTCTGCTCCCATTTAATTTAAAGACCCTGTCTTCTTCCATTTAAATCAGGTGCCATGGACCCATCTGGTAGTCTAGTGAAGCATATGGACCTTTTCTCAGGATAATATTTTTAAATCATAACAGAAAATGCACAGTATCACAAAGAAAATAGATTATATTGAAATAAAGTTATCAAAGGATTAAAAACTTTTGTGTTACAGGGCCAGACACAGTGGCTCATGCCTGTAATTCCAGCAGTCTGGGAGGCCAAGGTGAGAGGATCGCTTGAGCCCAGGAGTTTGAGACCAGCATAGGCAATACAGCAAAACCCTGTCTCTACAAAAAGTAACAATAAAAAAATTAGCTGGGCTTGGTAGCATGTGCGCCTGTGGTCCCAGCTACTCAGGAGGCTGAGGTGGGAGGATTGAGTCCAGGAGGTTGAGGCTGCAGTGAGCTGTGATCACGGCACTGCACTCCAGCCTGGGTGACAGAGCAATCCTGTCTCAAAAAAAAAAAAAAAGTGTTACAGATTTAATAATAAATGACAAAATCCAATTTAATCTGCTAGGTCTAAAAATTGTAATGAGGTGATGAAGCATTATTTAAAGATATCTGGAATAACTGTGAAGTTATTTCTATTGGTGACAAAGAATACTTTGCTGGATCCTTTGTACCTAGCTGACAAATCAGTGAAAAAAGTATGGAGGATGGTGCTTGGAAGTACCTTGTATTTCTGCTACCCCTTGTCGGTGGCCAGGACTCAGTCACATGGTCCTGTATCTAAGTGCTAAGAAACAAAATTTCACCAGTCCTTATTCTGATGTCTCTACAATTTGTTTTTCATTTTGGTTGTCTGAAACTCATTTTCCAGTAGATTTCTCAGCAAGGGCTCATGTGAGCAATATTTGATTGTCTGGGGGAGCTGTAACTGAAGGTAAGTCTGGCTGGACAGAAAGTAAGTGGCTCATGTTTTCCTTTCTAAAATATCTTATATACTCCATTGATTTTTACTCAATCACCTAATTTCTGAGTCTTTTCTAATTTGGATTTGTCTTTCCTTTCGGATATCATGTAAAAAACTTCTTTTAGCTTGTTTTGAAGTAATAGTTCATAGTTTTAATCTATTTTGTGGATTTTTTGGGGCATGTTTTCATTGTAGGAACGTTATTTTGCCCTGTATTCTTTTATCTTATAAAGGCTTTAACCATTTTTGTTTTCCTTTTTTTTTTTTTAAAGATGTTTTCCTGTACTGTGAAAGGGACAGTCCAGCCTAGTTCTTCCCAACTTAATGATTCCAAAGCTGTCTTTTCAATTGTTTTCACAAAGTGATTTTACAAAATGTGGTCTCCCACTTTGTGGGACTGCCTACTCTGTTGTCCTTGCCCACTTTTTATATGGACTTTGTTTCTTCTCCCCTTTTGTCCTGTACTGCTTAATTTGGATTCTACTTCAAGTAGCTTCCTTCAGTGACAGCATTTGTTCTGGAAGACAACTTTGGTTTGTCTGCTTCAGGAGTTTTTAAGGCCCAGACTGCTTTAGCACTATCAAACTGAATCACTTTCCAGTCTCCTTTATTCACCTATGAATTAAACATTACAAAAACGCCCAAGCAATCTCAGTGGTTGCTATGTAATTGGCTTGCTGTGCTTTCCAATGAGTATTTGCTGGCACTTCAAGGGCTTTCCTCTTCTCAGGACCCATCAACCACCTTGTTTCCTTACATTTGCTTCCTTCCACACATTTACTGATCCCACACTGATTTTGTAGTTGTTGGCAGTTTGTCCTTACCTGCTAGTATTTGGGGGTTTATAAGGATACTTAGCTTTGAGGTTGTTGCTATCTGTAGGTTTTTGGTTTTGATATCCTACTTGCTCTGTTTTATGATGAGATTAAAGAACAATGTCACTACTGCTACCATCTTTCAGGAATCTTCTTCCTGTAGTTTGTACTTTTAAATTTAAAATAATTATTGCTCAAGGTCTAGTTCAGAATTTGAAAAACTGGGGCTGTCCTTCTAATGAAAACATAGTAAAATACTCAGGATTTTCAAACTGTGACCTTTGAAACCACAGATTTATGCATACATGTTGCATGTCTGTGTGTATATGTGGACTTCTGTTTTTCTTTCTTTACCCCACTTCAAACAGAGGGGGCTCACTGTAGATATTGTACTTCAATGAAATATTTTTGTGTGAAGAAAGGGTTACATGGTTAAAAGTGTCGGAACATAACTGTCCAGGGGTCATCCTTTAAAAACCATACCTAAGAATAGACTTTCATAATACAGATTTGCAGAGACAATTTGGGCCAAGAACTTGAGCTCCAAGAAGTGGAGTTCACGCAAAAAAAAATATATATATTTTTATAAAAGTAATCTCTCATGGTTTTCAAAGGCTTAAGAACAGAATATATACTTATTAAATTCCTTTACATTTCTATTAAGAACCGTTTTTACTGGCTTTACTTTTCTCCCATTTACTATCTGCTGCCAGAAGATCAACTGTGGCATCAAATGCAGTTCTTAAGTTTTCTAAGTATTTACTTGGAACAAATGTGAAAATTTAAACTAAGTTTACAAAGACTTAAAGTAATCTCAGAAATGATCAACTCAATTAGATTTTTCCTCTTTGTCTTAGATATTTTAAATTTCAATTTCCCTCAGAGAACTTACAAATAAGATGTTCAAAATAACAACTTGAGGAAAAACAAAAACCAAAATCCTAAATGTTAGTGCTTGTGGAGGAAGATATGGTTAGATTCCTACCTGGTAGGTCAAACATTCTGGCATATTATATACCACATATCCATGGAATCACACCATATAGACCTGTCTGTCAAACCCCGGATTGGGGGGAGGATCTTTCTTGTGAGCAGAGAACTTTTCACTTCACTAAATGCTGAGATCTCAAGGAAGCAAGGAGGGAAGTGCCATACTCAGAACTTTGGCCAACAGAGTGGGAAAAGGAGGGGCACAGTAACAGTATCTCTTTTGAAACTCTACAAGACCCAATTTTAGGACCTCCTGGTGGATCCTAATGTATTAATTGCGGCCTCCATATCTGATTGCTGGTAAACCTGGCATTCTAAGGAAATAGTTCATTACTGCAATGCTCTTAAGTCTTCCCATGTGCCAGACAGATAACCAGCTTCCTTTACCTAAAGACTCACATTAGTATTACTGGAGCCTTGAAATATTTGCCAACATGGTTGCTTGTCAGATAAACAAGGCATTGTAAACCCTTATTCAGACACTTGCCAGAAAAAGACCATATTCAAGATTTCTATGCATAGAAAGGCTGTGAAGATGAAAGACAAGAAAACAATTTGTGCTTATTTTAGAAATCAGAGGACTTCAAATACAAAACCCCAATTGGCAATAGATTACATTCTTCTCTTCAACAGGCAGAATCCTTCACTGAGAAATGCAGTGAATCAATGTTATATTCTCTTTGAACTTGTTTAATCATGTATAATATTAAGGAGAAGTCAAACCTGATGTATGCATTATAAAATATAGCTCTTCTTCTACCAGTGAACTGTCGGTCAACTTGGCAGGTTCAACTCTGCTTTATTTATTACTGAGATACTTTATCATTTAAGCATGCAATATAGGGAGGTTCTTACTGGGCAAAATGAAACATCAAAACACAGGAGGAAGATGCCATAGATATCCACTGGTATTACTATGAAGGTAAAGCCATAGTATGAATAATACATATTTTACTAGTACCATATTTAATTTAGAGGCATCAATTTTTCTCTATTTGTTACAACTGTTTCCTGTAGATAAGTTAGGAATCCCTAGTGAGCTTAAAAAGAACAATATCCATTCTTTATCTATTATCTTCTCTCTGAGATGACTGATGTAGAATGTTGGAACTTGTTATGGATAGAATGTTTGTGTCCCCCACAAATTGATATGTTTAAATCCTAACAACAATATGATGAAAGGAAACTTGGAGAGCTTTCTTATTCTCTTTTTGCCATGAGAGGATCCAGTGATAAGTTGGTAGTCTGTAACCCAGAACAGAGAACCCACCAGAACCCAACCATGCCAGTTCCCTGATCTTGTACATCCAGCCTCCAAAACTGTGAGAGGTAACTTTCTATTGTTTACAATCCACTCAGTCCATGGTACTTTGTTATACCTGCCCAAAACTAAGAGCTCAAGGGGATTTCAGTGATTGGCTAACTAAAGTCCCTCATTTCTACAATGAGGTCACATAAGATCCACAGAGTTTTTTTGATAAATAAATCTAACATTTAGTATATGCCCACAATATACCAGGCATCGACACACACAAGTTCTAATTAATCCTAACAGCCTTGTGAGATGGATTTTGTCACGCTAAATTTAGAGATGAGGGAAATCAAGAGATGCATGACTTGTTCAAGAAGATGCATGCAGTTATTTAGTTCCAGAGCCAAGATTTCAATCTTCAGAGTCCAAGTCTGTTGTACTTATTAGTTGTTTGGTTTGTTCTCCCCATCTCCTGCACCCTGCAATTTTACATTTAATGTTAGGTGACTTGCCTAATGTCATGCAAGTAGAGAAACAGAATTTGAATCTAGGTCTCACATAAGGGATTTAGTGTATTTCCTCTTCTTTTCTCCATTACATTTCCATTACTGGGTAGTTAGTATTGTACTCGATATAGTATAACTATACCTAAACTAAATGTATCAGAATGTTTTGGGCTTTTATTTTAAGACCACTGCTTTCCCATTTTTTCAATGCATCTGATTTAACATCTTTTTTGTTTCTGGCACTATGCCAAGCAATTGTAGATAATATGGGAAAAGTATAGGTACAGTCTTCTTTGCTCTTGTGTACATAGATTTTATTGGAGAAATAAGATTTGAATCAAGGAAGTAGAGAAAAACAACTGCTGAAGTGTGTGCTAACAATTGAAAGTCCAGAGAAAACAACAGTAAAGACTGAAATAAAGGGGGAAATAGGATGCAGAACTGGCAGGAAAGGAGGTGGGCAGGAGAAATGACTTAAAAATACACAGTGAATAGCAAAATCCTGAATGGTCCATGTGGAGCAAGAATAAGGAGGCTCTCTAGGGCAAGTTCAAGGAAAGAAGGCTACTGATATGGTTTGGTTGTGTCCCCACCCAAATGTCATGTTTAATTGTAATCCTCAGTGTTGGAGGAGGGACCTGGTGGGAGATGACTGAATCATGGGGGCAGACTTCCCCCTTCCTGTCCTTGTGATAGAGTTCTAATAAGATATGGTTGTTTGAAAGTTTGTAGCACCTCCCACTTCACTGTCTCTCTCCTGCAGGCCATGTGAAGATGTGCCTCCTTCCCCTTCACCTTCTGCCATGATTGTAAGTTTCCTGAGGCCTCCCCAGAAGCAGAAGCCTGTACAGCTCACAAAACTGTGAGCATAATTAAAACTTTTTCTTATAAATTACCCAGTCTCAGGTAGTTCTTTATAGCAGTGTGAGAACGTACTAATATAGCTACTTAGAAGTATAGTGAGGCTATAAATGGTGGGGTTACATAACCATAGATCACAGTGCAGCTATAGACTGAAAAAAAACAAAACTAAGAGCTACCATCCATTTATTCTGTCCAACACTGCAGGAACCCTTTTATAGTATCCTACATTAATCTTGATTGCAACCCCATGAAGTAAGGATTGTTAGGCCCATGTTCAGTTTGTGTAACTGAGGCTCAGTCAGGCGCCAATTTGCTCAAAGTCATAGAGCAGTGAGAAGTCGAGACCCAGTATTCTAAACCAAGCGAGTTGGATTCCAAAATTCACATTGTTTCTAGCAGCAGTTTTTCAATGAAAACCAACAGATTAAACAACAAAAAACTTTCCCAAAGCACGAATCTTAGCCATTCAAGTTAAATTGTTTTCAAACACAACCACAAAGTAAAAAACACACTTAAAAGATCAAAAGTCAAGAAAACCTTCAAGTCTAGGTTTCTCATGCAGTCAAAGTCAGAAGTTATAAACACAGGTAGTACTGTATATTACCTGATAAACAGTTACTTTGAAATCCTAATGAAACATACATGTCATATTTAAGAGAGGTTTACATATTCCTTGTTGCCAACTTTACTTCCTAAATAAATACCTACTTTTTTGGGGGAGAAACAGCTTTGGGGTTTTACCTCAGACTTTTCCATAGCAAGATCTCATTTAAACTACCAAGAAAAATAATTGTTCTTTTGCTTTCACCTTGCAAACTCATCACAGTAAATTCTGCAGAGCCTCTCCCATTGTGAAGGAGCTGGCAAATAATGAATATGTCATTATAAGAAAAATAAGGAAATAAGACTCTGGGACTGCCGAGTGCGGTGGCTCATGCCTGTAATCCCAGCACTGTGGGAGGCTGAGGTGGGTGGATCACAAGGTCAGGGGTTCGAGACCAGCCTGGCCAATATGGTGAAACCCTGTCTCTACTAAAAATACAAAAAATTAGCTGAGGGTGGTGGTGGGTGCCTGTAGTCCAAGCTACTCAGGAGGCTGAGGCAGGAGAATCGCTTGAACCCAGGAGGCGGAGGTTGCAGTGAACTGAGATTGCACCGTTGCACTCCAGCCTGGGCGATAGAGTGAGACTCTGTCTCAAAAACAAAAAACAAAAACAAAAACAAAAACAAAACAGACTCTGGGACTACTCCTTATTTTGAAGGAATAAGGCTGTTTTGAAGCTGGACAAAATATTCTGCAAGGGACAAAATATTCCCTAATAAGCTCACTATAACAAAAGTAATAGCCAATCCAAAGTTTTCATTACAGAATGCCACAAAGGCAGGATGATCAAGACTCTGTCATACAGGACGCTGCACTGTAGACAACTAGTGCTGAGATCATCATGCGTATTTCAGGCCACTGTTTTCCACATCTCACTTATATGTGTACCTGCCTATTCAGGTACTAACTGAAGGGTTCTTCATTTGACATTTCTTTTAACTTTTTTAAAAATAAAATACCTAGTTTAACCTCAACTTTAAAAAATCATGAAGTCATGGCTTTGGTGTGCTGGCTGTATACTTTTCCTAACAGAAAATTAACATTTATAATTATAATTTTTAAAAATGTTTATATTGTACTACCAGTAATCATTCTGCATACTTCTGGTGACAATGTGCCACATTTTGGATGATATCTTTATAGGTGGCATCCTAATACAAGAATGGTTAAAAAGCATTCCTCAATAACCGTGTTAATTATTAGGGGAAGCTACCCAACTCTAAAGAATGTGTACCTAGGCCCATAAATGCAGACTATTGCTCTCAGGCTAGAAACTTAGTCAAAAAATAATTTTTGTGAGAATGTGAGGCATACTATATAACTCTGAGTTATAGTTAAACAAATACACTTTTCCTTTGCTATCTACTGTTCAGCAGGGCTTCTGTAGGAATTCAATTAAAATGGCTTAATTCTTTAAACATGTGGTGATACTTATCATTAGTTAAGGAAAAAAGCCAGTTATGCTCAAGCTGGGAAGCTGAAGGATGAGTGGGATTTAGAGATACAGGGTTCTGTAGATCTGATCAGGGAAGTGGCAAAAAGAGAAGGTAGAAGTTAGCAGCTGCTTCTTCCAGTACTTCTTATTCTGGCTAATGAATTTCCAATTTGGCCACTGTGTAACCACTGGTGGTCTCTGAGAGGCCAGTCATTCACTTGCATTCAAGTCAGGTAATGAATCTGTCAGTACTCTTAATTAGCAAAGGCTATTGGTCCCTTTTATGGCTAAAAGTTACGGTACCAAGTTTTAAAACTATTTTATGACAATAGGTCTTTTAGAAGTTATGATTTGGGTGAGGGGGTGCTTTAATATGGGATAAGCTATATTATACCTAGTGTGATTCCAATTGCCTACTTTGGGGGCCAGGAGAGCTGCCTGGGCTTTGGAATAACACAGCTCTGAGTTCAGTCTTCATTTGGCCACTTATTAGCTGTGTGGTTTTAGATAATCCTTTAAGCAATTCTACTTCAGTTCCCTCAATGAAGCTACTAACATTACCTACCTCAAAGGATTGTTGGGAAGATTAAATGATATGACATGTAGAAATAAGGGTTGATTAGCAGAAATAATATCTAAAATAACAATAAGAAGTCAATAAATGCTAGCTTATCAGCTACATGAAGCAACATCTCTTTGACACAAAAATTAAGATGAAAATTTGTGTGTCAATGAAAGCTCAGGTTACTTCTTTGCTTTTCAAAGGATGTTGGGTAAATACTCTTCGAAGATACACATGTGTAGCTGCAGCCTAGAGTCTTCTACATTGCTAATTTTATGATTTGTATTTAGGACTTCACAGACATTTGAAAAACACTTAGTAATTAAAGAAGCATTTTCTCACATTATCATCTCATTTGATTCCCAATGCAAACACTAAGAAGTAAGCAGTACAAGAACTGTTCACATTTTGTAGATGAGGAAACTGAAGTTCAGAAAGGTTATTTAATTATCCCATAATTACAGTAACTAGAGAAGTATTTTCTCACTACACCAACTGTGCCCTCATAACTATTTGCTTCACATTTTAAGATAAAGAAATAGGTACTACATAATTAAATTTTGATTTAAGGTCACAGTTAATTTATTTTGTCTTTGAATTTAAGTACAACTTGACACAGTATTTTCCAGCACAGTAAAATAAAGTTTCTAAATGAACTCTTAAAGCATAGCTTTATATATATATATCTCCCCTATTCTTATTAGGTTTTAGAATAGTATCCTGTATTTGGAAGGTCCTAAAAATAAATCTAAAAAATTATGTCAATGGTTGATATTATGCAGATACTAAGCAGACATCCTTTCTATACTGCAACCAATATAGTTTACTGCTTGAGGGTAGTTAATCTGGAGCACTGCAATTACACTACAGTTTAACTAAAGTATTTCCTATAAAGGTAAGTTACTGGTTTTGTCTCCTTAGATAAAACTAGTAAGTACATTTAAATAGTAGATTAAACAGCCAATCTACCGTAAAATACTTTGACAATACTGTTGATTTCGGGGGTCAGGTTTTGGCTTACCCCTTCAAAGACTGTTCTCACTACTATTAAAGATGGTTATTAATTTGCGCTGTTACCAGGCTAAGCTCCTCTGTCAAAGTCGTTGATTTTCTGCTAAATATAAGCCAGGGTTTTATGACCATTAGAAGTGGAAAACAGCCACAACAGGGATATGCAAACATGCTATTTTGAAATGGAGCCCAATGTCACAGTTCATATGTTCTGTATATTTTGAACATTTAAGAACATTATGATCTTTAACATTAAAAGGGTTTAATGAAAATGACTGGCATTAATTCCTCTAATTCCTTTGAGTGGAAGACTGAGGACCATGCTATATTACAGTAAATGACAATCCTTAGGCATGAATGGAGTTTAGAACTGTATTGGAATAAATTTTAAATGGGCTCAATCTCAAACATATTTGATAAGGCATCCAATGGTTACCACATTACACTGTGTGGTAATTAAGGAGAAATAATACACTTTATGTACTATTTTTAAAAAGCCAGCCAAACATTTTAGAGAAACAATGGTGAGGGGAGAGAACAACTTAATGAGATCAAGAAGCTACTTTGAGGCCCTCTTTGCAAGATTTCCAGCATCTGGGAACCCAAGAAGTCAGGTCATCTCAAGTCAAAGAGGGTCCCACAGGCTAAATGTTCTGTGGGACCTGGGGTAATGGTTATGACTACTCCTAGTTACTAGGAGTCAATATATGGTAGAAACTGAATCTTGGACCTCTCATTGCTTATAGTAAAGCAGTATTTTCTTTGACGTGAGAAGTTAAACTGACCTGGATATTCAGGTTACCGGCCCAGATTCCTCTTCCTAATTCCAAGCTGCCTGGAATTTTGCAAATTAATATGATTTAAATAAAAAACATTCCTAGGGTGCAGCCACTAATCATTCCCACCTTATTGTTGTTTGGTTTAGTTATCATCTTTTTTTTTCTTTTAACACCCTTACTAGAGTATACTCTGAAAGAATTAATGTTTTAAGGGGGAAAAAGAGATAATTTTAAGTAAGGGGCACTTACAAGTAAAGGCAAGTTTTTCATTAATGCAACATTCAGTAAATGCAACATTTACTGATCTCCTTTTAGCGTGGATATAAAGTCTCACCCATAAGGCCTTAACCATCTAATTTGTAATATGAACCTATTGTCATAATACCATTGCTGCCAACATTTCTACAGTGTCTACTATATGGTAGGCACTGTTTAATGCATTTTACATTCCAGTTGGGATGGGGCACCATTACAAACCATTCGAATTTTACAGACAAGGAAACTAAGGCACAGAGTGGTTAACTAACTTGCCCAAAGCCACAATGCTGATAAGTGGGGTTCCAGAGCCCCTGATGGTTACAGTTACCCCCTGACGTAAAAGAACTGTAACTCTTCTATCAGATGTGGAGGATCATCAGGAGAATAAGAGATAATGAGGGATGCAAAAGATGAGACGGGAAGGCATCAAAAGTATTTTTTTTCACATTGAAATCTGACGTAGAATTGGTCTGGTCCTTTCTTCAGCCTTGTAGCACCCAGGTGTCACTTAATCTTGTCCTGTTCCTAATGTCACTTACCTACTCTGTCTGCCTAGACTGGTGCCTAGCAAAGAGGAGTAGGGAAAGGACTGTGCTGGGGTGAAGAAACATGAGGATTCAGGGTTCGTCGTGAATAGCAAAGATGTGAAAAGCTGTACTTTTCATTACACATTATCATACACCTGTGAAGACTGATGAACACTATCAATAAAGGACTAAGTAGAGATGCACTGGGCTTTTAAAGTAAATGCAGTAATTTCTAAAATCCGTTACCACATAATGAGAATTATTAACATTTCAAAACTCCTCAATTGTCTTGGTAGCTTGAAAATACTACTTCATTTCCAAAATGGTAACAAGTGTTCTTGATACTAGCTATACACTGGGCAACAAAGGCATATATTCCTATAAGAATCTTAGCAATATTAAGAACAGCAGATAAAGTACAGAAAGTGTTAGGCAATGCAGACATCAAGTTAAAATTTATACAATAGTGACAGCATTGGGGAGGCATTTTTGAAAATATATTTCATACTGAATGATATTAACCTTATATTATTAAAAATGAGAAATATGCTACAATTCATTCAGAATAAATTCCATAGTGGGATATTTATGACAAATCACTTTAGCTCACCCCCAAGTTTACAATGCAACCAGAATTGGATGAAATTAGTTTGTTATACAAAAAACCCTATACAGTACATGAAAATCACATTTAATATAAATGTCACATCATATAGTCATATTACTCTTGAAGTAACAGTTTTATTGGAATAGTTTGAGTTTTCAGAACATGCAATGTAATCAAGACATTTCAAGCAGAATATGTTAACTTCATATTCAAAATGTAACAAGTATGCAATAGCATAATCCTGGGAAATACACTGTGTTCATCTAATACTGGAGATATCTGTCTTAGAGACCTTATGAAAAAACATGAGCTTTTGTGTCTTATTGCTTCAACTAAAATGTATTATAAATGCAACTCAGGATATTTTATCTACATTAAAAAAAACCTGTATAAAGGAAATCATACTAATGGTAAATAGAAAATTGCTGGGAGAACAATGGTCTAGAAGTAGGTATCTATTTAAATGATTTGACTATTATGAATTTATTAACATAATTTCCTAATATGAATAAATAAAAATCCTTATTTTTTTTTCAAATATGTATGAGTCAAGAGTCAAGAATAGGATTCCTCTACCACACTGCTGAACAGCTCTAAGACCTGATACTCATTTATTGGTCAGTTTTAATTTAATAAACTAAAGACAAAGATAAGTTACCTAGCAAACTTGAGGCAAGAGCTTGGCTAACGGTGGCAAGATGGAGCACCACACATGGTGTTAATAAAACACATGATTTGTGGCTGCCTTTTAAGTACTATGACTAGTTATTTGTGGGTTTGGGGTTACATCTATATGAGGTCACCGAGACTTTCTCCAACTTTTCTAAATATGCCACACATTTTAAGAAAGCAACTTTGGGGAATATGGTGGACGGTGTGTAAATTATTTCTACTTAAAGTCTAACAGAGGCAGTGCAGTGCTGTGGAAACACATGAAATTTAGTGCTTATACACTGGGGTTCTCCCATTCTACCAATCACTAGTGTGAAGTCTGTTTCCTTATCTATAAAATGGAAATAAGAAAACCTTACTGGTTTTCTGCAGAAATCAAAAATATCTTGATTTAAAACAGTATTGTAAGGATTCTCAGAACCTAAAACAGCAGGCTATGTTCATATAAACATACATACATGGCCAAAAGGTGAATTAAATATAATTTCTTAAAAATCAATAAAATAACAATGATAAAACATTTAATTTTGTTCACACTTCTGCTTCTTCTTGGAATGTCCTTCACCACTTTCAATTCCTCCTGCCTTGGCATGCCCAAATCTTCATCCTTTAAGGCCAAGCTCAAAAACCACCTCTTTCAGGAACACTCCCATGACAACCCAAAAGAAAATAATCTCTCCTTTCTGTAATTACCAAAGAGCTTTAAATTATGCTAATTGAATGCATAACTTTCCACTTTATATTATCGGTATTTATATACATATTGTAACTCCTCTGATTATATATCAATATAGAGTCTACCTGCTACTGCTGTTCCTATCAATAGAGGGCTTATTACACACCAAAAATCATGCTAAGAGCCTCGCATGTAACCCATAATGTAGGTGCCATTTCCATTTTACATATGAGGAAACAGAACAGAGGTTGTAGAGCCAGAATTTGAGCCTGAGTACTAAGCAATAACACTTCTGTGATAAGCATTCTGTATGGTAGGCAAAAAGCGCATTTTCACAAGCTCACTTAAGGTAGTTGTGATTTGGCAGAGATGTGAATGAGGTCTTCTGAATTTAACTTCAGTGTTCTCTGAAATGCTTTATCTTATATCTCTGGTGTTCATACTAACTCCAATTCTGTGCCAGAGGACCTCTGGGAGGGCAGCTCATTGGCTCAAGGTGCCAACCAGATGCATCTGGTCCAAATAATAAAAATAACTTGAAAGTGTCATCTACTGTGTTGCTGCTGCCCAGCACTGCCATGTACACAGCCGGCTTAGTCACTTAATCTTCTTGCCAGGAATTCTTCATTTGGAAAACAGAGACAAGCACTCGACCCCTACCCAAACTCACAGGATTTGAAATTAAGGAATGGGGAAAAATACTTTTAGTTAACCATAAGAGAACTGTTGGCATAAGTACATTTTGTAATTTTTTTTCATTCCCCTTTCAGCATTTAAAACTAACACAAATATTTAAATTCATTACACAGAAAGTATGCTAAGAAAAGGGGGCTTCATTCTGGCCTGCGATTTTACAGATCACAGAAATTCTAAGGAATATGCAATTAAGACAGGCAAAATAGCTCTCTACACCAGCTGGTGGACCTTCTCCAGAAACTTCCATAACAACTTAATATGTCCCGAGGCATGAATAATTTGTTCACATGCTGAGTTTGTATGGCAGAACTCAGAGCAATAGAAAGGTTATTACAGAGGTCCTGGAGGTGTTTATATAGCCCTCCTACTGTTCAACAGCCTTTGTTTCTTCTCCTTTTTACGTTCTGGATAGTTTAAATGTTTCATAAAGGTGTCTGGATTTGTAAAAACATTATGGTCCTGTTACTACTCACTTATTTTCTCATGATTACAAGTTGGAGAAGAGCTAAAAGTTCTCAAAAAAGCAGTTTTTAATAACTGTTGAACTATTTTTGGGTGTAATTCAACTATATGTATCAGTAACAAGTTTTGTTCTTATTATTTCTCATCTCTTTTAGTCACATCTGCCTTGTCAATGAGAAGAATGTTTATGAAATTAAAAAGTTCATTTTGTTGAATCAGCTACAAAAATATCTGAACCATAAAAAAATTCCAAAAACTATCTCTTAGGAGCCAAAGGGTAGCCCTTATAGAATTTTCCATGGATAGATTTGCTTACTTAAAGTATTTGGCAGGCTTTGAAAACATAACAGAGGTCAATAATTTGTGACCACAGAAGATCTGTGTTTAGTTTAAATCTGTATGGGCACATAATTAAGGCAGAAAATTGAACACAAATGGAGATCTAGTTCAAACCCATTTGTAAAAAATGAGATGGAATCAGAATTATCAAATCAGAATGCACACATGATATAGGAACCTCATGATGACCTTACTTTCTGATTTACTGCCATTTACAGGCATGCCGTGTTTTATTGCCCTTTGTTTTACGGTGCTTCTTAGATATTGCATTTTTTTGTTTTTCAAATTGAAGATATGTGACAATCAGGTGTCAAGAAAGTCCATCAGCACCATTTTCCAGCAGTACATGCTCACTTTATGTCTCTGTGTCTCATTTTGGTAATTACTGCACTAATTCAAACTTTTTCATTAGTATGAGATCTGTGAACAGTGATCTCTGGCCAGGCGCGGTGGCTCACACCTGTAATCCTAGCACTTTGGGAGGCCGAGGTGGGCGGATCACGAGGTCAGGAGATTGAGACCATCCTGGCTAACACAGTAAAACCCCATCTCTACTAAAAATACAAAAAATTAGCCCAGCGTGGTGATGGGCGCCTGTGGTCCCAGCTACTCGGGAGGCTGAGGCAGGAGCATGGTGTGAACCCGGCAGGCGGAGCTTGCAGTGAGCTGAGATGGCGCCACTGCACTCCAGCCTGGGCGATAGAGACTCCGTCTCAAACAACAACAACCACCACCACCACCACCACCACCACCACCACCACCAGCGATCTCTCTGATCAGTGATTGTTGATGTTAGAATCTTAATTGTTTTGGGGCACCATGAACCACACCCATAGAAGATGGCAAACTCTCGATACATGTTGTGTGACTGCTCCACTGACTGGCCACCTTCTACTCTCTCCCCTTCTCCTTGGGCCTTCCTGTTCCCTGCGACGCAACAATACTGAAATTAGGTCTACAATAGCCTCTAAGTGTTCAAATGAAAGGAAGAATCACATCTCTCTCATTTTAAATCAAAAGCTAGCAATGATGAAGCCTATGAAGAAGCCATGCTGACAGCCCAGACAAGCAGAAAACTAGACCTCTTGTGCAAAACAGTTAGCCAAGTTGTGAATGCAAAAGAGAAGTTCTTGCATGAAATTAAAAGTGCTACTTCAGTGAACACATGAATGATAAGAAAGTGAAAGAGCTTTATTGCTGATATGAAGAAAGTTTTAGTGGTCTGAATAGATCAAACCAGCCACATCACTCCTTCAAGCCAAAACCTAATCCAGCGCAAGGCTGTAACTAACTTCAATTCTGCGAAGGCTAAGAGAGTAAGAAAACTGCAGAAGAAAAGCTGGAAGCTATAGAGGTTTAGCTCATGAGACACAAAGGAAAAAGCAGTCTTCCTAACATAAAAGTGGAATGTGGGAGTTTGAGACCAGCCTGGGCAACACAGGGAGATCCCATCTCTACATAAAATAGAAGAAGTAGCTGGATATGGTGGTGAATGCCTGTAGTCCAAGTTACCTGAGAGGCTGAGGAGCTTGAGCCTGGGAGGTTGAGGCTGCAGTGAGCTGTGATCACGCCACTGCACTCCAGCCTTGGTGACAGAGCAAGACCCTACCTCCAAAAAACAAAAAAAAGTGCAAGATGAAGCAGCAGCAGCTGATGGAGAAGCTGCAGCAAGTTATCCAGAATATCTAGCTAAGATCACTGATGAAGGTGGCTATTTAAGTCTAGATTTTCAGTGCAGACAAAATGTAGCTTAGGGTCCCTGGGTTTTTGGGTATCCACTGTGAAAAAGCACTCACTTGTAAGTGTTATACCTTGAGCTTTTGTTATTTCAAAAAAACTTCCAGGAAGAAGCTTAGCCCCAGAAAAACCAGTTGGATCTAGAGATGCGTCAGTTGCAGATGAACTTTGGCAAACTCCCTTCAATGCATACTAAAATCCCTGCCCAGAGAGAAGCTTAGCCCCCATTTTCTATACACGCAGCATATATAGAAGCATCATCAGGGACTGCTCGGGTGCTGCCTTTACTCCACCTCAACATACAATGACTCAGTTAACCAGCCCAATAAAAGCTTGTTTTCACCATTGTTCAGGAAGGTTTTGCTTTGGGAACTATCCTCAGCATTCTTCTTATTACAAGTAATAAAATCTCCTTGCTGAATCCTCGATTATGGTAAATGGACTGTCATCCACCAAGCAATCAAACCCACCCATTGTGTGGGTAACAAACAGCCTTCTTTTGGAAGAAGAGGCCATCTAGGACTTTCCGAGCTAGAGAGGAGAAGTCAGCTCCTGGCTTCAAAGCTTCAAAGGACAGGCTGACCCTCTTGTTAGGGGCTAATGCAGATGGTGACATTTAAGTTGAAGCCAATGCTCACTTACTAATCCAAAAATCCTAGGGCCTTAAATAATTATGCTAAATCAACTTTACCTACGCTATATAAAGCTGCGATGACAGCACACTTGTTTACTGCACAGTTTACTGAATATTTTTAAAGTCCACTGTTGAGACCTACTGTTCAAAAACAAGATTCTCTTCAAAACACTACTGCTCACTGACAATGCACCTGGTCACCGAAGAGCTCTGGTGGAGATGTATAAGGAGATGAATGTTGCTTTCATACCTGCTAACTCAACAACCATTCTGTAGCCCATAAACCAAAGAGTAATTTTGACTTTCAAGTGTTATTATTGAAGAAATACATTTTGTAAGGCAATAGCTCCCATTCGCAGTGATTCCTCTGATGGATCTGGGCAAAGTCAACTGAAAATCTTGTGGAATGGATTCACCATTCTAGACGCCATTAAGAACATTCGTGATCATGAGATGAGGTCAAAATATCAAGTTGATAGGAGCTTGATAGAAGTTGATTCCAACTCTCATGGATGATTTGAGGGGTTTGATTTCAATGGAGGAAGTAACTGCAAAGATGGTAGAAATAGCAAGAGAACTAGAATTATAAGTGGAGCCTAAAGATATTGATTTGCTGCAATCTTATGATCAAACTTGAACAAATGAAGAGTTGCTTCTTAGGAATAAGCAAAGAAAGTGATTACTTAAGATGGAATCTACTCCTGGTAAAGATGCTATGAACACTGTTGCAATGTCAACAAAGGATTCAGAATATTACATAATATCAGTTGATAAAGCCGTGGCAGAGTTTGAGAGGACTGACTCCAATTTTGAAAGAAGTTACATTGTGGGTAAAATACTGCCAAACAACTGTTCATGCTACAGAGAAATCTTTTGTGAAAGGATGAGTCAACTGATGCAACAAATTTCATCGTTGTTTTATTGTAAGAAATTACCACAGCTACTCCAGCCTTCAGCAACCACCACCTTGATCAGTGAGCAGCCATCCACATCAAGGAAAGACCCTTCACCAGCAAAAAGATTATGACTCCCTAAAGGCTCAGATGATCGTTAGGATCTTTCAGTAATAAAGTTTTCTTATTTTTCTTTTTAAGAGACAGGGTCTCGCTCTGTTGCTTACACTGGAGTGCAGTGGCGTGATCCCAGCTCATAGCAGCCTTGAACTCCTGGGCTCAAGTGATCCTCCGCCTAAGCTGAAAACTTAAAAAATTAGCCCGGCTAATTTTTTGTAGAAATGGGGGTCTCATTATGTTGACCAGGCTGGTCTTGAACTCCTAGCCTTAAGTGATCCTCCTGCATTTGCCTCCCAAAGTGCTGGGATTACAGGAATGAGCCACTGTGCTTAGCCCAATAATGTACTTGTTATTAAGGTATATGCATTGTCCTCTTTAGACATAAAGTCACTGCACACTTAATTGGCTACAATACAGTATAAACATAATTTTTGGATGCACTGGGAAACCAAAAAATTTGTGTGACTCACTGTGTTGCAACATCTGCTTTATTGCTGTGGTCTCGAGCCGAACCTGCAGTATCTCTGAGGTTCCTGTAATTCACTTGTGTGGTAGACACAGAGGGCATTTCCTATTGACAGGTAGTCAAGCTGCTTAATTATAGATTGTTGATAGTTCTGCTCCATCTATTTACCTCGCATGCAGGGAAGCCTTTGGAAAGCTAAACTTTTCAGGTCTCTCAGAAAGAGAAGAGAGCAAAATCTGCATTAAAACTATTCTTGTCATGCAGAGACCTGGGTTAGGCAGGAAGACATGATAATCCAGTGAATTCTGCTTAGGGATCAAGTCCCCACACTTGGCTTCAATGACTTTTCATAATCTCGGATACACCCATAAAGAAACAAAATACTGCAAAACGTAAGGTAAACAGACAAAAAAAATTCCTAACATTTTCTATGCAAAGTTCAAATTTTGAGTTTAGCTTCAGCTAAATTAGGAAGTACACTGTACAACACTTTACCAGGAGGTAGTCTTTTATTTTAGTGCTTGAATTTGTATGCTATCAAAAAATAGTATGGCATCTTGCCAAACTTGCACTTAGTTCAAACAAAACTTTAAAAGAGCTGTTATTCTAGGTGCATATTCACGTATTATTTCTCATATAGGCATACCCAGACATCACACACGGATGGAAGAAAGCTGTTGGGCTATCCCATTAGCAGGATGAAACACAGTCTGTGTTATATGAGGTATTTCTTGTACTGTAAGCAAAACTTCTCTTAGCTTTTCTGGCAATTTATTCCATAATTTTTGTCTTAAAGTTCTTTATGAGACTAAAGATACAAGGTAGCAGATGAGACTTAAATCAGACTTCAGCAGGTAGATGGAAAGCGCTCAGACATGAGACCTCCCTTAAAGGTCTTACCCAACTCTCAGCTTTTAAAATATGGATTGCATTCATGGGTGGCACCTTTTAAAATAAACCATTCTTTTTCAAAGCGTTTTGTTCTTTTAAAATAATAAGCTGTTTCAAGTAGATTTTCTACTGTAAGTTAATAACTAATAAACACATGGTATAAAGTTATTACATTTAAGTACTGTTAAAATTTAAAAAATCAGTTTATAAAGTATTAAAATAATTTAAAGAGCAACTAATGGGGATCTAAAAATTCATTAGCTTCTTAAAAATTCAAACAGAACAAAACTGACAAAGGTAAAACAAGTCTCCTCTTATTCCTCAAGTTCTAGGAGTCTATGATTCTAACAAATTAAATACTTACATTTAGCAACATAATCTTACACAATATGCAAATATCTCAGAATGCTGCCTCCCTTCTGTAAAATTAAAGAGTATAGAAAACTATACCTTTAAGTTATTTTATAGCAGACATTCTAGGTGTTTACTACTAGACGTGTATCTTCTTTAAAAGGTAACTAGCACCACTATAATAAGCTCAGAAAAAGTTTCTTCCCCTATCAAGATATTTGTAACATCTTCACAATGAAGAGATGCTTCCTTGGCCAATGTACAAATACATTTTGAAAGGAAAGCTGTAATACACTGCTCTACAAGAAAGCTCTGTTGGTTGCAGAGGGTTAGGAAAATCTATAATGACAAATGTATTCACAGTTTGTTTTATAAAGTCGTTAATATGCAATATCTTGATTTATATTTTATTAAGATCATCAATGATTCCCTTTCCAGATTCAGAAATATATAAAAAGGGATTTTAAAATATCCTCAAACCACTGTTGTAAGCACCTCAGTTCTAGTCTTCAAAGATGCATACAATTTTTAAATGAGAAGTGAAATATGTGGAAAGAGAAAGTAGGCTAAAACTGTAGTCTTTGTTTTTCATTTGTTAATACTTTGGGTATATATTCTGTTTAACTTCCCTTAAGACATATTCATGCCAACTTTCTTTTTAAAAAACAGGTTAAAGATATAAAGTATTTTTTTCTTTCCTCACCACAAAAAAAAACAGAAACAAATGGAGAGCCTCCAAACATATTGTTTCCAACGGAAATGGATGAATTAAAAAATAGTTGCTCATTTTAACAAAAAATTCAATATTTTAAATAAGTTGAAAACACCACAACTACGTTGATTTAACTGACATATTTAAAATGGTATATATTAAACCATTAGGATACTCTACCAGAAGTAGCACTTGCCAGTTATAGGAAGGCACATTCAAACTTCGGTGCCTAAGCCTTAAGAATACTTATTATTTCCCCACTGCCAAATGCTCCAAAATATTTTACCTATCATTTACTTTGAAGAGCAGTTATTTTTCTAAGGATACTATTAAAAATGGGACATAGAGTCTAAGCAGTATTAGTGCACTTATGGGAAAAACAGGATGAAATACCAAAAAGTTGGCCTGTTCCAGGAAATCCAGAATACATAGTTGCTATTTGAGTAAAGGGGTGTGCCAGCGTGCTGTGGAGAACAGAACTCAAGAGACGGCATAAAAAGAACTTGTCCATCCTAACTCTGTTAGATCATAGGCATTTTGTAGTAAATTATGGTCCTTCAAGTCTTTTTCCTCCCTACTGCCCTCACCAGACCTCCTGACATACCCTCCTTTTCACAGAATGATAACATTAAAATGTCTTTCTCCCATCAGGGATAAAGTTGTTCTCATCTTTGACCAACACAGAATTATGCAGTAGCAACTCAACCATTTGGGTAACAGTTATCACCTAGCCTAATAAAGATTATAACTAGGATCAAGTTACAGTGTTATTCTAAATCAACAATCTGAATATAAATTTTAACTGGTCAGTGTGCACTAGAATTCCCATATTTTATAAACACGACTTTTACACTAAACTTTCTAAAGTCTCTCAAAAATTTTAATATAGATTCAAAACATACATTCTTATCAAGAAAACACCATGTTCCAAATTCAAATACTTTGGAAGAGTCAATGGAGGACTGTCAGCTGGTTCAAAAGTCTACTCACTAACAGAAAAAAAAAAGATTCTGTATAAAAATTGCACCTGTTTATGATTCACATTTTCTTAAAGAACTTCCTACTGTGTCTCTTGCTGACAAGTAAATGTAGGACCTTAAATCCACACAGTAGCTAGATATATCGTGCTGTTGAAAGTGTGAATTCACCAGTGGATATAGAACATTCATTAAATGAGGATATGAACTAACATATTCCAGCTGCAACAATTTTTGAACTATGCAAGTAACTCCATCCTTTTTCTTCCCCACTTTCAGCCAAAGAAATACTCTCCAAAGCCCAGAAAAACATCTCAAAGAATTGTTGAAAACTCACCACCAACCTTTTCCATATTTAGATTTTAACAATTAAATCTCTATAATTTAATTTCCAGTAAGAATAACATTAACAGGTTGATGGTAAAACAACCCTGTAATAATTCAATAAAAATGATAAAAATTTATCTTTATGAGATAAGCAACAACATCCATCCCTCTTACCCTTTAGGTACTGCTCTATTTTTTTCAAACTTGGCCACTATCTTAGGGAAGCATAAATATATTTTTTAAAACTCCACCAACATAGAGATTTCTTGTTGAGAGACTATGAACATATTCCTCGCTCATAAAAATAACTAACGATTGTATGAGAATCAAGTTTGAATTACTGAAATAGAAATAAAGCATACCTCTATACTTTTCATGTTGTAAAAGTACTTTATTACCAGGATATTAGCTTATTTTGGATTTCTTATAGCAAAAAGTACATCTTACTACACTGATAGCAGAGAGACAAAATCTTACATTACATAATCAAGACTCCTTAAGAGATAACACGGTATAGTCGTCAGAAGCGCTCACTGAAGACCTAAATTTCCTGGCTATCAATTGCAGACCTGCCACACCGATCAGCTCAGCAACCCTGCTCAAATTACTCTTTATTCCATGCCTCAGCCTCCTCATCTGTAAAATTATAAGTATTGCTCAGGATGTTTCGAGGATGCCATGTAATGAGACTTAGGTAAGTACTACCTCTATTACTGATCTAAGAATTCTTATTTTAGATGCATATACAGCTAAATTAATGAATCTAAATGGATAGCAGGACAAATTTGACATGAGCAATTTTTCAAAAAAAATTATTTATTTGCTTTTAAGAGGAGAGGCTATGTTGCTCAGGCTAAACTCAAACTCCTGGGCTCAACGGATCCTCCCACCTCAGCCTCCAATACAAGTGTGCACCACCGTGCCCAGTTAATAAACATTTAAAAAGTTTTACAATAGTTGCAGATTTACAGAAAAATTGCAAAGATAGTACAAAAAGTTCCCAAATCTTCCAAGAAGTTTCTCTTATTAACATTTTATGATGTCAGCAACTTTTAGTGATAGCTCAATAGTGGAAAGTCATTTATTCTCAGCCAGTAAAACTACAAATTTAATTAATCTGTAATTTCAGTAACCCACCTACTGGAATAAAACTTTGAAACTTGTAAATACCATATTATAATTAGTAAGTGCTAAATTTATTGTTTTAGTAATAGCACTGCACATACTATACTAATGTAAGGTGTTTTATATTCTCATTAAAAAGAAATAAAATGAAAAAGTTATTTTAATGTGTGTAATTACTTCTATATACATATTAAGTTGCAAATTAAAACGTAAAGTAGAAAATAAAGCCGGAATATTTAAATAGATACTTCATAATTTTAAAATTAAATAAATTTTCTTAATATCATAAGGTAACTAAAACTACATAAGGGCAATGTTGGTGAATACATTTTGATATCAGAATTCTTAATTTATTTCCTCACTTTTAAAGAATCATATTTCTAGTAATATAATACAAGGCAAATTTTTCTGAGATGATAATGAAAGAGGTAAAGAGGTGTATCTATAGCAATGTTAAAAGAGGCACACAGCATTAAATATAGACATGAACTGCCCCATTTAGTAGCCACTAGCCACATGTAGCAAAATTAATTAAAATTAATTAAAATTAAATTCTTCAGTTGTACTAGAACCACACGTCAAGGACTCAGTAGCCACATGAGGTTAGTGTTACAATGTTGGAAGCACAGAGAGAGAACATTTCCATCAGTGCAGAAAGTTGTACTGAAAAGTACTGCTCTAGATATGAACAGATTGTTTCACTAATCACACTTAACTGAGTTCTACCCAATAGTCCTAACCTCTTTATCCAAACAAATTCTTTTTATTAAACTTGCAAAAAAGAAGCAAGGGGATAAAAGCAGGCTTTTATCTCATTTTCTGAAATGTTTAAGGGATGAAAAGGAAGACGGCCTGGCCAATTCCCATAACAGACAAATGGCCACCAATAAATGAAAAAATTGCTGAGGTCCTCAAAGCCATTGCTGTACTCACGTGGCAGGGTAGCAGTGGGCCCAGTGGCCAGGAGGATGCCTCTTCAGGGGTACATTTCCTCACTAGGGGGAGGGGTCCCCATGTGGGGCCTCCGCACTGGTGGGACCTTCCCCATTATAGGGCTGGGGTTTCTGCCAGTGAAAAATGGGAAATTTCATTGTTAGCCAGCTTTAAAACTTTTCCCCGTTGAGATATTAAAAACACTGCTTACTGGATTATTTAGTTAATTCAAAACAGAATTATATGAGATAAGTTTTTAGAACTGATGAATCATGATGTGTGATTGATTCTGTCTGCCCCTGAGTCCCCTAGGAAAAAATCACCTGCAGTATTACCAGAACTGTCATAAGAATTTTCAATCTTATTAAATGCTGAAAAGATTAGATTGAACCAGATAATGGTTTTTCCAATCAGGATAAAAAATAAGGATAATTGTCTTTTAATTATCAGTAACAGACAGTGGTGAAAAGAGCAAATGTAATCAGATATAACAAAAACCTCACCAAGTTCCACAGCTTCTCATTCTTACCCCATCCGAATTTTTAAAATCAGAGTTGAAAATAAGAAGCAAATATTTAAATTCCATCCAGTTACTTCTTGTGAACATTCTGAGATTTGGTACTAAAATAATGATGATGTAATGGTCAATGGAAACAAAGATCTGTTGTTTTATTCTCCAAAAAATTTTTAAGAAATCCATGTAAGCAGTCTGTTGATATCTAAAAATGTGGCTAACAATAAAAATCCCCCTTACACTTACCAAATGTTTTCACTTCTACAAAATGAGCATTTTCATTGTTTGGGCTGCAGCACACACAGTTCAATGGAAAGTGATAGGTGTATTCCTACTGACGTTCTGTAATGCCATAAGAGTTACCCTAAATTTTTCCAGTTTAAACTCTTTCTGCTAGTATACTTACAATGGCATGCCATAGTATACCTTTGGGCTGTTAGGTAAGAGGGCAATTCAATAGAACTCTATGGATGATGGATATTACATTTCTAAAAGCCATTGAAAAACCAGAAAATATAAGTTTGTGGTGAACTCCAAGAAAGGAGACAGAAGAAGTAAACAGATGGAACTGTGCACTAAAATTTGTGACATTATTTTTCCCACCAGGTACCAGAGATCCTGGATCTGCCTGACTTAATCTCCTAATCTCTGGAGTTGCAGAGGGCCCCTTTAATCCCTTGTAACTACGCTCCCAAAGAGCAATTCAGAGGTCAGCTTACTACAAACTGCACTTTTCTGTCTACATTACAAGAAAGATGAGGATAAAGAAAGGAAACATAACCAGGAAAAGGTATTTTATACAAAATTAGGTAACACATTTGAATTACAAATTATCACCCTCCAATTGGTGAGAGAAATTTATTTTAAATAGAAAATATCTAGATCCCAAGTATTTAATGTTACTGTAAAAGTTGAAATACTTTCACGACAGGAACTAATATCATTCCCAATTAGCTTCCAATCAGAATCCTCATATTAGGTCATGTATTAAAAAATACTAACTTAGTAGACTATTCCTAATAGTATTCCAAATCTCCATAACATGGGTAAGTTAGGCTTACCTGCTGCTAGTTGTGAAAATTAAATTTTTGACACTATCAGTGTGAAAAGTAGTTCCAGAGTATATGGTCAAACAAAAACATTGCCAAAGATGTAAGAATAAAGATTTACATCAAACATCAAAAACAGAAATGCCTTTCAGGAGTTGACCTAAGTTCCTAGGGGTGGAACTGGAAGGCTTCGTGGCAAGAGCTTCATTCTGAAAAGATTACGGGGTCACTAACCTCGACAGACTCAGTCAAAATTAAACTCTGTTAGACTTCCTGTCTACCCTAAAAGACCCTGATATCCACAGATAAAAACTTCTTCACAACTGGCTTATCCATTAGAAAAAAAAATACTGCCTTTAATTAAAGAGATAATTTTTAAAAACAGAAACTTACTCCTCTGAACATTGATTTTATATTTACTTTGCTATACTGTCAAAGTTTCCTAATAACCTTTCTTCCTCACATGCAGCTGCAAGGCTGTTTTGGCCTGCAGAAAGGAATACATTTTTCTAATTCACACAAAATGCCATGAATGTTAATAAAGGCTCTGAAGACAACCATGTAATACCATATTTCATTGACTATAAAATAAGGTGCACCATCACTTTACAAACCACTGAGAAAAGCTCACTAAATTAGGCTGTAATATAGTGATTTCTTATCACACAAAAATTATATTACTCTTCTTGAAAGGGGTCTCTTGATAAGTGTAACAGTCATGTTTGCTATATATCACACTTGAGCACAAAGAAAGGATTACATGAACAAAAAAAGAATTACTAAAACTTCTTCACACTTGGAGTTTAATTCTTCTGAATCATTTTTCAGCTCAGAGATAATTGTTTTTCCACAAAATGTAGTCCTTTGTGCCATCAAGAGCATTGTTGAGGTAGTGTATCTTGAAATTTCTCTCCACAACTGCCCCTGGAATTTTCTTCCAAACTGCTGACATTCTTTTTGCAAGATTTTTAAAGAATGCATAACTACAACTAACTCACAATAACTACTTGTCCCAAAGTAATTGATATCAGAAAGGTTAAAATATGTAAAAATAGGCTTCTTAGAACTGATGAGATACAATAACAGGGCTCCTGATGTTGGGACAAAATGCTTTTCTTTCACTTCCTTTCACCCATCTAACTATTCATTCCTCAAATAGTTATTAATCACCTAATATGTGACACAGGCACCAAGGGACAGGGCAGTGCACAAACAGGTAATGACACTACTCTCAGGGAACTTACATAGAGACTGGCATTAATTAAATAAACACAGAAAATTAATATAAAACTACTACTGTTGTAAGTACTGAAAAAAAGATGCACATCATTTAGTAACATATGGCTGATCTGACCTAGTCAGGGAAATCAGATAATACCTAAGGAAAGCAGGGAGAATGAAATGTGTCAGGCAGAGGAAACAGCATGTAAGGACTGTTTTGCATGGATAACTGCACTGGGGAAAGGGAAATCCCAAACTTTTTGAGGCCTATTACAATTGAGTTCTAAACTACACCAATACTGGGGGACCTGAAATGCCAGCACGCTCTTCTGGTCAGAGTGAGGGTTTATGGAGGCCAATTAATTAATAAAGTTTTGACCCAAGTCTCGGGAACTACAGAGAAGAGCACTATCAAAGACTTAAAGATGCAGGGGTGGTGGTCCTCACCATATTCTCTTTCTATACCTTTTATGACCCTACGGATAAAAAAAAAAAAAAAAAAAAACCAAACAGACGGATAATGAATAACTGTAACCTTAAACTGGTAGAATCCCCAGTAGTAACTGGCATGCCAGATATGGTATCAATTTGGTACTCAGCTACTGATATGGTGAATGCTTTCTTCTCAGTCCCTATCAGTAGGGAAGATGAAAGGCAGGTAACTTTCACAATGGCAAAGAGACCATAATATCCTTCCCCAGGGCAATGTTAACTCTTACGATCTCACTCAAAATTCAGTCAGCCGGGATATCTTCACATTCCATTATATTCATGATAGCATACTAACTGCATCTGGTTAGCACAAAATGGAAAGTACCCTAGCCAGCTTAAGTAAAATACACATAGCAGACATTTCACAAAAATTAAGGGTTATGGGCACACACTGCCAAACTTTTTAAGGAGTTCAGGGCTCCAGGCCATGCTGAGAACATCCTCTTTAAGGTAAACAAGTTTTTGCATCTCTCAAATCTACTGTTAAGAAAAAGGTGGACCTTCTTTGATCCTGGAGGCTGTATATTTATATGCAGTACTTTTAACACCGTTTTGATCCATTTATCAGAGACCCCGAAGGATGCCAGTTTCAAGAGTGACCGAGTGTGATAAAGAAGACTCTGTAGCAGGTCCCAGCTATGGTGCATCTGTGACCAATGGATCTCATGGTACAAGACCTATTTTTTTTCTCTGTTTAAGAAATGGGGTCTCTCTCTGTTCCCCCAGGCTGAAGACCTATCATTGACGGATAAAAATGCTGTGGAGTCTCTGGCAAGCACCAAAAGAGAAGTCACAATGCTGATCCTTGGGGTTCAGTGGCAGAGAAGAACTTTCTGCTAGAAAAACAAATCCTAGTATGTTACAGGGCCCTAAGAGAATTTGCATGCCTCACTATGTGCCAACAAATAAGTCTGTGACTTAAAGTACCCACTGAGTAGCAAGACGGGCAGAGAAACAACCCGTTGTATGATGGAAATGGTATATTTGGGATTAGGCACAGGCACATTCAGGAGGCATGAAAAAATTACATTCACAGGTAACTCAGACTCCCACATCACTAACGCCTTTCTCCTTCATGACCAACTGTCAAGGCAAAAAGGATTTCCGATCTAGCCAAATATGAACTGCTGTTGCACTGCAGCCTTATTCAGGAGCAGACCTAAAGAACTGTGGTAAAAGAAGTTTGGCAGATGAGAACAACCGGAGCAGTATATGTGGTGGTCATCCATTTCAAATGGAGGGAGAAATGACCTGAGCTACAGATATACTCTGATTCATTGGCAGTGGTAAATGGTGTCTGGCTGTTTGATCAGGGGCCTAGAAAACAACAGTGAAAGATGATGTGATAAGGAGGTCTGGAAAAATGAATTGGGCACAAATCAGGGGCATTTGTGTGTCTCACAATAACTACCAGGAGGTATCTACCAAAATGGAGCATGTCAACATGTGTGTTGTCTAATATCAACAATGAGGTGAATAGGATACTTTATTCTATGGCTGTCAGCCAGCCTTCCACTTGGGCCACCACAGAGTTGACATAGTGAGCCCATAATAGAGTGGCCAAGGTGCTTCCTCTCACCAATGTTGAAAAGCTATTGCTAAATGCGTAAACTGCCAATGAAAGAGACTGATGACAACCACTCAATATGACATCATTACTCAAGGAAACCGATCACTTGGCATAAGATTACATGGGAGTGGGGAGGTAGAGGGAGTAAAAGAGTTGGTGGCAGGGTGGCAATGATTTGTCTTTACAGAATTAATACCTAATCTGAACATGGATTTAGTTCCAGCTCCCAATACCTCTGCTACCACCACCATTCCAGGGCTTATAAAATAACTGATCTATCAACATGGCATCCCACCAAACACTGTCTTAGGCCCAAAGTACCCATCTTATAACTAAAGAAGTATGACAATGGGCACATCCCCTTAGAATCCATTTGCTTTACCGTACACTCCATTCACAAATAACAGCTGGCCCAATAGGTAGGCAGAATAGCCTATTAAAAAATATCAGCTGAAGAGACATCTTGAAGATGACTTCCTGCAGTGTTGGAGCACTGCCCTCCAGGGTATGGTATATGCATATGCATTGAAGCAATGGCCATTACAGGGTGCTGTGTTATAAACAGCTTCAATACTTAGGTCTGGGAACTGAAGGATGACAGTAGGGTTGACTTTGTGAAACTTGTGTTTTCTACCCATCCTACTTTCATCTCTACTAAGGTAGAGGTTCTGACTTCCAGATGGGGTTAAGGGGTGATTGTTTCCACCAGTGGACATGTAAGAGTTCCAATAAACTTGAAGATCTGACTATACTGCTGGGATACTTTGAATTCCTCAAGCCAGTACATCAGTAGAAAAAAGGGAGTCAGGTTACTGCTAGGAATATTCAATCTGGACCACCACAAGAAGCAAAGACTGCAGCTACACAATGGGGGAAGAAGAAATATGTCCAGAACTTGAGAGATTCACTGGGGTATCTCGTGGTGCTTCCATAGCCAGCGGTTACAATAAATGGGATATTTCAACAACCATGGATCAACAACAGCAAGGCAACTAAGGGCTCAGACATTTGAGGGACATAAGTCATATTTTATTTCAGCAGGCAAGCAACACAAGCTGGCAAAAAAAAAAAAAAAAACAAAACTGGTGAAGAAAACCTAAAATGAGTGATAGAAGATGTGTATCAATTACTGCCTCACGGTCAGCTGCAGCAGAAGGGACTGTAATTTGTTTCTCTAACTGTCCCGTCTAAAGTCTTTCGGACAGTGTGGCAGGGCTCCACCTTGAAGGGGATTCAGTTACTGATTGCACATAACCTCTGATCTCAGGGATGAAGTGAAGGCATCTTATTCTCACAAAAATGGAGGCCTCATATCGTAGTATGGAAGCTACGTATAATGTAGAGCCTGAATGGATCTCAGTGGTTAAAGGGGTGTATTATACTGGGCATCTTTTATGCATCATTCAGATCTTCTCAACCTTACTTGTATCTTAGTCCAGCTGTCTAACCAGCACCAATTTCACATAGGTACATCTGACAGTTCCCTGCCTCATGCCTCGGGGGGCAGTTCTTGCCTTGTACTCTATGGCATCTGCGTTGACGCTGCTTTGGATTCCCCACTTGCATACCCCCATGGAGGAATTAATATACTGAAAGATGAATCTTTGGCCAATGGGAGACAGAAACTAATGAAAAAATTCTTCCTCCTTTCTTCTCTCACAAGGTACAGTCTTAAAGCACAGTTTATGAGAGTTTTCAGGAACGAACCTACAGGACTGAGTGGTGGCAGGTACCACAATAGCTTATCCATGTATTGACTCTCCACCCCTACCAAACCATATTCTCCTTGTTTCTCACTCTACTTCTTGGGATTATGTTCCCTAATAAACAGCACATGCTGCTCTGCTTCCGGCTCTTCTTAGTGGGGAAGCTGAGCTAAGACAGATCTAATAGTCTGTGGTGCCTTTATGATATTTGAGGTCATTCCTCTGGAGTTCAGAGGTGGTAAGTGAAACCACAGGCAGAGATGAGATCACTCAGAGGGAAAGACAGAGTAGGAAGAGAAAAGAGAAGAAGACCTAACACTTGGTCCATTAATGGCCACGAGAGGGATAATGGCCAGAAAAGAAGAATGCTGTGTGGCCAGAGAGGTGAGTAGAAAACTGGAAAGTACTGTTGTTATTGTGAGGGAGTTTAGTAGGGGACACAGGTAATATACATCTAATATACAAGCTGTTAATTTTAAATTACTAAATTTGGTTCAATTATTAATATAGATATTTGATATATTATCAAAGAAAATTAAATAATACATACTGCAAACAAAGTAGTGATGGAGGAAGTTTTTCAAACCACATTCCTCTGAGGGGAAACCCCAGGCAGAGCTACAGGAAAGCAGAAGAATCAGTAACCACGCCCCCTTATCTATGCATCTCTGGAAGGCAAACTGGTAGTGGATACAGACTGAGGAAAGGATGATCTGGCTGGCTAAGTTATTCACTTACAAAATTCTACCTTTTGAAAATTTCTTTTGGATTTTAAAAAACGCTCTGACATCAAAAAATAAAAGCTCATAAAACAGGCTTTTATAAGATCTTATAGAAAACAACACAGAAAGCTCAGTGCCTTATGTAAGGCATTTTAATTTAGTATACTTAAAACTATACTTCATAGTAAGACTTTCTTCCTTACACATAGGAGGGCATAAGAGTTCATAAAAATGCTTTATATGTCTTTACGAACACTTAGGATCAGAAGACAGATCTTAATACTTGGAATTAATCACAAGATTAAGGTATGAAATATCACCCTCTCTTACAAGAAGCCAGACAAGTCCTTTTTGGGGGGTTGGGTGGGAGATTAATGCTATATACCCATCAGTAGCAGGATTCATTTTTTTTTTTAAATTTAGAAATGTTTTGGTATTCTCCTTAAGTTCATTAAAACTTCTCTTTAGTGCATTTAGTTTGGTGTAAATAAAAGGATCAGTTCTGCCTGATCTTCACCCTGATTTCCTGTCTGTTTCAGTTAATATTCCTTATCCTATTGTTACTAATGTTTAATGAGGTCTTTATTAAAATATACATATGTTCTTTTACTCCCAGATTTTATTTTTGTAGCATGTATTACACAGGCCACATAAGTCCAAAGTTACAATCAACAATATAAAAGTCACAGAACTAAAATCTAAATTTCTAACTAACAATATGAACACTAGGGAACTTCAATTTAAATCACAAAGCAAGGCTTTGTAATAACATTCTTAAAGTACTTAAATAAATATGAAACGTCTTTGAATATAAGTGGTACACCAAAAGCAAATGTGTTTTAAACGACCCAAATGAAGAGTTTCATTTTCTGACACTGCTTTTGGTAATTAAAAAAAATGATATATTTAAAATAGTTAGCTCATAATATCACCTAAAGTGTTGTACAGTTAACAACTTCCTTTCAAAAATAATAGCATAAAGCAATACTGAATACGCTATAACTTAAAGATGAGACAGAATCAATGCTACCTGTCAGCAGTGCTAGAGGCCTGCCCCAACCACATGACTATTAGGAACAAGTCAGTGAGCTCCTCTAACAAAGTCTGTGCTTCAGAGATGGTGGCATCTCCTCCACACATTAAGTTTCCTTACCCAATTCTTTTTTTTTTTTTTTTGAGACGGAGTCTCGCTTTGTCGCCCAGGCTGGAGTGCAGTGGCGCGATCTCGGCTCACTGCAAGCTCTGCCTCCCGGGTTCACGCCATTCCCTGGCCTCAGCCTCCCGAGTAGCTGGGACTACAGGCGCCCGCCACCATGCCCAGCTAATTTTTTTTTTTTTTTTTTTTTGGATTTTTAGTAGAGACGTGGTTTCACTGTGTTAGCCAGGACGGTCTCGATCTCATGACGTCGTGATCTGCCCGCCTTGGCCTCCCAAAGTACTGGCTGGGATTACAGGCGTGAGCCACTGCGCCCGGCCTTCCTTCCCCAATTCTTTGATAGATGCTCACTTCACAGGTACAATTGTTGCCTGCCAACCTTGCAGGGTGGATATTAGTTTTCATCTGATGCTTCAGAATACCCAAGTGACACAACACCAGGTCAAATGATTTTAGTGGTTTGCAAGTCGGTGTAAAAACCCCAGCTCTTTTGTACTGGAGCTCAGTATCCAAACAGCCCATTCTCTCTTTAGAATTCTAACTAAAATGTCAGTGGCAAGGGATTTTTAAAATAGCCCCTAGGTGTTTCAAGTTTCCTGTGCTTGTTTCAGCAGACTACTGACCCTGCCTACTCACAATAAGCGAGTCTCTTAGGATTTAAATATACAGCTACATTGCCGTAACAAGAACCAGTTACAGGAAGAGCAGGAAAAAAAGTTGGGGGGACAAACTGGCAGGAAATGACTTCAGGACACTTTTTTTCTTTTTTTTTAAATCCAAGTCAAAGAATAACTCAGCTCTTTACAGTTATTTAAATCTGAAAACTATTTCCCTGAAAATGAAATTTCTAAGTAATATACAAATCAACTTAACTAGACTGAAACATTTAGGCTGATCTTACTTTATCCTTTTTCTCAGTATCTTACCTAACGGTTCTATATTTCAAAGCCTGACAGATTTGTTTGGCTGGCATGATCTGACCACTTCCTTTCTATCGAGAAATACAATTTTCTCTTTTGTTGCTGAAAGATTTCTGTTCACGCGTATGAACGTGGGTCCGTTTACAGATTTTGAAGTGTAAATGTTAACATGGAGATAATGCAGGTCAGTATTTTACATCTTATTAGATATCTATATAAAGAAGATAAGATAGCCGGGTACAATGGCCCATGCCTGTAATCTCAGCACTTTGGGAGGACGAGATGCAAGGATTGCTTGAGTCCAGGAGTTTGAGACCAGCCTGGGCAACATAGTGAGACCCCATTATTTTTCCTTTTTTTCTTTTGAGACAGAGTCTCACTCTGTCACTCAGGCTAGAGTGCAGTGGCGTGATCTTGGCTCACTGCAACCTCCGACCCCTGAGTTCAAGCGATTCTCCTGCGTCAGCCCTCCGAGTAGCTGGGATTACAGGCACCTGCCACTGCACCTGGCTAATTTTTGTATTTTTAGTAGAGATGGGGTTTCACCATCTTGGCCAGGCTGGTCTTGAACTCCTGACCTCGTTCGTGATCCACCCACCTCGGCCTCCCAAAGCACTGGGATTACAGGCGTGATACACAATGCCCAGCCTCTTTTTTTTTTTTAATATAAAAAATTTAAAAAGATAAGAATGTCTACAATGAATAAGTATAGCTTCTCTGGCTTCACTGATAGTATAATCTTGATGTCAGGTAGGTTTCTTGTTCCTCAAACTGTATAGGTTAAAACACAAAATGGGCTAATAATGGACAGCACTATGGTACTTTAGTTATACATCTGGATTGAGGAATGGAGTGAGAAATACAATGCGTTTTCGCTGAAAGTGTTTAAACTACTTAAATACATTAAAATAAAAATAAACACATTAAAATAAAAGGTTATCTATCTTTCCATTGTTATAAGATGTGGGTTCCAAAGCACTTGAGGGATGGGATGGAGACAGCTGCTCAAGGACAAGCTGGAGAAAGTTCATTATAAGAGTATGTATAATTCATTCCAGACCTCTCAACGTTCTCTCTCATAATCTCTTTGGGGTCCTAGAGACTTTGGGCAGCTAGCCATCCCCAGGGCTCACTTGCTTAAAATTCAAATCCCATTTCCCAGATCTCCCTTAATCCAAACACTTATCCATAAGAAGTTCTAAAACAATTCTAGGGTTAAGACATGGAGGAGGAGGGGTGCCTCTGAGTTTGACAGTATCTCTTAGCGCAGGTACTATAACACACACCCTTTATTCCTTTAGTCCTTGGATTCCTGGCATCTGCCAGTAACCCTATGTGATGGCCAGTCAGGAAGGAAAGCAGTCACACAGTTTCCTTTTGCAGTGCACAGGAAGAATACGCATGAAGGGAAAGTCTCAGGTTAGCCTTCCCCTGTACACATAACAGTATTTTTTAAAAATCACATGTTAAAAGCAAAACATCATGAATTCAATGTCAAGAAATTGAAACATTTCTTTGAATCAACTTATTTATAAGTATTATTGAGTTCCTGTTCCAAATTTTGCATTCTACTCTGATTTTCTTGTATATAAAAATGATCACTCAATTACTTAGGGGCAAATCTAACAATATTCATGCCTTCCTTAAAATAAAGACAACAATAGTTAACCATTATGTAGTGTGTTGAGTAGTATTCAAATATCCTTGCAAAGAAGCCACAAACCTTATCAGAATACTAATATGTTGTTATCAGAAAATTTGTAGTGATGGTGGTAACCTGACAATCATAAACCCACAGTAATTCTGATTCTTTTATGGTTTCAATATGAATACAGCTGAAACCAAATATTTTAATTTATGAACTATGTTAAGTTTCTCTTTTCCATTTATATGTGGGATGGACCACATGCAGCAATATCTAATTTAGTAAATATTTCAAGCATATATCAAACCATGATGCATAAAATATAATGAAAAGGAAAAATATTAATACTTTAATTATTACTCAAGAAAGAACACATGACTAAGCTGTCACCAACTGCCTATCATAATGCTATAAAACTTACTTAGGACCAACTAATAAAAGCTCAAAAACCGTACAACTACTGAAAATGTCTAGTATATAACTTGAGAACATCTGTCCCTTTTAATTCAAACCTTTTCAAATTTAAGTTCAAGGAACTTCTATCACTACAGAAAATACAGAAATGTATCATCTAATTTTGAGTACTATTTCTGCCAATCCTTTGCTCAAACCTTCCACAGGCTCCTATGGAATAAAGCTGATGTTCTGGTTCTGGTACCCTAAATCCTCCATAATTTGGACCCCCTCACTTCAGCCTTATTTCCTCTTGCTCCAGCATGAGGAAATCTTTTCTCTAGAGAACCTGAATTCCTGAACCTTCTCAACTCTGCACCTTTACTTTTGCTCTTTCTGAAGCTTGTCTGGAACACCTTTCTTGCTTTACTCACTGAAGTCCCACCTGAATCAAGTTAAAATGCTTTACAGAAACCTGTACTGGTTCATGTTTGTGATCCTACAATCTGAGCTTAGACACTGGCATGAAATGATGCTCTTCAAATCTGCTGAATTAATCTGACTCTAAAGCCAATTTAAGACCATACAATAGTCTGCCCCTCACTGTTCCAACTTGGTCATTTCCAGTAACTGATCTTTGTAGTCACTGTGCTCATACTGCATTTACTGCCCACACTGAGGGTGTTTAAAACTTGCTGATTTCATGGAATCTCTGTGTTTTTCTCATGTTAATCAAATAAGTGGCCACCTGTCCTGTGTGCGGCACACAATGCTGAGGATGCAGAGATGCAGGATGACCTTTTCTGTGAGAACATATACACAATCTACGATACAAGTATCACACAAAGAACCAAAAGGACGTAGAAATCCAAAGGAGGAGGGAGTGCCTGTCTGACGGAAACATGCCAGACACTATACAGAAGCAGTGAGGTTCGATTCTACTGTCACAAGGAAAGTGTTCATGGTGATTCAGGGCCTCCGGCATTCCTCTCCTTTCTGAGCTCCTATAGTACTTACGTTTTACACTACTTCTTTTACCCTTAATGATGAAGATGAAGGTCAGAAACTGATTGCATTTGCTGAGCAATCACTATATGCCAGAGATTCTTATAATTAGCACTTTACATGATATTAATGCATTTAACTGTCACAAAAACCTAATCTATTAAAATACTCCTGGATTTACAGATTAGCAAACTGTGGCACAGAGAAATTAAACATCTTGGAAAAATTACACAGGTATTAAGTGGGTGGCATGGGACCTACTATGCATGGAAAAGTCAAAAGGGCCAGTTTTAGGTGGCATGGTCAAGGAAGAACTATCCCTATAAATAGTAGTTGCAATGAGACCTGAAAAAAGAGAGTCAGACATGTAAGGATGAGTTTTTCAGGCCAAGTAAACTACAAGGAGAAAGGCCCTGGGATGAGAAAAACCTGGCGTGTGTGGGAAGTGGAAGGAAGGCCAACGTGGCCAGAGTCAAGTGAAAGGGAGAAAGAACAAGAGATGAGCCTCCAGAAGCAGGCAGGGGCCAGCTCACGTATGGCCTGTGGGCCTGGGTTAGGAGTCTGGGTTCTATGTGTACTGATTTACCTTTACACTACACAACTCTTATGTCTTGTTCTCCACAGTGAGAGTGTCAATGGCAGAAACCAGCTATTATTTTTTAAATGTCTTGTAGCACCCAGCTCATAGTATTATGCAAAATACTCTGTGAAACATTCCCTAACTGTGATAAAAATGAGGTGGGTGTAACTGCATGCAGGAGTGGCTGAAATGGTCTAATGTCGGAGATACAAATGGAGAGACAGAGAGGCATTCCAGACCTGTGGTATGCCAGTTTCATGGCTGCAGAGGGGGAACTTAAGACGTTCTAATAAAAATAAGATGGAACATGGAAAAATAAGATTTTGTTTTGGGGAGGGAGTATAGTTTTTGTTTTTGTTTTTTGGGACAGCATCTTGCCCTGTCACCAAGGTTGGAGTGTAGCGGCTCAATCGCAGCTCACTGCAGCTTTGAGAATAGGAAAAAAAAAAAATCTTCTGTAAATCAAGATATAATTAGAACTTATACTCAGATTTTCCTTTAAAGGAAAACAAATCTTCAAATGTCTTCTAAATGAGAGCGCTCCAGTTTTCTATGAGAATACAACAGATGCTACAGTGTACGAATTCTGAAGAACGCAGGACTAAGAAATGCCCAGTGAAAGCAAAGTACTCAATTACTAACGAAATGTTAACATGTCATTCTGGCAAGAAGAAAAATATCATGGAACAGCAGAATGAACCTGGGCACTGGAGTCATGAAAGTTCACAATCAGAACTCTAGTTTAGCCACTGTGGTATAACACCTAAAATTAAGGTTCAATATCATGTGCCGCTTTGACACCTGGTAAAATCGGGAAGGCCTTGAATGATCTAACCCAGGGATCCCCAAACCCTGGGCCACAGACTGCTAACAGTCTGTAGCCTGTTAGGAACTGGGCCGCACAGCAGGAGGTGAGCGGCTGGGGAGCAAGCATTGTTGCCTGAGTTCCACCTCTGTCAGATCAGCAGTGGCATTAGATCCTCATAGCAGTGGGGATCCTATTGTGAACTGTGCGTGCGAGGTATCTAGACTGTGCGCTCCTTATGAGAATCTAACTAACGCTTGATGATCTGAGGCAGAAGAGTTTCATCCCCAAACCAGCCTGCCCCGCCCCTGCCGTGGAATAACTGTCTTCCACAAAACCAGACCTTGGTGCCAAAAAGGTTGGGGACCACCGACGTAACCCATACGTTCCCCTCTCCACTCTGCTCTCATGAATAAAGGCCCCTAGCGAAACCATCCACCTTACCAAAGGGGCCAGATGCAGTTCTTCCTTATCCTTGAATAGTAGGTTTCAGTTTCTTGTCAGCTTGAGGAATTATTCAAACAAGCCAATCACATCCTTCCATGGGAACCAGGGGATACCCCCACCCTCTTGATACTACAAAGCCTGCCTCCCATAGCTCCTAGTTGTTTACTCTGTTCCCAAGTGCAACTCCACGTGACCCCACTTGAGGCACAGGGTCCTCTTTGCCTTAGCTGTGAACATAGGTAACTAACTGCTGCTGAGCCCAACTGACGTGTTCAGCCATCCTCATAACCCTATGGCAGGAATCCTTCCCTTGTCAAAGGGGTGAGGAGGAAGTGACCAAAACCACCACTTACTGGCTGTGTGAATCAGACCTCACACCAAGTAACTTAACTTTTATCTCCAAGCTTTTTATTCTGTAAACTAGGATTAAGAATATTTACTCTGCAGGTTACGGTTAAGTATTATCTCTAGCAGTTATTATTGTGTGTTGTATCTAGCAGTGCAGTTTTAGACTCATGACTGATTCTACTAATAAAATCCTTATCCCATCACCTGTCCCTATCACCATAACTATTACTATTGATTTCAAGTGTGTAAGTTCAAATTATAGAGTTTGAAACAATAGGTGGGGACATAAATAACAGGCCAGATTTTATTTAAGAAGCAATCTGGCTTATTTACTAGACATCACTTAATTTCAGCCACTAAGAAAACAACTATAAGGAGAATTAACAAGAGTTTTGGGAAAATAAGTAGACATGAAACCAAGACTGCTTTCCAGATACTAAATACTTGGTTGAACTGTAATTTGATTCTGTGAATCTGGATATGCAAATGATGCAGCGATTTATGGCAATAAAGGTCTTTTTAATGAGCTAACATTCTGTGCGCAAATGCTTTATTTTTAAGCAAATGGAAAAAAATCACTTGCTTCAGATAAGAGACAAGGGGAAAATTGGAGCTAATAAAGCATTACACTGAGAGAATTTCCTTTTCTTCAGTTTTTCCTTCTCACATCTTAATTGTGCTACTTATTAAACACACCCCCAATCCAACTGTTTCCTGAACTCAGTAGTACATCTTTATGCCTTTCAATTTTTATGCAATTACCTAATTTATACAAGTTTGCATATTTGTACATTTACAGAGAGGAAAATTATAAAATATATAGTCTAATATACACATAATAAAATGAAAATTTATAACTATTTAAATAATGGAGGGAAGAAGACTTACACAATATAGTGAGAACTCCTTTGGACACACATAGGGTGATCATTTTGGGAGTATCTGTTTCGTACCAAGAATTTTTTGCCTTTAAATTTTGTCTAGTTAAGTAGAGCTAATGCACAATTGTGTCATTTGGGGGATGCAAACTTTATTCTCTTCAGAATTCTAGTTTGATACTGAAATATTACTGTCATAAAATTAGAGATAAATCACAATCCAGGTTATGTTAGTAAGCAATTGGATGTTACATTGAGATCTTTTTTTTGCTCTTTGGCTACCACATTCAATAAGTATTTAAGCACTAGTTTAAAGTGGATGATTGTTAATGTACAACAAAATTGCACAGTAATAAAGCCTGTAATAAAAATAAGCGGAACACCCACAGCTCATACAGTGTAGTTAAGTGTATTAGCTGGTCTCAAAAGCATTAACTTTTACTCAAATAGCAGCAGTATTCTGCACAACCTATTAGCTTCAGACAGTGCATATTAGCTGCAGACTACCAGAAATTTTTATATTTGTATGTTCAAATAAAATGGGTTTCACTATATTATAAATAGTTCCATATAATATTGAGGATTTATTTTAAATGTAAATGAGAAAAAAGGGGAATCTTTTTTCCCTTACAAACGAGGTAACTTAAAAATTTACCATTCTTAGTCTACATGTATTCCCGTATTTTACATCTTGTGAAAAAGCAAGACATGATATACTTCTATTAGTTAGCTTTTCTTGGAAGTTGTAAATTTATAAAAAGAGATCACTGATGGGCCAGCCCTTCATTTACTCTCATTCTGTTAAATTTGTCTTTCTCTTAGGCCATAGCTTGGGAATGTTAAATCCAAAATTTGGCTCAGTGTTTTTAAAACTTAAAAAAAAAAAGTCATAAAGACAAGCTGTTTTCTTGATCCTTTAATGCATTTTCAACGTTTAAATATCACATATTCTGGTTAATCATAGCCAATAAGATATCATCAGATCATATAAATCTGCGTCAATGTACTTAGTTTCAAAAAATTAAAAACAACCAATTCATAGTGCCAACCATGCTCAAAAATCATTAACATTCACTGTTGACATCAGTCCAAAGCATTCACCTGCATTAAAACACTTCATTAAAACACTCAAGAACTCTATCACTATTTATCTAGAAGCACGCATAAAACAAAATTCAGTTTTACATACAATAGGATTTAATCAGCTGTTTTTCAGCTTTTTTTTAATGGAGTCAACTTATAATTTTTTATTATTATGAAGTTATTCTAATTCTTTATAGAGGAGCACAATAATGATATAGCAAAATTCACTTGGGAGAAAAGATATGAGTATAAGATTTTGGTCCACCACAGTATCCTAGGTGCCTGAAACAGTGCCTGGCATACAGAAACTGACATTCAATAATTATTTTCTGTATGAATAAACAACTGGGTACACTTTTCCACCAAAAAGTAATATTTATTTTTTCCTTCCATTCACATCTTATCACAGGAATAAAGTATTAAAGGCATCATAAGTTAAAAGTTCTGTTAATGGCATCATAAGCTGAAAGTTTAGTGTTTAATATATTCAAGTTGCATCATAATCAAGAATCTTTCTATCATGATATCGAAGTGTCTATTCTTATAGAACCACACATAAATTATATTAATATTAACATCTATTATATCTGTTAATATGTTAATAGTTTATTATTAAATTATTAATGTCATTATCAAAGGCAAGAAAAAAGTAACAGAAAAGAAGTCTCTGTGTGACTGTTATCTGGAAATGAATCTATAATGTAAATACATCTCTATATGGCTGGGAAAGTTCTTTCAAAAGTTCAATTAAATAAATTTTAATTGAACATGAAATGCCCAAAATTGAGAAAACCACTACCAAATTTGGACAGAGTAATAGTAAGCATCCTTCTCAACTAATGAACTTGAGACGAGAAAGTAAGGAGAAAAAGAACATGGTAGAGCTGTGGAGAGACTGACAGCAGGAATTTATCAGTAAGAAGGTATAACTGATAATGTTGATATATGCACTTACATAAAAAGCCTTCTGAATATTAAAAATATTAAAAATCATATCACTGATGTAAAAAATTTGTTTAAAGTCCTATAGTAATCATTTCTAGAAATTTGCTTTTAAATGCTGATGCTATTTGTTATGATTTTTGGTTATTCCTTTTGTTTCACTTTTTGCCAATTATGAACGAAGAATCCTCATACAAATAATAATTGCACTTATGATACCTTTCAGCTCACAATCTTAATGCATTAACCAATTAATTAAGAAGGAAATATTTATCCCAAATTAGGGTAATCAGAATTAGGAATGGCAAGAACTCTGTTGCTTCTTTTCTCTACACATACCATTTTAGAATTTGACTGCTTGTGATATAATTACTGTATCTGACAAAACATAGAAAGAGAAATTAATGAAAAACTGATTTCTGGATATAGCTGCAGAACATTTATCCAAATTTTCTGTACTGAAAGCTGTACATTACAGTGTGATGACTAGTAGCGTTTGCCTACATGCTTTACACTTAAATCATTAGATATAAACGTGGTTTCATATGACCTGTCTGTGAGAGCTTATTTAGTAGTCTTAGATCATCATCTTCTAATGACTACTTATCAGCTTGTACTACAGTATGTGGGCCAAGTTGGCCCATTCTTACTGAAAATATTTTGAATTAATTTTAACCCCTAAATATTAAGGCCCTATTTTCACAAAGTATCACATAACTACATTTGAACAGGAAGATATTTCTACGTATAGTGGTTAATGCAAACTAATATATAGTGGTTTTCAGAGGCTAAAAAAAAATCTGTTTATACTATTTTATTTTTACTGCAAAGTTCTATTTTGTACTTTTAAAGAGGAGATCTGAAGATGTCAGAAGTGATGGTAAATCTATAAACCTCACTTTACAACTTATAAGACAGCTCTATTAAATAAAATGTTATCTAAGAAAAGGATAAGAAAATTAACAGCTGACATATACCACAGCTCACAGGCATCAGAGAAGTTTTTTTAATGATTTAAATCTATCCATATTAATATATTGTACTCATAGCATTTTCCTGAAAAACTGGAAAGCTGGCTGGTGGCAACTATTGTTTTAGACAACCTACTACTTCTGTGGCTTTCCCGCTGCAGAAACATTCAGGAAAGCATCTTTGAACAGCTCACTAAGCATGACCCCAGTGGACCTCAATCACATTAAACAAAATAAATCCTTAGCAAACAGATTCATCTTCCTGACTTTTTCTTTCTTCAGTGTACCATCTTCTTTGAGTCACAAAGGCTCAAAATAGCAAAGTGGTTTTTCACACCAAAGCCTGTGAAAACTTCCTTTGTCGTATCTCAAGCACTCATCTCAAAACCCTTTTATTTCTATTCACCCACTTCCAGTTCCCAGTGAAGATACCAAATAGATAAATTCTCCCAACAGACCACTTGTCCCATCCCACTCCATTGTTGTAAAGTCAGCACTGAATCTCTAGAACATTCTGCAGTTTCTCAAAGTAAAGGCTGTAGGCTACTGCAGCAAAATTACCCTCATATTTGTTATGATTCACTGGCCAAATCTATACTCAACTGAAAGCTCCCACTCAATCAAAAGCTCTGGCAATAAGATCCAGCATTTCATAAACTCTGTATTTGATTCTTATGTATACAGAAACTTGTCAACTATTGCCTAAAAAATGAAGTAAACAGGCCAGGTGTAGTGGCTCACACCAGTAATCTTAGCCCTTTGGAAGGCTGAGGTAGGAGGATTCCTTGAGGCAAGGAGTTCAAGACCAACCTGGGCAACATAGGGATATCCCATCTCTACAAAAGAAATAAGTAAATAAGCCAGGGGCAGTGGCACATGCCTGTAGTCCTAGCTACTCAGGAGGATAAGACAGGAAGACTGCTTGACCCCAGGGGGTTGAGGCCATGATTATGCCACTGCACTTCAGTCTGGGTGACAGAGTGAGACCCTGTCTCAAAGAAAAAAACAAAAAAACAACAAAAAAAACGCCACACAACCACCAAGAATAATAGCCAACATATTAAGTGCTTAATGTGGGCCAGGTACTGTTCTAAAAACTTTAATGGATGAACTCTTAATCTTGTAACAGCCCTATGAGGTAGGTAGTGTTACTATCACTACCTGACACATGAGGAACAAGGCAAAGACAGGTTAAGTAACCTATATTTAAGTGCTATATTATAGAAGATGGGAGATAAGGTATACTAATTGGAAAGGAAGAAATGAGACTTTCTTCACAAATCATATGACCATTTATGTCGATTATAGAATAAGCTGCGCTATTATAGAAGGTGGCAGAGATAAGATCCAAGCTCAAATAGTCTGCATCGAGTTTATATTCTTAAGCACTAGACAGACTGCTTCAGTCCAACATTCAAGGGGTCTGAATCTCAAAACCTAACCTTTCCAGAATTAACTCCTACTACTATAACCATGATTAATAAAAATGTTCCTTCGGCCAGGCACGGTGGCATGTACCTGTAATCCCAGCTGCATGGGAGGCTGAGGTGGGAGGATTGCTTGAACCTGGGAGGCAGAGGCTGCAGTGAGCCAAGATCGTGCCACTGCATTCCAGCCTGGGCAACAGGCCGAGACTCCATCTCAAATAAATAAATTCTGCTTTTTTGTTGCTGGTATATAGAAAGCAATTGACATTTGTATATTAATCTTGTATACTGCAATTTTGCTATAATTGCTTATTAGTTCCAGAAGTTTCTTGTCGATTCTTTTCGGTTTTCTACATAAATGGTCATATGATTTGTGAAGAAAGTCTAATTTCTTCCTTTCCAATTAGTATACTTTCCCCTGCCCCTTTTCCTATCTCACTACATTAGCTAGGACTTCTAGTACAATGCTGTAAGAGCAGAATGTTGTTAAGGAAGTTCTCTTCTATTCCTAGTTTACCAAGTCTTTATCATGAATAGGTGTTGAATTTTGTCAAGTGCCCTTTCTTTATTGATATGATCCTGAGAATTTTCTTTAGCCTGTTGACGGGATGAATTATATTAATTAAATTTTGAATGCTGAACCAGCCTTGCACACCCAGGATAAATCCCATTTGGTCATGGTGTATAGTTGTTTCTACACACTGTTGGAATCCATTTGCTAGTATTTTGTTAAAATTTTTTACGCCTATTATATGAAATTTTTTGGTGTGTAGTTTTCTTTTCTTGCAATGTCTTTGTCTGGTTTTGGTATTAGGATGGTGGCCTCACAGAATGAATTAAAATGGATTCTCTCTGCTTCTATCTTCTAGAAAAGACTGTAGAGAAAATTGGTATAATTTCTTCTTTAATGTACAGAATTCACTTATGAACCAGTCTGGGCCTGGTGCTTTCCGTTTTGGAAAGTTATTAGTTACTGATTCAACCGCTTTAATATATATGTAAGGCCTACTTAGTTTGTGTATTTTTTCTTGTGTGAATTTTGGCAGGTTGTATCTTTCAAGAAATTGGTTCATTTCATCTAGGACATGAAGTTGTTTATAGTATTTCTTTATTACCCTTTTAATGTTCAAAATATTTGTAGTGATAGCCTCTTTTTCAATTCTTTTTTTTTTTTTTTTTTTTTTTTAAGAGACAGAGTCTCACTTTGTTGCCAAGGCTGGACTGCAATGGTATGATGACAGCTCACTGCAGCCTCCATTTCCCAGGCTCAAGTGATCCTCCTGAGTAACTGTGATGTGGTGGCACCAGGCTATTTTTTGTAGAAATGGGGTGTTACTGTGTTGCCCAGTCTGGATTCAAACAATCCTCCTGCTTCTGCCTCCCATATTGCTGGGATTACAGGGTGAGCCACCACACCTGGCCCTCTCTTTTGTTTCTGATGTTAGTAACGTGTGTCTTCTCTCTCTTTTTTTGGAGGCTTATTGATTTTATTGATGTTTTCAAAGAACCAGCTTTTGAGATCATTGATTTTCTGTGATTTCCTGTTTCCTATTTCATTAATATATACACTAATTCTTAAATTTCTTTACTTCTGCTTACTTTGAATTTGATTTGCTTGTCTTTTTCTTCTTTTCTAAGGTAGAAGCTTAGATTACTGATTTTAGATCTTTCTTCTTCTGTAACCTCTGCATTCAATGCTTTAAATTTCCTTCTAAACACTGTTTTCGTTGCATCCCACAAATTCTGATAGGCTGTGTTTTTGTTTTCATTGTTTAAAATATTTTAAAATCTCTCTTGGTATTTCTTCTTTGACCCATGTGTTTATAATAATGTTGTCAAATCTCCAAGTATTTTGAGATTTTCAGCTATCTTTCTGTTACTAATTTCTAGTTTAACTCCATTGTGGTCGCACAGCATTTTTAAAATTAGTTAAGGTGTGTTTTATGATCCAGAATGCAGTTTACCTTGGTGAATGTTTCATGTGAGCTTAAGAAGAATGTGCTTTGTGGTGGTGGTGTATAATGTAGTAAACGGATTTCAATTATATTCAACTGACTGATGATTCTGTTGAGGTCAACTATGTCCTCACTAATTTTCTGCCTGCTGGATCACTTTCTGATAGAGGGGGTCCTGAAGTCTCTAACTATTTAATAGCCAAATCATCTATTTCTCTTTATAGTTCTGTAAGTTTTTGTCCTACATATTTTGATATGCTGTTGTTATGCACATACACATTAAGGATTGCTACGTCTTCTTGAAGTATTGACCCGTTTACCATTATGTAATGCCCCTCTTCATCTCTGACAACTTTCCTTGCTGTGAAGTCTTCTATTTGTGAAATTAATATAGGTACTCCCACTTTCTTTGGATTAGTGTTAGCATAGTATATCTTTCCCCAGTAACTTATCTTTACTCTACATGTGTTTTAATATTTAAAGTAGGATTCTTATAGACAACATAAAGTTGAGTCTTGCTTCTCATCCATGCTGACAATCTCTTGACATTTAATTTGTATATTTAGGCCACTGCTATTCAAACTGATCATTCAAATATAGTTTAATTATTATCTATTGATTTGTTACAATTTTCTATTTGTTGCCCTTGTTCTTTGTTCCTATTTTTTACTTTCACTCCTTTTCTGCCTTTTGTGGTTTTGAGCATTTTATATAATTCCATTTTCTCTCTTAGATTATCAGTTATACTTTTTTTTAGGTTGGAGAGCAGTGGCATCATCTTGCCTCACTGCAACCTATGCCTCCCAGGTGCAAATCACCTTCCTGCCTCTGCCTCCCAAATAGCTGGAACTACAGGCACATACAATGACACCTGGCTAATTTTTTTTTTTTTTTTTTTTTGGTAGAGATGGGGTTTCAACATGTTGCCCAGGCTGGTCTTGAACCCCTGGGCTCAAGCAATCTGCCCATGTCAGCCTCCCCAAAGTGCTGGAATTACAGGCATGAGCCACCCTGCCTGGCCATACTTCTTTAACTTTTTGAAAAATGATTCTCCTAGGGTTTGCAAAATACCTTTAAAACTAATCGAAGCCTACTTTCAAATAAATATATTTCAAATATATACCAGTTCACAGGTAACACAAGTACTTAATAACAAAATAATACTAATTCTTCCATCTCATCCCTGGTACCATTGTTGTTATTTCTTTCTACTTTTAGATAAGTATATATATATGTGTGTGTGTATACGCACACAATATATTGTTGCTATTATTTTGTACAGATTGATCTGTCCATTAAAAATAGGAAAAATAAAAAATTTAAAATTTTACCTGTACTTATCCCTTCTGTGATGTTCTTCCTTTTTTAATGGAGATCCCAGTTTTTGACCTATGTCATTTTCCTTCTCTCTGAAGAACTTCTTTTAACATTTATTGCAAAGCAGATCTGCTGGCAACAAATTCTCTCAATTTTTGTTTAGCTAGAAAGTCTTACCTCTTCTTCACTTTTGAAGAATAACTTTGCAGGGTATGGAATTTTTGGCTGGAAGTTTTTTTCTCTCAACACTAATTATTTCACTTCACTCTCTTATTGTGTGCATGGTTTCTGAGGAAATGTTGGATATAATTCTCTAAGTCAGGTCTCCCTGCACACCCCATCAGGCTTCATTCCAGATTTTTAATCACTGATTTTCTGTAATTTGAATATGATATGACTATGTGTAGCTTTTTTTTTTTTTTTTTGCATTTATCCTAATGCTTTCTGAGCTTCCTGAATCTGTGGTTTAGTGTGGGACATTAATTTGCAGGAAAATTTCTGTTGTTCCTGCTTCAAATATTTAATCTGTTCCTTTCCTTTTTTACTTCGTTTGGTATTCTCATCATGCATATGATACACCTATTGTTGTTCCACAGTTCTTGGATATTCTGTTCAGTTTATTTCAGTCTTTTTTCCCTTTACTTTTCTATCTTGGAAGTTTCTACTGACATATACTCAAGGTTTTAGATTCTTTCCTCAGCTGTGTCAAGTCTACCAATGAACTCATTTAAAACATTCTTCATTTTTATTTCACTGTTTTTCACCTTTGGCATTTCTTTTTGATTCTTTCTTAGAATTCCACCTCTCTGCTTACATTGCCCATCTGCTCTTCCATGGCATCTACTTTATCCCTAGAGCCCTTAGTATTTTAATGATAGTTGTTTTAAATTCCTGATATGATAATTTCAAGAGCCCTGCCATATCTGAATCTGGTTCTGTTGCTTGTTCTGTCTCTTCGAAGTGTATTATTTGCCTTCTAGTACACTTGTAATTTTTTTCTTGAGAGCTGGACATGGTGAATTGGGTAAAAGGAACTGCAGAAAATAGGGCTAAGAAAGTGGGGGTAAGAAAGCGGGGGAGGGTAGAGCATTCTATAGTCCTATGATTAGGTCTCATGACTCGTCACCCCTAAAGTTTTTCACTCTCAAGCTTGTATATCCTGAGCCCCAGCAATTTATCAATTGCAGTTCAGGTTTTCCTACTGTGATGCTGATTCCTGCAGAGGCTTCTGCTCCTGTTCTCTGTATTTGCCTGTCTCTTCAATCTGGGGGTGGTGGGAGTGGTTTACCCTGTAACCTTGCTTCTATAACAGATCTAAGAAGAACTGTTAATTTTTCAGTTTGTTCAGCTTTTTAACCTGTTTATTTTTTGACGTAATGACTTCTAAGCTCCTTACATGCTAGTCTGGAAACTAGAAGTCTAATTTTTTAAATTAACAAATTTCAGAGACAGATGGGATTTTAAAGAAAATTTAGTTGAGCTTCCCCCTTTAAAAGACAAGAGAGCAGGAAGAGAAGAAAGTTAAATGATTTGTCCAACTATCTAGGATCTATTTAATGTCATCAGAACTGGGTTAGACCCCAGCAATTCCTACCCTACTTCTTATCTGCAACTAAAAAGTAGCTGTTTTAATGGCATTATAGTTATGCTAAAAGAAATTAGTCCTTATGGACTTACTCAAGGATACATACTGAAATATTTATAAGGAAAGGATTGACACTTGGAATTTGCTTTAAAATCTGAGGCAAGATATGTTTGGTGGGGGTATAGTTAAAACACGATTCCCTGTGCATTGATAAATGTGATTTAAAGTCTTTATTATACTAATTTTCTACTTTGTATATAATTTAAGTTTTCCAAACTCAAATGTTTAAAACATGGTAAAGTAGAAAAGGATGAAACAATTGCTTATTTTGACTCTAATTATCCATAAATGTTACCACCAGATATAACCAATTTAAGATAAAACCAATTTAAAAATTATTTGGCTTAGTACCTCTGCCAAATCACTGAAGTAAAATAAACGCTACCAGTTATAAAAAATCAAACTACTTTATTTATATAAAATTCAGCTATCATACTTCTTTAAATGTTTCTATTATTTTAACATCTCATAGCTATCAGAGTACCTTAGCTCCAGCTGAAATCAAACTGACATCATTTTATGTATTTAACTACAAACCTCTTACACAATACATTAGCTCAATTTGCTTTTTCATTCTTAAATGAAACCTTATGCCTGGAGCAGAGGACCTTTCATTAGTGCTACAATTTGTACAAGATTCTAAAAATATGTTCATTAATCCAAGCAGAATTAAATTTTCTACATTTTATCCTTAGCAAGCCAAAGAAAAAGCCATCAAATTCAGTATCACTTAAAGCAAATACAGAAAAAAAAAAAAACAAAGGTGTTTAAGTCAGTTAATATGTGCTCTCCTCCCAGAAAGGCTACCTGCTCCCCTACAAGAGTAGATACCCCAGCTAGCTGCTTCTTTAGTTACTGATCATAGACAAATGAATTCATTTAGGAAATCATCTGTACCTTAACATGGTAACTGCAAGTCTCTGCTGTATTTTCATTAATATTATACTGCAGATTATGTAGCTTTTCTTTTATTTCTTAGATTTATCTGGTTCAACATAGAAAAAAAAGTTCCTTAAACATTTATATCTTATTCAATTGGGTATTTTCTGAAGGGTTTGAGAGAATAAATAACTGTGGAATTTAGTAAGATTATCAAACATTACTTACCTTTCCAAATTAGGGAACAAAAGCTTGAAGAGAAAACCTTAAAAGTATCCACTCACTCTCAGCACTCTCAAAATTCTCAGTAATGTCCTTTCATTACTCAAGAGGTCAACCACCAGACTCAGTAACTAAACTAGGCAAAATAAGTCTCCCTGAGGATCATGAATTGAAGGAGGGTGTGAAGGAGGAGAGGCAGAGATACAGTTTTCAGTACTCCACTGCTAAGGGAGGGCCCTCATTCTTCTGATAGGTAGCACCAGGTCACACTACTACTGATCGGAGATTTAGGAAGAGATGTAGGGTTTATTATCATATTCTCATTAAAAACATTCATGAGTATCATAATAAAGACTCCATACATTTTGAAAAAATGTAATTGCTTATATTCCAGTATAGGTATTTTTAAGCACCTAGTACCTATTACAATCACTGATCTAGAAATAAATACACGCACTGGACATGCAAGCATTATATAGATTATGGCATTAGTGTGTTATAAAGTAATTAAAGCAGTTATAAGTAAAATTAGACCAAGAGTTCTTATCAAGGATGGCAATATATTAACTCTCATCCTGATAAGAAATAAACAATTGTTAACCATTAAAACAAGGGTTATGAGAGAAACAGACATACTTCTATATTAACTCTTGACAAAAAGTTATGTATACTGAGTAAAGAAAAATGAAATAGCAGAGATCTATTTCTTATCTTTAGTATCAAGATAAATAATAAAGTGTAAGATAATCCCACTCAAGGACTTTTGAAAAATATATCTTTACTTCACTTCACTTTGCTAATGTATTAGATCTCCAAGACAGCTGCAAAGTTAGAACTCGAACACAACTAGCTTTAGTTAAAGCACTAGCTATCAAACCGTTTTATGCGCAGTTGGGAGAATAAAACAATTATAGCTTCAGAGACTCTAAAAGCTTTAATTTCAAGTTTTGTGACTGCTTAACATGCAAAGGACATTTTAATCAAGAACTGCAAACCAATGAACCTAACATGCAAAGGACATCTTAAACAAGAACTGTAAACCAATGAACCTTCATTATGTAAGCAGACACACAGAAAAACCAAGCCTTTAAGAAACTGACTTTACATACTGACTTTCCTAGTATGGGAAGGTGATAACTCAGCTGTGAACATGAAGGTGAAGATATGGAGAAGAGCTGAACAGGGATCTAGATCTTGGTGATTCAAGAATTTCAAGATAAAAAGGAACTTGAAATGTCATCTTACCTAGACCCTTCCCTAGACACTTTTGACAACTCATCATCCACTATTAGCTTGAACACCACTTTCCAGGAACAGAAGAATTTCCAAGCAAACATCCTATTCTATTTCTAGTCTGCTCTAATTGTTAAGTGTTTCCTTGAGTGAAAATCTGCCTGTCTCTGTTCTGCCTTCTGGAAATAGAACAAGTCAAATCTGTCTTCCACCTGATAACCCACAAGTATTTAAAGCAGCTCTCTGGTTTCTTCAAAGCCTTTTTCTTTGTTCCAACATAGGGCTGAGGACTCAGAAGACAGCATCACCCAGGTCACAAACTGACAGAAAAGATAATCTATTCTTCAGATATGCTTGTTTATCTGCTCAGTTTAAAAATTTTCATAAAGAAACATGGAATCTTGGTTTCTCTTGAAAAATAGTAGTCCTGGCAACACTGGACTGGTGACAGTAAGCTGCAGCTGGGAAGCAGCAGAGTAGATTCTTCCTTCAGATGGGGCATTCTGCTCCAGTTGACCACTTTCTCTACCATTCAAGTGTTGTCTCTCAGGAAGAACTTAACCTGCCCATGTTATCTAAAATAGCCAACTTACCTCCTACTCTCTATCCCCGTATTTATTATTAATGCTCCTTTAAAGTACCTAAGAAAATTGTTTCTCTTAAAAGATTCTCTCTTAACCTACTTCTTTGGTGTAGTCTGTTCAATATTAAGTACCAACTTCTACTTCTATTTGGAATATAAATATTTATAATTAAAAAAATTATTAATTACTTCATTCAATACAACAAAACAGCTCATTAGAGGATATTTTGGCAGCCCCATTAATGTTGTGACTCACTGACCAACTAATTTCCTGGTTGCTGGCCAACACTGGTAAACAAATCTGCTACCATTATACCACATTTCCCTCATTCAATAACTGTGCTATTATTTGGGAAAGCTAAACATGGTGTTTTGCATAACCATCACCCGAATAGTGAAGACTGTACCCATTAGATAATTTCTTATCTCTCACCTCCCTCGCACCTGAGTCTCTAATGACTCTTATTCCATGCCCTCTGGCCATGTGTACATATTATTTAGCTCCCACTTAGAATTGAGAACATGTGGTGTTTGACTTTCTGTTTCTGTTATTTCACTTAAGACAATGGCCTCCAGGCCAGGTATGGTGGCTCACGTCTGTAATCCCAGCACTTTGAGAGGCCGAGGTGGGCGGGTCATGAGGTCAGGAGTTCGAGACCAGCCTGGCCAACATGGTGAAACCCCATCTCTACTAAAAATACAAAAAATTAGCTAGGAGTGGTGGCAGGTGCCTGTAATCTCAGCTACTCGGGAGGCTGGGACAGGAGAATTGTTTGCACCCTGGAGGCAGAGGTTGCAGTGAGCTGAGATCCAGTTCTATCCATGTTGCTGCAACAGACATGATTTCATTCTTTTTTATGGCTGAATAGTATTCCATGTTACATACATACACCACATTTTCTTTATCCAATCATCCATTGATGGAAACCTAGGTTAATTCCATATTTTTGTGACTGTGAATAGTGCTGCAAGAATAAGACTTGCCTCCTAAGCCAGTTGTGCTAGACTGTAACAGATACCAGCCATCACCTAATTATGTAGAGTTTAATGCCTACTGCAAAGATGCACTAAAATATTTGTTAAATTCAATTACAGATTCTCAGATGATATATTTAGCTGACCTTCAAGCTGAAAGAGAAACTCCCTGCACAACAATCCTTACAAGATGCCTAAGCACTACTAGTGCACACAGTAGAAAGTAGATCATGTCCCTTCCAAAGAGTTCTACCTTTCAGAAACATTCTCCCTATTATTAAGTCAAATCTTCCCTCCTATAACTTTCGTTTTTATGATTTGAGAGTAAAAGGAATAAAGATATTGTCTCTTCTACATGATTCACATTACCTTATTTTACATGTCTGAAAACAGTTCTTCATATCTTTACTCTGTTCTTAACCCATAGGCAATATCTAGTTAGGGGTTTTGTGGGCCTAAATACAGTAACAGAAAGATATACATGTAAAGATCAGTCCTTTCCTGGAGAGAAGTGAACTATTAGGTAAAGGCTTCCTGAAAGAGGCAGGACTTAAAAGAAACCTTAAACAATATATTGCAAAAAAAACATATCATGATTCAACTCTTAGTAAATATTCTTGCCTCTTTACAAGTGGTTCTGGTGTAGGTGAAGAATACTGTAAAGAAATCAAAGCCTTGTCTTAGAAGTTACAACTATGAACAGCATTTGTCCTTACAGTACAGATACAAGAAACAGTCACTGACATTATCTAGCATTGTTAATTAGAAGTACTTAATTCCTGCCTTATTCTCTATTGCTTCCAACTGCTTTAAGCTTCATTTCTAACACCTATATTTAAAAAGCCTGAATAATATGTCATTCAAACTATGAAACTGCCCATTAAAATTATTTTTCTAAATCACAGGATCATAAAAATTGAGCAATAAAGGGAACTTCTTTTAGACTTTCTGATCCAGTTCCCTCATTTTATTAAAGAAGATATTCAATCATTATTTATAGAGTTCCTTCTGGGCAATCTGATCCATATATACCCTCATTAAGCATTTACTGGGCTCTTACAATATGCAATGCACTGTGTCAGATGCTATGATGGCTACAAGTATGAATAGACATAGATACTGCCGTCAAAGAGCTTACATTTAGCAGATAACTGAAACAATAATAATTCAGGTTAGAAAACTGTAGGTTTTATAGTAGATGAGGGCTACTTGTTCAAATTTTTCATGATAGACTCTCTCTCTTAGGCATCTGTATCCATTCAAACGCCTAAATATATATTGTGTTTATTCTTGTATGTACATGCCTAGTCTTAGCAGCCCACCAGTAGTAGGCATTTTGTCCCACACCCAACAGTAGTAACTGCTGGTTTTGAAATTTAATTGAAGGGAGAGGCAGAAGACCCTTGGACTTCTGCAGACCTGAGCAAGAGAGAGGAAAGGGAGAGCTTCCCCATTCTATGTGGTATCATGCAATTTATGTCAACTAACCAGGTTCCTCAAGAGAAGCAAATGTCATTGAAACCAAAGACTCATTCATTCATTTAACAAAAATTTATTCAGTGCCTAATATCTGTCAGAAGGTATACGAGACACAAAGGCCATAATTTTGAGGGAAAGGAGTATGTCCCTGCTCTCAGGGAGCTCACAATCTAGTTTGGCTTTTTTCAAAACTATGCACGGCAGGCAAGTGGAAATAATCTCTGCAAGAACACTGCATAACAAAAGCACAGATTCTCAAGCAACATCCACAACTTATTAAAAGCTTCCCAGGTAATTCTGGTGGGTCACTTCTCTGTGTTATTTGAAGTCCTTTGTGGCTTCCAGGCTAGGCACTGTTGTGTTGTATCTTAGGGAGATCTGGTAAAGAAAGTGTACTACATGTTGACAACTCATCACTGTATAGGTAGAACAATACCAAAGAGTACACATTGAGGGTGTGGGGGTGGTAACTGCTTCCCATATTAGAACCATCAGCATAGCCAGAGACAGCAAAGCTTAGGGGGTTATTACAAGTTAATTAGAAAACTAATGTTTGTGGGCTAGATATGGTGGCTCACACCTGTAATCTCAGCATTTTGGGATGTCAAGGCAGGATAACTGCTTGAGGCCAGGAGGAAGCTTAAGACCAGCCTGGACAACACAGCAAAACCTCACATCTACAAAATAAAACATAAAAATAAAAAAATTAGCTAGATGTGGTAGTACACACCTATAGTCTTAGCTACTCAGGAAGCTGAAGCAGGAGGTTCCCTTGGGCCCAGGAGATTGAGGCTGCAGGGAGTCATGATCATGCCACAGCAGTCAAGCCTGGCCAACAGAGCAAGACCCTGACTCAAAAAAAAAAAAAAAGTAACATTTGTGAAAGAAAAATCAGAAAGACTGGAACAGGTGGGAAGTCATTTAATCTAACATCCTTACTGCCAAGGGTATTTTAACCATATTTAAGTATCACTTGCAAAGTAACAGCATAACTTAAATACCACTAAATCTGATGCTCAGAGTCATTACTGCTGTAATCATCACATCACATCTTCTTTCTTCACTGTTGTTCTGAAGAGTCACAGCGTCTAAATATTATCATGACAGATCTATCATAACAGTGATTTTTAACATCTCCAGAAAATAGTCTATTATTGATGGAATGCCCAGCTTAAGATGTACTTTTCAACAAACAAAACATCTCTGGTTACTATCTTGGCTGACAACTCTATACAAGAATAATGTAACCGGAGGTGAGGAGTTCGAGAACAGCCTGGCCAACATGGTAAAACCCCGTCTTTACTAAAAATACAAAAATTAGAGCCTGGCTTGAAGATGGCCAAATAGAACAGCTCTGGGGTGCAGGTCCCAGCAAGATCAACACGGAAGGTGGGTGATTTCTGCATTTCCAACTAAGGTACCCTACTCATCTTACTGGGACTGGTTACACAGCGGATCCAGCCCATGGAGGGTGGGGCATTGCGTTACCCAGGAAGCACATGGAGTCCAGGAACTCGCTCCCCTAGCCAAGGTAAGCCGTGAGGAACTGTGCCATGAGGAACGGTGCACTCTGGCCCTGATACTACGCTTTTCCCACGGTCTCTGCAACCTGCAGACCAGGAGATTCCCTCGGGTGCCTACGCCACCAGGGCCGTGGGTTTCAAGTACAAAACTGGACGGCCATTTGTGCAGACACCAAGCTAGCTGCAGGATTTTTTTTCATACCCCAGTGGTGCCTGCAACGCCAGCAAGACAGAACCGTTCACTCCCCTGGAAAAGGGGCTGAAGCAAGGGAGCCAAGTGGTTTAGCTCAGCGGATCCCACCCCCACGGAGCCCAGCAAGCTAAGATCCACTGGCTTGAAATTCTCACTGCCAGCACAGCAGTCTGAAGTCGACCTGGGATGCTGGACCTTGGGCACGGGAGGGACACCCGCCATTATTGAGGCTTTAGTAGGTGGTTTTTCCCCTCACAGTGTAAACAAAATCGCCAGAAGTTCAAACTGGGTAGGGCCCACCACAGCTTGCAAAGCGCCGCTGTAGCCACACTGTCTCTCAAGATTCCTCCTTTCTGGGGCAGGGCATCTCTGAAAGAAAGGCAGCAGCCCTAGTCAGGGGTTTATAGATAAAACCCCCATCTCCCTGGGACAGAGCACTAGGAGGAAGGGGAGGCTGTGGGTGCAGCTTCAGCAGACTTAAATGTTCCTGCCTGCCGGCTCTGCAGAGAGCAGTGGATCTCCCAGCACAGCCCTCGAGCTCTGCTAAGGGACAGACCGCCTCCTCAAGTGGGTCCCTGACCCAACCCCCATGCCTCCTGACTGGGAGACACCTCCTAGCAGTGGTTGACAGACACCTCATACAGAAGAGCTCTGGCTGGCATCTGGCAGGTGCCCCTCTGGGATGAAGCTTCCAGAGGAAGGAACAGGCAGCAATCTTTGCTGTTCTGCAGCCTCCGCTGATGATACCCAGGCAAACAGGGTCTGGAGTGGACCTCCAGCAAACTCCAGCAGACCTGCAGCAGAGGGGCCTGTTAGAAGGAAAATGAACAAACAGAAAGGAATAGCATCAACATCAACGAAAAGGACGTCCACACAGAAACCCCATCTGAAGGTCACCAACATCAAAGAACAAAGGTAGGTAAATCCACGAAGATGAGGAAAAACCAGCACAAAAAGGCTGAGAATTCCAAAAACCAGAAAGCCTCTTCTCCTCTAAAAGATCACAACTCCTCGCCAGCAAGGGAACAAAACTGGACGGAGAATGAGTTAGATGAACTGACAGAAGTAGGCTTCAGAAGGTGGGTAAAACAAATTCCTCCGAGCTAAAGGAGCATGTTCTAACCCAATGCAAGGAAGCTAAGAACCTTGAAAAAAGGTTAGAGGAATTGCTAACTAGAATAACCAGTTTAGAGAAGAACATAAATGACCTGATGGAGCTGAAAAACACAGCACAAGAACTTCGTGGAGCATACACAAGTATCAATAGCCGAATTGATCAAGCAGAAGAAAAGATATCAGAGACTGCTGATCAACTCAATGAAATAAAGCGTGAAGACAAGATTAGAGAAAAAAGAATAAAAAGGAAGGAACAAAGCCTCCAAGAAATATGGGACTATGTGAAAAGACCAAACCAACGTTTGGTTGGTGTACCTGAAAGTGACGGGGAGAATGGAACCAAGTTGGAAAACACTGCAGGATATTATCCAGGAGAACTTCCCCAAACTAGCAAGACAGGCCAACATTCAAATTCAAGAAATACAGAGAACACCACAAAGATACTCCTCAAGAAGAGCAACCCCAAGATACATAATCGTCAGATTCACCAAGGTTGAAATGAAGAAAAAAATGTTAAGGGCAGCCAGAGAGAAACGTCAGGTTACCCACAAAGGGAAGCCCATCAGACTAACAGCAGATCTCTTGGCAGAAACCCTACAAGCCAGAGGAGCGTGAGCGCCAGTATCCAACATTCTTAAAAAAAGGAATTTTCAACCCAGAATTTCACATCCAGCCAAACTAACATTCATAAGCAAAGGAGAAATAAAATCCTTTACAGACAAGCAAATGCTGAGAGATTTTGTCACCACCAGGATTATGAATCATTCTACTATAAGACACATGCACACGTATGTTTACTGCAGCACTGTTCACAATAGCAAAGACTTGGAACTAACCCAAATGCCAATCAATGTTAGACTGGATAAAGAAAATGTGGCACATATACACCATGGAATACTATGCAGCCATAAAAAAGGATGAGTTCACGTCCTTTGTAGGGACATGGATGAAGCCGGAAACCATCATTCTCATCAAAGTAACATGGGGACAGAAAACCAAACACCACATGTTGTCACTCATAAGTGGGAGTTGAACAATGAGAACACATGGACACAGGGAGGGGAACATCACACACTGGGGCCTCTCGGGGGCTGGGAGGCTAGGGGAGGGATAGCATTAGGAGAAATACCTAATGTAGATGATGGGTTGATGGGTGCAGCAAACCACCATGGCACGTGTACACCTATGTAACAAACCTGCACGTTCTGCACATGTATCCTGGAACTTAAAGTATAATAATAATAAAAAAGAAGAATATAATTTCAGAAATATGGAAAAGGGTTTTATTTACTGATATGACCTACAAAAAGTCAGCAAATTCCAAACCATTATAATCCTAGAATTGGCTAAATTTTTAGATGTACATCACCTGTAATCTACTTTAAAAACTAACTGCTGATTTCAAACATTTTTCTCCACGACCCACAGTAAGAAATGCATTTTACAGCACTACACAATGATGTGTACATGTATAACAGGAAGGAAAGGTTCAAAAAACAATTTTTTACATGTAATGTACTCCAGCCTCATTCCATACCCTTCCCATCCTATACTATGGTAGCAAAGGATGTTGGTCTCGCTAATTTGATTTTACAACCCACTGATGGATCAGAGTTGCAATTTGAAGAAAAATACTGATACAGACATAGGATGTATCTCTGTGTGCAAGGTATCACTGGAAGGACCTAGTTAGGATTTATCACTCCAGGAATGGCTAGTTAGTATGTGAAGGACTTTAATCAGGATTTTTAACTCCAGAGGAATCCAGTGTTTTTACCTGCATCTAATATCTTTACCTGCATTACCAAGGAAAAGTTCATCTATACGCATAAAAAAAGTTAGAAATAAATTTTATCAGTGGAAGTAAAGGACATTCAAAATGTGTGACACCCAGAAATATCTTACAAGTTCCCCAACCTTGTATGGAAGGAGAACTATCTAGCAAGTCCAGTAGCTTCACACCTCTTGAGTTGCACACAAAATCATGAAAGTCTTCATGTCTTGTTCTCACACCAAACACTCTAACTCCATTTCGGCTGCTACACCTTAGACTGGGTACTTTATAAACAACAGAAATTTATTTTTCACAGTTCTGAAGGTTAGGTAGTCCAAGATCAAGACATGAGCAGATTCTGTATGTGGTGAGGCCTGTTCCTCACAGATGGCACCTTACGTGTTCTCATATGGTGGAAGAGACAAACAAGCTTCCTCAGCCTCTTTTATAAGGGCACTAATCCCACTTATCACAGCTCCACTTTCATGACCTAATCACTTTGTAAAGGCCTCACCTCTTAATATTATTGCGCTGGGGATGAGATTTCAACATAAGAATTTTGAGGAGACACATATCATAGCATCCTCCTCCAAATTAGCAGAAGATCCTGATGACTGATCACACTAGAAAGTTACCTGATCCTACCATTGCAATGTGATATAGTTTGAATCTGTGTCCCCACCCAAATCTCATGTTCAACTGTAATCCCCATTGTTGGAGGTGGGGCCTGGTAGGTGGTGACTCGATTGTGGAGGTGGATCCTTCATGAACGGTTTACCACCATCCCTGTTTCTGAAAGCTCAAATGAGGGAAGGGAAGCAATTCTTATTTATTTACCACTTACAGTATACCAAGCACTATGTCAGGACCTTTAACAAGTGTGCACCAGCTCACATAGACAGATGAAGATATTTTCACTCACTGGAAACAGAGTAAGGTAGATTGAATGTCTCCAGCCAGTGGGGTCTCTCTTGACAACTGGAAAAAATGGACCAATATGGTTCTCTGTAAGGTTAATTACAGGATTTATAAAACCAAGTCTCAGATTTAAAAGGTTCTTTTATACTGTAACAATGTCATTAACATGGAATTTCTCATGCTGAATTGTTGTACATTGGGATAATCTACCATTTGGGTCCTGTTTATTCCCTTTCAAGACACAGATAAATGGGATGAGGCAGATGTATTAAGAGTTCCTAAGGAAGGGATGCAGTGAGTTATAAAGGATTTTATTCTCCAAACATACAAAAGAAGGAACAAATGTAAAAACCAAGATATACAGATATATAGTAATAACGATAAATATATGCATTCATACTGATCTCTTGAATGCTTAGTTGCTAGTTACGTAGTGGAATGATTCCTCATTTGTTCAACTCATCAGGTATGCACTGGATGCCTGACATGTACCAGGTGCAGTGCTGGTAGCCTGGGAGCATCCCTGACCTTATAGAGCTTACCGTGTATTAGGGCCTAGAGAACAAAATACAGGCAATTACTCTCTAGTGGATGACGTTAGGAAAGAGGAAGCATAAGGGTCTGTGGGAACACAGAGAAGGTAAGGGAAATTTACTTCAAGAAAGTGATGTCTAAGCTAAAACCTAAAGAATGAGCTTGCCAAGGGGAAGAGTGGGGCCAAGGAGTGGTTCCAGGCAGAGAGAGGAGAATCTTTTACACCAAAAGTGAAGAAAAAACATTAGAAGCTGAAGGAAATAAAGTACAGACTGGCTGGGGCACTGCAGGGAAAGGCAGGGACAAGGCCAAAAGATTAAGGCTGAGCTGATCTTAATGATGATGGTTGTAACTTGAAATTTAATACTTTCAATCTCTCCCCTGAAGACTTATAAAGTATCATTTGGGAAAAAAAGGTCAAAGTATATTAGCTCTACTGCTGCAGAAAACAAATGTGGTATGTATTTCATATTAGTGACTTCAAAAGGGAAATTTTACCTAGTGTTAACCATACGATGTGCTAAAGTTTAAATTAACTTTTTTTTCTCAGATTTTTTTTTAATTTTATTATTATTATACTTTAAGTTTTAGGGTACATGTGCACAATGTGCAGGCTTGTTACATATGTATACATGTGCCATGTTGGTGTGCTGCACCCATTAACTCCTCATTTAGCATTAGGTATATCTCCTAATGCTATTCCTCCCCCCTCCCCCCACCCCAAAACTGTCCCCGGAGTGTGATGTTCCCCTTCCTGTGTCTTTCAATAAGCATCTTGGTTCCCCATCTATGACACAATACTTCTTTAGGTTGTCAGTTTTTTCTTGAAATTTGCCTTAAATTGGGTAAGGGCCAACAATTATAAAAAGGAATGATAATGCTTTAGCTGCATCAGATTCACCAGGAAGGCTTGTTAAACACAAGGTTCTGGCTCCCCACTCAAAGTTGTTAATTCTGTAAATGTGGGGTGAGGCCTGAGGATTTACATTCCTAACAAGTTCCCAGGCAATGGTGATGCTGGGGTCCTTAAACCATACCTTGAGAACCACTGCACTAAAGTATGTTGTCAGTGTACTTGAATAAAGGCATGAGGAAAGAAGAGTTGTTTCTGAACTCTTAACTAAGGTAATAATAATCAGGTGTCCAAATTTAATTTAAGTCCTGTTTCTGAGTTGAACTGCATTTTCCAAACATCTTGAAGAACTGGCATTCCAACCTGTTTGAATTTACTGTTCTACTAACCAGTAGGAATTCTACTAGCAGCCTACCTCTAACTTCACAAAGAGTGGCTCAATAGTTTTAGCTCTTCAAAAATGCTTAGCAGGAAACATCAACTGCAAAGAGCGCTGCACCTTTGAAAGTGCTCTGAAACCAATTTAGTCTTGCTGCTGTCACTACTACGAAATTTAACTTTACCTTTCCAAAATGATCTAGTATACAAACAAGGTCCTTCATAAGGCAAAATAATTTTTAACAAGGACAACTATCTTTTCTTTAAAAACACAAATACGTTTTAAGACAGTGAAAATGAAAATTACAAATAATTACAATGCATTTCATCGACTATGGTCTACATTTACATACATTAATTATTACATCCTATTTAAATATGGGATTATAACTGGTAACTAATTCTGCACCATCTTGGGGGGAGCTTTCTACTTTTCCTTGTACTCAGTTGGCTAGATATGGGGTCCACACTGTCATCTAAGTGTTGCTTGCACAAGAATCTTAATTATCAGAGCAGCTAATTTTATGACCAGTCAGTATGCAATTAACTCTACTTCTCTCTACACTTATATACATTGTAGACAAGCAACTGTGATTTCGTTTGTACTGCAATTAGAACTATTAATTTTAATAACTCATGGTTAATAAATATGTGTCAAAGATCTTCATAAACTGACCAAATCATCACACATAATAATTATAACAATAGCTAACAATCACTGAACCCTTAGAAGGTAGTATGTACTACACTAAGTACTTAATTTTCACAGACTCTCAATCTCAACGTTCTAGTTGAAGGAAATGAGCCAATGAGAATTTAGGTAGCTTGCCTAAGATGATATTGCTATCCAGTAGACAACTAGGGCATTTTTATCATGCTTTTGACATACAATTATAGACGAAGAAATTATTGGAGTATTTTAAAGTTGTAATATTGAGAAATTTAAAATGTTTAATTTAGCACATATAAATTTGACCTCAACCCCCAAAACCTCCTCGCTCCTCTCAGGAGGTCCTCAATAACCCAAGATAGACAGGTGAGGTCTCGAATTATCCTGAGATCTCTAAGAGAAAGAAGAGGAGTGGAGTTTCATTTTACTTGTCATCAGGCAAGAGGCAAAGGACCATCAGAGTAAAGGAGAAGGCTTGCTTTTCTCCCCAAAGTCTAGAAGCCTGAAACAAAGACCAGCAGATGTGGAGGCATCATCTAGAGCACAGGTCTCTAGACCCCTACAGGGTCCAATCTTCCCAACCGCAAGTGACTCCCAATCATCAGCCAAACTGCTTCTGACTTTGCTGACCCTGACTTTTATCAACAGTTCAGGAGCAGAGAGGGCTCAACCCACAGCCTCAACTGAGGCGGAAGAGCATGCTGCCTGAATCCTGCTTTTCCTTAGGCCTGGAACAGACATTGTCTTGCCCTTTCCTAATGTTTTTGTTCTGTGATGTGAAATATTTGCACCTGATCTTCCAGAGCACATTATAGTATTCTGCAGTTATCATTCTCTTTTTTTAATTTGTTCAATGAACTTTAAAAAATTTACAAACTATACCCTAGTTTGAGGAGGGAGAGGAGGGGATGAGAAAAAAAGGGAAAAAGTAAGGAGAAAGTCTGTCGCTTCTTTAAGTGTTTTTCAAGCGTTTTGCTTCTTTTTCTGTCATCTTCTCCCATGCCCATTTGCTATCAAAACACCTTACAGACACTTCTGCTGTTATATTACATCAGACAGAATTGCTTGTTAACTTGTCTGCACCCTGCATTCAGTTATAAATGTCTTGAGAGTAGGGGACATTTGATGTTTTCTGCTTTTACCTTATTTACATATATCTCCACTTTGTACACTGGACAGGATTCATACTACTTCTACATACACTTGTTTTTCCATCTTTTAAGGGCAGATAATACATATTCTAATTTCACAGGGTTATTTCGGGAATAAAATTAGTAGAAAAGATGAAGGTACTACATACACACTTTATAATAACATTATTCAACCCTAATCCTCATAATAAACTGCAAGGCTTATTAGAACATTCATAAAAACATGCCTCGTTACTTTATATGTATGCTAAATAGGGTTTACAGCTAAGTTCTCTCTCACTCTATCTTTACTCTCAACACATGAGAGTATGTGCTCTAAGGCTTGAAATCTATCTCAAGTATGCGAGCAATGAAAAATTTAAAAGAGGAAAATCAAGAAAAGATAGCCTAAAGGTTAAAACTGTTGTTTAAATGCTGCAGAGGAAGAGAAACTAAGCAAATAAAATATTCTACACAAAGTGGAATCATCCCTCACTTAACAAGAGTTCCCATTATATTTTCAGATAATTGACAGACACTTTTAAATTCTGTGATTAACAGGTTAATAGTATTATACCAAAACCATAACTCCAAATCTACACTGAAAACTTATCCTCCTGCTTACCCATGACCATGGCCTCTATACTGGGTTGAACTGTGTCCCTCAAAAAGATATGTTCAAGTCTTAACCCCCAGAACTCACAAATGTGATCTTATTTGAAAACAGGTAATTAAGGTATAATTAAGATGAGGTCACAGTAAATCACAGTGGGCTCTACATCCAGTAACTGGTGACTGTATAAGAGAAAAGATGACAGTATTTGGAATCAGAGACACACAGCACAGGGAAAAAGGCTGTGTGATGACAGAGACAGAGATTGGAGTAACACCAATACAAGCTAAAAAACTCTAAGGACTTCTAGCAGCCACCAGAAGACAGGAAGAGGCAAGAAAGGATTTTTCCACAGAGCTTTCTGAGGGACCCATTGATGGCCCTGTTGATACCTTGATTTCAGACTTCTAGCCTCTGGAACTGCAAGAGAATAAATTTCTTTTGTTTTAAGCCACCTATTTTGTGTAATTTGTTACAGCAGGCCTGGGAAATTAATACAGATTCTTAAGGAAGAACACACATCAGTAATAGTACAAAGAATGCAAAATACAGAAGTAATTACAACATCCATTTTCTCAGTTGCCTTTTATAATTACAGGGGAAATATATGGGGTATACATTTCACTGGAAGGAGAAACCACACATTGTCTTCTCCTACTCAGTAAGAGCATGATAATCAGGCAGTAGTCATGAGGTTACATCTAGAAGTTTCTACCCAAAGGGTTCCTATGTTCTTTGTACATCATATTAATACTTGATTATTTTGTGTGTACCTGAAAATACGCTGACTTTGGTTTGGCATTACATCACAGCCATGGAACGTTTTCTTTCTGTGACCCAAATACCTGTTTTCTAAGAGCTAACTGTGTAACACTCTGCTTTTTCTGCTTTAGTGATGTTGTGTTGAATTTTTAAAAACTGATCTTTTCACAGTTGTCTATCTACATTCATCCCAAGGCACATGGCAGAAAGGAATGGCAACACAATCCACATTCTATTATTCCTGAGAAAGTAAAGCCAATGGTCAGGAATGTAGCCCAACAATGCCATCAGAATCATCCTCTTTAATTATGAAGTATGATGAGAACCACCCTTGTCATGGTGTAATAATCATTAATAATCTGCTTTGGATACTGTGGGTACTCATATTTAATAACATCCCACAGAAGTAGGAATTAAGCATTATTCAAATACAAGGGCTCTTCTTTGAGTCACATAAAACTCAAAGGCTAATACAACCCTGTGCATTTGCTCATGTTTGATACTAAATCAAGGTAAGGCAAAAGAACAAAAACTGACAAATGATAAACCAATACTCCAAGTAACAAGTATACTCCCAAAAGAAACAAAAATTAAACTACAGTACTGGAAAAACTCTGCTAGTTTTTTGTGAATCGTGACACTTATGGATAGCCTATGAGGGCCAGCTCAGAGCTGCTCCAGGGAGCAGCAGCTTTTACCATCTTCACTAGTCTAATTTCCAACTCTGGTGTTAAATTGCCAAAAGTTCACTTCAAATTCAGGTCCTATATATCTTAGCAAGAAGATTTATGACCTCCAGGAGCCAGTCATCAGAGTCATATACTTTAACAGATGTAAAGCTTTAACCTAGGGTTGGCACACTTACCAGCTTTAAGCTAATTCCTCATTCTCTACTGAGAAAAACTGCTGCAGGACCAAAGTTGCAGGATGTATTTTAATTTAAAGGTTTAGATGCCCAGTGTGATCCAGATTTAAAGATTTTCTAGATAAATTATATCAAATTTTAAACAAATAAATTATCAAACCCAAGTCAATACTAAAATGAATGTCCTTTGGAAACATTTCATTAGCACAAAAAAAAGGAGAAAAGTCTTATTTCTTTACAGACACTGTAAGAGACTAACAACTTTATCTTGAGGCCATAAATATACCTAACTCTAAATAAGTGAACTTATTCTTTTCTAAAAAACCTGTGTAAAGCATGTATTTAATATCTAAATGGCTTTGGCTTACTAAATACAGAATTAGACACAGCTTACTTTTCTTCTACAAAAACACTATCATGATGTGCTAGTGTATTTTTTAATAAATTCTTCATTAAAAGTTTTATTTACTTCAGTGACATTGTATTTTTTAATAAAAGCCCATCTCCCCCGCCCCCACCAGAAGCACAATTACACATAAAGGTAAGTATCTGTATTTCATTTCAGAAGGTTCCAATACCCACTAATTTCTATAAACTTCAAATTAAGAATTACTGAAACAGGACTATTACAGAATCAGAAATCTTTGGGAAACAGAATTTTTTATATTTCCTATATTATTGGTAACTATTTCCCAGAAGGGTAAGCAGAGGCAGAGGTAACAGACCTCAAAGTTTTAGGTTTTATTTGAGATGTACAGAGGTTTAGGAGTAAAACGGCATAAAGCCTGGGATTTTCTCTGAAATACTACACACACACACACACACACACACACACACACACACACACACATGCACGCATGCACACACAAACACACACACATGCACTCCTCCCAAAACAAACATACAAACCATAAAAAGTAGAGGGAGGGGCGCAGAGGAGATAAAGGATGTAGCAAATGTTGACGGTAGTGAAAGAAGAGGGATGAGTACGGGAGCAGGGGATCAATTCTTTACATTTGTGTATGTTTGAACATTTTCAGAATTAAAAGTTTAAAATATTTCAGAAAAAACCCTCCAATTAATCAAGATGTCAAGATGTCAATATATCATTTACATTTGTGGACACTGGGATCTTAGCTAAGGTCACAGAACCAGAACTAAGCAGCTGTGTAGCAGCTAGACTAGGGCTGTTTATACCAGGTTGTCTCAGATGTCATCTGAATCTTTTTATTCTTTCCAGAAAAAAAATGGGGAAAAAAATGTGTAAAGCTTGATGCTCACCTGCACAGTGGTCAAGACCTTTTTTTTTTCCAGGCCATTCTGAAAGTCAGGGTTCTCAAGAGAAAAAGGGAGACTATACCTTCTTGATGACATCTTTGGAGAATATCTTCAACATGTGAAGCTGAAGAAAAATTTGTCTCCAAAATACTTGGGGAACTGGGGAAGGGAATAATCCAATGAATTAAAAGTATCACCAAATATGATTGCTTTACAATTTGGAATGGGCTTTCCTGTGGACCCTTCCACACCCCAGCCCCTGCCCTCCTCATGGGGGACACTGACTTCATAAAGAAGCTGTGCCAAGAGAGCTAAGTGAATTAAGTTGAATACTCTGTGGCACAGTTTAGCAAGCAATTCATCAATAGGGAGGTATCAAGTGTTGCTGGCTGAATTTTAAAGCACTTTCTCCAACACGGCTGGATATGCATGCCTCTGGGCATACAGATTTTCTTTATGTTGGCAGGAGAATTGTTTCCTCATTCCATCTTCCTTACAGTCAATTGTCATGGTCACAGAACACAAGGTTAAGAGGGATAACCTCAAAGATAATCTTTTAGAAAACCCATTTTAACTATTAGTTTCAATCTTCTCTTTAACCAAAATCTTTCCACCTAGGAACCCATAAATCACTACATTTACTTATTTAAGTTTTACTATGTCTTATTTCTCTCTACAGTTTCAAGCGGATACATAACAACAATATTAAAAACTACTACTTACTAACTAGATGAGTTCTTTAAATCTGTTTTCTCATTTTTCCCAATAACCTCATTAGGGTAGGTATTAGTCTTGCGATTTTACAGACTGGCAAATGGAGGTTTGGTCAAAGAGTTAAACATATCAGTTCGAGGTCATACAAGTAGTATGTGAAAGCCAGATTCTGAACCTAGGCTGTCCTGACCTGCCCTTTCCAGTATGCTGCATTATTTGTGGAAATAAAAAAGAAAGAGAAAAAGAGAATCAGAAAAGGAAGGCAGCAAGAGAAAGAAACAGGAAGGGAACTGGGAGATCCATTAACAAATCTTTACAAACTGGAGAGCCTTGGAAATATTGTCTAACACTGTCTTTTACTTTATAATTCTGCGTTCCAGGCAGTCAATGTAAAACTACAAGTACTTTTAAGTAACCCAGTTTTATACTCAGGCTATTGTTTTAATTTTTCATTTACTTTTTAACAAACACATATTCTTCACAACTGAGAAGATCTTCATGGAGAAAAATGTCATTAGAAAAGGCTGAGATTTTAACTTGGCCCTAGTTATGGGAAACTCAATGGAAAAGTCAATTCTTCTTAGTGACCAATTCATGGCATCAGAGATAGCACTGCATGGAATTTCTATCACTTTGATCCAGACTTGCACTGGAGATAAAAGGGTATCTCCAAAAGGAGAATTATGCAAATTTGGGAATGCCTTAAAATAAATCATTATTAATATTAACCTTTATTATCCATAAATAAAGGTTAAAACTAAACAAAATGTTAAAGAGTGTGGTAAATGAACTTGCCATCTCACTAGAACTGCTTCTCTTCCTCCTGTGCTTCAGATTTCAGTGGATGGCCCCATTATCTTCAATCACCCAGTCAAAAGCCTGGACACCTCTATACTCCTCCCCTCACTTTTCACCTGACTTTGAGTGACTTTTTAGAATTCTTGAGGAAAATCCCTAATAAAATTTTATGGGGAAAAATTACCTGAAAAAAGTCATAGCTCTGCATAACCATCTGCCAGTACTCATACTCCCTACTAACCAAAAATAATAGACAGTGTGCCATGGTTGAGAAAGTACTTCTGTGTGTCAGAAGAGCTGGCTTTTCAGGCTCTGCCACTAACAAGCTCTGGGACTTCAAGACTAAATGAAAGCATTAGGCACTGTGTTAGTTGTTTTACATAACCTCATTTCATTCTTACAATCAGTGAGGCAGGTGTATCACTGGCATTTTTTAAAAAATGATACAAAGGCTCAGAGGCATAAATGCTTTGACCAAGTGTAAAAAGCTAAGAGACATATTTGGAATTCAAACCTACAATGGTCTACCACATTATACTGTTTCGCATGACTTCCCATGTGTAAAAATCTTAAAATGAAAGCAAACCCAAAAATATTGTACAGCAAACTGTTGCTGTATTTTTCAAAAATTCACTGATTACAGCAGCAGCAACTGTCAATTAAATTCCAGCTTTGTTCCACACATTTCAGTATCAGAAAAACACCTTCGCATCTGAGTCAAAGTATATAAGCCAAATTTCAGAATGCTAACGAAGTGGCTGAACTGAACAGAGTAGTGGGAAATAGAATGTGTTAACTACTTGTATCTCAGATTTCCCTGTATTCAATATACTTGTAACTGCATAATATAATTTGACAGTGCAGAAAAGTGATGGAAATTTCTAGGCAAATTCTCTCTGCCTGTTGCCATAGGAGTATTAAGTACAGACAGACATACATTGGCAAATATTTAAACGCTACAGTTAGCGATTATTTTAAATATGAAGCATAAAAATCATGCTTTTTAAAATTGCAAAAAATGCTGATGAACAAAAAGCTATGCAAAAAGAAGGTACTTTGTGTTGCTATAAACAAACTCATAAAACAGAATTTTTAAAAAGGAAATCAGTACACAGTCTTAACCTGTTACTTATACAATTCCAAATGCTACATTCCTAATAGTCAGCCAAGTGATATATTCATCAAATAACAACAAAAATGAACTCAGAGCTCTCAATTTCTACTAATGTAGGGTCAACTGGGTTATCTGAGAAAGAATGATAAGAGTTTATGGGCTATGAGTAACAAGTTTAAGGTGACTAATATCTGTTACAGAAACACTCCATTGACTTGGACATTTATTTTTGATGAATGAATGTCATGTTAAACAGCTAAGCATGGAGGCAGAGAGGGAGCAACAGTTAAAAATACTAGCATCAAATCTTATTGCAGTCATATAAAAAGCCAATGTTCAATAAATACCAATATAGCTATTTATTATATGATATTCCAACAAGCAGAATCTCATTGCAACTGAGTTGATAAATACATTTATTACTATGAATGTGTACATATGTGTGTGTGTGTGAGTGTGTAATCCAAAACCCTTCTCTTAGAAAGCAATGTCAAATAAGAGTCAAGAAAATGGGGTCAACAAGTTCTGTTTCAGGAATACAGTCTTTTGTACTTTGCATACAGTTCCTGCTCATGGCTGCAGAGAAAATGAGATGGCAATGGGGAGAAGACAGGAAGAAGAAGGCAAAATGAGAAACAATAATGACAGATGCTGCAATGGTCCACCTTTTCGTTACTGACATGGTTAATTCTTCATCTTGGATTGAAGTAGAAAGTACTTTTTGTTTGTCCTCTATGTTTTTAAAATTACTACTATCCTACAATGGCTTTTTTTTTTTTTTTTTTGGAGACGGAATCTCACTTTGTCGCCCAGGCAATCTCGGCTCACTGCAACCTCCACCTCCCGGGTTCAAGCAATTCTCAAGCCTCAGCCTCCTGAGTAGCTGGAACTACAGGCGTGCACCACCACATCCAGCTAATTTTTGCATTTTTGAAAATAGAGACCGGGTTTCACCATGTTGACCAGGCTGGTCTTGAACTCCTGACCTTGGGTGATCCACTCGCCTTGGCCTCCCTAAGTGCTGGGATTACAGGCATGAGCCACTGTGCCCAGCCCCTACAATGACATTTAATGCATATAATCACTCAGGATTTAAAACACTGATGACAGAGTTCTGTTATGTGGCTGCAGCATTATTCCATGAAAAGCCAAGTATGTATATTCAGAACCAACAAAGAACTTTCCAATAGAGTGTTGTATCGTTTGACGTAGGCAATTTACAAACAGCTAAACACAACACAAGGTTTGATTTTAAAAATAAGGTAGTGACTATTAATGGAGAAGTGAAACTGAAAATGTTGGGAAGATGTGAAATTTTCATGTTTTTGACAGTCACTGCAGTGTCCATAAAATTCTGCCCACAGGGGTGGTGTTTGAATGCTTAGATCAAGTATTGCAAAGTACTAGTGGTAACTGTGCAAAAATAATTATATTTGTTCAAGAAGTCAAATAATTTCAATTTCACTAGTCTTTTTTATCTTTTGTTAATTTGATTCTGAATGTATACAAACCATTTACATAGCAAGATCCAATATATTCTAGGCAGATCAGCCTGTCCCTCAGTTTCTAAAAGCAGCACTCAATCTGCCCCTGAGGCTGCCATGTACTCCCCTCCTCAAGCAGCCTTTGGCCCATAAAGCTTAAGGTATGTCAAAGGATGTCAAGGGTGGTTGAGCTGTGGTTAAACTCTGGTTGGGACTCAACCACATCTCTGGTTTGATGCCCAAACAGGCATCAGATCAAAGCCATAGACTTTTCCTAAGTATTCAAGTGAGTGTCACAAACTAAGGGTCTTGAGCTAGATCAGATGGCAACATTCTGAAAAGTTACTGAAATAAAAATGAGACTTTGTACTACTGCTATATATTCCTATTTAAAACATATAACTAGAGTATTTATTGTATTGTAACCCTGATGACATCACAACCATATACCTAGAGACAAATGTCAGATGAAGTTATTTTTTCTAAATACCTAATAAAAGGTGATCATATGTTATTTGCAAATAATTTCCAAACCAAAGATGGTTGAAAATCTTCAGGACATGTGGGCTAGCAACTAAATATCAGCTGAATTAAAGTTCTTAAAACAATTTCTAAACTTTAATCAACCCTGACACTCATCTAGTACTAGTTTTTGGGAAATGTCCACTAGTTTTTAATGGAACTAAAAACTTTGAAACCATTCTGGCCAAAATGGTTTTTTAGTAAATTGTTGATATACTTCCTCCGGCAAACTTATCTCCTGAAGTACTAGTGACTATCACGTAAGATCACTTGATAATAACTTGTCCTGGTGTGACATTACGTGGAAGTTGTTTCATAATGTTCTAGTCTTGTTCTAAGTTTATATTCTTTTCAAACAAAGATAGTGTAATTAACTTATCAACTAAGGGATTTAGAGAGACAAATGGGAGAAATAAAACCAAATATAAGATTGGGGTCGGGCGCGGTGGCTCACGCCTGTAATCCCAGCACTTTGGGAGGCTGAGGCAGGTGGATCACCTGTCAGGAGTTCTATACCAGCCTGGCCAACATGGTGAAACCTCATTTCTACTAAAAATACACAAATTAGCCGGGCGTGGTAGTGCACGCCTGTAATCCCAGCTATTCGGGAGGCTGAGACAGGAGAATTGCTTGAACCCAGGAGGTAGAGGTTGCAGAGAGCTGAGATGCCCCACTGCACTCCAGCCTGGGTGACACAGCGAGACTCCATCTCACAAAAAAAAAAAAAAAAAAAAAAAAAGTAGCCAGGCATGGTGGTGCATGCCTGTAGTCCCAAGCTACTCGGGAGGCTGAGATAGGAGAACTGCTTGAACCCAGGAGGCAGAGGTTGCAGTGAGCCAAAATAGGGCCACTGGACTACAGCCTAGGCGACAGAGCAAGACTCCACCTAAAAATATATATTTATACATATGTATATATAATGAAGTTCTCTGGCTATGTCCCAGGACCAATATAATTGAAGAAGATATTAATTAAGGGAAGAATGGGACAGGAGGAGAAAGTTAGAACGATATAGCTTCTTTACAGCATAGTAAGTTGGGAGCACAGGTTTTGAAGGCCATCAGACAAGAGCGCAAATAAAATCCCACGTTTTTACCTTTTCACATACAAGGTGATCTTGAGCAAACGGATTCTGAGTTTTGGTTTTCTCACCTGAATCGTGGGGGTGACAACACTAACCTAAGCAAATGTGAGAATTAAAGATTGTAAGGTAATGTGCTTATAGTATTTGGCATAAAGTGAGTCAATAACCAGTAGCTGCTACATTATTCTTGTTTTCTTTTCATCCATAATTCTTAGCCTCCAAAGTGTTTTGTATTCTAACTCCTGCTCATTTCTCTAGACTTACCTTTTCACCATACTCTACTAGCTTCTTGATCTTTCTCCTGTTACCTGGTGGGCAAAGTGGGTTCCTGCCTTCTGCACTAGCTGGTTCCTTAGCCTAGAATGTTCTTCCCAGAGACAGTAACATGATGATTCCTTCTAAGACACTCAAGCCCATAGCTTAAATATAACCATCTGAGAAAGGCCTTCCCTAGTCAACCATTCTAAAGGAACATACCAGTCATTCTTTAGCAGAATTCCATTTTAATTATCTACAGAGCACATCTTCACATCTGATTATTTTCTTATTTATTTGTTTGATTACAGCCTGTCTCTTCAAACTCAAACATAAACTCATTGAAAACTAACTTGTTCACAGCTGTATCCCTAGTACCCAGAATAGCCTTAAGTACCCAATAAATACTGGTAGAAGAAGGAAAGAAGGAGGGAAGGAAGGAGAAAGGAGGAGAGGATGAAAAAAGGGAGGGAAGGAAGTCTGGCCTATTAAAAAGTGAATTTGAAGCTTTAAAGGCTACTGTAATTTGATAGGGAATGTGGCTTTCTATTTAAGTGGATAATAAATGAATTCCTGTACTTAATTATAGTACTGAAAGGCCTGAGATGTGTGTGTGTGTGTGTGTGTGTGTGTGTGTGTGTTTCATTTATTCTCCTCTCTGTCCACCTGTAGATCTTAGGATGAACTTTGAGAAGTAACTGCTGACCATATGCTCCTATTCACAGAATGCACAAACTCATCCACTACTATTTTTCCTCATCAATACATTAAATGGGCAGAGCTGGGCACAGTGGCATGCACCTGTAGTCCCAGCTACTCAGGAGGCTGAGGCAAGAGGATCACTTGAGCCCAGGAGTTCAAGAGCAGCCTGACCAACATAGAAAGACCCCAACTCAAAACAGAAAATAAAATAAAAGGCTAGCTTCATTCCTTTTTATCCGTTTTCCGTTATGACAGAATGTGGTTAATTAGACAAAGAAATTGGTAAGAATTCTAGTCTGTAGGAATGTTTATGTTTTCTATAACAGGAACATGATTTTCCAAGCTTGGTATTTTGACAATCCTTTTTATTTTGTAAGCTATAAGCTAAGAATCCCTGTGAAACTACATTAATGGAGTTTCATAAGACTTTATCTGCAGCAATTTTTTTTAGACTTGTATATGACGGTAATATTTCTTTCAGCATTTTATCAGTGGAGTAGTAATAGTTCACATAGAGATAGTTTGCTTTTTTCATGCTCTAAAGTATTGTAATGTTCAAGAGAAGGGAGCAGTTAAAAGTGGCCTCCTGCGTAGTAGTAAGGAGCACAATTCTCAACTCAAATGCCAAATAAAGATGCAATCCCTTCAGCAAAAGTGAGGAAGAGTCTGACATCAACTGTTTTCTTCTTCCATTTCCACACTAGCAATATATTAATGTGAATAAAAATGTTTCATGATGCAAATGATAAACAGTACATTATAATGTAAAGTATTGTTGAGCAGGAAAAGAAAACTGAGTTGTCCATACGATTTTGTAAATATTTAAATTGGTTACATGCTAAATGTTTAAATTTCATTTTATAGTAGTCCTTCCCTTATCCACAATTTCCCTTTCTGAGGTTTTAGTTGCCTGAGGTCAACTGTAGCCCAAAAATATTAAATGAAAAATTCCAGAAATAAACAGTTCATATACTAATTTAGTGCAAAAGTAATTGTGATTTTTGTCATTAAAATGGCAAAACCACAATTACTTTTGTACCAACCTAACTGCACACCATTTTGAGTAGCATGATGAAACCTCCTACCACCCTACTCCAGCCCATACAGGACGTAAATCATCCCCTTGCCCAGTGCATCTACATTGTGTACACTATCTGCCCTTTAGTCACTTAGGCAGCCATCTCAGTTACCAGATCTCAGTTATCAGGATATCTCAGTGTTGTGTTCAAGTAACTCTTATTTTATTTAATAATAGCCCCAAAGTGCAAATGATGCTGGCAATTTAAATATGCCAAAGAGAAGGCATAAACTGCTTTCTTTAAGTGAAAAGATAAACGTTCTTAACTTGAACAGGAAAGGAAAAATCCTACGCTGAGGTTACTATGGTAAGAAACGATGTTCTATCTATGAAATTATAAAGAAGGAAAAAGAAACGTGATAAATGCCTATTAGTTAAGATGGAAAAGGCATTAAATACATGAGTGGAAGACATGAGAAATGTGTTTCAACCGACAGCAATGAAGTTTGGTACTATCTGAGGTTTCAGGCATCCACTGGGGTCTTGGAACATATCCCCACGTATAAAGGGCGACTAATTTCAAATTCAACACACACAGTTTTTATTTTTATCTAAGAAAAAGTTCTTATTCTACCAGTTTTCTGACAATTACATTAATATTTATAATAAGTATTTGATTCATAAAGTTTGTGTTTCTGGGACTTGATTTCAAGGTTTAAACCCAGATCATTATAAAGAAATAAGATGCATCCCCCATGTGAAGGCACTGCTATAAAACCCTGTCTTCCGAATTTCTTGAAATTTCCAGGCAGAGAAACAATTTCTAACAGTTTCAGAATACTTACACTACTGGTAACAAAGTAAAAACTACCTAAGTAAAGTATCATTTTGACATCAACATGGAGTTAAGATGAAATGTTCACTTAAGACACACATTCCTTTAATATACATACCTATAATGTATACTCAGTTCTCCACAAGTATTCATGGAAAACATCTGTCTTCTAACTTTTCCCACCACAAGTTATCACTATGATATTTCCCTTAAAATCAGAATTCTTAGGCTCTTCATGATAAGCCAGCCATTCCCAAAGCTGGGCAGAGCAAAAAGACCAAGATGATGAGATTAGACATTCCAAAACATAGTGATTACTTTGGAAAAATCCAAAGGTGTTAAGGAATCCCACTTTCCAAGTTTTTTTTTGTTTTTTTTTTTGAGATGGAGTCTTGCTCTGCTGTCCAGAATGGAGTGCAGTGGTGCCATCTCAGCTCACTGAAACCTCTGCCTCCCAGGTTCAAGTGATTCTCTTGCCTCACCCTCCTGAGTAGCTGGGATCGCAGGCGCCCACCACCAAACCTGGCTAAATTTTGTATTTTTAGTAGAGACAGGGTTTCACCATGTTGGCCAGGCTGGTCTCGAACTCCTGACCTCAGGTGATCCACCAGCCTTGGCCTCCCAAAGTGCTGGGATTACAGGTGTGAGCCACCGCGCCTGGCCCCAAGTTTCTTTTGAGTTCAACTGAACAATAGAAATCAACATTGTAAGAAGTGGCTATATAACAGACCGAGGAGAAAAATGATAGTATTTATCATTCTAGAAAGAATTAGGGAGAAATTAGTTTTCACTCTACACAAGGGAATAGGTATGTGTGACATCTTCAACTGAACGAAAGTAACAATGTCTGAGAATGAAAAAAGAAACAGGCATCTCCTGGAGTCTGGAGCTTAAAAAAACCATTATATTAAAATGTTCACCAACAGTGAAATAGATAAATGTGCTATAGTTATAAATGGAATACTACTTCAAAGAAAATGAACAAATTACAGTTCCCTACAACATGGATAAATCTTAAAAACTTAATGTCCAACAAAGAAGCCAGACACCAAAATGTAGACGGTATATGATCCCATGTATTGAGATGGTAAAACTATAAAGAAAATCCAGGAAGTGATTATAACAAACAGTGGTTACCTATGGGAGAAAAGAAGTGGTTATGATTGGGAAAGGGAATGTGGGAGATTTCTTGGAGGGGGGAAGCTGGCAATGTCCTATTTTACAACCTGGGTGGCAGTTAATGGATGTTCACTTTATAATAACTCATTATGCAGTACATTTATTCATCTCCATTTTTCTAAGTGTTATTGTTCACAATTTTCAAAATTGTTCAAAAGTTTACCAGTAATTACTTATTAGTAGTTATCTGTAGTCACTATCTTGTCATACAATCTGAATTGACTTTTTTATTTAGCCATCCCATATCTGTAAGCTTCTTGATGACAACTAGGTCTTCCAATTCCTCTGTATTCTCCCACAAAAAGTGAGAAAATGCTTTAAATGCTTAGTAAGTGCTCAAAAAGCTGTTTATTTTACCTGGCATTCATTCACTATAGAACTGTAGCACGATCGATCATATATGACAAGATTAGGGGTCTGAGGACTGATGTTTCAATTATAACCCTCTCTGGATCTGTAAATGGGCATAATCATACACTGGAAAAGTGTCAGGAAGAGGAAATGATGTAATGGGAGTTAGCCACTTCTCACAAGAGCCAGCACATTGCACAAGTCTCTACTTAAAGCAGGTATCACACTCTATTGTTCACCTTTCTAGCTCCCACTTGTCCACCCACATTGGTTTGTGACCACATCCCCCCTGTCCTGCATAATGCTTGGCTACAGCAGGGATGAAGTAATAAAAATCATATTTTTTTTGTTCTTAAGAAGAATAACAACATTTATTGAGTGCTCACTATGAGTCAAACGTTGTTGTATTTTATGTTATTTATCCCTGTATTATGTTATTTACTCCTATGAAGAAGTTACTATTATTATCTCCATTTTATAAAGAAACAGAGAGACAGAAAGGTTAAGTAACTTGCCTGAGGCCATACAGATTGAAAGTGGCAGATTTGGGACTCTAACTCAGGTCTACTGATCTACTGGATTCCTACGACCATGCTCTTTCTACTAAATCATGATTTTCTACTGTGTCATGAGACCTCAGGGGGTTTAGTAAAGCCTGTTTGGAAATTATATATATATGTGTGTGTCTGTATATGTATATGTATGTATGTGTATATACATGTATGTATACGACGTATACAGTGTATGTACACGTATATATACTATACACATATACATACATATATAATTTTTTATTTTATATAGATAAAATAAAATGCTATATATATATATACGTATATATATACATATATATATATATAAAAAATAAATGCTTGAAACTATGAGGTCAAGAACTTTGATCCTGGCCCAAATCCCAAATTTTAAATCCATTCTTAAGATATTCTATCTTCTGGAAATGTTTACAAATTCATAGGCAAAATTAAGTTCTGCCATATACTAGAAGAAATTATTATAATTATAGCCATTATACTAATTTGTGAAATAACTAAATATAGAAAATGCATTAAAAAGTCTTAAAGAGCACAACAATCAAAAGAACTATTCTTCAATACACAGAAGAGATGATTAATTTGAAGACGCATTTGTTGTTAAAGTAACAATGTAAGAAAATATTTCAAATTAATAAAATTTGGATAATTAATATGGTGGTAAAGAAGCTAATTTAATTGAGTTGCATGAAATTCCATTTCATTATATTCACTTGTATATTTAGTGAAGCTATAATCAAATTGAATACATACATACAAATTTTACTAAGTCTTTCCTTTTGCTCTGAAATAATCATCACACACCTGCTTATGCTACGAAGCATGTGAGCTGACAGAACAGAGAGCACTTATACCCCGATTCTCCTTCCTAGTTTTGCAGTTCAGAATAAAGTAAACAGAAAACTTAAGACTATGCCCTTGTTAGCATTAGAAATTAAAGAAGATTCTGGATTCACCCTTAAAAACTAACAATAAAAAAAGAGGTATGACTTCCAAAATATGAATTCGATAGAGAACCAGGTGAGGAGTCAACAAACCAGAAGGATGAACTCAGCTCAAAAGTCTACTAGAGAAGTCAATTATATTCTAATTCACCCAAATACACAGTGACTACTGTTGAATGCTTCTCGGATAGGTTGGATAACTTATAGACAGCTTATATTAATGTTCCATAATCTACTTGCATGTTTCAAACAAATTAAGTACATGTAACTACCCTGGAACAAAAAGGAAAAAACAGAATGACTCCAATTGCCTGTTTCTCTCATCTTACCCTTCACTGCAAAGCAGGGGATTTTTAGGTGCTGAAACTCCACCTCAAAGCGACCTAGTTGGTATCCGGAAATGACTTTACTAGAATCCAGACCTGGATGGATTTTCTGTTGTTTGGCTGCTTTTTAAGAGGAAAGCTGTGAGGGATAAAGGTAGTTCTAAATACATTTTAAGATGGAAGCTGTGAGGGATAAAGGTGGTTCTCAACACGTTCATCTATACAAAGAGCCGCTCCTCCTTCTGACCAAGTCTCAGGCTTCTTATGGGCTTCCCACCTTTAACCTCCATGACACAAGAAGTAGAAAATGATCTTTCTCTTCCTGTTCTGCTATTTCAGAAGAGGAGGGCTTTTCCTCCCCACTGGTTTGATTATTATTCCTAGGGTCCACACAGAGGACTTAATTATTGGGCTCAATAGCTTTGCTGATTTAGAGGCTGGTGTAACAATAGCAAAATCAAAGCAATACTCTGGCAGATCACCTTATTCCAATCAAGAATTGAGTGGACTGAAAGCTGGCTATTCAAAGGTAGAACACCTTCTGAGTGCTGTTCTACCTTTTGGGGATCGAAATGAAAACCTGGCTGTTTACCTGGACCACTCCTTCTTAGCAATCTCTGGATTCCAATTTTTAACCTCTGGCTCCAGAACAGTACCAGAGTTCTGCTCAGATTCTTAGCTACTGCTGAGAATTAGCGAATGACTGAGGATTAACGGTAGGGACAGAGTTGAGTCTCTCCCTCTGTACTTCCTTCTCTAGAATCCTGATACCTCAAGTCCTCACTGCCATCAAACAGATTTTGTCTTCCTCAGTTTTTCTAGTTGTTCTTGGCAGGAAGCACGGTCTATAACAAGCTCATCCACCATTACCAAAAGCAAGAATTTCCAAAGTTCACTTTTTTCCCATGATAAGGCTGAACGTTACCCAGCAAACTGTAAAGTCATACTCATGGTGAACATGCTTGAGGACCTCAGCAGACCATTTACACAATTTCGTAAAAATATACAATATTTTTACACAACGTACTTTCAACACTGTTGATAAAACATCACTGTATAAAATAAATATTGATCCATTTTCATAAAAACTCTCTCTCCAAAACTTGTTACAAAAAGAACCAGGTAAATTACTATCTTAGGCAAAATTGCGTGTTCTGGGACTGCAGGCCCACATACGGCAGAAAACAAGGACCATGCTGTTTGCACGCATCTTTCCAAACCAAGCAAGCTTAGACATCTGTCCATTATGCACACAGTCCATCCTCTGCCTACAGACCAGAGTATTAAACTCCCCATGCTGCTTTTTTCTGTTTTCATCAGTCAACAAATACAGTAATGCTCTAAGGCAGGTGTTAGCAATATTTTTCTATAAAGGGCTAGATAGAATTTTCAGCCTTGTGTACTTTTTGTCAGAACTATTCAACTCTTGCATTGTAGTACAAAAGCAGATGTAGGCAATATGTAAGTGAGTAAGTGCAAATGTGTCCCGATACAACTTTATGAATATTAAAATGTGAATTTCATATCATTTTCATGTGTCATATAATAGTCATTTGATTTTTTTAACCATTAAAAAAACTGTAAAAGCCATTTTTAGCTTGTGGACTGTCCAAAAACAGGTAGTCGGCCAGATGTGGCCCACTGGCTACAGTTTGCTGACCCCTATGTGAAAGCATTATTGTTTCATAAAATTAAGTCCTTGGCTTGACTCTAACATTCATTTGTCCCTCTTCCTCAACTTTTCCACCGTGCCTCTAAAACAGTGGTTCTCAAACTTTACTGTGCATTCAAATCACATGCAAACTTGTTAAAACACAGATTAGGGAGACATCACACCCAGGGTTTCTGACTCTATAAATCCAGGGCAGGACCTGATAATTTACAAGTCTAACAAGCACCCAGGTGATACTGATGCTGCTGGTCCAGCGACCACATCTTGAGAATCACTGCTCTAAACTTCTTATCAGCAAACTCTCATATATCCTGAGCATCTTCTTAGGACATTCCCTCACTTTCCTGACTTATCTGTAATCTATTTGTCATCTATCTGATACTTTTGGGAGTCTTCACAGACAGTTCCTCTCCCTCATACTTCTTATCCAATAAATCATTAAGTCATGTCTATTTTATCCCCTAAATATAATTTGATTTATCCACTTCTATCTGTTTCCCACCTTAGTCCAAGCTATCATCTTTTACCTTCAACAGCCATCTGGTTGTGCTCCCCACATACATTTTGCAGAACGCATGTAGAGGGATCTCTGTAAGATGAGAATCTGATTGTGTCACTTTCTTGCTTTTATGATAATCTTCCTTCACAGGCTTCCCAAGGCTCTGTAAGATTTGGCCTCCATCGCCACTTCTGCCGCATCCTCACTTAGCACTTGTGGCCTATACTTGTCCTCAGCCACTCTGACTTGCCCCTTCCTGGCCTTCAGACTTGCTGTTCTCAGCCTGGGATTTTCTTACTCTACTCCTCTCTCTTCTCAATCTGTCAATATTATTCATCTTTCACTTCTCAGACCCATATCATATCTCAAGGAAAGTCATTCTTGACCCTTCTGGACTAAGCCCAGAACCTCTTAACGTGCAGTTTTTCTAAGCATCTGTCTCCACATTAAAATAATAAAAAGAGCTAACATTTTACTAGGCAATATTCTGCTCTAAAACTTCTTCATATATTTGTTTATTTAATTAACTAGGTAATATTCTGCTCTAATTAGACCATGCAATATTCTGTTCTAAAACTCTCCATACATTTGTTTATTAACATCATAAAACTCCATAAGGTAGATGCTCTTAATATCATCCCCCTCCCTCTTCTTCTTCCTGTTTTGTTTTTTTTTAAACTATAAGAGGAAACTGAGAAATAAAGAGGTTCAACAGTTCACCCAAGGCTAAGCAGCTAGTAAGTAGAAGAGCCAGAATGCAAACCCAAGCTACTTGTTTCCAGACTACAAATACTATCTCTTGAATAGTAGAAAACTCAACTGGATTTTAATCTCCAGGGGCCAGGCACCAAGCAGATACAGTTTACACAGTCTCATGCATATCAGGCACTCAATTTGTTGAGTGAATGAGTAAACAAATTGGTTGAGTGTGCTAGCATAATGTTATATATTATTCGCTAGGCCATACTATAAAAGCTGATTTTAAAAGAGGGCTTTCCATTCTGCCATCTGTCTAAGCATAATGCATAACAGACTCCACTTTTTCAAGACTATACACTCTTGTTATGTAGATAATCTTTCAATTCTTCTAATACCCAATACTTGGGTATTAAAACATGATAAACCATTTTACTTACATATATGTAAGCCAGCACAAACAGAACATTAAGATGTATACAAAATTCAGTTATTAAATTACTGTGACAATTATTTTTGGAGAGGAATAGATATTCCTGAGGAATATCTTTATATTCAATGGGTACATAATAGAACAATGGTGGAGGGGTAATAACGTCTTAAATCACCCTTTCGTTCTATTTATTATTGATATACTATTTTAAGACATGATATACACATCCCTCACAATCCAAACTCTCCCTAACTGAACTCACACTACCCAAACTCAAGAATAAACTCTCTGAGATGAGGCTGTTTTCTCTGGCTCTTCAAGCTTTCACTGCTACTGGCTCTTCAAATTTCAGAAGCCAAAAATATGCGGTTAATGCAGTATCTCTCAGTATATAAGCTTAGGAAACAAAAGAAAATCAGATGGCAAGAAATACCTGAATGTAATTTATTTATTAATTTATTTAGTTTATTTTAATGAGTCAACTAAAAATCCAAATGCATAATAGTGCAAACACTTCATTAACTGGGTTCATAACAAGATTTTAAGCCTCCTGTGACAGTGGCCATATTTTTAAATGTTTGCATCATGCCTGTATCCAGCATATAGTAGATGCCCAACAAAAATTTTGATGACAAGTGAATGTGCTAATACACAGGCATACTGTGGCCACATTCCTGAACTATGGTTTGCATATACATTCTAAGTCTATTGCAAACCTACTATTATTACAGAACTGAGATTTAAAAATGTATAGTTTAAGTAGCAGTTAATATAACTGGCAACTTAGGCTGACTTCTAGGAATTACCTAATCATTAACTTATAATGTAGATAAGAACTCCAACTATGAAGTGTGACAAAATGCTACTGGCTGGCTGTATGACTTTGGGTAAGTAAACAACCATCCTGAAACCAAGGATTCAGATTTATCATCTGCAAAATAGTGATAATATACCTAACCACATAGAATTATTTTAAGGATTAAATGTTTCCAATGTATGTAAAACAAATAGCATTTCATAAACAAACAATAAGCATTGAAGAAGTATTAGTTGTTATATAACCATTATTATATATACAGATATAAACTTGTATATCTACATTATTACTTATTTATTCAAATTGAATGATTACAATTGTGGTCTACATATAGGTAAGCATGAACGCCAAAAGCAAAGATATAATGATGTTTCTTGTCATGTTCATATACAACAAGATAACAAGATGGGAGAGTTCCCTTGACCCCTTTGTGGGACTTGCAACAGGGGTATGGCTCGCTTACCTGGCCACCACTGAGCTCAAACCCCTTGTGGGAGAGGGAGCACACAGGCAAGCAGGTGCAGAAGTGCTTTTGGGCTCTGGCCCCACAGCACTGTCTAAGGGTATGTTACAATTAATGCTCTTTTAGCAGCTGCCATCTGCAGACAGCTGTTAACCAGCTCAGTGGAGAGTCAGGAAGACAGCCTTTTACACTCTGCCCTCTTGGTACCTGGGTTCGTGTTCAGCATCTAGGAAGGATCAGGTCACATGAAGGTCTGAAAGGTGATGAATGCAGAGGATTTTATTAAGCAGTGGAAGTGGCTCTCAGCAAAAGGGGAGCTGGAAAGGGGATGGTGCAGGAAGAAGGTGATCCTTCCCTGAAGCCATGTTGTCTCAACTTAAGCCACATCTATCTGTAGTCTCCGACAATCAGTGCTGCGACTCCTCTTGATGTTCAGCTGCTTTGCGTCTCTACCAGCTGAGGTTTGGGGTTAATATGGGTACAGGATAAGTGGGGAGGGAGGCAGGGCAGACCAAAAATGTAACATTTGGGAGGGAAAACAGGGATAACTGTTCTCATTCAGGGCCTCGGTTTCCAGGCTTAGGGGTGGGGCCTTTGCTGGGGAACTGCCCACTTCTACCCAGTATTTCCCTTCCTCTTATCCACATCAATACTAGTTCAGGCTCCTGGAAGAAAGATCAACCAGCCCAGAATGGTGGCTGAGTGGGGACCACAACTTTGTTTCCTCAAGCATCTAGGAGCCCTCTTGTCTTGCCTGAGATGAGATCAATGAGGAACTGGGGTTGCCTGGTGCAGCAGTTCCAGGTTGCAATGAACTGCCTCCATTTGATTTGCATCTTTTTCTCCAGCTGGAATCGAAGAAGCAGCTGTTCAGGCACCTGCAGGTGTTGAACTGGGAACTGCAACTGAGGCACTGGGTGGTCAGGACTGTGACAGACCAAGGGTTGATTTTGCCACATCACCTCAAGAAGTGGGTATCCAGTGCACCTACCAACATTACTCTATCGGGGAAGAAGCACAGAAAACCCCTCTAGTGGATCTGACTTGCCCAGAAAGAGAAGGCAGCGATGGAAGTGAAATCCCCCTCAAAGCCAGCCACGACTAGTGAACCACAGCTCAAAGGGCAAAATAAGACAAAAGCCCCCCAGGATGTAGACATGAAGGAACTTGAAGATGAGAGCTAAAGTTCTTACCTCTTCCATCAGAAGATTTTCAAAGACTCAGTGGTTGCTTCGGAGAACTTTGGAGAAAGCACTGCACCTTTCACTCTCTCCAGATTTCCTTTTCCCTAATGTCCTCCCCGGAGAGATGTCTTGGGAGGGAAGACGGTACAGAAAAAAGTTTGGAGGGGCCTCTCTAGCAGTCAACTCCATTCGTAATAAAGCCCTAGAGCTCTGACTGAGATGTGTGTGATTAAATGTAGGAATGGGGATGCACCATGAAAAGAGATCCATGACAATAAGGAAGCACAACTCACAGAGCTTGCTTGAGCAAATACAGGAAGCCAGCCTCTGCCAGGTGGTGCTCCGCAGGATTGCTTGAGGCTGTGATCTCATCTGCTCCCTAGTAAGTGATACTCTTTTTATTTATGACAAAAAAACATAGATTATTGTAGGGATGGCAGAGGAGGTAAGCGTCTTCATATCAGTCCTGCCACTGCCCCTGTGGGACCAGGGTAGGCAAGTCATTGTTTACCTCTTGTGTATTGCTTCTTTTGCTGAATTATGTTTTTTTCTTTTTCTTTTTCTTTTTTTTTTTTTTTTGGAAATGGAGTCTTGCTCTGTCGCCCAGGCTGGAGTGCAGTGGCACGATCTTGGCTCACTGCAACCTCCACCTCCCAGGTTCAAGTGATTCTCCTGCCTCAGTCTCCTGAGTAGCTGGGATTACAGGCATGTGCCCCACCCAGCTAATTTTTGTATTTTTAGTAGAGACGGGGTTTCACCATGTTGGTCAGGCTGGTCTTGAACTCCTGACCTCATGATCCGCCTGCCTTGGCCTCCTAAAGTACTGGGATTACAGGCGTGAGCCACTGTGCCTGGCCTGAATTATGTTTTTAATAAAACAAAGACCAAATATTTTTTTTAAAAAATACTATTTAAATAAATGGAATGGAAGCTGATGTCAAAGAAATTGTTTTCTAATGCATAAAATAATCTGAAATATTTCATTAGCATTAGAGTATTAACATGTAGCTTTGCAATAAAATGAAAAAATGCTACATATATTTTAAGGTGCTAATAAAAGCTTTAAAACCTCTCGGACATTCTTTAAAATTATATTTCCACAAAAATGCACTTGTAAATAGATATCATAAGGTTCTCAAGTGAGATAACTTCTCTATGTCTAACAGAGAGCTGTCTCATTATGAACAGAGATGTAAGAGAACAAACAATATTAATTAGCAGAGAGAATATCCCCAAATGCCAATATTTTAAGGCAAACCAGCAGTGAGAATTCCACCTGCAAAAGGTGCTACATATTTCACTGTCTATGATAAAATGTAATTACAATATAATTATAGAAGCAGGCAAATATTGCTTAAGCAGTCCTTATTTACTAATAGTCTTAGAATATTTACTCCCTAATGTGATTATGAGCCAATACTGCAAAGAACAGTATTGCAGCACAGACCTTAATTTCTTTGAAAAAGGTTTGGTAATTTTTCTTAGGTAGCTGAGAATTATCAGGTGTTTTGGAAAAAGCAGCATAAGGCCCAATTCCATTTGCTTGAAACTAAGTTTCAGTTTTTCAGGAATTTTTTTGTCCTCTTTAATGGCTATTCCTCTCAGTCATTTGGTTGTTTTCATCCAAATGTCTCTTCTGTAATTTTGCAGTATGTTATTTTTAGATCACATTGAAAGACAATTCTAGATGTGACCCCACTAGCAGCATTAGAGAAAAAGTCTAATTCTGTTAAGCAATTTGACAAGCCACTTTAAAGGTCTACAGGAATTCGCCAGAGACAATGAGGGTATCATATCAAGAATAACAAGGACTGAAACCTCTGCTACAACTGTAATTTATCTTCGTTTATTTTCAATGGCCTGTCAGGCACTTCATACCTACACTTCAACGGTTGAGTGCTTAAAACAATACCTAACAGCAAAAACACACACACAAATAATTAAAGATGGTAAAGAAAGAGAGAAACATGAGCCATTGATAACAGGGACTAATTTTATACAAAATTGCCAGACTATTTTGGGGCCTCATCATGATCTTTTCTGATATGTCATTTCACTTAAAAAAGGCCATGACAAGAAAAGACAAACATGAGAAAACTGTGTCCTATAGATAAAAAAGGGAATCACAATCATAGCACTTAAGGGACACAATTCATGCAAGGTTGGTTTTTACAGACACAATAAAAGAGTAGCAAATTTGCAGAGGTTGAAAGTAGGGGATTTACCTGAGATAGAAGCAAAATCTAATCCAATTCACCTTTTGAAAAGAACTAAAGAATAAATACAAAGAAAGAAATAGTACTTAGTGCTTTATGTGAAGAAAATCTCATAGCCTCTATTACAACGTCTGCCCTGTAACCACAGAAATCTATAACCAGTCTATTTAAACCATCAGGAATAGGAATACTACATTTAGTCTTCCCAGAAACAAGTACTGCTAATAGCATCTGCATATGTGCGTCTTAAACTTTGCTTCATTTTGAACTCTACTCCTACCCTGAAATCAGAAAGTCTTTGTAGATATTAGCCTCAAATAGAGTTCTTTTTCATAATCCTTTATAGGTACTTTTCAAATAGCAGGTACTTTAAAATGCTTTCTAATTCAGCAACTTGGGTAAACTGTAACTGATCAGAAGGTCAGGCAGCAGGGACCACTATTAACAGGAATTGTATTTTCTGATCCAAGTATGAAGATATGGGTTCTGACAACAGGTCACAATGTATGAAAACTGAATGGCCAGCAAATCTAAAATATAAGCCATATGTATTGACAGAGGAAAACAGTCATTCTACTTCAAATTCAAAATTCTACTCCCTACTCTGAGTATATAAAATACTTGACAAAAATGAACTGATTAGCTTACTTTCAAAAGCAGTATCTGTCAAACAATAATGTGACGATGGCTCTTAATATGTAAAAATTCACTTCAATATGCTTGTCTCATATTAAAAACTCATTATACATTTAAATAAATCCATGAAAATAAATATAATAGCTGAATTGTTCTGGTTTGGTAATACCAATTAGACAAACAGTTTTATTATTCATCTACAGAATAAACTCACGCCTTTTAAGAACCGAACTACCTGTAATCATTCTTATTCCTTTACGGATACTTTCTGCTATGGTCCGAATGTTCGTGTCCCCGCTAAATTCATATGTTGAGATCTTAACCCCCAACCTGATTGCATTCGGAGGTGGGGCCTTTGGGAGGTAATGAGGTCAGGATCCCTTAGAAAAGAAGCTTGAGGCAGCTTGGTTGCCCCTTCCACCCTGTGAGGAGCCACGGAGAGGGTGCTGTTCTATAAACAAGGAAGGGGACCCTCACTAGACACCAAATCTGCCAGTGCCTCAATCTTGGACTTCCCAGCCTCCAGAAAAATGAGAAAGAAATTTCTGTTGTTTATAAGCCACCCAGTTTATGGTATTTTGTTACGGCATTCCAAACAGGCTAAGACATTCTACAATTATTAAAGACAACTACTTATATGAAATAGTGTTAAAGAGATAAATAGCCTGAGCATTCAGACATGATCCACACTAATAAATGTTTGTAATTCTATTCGATTTTAGAACTAGCTTTGCATCAAATAAGTTGAAAAAATTTAGTTTGTTTTACTTTCCTTCCCAATTTATCCAGTTCTCACAATCATAATAATAAAAACAAAATGATGACAATAATAGCAGCTACCACTTATGTATCAGGCTAAGCTGTTACCTATTTTTGGAATGTCCTCCTTTATTGAAAAACTTCCTATTCATCCAGCATACAGATGTAATGTGCTCAAGTGCAACAATCTGTGAGAAGCCAGTACAAGAAGCTGATGGTTTTTCTAAATTACTACGACTTTTGTCTCTACCACACAATCTTGCATTCCATGATGTAGGACTTTGAGGACTCTGCCCTCAAGAAGCTGATCAAAACAGAACTTAAACCCACATATGGAAATGAGATTTGGCTCTGCTAAAGATCATATCTGATTTCTTTAAGCAGTTTCATCAGCATCAGCTGTGAGATACACCTGACATTAACAGACAAGGCAGGATTACAGAGCAAGCCCTGGAGTCTAGCCAATTTACCATCCTTGAAACCATGCGGGATGCTATATGACACTATTGAAAATAGGTGACAGAAGGCTATCCAAGCAGCTGTGGCATGGTGATCTAAAATAGAAAGATCACAAAACAGGCAGATGGAAATGTTTTAGGAGCACAGTGAATCACAGCATCAAATGATAAAACACAGTTCAAGGAAGACAAGAAACAATCATTTTTGTAAATGCAATAATCAGAAATGAAGTGATTCCTTTACAGCAAAACCACTGAAAAGAACATGATCCTAAAACAATCGCTTGCAAACAGGGAAAGAAGGTGTAAATAACAGTTGCAACTCAAATCAAAGGACAATGTAATACAAACATCATAAAAAGTATTAAATTATTTCTTTAAAGCAGTTAACAACCATCATTAGAAGTATTTTTCATTGGCCAGGTGTGGTAGTGTGCGCCCGTGGTCCCAGCTACTTGGGAGGCTGAGGCAGGAGAATCACTTGAACCTGGGGGATGGAGGTTGCAGTGAGCTGAGATCATGCCACCGCAATCAGACTGGGCAACAAAGTGAGACTCTATCTCAAAAAGAAAAAAAAAGAAGAAATATTTTTCATTATTGTCAAGACACAAAAATCTAAATTACACTAAGACAGAATTTGAAATGAGTCTGGTTTTAAAAATTACATCCAGGGGCCAGGTGTGGTGGCTCACGCCTGTAATCCCAGCACTTTTGGACGCCGAGGTGGGCGGATCACGAGGTCAGGAGTTCAAGACCAGCCTGGCCAATATGGTGAAACCCCGTCTCTAATAAAAATACAAAAATTAGCCAGGCGTGCTGGCATGTGCCTGTAGTCCCAGCTACTCGGGAGGCTGAAGCAAGAGAATTGCTTGAACCCCAGAGGTGGAGGTTGCAGTGAGCCAAGATCGCACCACTGCACTCCAGCCTGGGTGACAGAGTGAGAGTCCATCTCAAAAATAAATAAATAAGAATAAAAATTACATCAAATGTCCAAAGAGCAAATTTTCCAGGGTAGAAATGTTGCTCCCTTTTTTAGTGTAAGACTTCAAGGTCAGGCGCAGTGGCTCACACCTGTAATCCCAGCACTTTTGAAGGCTGGGGTGGCAAGACTGCTTGAGACCAGGAGTTGGAGACCAGCCTGGGAAACATGGAGAAACCCCAACTCTACAGAAAATACAAAAATTAGCTGGGTGTGGCAGAACATGCCTTGTAGTCCCAGCTACTCGGGAGGCTGAGGCAGGAGGACTGGTTGAGCCCAGGAGGTCGAGGCTGTAGTGAGCCATGCTCGTGACACTATACTCCAGTCTGGGTGACACAGTGAGACCCTGTCTCCAAAAACAAACAAAAAACTTAGCTGGGTGTGGTGGTGCATGCCTGTAGTTCTAACCACTTTGGTGGCTAAGGTGGAAGGATTGCTTGAGCCCAGGAGTTTAAGGTTACAGTGAGCTATGGTTGCATCACTGTACCCCAGCCCAGGACACAGAGCAATCTCCAAAAATACAAAACAAAACAAAACACAAACCATCACTTTGAGCACGTTAAGGGCTTAGATAAATTGTGAGGTTAATTTATTAATAGTTTTATATGGCATGAAACTGAAATTTTTCCTTTTTTTTTTTTAAAGAAATAATGCATTTCATTGATGGATATACTATTTCCCTATTCAGCAGCCTAAAAAAAAATCATATTGGTACAATAACAAAGAATAACTTAGTTTAAAAGTTCTACAGCATTAAGTATATATCATCAAGCTTCAGAGAAAGGGAAAAACTGAGCTAAGCAGGGCTCTAGAAGAAAATATATTTTCAGATATTGCCAGGCTCCAAATTTACAAGCAAGTTACACCCCAACACTTGTAAAACAAAACAAAACAAAAAAAACCTCAGTATCTTTTCCAAATAAATAAATAATAATTAGGTTTACAGAGTGGCCGACAGATGCCAATTTAATCCATAATATGCCTAAAATAATATACATCTGCATTGAAAAAGGTATGCAGTGCCACTGCAATGCTTACCAGTTAAACAGAAAAAAAAAAAGGGGGATAAAATGCTCATCTCTTAAAAGTCAATCGGCTTCTATTTCATTCTATATAGTTGTTGATTTCGTCTACTTCTCTAAATTTAATCATCATTTGCTAGATTCCAAATCTATATTCCCAAGCCAGATTTTCCTCAAGGTTTGCTAATGTATGTGTTCAACTGCTCACTGAACATTTCTACATCAGTCTTAGACAACTTAAATCCAGTATGTCCACAGCTGAATTTATACTGCAATATACTTCAAAAAAGAAAAAAAAAACTGTGTTATCCACACATGGACTAAGTTAAAACCCTGAGTCCCTGACCCCTACAACAACATCCAATCAATTATCACCCACATTAATACAGTAACATTCTAACTGTTCTTCCTACTTTTACTTTTCTTCCTTTAAACTCATTATTCAATTTCTGCCAGTACTTCCTAAAACTCAACTGGAAAATGTTACTCTTATTAAAAGTGTTCAACTACTCTTCTTAGACTTCAGTTAAAGCTCCTTAACGTACATTACAATGCTCTTTACAGTTTACACCTGTTTATTCCTCCTGACTCTTACCTCCTTGGTACAAAAAAAAAACTAACCTTTTCACAATTTGATTTTTAAAAACTGTCATTCCCTTCATGTCTGGTCCTTTGCACATGTTTTTAAATGTATTAAGAAACTACAGAAAAAGACACAATCTTACAACAGTTATTTGTTTAAGGAGTAATATTTCCTTGTATTGATAAGCCTAAATGGTATTCAAACCATGGATCTTAATTATCTACACAAAATGGAGTCCACAAGCAAAGCTGTGATTTTTCAGAGTTTTTTAAAATGTCTAATTTGGTTAGGAATAGAAAATGTAAAATAATAAATTATGTATAGTGAATACTACTTCGCTCAAGATAAAAATTTGGAGTTATTTTAAAATATGAATATCAACTTCTCTCCCAAATATGCCATTAATACGCTCATATAGTAAAACCAGTGTTTAAGATTTTAAAGTAAGGCCGGGCACGGTGGCTTATCCCCATAATCCTAGCACTTTCGGAGGCTGAGGTGGGCGGATTACCCGAGGTTGGGAGTTCAAGACCAGCCTGGCCAACATGGTAAAACCCCCTCTGTACTAAAAATACAAAAATTAGCCAGGTGCAGTAGCACACACCTGTAATCCCAGCTACTCTGGAGGCTGAGGCAGGAGAATCGCTTGAACCCGATAGGTGGTGGCTGCGGTGAGCCGAGATTGCGCCACTGCACTCCAGCCTGGGCTACAGAGCGAGACTTCGTCTCAAAAAAAAAAAAAAAAAAAAATTAAAGTATTCGTAATTATGAAGAGTAGTGTAAATCACCTTAGTTTGTTGATATTTCATAAAATATACCTAATAAAATAATCATAAACTGACAATCATAAGTAAAATTAACAACTTCTCAAATTGAAACAACTGTTTTAAAAAGTGGGTTGCGAGAATAATCCCCTGGATGGGAAAGTAGCGGGGGAATGGAGAAGAATCTTTAGATCATGAAGACCAACTAACAGAATTTTGTGAGACCCCACAGTAAGCAGCCATTCCGCCTCCCACCTTCTCAGTCTACATCCTTCTCCACTCTCCGGGGCAAAGCAGCCTCAAACACTGGGAAACAGCATCTAACAATATATTGTTAACATAATCAACACCATGCCCAAACAAGAAAACTCCTTTATTTTCATCTAAGTCAACATAGATAAAATTTGAGACTCACAATTATAAAGAACAGTAATTCTCATTGACAGAAAAAGTTATCAGCAGTTACTTCTAAATGATATTCATAAAATGTTATACAGTATCTTTTATTAAGTAATTTGTCCCTTCCTAATATTAACATAATTCAGGGGGATAAGTGATGCTCCATGTGCCTGAATTTCAGCTAGCCGGGGTACTGGCAGACAGGTCCAGCAGAGTAATAATGCGGAGCTCTTACAGAATGACTAACACACACCCATTACCTTAGAGTGCTTTTTCCTAAACAAATTAAATCCTATACATACTTGAAAAAATACCCATAACTTACCTTCTTCTGAGACACTTCATAAACTAATGCCATATGATCAAATGACATTTTTTTCTTCTCCATGGACAGTGAAAATTATAGATTTATTGGAATTTTGGATAGTTTTTCTAACTTTGTTGCCAGGAATATTTTTCTACACATTCTTACCACAGTTTCCCAGAAAGAGATCTTACCTGACCATCTGATTTGAATCCAGAGCTAATCTATACCTTAACTTTATTCTAAGCCTATACAAGACAGATGAAAATATGATCTTCAGATTGTGTATACTGTGGGAAAATAAAAACAAAAAATATCAAAAGGCAGATTTATAAGAAGATTATCTAAAAGTCTTCATTAGAAAAGAAGAATTAAATAAAGTGCCCTTTCCAGTCAGGAGAACAGGAGGCATGAAGATTCTATTCATTAACAACACTATCAATGGCAATACTGTGGACCCTAACAATGAGGCACAGAACAAGACTACTGAAGATGAAAATACAGTTTAACTCAAACGGTTCCCAAATTATAAACTAGTTATGTTTCAAAACTTGGTCTACCTACCTTAGTGCTTAGAGCTTGGAATTCACTTACCTAATTAAATTGTTTTACATAAAGTGCTTAAATCTCATGGCAGCTCAAAAAAAAATCACTTAACCTACACTGTACCTGAAATACAGAGTACTAGAGAATCCAATTCTAAATCAAGGGGGAGCATATGGACTTAGAACCCCTCCAGCCAGATCAAAGTCACTGATAGTAGGTGCATAAGCATTCCAACAGAGCTGGGCACAGAACACGAAAGGTAAAAACAGGACTATAGAAAATTAAGGTCAGGGAAATCAATTCCCAGGAAGATTTCATCTGACTGTAGGGCCTATGCATTAAATATGAGCAGAAGGTATAGGGCAGGGAGGCCTGCTAAAGAAGAAAGTGAGGCTGGGCACCGGTGGCTCACGTCTATAATCCCAGCACTGGCAGGTGGAGGCGGGAGGATCACTTGAGGCAAAGAGTTCAAGACCAGCCTGAGCAACATAGCAAAACCTAGTCTCTACAAAAAATTTAAAAATCAGCTGGGCATAGCGGCACACGCCTGTAGTCACGGCATGTGCCTGTAGTCCTAGCTGCTCAGAAAAATCGCTTGAGCCCTAGAGCTCCAGGCTGCAGTGAGCTAGGACTGCACCACTGCCCTCCTGCCTGAGTGACAGAGCAAGACCCTGTCTCTAGAAAAATAATTTTTTTTTTAATAAAGAAGAAATGGGATGGTAGTGATGGTTAGTCACTACCACAAGAGTATAGCAATTTCAACAAAATGATTTTTTTTAAATTTCCAATAGAGAAGTTCGCAATTTCAGGGTTTTTTTTTTTTTTTTTTACAGTAATCAAATGTTCTTAGCATTTTCTCCCTTTATATTCAAGGTAAAGTAACAGTTTTAGCTCTAGTGTAGTTTCACTAAGTTAATTTATGATAAAGTGACAGTATCTGGGAGAAAGACTGCCCCACTGATTCCTTCTCACTTTTCCAAACTTATCTCTCACTTCTCTTCCCTTCATTCACTAAGCTCCCACTGCACAGGATTACTCTGAGTTTGTCTAACGGACCAAACTCCTTTCTGCCCTAGGTCTTTGCATATTTTCCTTCTACTTAGAGCTTACCTGCCCTACTTTCTTCAGAATTTCAACGTAAAGGTCACCTCCTCAGAGAGGTGTCTTTCTAACATCTCTCTCTCCCATCACACCATGTCTTAGTACCATGTCCGAGAGAAAATTAGAACTCAATAAATACATAATCTTGGAACCAACCCAAATGTCCAACAATGATAGACTGGATTAAGAAAATGTGGCACATATACACCATGGAATACTATGCAGCCATAAAAAATGATGAGTTCATGTCCTTTGTAGGGACATGGATGAAACTGGAAATCATCATTCTCAGTAAACTATCGCAAGAACAAAAAACCAAACACCGCATATTCTCACTCATAGGTGGGAATTGAACAATGAGATCACATGGACACAGGAAGGGGAATATCATACTCTGGGGACTGTTGTGGGGTCGGGGGAGGGGGGAGGGATAGCATCGGGGGATATACCTAATGCTAGATGACGAGTTAGTGGGTGCAGCGCACCAGCATGGCACATGTATACATATGTAACTAACCTGCACAATGTGCACATGTACCCTAAAACTTAAAGTATAATAAAAAAAAATAAAATAAAAAAATAAATAAATACATAATCTTGAAGAAACATGGTGGAATCTCTGTGGAACATTTCTTCAGATGTGAGGAGCTACTTCATAATTATGTATTTTAAATTTTTCAGTACTTTGATCACAGACATTCAATCTCACAAGACAGTCAAACAGCATTTTGAAAAGAAATCCCTCTCCCAAAGATTTACATAAACATATAGCAGGACTAATTTTAAAGAAAATACTTCAGTCACTGAGAAGTATATGGATCACAACATAGGGGTTGCACAAATGTCAGCAAATCACTGCTACTAAAAATGTAGTAATTAAAGGGTGTTATAGAGATTTGACAAAGAAAATAGGTATTAATGTTATTTTTCTCTCAAGTAAAAATTAGGTAGGCCAAACAGGTAATATTTTAAGTTAAAATATCAACTATACAGTTCTGTTTAGTTCAGAGTCCCCAAAACTTCAGTCAGCTGAGTGTAACATTTGTACTTTCTCCCTATCCTCATACTAGTTTTCATGCTGATTTTTAAAATCAACACACTTTTTAAAAAAGCATAAGTAAATGAATTTCAAAGGGAAGCTGTCAATTCAAAAACAGAAGCCAATTCACTTGCAATTAGAAGGTGATCATAAAATTTACTGTACATTACTTTTTAAAAATTGAGAGCTATCTATAAATATTTTACATATAGGTACATGTGCTACCAAGAGCTCATGTAACCAAGCTCTGAGAAACATGGGTTTGACTTGCTGGTCTCTGCAGAGGACAGGGTTTGGCCACATAGCATACACGCTATTACAGTCTGGAAGAACAAGGCAGCACCTCATATTCAACTCTAGCTTCACATGTATACTTTAGAGTATAATCAACATCACAGAATTATTCAGTCAAAGCACATATGTACCTTTAAATTTTTAAAAATGTATTTTATAATGAAATTCCTATATACTCTAATGAAAGCAAGATGTGTACAATTTTAAAATAAACTGCAGTATTTTTTTTTTTTTTTTTTTTTTTTACTGCTTATTTGTGGTTGGCTTTGAGTATATTCTGCTCACTGGCTACATTTCTTTTTCAGATATGTATATAAAAATCATGTTTCTGAGCTCAGTTTGTATTTTTATTTTAAGAAACTTCTGTGGTTTCCTGTTCTGCTTTTAATATCTCTCAGCTGTAGTCATATATCTCACATTATAGCAGATTAAGAAAATATTATGGAAGGAATAATTAAGATTCCAAAACTAGGTATTGTGAGTGGTGGTGATTATGTGTGCCCTCATAAGAACATTACCTATAGAGTTATATAATATCTAGTCATTTTTAGGAAGAAAAACAGGCTTTCATTTGGCAATACACATGTACATAAGAGATGTACATAAAAGCTGTTGAAAACTTGAAATTCTAAATATCAAGATTAAAAAACAAATAATATTTACTAAGCTCTTATCATATATCAGGTTCTGTGCTAAGCACTTTACCTATTATTTCATTTAACTATCAGAAAATCCCTAAGGGGGATAAACTGAGGCTTGAAAAGTTTAAAGTAACTTGCTGAAAGTCACCCAGCCCTTAAGGAGAACAGGGAAATTCTTACAACTCTTGGATTCCAGAGCATGAGCTCTACATTTTCGATGCCAGATCCTAAAAGCATCTTTCACCAGGTCCTCCCAATATTTGGTATAATGGCCATGATCTCATAGATAAGCAGACCACTGACTGACTTTAGATGGGGAAAACCATCATTCTGGCCTGGCTCTGCCACTGGCTTTCAAATCAAGGCTTTTGCAAATCCTGCAAACTTTGATCTCCTAAAAATGGAAATAATACCAACCTTATTGTGAAAATGATCAGGCACCAGTTAGTACCATAAACACTATCATTAATAATTACCTCAAAATTACTATTACAGTGAGCCAAGTCACAGAGTAACACACTTTTAGATGCAGGCTGAACACAGCTAGTCTTGCTTCAGTGTGCTTGCTAAATGAGACAATTTTATCACTTTTTCAGGTAGATGAGTTCTGAGGCTCAGCTGATGGAGTACAGTGCAAATAACAGCCAAGTCAGGGGCTTGATTTCCTTGTAGGTTGGTAAGCTATCCATGGTCAGAAACAGAACACGGACCCAATGCCAGTCAGCTGCATGTATGTTTGGGTGAATATAGTAATTAGAGAAAAGTATGACTAACATCCAAATCTAGGAAGGATGCCTGAGACTAGTAAGAATCCTGTTATGTTGCTGTGAAATGATTCCAAACACTTACATAGTTTGCTATGTGAATGATTTATGTTCTGCTATAAGAAGAAGCTGGAGTGTTTTCTCCCTCATCCCCTAGAGAATGTGACAGTGGTACCCCTCCCCTTGCGAATGTCACATCACACCTTATCAGAACTCATATGTGAGTTGCTGACCTCAACTACTGGACTTCAAAATACATATAAAACTAAGAGTTTGACAGACACTTTGAGAGTTCAGACTGTGGCAAGCTACATGTTCTCCAAAGACCAAGAGGACATGCTGTGACATTGCCACAGGGCAACATCATTCCAGCTAATCTCTGAAGCCTTGCCTGCCACTACTGGCACCACCCTCAGCCTTGAGGGACCTTACCTGTGGTAACAGATCTCCACTGTATTGGTCAAGCCAGTTTCTCTATAGGCTTGACCTCTATGGTACAAAGGTTGTAAAAAGGTACACCTCAATCTTTAATTAGACTATTTTCCACAGAAGACGGCTTCCATCCTAATTGGGCAACGCCTTTAATAATTTTGGAACTTACTCACTTTGTGGTTCACGTATCTTACCTATCAAGTATACTCCCTGTGAGATCTGTTCACGTTATTCTCCCCTTCTTTACGCACTAGGAACCTAAGGAAAAAATTCTCTTTGTATGGCAATAAACTATGTGATTCATGAAATCATACCTTGATCATCTCCTTACTTCTACCACACAAAACAAATCCACGCAAAAAGTCTAAAACAGGCTGGCTATAGAAAAGCTCCTCAAAAGCAACACAATCTATCTTGTATTTTAACAGGTAAGTATCCCAATATATACTGTTAGATAGTGGCCCACCTGAAATCTACTCAATGGAAGAAAACTACAAACTTGAGTATGATGACAGAGGATATACATGGCACATACATTTAATTTATTAAGATTCCTTTGTATAAACAACTCCTTTAAAATACTGCAATTAGAATACTTTAAAATTGTTTGGATTATGTATGCTTTATTATATATCATGATTTACCAAACATTATACTTGTATATTACTGAGCAGTTTTACAAAACCAGTATGTATTCTATAAGCCATTTATGAAATTTTTAGAGCACTTTGGCTACATATAATTTAATTTTTGCCTTATGCACTAACTTTAGAATTAATCTACAGTACAGAAGGAAAGATTCTGGTGTAATAACTGCAACAAGAGTGAACTTTTCATGTATCTGCACTTGTTAAGGGTTTAAAAAATTTTGTAGTGTCTAGAGCATATTCAAGAGCAAAGGTGTCCTAATTATGGGCTGTTGGTCCTGATTCTTTATATAGAAACATGCAGAGAAAAGGGAAAGTTAATTTATTATCCAATAATGGCTTGAAAGAAATATCTCTTAAAACATATCCACTGAAGTATAATTTGGTTTCCCAACTACAAGAGTATGCCTAGCAGAAACAAAAAACCTCTACTAAACATTTAACCACAACATATCACTCACTCATTTATTGTAGTCTGACTTGTACTCTATGTATTGCTGTCCAAGTCTTCTCGCCAGATTATAAATTCATTGAGGATGAGGACTAAGTGTTTTTCACCTCTTTATTCACTATAGTGCCTGAACTGAGAGTAGCGAAAACTCAAAAACACACCATAAATTTTTCAGGTTTTTGGATCAGGTAGCATTCTCATAGTAAGTTAAAAAGTGATTTACTAGTTTATAAATCAATCTCTTGTGAGTTTGGTTAGCACAAATCAATTTTCCAGAGTTTGATTCCCATGGGTCAATTATAAAATTAGATTTCAGTACAAGAGTACACAATGTCAGGAGAGTACACAAAGAGCAAAGTTTCTAATAAATTCCTGTAAATCAACTGCACATTTCTCTAGTACATATCAATGGGATTTTATAAGCTAACAACCCTTTTATAGCACCACATTCTCTGATTTTTTTTTTATATCTCATGATATGTAAATACGAATAAAAGCACAGATTTCATTTCTGCCATTTATTACTATAGAATAACATAACTCTCCACTTCTCTCATGGCTTTTAAGGTATGTAATAATTAAAAAATACAATCTTCATATAATCTAGAGATGTGAAAAATTAGATTTGTGAGCACCTGTAATCCCAGTTACTTGGGAGCCTGAGACAGAAGGATTGCATGAGATCAGGAGTTTGAGACTAGCATGGGCAACACAGGCCCTATCTCAAAAAAATAAATAATTAAAACAAAATATTAGAATTATAAATGGCCGAAAATAATTTAATTCAGCACTCCCTAAAGGTAAGAGGCAGTAAGTTTCTTCTTGAAAGTCTCAGCAGATTTGTATACTGTGGTGTAGTTAGCAGGCTGGTGTTTTCAGTAGGAAGATAATGATTTTTAATTGGCTCATCACTGCAGTTTCATCCCGAAAGGGGAGACATGAATTTAGAGCCAATATTAACAGGTGATAATTAAATTACGAGTTCTGCATGCTTTATGTCCTAGATTAAGGCAAGGTGAGGCCACTGAGGCCATTAACTATAATAATTGGAGTCTATAACCTGCCTAAGTAGCATTTTATAGTATATTAGCAATAGTTGGTTAGTATTAAGTCTGAAAATAGTTTTCTTACTAAAACTTGTTTTATTTATTCAATTTTATACCTATACATTTAAATTTGAAGAATAATTTACATAATCTGTCTTTTAAAAAAGGTAAATAATAAATGTGAAACACTTATCTCCTAAAACCAATATCTCTGTTTTTAATCATTATTTGTTTTCTACATTTAACATGATTTTAAAACAATGTTCAAAATGAAGGCCCATGATTGGTTCTTTAATTTAAAAGAGCTGGGAATACGACAAATTTAAACATGTAATTTTATTAAGCTGAAATTCCTAATTGAAACGTTTAAGTATTCTATTATAAAGATTTTATACCATTATATTTTGACTTAATATTTTAAAATATTAGGTGGTTATTTCACATCCATTGTGTGGGCAGTGCTATTAAGCATCCTGTAGGAATTATATCATAGTAACAAGAATCCCTGACAAAAGAGGTTTTTTGTTTTGATTTTTAGAACATTTAATAAACATTTGCATTTACGATATTTTTAAACACCATCACTATCATTTTAACTTTACTTAATGACATATGTTTACATTTGGGGCTTTTGTTACACAATTCCCATGGACTGAGAAGTCCATTTTTGTTATGTGTATAGTGACCATATAATTTACCATCCAAACTTCTGGGGAATAAAAGGGGAAGCAATTTACTAACAACAATTATGCCAGGATGGTGACATACATCCAGTACAAGCCAGGATGTATGTCACCCTAGCATAAGAGTAGACTATTATAATATTAAAATACAATACCTGGGTTATTACACTCCCCATTCACCTAAGCAAGGCATCTCTGGAGAAATGCCTTCAGAATCTGTTTGAGCTAACAGGAATGCAAGTCTCCCTGCTATACATAGTGAAATCTCGGTCTCCCTCAACTTAACTGGAAGTGTTTTCCATGGCTGTTGTTTTCACTTTGGTGTCTTAGGCACCAAGCAGAGTGTCTTTGGCACCTGGAGATGAAACTAGTGGAATCTTGAACTACAGACCAGGAGAGGAGTGTGCTGGAGCTGTACAAAGCAGTGGCTGGAAATGAATGGAATTGGAGGCTGTGGAATGGGAAGCTAGGCTTTCCTTCCTGCTTACCCCACAGGACAGTGAGTGTCTCATTATTCCTTTTCATATAGTATCTCCAGAATTTGAGCCAGCCGTCCTTCCTTTCCATTTCCACCAACCTGGTGTTTTACTTAGAACCCACTCAGAGAAAGATAAAGACCACTCATAAGAGTAGTGAGTCTTTAAGTTCACTAGGATTCTACAAAGCACTGTTCAGGGGAGACAGTTTCCATGGGGAGTTGAGGAGGAAGGGTCTGGAGTTTAGAGGCCCCTCTTTAATTACCCATGACTTCCTATCCTGCTGTAGAAGACTGCTTTGAATAGGAAGGTCCCAGCATTTATAAGATAAAAGGTCCAAGAAGGGAGTAGAGGGATCAATGAGAGGGGGCACATTGAAATAAGAATAGTGGATGTGGTCTCAGTCATAACAGATTCTAAAATTTTAATGTGGGAGAGACAAAAGAAGTACTTCTGGTCCAATAAGTCTCTGTCCATGGCTAGCTACAAGCACAACAGTCACAGAGATGCCCCTCTAAATGGACATAAAATGTATAATTAATCCATATCTATATAGTTCTTATATATTTTAAACTGGTCTATAATCTTAACGGAAAAATAACAGCATGAGTAGGCTTAATTTTTCTCTTGTTTAATGATTTTCACAGCAATGCCTCTATTCAAGAAAAAAAAGAAAAGCAGCTTCACATTATCTTTAAATGTGCTTCTATTGTATGCTTATCTGTACTACAGTCTTTCACTGTACAGACCCCATGGTGCATGCACAATCTTTAAAATGGAGAATCCATGTAAGGAAGTTAAATGAGAAAAGAAAAAAATTCAAAACAGAATACAAATAGCAAGGTTAAATTGAGTGCTGCTAACCCCCTGCTGACACCAACTAATAGTGCAGAGGCAACAGCAGGAATCTGAAACAGAGGTCAGTGTTGGGAAATTTCAGCTCATGACAGTTATAAGTGAAATAAATTGGCTAGTTTTTCTTCCAGTGGTATCACTTTAAAGAATATTTTTAAAGTAACATTAAAGATGATACTAGACGTATATCCAGTACACTTAGTAAACAAAACAGAAATTTTTTAAAAATCCCAGTCTGAAGTACCCATTAGGAGTGTGCTTTTTCCTGCATTAAGAATTGAGATATAATTTACATACAGCAAAATGTATAAACATTAAGTTTTATTTATATTTTATACAGCTCAATGACTTTTTTCTTTTTTGTTTTTTTGAGGCGGAGTCTCACTCGTAACCCAGGCTGGAGTGCAGTGGCGTGATCTCGGCTCACTGCAACCTCCATTTCCAGGGTTCAAGCGATTCTCCTGCCTCAGCCTCCTGAGTAGCTGGGATTACAGGTGTCCACCACCACAGCCGGCTAATTTTTATATTTTTAGTAGAGACAGGATTTCACCATGTTGGGCAGGCTGGTCTTGAACTCCTGACCTCAAATGATCCACCCGCCTTGGCCTCCCAAAGTGCTGGGATTACAGACATAAGCCACGGTGCCCAGTCTCAATGACTTTTAAGACAGAAATACACCCATGTAATCAGCACTTAGATCAAAGCAATAAACATTATCGCAACCAAAGACATTCCCTTCCTGCCTCCCAAAACTATCTCTATTATTATTCAGAAGGTTTCATTCTCTAGTTATTCTCAATTAACTTCAAATTTTATATATACTACTGTAACTTTTGAAAATTGCTGGCTTAGTGAGTCTCCCTCCCACCCCAGCACCTATCCCCAATATATTTCTAACAAAAATGCTCTTGTTTTTCAGCTGTGTTCCCTCATATACCTCTTAAATACAAAGCCACTCTTATTTCAAGGATGTCAATAATTAAATAACAATAAAATACCTCGCTTGGTAGAAAACATGCTACTTTGAAAATATATTTAATTCAGAGACTATAAAGAACCAATCAGTGACACTGAGTGAGAAAACATAAAATATCCACAATGCTGCAGGGTATGGGTATTTAATAACTCAAAAACATCTATTAAAAATATGTTAACAGGCTGGACAGGGTGGCTCACACCTGTAATCTCAGCATTTTGGGAGGCTGAGGTGGGAGGATTACCTGAGGTCTGGAGTTCAAGACCAGCCTGGGCAACACAGTGAGACTACCATCTCTACAAAAAATTTAAAAATTAGCCAGGTGCGGTGGCATGCAGCTGTACTCCTAGCTACTTGGGATGCTGAAATGGGAGGATCACTTGAGCCCAGGAGGTTTAGGCTGCAGTGAGCCATGATTGTGTCACTGCACTCAAGCCTAGGCAATGGAGCAAAACCCCATTTCTATTAAAAAAATTTTTTAAAATAAAAAAGTACACAATTGGTTATAGATTCTATTATTTATTAAAATGTTAGTTACTCAGACTCTAACTACTACCCAATCTTTTAAACGTTTTCAAGTTTTATAAGCAACAGCCTCATTTTTCTTTTCTGCTTTTACTTCTACTCTCTTCCCATTTCAGAAGAAAGCTACACTCAAGTCTACCTTCCATTTGTTTATCACCTTCCTCCTGGGATCTTCCATTGAGGTGTCCTTTGATAGCCTTCATCTACAGAACACAACATATCCTCTCTTTTTCTATTCAAATGAATCCAGGAGATCTAGCTCCACCACTGGTGGAACTTATGATCTCCTCCATCTCCTTCACAGGTCCTTAAATAACAAAACACAATTCTCACAGTTCCTTCTTTTCTCACCATTTCACAGATAACATTCATCCATTCTTCTTTTCACATCATTCCTGTGAAAATATACTAAAATTCATTTAGAAAGTTCTTAACTACCATAAATCTGATTCTATATTTCCTATAATATTTTATACAGAAAGGCTATATAACAACAGGGCATTCCCTCTTCCTAAATTCCCACTTCTATAATGGGGTTTACTTTGTTCTAAACTAGACAATGTTTAATTACTTAAAAATTGACATTACTATCTCTAGTTAATCAATTTCAACATTTTATGTTTTGACTCTAAGATGCTAGCCACCTAGTGAATTCACTCTGAACAGTTCCTCACTAGTGTGTCACAGAAAAAGTTGAAAGTGATTCAAAATAACAAACTTAAAGACAGAAAGGGAAATCTATGGTAGTAAAGTAATCTAGAAGTGACAAAGACCAAAAGTTTAACAAAGAATGTAGACAGGATTAAAGAAAAAAAATTAAAGAAGCAGGCTTCTTAGGGCCACTAAAAACAAAATGCAACAATGGTAAAAGGATGGGGAAACAAACATGCAACAGAGCAGAAACATGTTCTGGTGACTGCGTTGATATAGCTTTTGAGAAATGTTTACAGCCCTTACAACAGCATGGAGAACTTACATTTTCCATTTCCCACATGGGGATATTAGTATCTAAAGGGGGAACAGATGTAAAATAAAGATTTCTGACAACTTTTAAAAAATTATACAAAATTTACCTAAAATTTCCTCTATAAAAACTTGTTTTAGGTTTAGAGATACATATAAATAAAAACAAAACTGCAAACACACTAGACCAGAATTATAAAACATCATGCTTTCAGGGTATATAAAAACATCACTGGATGCAATCAAAATTAAGTTTCTATCTTCTGTATATGACTGCTGAAGTAGGAGACTCATAGGACCTTAATGCTTACCTCTAACACAAGACAAAAATGTGTTCAAAGCAGAAAATCACACATGATGGCTGGATGACTGGCTTCGATATGGGCAATTCCCATATTCCTAAGAGCATATACAAAGAGTATGCTTAATGCCTCAGCAGGTTTGGTAGTTCTGAAACATGCTGAGTGAGAAATAGCAACAGAGCAAGTCCCTGGAAATGAGCTGTACCAAAAATGTAATATGCATGTCAAATAATAACCTGCAAGAAACTGGTAGCTTTAAGAATGCAATCCCATTATTTGTCTTAGGAGAGAATACAAGTAATCAAAAGATCCAAAACTCAATGGCACATTATGGCTATACATGAGAAATGTATTATTAATCACACATGTTAGAGGACAAACAGTAAAAAAATGACAATAAAGCAATAACTTCTGAAGTTTTACTGATCTCAGGAGTTACTATTCAAGAATGCCATTATTCCTGGGACCACAAAGCTGTGTGTGCCTAACAGGCTAATTCTGGATTCCTTCCTTATATACTATTTGATATTGAAGAGATTTTTATTTTAACAATACAAACAGCATCTCTGACCAAAGGCCATGATAAAAGCTACTCTTTGAATGAGAAATAAAACTTTCAAATAACTGAAAATTCACCATAGGCTAAATCAAGACTAGTATCTGCAATTCCAGTTTCTGCAGCTATAAAAAACAGTAAAATATCTAAATTTCGTTCATTTCAATTCATTCACATACCAAAGCTGCAACCTGATATTTTAGAGTAATGGTTTATATAAACACACACACTGTAAAATAACTGCAATTCCAATGGCAATCACTGGTTTCCATTAAGAAGTCATTGGGAAATGGTACACCATTCTCTTTGAAAATAAACTATTAGAAATGGATGTACAGTCAAGCCATTTTTAAAACATTACAGTATATTTTATGACTTTTTTGTTGTGAAAATCCAATTTCATAAATTCCACATCTTCCATTCCATTTTGATTCAAATCTGCTGAAGAAGGAGTATTTGTGAAATACCTCTCAACAAAAAAAGCAAAAGGAAAAAATAATTTTTATAAGATTAACACCCACTGCATTAATAATACAGATAGAAATAATAACATAGAAAAGTATTCCTACAACTGTGGGCTATTCCAATTTTTATCAACTTTATATTATATGTACCAAAAATATAATTAATTTATAGAGAAAACCCTGAAGTAAATGCTTCTATAAACCAAAGAAAGACATAGTGTTTTGGAAAAAAACACAAACTTGATCATTATAATGGCTTGTTTTTAACTTGTAAGACACTCATTGCCTCTACGAATTTCCTGAATTTCTTTATCCATGAAGTCAGGTGATTAACATCAATCTTTTGAGGTTGTGGGAAGGATTATTAAACTACCTAGTACAGCAGCTGGCATAGAGTAGAAGCTTTACAAATGGCAGCTATTATCACTGTCATTGGAGGAGCCATCATCATCAACTTTGCCATTTCACAATCTACCTGGTTTCTAAATTAGGATTATAATTTTTATGAAGTGAGAACTATACATAATATAAATAATTAAGAGTAAATGAAATGTTGTGTTAAAAAATATTGATGTATACTAGTTTGAAAAAAACACAGTACATAGGAAATCAAATGCCATCACAAAATGAAAATGCTAATTAAATGACCACTTACAAAATTAGACCAAAGCCAAATATCTATATGTGTATCGACCATTCTGTGTACGGAAAACCACAGTTCCTCTGCTCTCACACCACAACAAAAATCAACACAGAAGATTTCTGTGAGCAAATGTGTGAAGAGTTTTCCCCACACAACAAGCAAGCAATCAATTCTGCAGTGGACACCAGCTGGGTGTCCTCCAATTCAATTCTGACACTACCTAACTGGAGGTAGTTTCAGATCCCACAAAGTGAGGGCTCAGTCCACAAGACTGCCCTCCCACCCCTCCGCCTTTGCACAACAGTCACAAGTCTGGGTCTCCAGAACGTCTGCCCACTGGCTTCCAGTTAGGGTTTCTGCAACCCTGTCTTTGGGTTCAATTAATCTGCCCGAACGAAATCACGGAACTCACACAAATACTTAAGCTTACTTCCACATAGATACTGCAAGGGATATAGATGAAGACATGCATAGGGCAAGGTATGGGGGGAAGGGGCACAGAGCTTCCATGCCTTTCCTGGGCATACCACCCTCTGCGTGATCAGTCATCAAGCAGTTCTCCAAACCCTTCGAGTTATTATGGAGGTTTCATAACATAAGCATGATTGATTAAACCACTGGCCATTGGTGATCAAATTAACTTTCAGCACAGATGTTGGTGTGACTTTCAGCCCCACCCCTCTAATCCTGCCTTGGTTTTTCCAGTGACCAGCCCCCATCATGAAGCTACCTAGATGCTGCCAGCCATCAGTCAACTCATAAGCAAACAAAAAGACATCACTTCAGAGTTTCTAATACCAAGAAACTGGATTGTAAACCAAATATATCACAGCCATTCTATCATAAAGATTGGTTTGTCAACAAACACAGGGCAAATTAATTCCATTTTATAATGAAACTGAAAATCACTTAAAAGATTTCATGAAATCCATTAAAGGGATGATGGAGAACTGCAGGATCACATTCAAAGGCCCTGATGAGAAAATCAAAAAGGATAATGACAGGATAAATTCTTCAGAATGACTTGTCTGCCAAGGACTAAGAGAGTCCCTTAGAAAAACTGATAGAAGCAATTTACTATTTTTTTGTAAAAATTATGTGCTATTGTACATACAAAAAATACCAATAAACACTAATTTTCATTGTTCTTCTATAATTAGAACATAGTTTCTGTTATACAAATTTTCTTAATTGAACTAAAATCAACTTATATGTCTAAGTTTTAGTGTAATTTTTCACAATTTACTCTAAATGTCTGATCCCAGGGTATTTTTTTCTTCTTTTTTTTAACTTTTAGGTTCAGAGGTACACGTGCAGGTTTGTTATACAGGTAAATTGCATGTCACAGGGGTTTGGTATACAGATTATTTTGTCACCCAGGTAATAAGCATAGTACCCAACAGGCAGTTTTTCAATCCCCTCCCTCCTCCCACCCTCCACCCTAGGAGGCTCTGGTGTCTGTTGTACCCTTATTTGTGTGCATGTGTACTCAATGTTTACCTCTGACCTGTAAGAGAGAACATGGGGCATCATGGCTTTCAGCTCCATCAATGTTGTTGCAAAGCGAAGGATCTCATTCTTTTTTAATGGCTGCATAGTATTCCATGGTATATCCATACTGCATTATCTGGTCTACCACTGATGGGTATTTAGGTTGATTCCAAGACTTTGCTATCGTGAATAGTGCTGTGATGAGCACACACATGCGTCTTTGTGGAGAATGATTTATATTCCTTCAGGTATATACCCAATAAAGGGATTGCTGGGTTGAATGGTATTTCTGTTTTAAGTTCTTCAAGAAATTGCCACACTACTTTCCACAATGGCTAAACTAATTTACACACACCAGCAGTGTATAAGTGTTCCCTTTTCTCCACAACCTCAACAGCATCTATTATTTTTTACTTTTTAATAATGGCCATTCTGACTGGTGTGAGATGGTATCTCACTGTGGTTTTGATTTGCATTTCTCTAATGGTTCGTTTCAATCTACTGCAAATTGCTAGCCAGTTATCACAGCACCACTTATTATATAGAAAGTCCTTTCCCCATAGCTTGTTTTTGTCGACTTTGTCAAAGATCAGATGATTGTAGATGTCTGGCATTATTTCTGAGCTCTCTATTCAGTCTCATTGGTCTGTGTGTCTCTTTTTGTACCACTATTGTGCTTTTTTGGTTATCGTAGCCTTGTAATATAGTTTGAAGTTGGGTAATGTGATGCCTCCAACCTTGTTCTTTTTGCTTAGGACTGCTTTGGCTATTCAGGCTCTTTTTTGGTTCCATACGAATTTAAAAATAATTTTTCTAATTCTATGGAGAATGTCATCAGTAGTTTGATAGGAATGGCACTGAATCTGTAGACTGCTTTGGGTGGTATGGCCATTTTAAACAATCTTGATTCTTCCTATCTATGGGCATGGAATGTTCTTCCATTTGTGTCACCTATGATGTCTTTGGGCAGTGTTTTGTAATTCTCATTTAGAGATCTTTCACCTCCCAGATTAGCTGCAATCCTAAGTATTTTATTCTTTTTGTAGCTATTGTGAATGCGATTGTGTTCTTGATTTGGCTCTCAGCTTAGATGATGTTGGTGTATAGAAATGCTACTGGTTTTTGTGCACTGATTTTGTCTTCTGAGACTTTACTGAAGTTGTTTATCAGATCTAGGAACTTTTGGGCAGTGGCTATGGGGTTTTCTAGTTATAGAACCATATCATCTGCAAACAGAAATAGTTTGACTTCCTCTCTTCCTCTTGGCATTGCTCTTCTCTTGCCTGATTGCTCTGGCTCGGACTTCTAGTACTATGGTTAAGTATGAGTGGTGAGAGTTGGCATCCTTGCCTTGTTCCGGTTCTCAAGGGGAATGCTTCCAGCTTTTGCCCATTCAGTATGATGTTTGCTGTGGGTTTGTCATAGGTGGCTCTTATTATTTTGAAGTACATTACTTCAATGCCTAGTTTGTTGAGGGTTCTTAACATGAAGGGATATTGAATTTTATCAAAAGCTTTTTTTCCTGCATCTATTTAGAGGATCATGTGATTTTGTTTATAATTCTGTTTTTGTGGCAAATCACATTTATTGATCTGTGTATGCTGAACTAACTTTGCATCCCAGGAATAAAGCTTACTTGATCACAGTGGATTAACTTTTTGATGTGCTGCTGAATTTGGCTTGCTAGTATTTTGTTGGGGACTTTTGCTTCTATGGTCATCAGGAATATTGGCCTAAGATTTTCTTTTTTGTTGTGTCTCTGCCAGGTTTTGGTATCATAATGATGCTAGCCTCACAGAATGAATTAGAGAGGATTCCCTCCACCTCAATTTGTAGGAGCAGTTTCAGTAGGAATAGTACCAGCTTTTCCTTACACATTCAGTAGTTTGGCTGTGAATCTGTCTGGTCCTGGGATTTTTGTGATTGGCAGGCTTTTTATTACTGATTCAATTTTATAATTCATTATTTGTCTGTTCATGGATTCAACTTCTTCCTGGTTCAATCTTGGGAGGTCGTATGTTTCCAGGCATTTATCCATTTCTTTCAGATTTTCTAGTTTGCATGCATAGAGGTGTTCACAGTAGTCTCTGGGGTTTTTTTGTATTTCTGTTGGGTTGGTGGTAATGTCCCCTTTGTCATTTCTGATTCTGTTTATTTGGATCTTCTGTCTCTCTCTCTATTAGTCTCGCTAGTGGCATATCAATCTTATTTATTCTTTCAAAGAATCAATTTCTGTACTTGTTGATCTTTTGTATGGTTTTTTACATCTCAGTTTCCTTCATTTCAGCTCTGATTTTGGTTATCTGTTGTCTTCTGCTAGCTCTGGGGTTGGTTTGCTCATTTCTCTGGTTCCTCTGGGTGTGATGTTAGGTTAACTTGAGATCCTTTTAACTTTTAACTTTTTAGTCCGTTTCTCTGGGTGTTTAGTGCTATATACTTCCCTCTTAATACTGCTTTAGTTGTGCCCCAGAGATTCTGGTATGTTGTACTTGGTTTCTGCCTTAATTTCATTGTTTACCCAAATGTCATTCAGGAGTAGGTTATATAATTTCCATGTAATTGTATGCTTTTGAGCAATTTTCTTAGTATTGATTTCTATTTTTATTGTGCTTTGGTCTGAGAGTGTGTTTGGTAAGTTTTTTTTTTTTTTAAGTTGCTGAGAATCGTCTTATGGCCAATTGTGTGGTCAATTTTAGAGTACATGCCATGTGCAGATGAGAAGAATGTATATCTTGTTGTTTTGGGTAGAGAGTTCTGTAGATGTCTACTAGGCCCGTTTGGTCAAATGTTGAGCTCTGGTTCTGAATATCTTTGTTAGTTTTCTGCCCCATGATCTTCTAATAGTGTCAGTGGGTTGTTGAACTCTCTCACTACTATTGTGTGGCTATCCAAGTCTCTTCATAGGTCTGTAAGAACTTGTTTATGAGTCTGGGTGCTCCAGGGGTGGGTACATATATATTTAGAATAATTAAGTCTTCTTGTTGAATTTGGCCTGTTGCCATTACGTAATGCCTTTCTTTGTGTTTTCTGATCATTGGTGGTTTAACGTCTATTTTGTCAGAAAGTAGAATGCCAACCCCTCCTTTTTTCTGTTTTCCATTTGCTTGGGCAATTTTTCTCCATCCCTTTACTTATAGCCTATGAGTGTCATTGCATGTGAGATGAGTCCTGTAGAGAGGATACAGTTCGATCTTGCTTCTTTATCCAAGCTGTCATTCTGTGCCTTTTAATTAGGGCTTTCAGCCTGTTTGCATTCAAGGTTAATATTGGTATATGCAGGTCTGATTTCATCATCATGTTGTTAGCTGGTTATCACACAGACTTGATTGTGTTGCTGCTTTATAGCATTACTAGTCTACGTTCTTAAATGTGTTTTTGTGATGGTTGGTAACACAGTCTTTCCTTTCTATATCTAGCACTCCCTTCAAGACATCTTGTAAAGCAAGTCTGGTGGTAACAAATACTCTTAGCATTTGCTTGTCTTAAAAGGATCTTATTTCTCCTTCTCTTATGAAGCTTAGTTTTGCCAAATATGAAATTCTTGGTTGGAATTTCTTTTCTTTAAGAATGCTGAATATAGACCCCCCAATCTCTTCTGACTTGTAGGGCTTTTGCTGAAAAGCCTGTTTTCACTGTTAGCCTGATGGGGTTCCCTTTGTAGGTGACCTACCCCTTCTCTCTAGACACTTTACAAGCAACAGTAGGCTGCACCTTCTTCCTGAGTTCTCACAGATGTGGGACTGTTTGCCAGAAGTTCTAGCAGGCATTGCTACCTGGCTACCTGTGACAGGGTTGGGGTGAGGTCACTCTCCCTTTTGTCCAGGTGTTTCCCAGGACAAAGGGAGGTTGCACCCTCTTGGTAAGTTCACACAGAAGCTGGACTACTGAGCCAGAAACTCTAGCAGGCATTGCTTGCCTGGCTACCTGTGGCAGGGGTGGGTAGGGTGGCCCACCCTGCCATCTGGGTCCTTCCTGGGACAATAGCAAGCCAGGACCTCTGTCCGAGTTCAGACAGAAGCAGGACCACTAGGCCAGAAGCTGACACCAAGCCTCATCCAGCAGGGATGGAGGGAGGAGGGCAGAAGTGGTGTAATCTTACTGCTCCCAGGCCCCATGACTGAAGGTTCTATTGGTGCTATGGTGCCAGTGTTGGTCTGCTCCAGGGCCCAAGTCTCAAAGTGGTCTCCTTGGACTCGAGAGTTGCCCCCACACAAAATGGGCTCTCTGCTTCAGCCTATAAGCGCAGGGGGATGTGCTCCCCCAGGAAGCTCACACTCACTCATTCTTTCCCATGTTTGGGAGGTTCTCCTGGCTCCACACTGAGCCCAGATAGATTGATGCCCTTCTTTGTTCCTCTCTGCTCTCTGTGTCCCCCTGCTGCCTTGATGGACCCTAATGTGGTTTCTCAGATCATCAGCCTACAGGGTCAGGGTTAACTAGCCCTTTTGTTTTATCTCCATGAGAGTGGTGCACATTAGGTGCTACTAGTTCACCATTTTGGCCCCTTCTTCCTGAATTTGATTTAAAGTGAATTCGTTTTAAGGAGCTTTTTTATGAAATTATTCTCAGATATGTACCCACTATTTATGAGATTAAGTATGTATACAATTAAAACTTTTAAATTACATAAGATTATACAGATAGTGGTCTTGTACTATACTCAACATTCAAATACATGATTTTCTAAAAAATGGTTCTATGGCTAAAGAATATCCAATAATACCTTGTATTTTATTGTATTTATTATTTTTATATGAATAGTTTTTGGGGATGCAAGTAGTTTTTGGTTACATGGATAAGTTCCTTAGTGGTGATTTCTGAGATTTCAATGCACCCACCATCTGAGTAATGTACACTGTACCCAACTCATCCCTCACCCTGCTCCCAACCTTTCCTTGAGTCCCCAACATCCATACCACTCTTATGCCTTTGCATCCTCATAGCTTAGCTTCCACTTACAAATGAGAACATAGAATATTTGGTTTTCCATTTCTGAGTTACTTCACTTAGAATAATGTCCACCAGCTCCATCTAAGTTGCTGCAAAGAACATACTTCATTCCTTTTAATGGCTGAGTAGTAGTCCATGGTGTCTATATACCACATTTTCTTTAACCACTCATTGGTCAACGGGCACTTAGCTTGGTTCCATAACTTTGCAATTATAAACTGTGCTACTATAAACATGTGTGTGCATGTTGTCTTTTTCACATAATGACTTATTTTCCTTTGGGTAGATACCCAGTAATGGAACTGCTGGATCAAATAGTAGTTCTACTTTGAGTTCTTTAAGGAATCTCCACACTGTTTTCCATAGTGGTTGTACTAGTTTACATTCCCAGAAGCAGTATAAAAGGACTCCCTTTTCACCACATTCACACCAACATCTATTATTTTTTATTTTTAAATTATGGCCATTCTTACAGGAGTAAGGTGGTATCTCACTGTGGTTTTAATTTGCGTTTTCCCGATAATCAGTGATGTTGAGCATTTCTTCATATTTTTGTTGGCTGTTTGTATATCTTCTTTTAAGAAATGTCTATTCATGTCCTTTGCCCACTTTTTGATGGGATTTTTTTTTCTTGCTGATTTGTTTGCATTCCTTGTGGATTCTGGATTTTAGTCCTTTATCAAATGCATAGTTTGTGAATATTTTCTCTCGGTGGGTTGTCTGTTTACTCTGCTGATTATTTCTTTTGGTGTGCAGAAGCTTTTTAGTTTAATTAGGTCCCATTTATTTAGAAATTATAAAGAAATTTCTTGAGGAGCTCAAAATGTTTCATACTAAATTTACAAAAGTGGCTCATCTTCTTTCAAAAAGGCTACCTTCCATTCAAAACAGGGTAAAATCCCAGAGGAATGATGTTAAATGCCAAACAGGTAATCTTTCAAAAATATAGCTGTACCTCATTTATTTGACACCACTGGAAAATGAAGTATTAACTGGAAAATTCACCATGAACCTGAAGCTAGTCCTGATAGGTCCCCCGCATACCATGTCAGGAAGATTTCATTATTATCTCTTCTTCTATGCTCTCCAGAAATATTTTGAACACTACCATCAAAATACTACATCATATTCTAATTATTTTCTTATGTCTATTTGAACAATTACATAGCAAGCTCTTTGAGGACAAAGAACATGTTTTATTCATCTTTGTATCCACAGCATTCAGTACTGTTCTGGCACACAGCAGAAGTAAAATTAATCTTTGTTACACAAAGGAAGGAAGGTAATAGGGAGAAAGGACTCACTTTTTTTTTAACACTGACTTTTTTAAAACGAATTTTTCTAAGTTACAGCACTCACTTCTTTTTGTTACTGTACAGCATAAACATGCTGAACTTTTCTGGATGACTATGGGAATACTTTGGAACATCGTGTCACTCTGCTATAATAATGATGTCTTACAGTAATATTCAAATACTTAGGCCCTTTATAAAAATTCATCTATTATGGGGCCTTTCCATTTGGGGATACTATTTCTGATCTGAAAGAAGAACTGAAGACTGCCAAGGAAAACTAATTAGACCAGCAGGTAAAACCACTAACCTGAACACTGGGGAGAGTCCTAGATCACTCCTGGGGCATCAAGAGAGAGGACTGGCTTTCTGGTGGCAGCTCAGAGATTTTTCTCCATACCCTTAACAATTCAGGGATGTGATCCTACAGTCAGAGTTTAGAAAGCTAGTTCATATTTCATTCAATTAGAAAGCTAGTTCATATTTCATTCAATTATCTATGTTTCATGAATCTCCCCTGTCTGAGTACACTGGAATTCCAAATTTTCAAGGTGTCCTCAAGGTGCAAGTATAATTTCCTGAGTAATAAAATTATTAATTATATAAAAAATAAAAACACCTCCATGCTCAGCTAAGAATTACACAAAGATAAGGACATATCATTAGAAATTTCCAGAGAAAGGCAAAAAAAGAAAAGTTCTGCATCTTAAGTTGGTTTCTAAACGTGCTACAAATTTTTTTTAATAGATCAAAGATCATTTCAAATATGCTACCATTAAAGCTGTTTCCAAAATCTGTAGACACCAGTTATAGAGATTATGAAAAAGTTATTTACAAGCAACTTTTAATTCCAAAAGAAGGAACAAGGAGATAGTCTTTTGTTTAGAAAAGAAATTTGTACTATGAGCTAACACTAGCCCATTCATATCTGGCCTGAGGAATCTAGGTGATTTCTCCAGTCCTCACTGCTTATGAAGGCCTAGTACAACTCTTATCTTGTTGATCTACATTCTAAAAACCTGCCAGAACCATATTTCTCAAAGGAGATGTTAGCAATAAAGATGACAGGACCAGCACTCTGCCATTCCCCTTAGCAACATCATTAGAGTAGGGAAATGATCCTGAAAGAGTACAAGAAACACAGGCAAAGACAAAAAACTAGTCATTTGTCCAGAGTCCATGAAAAGCAGCAAATAAAGAATCTGAAAAAAGGTAATGTTCATGATGTTGAATAGTTGAATAGTCAAAAACGGCAATGAGATCAGATCATGGCTGCTTCATGATCATCCCCTTGTCTCTGCCACTCCCATTCCAAATCTCAAAAACAGTATAATGAAAAGAACATACATGTGGATTCAAATTTTGCTTCTAACACTTTGTGGCTAGGTACCCTTGGTCAATTTACTGGATATATGTGAATGTTAATTTTGACAAGGTAATAATAGGACCAAAGGAGATACTACACATAATAAATAGGTAACAATGCCTAGACATAAGCAAGCACTCAACAACCCATGTTAGTTCATGCACAATGGCACAATAACTTAAAGCACATCAGCTTTTTTGCTTTCCATAGCAAGAAATATTTAGATATTTAAATACTTAATTTCAGTTCTGTTATTCTTACAGCTACTTTTTAAATAAAAGAGGTAGAAGCAAAATAAAAAGCATGATTGTTTTAACCATATAATAAATTATTTGTAATTTATAATTGTAGACCAGTATATGAATTTAATTCTCAGATTGTTTTTTTCAATCCTAAAATAAAAGTCTCAACTATCAGCTCAGTTTTTTGCAAACGTACTTATTGATATTTGATGCAGCTGTTAGAAACTAATTTCCACCACTTCCTTTAAAGAGGTTTGTTATATAGAACATTTTATTGTGACAAACATATTAAATGTTCCCAGACTAATTTTATTGGCAGGGCTTGATGAACCTTTAAGCATCATTGTGAACCATCACCACTGGTTCTGTGAACCATCATACACAAAGTTATTTTTCTAAAATCTAAGTTCAGTATGTTTGTGTTTGCTCTGTTGAAATGAAATCAGTAGTTGCTGACTGAGAGCTCTCATTCAACATAGCTAATTCAAAACCCTGACAGAAAAACAAAGGGCAACTACAGTACATATAAATATTTTTTCAAGTGGTCCTCCTATCAGTTTTCTTCCTTTTAAAATAGATTTCTGGGCCAGGCACAGTGGCTCATGCCTGGCCTAGCATTTTGGGAGGCCAAGGCAGGCTGATCACTCAAGCCCAAGAGCTCGAGACCAGCCCAGGCAAAATGGTGAAATTCCATCTCTATAAAAAATAAAAAAATTAGCCAGGCATGGTGGTGCACACCTGCAGTCCCAGCTACCTGGAAGGCTGAGGTAGAAGGATCACGCTTGACGAGGTCGAGGCTGCAGTGAGCTGTGATTGTGCCAGTGCATGCCAGCCTGGGTGATAGCGTGAGACCTTGTGTCAAAAAAAATTAAATAGATTTCCTTCCGTCTTCGAAGATTTACCAATTTCAGAAGAATTTTTTCCTAAATGTAGACACCGTATGTTTATAAATAATAAGGAGTCAGATACTGTTGCTGGGGTCAAATCGCCCCTCAGAGATACATCTAAGCTTTCTGTATTTCTTTTAATGGTCTCTCCATTCAATATATTTACTGTTTTCTGGAAACAGAAGCTGCTGATATGGAGCTCCCATAGAGAATTAATGGATTTAATGGGAAGGCTATGCCCTCATACTCTTCAGATCCTCTTGGGAACATAATTCCACATACCATTTTAAGACAGTAGGATTATTTAAAAAAATGCTAAACCTGCCTGTTATGCTAGATATTAAGAACTGAAAAAGAATCAAATATTTTCTATGGATATAATCTCATTTATGTGTATGCAGATATACATATACACACTCACACACACACACACATATCTCCAGGCACTGGCATCCTCAAGATTCAGTAAATAACCTGCCCTTTAGGAAATATTTTAAAGGTTATTAGACAATGGGTAGATTAAAAAAAGCACTTACGGTAACAAACACCATTATAATTTCTTGCTTCTCAGAAATCAATAATCACCACAAAAACCTTACACTGCCCAAATAAGGTGTACTAGTGACTTTGTACTTATCCATTCTGATATCCCATTCCTTCCGGCCCATGCAAGGGTTGTATTTCCCCACTCCTTGCAGTGAAGTAAGACCATGCAACTATTCTGGCCAATGATACTTAAGCCAGGTCAAAGCATTTAATTGCCAGTGTGAGACTTTCTACAGAATCTCCCCTCCCTGCCATAGCAATCATGGTGCCACAAGATCAAAGCAGTCTGGATTGCTAAACTACCAAGACGAAGTCAGTCACCCCAGAGAATCACCCAGTTACACAGTGTATCTGTGTGAGGAGAAATAAACTTTTGATGGGTTAAATCAGCGGTCCTCAACCTTTTTGGCACCAGGGACCAGTTTTTCAGAAGACAGTTTGTCCATAAACTGGCACCAGGGGTTGGAGACCTGTGTTAAATAACTGAAATTTTGATGTTGTTTGTTATGCAGCATAATTTAGCATAACCTGATTGACAACAGAGATTTAGTGTTTCTGTGCTTCCACCTAAAACTACTTGGAATTGATATGAGAAGATTTTCTAAAAGAGAATACTCTCAGGCAAAAATTTTACAGTGTAAAGGACACTGATGAGGAGCAAACTTTTTTGGGATACATAAAAGAAAGATGAGAAGTTGAGTCAAGGAATGCACTTGGGTATAAGAGGAGATGAGATAATTAACAAAAATAAATTCGGGATAAGTTTTCAGGAAACATATGAAGGTGAGAAATTTGTCTGCAGTTAGTGTCAGAATGTACCACCACAGGCTGACATCAGGATGAAGCCTTAGTCCTAACCTCACATGATTCTTTCACTTACCTAACACTGCCTAACTGCAGATTTACTCTGCTCAACTCTGGGAATAGTTTCTGAAATAGCATGAAATATTTGTCTATTTCACAACAAAGATTTGTTACGTGTGACTCTTTATTGCCCTGTAGCCCTGTAGGTTACTGTCTGGCTTAAACTCTTGATCATCTAAATTCAATGGGTATATACCATAATGTTCCCTGACTCTCTTCCTGGGTTCTGATTTGCCGCTTTCTCCTGACCCTGAGTAAGGTCCAGACTGCTTGTCTGACTTGCTGTACCAGTAGCAGTTTAGGTTTAACTGAGCATCAGGTCTACTCTGCTACTCAGTGCATCCTCTTCTTTTTCCAAGCCCAGCTTTCTATACAATTAATTGCAAAACTCATCAGATCTGTATTTCTAGCTTTAATGAAGTAATCAATTCAATCAGTTGATAGCTGGCAGCCTCCTGTGTAAAACAAGAAATGGCAGGATCTAACAAAATTCAGAAAGTCTTAGATGATTTACGTAAGAGATATAATTTTCCTCAATGCATTTAGAGAGAGGTATGTACGAACTGCATAGACTGCTTTATATGCTCAGTAAATACACATGAATCGTAGCATAGTTCTTCTCCTTTAATAACTGTTATAGAAAAAGGAGGAATGACAGTATTGCTCATGCAATACAGGTTTTATAGATCAGAGATTTTAGTATCTACGGAGACTGTGACAGTAATTTATAATTTAAACTTTTCCAGCACAGTAGGTATAAACTGGTCAGCCACAATCCAGGGCATGAAACAAACAAACAAAAAAAAGTAACTGTATTTTCTAAACTTGTTTCTAGTTACAAGTCGCTATTTCAAATCATCACAGGAAAAAAATCAACCGTGTCATTTAAAAAGGCATCTCAGTATCTTCTGATTTAAAACACTTTGCTTTGGCTGTTTAATCCATAAAAATTTCTACCCCTCCCTACAGTTATCTCCTCCCTTCTTACCAAGTTGGCATTTGGATATAAGAGGAAGCATGACTTCTTTTTTGTCTTTCATTATTATTATACTTTAAGTTTTAGGGTACATGTGCACAATGTACAGGTTACGTATGTATACATTTGCCATGCTGGTGTGCTGCACCCATTAACTCGTCATGTAGCATTAGGTATATCTCCTAATGCTATCCCTCCCCCCTCCCCCAACCCCCCACCAGTCCCCAGAGTGTGAGGTTCCCCTTCCTGTGTCCATGTGTTCTCACTGTTCAATTCCCACCTATGAGTGAGAACATGAGGTGTTTGTTTTTCTGTCCTTGTGATAGTTTACTGAGAATGATGATTTCCAATTTCATCCATGTCCCTACAAAGGACATGAACTCATCATTTTTTATGGCTGCATAGTATTCCATGGTGTATATGTGCCACATTTTCTTAATCCAGTCTATCGTTGTTGGACATTTGGGTTGGTTCCAAGTCTTTGCTATTGTGAATAGTGCCGCAATAAACATACGTGTGCATGTGTCTTTATAGCAGCATGATTTATAGTTCTTTGGGTATATACCCAGTAATGGGATGGCTGGGTCAAATGGTATGTCTAGTTCTAGATCCCTGAGGAATTGCCACACTGTCTTCCACAATGGTTGAACTAGTTTACATTCCCACCAACAGTGTAAAAGTGTTCCTGTTTCTCCACATCCTCTCCAGCACCTGTTGCTTCCTGACTTTTTAGTGATTGCCATTCTAACTGGTGTGAGATGGTATCTCATTGCGGTTTTGATTTGCATTTCTTTGATGGCCAGTGATGGTGAGCATTTTTTCACGTGTTTTTTGGCTGCATAAATGTCTTCTTTTGAGAAGTGTCTGTTCATGTCCTTCGCCCACTTTTTGATGGGGTTGTTTTTTTCTTGCAAATTTGTTGGAGTTCATTGTAGATTCTGGATATTAGCCCTTTGTCAGATGAGTAGGTTGCGAAAATTTTCACCCATTTTGCAGGTTGCCTGTTCACTCTGATGGTAGTTTCTTTTGCTGTGCAGAAGCTCTTTAATTAGATCCCATTTGTCAATTTTGGCTTTTGTTGCCATTGCTTTTGGTGTTTTAGACATGAAGTCCTTGCCCATGCCTATGTCCTCAATGGTAATGCCTAGGTTTTCTTCTAGGGTTTTTATGGTTTTAGGTCTAATGTTTAAGTCTTTAATCCATCTTGAATTAATTTTTGTATAAGGTGTAAGGAAGGGATCCAGTTTCAGCTTTCTACATATGGCTAGCCAGTTTTCCCAGCACCATTTATTAAATAGGGAATCCTTTCCCCATTGCTTGCTTTTCTCAGGTTTGTCAAAGATCAGATAGTTGTAGATATGTGGCGTTATTTCTGAGGGCTCTGTTCTGTTCCGCTGATCTATATCTCTGTTTTGGTACCAGTACCATGCTGCTTTGGTTACTGTAGCCTTGTAGTATAGTTTGAAGTCAGGTAGCGTGATGCCTCCAGCTTTGTTCTTTTGGCTTAGGACTGACTTGGCGATGCAGGCTCTTTTTTGGTTCCATATGAACTTTAAAGTAGTGTTTTCCAATTCTGTGAAGAAACTCATTGGTAGCTTGATGGGGATGGCATTGAATCTATAAATTACCTTGGACAGTATGGCCATTTTCACGATATTGATTCTTCCTACCCATGAGCATGGAATGTTCTTCCATTTCTTTGTATCCTCTTTTATTTCATTGAGCAGTGGTTTGTAGTTCTCCTTGAAGCGGTCCTTCACATCCCTTGTAAGTTGGATTCCTAGGTATTTTATTCTCTTTGAAGCAACTGTGAATGGGAGTTCACTCATGATTTGGCTCTCTGTTTGTCTGCTATTGGTGTATAAGAATGCTTGTGATTTTTGTACATTGATTTTGTATCCTGAGACTTTGCTGAAGTTGCTTATCAGCTTAAGGAGATTTTGGGCTGACACGATGGGGTTTTCTAGATATACTATCATGTCATCTGCAAACAGGGACAATTTGACTTCCTCTTTTCCTAATTGAATACCCTTTATTTCCTTCTCCTGCCTAACTGCCCTGGCCAGAACTTCCAACACTATGTTGAATAGGAGTGGTGAGAGAGGGCATCCCTGTCTTGTGCCAGTTTTCAAAGGGAATGCTTCCAGTTTTTGCCCATTCAGTATGATATTGGCTGTGGGTTTGTCATAGATAGCTCTTATTATTTGGAGATACGTCCCATCAATACCTAATTTATTGAGAGTTTTTAGCATGAAGTGTTGTTGAATTTTGTCAAAGGCCTTTTCTGCATATATTGAGATAATCATGGTGGTTTTTGTCTTTGGTTCTGTTTATATGCTGGAGTACATTTATTGATTTGCATATCTTGAACCAGCCTTGCATCCCAGGGATGAAGCCCACTTGATCATGGTGGATAAGCTTTTTGATGTGCTGCTGGATTCGGTTTGCTAGTATTTTATTGAGGATTTTTGCATCAATGTTCATCAAGGATATTGGTCTAAAATTCTCCTTTTTGGTTGTGTCTCTGCCCGGCTTTGGTATCAGGATGATGCTGGCCTTATAAAATGAGTTAGGGAGGATTCCCTCTTTTTGTATTGATTGGAATAGTTTCAGAAAGAATCGTACCAGTTCCTCCTTGTACCTCTGGTAGAATTCGGCTGTGAATCCATCTGGTCCTGGACTCTTTTTGGTTGGTAAGCTATTGATTATTGCCACAATTTCAGAGCCTGTTATTGGTCTATTCAGAGATTCAACTTCTTCCTGGTTTAGTCTTGGGAGGGTGTATGTGTTGAGGAATTTATCCATTTCTTCTAGATTTTCTAGTTTATTTGCGTAGAGGTGTTTGTAGTATTCTCTGATGGTAGTTTGCATTTCTGTGGGATTGGTGGTGATATCCCCTTTATCATTTTTTATTGCATCTATTTGCTTCTTCTCTCTTTTCTTCTTTATTAGTCTTGCTAGCGGTCTAACAATTTTGTTGATCCTTTCAAAAAACCAGCTCCTGGATTCATTACTTTTTTGAAGGGTTTTTTGTGTCTCTATTTCCTTCAGTTCTGCTCTGATTTTAGTTATTTCTTGCCTTCTGCTAGGTTTTGAATGTGTTTGCTCTTGTTTTTCTAGCTCTTTTAATTGTGATGTTAGGGTGTCAATTTTGGATCTTTCCTGCTTTCTCTTGTGGGCATTTAGTGCTATAAATTTCCCTCTACACACTGCTTTGAATGTGTCCCAGAGATTCTGGTATGTTGTGTCTTTGTTCTCGTTGGTTTCAAAGAACATCTTTATTTCTGCCTTCATTTCGTTATGTACCCAGTAGTCATTCAGGAGCAGGATGTTCAGTTTCCATGTAGTTGCACGGTTTTGAGTGAGTTTCTTAATCCTGAGCTCTAGTTTGATTGCACTGAGGTCTGAGAGACAGTTTGTTATAATTTCTGTTCTTTTACATTTGCTGAGGAGAGCTTTACTTCCAATTATGTGGTCAATTTTGCAATAGGTGTGGTGTGGTGCTGAAAAAAATGTATATTCTGTTGATTTGGGGTGGAGAGCTCTGTAGATGTCTATTAGGTCGCTTGGTGCAGAGCTGAGTTCAATTCCTGGGTATCCTTGTTAACTTTCTGTCTCGTTGATCTGTCTAATGTTGACAGCGGGGTGTTAAAGTCTCCCATTATTATTGTGTGGGAGTCTAAGTCTCTTTGTATGTCACTAAGGACTTGCTTTATGAATCTGGGTGCTCCTGTATTGGGTGCATATATATTTAGGATAGTTAGCTCTTCTTGTTGAATTGATCCCTTTACCATTATGTAATGGCCTTCTTTGTCTCTTTTGATCTTTGTTGGTTTAAAGTCTGTTTTATCAGAGACTAGGATTGCAACCCCTGCCTTTTTTCGTTTTCCATTTGCTTGGTAGACCTTCCTCCATCTTTTATTTTGAGCCTGTGTGTGTCTGTGCCCATGAGATGGGTTTCCTGAATACAGCACACTGATGGGTCTTGACTCTTTATCCAATTTGCCAGTCTGTCTTTTAATTGGAGCATTCAGTCCATTTACATTTAAAGTTAATATTGTTATGTGTGAATTTGATCCCGTCATTATGATGTTAGCTGGTTATTTTGCTTGTTAGTTGATGGAGTTTCTTCCTAGCCTTGATGGTTTTTACAATTTGGCATGATTTTGCAGTGGCTGGTACCGGTTGTTCCTTTCCATGTTTAGTGCTTCCTTCAGGAGCTCTTTTAGGGCAGGCCTGGTGGTGACAAAATCTCTCAGCATTTGCTTGTCTGTAAAGTATTTTATTTCTCCTTCACTTATGAAGCTTAGTTTGGCTGGATATGAAATTATGGGCTGAAAATTCATTTCTTTAGGAATGTTGAATATTTGTCCCCACTCTCTTCTGGCTTGTAGAGTTTCTGCCGAGAGATCTGCTGTTAGTCTGATGGGCTTCCCTTTGTGGGTAACCCGACCTTTCTCTCTGGCTGCCCTTAACATTTTTTCCTTCATTTCAACTTTGGTGAATCTGACAATTATGTGTCTTGGAGTTGCTCTTCTCGAGGAGTATCTTTGAGGCGTTCTCTGTATTTCCTGAATCTGAATGTTGGTCTGCCTTGCTAGATTGGGGAAGTTCTCCTGGACAATATCCTGTAGAGTGTTTTCCCACTTGGTTCCTTTCTCCCCGTCACTTTCAGGTACACCAATCAGACGTAGATTTGGTCTTTTCACATAGTCCCATATTTCTTGGAGGCTTTGTTCATATCTTTTTATTCTTTTTTCTCTAAACTTCCCTTCTTGCTTCATTTCATTCATTTCGTCTTCCATCACTGATACCCTTTCTTCCAGTTGATCACATCGGCTCCTGAGGCTTCTGTATTCTTCACGTAGTTCCCGAGCCTTGGCTTTCAGCTCCATCAGCTCCTTTAAGCACTTCTCTGTATTGGTTATTCTAGTTATACATTCGTCTAAATTTTTTTCAAAGTTTTTTACTTCTTTGCCTTTGGTTTGAATTTCCTCCTGTAGCTCGGAGTAGTTTGATTGTCTGAAGCCTTCTTCTCTCAACTCATCAAAGTCATTCTCCGTCCAGCTTCGTTCCATTGCTGGTGAGGAACTGCGTTCCTTTGGAGGAGGAGAGGTGCTCTGCTTTTTAGGGTTTCCAGTTTTTCTGCTCTGTTTTCTCCCCATCTTTGTGGTTTTATCTACTTTTGGTCTTTGATGATGGTGATGTACAGATGGGTTTTTGGTGTGGATGTCCCTTCTGTTTGTTAGTTTTCCTTCTAACAGACAGGACCCTCAGCTGCAGGTCTGTTGGAGTTTGCTAGAGGTCCACTCCAGACCCTGTTTGCCTGGGTATCAGCAGTGGTGGCTGCAGAACAGCGGATTTTTGTGAACGGCAAATGCTGCTGTCTGATCGTTCCTTTGGAAGTTTTGTCTCAGAGGAGTACCTGGCCGTGTGAGGTGTCAGTGTGCCCCTACTGGGGGTTGCCTCCCAGTTAGGCTGCTCGGGGGTCAGGGGTCAGGGACCCACTTGAGGAGGCAGTCTGCCCGTTCTCAGATCTCCAGCTGCCTGCTGGGAGAACCACTGCTCTCTTCAAAGCTGTCAGACAGGGACATTTAAGTCTGCAGAGGTTACTGCTGTCTTTTTGTTTATCTGTGCCCTGCCCCCAGGGGTGGAGCCTACAGAGGCAGGCAGGCCTCCTTGGGCTGTGGTGGGCTCCACCCAGTTTGAGCTTCCTGGCTGCTTTGTTTACCTAAGCAAGCCTGGGCAATGGCGGGCGCCCCTCCCCTAGCCTCGCTGCTGCCTCGCAGTTTGATCTCAGACTGCTGTGCTAGCAATCAGCGAGATTCCGTGGGCGTAGGACCCTCCGAGCCTTGCGTGGGATATAATCTCCTGGTGCGCCGTTTTTTAAGCCCGTCAGAAAAGCGCAGTATTAGGATGGGAGTGACCCAATTTTCCAGGTGCCGTCTGTCACCCCTTTCTTTGACTGGGAAAGGGAACTCCCTGACCCCTTGCGCTTCCCGAGTGAGGCAATGTCTTGCCCTGCTTCGGGTCGCGCACAGTGTGCTGCACCCACTGTCCTGTGCCCACTGTCTGGCACTCCCTAGTGAGATGAACCCAGTACCTCAGATGGAAATGCAGAAATCACCCGTCTTCTGCGTCACTCACGCTGGGAGCTGTAGACTGGAGCTGTTCCTATTCGGCCATTTTGGCTGCCTCCCTGAAGCATGACTTCTTTTACTGTCCTTCCAGGATGGCTTTTCATGAGCTTCACTTCTCAGCATCAGGTTTTGCTTTGACTTCATCCACTTGGTCAGCAGGCAAGCTGTGCCAGTAGTTGCAGAGAGATGTCCAATCTCTCTGTTCACAAGAAATCTGCATAGAGCTGCCTCCTCCTCCCTCTTGAAACCAAGCCAATTTCAGTCTTGCAGCCCACTCAGTACTATCAACTCCTGCGGGGAGGTGGTGGGGGGGTGGTCAGGGGATAGTCAAAACTCTTGGTTGCTTTCTCTGCATTACCCTGGAGTGTGCAGAACCCTATAAAAACTGCCCTTTGGCTTTGTCCTTCATCCTTTATTCATTACTACTGTGCTATGACAGAGATGGCACTTTGCTCCAAACAAGACTTTCCAAAAGTCTGTGGGTTTTGCAGGCCATACCCAGAGAAACCCTAGCAACAGCCTGCAGTTTTAGGGATTACTCTTTGGCCTTTGTGAAAGTTCTATTTTGTTTCACCTCTAAGATAAAGGGAACTTATTCCCTCCTCAGGGCCCAGGTATCATTCTTACCCTAGCCTCACCCACTCTGAATCTATGTACCTCAGTCCCCCATACCTAAATGGGATGGACTGACCAGTCCTTGGTGTCTAGAATTACTCTTCTTACTATGATTATGACATAAAATAATCCTCCAAATATGCTTTTTGTTAGGTAAAAACCCAGCTTTGGAAGTTCTCAGAAAATCCTTTAACCACTTGAATGTCTGGCTATTGTCTTATCTTTGAACTTTGAAAAAGAAAAAAATCTACTTTCTAATTCACAATTAAGCTTCCCTGTTCTAGGTGGTAACCCTAGCAATAAGCTTTAGCCTATGGACTATTCTTTTTTTTTTTTTTTTTGAAAGCAGCACAGGCTCATTTTATTCCCACCCTTCTGTGTCCAGATTTCCTGTTCCCCCATCACAGAATTCCACCAGTGGCCATGAAAAACCATGCAGCAGGAGCATTTATGCAGAGAGATAAGGTTCTCTAGGTTGATTTCAATTGAACATAGTGACTGGTTCATTGGAGTTTTCACATTGAGATATAGTGACCTCCTTAAGTAGCCCCTGTATGAAGTAAACATTGGTTATTCATACCATTGTCGTCTTGCGATGATTGATGGTGAGATGTGTCCTACCCCTCTCCTTTTGAATAGGCTTCAGTGTTTACAGGGTGCTTATGAACCCCTTCTTTTTTTTATTATACTTTAAGTTCTAGGGTACATGTGCACAACTGGCATGGCTTTATATGGAGTTTATTATAGCCTACCACAAACTTATTAATAAGAAACAGTGTTCCAGATATTAGGTCATCAACCAAAGATAAGTGCAAGATATTTTCTTTTCTTTTCTTTTCTTTTTTAAGGATGGCTCTAAGAATAAACATTCCTCACTTGATTTAATGACAAATTGAGACACAGAAGTAGTAGTTGGTGAGAGGGAGATTAAAAGGGTCCCCTTTTGTAGCTGATAAATACGTTGGAAGAAATGTAATTTATTTATTATTATACTTTAAGTTTTAGGGTACATGTGCACAATGTGCAGGTTTGTTACATAGGTATACATGTGCCATGTTGGTTTGCCGCACCCATCAACTCATCATTTACATGAGGTATTTCTCCTAATGCTATCCCTCCCCCAGGCCCCCACCCCACAACAGGCCCCAGTGTGTGATATTCCCCTCCCTGTGTCCATGTGTTCTCATTGTTCAACTCCCACTTATAAGTGAGAACATGTGGTGTTTGGTTTTCTCTCCTTGTGATAGTTTGCTTAGAATGAGGGTTTCCAGCTTCATCCATGTCCCTGCAAAGGACATGAACTCATCCTTTTTTATGGCTGCATAGTATTCCGTGGTGTATATGTGCCACATTTTCTTAATTCAGTCTATTATTGATGGACATTTGGGTTGGTTCCAAGTCTCTGCTACTGCGAATAGTGCCACAATAAACATATGTGTGCATGTGTCTTTGTAGCAGCATGATTTATAATCCTTTGGGTATACACCCAGTAATGGGATGGCTGGGTCAAATGTATTTCTAGTTCTAGATCCTTGAGAAATCGCCACACTGTCTTCCACAATGGTTGAACTAGTTTACAGTCCCTATGGACTATTCTTAACAGCAGAAAGTGGAGGTGGGCAGGGATGTAAAGAGAGGGAAGTAGCATGACAAAAATGGAAAGGCACAGGATAGCACTGAAGATAGTATATCACCCTAAGTACTAATGGCCATAGAGAATAATTCCACTTCAAGGGAAAGGGGCTTCTGATTATAAATCTTTCATACTGTAATACTAATAGTAATACATTACTCAAAACAGGGCTCATATGTAACTTAGTCTTCTCCTTCAGAAAGCAAGGTGAATTAGAAGTTTTCATATATGAACGAAGTTTTCAAAAACATCACAAAGAATCAACAAAGTGTGTTTTTCCATAGTTGTTCATGACTCTATAATGAGTAGAAAAGTAAAAGGAACATACCGAAAAGAAAGGAAAAGTCTACATTTTTCTAATGGCATGAATAAATGGTTAAAACTTTATGCATGGTAATGGAAAGTAACATTAAGTACATTTTAGGGATAGCATTTAAAAGAGAACATCTTATTAATTAATATGCAATGCATTACACAGTCTTTAGTGAAACAGTGAACACTTTTATAATTATGAATTTTTGTGTAGCTTTTAAAATGTCACCAATATCGGTCAAAACAGCATCATGTCTCAACTGATGGACTGCTTGCAGACCTCTGACAGCTAAATACATTTTACTGAAAGTCATGCCTTAACAGGTGAGAAAATGTCATCTTCAACCTGTGTGTGATGATGTGATGATAGTATCTGAAAGCAAAATCTGTACCCAGTAGACTAGAGATAAAAGGTACTAATCTTTTACTATCTAGGATATTAACGATTCAACTAAGGGCATTTACCAAATGTTGGACAAATTTTCATATGGCTCAGTATTTTAATTAAAGAACACTATTGTTGTATGTCCTACAAAATACTTAACTTTTGTTGAAATTCAACAGGCTCTGAGTTTGTCTTTCACAATTACTTATTGGCTTTAAAAGAAACACAATCTTAGAAATTGCCTTTTAAGAAAGGCGAAAACTAGAAGTAGGGGGGCTTAAAAATAAGAAGGGAATACAATGCATTCCAGTAGAACAACAAACGAATCACACAGAACTGATTATATCATAGCACCATGATTGATTAGATCAGCAACAGTTGAAAACCATTAGTTTCTGCTGTCTGCCGTTGGTGAGATGTTTTTCTTCCTCCTCTACAGTGTGGTGTCAGTTTATCACTTTCCTACTCAGGCACTGCTTGAGGCTCTGCTAACCTTAAATACAAATTTGAAAGGAATGAAGAAAATATTTTAACAATAAAAATGTTGTTCACATATTAATCAAATATACAGCAGCAATTTCTCCAAGGACTGTGAAGAATATTTTGTAAAGGCAATTTAAATGCTTAACATGACATTAAAAAAATCAATTTATCTATTTAGTGCTTCTATAATTTTATTGTCTGTAATTTAATGTCTATAACTTTAATTTACTCAATATCAGTGACTTACTCTTCCTATACCTATTTTCTTCCACAACTACTAATTTTGTGAGTAATTTGTCAATGCTATTGTGTTAAGATAAAGTTCAAGTTCCTTCTTAAGTACGTAATACTTAAGAGGTGTTGGTTATGTGATAATTATTGCAATCAAAGCTCTAAAGAATGTTTTGCCACGTATATTTTAAACCACTTATGGTAAATAATAAGTAACAAAATTATAAACACACAAAAAGTTGTTGTATTGAATCTATTATATTGAAAACTGCTATATTCTGTAAAATATTGTCTTCATTAACCTGTCCCAAATATTAATAACCAATAAGAGTTTAATACCAGGTGTCCAAATAAAGAACAGCTCACAGTCTTCAAGGAGGTATGAACCTAACTCTTTCCAGTGTATAGTCACTTAATTTGCTGTTTGCTACAATAATAGTTATACTCAGCTTATAAAGATCAGTTGCAATTTTAAGTGCACTGACAGGCAGATGGTCTACAAATTCAAAGTCATCACAATTGATCTCTAGTCAGAGGCAGAACTAGAAATGTGCAAATAAGTGCAGCTGTACTGACACCTATTTAAGGGCAAAATTCGTTTCCTCCTCTTTCAGAATCTCATGAGGATATTTCCATCATTCAAGGCTGCACACCTGGGGGAGAGTCCACAATGGAATTGAGGATAATGCCTTACATATGCAATGTTTTCTCTCCTCATAAAACTTCTTTTTCAAAAAAAAAATCTTTCCTCATTAATTCATTCATCAAACATTTAATGATCACTTATGTGCTAAGTATACAACATTTAATTTTTTTTTTTTTTAATACAGACTGGGTCTCGCTCTGTCACCTGGGCACAATCCTCCCATCTCAGCCTTCCAAGCAGCTAGGACTACAAGCACACACCACCTCACTTAGTGTGTGTATGTGTATATATATATATTATTTTTTTTGAAACAAGGTTTGTCTCACTATGTTGCCCAGGCTAGTTTCAATCTCCTGGCCTCAAGCAATCCAAACCACATCACCCATGCTCTCATTAACATCAGTACTTTAATTCTTAATATCTTCATTCATTCACTCATTTCTTGCAGCAGGATCCTTTAGGGACGCAACTCGGAGAGACTGGAAAGTGGAAAAAGGAGTGGAAGTAATTATACTCACGTTAAAACTGAAAAAAAAAAATTCAAAGGCGTTAGTTTGCTTCATAAAATCTGCCCCAAATTACATTAATGACTGAGGCGCAAGGTTTTTGTGGCTCTAAGGCTTTTTCACATGAGCCTTCGGTTGCCCAATATGTGACCTCTGGATGTGTTTCTTGGAAGCTTTCAAGAGTCGGAGGCTAGAAAGTGGGGAGTAAACTGGCTGTCTCTATTGTAAGATGACTGAGACCTCAGTATGAAGGACTGAAAATTTCTTAACCAGATAAATCAAAGTACTCATGCTTGAAGAAAAACAGGTTGAACATAATCAATAACATGATTAGACATCCCCAAATCTGTAAACTCCTGATAAATCAGGACTGAAAAAAAATCAAATCAAAGTAGCTAATTTGCAGAATAATTAGCACAGTACATCTGCAAATTTAAAGAGAGTTCACTTGAAAACTAGATTTAGTTGATATTTCTGGTTTTTAAAATCCATTTTGAATGATAAAAGTAACAAATGATTTAAGTCCAAACTGAGAACTACCCATAAACATAGAATGAATTATGATATAATCACACAATGGAATATTACACAGCAATAAGAATAAACTACAACTACATAAAATAAGTACGAATCTCAAACAATATTGTGCAGAAGAAACCAGACATAGGAAAGTAGTACTGTATAATTCCACTTATGTACAGTCCCAAAACAGTCAAAACTTATCAATGGTGTGAGAAGTCCAGACAGTGGCTAAGTGAAGGAGGCACGAGGTCTCCTTGGAAAGGAGGGCTGGCAATGTTCTTTTTTTAAATCTGGCACCGATTACACAGATGTGTTCACTTGAGGAGCATGCCACATACTTCACAAAAGTTTACTTTAAAAGTAATACACATGTTCACTTCAGAACTTTTTTTCTTTTTTTAGATGGAGTCTCTGTCGCCCCGGCTAGAGTGTAGTGGCGCCATCTCGGCTCACTGCAACCTCTGTTCCCCAGGTTCAAGCGATTCTCCTGCCTCAGCCTCCTGAGTAGATGGGACTACAGGTGAGTGCCACGACACCCAGCTAATTTTTGTATTTTTAATAGAGATGTGGCTTCATCATGTTGGCCAGGCTGGTGTTGAACTCCTCACCTCAGGTGATCCACCTGCCTCAGCCTCCCAAAGTACTGGGATTACACGCGTGAGCCACTGCTCCTGGCCAGAAAGTTTTTAAATTGAATATACTACATATTCAGTCTTGCGTCTTGCTTTTTTTTTTCCATTTTAGACTAAGTCCTAAGTACCTTTCCATGTCACAATGTTTCATGAACATGTTAACTCCTTCATGTACCTTAAGATATTTTAAAAATAAGAAAATGTAGTTTGTATATGTATGCATTCACATATATATATACATACTAATATGTAAGGTTTTAACATAAAATAGCAGTTAAAGACCCAATATAGGGTAAGTTTTAAGAGTTTTTCATGTCAGACCACTAGTTATGCTACCAAAAGAATAAGCACCATTCCTCCAGCACAGCAACAATAACAGCAGAAGTTCCCCACCCCCAAAAAAGTATTATCTTCAAAATTTGTCCTAAAATAACAATTCTTTTAACTTTAAGAATGGTTTCAATAGTTTGGTTGCAATAATTTTCCACAGCTATGAAGCAGAAAAAAAAATATAAAAGTTTATTCTTGGGTTTAGGACTTATTAAGAAAATTTCCCCTCCCATTTCTATCAAATTCACCTGATCAACGCAGGGTGATGCTAATACTCATTTATATTCCATAGTATTTCCAAGAAAATATACATGTATGTATTCTTGGTGTCAGGAACCAAGTCAGGAATGTTTAAATATACACATACGAATAAATAATAAAGCCAACTACAAACAAATACATTGGTGTACTGCAGAATGCATGTGCATTCTATAACCAGGGGCATAGTTTATGTAGTGTGAAAATGTAGCCTACGACCACAGAAAAATTCACACAATCTCATAGAGACTAAAGTGAAATGTTTATAAGCACGGAAGAGAACATTTTTATCTGCGGAAGGAAGAGCTCTCCTATCATATCCCCTCCTGTGCTAAATAAACTATGCAATCAAATAAGCTAAGGTCCTGGGCAACATGGAGAAACTCCATCTCCACAAAAGATTTGATGGATGGTACTGTGTGCCTAGAGTCCCAGCTATTTGGTAGGCTGAGGTGGGAGGATCACTTGGGCCCAGGGGCTTGAGGCTGCAGTGAGCCATGATTGTGCCACTGCACTCCAGCCTGGGCAACAAAACAAGACCCTGTCTCAAAAAAAAAAAAAAACTAAACTAAATCAAAGTACCCCCCATAATGCTTAAATCCTCTTTTTAGCTAGACAGAAATAAATAGTGTTTCTGTCAATAGCTTTCCTCCCTCCTCCAACTAACCTAAATGAATTTGAAATTTCAAAGTCTCCACTGTAAACAATACATTTTGTAAACACCTAATGCTTGGGCAAGAAATCAACAAATGTTTGTTCTCTTTTACTTCCCTACTATCAATTATTAGTTTTGTTATATGGAACTATGTATACATAATTACTTAATCTTTGAAGTCTTTTGTGGTTTGGGTCTTGGTTTTGTCATAATTGTTTACATCTTCTCATTGATTCCTTTTCAGAACTAAGATAAACTGATACACAGCTAGCTGACTGCTGTTTACTTTTCACAAAGAAAAAATTGGCCAGATACTTTTGCAAGCAAATAGTTTGATCAATTACTACACTATTAAAATTACTAAAGTATTTTTAGAAAAAAAAAAGAACGAGAAGAAGGAAGTGAAAGAAAAGAGGGGAAATGATTATGCTTTAGAATACAGTTTATGCAGATAAGAGTAGCTGTGGGAGACACAGTTTTAAAATGCTACCTTTAATTTCTGTTCACAGCTGTCAGCTGGATAAGATGCTCAAATGCAGACCCTAAACCTAAGCTTACCTACACTCAAACCTTTAGCTTGTGGTCTTGAAGATTCTAGGTGAAGACACAACTAGAAAAACATATACTGTATTTATAACTACCAGAGTTCATATGTCCAAAATGAGACCTACAATGCCCTCAAGTAGAATCTCAATAGTGTGGCTTTGGGTAAATTTATCTAATTATACTTCAGTTTCTTCATCCACACAATGTGGATAAGATGAGTACTTAAACAACTGTAAAGATTAAATGAGTTAATGGGTTCCTGTCTGGCATACAGGAAGTGCTCTATAAAAGTTCATCATTGTTACTATAAGGAACATCACCACCAATAAGATAATTTGTTGCTTCCCAGTCTGCTCTTTAGGTCTGTAGTCTTACCTCCAATATTTAATGCTGCAGTTGGGTGAAAAAAATAGACTTTTAGGCTATTAGCAAGACTTACACCTTTTCAATGCAAGGCTCCTGATTCTGTGAGCATAAACTTCTTGGAACCATGGTCTGCATTTCAAAAGAAACATTCATCATTTTTGTGGCAAAGATCATTTGATGTACTCACTTATATAAGCAGAATTTCTAAGGAATCTAAAACTCTCCCACTGGTGTTGGTGCCTCATTCCTGGTGGGGGGAGTACGAAAACAAAGTGTAGGAATTGAGGAAACACAACAGAAGGATGAAAGTATATTGCTTGAATAGAAGGCAAAGAAATGGTTTATATACCGACTTTAAAGATCCTACTTAACATGACCATCCTTTTCACATGTTTCTGACTTTCAGTATTTCAGAGTTAACAAACACACCTATTGCTCCCAGCATTCAGTCTTCCCTGTTTTGACTGACTTACAGGCTACATCAGGAAATTTATTTCTAATGCAGTCCAAGAAGGGTTTCCAGGGCTAAAGATTTCTTTTTTCTTGTTTTAAAATAATTCCCACTATGGACCCACTCAGCATCTTTTTCTTTAAAAAAATTAAATGGTTTTCACGTGTCTTTTTAGAATGTCTCTGTTTAACATTTTAAAACATGTATTTTAGTGTAGTTAAGCACATTTATTTAAAGGATTAGGTGTGACTGTGTGCTTCATAATGGCAACCTGTAATTATTTTTATAATCATCAACTGTTCAGATTTCATATTTATATTTTCCAGAGCATGACAGGCACTTGCTTCACAAGAAGAAAAAAATATAGTGCATAGTAGATGCAAATTATTTTTCCTCACTTTTCCATAACCAATTTATAAATACTCTGTATTTTAGCTAAAAATTTAATGTAAATAAATGTTAAAAACTGTGCATTCTGAAAACATGATTATCAAACAGGCAAAAAGAAAAAATTTTAAAGAGTAATGGCTCTTTACAATTCAGTAGAATATATACATCTTTTATTCATTACAGTATTGTGGGAAAATCTGGAGCCTGACATACAGACACAGGTTAAAATGTCACCTCCAATATAGGTTAACTACGTAGGTCCTGGCAAAACAGTTAAGCTTCTAGGCTTCAGCTTATCCATGTATTAAATGGGAGTTAACAACTGAAAATTCACAGTATTATCCAAATATTTAAAGACTTTAAATGTTTTCCCTCTTTTCATCCTAACTCTTTTTCTCTAAATATTTCAGTATTTCCCGTTATTCCTGACAATTAAAAATAAACTAAAACAAACATAAAATTAATCACTCTGACTACTTTGATTATTTTAAATCAGGTTAAAATGAATCCATTTCTAGAAGTGCAATTACTGTATTTCAAGAAAATATTTTAAAGACACATCTTGCTAACACAATAAAAATACATCTGTTCCCAAGACAATGTTTAAGAGAATGGGAAGATTTAAAAAAAAATCCTCAAGTGAAGTAAATACTCAGGAATCAAAATTTAAACATAACATAATTATAAAGTCAAATTTAATAAAACCAACCCCACCATATCATCTCCTCTTCCCTTCATTAAATTAAAGAAAACATTTAACTAGGGTCTCTAAGTTTTTGTAATTTTTTAATTCTTAATCTTGAAATAATTTCAGACTTTACAAAGCATTACACAAAGAATTCCCATATCCCTTTCACCCAGCTTCCCCAAACATTAACATCTTATATAACCACAGTACAATTATCTAAATCAGGAAACTAATACTGATATTATTCTATTAACTGATCTATAAACCTTATTCAAATTTTGTTAATTGTCCTACTAATATCTTCCTTCTAGTCCAGTGTTTGATCCAAATACCACACTGCATTTAGTTATCAGATCTCTTTGGTTTCCTTTAATCTGGCACAGTTGCTTAGTTCATATTTCATAATCTTGACACTTTCTAAAAATCTAGTCAATAATTTGTAGCATGGCCCTCAATTTGGGTTTGATGTTTTCTATGATTAAATTCAGGATATGCATTTTGTCAAGAATACCACAAAAGTAATGTTGTGTCGTTCTCAGTACATCATATCAGAAAATGCATGATATCCATGTCTCATTATTAGTATGTCTACTTTGATTAGTTGGTTAAGAAGATGTCCATTTTCTCCACTGTAAGGTTACTATGATTCCTTTATAATTATAGTAAATATCTTTTAGTGAGATCTTTTTGTGACTGTAAATATCCTGTTTATAACCATCTTACATTGTCCACTAACTGTTCTCACCTAAAACAATTATTACTGTAGTGTTTCTTTTCAAATGGTAATTTCCTATATCAATGACTCTTCATTTACTAATTGGAATTCCATGGCAAGAAAGTGTGTTCCTTTCTCCCGTTTGAATTTACTTAATTATATCTGGATACCACTTTTTATTTTATGGGTTATGGCCCATTATTATAGTGCTCAAAGTGTCCCTAATTTGGCCACTGAGAGCTCCTTAGAGTTGGCTCATACATTCTTTTGACATGCTCCCATCATTTTTTGAACATTTTGCCACTTTCATCCTGTACTTCCCCAGTCCCAGTCCCAGTCCCCAATTCAGTTTTTCCAAGGAACTCTGGTTCCTTTTATTGGTGCCTGGCACTTAAACCCAAGATCTGGTACTGGGTGTATTGACTGGAGCTATGATGTCACTGCTTCTAGGCCCTCTCATGAACAGAAGTAAGAAATATATAAGGCATACATGTACACATACACATATATGCAACCTTCTCTTTATCTCCATTCATTCATACTGATATCTCAAATTCTAATCCAAGGTTCATTATAGATTCCCCTTTACCTTATTTCTAGCTCTTTTTTTCTGATGTTAAAAAAATTAACTCTTAATATCCACCACATATTTAGTTGCTTAATCTTAAACTACACATAAAGTTGTTTCAGAATTGCTAACTCACCTAAATTTTGTCAAGTTTTTAATGAGCCAGTTAGACTGCACATTTTGATCATAAAATGCACAAATAACATGCCCACCCACACAAATACAACCACTGGAAGTGTACCAACAAATACTTCCAGTTTTACCCATCTTGGTGATAGCAACACCAGGAAGAAATCTTAAGTAATCTTTTCTCATGGTTTGCAAGTCTTGTTTATTATACTTCCCAGGTAGCTCTCAGACTGCCCACTTTTCTCCCTCAAGGTACCACATCTTTCAGTCAAGTTGCCGCCACAGCCTTTGGTCATCTCCCCACATCCAATTTTGCTTCCCTCCAATCTCCAGGGGCTTAGCCTTTAAATAGACAAACTAATCACTCTACTTTCACTCATTTTGATGGCTTTCTCTATATGTCAGATAAAGTCTAAAATCCTCAGCGTAGCCTAAAATACACTGCATGATCTAACTCCTACCAATCTTTATAGCTTCAAGTCACTCAATATTCTCTACATTCCACCTATATTAACCTTTTTGAATTCTTCTTTCATACTCCAGTTCTTGCACATACTGTTCCCACTAAACTATAAGTACTCCTTCTCCCTACATCCCCGCCTTAGTCCTGCTAACTCTTATATATCATTCAAGTCTTCACTTAAATATTATTCCTCAGTAAAGTTGTCCCTGAACTCCCAGTCTGGGTTAGACTCCTATGTGAAATCGTCCTAAAGCACACAGCATCTCTCAATGACAATTTGTGCTAAACTCATCTGTAATTCATCAAGTAGGCCTTCCCAGCTAGATTATCAATTCCTTAAGGACAAGGACTTTGTATTGCACACTGTTACATCCCAGTGCTCGACACAGGGTACAGCACAGAAACAGGGCCGAATTAGTACTGAATGAATGCCTAAATGAATAAATGAACCAAAAGATATTATCGAAAATTAGCTAGATATAGTGACTGACAACTACCAGCAATACATAGAAACTACACTTTCTATAATTTTTATGGATGTGAAGACTTCTGGATCCTTTCTGCTGCATTATATTGCCTAGCTAATGCTGAAAATATAACTATAAAGTAGTAATCAGCTGAATTTTTTTTTTTTTTTTTTGAGACAGGCTCTCACTCTGTTGCCCAGGCTGGAGTGCAGTAGCATGATCTCGGCTCACTGCAATCTCTGCTTCCCAGGCTCAAGTGATCCTCTCACCTCAAGACTCCCAAGTAGCTGGGACAACAGGCATGTGCCAACACACTGGCTAATTTTTCTATTTTTTGTAGAGATGGGGTTTCATCATGTTGCCCAGACTGGTCTCAAACTCCTGAGCTGAACTGATCCACCCGCCTCAGTCTCCCAAAGTGCTGGGATTACAGGCATGCAACACCGCACCCGGCCAATCAGCCAAATTCTTATCCAGCAAATGGAGAAACACTGTTAAAACTGATTAACATAATGAGCTTATGGCCAAATTAACAGTAATAATAAAAGCCAAAACCCCAAACACACAATTAAAAAGCATAATCAACTATTTTTTTCTCAAAAGTTCATTACAGTATTGGATTTCGTTAACTATCACTTATTTTAAATCCAACTGCTTTGAGATACGCAATATCTACGTTAGCCTGCTTTATGTACTTGTTACAATTTTACATTAAAGATCATTTATGTTGGCTTAAGGACTAATGCAAGGACCAGTATGTCTAAAGGAGATGGTGATTGGAAATTTTTAGATGTTCTGTCACTGCCACTGATTCTGTATTCTCAGTTCAGCAGACCTCCTGACAAAACTTTTACTATCATGTGATTGAAGAAATAAATGGGCCTTTAAATGTACTTTGCCACTAAAGTAACTTAATTTGCCTATAGGAAATATGGGAAAGATTACGACTTTTACTCTTGCAGATACAGTATATTTTTTAGAATCAGAAGCCCATTTTATTTCTCAGAAAGTAACATGATAAGGACTATAATTCATTGCAACTGGTTTCTCCTCTCTTCCCCTTTTTCTTCCCTCCTTTTCCCCCCATTCTGGTACAATTATTATTTCCTTGCATCTCAGGAAACCTGAACCAACATATTAGGAAACTGATTATTTCAAATCAACAATAATTAAAAAATAATTTTTATTTTTAAAATGTTAAAACAATGTTCCTCTTTCACTTTTACTAGTAAGTGAAAATAAGACAGTCTTCTTCAAGAGCACAGCAGGTATCATAAAAAAATGAAATAATCTTACTTTAATCACTCATGTCTGAGAGAATGATGAACACGGTATCTGGTATTTTGAGGCACTGGGGAGGCTTACCCTACTTATTATGTTATCAGTATTTTTGAGCAAAGAGCTAAGTCAAACTGTACACCTTTTACCTTGTTCGTAGTAAGTTTTGTGACTTTTCAATTTAAAAAAATTATTCATTAAGGCTGGACGTGGTGGCTCACACCTGTAATCCCAGCACTTTGGGAGGCCAAAGTGGGAGAATCTCTTGAGCACAGGAGTTCAAGACCAGCCTGAACAACACAGTGAGACCCCATCTCTACAAAAATTTTAAAATTAGCCAGGTGAGGTGGCATATGCCTGTAGTCCCAGCTACTCAGGAGGCTGAGGTGGGATGATCACTTGAGCCCAGGAGTCCCCAGCTGCAGTGAGTGAGCCATGATAGTGCCACTGCACAACAGCTTGAGTGACAGAGTAAGACCATGTCTCTTAAAAAACCTTTTTTAAATTTCACTAAACAGTAATTACACTGCATAAAATTCAAGATGCATTAATATAGACACTGCTACAAGAAATAAGCAAATCCAAGAAATACTATAGTTTATTTTACTACCTCCGCAATCTACCCCCGAAAATGCCTTATATGTCTGTGATTTAGTCAAAATAAATACTTGTCTTTATTTAAATCTATAGAAAGGAAGGGCAGAAATGAACTACGCCAATGAAAGCCAGGGTCAGTCTCCCCATATTTTTATTTTTTCTTCGTCTTTACCATATCAGCTTCTTTAATTTTTACCCCCATCAGAATTGACCAGCACTAATAAAATGATGGTAATATTCCTTTCTCTTCTAACTCCAAGGATTCACCAAATATTTAAGGAAATATATTTGAGACCCACAAAATAACCCATTTGAAAGCACAGCAAAAGAAGAATTAAGATGCCTGGAAATCTATACAACTGGAAAATAAATCATTTTATTTAGGAATGGTACTCATTTATGTGCATATTTAATGTGATATCTGCCAGAGCTTTTAAGGCTCAAAAGTTTCCTTTCTCTCAAATTTTCACAAAATGGAAATTTCAATTGCATCATAAATGTAAAGATCTTTATAGACCAAGAAAAAAAATAGCTGAATTTCAAACAGAACAGACAGCTATTCTGGATAATTCACATATCAATAGCTGATCAATATAAGATCAATCTGAATCATATAGCTAACTGCCTTTTTCCAAAGCCTGTGGCTGAATGTGCTCCTGCCCAGAAAAATACATTAGAAGGTCTGCCCTGGAGGCATGAAAAGCATCACCTTAGCAAAAGGAAAAACATAATACAGTTGATCTTTCATCAGTACCAAAATATGCTAGTACAGCTTACTGAATGTTTGCTATTATTTTCTTGTTTGCATTCTTATTCAAAACATACCTTTTTATCCAAAAGTCATTCTAGATTATTTAAAATAAACTTCGAAATTATAGTTATAATTTCTTCACTTACTATGTTTTATTTTGGAATTTCTGGTCATTAAAAAATGGTGAAATATAAATATACTAGCCTCTTTTTGTACACTAAAATCTTTTCCTATGAGTAGGTACCACCAATACGCAGTTGTAGGACGTTTACACACCAACGGCTGTGCCCCATCAATAGTGATGGAGAAAGAGATCTCGAGGGCTTAGAAGACAAAGACAAAGAGATTTCTTGAAAGTCTTCTCATAATCTCAAAAAAAAAATACAATAAATCATCCCCAAAGTACTAGTAAGTTTTACTAGAATAAAGTAGATGAGGAAACCTTTAAATCTCTTTTTAAAAGAAAAATCAGTACAGACTATTTTATTACTACGAGGTTTTGCCATTACTTTTAATGGCAAAAACCACAATTACTTTTGCACCAACCTAATAAAATATGTCTTGTTACTAGATATGAGAGTGCATATTTCAATTTAAGATAAGTTTTGAGTAAGGATAGAAACTGCTTCTTTTCTAAATAATACAAAGAATCAAATTAATGTTGATCTTTCTGTGAGGACAAAATGCATCAACAACTGAAACTTTTAATTTAACAATAATACAATTGAAAGAACATGAGATCTTAAGTTCTATGATCTGAACTTGAGTATCAGATTCTAGTATTTACTAGTCTGTTATCTTAGGCTAGTTACCTAACCTTTACAAAGCTTGATTTATTCATGTTATGTGGAGGTGATGACTAATATATCTCTCATAAATACATTCAGACATATATCAGATATATCTCTCAGATATATTCATGTCCTTTAATACTCAGAAGCAAATATTTTCTACACTGCGAACTACTACGAGATACTACTGCTCCTACTATTACTAACAATAATACACAAGATTATAAATACTGTCAAATTATTTTAACACTGTCATTCATCATTCTCTTGTAATGGAAACAAATGAAGGCTAGGAAAGCTTTGTAGGGTCTTAATTTTTTCTCTTGCAGGTGAAAAAAACTGAGTCAAATAGGCATGGCAGGCAATTTTGTGGCAGAAAATCTGTCTCCTAGGAGTACAAAAGGTTTAGGGGGAGTTGGGGAGGAAAACCTGTCCCTGAGGTTCTCCCTCCCTACTGCTGATATGAAACATCAAAATGTCTTTTAGTCCTAATAACTCTGTTTCTCTTAAAGAAAAAAATAACCAAGGCTAGTCACTGAAATGTCCTATAACTTATTCTCTCAGTCTTTTATAGCCTTCGAAAGAGACATAGATAAATATCATATTTGATGAACACTGGGTATGAAATTTAAGAAACATTTAAATTGAAAAAGAACCCTTTCTTCAAAGCTCTAGAAGCTCAGGACTCTCTGCATTTGACATGCCTCCATGATCCCCTGGAACACAGTTTGAAAACCACTAGTCTCAGAGAGCCTTGCAGGGCATTAGGTATTTCAGATTAAGGCTGAAATTATGATCTATTAAAGAACAGAACCAATATAGAGATATCAGTGGGACCTGCAGATGAGGGAGAGTAATACATCACCAATGTCATACTTTTCCTAGTAATTTTCACAAATCTCTGCTTCAAAATAGAGGCTTTTATCACCTGTAAAACGAAACGTATAGCTGTATTTTCCAGGGCTAACAGCCATGCACACCTGTCATCACTTTTTAGAAGTGTCAAGGGAGTCTTATAAAGTGCTGGGTTTCTTTTAAATTATCAAAATGATTTCAAGTCTTAGTGACACACATTTGGTTGGCATCTAGAAGTGATTTCCCAGGTAACTAAATACTACTCCTTTTCTCAAACAAAAACATCACCTGATAAATTTCCTAGAGAGATATCCATAGCTGCACACACACACACACACACACACACACACACACACACACACACACCCCACTGGCTGCCAGGAAGCTCAAAGCTAAAATTTGTGTTCAAATGCACCAATTTCCTTAGCCCAGTTTTCTGTCACAATTATTTTCTTTCGTTACATAAATCCTATTAACTTTTCTTTCTTCAAAATCTTATTACATACAGTTTTTAAATTTTAAAGTCACATGCTTTTAAATGTTTTTCCCCAGTGATTTATCTTTATTTTAATAATTGCCATGTATGCATTTGTTTTTCAGAAGTGGCAAGATGCCCAGGTACAATGGCTCATGCTTGTGGGGGTTGAGGCAGGTGGACTGCTTGAGCCCAGGAGTTCAAGACCATCCTGGGCAACATCATGAAGCCCCATCTCTACTAAAAATACAAAAATTAGCCAGGCATAATGGCACAGCACTTGTAGTCCCAGCTACTCAGGAGGATGAGGTAGGAGGATCGATGCCCAGGAGGTCGAGGCTGCAGCGATCCGACATCATGCCACTCTGTACTCTTGCCTGGGCGACCGAAACCCCATCTCAAAAAGAAAAAAAAGTGGAAAGATATAAATAATAAAGCACTGAATATACAAAATATACAGCAATAGCATTAATACAAATTATTCCACAATATTCCTTTACATACTTTAAAATTTTTTAAATCAATTATTTCAGATCCGTATTAAGGTAAAGAAGCATAGGACTTTAGAAGTAAAAAGGCCATGCAAAATTATCCAGTCCAACTTCATCTTTTAAAAAAAATTTTAAAATTAGTTGCATTAAATTCTTGTCTTTCTGCTGTCATTTACTAAGCAACTAGACAAGTATACACAAATGACCAAATGTTCCTTTAGAAATGTAAGCTAAATCATGTGACTACTCTGTTCAAAACCCTTAGTGATTTCTCATCTCACATAAACCAAAGTCTTTACCATATCCTACGGGATTCATCATGGCTCAATCCCCTACTTCCTCTCTCTCATCTCCTCCCACTCTTTCCATGGCTCACTCCTCTCCAGTCACTCTAATCTCCCACTGGTCCCTCTAACATGTCAGCATGCCCTTTTCTACCTCAGACACTCTTCTACCAGACAAATTAGCACACCTTGTCCCCTCCTCACCATCTTATGGTCTTTGTGTCACTTTGTCAGAGAGGTCTTCTCTGATCACCCTATCTGAAATCACCACCTTACCCCCCTCCCTGCCCCCATCCATTGACAGCTATCTCTCTGCTCTCTTCCCAGCTTGACTTTGCTCCAAAGTATTTATTACATTTTGACATATGATATAGTTTATTTGTTCATTTTCTTCTTCCTCCACTACAATGTAAACTCCAGGTTGGCAGTACTTTGTTTTCTTTGTTTGGTTCATTACTATCTCTCTGGCACCTAAACAATGCACCTAAACCTGGCACCTATCAGGTACTGAACAAATATCTGTTTAATGACTTAAAGACTGACTTATTGAATCAAGCTGTTTCTACTCTGCTTTGTACCAATATTCCATTTTCTACATTTTAAAAGTGTTTGTGCCACTTACCCAAACATGTATTCTGACACTAATGGAAAAAATTCAAAAGAACTTCATGAGAACATTTAAGATGTGAACTTCGCTTTGATTTACTTTTAAAATCCAAAGTAATACATAAATAGGTTGAAAGAAAATGAAGAGAAAAAGATATTCCATGCAAACATTAATTTTTTTAAAAAAGAAAAAAGCAAGAATAGTCAACTAATATATTAATTATATGCATAAACTACCTAGGTATTACAGAATCATAAAAGATAATTAGAAAAAATTAAGTAGCTTAACAGTTTCATTCTAATCTTTTTTAATAACAATAAATCCTTTCTTATATACTTTTATTAAGGAAGACTAAATATGCTCTTTGGACAAAACTAACCTCAAATGTGTTTTCTGAGCCTAGGATAGTAATTCGATCTGTTCTTAGAATGCAACTATGCAAACAAAAAGAACTGAAAAGTCTGGAGCATTTTAGAATCCTAAATTCATTCATCCCACATTTTTTCTAGTCCAATCTTGATGCATAAAGCTGCTGGACAATGAAGGGGTCATGTGAATTCTCTCCATACACCTCCAGGGAAAGCACTCTGCCTTATCCAAATTCAAGTGACTCAATTAGGGGACACCCAAATCATTCCTCCTTGTAATTCGTGTACTATTCAATATATAATGTGGACCACAGGATTCTAATCTTTCTTGTACTTATGTGTCAAAGTTTTAAAAACAGCTGTCACCTACCTCCTATAGAATAAATGTATTCTGCCAGCAACGTAGACTAAGTTTACTTTTGTAAGGATTCTTTATTTTTCAATGTTTACTTCCATACAATAAAATAAGAGAAGAGCTCTTTCAAAGTCTTTATTTCTAAAGCCTGGAAGTATGCTAATAGAGACTAATGAGTTCATGTAATTGAAAGTATTACATTTAGAGCTGTGAAAAGAGGGTACTAAGTTCAGCTCTGAAGTACATATTTACAGACCAACTTTATTTAAATTTGCTCATTAACACTTTAGTTTTAAAATAATTTCTGACTTCTGAATATTTTAGGAGGCAGTCTCCATTCTAGGAAAGCTGAGGAAAGGCTAGCTTCTCGAGTGTTTCTTTTATCCCATGCCTACTGTACTAAAATGTATGGGGTAGCATCACAGAAATAAAAATTTTTAACAAGATTCCTGTTTTTTTAAATGCACAATTAAGATCAGCAGCTTTGTTGTAAACTACCACTTAATGCAGAAGCAGGATGCTTTGTAATACTTTTTATTCTTGCCAAATACAGAACTTCTCCATTCTTCCAGAGTGGTCAAGTTTTAAGATCACTAAAATATTTTAAAAGGGAAGAGTACAAATTGTATTAATATCACAGACAGTAAAGATGGTGGGGATTTCCTGGGAAATTCCTTGTTTCCAAAGACCCATGTACGGCAACGTTCTCCAGAGAAGACCAGGAGGAATTTGCAGATAAGACTACAGCTAAGCCTTGATGGAAGACTTCCTAGCCAACAATCAGAACAACTGTGCCGCCATCCAGTGTGTGTGCCAATGGTGGCAAGCCAGTCTGAGCCACCGGCTCCAATTAGTTGTTGTATCTAATTAGCTTGCATACCAATGGAAACAATAATATTGAGAAAATTTAACAATCTCTCATCAAAGCTTAATATTTAAATTCCTTGCGTCAATTCATTTACAACCATTTGGCAGAGAATCTGCCCTTTTGCCTGCCTAAATACCAACTGTCTGCCTACTATTCTGTCTTGATACTTCGGCAAAATATAAACACTCATTTACTTTTAACTGTTTCCAGAACATTCAAAACAAACTATAAAGCGAAAATTATATATAATTTTATCCCCCACAGCAACTGATAAAATTTATTGAATGTTCACTCAGTGGACATTTCCTGATGTCCATTCTGACAGAGGGAGCCTTGCTTGTGTTAGAAACTCCATAAATATTTGCCTATTTGGTTTGCCTTTTCAAAATACTGACTTTCCCCTATAACTACAGTTTCCTATTATCAAATAAAAAATTCATGTCTGAGAATTCTCATCTTTTCACTAAACACTAAAATGTTCAACAAAAATTTTGTTACATTTTCAAGAGAAATCAATGTCTACTTTAGCAAATAAGATCCAGGGAGAAGGGGGCAAGGGCGTAAGTATTGAGTATTGTACTCAATTTAAATAGTGCATGTGCAAAAAGCCTATCGAGATTAAGGCATTTTAGGCCGGGCACGATGGCTCATGCCTGTAATCCCAGCAATTTGGGAGACCGAGGTGGGCGGATCATTTGAGGTCAGGCGTTCGAGACCAGCTTGGCCAACATGGTGAAACCCCGTCTCTACAAAAAATATAAAAATCAGCCGGGCATGGTGGCGGGCACCTGTAATCCCAGCTACTCAGGAGGCTGAGGCAGGAGAATCGCTTGAATCTAGGAGGCAGAGGTTGCAATGAGTCAAGATCGCGCCACTGCACTTAGCGTGGGCGACAGAGCGAGACTCCGTCTCAAAACAAAAAAAAAAAAAGAGAGAGAGAGATTACGGCATTTTAGCTAAATGAATCTACAGATGTGACTAAACTTACAATGGTGTTACATCCCAATAAAGCCATCATAAACTGAAAATATCCAAAGTCAAAAATGCATTTATATACCTAACCTACTAAAACATCATAGCTTTACCCTAGCCTATCTTAAACATGCTTGAATACTTACATTAGCCTACAGTTGGGCAAAATATGGCACAATCTAACACAAAGCTTATTTTAAATAAAATGTTGAACATTTCCTGTAACTCACTGAATACCACACTGAAGTACATTTTCTACTGAATGTTTATCACTTTTGCACCATCATAAAGTCAAAAAAATTTAAATCTAACCATTGTAAGTCAGGGACCAACTGTATTTTATAGATTCAAAGATGACACAGAGATAGAAGGTTCTTTTTAGAGATTATCTAATGTAATTTTTTATTTTGCAAATTAGGAAATTTGCTTGTCAAGATTACTGCATGCCTCATATTTCTTTTCTTTTTTATTGTCGCAAATTATCCAGAAATGTTGCATTGATTTTCATATTAGATCACAAAAAAAGAAAACATTTGATTTCCTCAGTATTTATATATCATGACCACTGCTCTGTTTATGGTAATAAGACAACATAAGTATACTTATTGTATACTGCATATAATATGTACAATAAGTACATAAGTTCTTATTGTATACTTATTGCAAATACTACATAATTATTAAGCGAGAAATCAGCATACTTCTATCATCCTATAATTGAGATTGACAGAAATCTAGAATGACATTTCATGAAATCAGAACCCTGAAAAACTTAATCTTCACAAACTCCTAGACAACACCAACTCCTAATTTATGCACAGAAGTTTTGTCTGAACCTCATGAGCAGGTTTACAACACTTTTTTCAGACCTGCAAAATGTTTCACCAGTCTATAAAATTTTGTCGAGCCTTTGCTTTGCAAAAGGAAAAAAGAGAACGAGTCACATACCTTCACTGAAAGAATTAGAAAAAGCAATTCCAGAATAACATCCCAAGTGACAGTCTAATACTAACTGCAGCCACAAACAAACCTGCCTATAAGAACAATAAATAATCTTTCTGTATTGGTTGATACAAGTATTTGTCCTAGTTAAAAGGCTGCTTAAGGAGTTTCATGTTAGTAAAATAGAGTAGATGATGGTGAGAGGAAAGGGGTGGTATATCAGATTCCGTATTGCAGATTAAACTTTATGTGCCATTACCATCAGAGAAATGCAAATCAAAACCACAATGAGATATCATCTCACACCAGTTAGAATGGCGATCATTAAAAAGTCAGGAAACAACAGGTGCTGGAGAGGATGTGGAGAAATAGGAACACTTTTACACTGTTGGTGGGACTGTAAACTAGTTCAACCATTGTGGAAGACAGTGTGGTGATTCCTCAAGGACCTAGAACTAGAAGTACTATTTGACCCAGCCATTCCATTACTGGGTATATATCCAAAGGATTATAAATCATGCTGCTATAAAGACATATGCACATGTATGTTTATTGCAGCACTATTCACAATAGCAAAGACTTGGAACCAACCCAAATGTCCAACAATGACAGACTGGATTAAGAAAATGTGGCACATAAACACCACGGAATACCATGCAGCCATAAAAAAGGATGAGTTCATGTCCTTTGCAGGGACATGGATGAAGCTGGAAACCATCATTCTCAGCAAACTATCGCAAGGACAGAAAACCAAACATCGCATGTTCTCACTCATAGGTAGGAATTGAACAATAAGAACACTTGGACACAGGGTGGGGAACATCCCACACCAGGGCCTGTGGTGGGGTGGGGGGAGTGGGGAGGGACAGCATTAGGAGATATACCTAATGTAAATGACGAGTTAATGGGTGCAGCGCACCAACATGGGACATGTACACATATATAACAAACCTGCACGTTGTGCACATGTACCCAAGAACTTAAAGTATAAAACAAAAACAAACAAACAAAAAACCTTTATGTGCCATTAAAAGACTTCTGGAAAATCTCAAGTCAAAACTACATACAACCTCATACTTTTTTTTGTATAGGATATGTGACATTAATCATAAATTATTTAGAAAAAGGCAAGGGACAGACACATCTTAAATGTTTCTTTTAATCTAACCAATTTAAGAACATAAAAATCTCAGCAGCTGCTCAAAGGGTTAATTCCAAAAACTCAGAAATTTTTCAAAAAATGTTTTGAAAAATCTTGAAAAGCCAGATAATTGGTACCCTTCTCTTCCTTTTTAAAAGATTACAGATGGCCAGGCACGGTGGCTCAAGCCTATAATCCCAGCACTTTGGGAGGCCAAGGCAGGCAGATCACCTGAAGTCAGTAGCTCGAGAACAGCCTGGCCAAAATGGTGAAACACCGTTTCCACTAAAAATACAAAATTAGCCAGGCTTGGTGGCAGGCGCCTGTAATCCCAGCTACTCGGGAGGCTGAGGCAAGAGAATCACTTGAACCCCAGGGGTGGAGGTTGCAGTGAGCCAAGATCGCGCCACTGCACTCCAGCCTGGGCGAGAAAGCAAGACTCCACCTCAAAAATAAATAAATAAAAATAAAAGATTACAAAGCATGTATCTACAAGAAGTCAAAATGAGACAGAAAATTATATTTGGGAGTCTCCAAGAATCAAATGGTATCCTCTACCACCTAAACATGAATTCAGAAAAAGTATCAGGTTAAAAATATTTGTTCTTTCCCCTCATTACTCACAGTGTGACTATATCACTCATCACCCAAACCACAACACTGGAAAGTGAAAAAGGGTGATATTGATAATTTTGCCAGGATAAGAGAAGTTAGGATATAAGGGCTCCCTAGTTATTTTTATAATGGTCTCTCCTCTACTAGACCGAAGGTCAGTGATACGGAGGGGTTAGATATTCACTATTATATTTCTCACAGTAGCACATTCTCTCACACAAACTAAGCAGTCAAGCCTCACATGGTGAAAAATGAAACAAATACACCGGAGAGGACGTTCATAACTACTTAGCAAAGTGTAAACATTCTGACTAGTGGACAAAGACTAAGTGTGTAAGTCTATGGGTTTAGACTTTAAAACTCAAGAAAAGAATGAGAATGGAAATTACTTATGCTATCCCATTAAATATATCTAATGTTTTCTGTATACTAAAGGACCTACAAGTGTTCAAATCCTAACAGTAAAATCTTAAGAGTCATCACTAGTCAAGAAAAAGCTTCTGAAAGTATGGTATACTCCTGGTAAGTGAATAATGTGGGAATATATTTCTCCTCCAGCCCAGCCTCAGATTAGTATGTAAATTGTGAAAAGAGTACACAAATTGAATGTTTTTATTTGCTTTTCAATTGTTTCATGAATATTTACTATACAAAACACATTTTATTATTAAATCTAAATCCTTGTCCCAAAGGAAAAAAAAACACACAATAGCTTTATTGTGGCTACTTCAATTCTTAAAAGAGTAAAATAACCTAATAATTGTTTCTTACTGATCAAAAGTAATGTGTGCCTAGAAGATTCAAAACTGCTAAAGTTTCCTGATGGTACATAAGGACCTATATTCTGTACTGCTTCTCAACAACTTTGTATCAGCTTATCTAGTTTTCATTAGGACTAGTCCTGCTTGGCGGCAGAAAGCAATTGGTGTAGTTAAAATATTTATAGTTTCATTTCAGTTCCACTGTGGTTTGTTGAACAGACATAAAACCACAATCTTTATCATATGTGTCACTTCCTGTAATTCACAACTGAACCCAATTCCACTATTCATTATATAACACACTATTTAACAAAACAAAATACCACAGATAAAGAAAATAATTAGAATCCATTTAGGTTTTTTTTTTTTAAATTCTTTTCTCCAAGAGAGGTGTGAAAAGATCTTGAAAATCTGAAGAGGCATTTCCTAAGTGCTTTTCTTTCCTGCAGCTTTACTCAATTATACATAAGTCATCAATGCCTGTGATAACAGGATACAAAAAATAATAAGGATGCAGCACAAACAACCTAACTTTTTTATAGTTCTTCACACCTAAAATTTAAGAAATCAGCTAACAAATAACAAAACTGAAGGATGTAAACTTCATTTCCTATTCCACCTTCTGGTACTGCAGCTAATAAACAGGGAAATGGTCTACAGGTAGCTGGTAAAAGAAAGAGAGGAAAGGCAGAGAAAACACAAGAGCCAGTTTACCAGACACTAATTACACCTTCCTGGATGCTTCCCTTTTAAATTCCCTTCATAATTCATAAGGAATACGGTCCTTAAATTCATTTCTGGGATAGGCAAGAGTTTAGCTAGGATTTTTATTTTTAAACAAATTTAGACAAATATGAGTGACAAACTTCATTTTATAAGAAATTTAATTCGTATTTTATAAAATCACAGATTCAACTAATACAACATTACAATGAAACTGCTTCATCCAGGTCCCAAATAATCATAAGTGATGCAGTGGAACAGGAATAAACTGGCTAAGCACCAACTGAAGATATCAGAATATTTATGCAGCAAAAACCAGCAGACATCATATAGTAAGTAGTCAAAGAAATGTTTAGCATTGCACAGTTATTCCAGAAACAGGGAGTACACAATGTTTGGCTTATACAGTTTACAGACACACATCAAGCATGTACCATTTGTTCATTCATTTACTTTAAAAACATTTACTGAGCTCCATTATGGTTAATTCAAGGCCATGGAGAAGTGAAGAGGTATATCACAACTTTTGTCTTCAAGGAGCTCAATAATCAATCATGGCATGAACAAATAATACTTGTACCAAGTGAGGCAAGTACAAAAGTGCTATGAGAAAGCACAGGGGAATAAGAGATTTCTGCATCCTGTGAAAAACGGCAGCCTTCACAGAGAAGGTGACATTGAACTAAAACTAAAATAAGGACAGGAGTTTGCTAAAAGGGAAAAAAAGGAATCCTGGCATTCAGAGAAGTTTAACTTACACAAGTTGAATAGCCCTTATCTGAAATGCTTAACCCCAGAAGTGTTTTGGATATTTTATTTTTTCAGATTTTGAAATATGTGCATTATACCTACCTAGTGGGCATCCAAAATCCAAAAATCCAATTGAGAATTGAATGAGCATTTCCTTTCAGTGTTATGTTGGTGCTGAAAAAGTTGTGAATTACAAAGTGTTTTGAATTTTCGAATTTGGGATGCTCACCCCGTATTACTTACACCTGAGCTAGCCCTGGGGTCATGCCAAATGACCCAAATTGGTCTTCTTAAATCGTCTAGAATAAAAATCAAGACTTTTGTATTCCCTAGAAGAAACAAGACAGTAAGTACTACCATGACTAACCAGTAACATAAAAATAAATGGGTAACTATAGGAGCAAATTATTAAAGTTATAAAATGTAGGCAATTTACTTAAACACCAAACCTGATTCTTCATCAATAAAACAGAAATAATAAAAGCTGTCCAACCTACCTTCATAAGGTGGTTGTGAGGATCAAATATAATAACATATAGACAGCTTCTTTATCAACAGTACAGCACAAAACAAAGCAAATAATTATTTGTTTAAGCCTAATAAATCTAGATAATTCCTAATTCATGGATTCAAAAATTAAGTGAAATGTATAGACACGATATTATATATTTATATTAATACTAACTATTGACAAGTGATTTTATGTTTTACTGAACCACGTATGTTGTGAAAGGAGACAAGAAAATGCCTGTCTAATAGAAAAAATATATAAATATATAATCCTTAGGACTCTACAGCTAAGTTAAGGCTAAAATCAATTATTTATTATAGATACCAAATTAATGCTAGACAAAATAATGATAATATTAAATTATAGAGAAAATACACTGTATTTATGAAAGCTTTCTGAAAAAATACTACGCACTGCTTCAGGGATTTTTGGAAGTATTATGGTTTTTGTTCTTTCCTTTAGAGTTATATATGTAACCTTAGACTGTAAAGCTTACGAAGTTACATGCTCTCTGGACTTAATTACTTCATCAAAATGATGAGGGTGGACTAAACAAAATATAAGGTTCAAACCATCTCTAAAATAATAAAAGCATTATTAAAATAAATGAACATATACACAGAGATAGTTACCATCTTAAGATATAGACTATGAAGCTTTACAGAAAATAATTTTTAAAATACTTTGTGATTATTCCTTATCATTAATCAAGTCACATGGGGATTCTGTCCAAAAAACAGTATGTTAGACTGGGAGGAAAAACAGAAATTTCTCATAGCTTCCAGTTTTAGACATCTTGAACTCAGCTTAGATACAAATTATTAAGTGCAGGCACTAAATGTATTTAAAGTTTTTTAAAGTTTTAAAGGTATCCTACCGACCCTTTCAACTAACTGAATAAGAGAAAATTTGCAGCCCAGATGGTGACATTTACATCAAATAAATACTCATGAAAGAGATGCACTATTAAGTTCACTATGAAAAATTCCAGCTTCCAGCTAAAGGAAGACTTTGGTTATATAACTTACTAAATATTTCAAGAATAATTTCACTCATTGAATGAAAGGTTATTAGCATTCTTCTCTAACCACTTAAGTTTTTCTTCTATGTTTTGTTTATGGTACAAAAAGCAGGCTATTAAACTTTAAAATAATTTCTATTTTTATGACAAAGGATTATAAAACTTTACAGCAGTTGAGTATGTTGAAAAATAACATTGACACTAATGTGAATCATTCTCTTACGGCATAAATTACCTGATGAATTATATGTCATCCCAATCTCTACACTGGAAGGTGGTGCTTTTAAAAACGGTTCAAGGGGCTAGACTTCTAGAATGGGAGTATAAAGAGCTTGGATAAATCTCTTCTCTCCAACACTTATTAAACCAGCAAAAATTAGCAAAGACAATGATTCAGTCTCTGGAGATTGATCAGAGGGCTTACAACAAATTGTAAAACATTCATTCAACAAAATCTATCGAAATTCAGTCATAATAGTGGGAAGCCATGGCATTCGAGATAAGAGACTACCCCCATTCCCCCACAACTCTGTGTTATGGAAGAGCTATTCTAGTGGGGTCAGTTGAGTAGCAGCTCTCATCTCCTGTAGGTCCCAGGAGTAGAAGAGCTATTCCTAGGAGATTTAGCAGCTGGTGAACATCAGCAGATACTGCTTCCCAAAGCTCCATGCTACAGAAGACCTGTACCAAGTAGGTAGTAGCGGCAGCCAGGCAATGCCTGTTTTGCCACTCTGACTCTCCCTACTAGATGCCGGGAGTTGGATGGCAACATCAGTTTCTATCGTCTTCACAAACAAGTATACACACAGGTCCTGCTCTGCAGGGTAGATCCAAGTGGCACAGCTGGTAAAGAACAAGCTCTTTATGGACTGAATTGTGCCAGCCCCTCCCAAAAAAGTTGAAGTCCTAATCCCCTTCCCAAATCTGTAAGTTAATCAGAGTCGACCCTAAACCAGTATGACTGATATCCTTGTAAGAGGAGGAAAATTTGGGCATACACATATAGGGGCGAACACCATGTAAAGACACAGACACATGAGAAAAAATGCTGTGTAAATACAAAGGCAGAGATTGCAGTGATGCAGATACAAGCCAAGGAATGGCCAACGGCTGCTGGCAAACACCAGACCAGTTAGGTAAGATTCTTCCCTAAAGGTTTCTGAAGGAGAATGGCCCTGCAGACACTTGATTTTAGACTTCCAGTTCTCAGAACTGTGAGGCACTAACTTCTGTTGTTTTAAGCCACCCAGATTATGGTAATTTGTTACAGCAGCCCTAGGAAACTAATACTGTTAGGAATTAGTGGAGACAAACAGCTGAGTATGATACCAATAGACACAGACTAGTCAAAAGCTTAACAGGAGATGGGGGATGCCGGGGTGGATTAATCAAAGAGTCCAGCTAAAGCCACAATAATCCCTAGTAGTCCAGACTATACACAAATCCAAGGTCGCAGCTTCCGAGGAACAATCAGAGGGATGTTCTGTGCTACAAGCCCTTGGCTGAACCCAGGCCAAATACGTAACCTTTCTGTACAGTGAACCTTTAAAACATTATGTTAACTAAAAGACGATTCTATTTTTATATGAAATGCCCAGAACAGACAAATCTATAGAGGCAAAGTAGATTAGCAGATGCCTAGGGCTGGGGTGACTGCTATTAAAAAATACAGGATTTCTTTCCAGAATGATGGTTGCACACCTCTGTGCATGTACCAACTGAATTATTCAATTTGAATGAAGTGTATGGTATGTGAATTATATCTTAATAAAGTCATTACTAAGAAAGAAAAAGGCTATTCAAGCCTACAACTTGCAAAGAATTAGAGTGGAGTAATATATAAGAGGAAAGAAGAACAGGGGCTACTGCTTAAGCACATCCAGTTGGAGATAATAACAACTTGAACTCCTTCAATGGACACAGGGAAGAAGGGACTAATAAAGTGAAACACTGTTGAAAGAACAGTAGTACCTGCGACTGAATGTGAGAAACTAAGGGGAGAAAGATGACTATGACAACCCCCAGCTTTCTACATGGGTACCTTTACACTAGGCACTGTAATCACTCAAGTAAAGCCTGGCTTTCCCATGGGCAGGAGACTTTCACATATGGTGGCTGCAGTGGGTGTGTGACAAGTCTCCTTCTTGAAAGAAAACTATTCTCTAAGTCCACCACTGGGGAAAAACTACCAATGCTAGCCAGATCTTAGGGATCTCAGCTATGTTCCATGACACAGCTATCAGCCTTGATGCCAGAGAAGAACCATCTGTCAACAAGAGGATAGTTGTTTTTTGGTTTTTTGGGTTTTTTTTTGTTTTTTGTTTTTTGTTGTTCTTTTTTTTGACAAAGAGCCTTGCTCTGTTGCCCAGGCTGGAGTGCAGTGGTGCGATCTCCACTCACTGCAACCTCTGCCTCCCAGGTTCAAGCAATTCTCCTGCCTCAGCCTCAAAAGTAGCTAGGACTATAGGCCCCTGCCACCACATCCAGCTAATTTTTTTGTATTTTTAGTAGAGACGGGATTTCACAATGTTGGTCAGGCTGGTCTTGAACTCCTGACCTCAAATGATCTGCCTGCTGAGATTACAGGCGTGAGCCACCATGCCTGGTAGAGAAGGATAGCTTTTGGTCACAGGATTGTTGTAAGAATTAAATTTGTTAATACAAATAAAAGAAATCAGAATAGTATCTGGCACACAATCAACACTATATAAACTATAAAATGAAAACAAAACATAGCGTATTACTGAAGCTAACACACACAACATTTTCACAGAGGTAGAAGCTAAAACATTAAAGGAGATTTTGTTCACCTATAACTGTTCTCACTAAGAATGTTAAGTTTTAGAAGAACAGCCAGGTCCATTTCAGACCGAAGAGAACATCAGCAAGAGAGTAATGAATAAATTAATAAATAAATAAACACAATTCCTTCCTGTTTATTTTATAAAATTAAAAAGTTTATAAAACCAGATTTTAACCAATTTCACTTAACAGGATCAATTTGGATTAACTACAATACAAATTTGGCTTACGGTTTTAAATAAGCAGTCATGGTTTGTAAATACTTTACTGCCTATAAAGTAAAAGTAAAAGACTCTCAGTTTCTCTCAATTTAATATACATTGGCTTCTTAAACACACAACATTCTCCTTCCTCATGAAAACATTTTTTGACAAAAGGAACACTGGAAAAGATGCAATCTTAAAATAATACTCAAAACTATGTAAAGAGAAATTAATTTATAAGACAATGTATAGGCAGATTGTTATTTACACAGATATATTTCCAATTTTAACTCTTTCTTGCTTGTAAATTTTGGGAAGTGTTTGATATGGTTTGGCTGTGTCCCCACCCAAATTTCATCTTGAATGCTAACTCCCATAATTCCCATATGTTGTGGGAGGGACCTGGTGGGAGGTAATTGAATCATGGGGGCAGTTTCCCCCATACTGTTCTCGTGGTAGTGAATAAGTGGTAAGTAAAAGTCTCACCAGATCTGATGTTTTTATAAGGGGTTTCCCCTTTCACTTGGCTCTCATTTTCTCTCATGCCTGCCACCACATAGACGTGCCTTTTGCCTTCTGCCATGATTGTGAGGCTTCCCCAGCCACGTGGAACTGTGAGTCCATTAAACCTCTTTTTCTTTATAAATAACCCAGTCTTGGGTATGTCTTTATCAGCAACATGAAAATGGACCAATACATTGTTTCTCTAATAAACACTTTCAAGTTATAACCTATTGATGAATATATTTCTTAAAATATATATTGATTAAATAGCAACTTTAGTGCTAATTGTATAATCTGATTTGCTATTGGCTTCCATTTAATGAAAGGTTAGCTGTGTTGCTGGTAGTCCCAGCTACTCAGGAGGCTCAGGTGGAAGAATCACTTGAGCCTGGGAGGCTGAGGCTGCAGTAAGCTGTGATCACACCACTGCACTCCAGCCTGGGAGACAGAGCAAGACCCTGTCATTCATTCATTAATAAAAAAAATTTTTTTAAAACCCTGTCATAAATAAATACCTTTTTAAAAAAACCATTAAACACACTAGAGAAGCTTGGAATTATCCATTAGAATCAAAAAGTAGGGAGGAAACTTGTTTTTTAAAACCTAGATAAGAGGGAGTCAGAACAAGATGGCCAAATAGAAGCTCCACTGATTGTCGTCCCTACAGGAACACCAAATTTAACAACTATCTACACAAAAAAGCACCTTCATAAGAACTAAAAATCAGGTGAGCGATCACAGTACCTGGTTTTAACTTCATATTGCTGAAAGAGGCACTGAAAAGGGTAAGAAAGAGGGTCTTGAATTGCAGACATCACCCCTCCTGATACGGTTTGGCTGTGTCCCCACCCAAATCTCATTTTGAATTCCCACATGTCGTGGGAGAGACCCGGTAGGAGGTAATTGAGTCATGGGGGCAGGTCTTTCTCGTGCTGTTCTCATGATAGTGAGTAAGTCTCATAAGACCTGATGGGTTTACAATGAGGAGTTTCCCTGCACAAGCTCTCTCTGTCTGCTGCCATTCAAGTTAAAATGTGACTTACTCCTCCTTGCCTTCCACCATTGATTGTGAGGCTTCCCAGCCATGCGGAACTGTAAGTCCAATTAACCCTTTATCCTGTATAAATCACCCGGTCTCCGGTATGTTATTATCAGCAGTGTGAAAACAGACTAATACACCTCCCCATCCACCAGCAGAGACTGCATGGTGCGGAGAGACAATCTGTGCACTTGGGGGACGGAGAGCACACCAACTGTGGGCTTTGCATTGGAACTCACTGATGCCCTGTCACAGCAGAAAGCAATGCTGGGCAGAACTCAGGTGATGCCCATGAAGAAGGCATTGAGACCAGCACTAGCCACAGGGGAACTGCCCATACCAGTAGCCTGGAACTTTCACAAGCTTTACCCCCACAGTTCTAAATTAACTTGAAAGGCTGTCTAGGCCACAAGGACAACAATTCCTAGGCAAGTCCTAGTGCCGTGCTGGGCTCAGAGCCAGCACATTTGGGGGGACACATGACCTAGTGACACACCAGCCAAGGAGGCTAAAGGAGCGTATGCACCATGCTTACCCAACTCCAGGCAGCACAGCTCACAGCAACAAAAGTGGCCCTTTCCTTCTTCTTGAGGAGAGGAAAGGCACCAGTAAAGAGGACTTTGACTTATAACTTGGATACCAGCTCAGTCACAGGAGGATAGGGCACCAGAGAGAGTCCTGAGGTCCCCATTCCAGGCCCTAATTCCCTGGATGACATTTCTAGACATATCCTGGGTCAGAAGTGAGCCCACTGCCTTGAAGAGAAGCACCCAGTCCTGTCAGGATTCATCACCTGCTGACTTAAGAGCGCTTAGGCCCTAAATGATCAGCAGCAGTAGCCAAGGTAGTACATGCCGTGGGCCTTGAGCGAGACTCTGAGGCGTGCCACCATTAGGTATGACCCAGAACATTCCCAGCTGTGGTGGCTATGGGAGAGACTCCTTCTGCTTGAGAAAAGTAGAAGAAAGATTAAGGGTACTTTGTCTTGTGCCCGGCCACAATAGAGAAAAGCACCAAGTGGGCTCTTGGGGTCGCCAGTTGTAGGCCTTGGCTCTTGGACAGCATTTCTGGCCCTGTCCTGGGGCAGAGGGGAGACCACTGCCCTACGGGGGGAATTGCAAGTGTGGCAGCATTCACCACAAGCTAAGTGAAGAGCCCTTGGCCTTAGGTGAGCACTGGAGGTAGCCTAGCAGTACTCCCTGTGGGCCTGTGGTGACAATGGACCAGGGAGAGACTCCTCTGCCTGGGGTAAGGGGAAGGAAGAGTGGGAAGGACTTTGTCTTGTGGTTTCGGTGGCAGCTCAGGTGCAGTAGCACAGAGAACCAGGTAAATTTCTAAGGTTTCCACCTCCGGGCCCTCGCTCTTGGATGGCACTTCTGGACCCATACAGGACCTAAGGGAAGGCATCACCCTGAAGCCTGGTTGGTTTTGCCAACTGCTGACGGCAAAGCTCTAGGACCTTAAGCAAACACAGGCAGTAGCCAGTCAGTGGTTACAGGGGACCCTGGATAAGACTCAGTGCTGCGCTGGCTTTAGGTCTGAGCCAGTGCATTTCCAGGGGTGGCGGCCACAGGGATGCTTGTGTCACCTCTCCACCAGCTCCAGGGTAGCTCAGCACAGAGAGAATGTGCTCCATTTGTTTGGGATAAAGTAAAGGAAGAAAACAAGAGTCTCTGCCAGGTAATCCAGAGAATTCCTCCAGATCTTAACAAAGACCACCAAGATGGTACCTCTACAGGTCTGCAAGAATCACAGCATTACTAAGCTTAGGGTATCCTCTAATGGAAATACAGTTGCAGGGACTACAAACTTAGATTACAGCACTCAAGTTCCAACAAATACCTGGAAAGCCTTCCCATAAATGACGGTTACAAACAACCAAAGACTGCAAAGACTACAATAAATACTTGACTCTTCAATGCCCCAAAACCAATGAGCATCCACAAGCACTAAGACCATCCAGAAAAACATGACCTCACCAAATGAACTAAATAAGGCACCAGAGACCAATCTCGGAGAGGCAGAGTTATGCAACGATTCATACAAAAGAATTTAAAATTGCTGTTTTGAATGAACTCAAGATAATACAGAAGGAATTCAGAATCCTATCAGATACATCAAAGAGACTGAAATAATTAAAAAGCATCCAGCAGAAATCCTGTAGTTGAAAAATGCAACTGACATACTGAAGAATGTATCAGTCTCATAATAGAATTCATCAAGCAAAAGCAAGATTTGGTGAGCTTGAAGACAGGCTATTTGAAAATTTTCAGTCAGAGGAGACAAATGAAAAAAAAAAAAAAAATGAAGCACACCTAGAAAATCGGCATGAACATCAAAGGTAGCCTAGCAGTACTCCCCGTGGGCCTGTGTTGGTAATGGAATGGGGACAAACTCCTCTGCCTGGGGAAAGGGGAGGGGAAGAGTGGGAAGAAGTTTGTCTTGTGGTTTTGATGCCAGCTCAGCTGCACCAAAATTTTCTAACACAAGATCTAGAAAATATCCTTAAAAGGGCAAACCTAAGAGTTACTGCCCTTAAAGAGGAGGTAAAGAGAGAGAGGTAGAGGTAGAAAGTTTATTCAAAGGGCTAATAACAAAGAACTTCCCAAGCCTAGAGAAAAAGACTGTCGATATTCAAGTACAAGAAGTTTATAGAAAACCAACCAGATTTAACCCAAAGAAGACCACCTCAAGGCTTGTAATAATCAAACTCCCAAAGTTCAAGAATAAAGGATACTAAAAAGAGTGAGAGAAAACAAACAAGTCACATACAATGGAGCTCCAATACATCTGACAGCAGTCTTTTCAGTGGAAACGTCACAGACCAGCATAGAGTGGCATGACATATTTGAAGTGCTGAAGGAAAAAAAACTTCTACTCAGAAAAGCATATCTGGTTAAAATATCCTTCAAACATGAAGAAGAAATAAAGACTCTCCCAAACAAAAGCTGAGGGATTTCATCAACACCAGACCTGTCCTACAACAAATGCTAAAGGAATTCTTCAATCTGAAAGAAAAGGGTATTAATGAGCAAGAAGAAATGATGTGAAGATACAAAACTCACTGGTAATAGTAAGTACACAGAAAAACAAAGAATATTATAACACTAATTGTGATGTAACTACTCATATCTTTAGTAGAAAGATAAAAACATAAACCCAACAAAAATAATAACTATGGCGGGCCACAGTGGCTCACACCTGTAATCCCAACACTTTAGGAGGTAGAGGCGAGAGGATCACTTGAGCCCAGGAGTATGAGACCAGCCTGGACAACATGATGAAATCACGTTATCTACAAAAAATATAAAAGTTAGCCAGGCATGGTGGTGTGCACCTTTGGTCCCAGCTACTCAGGAGGCTGAGGTGGGGGCATCACTTGAAACCGGGAAATCAAGGCCACAGTGAGCTGTAATTGTGCCACTGCACTCCAGCCTGGGTGACAAAGTAATACCCTGTAACAACAACAACAAAAAGAGTAACTACAGCAACTTTTCAAGACATAGACAGTACAACAAGATATAAGTAAAAACAGCAAAAAGTTAAAAAGCAGAGAGACCAAGTTAGAGTTATTAGTTTCCTTTTTGTTTGCTTGTTTATGCAATCAGTGTTAAGCTGTCTTCAGTTTAAAATAATGGTTATATTATTTACAAGCCTCATGGTAACCTCAAATCTAAAAACATACCAAAGATACACAAAAAACTAAAAGCAAGAAATTAAAACATACCACCAGAGAAAATCACCCTCACTAAAAGGAAGGCAGGAAGGCAGGAAAGAAGGAAGAGAAGACCACAAAACAACCAGAAAACAAGTAACAAAACGGCAGGAGCAAATCCTTACTTATCAGTAACAACACTGAATGTAAGTGGACTATACTCTCCAATCAAGAGACACAGAGTGGATGCAAGGATTAAAAAAACAAGACAGGCTGGGCACCGGGGCTCACACCTGTAATCCCAGCACTTTGGGAGGCCGAGGTGGGTGGATTACAAGGTCAAGAGATGGAGACCATCCTGGCCAACATGGTGAAACCCCGACTCTACTAAAAACACAAAAATTAGCCAGGTATGGTGGTATGCGCCTGTAATCCCAGCTACTCAGGAAGCTGAGGTAGGAGAATCACTTGAACCCAGGAGGCAGAGGTTACAGTAAGCTGAGATTGCGCCACTGCACTCCAGCCTGGGAACAGAGCGAGATGCCCTCAAAAAAAAAAAAAAAAAAAGACCCAATGATCCATTGCCTACAAGAAACACACTTCACCTATAAAGACACAAAGAGACTGAAAATAAAAGGATAGAAAAAAAATATTCCATGCAAATGGAAACCAAAAAACAGCAGGAGTAGCTATAATCAGACAAAACAGATTTCAAGACAAAAACTGTAAGAAACGAAGGTCACTATATAACAATAAAAGGGTCAATTAGCAAGATGATATAACAGATCATCCAGACAGAAAATCAACAAAGAAATATCAGACTTAATCCGCACTGTAGGCCAAATGGATCTAGTAGATATTTATAGAACATTTCACCCAACAGCTGCAGAATACGCTGTGTACTCCTCAGCACATGAATCATTCTCAAGAACAGAACATATGTAAGGCCACAAAACAATTCTCAAAACATTCTCCACCAAAAAAGAAATAGTATCAGGTATCTTCTCTGATGACAATAGAGTAAAACTAGAAATCAATAATGAGGAATTTTTAAAACTATATAAACACATGGAAATTAAACAATATGCTCCTGAATGACCAGTGGGTCAATGAAGAAATTAAGAAGAAAATTGAAAACTTTCTTGAAACAAATGATAATGAAAACACAACACAGCAAAACCTATGGGATACAGAAAGAGCAGTACTTTTTTGCCTACGTCAAAAAAGAACTCAAATAAGCCACCCAAGGATGCATCTTAACTAGGAAAGCAAGAGCAAACCAAACCCAAATTTAGTAGAAGAAATTATAAAGATCAGAGCAGAAATAAATGAAATCAAAACAAAAGAAACAATATAAAAAATCAACAAAACAACTGAACTCAGGGAGAGAGAATGCAGAAGGATGGTTACCAGAGGCTGGGAAGGGTAGGGGGATGATTGGGGAAACGTGGGATGGTTAACGGATTAAAAAAAAAAAATCCAGTATTTGATAGCACATCAGGGTGGGTTATAGTCAATAATAATTATACATGTAAAAATAACTGAAGGAGTATAACTGGATTGTTTGTAACACAAATCTAAATGCTTGTGGGAAGGAATACATTTACCCTGATATGATTATTATGCATTGTATACCTGCATCAAAATATCTCATGCATTAGTCTGTTCTCGCATTGCTATAAAGAAATATCCGAGTCTGGGTAATTTATAAAGAAAAGAGGTTTAATCAGCTCATGGTTCTGCAGGCTGTACAGGAAGCACAGCAGCTTTTTTTTGGGGGGAGGCCTCAGGAGGCTTCCAATCATGGCAGAAGGCAAAGGGCGAGCAGGCATCTCACATGTTATGAGTAGGAGAAAGAGAGGAGGGAGGTGCTACATACTTTTAAACAACCAGATCTGGCAAGAACTCACTCACTATCATGAAGATGGTACCAAGTTGATGGTATTAAACCATTCATGAGAAACCACTCCCCATGATCCAATCGCCTCCCACCAGGCCCTACCTCCAACACTGGCGATTACAATTCAACATGAGATTTGGTGGAGACACAGATCCAAACCATATGAAGGAGTATAACTGTATTGTTTGTAACACAAAGGATAAATGCTTGAGGGGATGGATACCACATTTACCTTGATGTGTAAGCCTGTGTCAAAATATCTCCTGTATCCCATAAATATATATACCTACTATGTACCCACGATTTAAAAAGAAAAAATTTAAATAAATAAAAACTAAAAACTAGAGAAATTCAAATTGTTTCAACTATATCTAAGTTCCTTTCCAAAGGTATAACATGTTAGCACTGGAAATGATTTAGTTCAATCCATTTTTTTTCCCAGATTAAGAAACTAAAGCACAGAGAATGTAAGCAACTGACCAAGGTTGTACAAGCAGCCACTGGCAACCCAAGTCTCTCTGATTACACTAATGGTTCTCCATATTTTATTAACCATCTACAGTAGAGAGCTACACTGTTTCCTAATTCAACCATTGTGGAAGACAGTGTGGTGGTTCCTCAAGGATCTGGAACTGGAAATACCATTTGACCCAGCCAAATATACACCTGGTATATATTACTGGGTATATACCCAAAGGATTATAAATCATGCTGCTATAAAGACACATGCACACGTATGTTTATTGCGGCACTATTCACAATAGCAAAGACTTGGAACCAACCCAAATGTCCATCAATGATAGACTGGATTAAGAAAATGTGGCACATATACACCATCGAATACTACGCAGCCACAAAAAAGGATGAGTTCATGTCCTTTGCAGGGACATAGATGAAGCTGGAAACCATCATTCTCAGCAAACTATCACAAGGACAAAAAACCAAACACCGCATGTTCTCATTCATAGGTGGGAACTGAACAATGAGAACACCTGGACACAGGAAGGGGAACATCACACACCAGGGCCCATCGTGGGGTGGCGGCAGGAGGGAGGGATAGCACTAGGAGATATACCTAATGTAAATGACAAGTTAATGGGTGCAGCACACCAACATGGCACATGTATACATATGTAACAAACCTGCATGTTGTGCACATGTACCCTAGAACTGAAAGTATTAAAAAAAAATCATGCTACACAGTCTAGGAATAATGACATCCTTATTATCTTATCCTTAGTGATGTTTCACACAGCTCTGCTTTCACACTCATGCCATCAACTGACATTATCTTTTATGTGTATGAGTATGCATGCATGTACGTACTTTTATAGAGACAGGGGTGCCTTGTTATATTGACCAGGCTGGTCTTGAACTCCAGGGCTCAAGTGATCCTCCTGCCTCAGTCTCCCAAGTCCTTGAGATTACAGGTAGAAGCCATAATGCCCGGCTCAAGGTTATCCTTTAACTTGAATCCTTCAACTTCTTCCTTCTGCCTTGTCCAAAGAATCTTGTCTCTTTCCTTTTCATTCCCCATTCTTCTCCAACAGCTTTTCCACACTGCAGTAAACCTGGTAATATCTTTTCCCTCTCTATTTCAGTCTAAACATGTAACAATAACGAACAAGAAATTAGAAGGTTTGGAGATGTGTTTAGTCAGTCTGATTATAAATCTTCTGAATCTGAAAAGACAGTAAGATATCCAACTCAAAAATACCCCAAATTAGCAGAATTTTTGTAAAAAAAAAAAAAAGGCATGCCTTTTGCACATAATGCTTTTATATCACTTTCTCATTGCATTTTGGTACTTAATTGGTAACTCTAATTCAGTGTTAGACAATAATAAACTTACCAACGTAACTGTAGTCTCAAGTCACCTGTGAAACTTAGTATCTGGAAAGGAAAGGTGTTATATTGTGGTGATTTTTAAATATATCCATGAATTCTGTGATATCTCTCCCTTCAAAAAGCAGAGTCTAATCTCGGTCTGTTGAACATGGGCCCGTCTTAGTGATTTCCTTCTCATAAAAAGAATGTGACAGAACTGATGCTATGTGACTTTTGAGAGTATTCTTTTTAGATAGCTTCTGTGACTCCCCCTTCTCCTTTCCTTTTCTCTTCCTCTCCATCTTCCTCCACCTTCCTCTAGACTGTTTGCTCTGGTGGAAGCCAACCACCATGTCACGAGGGCAGTCGAGTAACCTGTGGAGAGATCTATACAGGGAAGAAATGAGACCTCCTGCCAAAAACCAGCATCAACCTGGCAGGAACGTGACTGAGCTAACTTGAAAGTAGTTCCTCCAGCCCCAGTCAAGCCTTCAAATGACTAAACGCTGCTATTCAGCAGACATCTTTTTTCCCCAGCTTTGAGGTAATATTGACAAAGATTATATATATATTCAAGATGCACATGATGCTCTGACATACAGTATACAATGTGAAAGACGTCAGGAGACATCTTGATAACAACCTCATGATACCCCAAGACAGAACAGCCTATGCCTCAATTCCTACCCCACAAAACTATGAGATAATAAAGGTTTAGGTCAATATACTTTGGAGTAACTTGTTATGCTGCAATAAATAACTGATACATTTCTTCACCATCATAGCCCCAGGCCCGGCTGATGATGTAGTTGCCAATGAATGAATGAGGTATTTGAAATATCTAGCACCTAAGCTATTGTAACTATGTTATGTGAACTATATTCACTACCCTCAGTGTTATGGTTAATATTAGGTGTAAACTTGACTGGATTGAGGGATGTTTAGATGGCTGCTGAAGTATTGTTTCTGGGTGTGTCTATGAGGATGTTTCCAGAGAAGATGACAACTCCAGTTGAGGCCTGGAGTTAGAGACCAGCCTGGGAAATATAACAAGGCACCCCTGTGAGTCAGTGTACTGAGAGAGGAAGACCTGCCCTCAAAGTGGGCAGGGTCTAGAACAAAGTGGCCAGGAACTAGAACAGTTGCCCATGCCAACTGGCTGTGAGCACAGCTAAAACAAAGCAGACAGAAGGGGGATATTCAGTTTGCTTGCTCTTCTTTTTACTTTCTCTCTCTTCTGGAACAGTACATCTTTTCCTCCACCTGTGCTTGGACATCAGACTCCAGGTTCTTCAGCCTTTGGACTGTGGGACTTGTACCAGCAGCCTCTTGGGGGATTTCAGGTCTTTAGCCTTAGACTGAGAGAGCTGCACTGTCAGCTTACCCGGTTTTGAGGCTTCCGGACTTAGAGAGAGCCATGCTACCGGCTTCCATCATTCTCCAGCTTGCAGATGGCCTATGGCGGGGCTTCACCTATGTAATAGCATGAATCAATTCTCCCTAACAAATTCTCTTTTGTATATATATCTTATTGGTTCCATTCCTCTGGAGAACCCTGACTAATACACTCAGCTAATCTTGTAAGCGATCCAAAACATAGCAAATTTTGAGACTAACAGATGTCAAGTGTCTAATAAGAATACCTGTCTTTAAATGATAAAAACTAAACTTTTAAAATTACAAGACATGGTAAACAATTTTATAATGATTGTCAACAATAGCAAAACTGTTTTCATTACCTTAATATTTATTTGTGTAAAAATAATATCCTCCTTTTTGTGTAAATTCATCTTGAATTTTATTGTTAATTCACTATAGTATGTAATGGATTCTTCGCAATGAAGGATAATGATGGTAATATGAATAAAGCACAGGCAATGAGAAAATAATGGGAGAACTCATGTCTGTCATCCTAAAGAAATAAAAACTACATAGGGGCTTATAAGAGAAGGAAACTAATATCTGAATGTCTGACATTGCTCTAGTTACTACACATATTTCATCTCACTTAATCCTGACAATAATTCCAAAGTAAGGGTATCAGTAATATTTTGCATTTTGTTCTTCTTAGACATGGTTAAAAGGTAATGGAGCTAAGATCTAAAGCCAGGTATAGCTGATTCTAACACTTGTGGACATCCCACTATTCAAGCCAAAGCCACTTATTACTACAGTATTTGGGGGGGAGTTGGTAAAAACTTAAGGATACAATTCTTGAAACCTGTTTCCCTAGAAGGTGCCACTTGGTAAGTTGGGAGAAATGTACAAGCGTGCAAAATTTAAGCATATTCAAGATCAAACTGATTTTGTCCTCCTATAAATCTTTACAAATTGTGAATTACTGCTTACATTGTAGGGCATTAAGATGGTCACTTCTATTTACATTTACCTAATTAGAACTACCTAACTCATTAAGTAAATAAAAATAGGCTTATTCTTAAATAATTCATAATTTAATTTTAAAACCCTATAGTATTTTAATTAAAATATACATGTGATAATTCATAACTAATACTCCTGAACCCATATGACTGTTTAATGGGATCTATATCAATATAAAAATATAATTGCTAAAACATTTTCTTAAGCTATCATATTGACTTTAGTACTTGCTGAACTCAACTCATGGTTTCAATTACTGTCTAGATGCTTTCATTTAAATAAGCAAATTATTTCAAGTAAAGATGAGAACAAAATACACACTATCATCTGCTACCTTCCAAAGTCCTATTTAAATGATAGAGCAAAATTTGTAAAACGTCATAAATACATCATTATGGAGGTACAGGGAGTAGAGGTAAAAGCAATAAACTTTGGAAGCTGGACAGTATATAAATAAGCAATAATGCCTTAGGAGATTCAAGTAACCTGGTCCACAATTAAATACACTCAACCAACCAAAGATTACTAGACCTGAAAGCGTCAGAAAAAAGCAACTTGAAGAATGACTATACAGAGGGAGGAAGAATTTATTAATTAATATCCTCAGAAAGAGAAGACATTGACAGCTATGAAACTGCAACAGTATATATTTTTTAAAAGACACATGGAAAGACAAAACGGAAAGGGAGGCAGAAAGTCATCAAATGTGGGCACCATTTCCAACCAAAACATCTCCAAGTTAGCATACTCTTTACATTTCTTTGAATTATAAATAATATCGTACCAAAAATATCAGCTTGTCTGTTGCTTTTTTGTATTATAAAGTCTATAATATCTTTAAATTATTAAACAAGAGAATTCCTATGAACATATTGAGAAAATGTGTCAATTTTCCTTAAGTCATCAGTTGAGATTTGCTTAATCTCTTGCTGAATTAATGTTTAATAATAGAATCTGGTTTAAAGAAAATCTAAAAATGAGTAACAGGTCTGTCTGGATTGTTATAAATAATAGTCAAATAAAATTTCTGCACATCATGCACCCATCAGTTGAGCAAGGTTCTAAAATCAGCATCCATGGTTCAATGGTGGTTCTTGCTCCGTAGGTATCAACTGGTTTATTTACTTGCCATTCCTCATGGAAGAATGGTACTATAAGAAAGCCAACCAGGAGGAGTGAAGCAGAAACAATGGGTACATGTGTGGCCATAAATCATCAATCAGTGCCACTAAGCAATATCGACATTTGCAGTATAAACAAAAGGATCATGACCAGATATTTATTTACCTCTTTGTTTTGATTGGAATCTTATTGTTATCTATAATTTGAACCAGAATATTTTTGTCTTTGATAGATACAACTCGTTTGATACTTAGACATATACCATTTCTACAAACACAATGAATGCATGGGGAAGGGGATATAGACTGGATTGGCTAATATTTGTCTTTAGATCCAAGCCACAACTAAACTACTGTTAGAGAGTTTAAATAAATAATTGTATTTCTTTCCACGGAGGCCTATTTCAATTCCTGGACATACATACCAAATTTACAGCAATGTCAGCTAGTCAGAGAACTGAGACACAGACAGTCAAATGACTTCCTCAAATAACAGAATAGACTTAGAATGCTTTGGGCAGACAAAGCAGTTGATTTTCAATCACTGTTATAAAATGAAAAGTTAACTTCAATTAGTTTCTTTTAAATATTTCAGTGGCCACGTAGGTTGCTAGTAAATGTTTTCTTAAACACTTTTTCAGTCTCTTCCTTTTTTATCTACCACTTAACTTGTAAAGGTTCATCTAAGGATAATTGTTAATATGGTCATGTCAGCCCTTGAACAAAATAATAAAATTGAGAATAAAGGCCTAGAAAAATGAGCAAAGTTTCATAATAATAGTCTTAGAGAATACCAAAGTAAATGAAATAAAACAAAAGAGCTGTTAGGGTTTGGGCACTGTGGCTCACACCTGTAATCTCAGCACTTTGGGAAGCTAAGGCAAGAGGAGAGCTTGAGCCCAGGAGCTCCAGGCTGCGGTAAGCTGTGATTATACCACTATACTCCAACCTGGGTGACAGAGTGAGAGCCTGTCTGTAAAAAATAAAAAATAAAAAGAATGGTTACTACATTTTAATAACTGTAAGAAAAGGGGACCATTAAACACTGTCCTCTGCAAGGCTTATAACCATGATTTTCAAATGTGGCACACGGACCTCCCTCTGAGCATCCCAGAGACCTTTTCAGGGAGTCAAGGAAGTCAAAACTATTTTCATAATAAAACTAAGACCTCATTCACCATTTTCACTGAGTGGACATTTATACTGCTGATGCAAAAACAACAGCAGGTAAAACTCCTGGTGCCTTATTTCAAATCACCGCAATGTATCTAAACTGTACTAACTGCAGTTAAAAGAGAAATAAAAATTCAGCTTCACTTGTTCTTGATAAAGCAGCAAAAATTATTAATTGTATTAAAAACCATCCTTTGAGCATGCATAAAGCATTTCTACTGCATACCTAAATACGATGGCTGTCTCGAAGGAAAGCATTTGTATACCTGTTAAAGCTGCAAGCTGAATTAGCTGTTATGGAATGCCATTTTTAATTGAAACAATGATGGACAAACTATGCTTATTCAGCTGATACTTCTGAAAATAATGACTGAACAAGACTTTCCCATGGGAAAAAATGACAGTACTTGTCGCCAATGATAAAATTTGACCTTTCAAACAAAAACCAGAATTTTGGAAAACTTGTATCTGCCACCAATAAAGACTTGAAGATTTTTCTAAGATCGGTGGTGTTACTTAAAAATGATACTTTTTGATATCACATAATGAAATGTATCAACATGTGGAAAGTCTGCATAATCTTTCAGAGAGCCAATAATTTCCAAATGACCAATACTTGATATTACAAAATCATCCATGGGTAAGATTCACTCAAAGTGCAAGGAAAAAAAAATAGAAGTTACACACACACACACACTCCAATGAATAAGTGAATAAATGTATGCATACCCGGTATTAAGGCAGGCTGGTAGATTTCAATGTAACAAAGAATGAAAACAATGAAAAGTTCACTGATATGATTTCAGATTCCACATAGCAATTAACCTACAGAAATTACCACTTGTTAACTTTTGGTGTATTATTGAAGAAAAATATCCACAATTATCTGAAAAAGCTATTAAAACATTCTTTTTCCAATTACATATTATGTGTGAGGATATTCTTCACATACTTCAAGTAAAATAATGTATCACAAGACATTCCAGAAACAGCTGTGGTCTGTTAAGTCAGACATTAAGAGACTGGCAAAACTGTAAACAAGGCCACTCTTTTCAAGATTTTTCAAAATATATTTTTCATAATATATTTACATTAACATGAGTTTAGTAATATTTTAAACAAATTTTAAAAGTATACTAAATCTGTTCTAACACAACAAATATTCACAGATATAATCCAGTAATTTTTAAGAGTATAAAGCCTGGAGATGAAAAAAACTTAACTGCTAATTTTAATAATGTGGAAAAAAACAGTGGTTTTTGACATCAAAACTTAAAAGGTCTCTATGTTTTTGATTCCACGATCTTTATTTGAAAATATTTACCCCTTCTGCTATAATTTCACCACACTTACGTCTTTGACCTGCCCACGGTCAAAAGTGGCCTGCTAAGGTTAGTTTTAATCTTATACAAGGTAAACAGTGAAATCAAATGTACACTACTCAACATAAAATGCCAATTCTTCAGGCAGGATAGTAGCTAACTGTTCAAGAGCAGAAATGAAATTACCCAACAGTCGTGGACTAAAGATAGGGAGAGTAGTAGCTGTGCTAAAGCCCAGTGCCCTGGGAAGAATCCAGCTCAGATAATTACACTCTATGGAGAGAATTCAGGTAAGACTAAGAATATAATTACATTGGTTGAAATTTGCCCAGGAGAGCAGGGTTAACGGTATAATTCCTATGAGGAGAGCCCTGAGAACTTAAAAGGCCAAGAATGGTCAGAAGTTAATTATTATACTTCAACAGACTTGAGTAGATGAAACAAATTGTTCCCTAGTTCTATTTCTACCTCTTGTAGTAACTTGTTGTAAACCTTTGTTTCATTCCAAGTACGCTGTATGGAAGACCAACAATTCTTCAGATTTCAAGTGTTATACTTGTCACTGAAAATGCACCCCTCACTCATGCATAACGTGTCTATTTTATAGGATATATTTAAATGCATTCTTATTACCTAAGAGTAATGTTTCTCAATTCAAACATTATCATATGACTTCTAAAGCTGAATTAAACATGGAAAATTTATACCTGACAATAAAAATAAATTGTACATCCTTCCTTGTCTGAAAATGCTTCTAAATAAAAGCAGTAGTGAGGATTTCTGTTATTTCAGCGGTCCCCAACCTTTCTGGCACCAGCAACTGGTTTAGGGGAAGACAATTTTTCCACACACCCGGGTTGAGGGGAGTGGTTTCCGGATAATTCAAGCTCATTATAGTTGTTGTGCACTTTATTTCTATTATTATTACATTGTAATATATAATGAAATAATTATACAACTCACTATAATGTAGAATCAGTGGGAGACCTGAGTTCGTCTTCCTGCAACTAGATGGTCCCCATCTGGGGGTGACGGGAGACAGTGACAGATCATCATGCATTAGATTCTAATAAGGAGCAAGCAACCTAGATCCCTCACATGCACAGTTCACAATAAAGTTTGCGCTCCTATGAGAATCCAATGCCATCGCTGATCTGACGGGAGGCAGAGCTCAGGCGGTAATGCCAGCAATGAGGGACAACTGTAAATACACATGAAGCTTCACTGGCTCACCTCCTGCTGTGCCACCAGGTTCCACAGGTATGTGTCATGGGAACTGGGGACCCCTGGTTTATGTGTTTCATTGTTTTAAAATCAACACAAAGGAGAAAAATTAGGGGAAGCAGTTGTTAGTTACTACTCTAGAACAGGGATCAGCAGTCTATAGCCCACAAACCAAAGCAGGACTGCAGTCCGTTTTTGATAACATTATATTAAAATACAACCACATTCATTAGTTTAAACATTTTCTATGGCTGCTTTCATGCTACCTCAGGCAAGCTGTATATAGGAAATTAACTGACAGATCTAATTTAGGCTCTGCTGTTAAATAATATGATCAAGGGCAAATCACAAATGTTCTGTCATTTATACAATGCACAGATGATTAGCTGATGCCTACTACTTTCCAGCTCTAGAAGCATCTAGGATTTTAGATGATAAGCTATTCAGCACTCATTAGATGTAACAGAAGTTCAAAGAAAGGAGAGGTTGGTGTGTGCTCAGGTCACCAGAGAAGATTCCTGAAAAGCATGGAACTCAGCTGTTAAGAATGTGCGGTGTTTTTGCCAAAGGAATAAAAAAATGAAGCTATTTTAGTGGTGGGGAAATTGCAATAAATAAAGTCAAAAGGCATAACTGGTAATAAGATACTTTCCTAACTTGTAGTAATAACTATTTCACAGTGGGAAATATGGTTGGATAGGGTAAGGGAAATATTATATAGTCTCTGAAAATCTGAAAAAGAAACATACTTTGCAGGCAGGAAATAAGAACCACTGGGGCTTTTGAAAATAGAAGTAGAGTGGTCAGAATTTTGTTGAAAACAGACTGGATATGGCTGGAAGGGACATCACAGACTGGGAGACAGAGAAACCTAAAGTAATCATGGAGAGCCCAAGCCTCAAGAACTCCTGGAATGGAGGAAATTACAAAGATACGAGCTATACTGACAAGGAGAAATAAAAGGGCCAGGAGGATGAATGGACATGTGTCAGCAATTTTCCACAAGTCTGAATTATCAGGAAAATGATTAAAGACAAAGAAACTAAGAAATGAACTACATTGGGAAGAAAGATTAATTAAGCGAAGAAACATTAAGGAAGGGGAGGAGCCAAGATGGCCGAATAGGAACAGCTCCCGTCTACAGCTCCCAGTGTCAGCCACGCAGAAGACTGGTGATTTCTGCATTTCCAACTGAGCTTTGAAGACAGTAGTGGTTCTCCCAGCACGCAGCTGGAGATCTGAGAACAGGCAGACTGCCTCCTCAAGTGGGTCCCTGACCCCCAAGTAGCCTACCTGGGAGGCATCTCTCAGTAGGGGGTGGACTGACACCTCACACGGCCGGGTACTCCTCTGAGACAAAACTTCCAGAGGAACGATCAGACAGCAGCATCTGTGGTTCATCAATATGCACTGTTCTGCAGCCACTGCTGCTGAGACCCAGGCAAACAGGGTCTGGAGTGGACCTCTAGCAAACTCCAACAGACCTGCGGCTGAGGGTCCTGACTGTTAGAAGGAAAACTAACAAACAGAAAGGACATCCACACCAAAAACCCATCTGTACATCACCATCATCAAAGACCAAAGGTAGATAAAACCACAAACATGGGAAAATAACAGAGCAGAAAAAGTGAAAACTAAAAATCAGAGTGCCTCTCCTCCTCCAAAGGAACGCAGCTCCTCACCAGCAACAGAACAAAGCTGGACGGAGAATGACTTTGATTAGTTGAGAGAAGAAGGCTTCAGACAATCAAACTACTCTGAGCTACAGGAGGAAATACGAAACAATAGCAAAGAAGTAAAAAGCTTTGAAAAAAAATTAGACGAATGGATAACTAGAATAACTAATGCAGACAAGTCCTTAAAGGACCTGATGGAGCTGAAAACCAAGGCATGAGAGCTACGTGACAAATGCAGAAGACTCAGGAGCCAATGTGATCAGTTGGAAGAAAGGGTATCAGTGATGGAAGACTAAACGAATGAAATGAAGCGAGAAGAGAAGTTTAGAGAAAAAAGAATAAAAAGATATGAACAAAGCCTCCAAGAAATATGGGACTATGTGAAAAGACCAAATCTACGTCTGATTGGTGTACCTGAAAGTGACGGGGAGAATGGAACCAAGTGGGAAAACACTCTACAGGATATTATCCAGGAGAACTTCCCCAATCTAGCAAGGCAGGCCAACATTCAGATTCAGGAAATATAGAGAACACCACAAAGATACTTCTCGAGAAGAGCAACTCCAAGACACATAATTGTCAGATTCACCAAAGTTGAAATGAAGGAAAAAATGTTAAGGGCAGCCAGAGAGAAAGGTCGGGTTACCCACAAAGGGAAGCCCATCAGACTAACAGCTGATCTCTCGGCAGAAACTCTACAAGCCAGAAGACAGTGGGGACCAATATTCAACATTCTTAAAGAAATGAATTTTCAACCCATAATTTCATATCCAGCCAAACTAAGCTTCATAAGTGAAGGAGAAATAAAATACTTTACAGACAAGCAAATGCTGAGAGATTTTGTCACCACCAGGCCTGCCCTAAAAGAGCTCCTGAAGGAAGCACTAAACATGGAAAGGGACAACCGGTACCAGCCACTGCAAAAACATGCCAAATTGTAAAGACCATCAAGGCTAGGAAGAAACTGCATCAACTATCGAGCAAAATAACCAGCTAACATCATAATGACAGGATCAAATTCACACATAACAATATTAACTTTAAATGTAAATGGACTAAATGCTCCAATTAAAAGACACAGACTGGCAAATTGGATAAAGAGTCAAGACCCACCAGTGTGCTGTATTCAGGAAACCCATCTCACGTGCAGAGACACACATAGGCTCAAAACAAAGGGATGGAGGAAGATCTACCAAGCAAATGGAAGACAAAAAAGGCAGGGGTTGCAATCCTAGTCTCTGATAAAACAGACTTTAAACCAGCAAAGATCAAAAGAGACAAAGAAGGCCATTACATAATGGTAAAGGGATCAATTCAACAAGAAGAGCTAACTATCCTAAATATATATGCACCCAATACAGGAGCACCCAGATTCATAAAGCAAGTCCTGAGTGACCTACAAAGAGACTTAGACTCCCACACACTAATAATGGGAGACTTTAACACCCCACTGTCAACATTAGACAGATCAACGAGACAGAAAGTTAACAAGGATACCCAGGAATTGAACTCAGCTCTGCACCAAGTGGACCTAATAGACATCTACAGAACTCTCCACCCCAAATCAACAGAGTATACATTCTTTTCAGCACCACACCACACCTACTCCAAAACTGACCACATAGGTGGAAGTAAAGCACACCTCAGCAAATGCAAAAGAACAGAAATTACAACAAACTGCCTCTCAGACCACAGTGCAATCAAACTAGAACTCAGGATTAAGAAACTCACTCAAAACCGTGCAACTACATGGAAACTGAACAACCTGCTCCTGAATGACTACTGGGTACATAACGAAATGAAGGCAGAAATAAAGATGTTCTTTGAAACCAACGAGAACAAAGACACAACATACCAGAATCTCTGGGACACATTCAAAGCAGTGTGTAGAGGGAAATTTATAGCACTAAATGCCCACAAGAGAAAGCAGGAAAGATCTAAAATTGACACCCTAACATCACAACTAAAAGAGCTAGAGAAGCAAGAGCAAACACATTCAAAAGCTAGCAGAAGGCAAGAAATAACTAAAATCAGAGCAGAACTGAAGGAAATAGAGACACAAAAAAACCTTCAAAAGATTAATGAAACCAGGAGCTGGTTTTTTGAAAACATCAACAAAATTGATAGACCGCCAGCAAGACTAATAAAGAAGAGAGAAGAATCAAATAGATGCAATAAAAAATGATAACGGGGATATCAACACTGATCCCACAGAAATACAAACTACCATCAGAGAATACTATAAACACCTCTATGCAAATAAACTAGAAAATCTGGAAGAAATGGATTAATTCCCTGACATATACATCCTCCCAAGACTAAACCAGGAAGAAGTTGAATCTCTGAGTAGACCAATAACAGGCTCTGAGATTGAAGCAATAATTAATAGCTTACCAACCAGAAAAAGTCCAGGACCAGATGAATTCACAGCCAAATTCTACCAGAGGTACAAAGACGAGCTAGTACCATTCCTTCTGAAACTATTCCAATCAATAGAAAAAGAGGGAATCCTCCCTAACTCATTTTATGAGGCCAGCATCATCCTGATACCAAAGCCTGGCAGAGACACAACCAAAAAAGAGAATTTTAGACCAATATCCTTGATGAACATTGATGCAAAAATCCTCAATAAAATACTGGCAAACCGAATCCAGCAGCACATCAAAAAGCTTATCCACCATGATCAAGTGGGCTTCATCCCTGGGATGCAAGGCTGGTTCAATATATGCAAATCAATAAACGTAATCCAGCATATAAACAGAACCAAAGACAAAAACCACATGATTATCTCAATAGATGCAGAAAAGGCCTTTGACAAAATTCAACAACTCTTCATGCTAAAAGCTCTCAATAAATTAGGTATTGATGGGACGTATCTCAAAATAATAAGAGCTATCTATGACAAACCTACAGCCAATATCATACTGAATGGGCAAAAACTGGAAGCATTCCCTTTGAAAACTGGCACAAGACAGGGATGCCCTCTCTCACCACTCCTATTCAACATAGTGTTGGAAGTTCTGGCCAGGGCAATTAGGCAGGAGAAGGAAATAAAGGGCATTCAATTAGGAAAAGAGGAAGTCAAATTGTCCCTGTTTGCAGACGACATGATTGTATATCTAGAAAATCCCGCTGTCTCAGCCCAAAATCTCCTCAAGCTGATAAGCAACTTCAGCAAAGTCTCAGGATACAAATTCAATGTACAAAAATCACAAGCATTCTTATACAGCAATAAGAGACAAACAGAGAGCCAAATCATAAGTGAACTCCCATTCACAATTGCTTCAAAGAGAATAAAATATCTAGGAATCCAACTTACAAGGGATGTGAAGGACCTCTTCAAGGAGAACTACAAACCACTGCTCAAGGAAATAAAAGAGGATACAAAGAAATGGAAGAACATTCCATACTCATGGGTAGGAAGAATCAATATCGTGAAAATGGCCATACTGCCCAAGGTAATTTATAGATTCAATGCCATCCCCATCAAGCTACCAATGACTTTTTTCACAGAATTGGAAAAAACTACTTTAAAGTTCATATGGAACCAAAAAAGAGCCCCCATCACCAAGTCAATCCTAAGCCAAAAGAACAAAGCTGGAGGCATCATGCTACCTGACTTCAAACTATACTACAAGGCTACAGTAACCAAAACAGCATGGTACTGGTACCAAAACAGAGATATAGACCAATGGAACAGAACAGAGCCCTCATTGTCTGATCTTTGACAAACCTGACAAAAACAAGCAATGGGGAAAGGATTCCCTATTTAATAAATGGTGCTGGGAAAACTGGCTACCCATAGGTAGAAAGCTGAAACTGCATCCCTTCCTTACACCTTATACAAAAATTAATTCAAGATGGATTAAAGACTTAAACGTTAGACCTAAAACCATAAAAACCCTAGAGGAAAAGCTAGGCAATACCATTCAGGACATAGGCATGGGCAAGGACTTCATGTCTAAAACACCAAAAGCAATGGCAACAAAAGCCAAAATTGACAAATGGGATCTAATTAAACTAAAGAGCTTCTGCACAGCAAAAGAAACTACCATCAGAGTGAACAGGCAACCTACAGAATGGGAGAAAATTTTTGCAACCTACTCATCTGACAAAGGGCTAATATCCAGAATCTACAATGATCTCAAACAAATTTACAAGAAAAAAACAAACAACCCCATCAAAAAGTGGGTGAAGGATATGAACAGACACCTCTCAAAAGAAGACATTTATGCAGCCCAAAAACACATGAAAAAGTGCTCGTCATCACCGGCCATCAGAGAAATGCAAATCAAAACCACAATGAGATACCATCTCACACCAGTTAGAATGGCAATCATTAAAAAGTCAGGAAACAACAGGTGCTGGAGAGGATGTGGAGAAATAGGAAGACTTTTACACTGTTGGTGGGACTGTAAACTAGTTCAACGATTGTGGAAGTCGGTTTGGTGACTCCTCAGGGATCTAGAACTAGAAATACCATTTGACCCAGCCATCCCATTACTGGGTATATACCCAAAGGATTATAAATCATGCTGCTATGAAGACACATGCATACGTATGTTTATTGCGGCACTATTCACAATAGCAAAGACTTGGAACCAACCTAAATGTCCAACAATGACAGACTGGATTAAGAAAATGTGGCACATATACACCATGGAATACTATGCAGCCATAAAAAAGGATGAGTTCATGTCCTTTGCAGGGACATGGATGAAGCTGGAAACCGTAATTCTCAGCAAACTATCGCAAGGACAAAAAACCAAACACCGCATGTTCTCAGTTATAGGTGGGAATTGAACAATGAGAACACATGGGCACAGGAAGGGGAACATCACACACTGGGGCCTGTTGTGGGGTGGGGAGAGGGATAGCATTAGGAGATATACCTAATGGTAAATGACGAGTTAATGGGTGCAGCATACCAGCATGGCACATGTATACATATGTACCAAACCTGCACGTCGTGCACATGTACCCTAAAACTTAACATACAATAATAATAAAATTTAAAAAAAAGAAAAAAGAAACACTAAAGTAGTGAAATATTTTTTTGTGACTGGAAATATAATATGCAAACTAGTGTGAGGCCAGTTAAAAAATAGAGATTTAAAACAATAAGATCATGAGTTTTAGAATGGAAAGCTCCCCGAGCTGAACTGGAAACAGAACTGTCTCCAATTCAAATATCAGCCTACTAAGGGTCAAAGAATTGTGATTTTGTCCAGGTCACCAGCTGAAAACTTACTGAAAGGGAACTAGAATTTAGATCTCTATCTTCTATTTAGAAATGTTTGAAGCTATGAGAGCTATAAGCTCTTCAAGATTCAGAGCAGAGGCCACATATTAGAGGCCTATGGTCATGTTTATTTAGATTTCAATGTTTAAAAAATAGTTTCTAACCATTGTGGCAGGAAAGGGTGGCTTGGGGGACATCTGCTCCAATCCCTCCATCAACCTTTCCCTTCAGGGCACTACCCAACAATATATATACAAATTACCAAATGTGCACTTCCTATGAAAATCCAGCTTTAAGGCAATCCCTAGACTCTTAATAGAAGTGCAAGTGGTGCATATTACAATGTATACAACAAATCCAAAGGCTGTGCAACGTACAAGCTACATAAACCCTGTTCCAACCGGAATACTGCTCCAAACTCCCTCTCGTGTAGGTATTCCCAAACTTCCACTAGCCACCGATATTCGAAATCTGAGATATTTCACATAAAAATCTGGACTTCCCATACTTCTCTTGGCTCACTAGAAGATCTGATTACATTAAACATTTTTTTCCCCACATGATAGTAAGTTGAACTCAAACAGTGGTGTTGTCCCCGTTGGACAGAGATCTGTTCTCTTATTAATTGTGTACCCACCTGGACCATTCATTCCCTTATGTCACTTGCAGCCCTCTTTAGAGGAATCTGCAACCCTAAAACACAGAGAAACATAGCATTAAGGCCTTAATTTTAGAAAATACTTTGAGGCATGAAAAGAAACCAGCAAAGACAGCCAAAAACAAAAATAAAAAAATAAACAAAAAAAGCAAGGATCAGAGAGCAGTGGAGAAAAGTGCAATGCTCCAAAAATCAAGGGAGATAGTTTCAGAGAGCAAGAATGGACACTAGAATTTAGCATGAAGATGTCACTGCCAACCTTTTAAAAAGCAATCTCAGCTGATCTATACTATCCATTCCACTGTGTTTTTGAAAAGGACTAGAGATGGAAAATAGCAATAACAACAGAAGAAGAGATGAACACTAAATGTAAATAGGTTTATCATTTTTAACTGCAAAATTTACACATGTTTAAATGAAAAAGACAAGAGGAAGTAGAGAGAAGTGGTTTTAGACTCAGTTTCAGGTAGCTAAAAATAAATGAAGACCCTGTATTAGGCAGAATGATTGGCTTTAGAAAGTAATTTTAAGGATGAAGACAATAATTACCTGCATCATTATATTTTTGGTCATAACAAATCTGAACAGACTATCTTTAGAGCAAATAATGATAAAATAAAAAGATACAAATAATCTAAAGATACAAAAATATCTAATAAAATAAAGTAATAAAATAATCTAAAGATACAAAATCTTTAAAATATATTATTTATTTTATAATATATTATATAAATATTATATTTAAATAAATATTATATTTATTTAAAATAATAAATAAAATAATCTAAAGATACAAAAATATCTAATAAAATATCTAATAAAATAATCTAATAAAAAAACTAATAAAGATAAAAATCTAAAGATAAAAATAAAAAGATACAAATAATCTAAACGCTGCACTTACTACATAGATGATCAAGATAAATGGAAACAGATGAGCCACGTCTTGATTATCTTTTCATTTCTGGTAGAATAAGATTGTAATCAAGGAAGGTAAAACATCACACCAACTGGAAATCAGGTTTTCCCAGCAAGAAAACTAATGTCAAATAACCTCCTCTTATAAAACTAACTGACCATATATACAAGATACATTAGGAAAAAGCATATAATAAATATTAGTGTTTTTCCTAGTTTAACTGCACATACTGATTTATTATTATGGCTAGGTGAGAATTGCTTTTTATCTATCTTTGTTATGAATAACGTTAAAGTTCTGCCAAGGTTATTTAAATATTTTCTTCTAGAATTATCTAGCTGAAAATGCTTCACTCAGAAATCAGATAACTACACAATTATTCTTGCGGAATTAGTTTCTTAACATTTTTATTCAGTGTCCTAGTAAATTATTCAAGGTAAACAAAACATGTTTCTTTTTTATAGTTAGGAGCATCCTCATTGCCTAAGAACTATTTCTCAATTCAAAAGAAACAGTACTGTATGACTTCTAAAGTTGAATGTATTATATTTATTTTAAAGAGACAAAGAGCTCGCTATGCTGTGCAGGTTGGACTTAAACTCCTGGGCTTGAGGAATCCTCTCGACTCAGCCTCCCAAAAAGCTGGGAATACTGGTGCACACCAATGCACCTGGCTAAAGCTGAATTTAAAAAACAAAGTTTATGCCAGAGAATAAGAAAAATGAAAGTATATCTCCTACCTTACTTTTAAATAAAATTAAAAAAGATGGTTCTAAAGACGAAATAAATGGAGAAGAGCCTGCTATGACAGTTATTAGTCTTACTCTAGAGGAAAGATACATATTATGATTTTAATAATAGCTCATTCAATCTTTTTCTAATAAGCCATAGGGAGAATAATCATAGAGAATTAATTCTTATACTTCAGTGAATTCCCCATTAAGGTCTCCATAACATAACTAGAACCAATGTTTGCTCTCATTTTTTTAACGTAAGACCGTATTATCTCATAAAACTATGAAGTTGGGCTACACACATTAAACAACTATTTACTGAATGCCTACTATATGCCAGACACAATATTATGCATTTGAGATATAGTGTTAGACAAAATGAATTTGATCTCAACTCCTTCATGTTAGTGGCTTTGGCAAGTCCTAAATGAAGTTCACTATGAAAGGACCTTTAGGGTAATGGTTTTCACATGTATTAAATGTAAGAATCACCTGGGAAGTTCGCCAAACACAGAAAGACTGAAACAGAATTGGGGTAGGGGTATAACTTTTTACTTAATCTGTTGCTGTCCACACAACGACTAACGTTAGGATGATATTGATGAAGCAGCTGAGTGCTTATTATGTGACTGGCACTGTGCCAAATATTTAATAATCACAACCACCACCACAAAAAGGATACATAATTATCCTGATTTTTTTGAGACGGAGTTTCGCTCTTGTTGCCCAGGCTGGAGTGCAATGGTGCAATCTTGGCTCACTGCAATCTCCACCTCCCAGGTTCAAGCGATTCTCCTGCCTCAGCCTCTCAAGTAGCTGGGATTACAGGCATGTGTCACCACGTACGGCTAATTTTGTATTTTTAGTAGAGACGGGGTTTCACCATGTTGGTCAGGCTGGTCTCAAACCCCTGACCCCAGGTGATCCACCCACCTCAGCCTCCCAAAGTGCTGGGATTACAGGAGTGAGCCACTGTGCCCAGCCAATTATCCTGATTTTAACTGCGAACAAAAAGAGGCACAAACAGGTTACATAACCTTGTAAAAGATATGTAATGGCCACACAGGCATTAAGTGGCAGAGCCAAGGCTGTCTAGTTCAAGCTCTTCACCACTAGGCTACTCTAGCCAGTAGCAGGTTATTTCAAAGGCTGGAGGGCTCCCAGGAGGAGGTGAATTTTAATGAAGTACTGAGAATTGTTGCTAACTATTTATGAGGCACCTAGGAGACAAGTGAGTGGGGCTCTGAGAGGTACAGTGATCTAGGCTAGTAGAGAGAGCAAGCCTTGGGCCCTATGTAGTGTCACTGGCTTCAAGAATGGCCCACAAACTAATTTCTTAACTTCTTCCTCTGAAAAAAAAATAAGGTCAGGAATAAAAGTAGCATGGGCATGTATGTCTGCAGAAAGGTACATAACGAATATACCTCTCATATACCACCAATACTGTTTTAAAGACGACATTTTAACACCAAAAATAATGAATATAGAGTTGTCCCTTAAGCTGGATGAGGTGGCTCATGCCTGTAATCCCAGAACTTTGGGAGACTGACACAAGAAGACTGCTTGAGCCGAGGAGTTTGAGCAGCCTAGGCAACACGGCAAAACCCCATCCCTACTAAAAATACAAAAATTATCTGGGCCTGTAATCTCAGCACTTTGGGAGGCCAAGGTGAGCGAATCACGAGGTCAGGAGATCAAGACCATCCTGGTTAACACGGTGAAACCCCGTCTCTACTAAAAATACAAAAAATTAGCCGGGTGCGGTGGCGGGCGCCTGTAGTCCCAGCTACTCGGGAGGCTGAGGCAGGAGAATGGCATGAACCCAGGAGGTGGAGCCTGCAGTGAGCCGAGATCGTGCCACTGCACTCTGGCCTGGGCCAAAGAGCGAGACTCTGTCTCAAAAAAAAAAAAAAAAAAAAAAAAAAATTAGCCGGGCATGGTGGCACACATCTGTAATTCCAGTTACTCAGAAGGCTGAGGTGAGAGAATTGCTTGAACCCAGGGGACGGAGGTTGCAGTGAGCCAAGATCGTGCCACTGCACTCCAGCCTGGGCAACAGAGTGACCCTGTCAAAAAAAAAAAAAAAAAAAAAGCCCCTTAAATAGAATGAATTAATAAATACAAAAACCTGATTACATTGTTTTATTTTTCTCATTTTGCCCAATACCATGAATTTGGGAACCACTGCCCTAGACTGCTAAATCTGTGAAGGTGGTTATTTTCTAAGTTAACATAGTCAGCAGTATGTTGCTTGTATACGGTCTCTGCATTTTATTAAACCTACTGAGTAACAAATGCAGTATTAATTTTTAAAATAACATTAAAATTGTGAACAAAAGCCTTATTATTACAACATGTGAAAAGACAGATAAAGATTTCTTGTTTTGTTTATATACCTTTTAAGCAGTTTATTGTTATCACTACAATAGTTTTAAATGTTTTTTCCTACTCTTTTAAATCTTTGTGCCCAGATGTTAAACAAAGGTAGGATCAACCAGTAATTTGTGAGTTTGTATACTGCACAAAAGCTTGCAGCCAGTGAGTAAGGTCTGAAATTCAACCACCTTTTTGTGCATGGTTCTACCTAGAAGTCCCTTATCTGGCCAAGCTATGCATCTACCCCAAGGAGAATCTGCATCTAGTCAGCAAAAGATATTCTATAGGCTAGAAGCAGCCCTAGGCTCACGTTTTTTGTTTTTTTTTTTTAAAGACAGGGTCTTGCTCTGTCTCCCAGGCTGGAGGGCAGTGCATTGTTCATAGCTGACTGCAGCCTTGAACTCCTAGGCTCAAGCGATCTTCCCACCTCAGCCTCCCAAGTAGCTGAGACTACAGGCTACAGGTACATGCCACCATGCCCGGCTAATTTTTTTTTTTTTTTTTTTTTTTAGACACACAGTCCTGCTATGTTGCCCAGGCTGATGTTGAACTCCTGGACTGAAGCGATCCTCCCACCTTGGCCTCCCCAGAACTGCTGGGATTACAGGTGAGAGCCACCACGCCTGGCCAGAAACATTTTTTAAATCCAAAAAATAATAATAATAAAATTTGATATTTTTTAAAGTTAGTATAAATATATTACCTATAACCATAGTTTATCTGAGGTTTTAAATTCTAAATCACAACTATGATAAGCTTGTCCTTTGCTATTCAAAGAGCTGGTCCTTAACTGGGCACGTTCTCCTATAATCCCAGTTACTCAGGAAGCTGAAGTGGGAGGATCACTTGAACGGAAGAGTTGGAGACCAGCCTAGGCAACAAAGCAAGCCCCTAGTTCAAAAAAATAAAAATTAAAAAAAAGAGAGGTCCTCAAACCTACATTGGCATCACCTAAGGAGCTTGTTAGAATCTTAGGCCCCATCCCAGATCTCTAAAACAAGGTCTACACTTTTAACAAGACCTCCAGGTGATTTACACATACATTACAGTCTCAGAAACAGTGATCTAGACTAGCAGAGAGGGCAAGCCTTGGACCCTTTGCAGCGTCACCAGCTTCAAGAATGGTCCACAAACTAATAAAGTGCCCCCTCACTTGCTTTACTGACCTAACAAGGTAACAAGATACAGAAGCTGCTACCTCATAGTTACCAATCTAACTGCTTAGCAGGGTAAACACATCATTTGCATGTGTGCGTATGTGTGTGTGTGTAGACATATACATACATATTCTAAAAAGTCACTTTTCAAAACCACATTATTGAGTGGTTTAAAATATAAACTGGCTTAAAATATATTCACCCTTGTGTTAACTCAAATTTCCCCTTAGAAATGTTTTAAATGAGTCCTCTTTAGTCAATTTTGCATGCATATATGCTCCGTAAGAGAAATAGTCTATCAATTCTTTATGCAAAAGTATGGTCATATTTTTTAATTATATCACAGTAAGAAAAATAACTTTTACAGAACCATTCTGTTCCTACGGTAGAAATTTAAAATAAAACAACTTACCACAACTCGATTATGAAAAGCTTTAATGTAATGTCACTGGTAGACACCATTCCTTTACAATTTCATAACTTAAGTTCAACTAAGTACTTGAACGTTCAAAACTAAATAGCATGCATTTAAAATTCCTAGTACTCAGCTAATGTGTATACCTAAAAGTATAAAAAGAAGAAACATAATCAGAAAAGATGTGTAAAATGTAGTAAGGATCTAGAAATGCACTCTACTTATGGTAACACAGTACAGTATTTTAAAGTGACATCTTAAACGGTATTTCCTCATCATCTGCTTTTGTTTGCTACTTCCTATTCATCCATCACATTTGAAAAATTGTATCTAGAAGTCGCAAAGTGTCAAATTGCTTTTGCTTAGAAAAGTTTTCTCTTTACATTATAAGGTATGTCTGCAAAGAATGCCAGCTAAAGTAACAAACCTTCACTGTGTGAGTACTGTACTGAGCTGGTATCATTGTTGGTTTTCTCAACTTTAAAGTATAAAAGATTTCAAGCAAACTCTTAGAAAGAAAAGCATAACAGACCTTTATAAATCCCTCATTCAGCTTCAACAATAATCAGCTCAAGACTGACCACGTTTCCACTTTAGCCGTATTTGTTAACTCTCATTACCCTTTCTCCAATTACTGTACTTCAAAGCAAATCACAGGTACCCACTGAAATATTTACAAATGAGGAGGAGCAAGTTGGCCAAATAGAAGCCTCCACCAATTGTCCTCCCTGCAGGAACATCACATTTGACAACTATCTACACAAAAAAGCATCTTCATGAGAATTAAACATCAGGTGAGTGGTAACAGTACCTGGTTTTTAACTTCATATTGCTAAAAGAGTCACTGAAGAGGGTAGGACAGTCTTGAACTGCCAATGCCACCCCTCCCCCATGCCCCAGCAGCAGCCACGTGGTGTGAAGAGAGAATATGTATTCTTGGGGGAGGGATAGCACAGTAATTTGTTTTTGTATGCTACTTCCTATTCATACATCACATTTGAAAAAATATTTCTAGACGTTATGAAGTGTCAAATTGCTTTTGCTCAGAGAAGTTTTTTTTTTTACATTGTAAGATATGTGTGCAAAGAATACCAGCTAAAAAGCATGAGCAGCTATACAGACAAAATAGATTTCAAAACAAAAACTATAAAGAGACAATGAAGGTCATAATATAATGATAAAGGGTCAATTCAGCAAGAGGATATAACATAAATATATGTGCAGCCAAAACTGGAGCACCCAGATATATACAGCAAATATTGTTGAGCTAAAGAGAAAGATAGATCCCAATACAATAATAGCTGGAGACTTCAACATCCCAGTTTCAGCACTGGACAGATCATCTAGACAGAAAGTCAACAAAGAAAAATCAGACTTAATCAGCACTGTAGACAAAATGGACCTAATAGATATTTACAGAACATTTTGTCCCACGGCTGCAGAATACACATTTTTCTCCTCAGCACATGAATCATTCCCAAGGATAGACTATATATTAGGCCACAAAACAAGTCTCAAAACATTTTAAAAAACTGAAATAATGTCAAGTATCTTTTCTAGCCAGAATGGAATAAAACTAGAGCTCAATAACGAGAAGAATTTTCAAAACTATACAAACGTATGCAAATTAAACCATATGCTCAGTGGGTCAATGAAGAAATTAAGAAGGAAACTGAAAAATTTCTTGGAACAAATGATAATGGAAAAACAACATAGCAAAACCTATAGGATGTAGCAAAAGCAGTACTAAGACAGATGCTTATACTTCCAAGTGCCTGCATCAAAAAAGAAAAACTTCAAATAAACAACCTAATGATGCATTTTAAAGAACCAGAAAAGCAAGAGCAAACCAAACCCAAAGTCAGTAGAAGAAAAGAAATTATAAAGATCAGAGCAGAAATAAATGAAATCAAAATAAAGAAAATACGAGAGCAACAAAACTGTGTGTTTTTAGAAAAGAGAAAGAAAATTGACAAGTCTTTAGCCAGGTGAACTAAGAAAAAAAGAGAAAACACCCAAATGAATAAAATCAGAGATGTAAAAAAAAAAAAAAAGAGAGAGACATTACAACCAACACTGCAGAAATCCAAAGGATCATTAGGGGCACTATGAGCAAAGATATGCCAATCCATCTGAAAACCTAGAAGAAACAGATGATTTCCTAGACACATACAACCTACCAAAATTGAACCATGAAGAAATCCAAAACCTGAACAGACCAGTAACAAGTAATGACATCAAATCCATAATAAAAAGTCTCCTAGCAAAGAAAACCCCAGAACCTGATGGCTTCAAGGCCGAATTTTATCAAACATTTAAAGAATTACTATCAATCCTACTCAAACTGTTCTAAAAAAGAGAAGAGAAGGGAATACTTCCCAATTCATTCCGTGAGGCCATTATCACCCTGATGTCAAAACCAGATAAAGGCACACCAAAAAATGCAAACTACAGGCCAGTATCCTTAATGATCACTAATGCAAAAATCTTCAACAAAATACTAGCGAACCAAATTCAACAACACATTTTAAAAGATCATTTTATCATGGCCAAGTGGAATTTATCCCAGGGATGCAAGGATGGTTCAATATATGCAAATCAATCAGTGTGATACATAATACCAACAGATTGAAGGACAAAAACCATATGATCATTGCTGAAAAAGCATTTGATAAAATTCAACATCCCTTCATGATAAAAACCATCAAAAAACTGAGTACAGAAGGAATACACCTCAACATAATAAAAGCTATATATGACAGACCCACAGTTAGTATCATACTGAATGGGGAAAAACTGAAAGACTTTCCTCTAAGATCTGGAACATAAAAAGGATACCCACTTTCACCACTATAAAAGCATCTCCATATGCCAACAGCAAACAATCTGAAAAAGAAATTAAAAGTGTAATTCTATTTACAATAGCAACAGATAAAATTAAATACCTACAAATTAGCTTAATCTAAGAAGTGAAAGCTCTCTACAATAAAAACTACAAAACACTGGTGAAATAAACTGAAAAGGACACATACACACCAAAAAAACAGTATTGATTGGAAGAATCAATACTGTTAAAACGTCCATACTACTGAAGGCAATCTACAGATTAAATGCATTCTCTATCAAAATACCAACGACATTCTCCACAGAAACAGAAAAAGTAATCCTAAAATGTGTATGGAACCACAAAAGACCCCGAATAGCCAAAGCTATTCTAAGCAAAAGCAACAAAACTGAATAAATCATATTACCTGACTTCAAATTATACTACAGAGCTCTGGTAACCAAAACACCATTGAACTGGTATAAAAAACAGACACACAGACCAATGAAACAAAATAGAGAATCCAGAAACAAATTGTACATCTACAGTGAACTCATTTTTGACAAAGGTGCCAAGAACATACACTGAAGAAAGGACAGTCTCTTCAATAAATGGTTCTAGGAAAACTGGATGTCCATATGCAGAAGACTGAAACTAGACCCCTATCTCTCACCATATACAAAACTCAAATCAAAATGAAACTATTATACCATGAAAAATAAAACATTGGTGAAACTCTCCAGGACACTGGACTGAGCAAAGATTTCCTGAGTAATACCCAGAAAGCATAAGAAACTAAAGCAAAAATGGGCAAATGGAATCACATCAAATTATAAAGCTTCTACACCAAAAAGGAAACAGTCAACAAATGAAGAGACAACCCACAGAATGGGAGATTACATCTGCAAACTATCCACTCTACAAGGGATTACCAGAATATATAAGGAACTAAAACAATTCTATAAATAAAAAAAAGCTTAATCATCTAATTTTAAAATGGGCAAAAGGGCCATCCACAGTGGCTCATTTCTGTAATCCCAGCACTTTGGGAGGCCGAGGTGGGCAGATCACTTGAAGTCAAGAATTTGAGACCAGCTGGGCCTACATGGTGAAACCCCTCTTGACTAAAAAATAACATAAATTAGCTAGATGTGGTGGTGGGTGCCTGTAATCCTCCTAGCTATTCGAGTGGCTGAGAAACAGAATCGCTTGAACCCAAAAGGCAGAGGTTGCAGTGAGAGCCACTGCACACCTGCCTGGATGACAAAGCTATGTCTCAAAAAGAAAAGCAGGGTGGGGGATAAAAGATCTGAATAGATGTCTCTCAAAAGAAGACATACAAATGGCAAACAGCCATATGAAAGAGTGCTCAACATCACTGAATATCAGCAAAATTCAAATCAAAACGACAATAAAGTATCATCTCACCCCAGTTAAAATGACTTTTATCCAAAGACAGGCAATAACAAATGCTGAGGAGGATGCTGAGAAAAGAAAATCCTTGTACACTGTTGGTGGGAACATAAATTAGTACAACCACTACAGAGAACAGTTTGGAGGTTGCTCAAAAAATTAAAAATTGGGCTACCATATGATCCAGCAATCCCACTGCTAAGTATACCCAAAAGAAAGGAATCAATTTATCAAAGAGATATCTGCATTCCCACGTTTATTGCAGCACTATTCACGATAGCAAAGATTTGGAAGCAACCTAACTGTTCATCAATAGACAAGTGGATAAAGAAAATGGACACATACACAACGGAATACTATTCAGCCATAAAAGAAGAATGGGATCCAGTCATTTGCAACAACATGGATGGAACTCAAAGTCATTATGTTAAGTGAAATAAATGAGGCAAAGAAAGACAAACTTTTGTCTGTTCTCACTTATTTGTAGGAGCTAAAAATTAAACAATTGAGTTCATAGAGGCAGAGCGTAGAAAGATGGTTACCAGAAGCTAGGGAGAGTAGTGGGAGGCATGGGGTGGGGGGAGTGGAGATGGTTAACAGGTAAATATATAAATATATATATATATATTTTTTTTTCCAACAAGAAGCTATAGAAAAATGAAAAAAAAATGAATAAGATCTAGTATTTGATAGAACAACAGGGTGGCTACAGTCAGTAATAATTATAAATTTAGAACAGACCTCAGGGAGTACAACTGGATTACTTGAAACACAAAGGATAAATGCTTCAAGTGATGGATACCACATTTACTCTGATGTGATTATTATACATTGTGTACCTATATCTTATACATTGTATTCCTAAATATATATATATAATCACCACCTACTATGTACCCACCAAAACAAAATTTATGAATGAAATGAGAATCTTCTTTAAAAGACAAATACTCCCCCATTAAACATCCCCAAGGTATCATCCCCCACCTCACACAGACATGTATGATATTAATTCTTTAATACCATCAAGTAACCAGTCATTTCAAAGATTCTTTTTTAAAAAATAATAATCATAATAATAATGATAACTGCGGCCCAGGACACACTTCCAAGTTGCCTTGGGGAGTGCTCCCCAAAGAAAGATTCTTTACCAACAATTAGTCAAAACAATGGGAAAGAATAAGATCACCTTACGTTATTTTAGCAAACTCTCATGATAACTGTCCAAATATTTTATGAGCTCAAATAAGGCCAAAAAGAGTCTTTACATTTTTAAAAATCACATATAATTTATTAAAATTAAATACTGTGCCTTCTCTTTAAGGTAAAAAATTGTCTCTTCAATAATATAAATATTATGCAATATTTACCCAAATTTTATTTCCCTCAACATGGCTAATCTAGAATAGAAATATTATAGATTATAGGGAGACAAGTCAAATTTTGACCAAATTTAGTAGTTAAAAAAAAATCCCTAAAGGAGATTGGAATTGAAGTAAAAATATTAAGTTAGACTGCACCTAAGCTATAATTAATTACTCACAAAATGGGTTTATTCCTAACATGGCCAAATTGCTCTATGTAGGAAAACAACTACATTGTTCAGAGGCCCTCTTATCCATATTCTTTTTCAAACTGCAAAAGTATCTAAAGCAGTGGTTCTCAAACTTGTGCACATATCAGAATCAAGGACAGGGCCTTTTAAACACTGTTGGCCCCACCCCGAAGTTTCTTTGTCAGTGGGTGTGAAATGGAGCCTGGTAATCTGCATTTGTAACAACCTCCCACGTGACCTCTGGAGAGCACACTTTTGAGAAGGCTTTGTTTTGTTTTGTTTTGAGACAGGGTCTTGCTCTGTCACCCAGGCTGGATTGCAGTGCTGTGATCATGGCTCACTGCATCCTTGATTTCCCGGGCTCAAGCGATCCTCCACCAGCTAATACAAAATTATTCGCTGAGTGTGGTGGCACACATCTGCTGAGACTATAAGTGTGTGCCACCATGCCCAGCTAATTTTAAAATTTTCTGTAGAGATAGGGCCTCACTACGTTGCTCAGGCTCGAACTCCTGAGCTCAAGCGATCCCACCTCGGCCTCCCAAAGTGCTGGGATTACAGGCGTGAACCACTGTGCTTGGTCAGAGAACCACCGACCTAAATTTCTGAAAGCTTGCATACGTGTATGATATGGCATTTGTTTTGATCTCACACAATACAGAGGAAATAGCATGAGTTTTAGAGTAATATGTAAGTGGGTTCACGCTTCAAGTCTTCCCTCCTTGCTCATTATAAATTTTGAGAGCAAGTGAGCACTTTTCAGAGCCTGAATTTCATCTGTAGAGTCACCAAGTTCCAAATTTTCTACATGAAAAAAAAAAAGTTTTTTACTGGTTGCCTTCAGGGCACTTTGGGACATCACCTACTAACCTGAACTTACAGGAGCAAGTGCAGGAAGGTAGCATTTATCAACTTCTCCTTAGATAAGAATTTTAATCAGAAAACCAACCTGTTCTAGCTGTCCTGAACAGTTTAAAGACTATCTCTGGAGTCACTGGGGCTCAAGTTTAGTTTCTATCAATTTCCTAAAGTTATCATTATATTATCACTCAATCTGATTTTTTTAATGAATTTTAGTGCTCTCCATGTTCTGCATGTTTTGATAGGTTTATGTTACTATGATATCCTATACCTCCAAATCTCACCCTGACCTAAGCCTTTTCTCTACAAATTAACCTAGTTCATTACCAAATTAATTCACTGTGGGTATTTTTGCTCTGGCTTCTACAAAAGAATGTTACATGTTCTGTGTAACGTGTATCTAGTATAAAAAGTTGAACCAAGTTTACTTCATATTCTCCGGTTTTGACAATATACTGACAGTATTTTTTTAAACTTCAATTTAGTTTTTAAATCATTTTGTTGGCATATCAAAATAGAATTTGTATCCTGAAAGACGAAAAGCTCTAAATGTCAAACTGCAGAATACAAGGCACAGGACAATCAAATGTAGTATTACTCTAAAGCATACAAAGCAATTTTATTTTCAACTCAGATAAAGTGAATACAAACTTGCTGGAGTATTTGTCTCCTAAAAGGTCCTATTAAATTTATCAGCTACCGACACAAGAATTTTGTGTGTGTGCTTTGCTTTTATTAAAAATCATAATCTGCTGAGAGAAGAGCAAGGAAAATCATGCATAATAAGATAGAAACTGATACACAATTTTATTAGCAGGTAAGACTGTGTCATTAAAGGAATGGCTATATGTATTCATTATATTAATAATAAACATTCATCCAGCGCCAACTATACAGGGAATACAGAAGGACCTGGATGAAAGCTCATAAATGCAATGTAGCAAAACAAAATTTCCCAGAGGCTCCAATACTGATATTATTTTCCAACTGTATTCACTGCAATGTGGCCATCCATATGTAGGAATGGGAATTTAATACAGAAGAGACGAAAGGGCTGGGCTTTGGAATAAGACGGAGATGAGTTCAAGTCTCAGCCCTTGCCCCTTGCTGGTTATAAAGCTTTGAGAGTAAGTGACCAAATTTCAAAAGCCAAGTTTCATTTGCAAAATTTACATAATCCTCCAATCTTTTAGGATGATTTTGAGGACTAGACTGAAATTGCATTCAAAACTCTTTGTGGCACAAAGAAAGTATTTAATAAATGGCAGTTGATGTTTTATTTCATAAACAAACAATAAACCTACTCTTGAAAATCTGGCATACATCCTCTTCAATAACAATAATTCAAACTATTTTGTATATCATATTTCTAAGAGATGTAATAGATTTCTAATATTACTGCGAATGAAATTCTCAGAAATAGTATTTTCTATTTACAAGATTATTTACTGGTTATTTATTCTTAACATTAACATAAAACCAAATTAAAGAAAGTTTAAGAAAAACATGTTTCTCCTCCTTCTCCTTCTTTTTTAAACAGACAGGATCTTGCTATGTCACCCAGGCTGGAATGCAGTGGTGCCATCACAGCTCACTGCAGCCTACAACTCCTGGGCTCAGGCAATCCTCCCACCTCAGCCTCTCAGAATAGTTGGGACTACAGGCACATGCCACTGGGCCCAACTAATTTATTTTATTTTATTTTTTGTAGAGACAAGTTCTTGCTTTGCTGCCCAGGCTGGTCTCAAACTTCTGGCTTCAAGCAATCCTTCGTCTCAGCCTCTCAAAATGCTGGTATTACAGGCATAAGCCACAGTGCCCAGCCACGTTATTTCTTTATAAAGTGTTTCACTTTATGAATATGGAACTACAATGGCATTTTTTTATATTACAGAAACATTCCCATGTATTTTAAGTAGTTATATCTAAAACAAACATGAAATCTTTAAAAATTCTTCCTCACTAACGTAAGTGTTACCTCTGCTATTGACTGAATATTTGTCTCCCTAAAATTCATATATTGCAACTCAAGTCCCCAGTGTTACAGAATTTGGAGGTGAGGCCATTTGGAAGTAACTGAGGTTATATTAGGTCATGAGGGTGGGTCCCTGACGATGGGATTAGTGCTATTATAAAAGAAGAGACACAAGGTCTTTCTTTCTCCAGCAAGTGAGGATACAATGAGAAGACTGTCTGCAAACTAGGAACAGTGCTCTCACCAGACACCAGGTCTGCCAGCACTTTGATCTTGGACTTCCCAATCTCCTGAGTTGTGAGAAATAAATGCTGTTTAAGCCACCCAGACTTATTCTGTTACAGCAGCCCAAACTAAGATATTCTCTAAGAAAATTCTGAATGTGAAACACGAGAGAAGGCAACATTCATGGAAAAAAGCAGAATCAGTAAAAACAGAAGTGAGTAAGAAACATAGAGGCTAGTCTCCAGTACTCATTCCTTTAGTCAATAAATATTTACTGAGCCCAAGCATTGGGTTTTGTGACAAGCACAGTTATTAGGACAATTATGGCAAATGCCACCAAAAGAAGGCACCATTTCTGAGTGAGTAAGACAACTGGGTCATCAGGGTTGCTGTTGGGTCAACAGGCTTCCCAAGTAAAGGACAACCTCAACACTGTCAACTGCCAGCCACGGATGGGAAAAAAGAAGGCAAAATGTGAACAAAGAAGGACCAAAAAGATTGTGTGGCCACCTCTAGCACCATTCACAATCCCTCAAAACTTTCCAGTTAAAGTGGCACCAGTGTGATCCTGATCCATGTCAACACTTCTCTGTAGGAGGAAGAAAGATGATGCCATATGTGCAACATTTGTTTCCCAAAGAATACTAGTACTCTTAAGACTCTCACCACTAAAAATTACACTAAGGGGTGCAATTCTGAATACCAAAAAAGAGTCACAAATAAAAGGGTTAATAAAAACACTTCCCCAAAATAGGTTATTATAGGTTAGTTATCTTTGGTACCCACAGCCTACCTTTGCTACAACTCCCATCCTAACCCACAGTGTTTCTTCTCTATAAAAGCTTCCTCAAAAAAGAATGTGATATCAGTAATTTGAACCTTACCGTGGTAATAAGTCAAATGTGTTTTCTCTCCCATGCTTATTTGAATGTATGGCCTAATAGGTGAATGAGAGACAATGTCTACTATTAATTGATCTTAAGCATTGGTGAATGGTAACAAAGGTAACTGTCAACAATGTACCCCTAGATGACAGACAAGATGGGCTCTGTGGCTAAGATGAGACCCTCAGAGAAAATTAAGTGGCCAGAGCAGGGAAAAGAGTTTGGTCATGTATGCCTACACTGTTAACTACTATAAGGTTTGTTCATTGCCATAAGGTTTTCTTCCTGCAGTTAAGCAGAAGCTCATTCTAGGAAAACATTATCCAACTGACTCTGGTAGACCACATGACACTAGCTAACAAGAACACCCCCACCTTGGGGGTCCAGCCAACAGCACTGATTAGAGAAAACACCAGCTTTACAAATATTCTCTCCTGATAAGCAGCTATAGACCCTAAGCTGGTTCCAACTGGCTTACAGAGATGGCACATAAAACATCTTTGTCCCTTATAGTTCACCTTTTGATGCAAAGAACCAAATTCCTCCTCATTTTAATGTTAAAACCCCACCCCAAAGTGAATATAGAATGTATGTTATATTAATGTTATATCTGGACATGCATTTGACTTTCCCTGTAAACATTCACAGACATTCCCCAAATCTGATGAATATGTAAGACAGACCCTGGAAGGCTTAAATGCTGCTATTTCCCTCCCTTCAGCCAAGCGTGTGCTTTCAGTTTCCCCAGAAGCTAGGTTTCCCAAAACTGCAGATTGCTAACTTGGAAAATAAAGGTTTTTTTCCTTTCTCCTTCCTCCGGTAGATCTCACATTCATTTTTTAACATACTGAAGAAAGCAGGGTAAGCAGTCCCTGAAATCACGCCTCAACTACTAAGCCAAATCTGTCCATTTATTACCTGAAAATTAATGAATGATACAATTATAAACAGTGACAACTGTTTTAAAACCATGTTTATTACAACAACAAAAAATAAGTTACATGGTAAGATTATTCTACCCAACTTTTTACCTTTAAAACATTACACGATGACTCAAGACCTCATCAGTAAAATGAACATAAATTCTAAGAACAGTAAAGAAGGGATAATTTAGTATCCTTTTAAAATTATCAAATTATTAAAAAAAACTGGAAAATGAACATGTGACTGCTATCCTAATGCTATCAATAAGTCATAAATCACATCTAATAATTTGCTATGACTGGTTTTTTACTGCCGAGGTTTGGAAACTTAGGTTTTCATAATGTGCTTATGCAAAATGTATTGCTGAATTCTACCATGAATCAATTCTTTTTATTATTCTAAATTGGTTTCAAATTTCATTAATACTGATCATTTTATTAGTTTATAATTTAATGTAGTTACATGATTGCTCAATACGTTTTGAAAGGTACATTTAGGAAGCATACATTTAATTCAATTCAACAAATACTTCTGTGGACCCACAACATATCCCAGATATATTATACATTAAAATAAAGCTACAATGATAGTTAAATAGATATGTTTATTATAAGCACCTCCTTGCTGGCATTTAAAACTCCTCAAAGTAACTCTTCTGGAATCTGTAATATTTTTACTCTTATGCAAGACTAGAGTTTAAAGAAAGTTATCTAATTTCAAAACTTCAAGCACTTACCAAACCTTCAGAAATTATATTGTCTTACAATGAAGACCTGTTGGGGTTAATATACCATAAAATGGCAGCAATTGTTCCTTTTTCCTGAATTAAATATATTTCTTAATTTTCTGGATTAAGTAAACTAGTCAGAGATGACGGTGTACTTAATTAAATTAGAAATCTTAAGTAATAGGAAAAACTTAATAAATACTGTTTTTCATACATACATAACTTAATTATGTGTTAATATGCAAGGGATCTAAGTATACTTTGATGAGTGTTGATTTAGAAAATTGCTCTCTGAAAAGCAGTTATTCTCTTTTCCCAGAAGGTAACAATTGATCCATTCTATTTGCATACCTTTTCCACTCATTTATCAGCTATTTTTGTTACTTTAATCCCAAATCATAAAAGCCGACTGGATATTTGACTATTCACTTGAGTTTTATTAGTTTAATAGCTTTAGAACACTGACTAAAATGGGTATCACGCCCAAGAAGAGAAAAATATTGTGCAAATAATTTACGCAAGTGAGACTGTTTTTGTCATGGCTATTTCTCACTAGTCTAGAAATCAGTCCTCAAAGCTTATGTAATTAACTATTGACTGTTATCCTCAATAGGGATTCTCAGCACATCAAAAAAGTGCTTTGAATGGCACCAATATCTTTACTGTTTGGGTCACTAACATAGCCTTAGAGCCCAGAACAGCCTTCACATAGTAAGCATTCACTAAACATTTAGTGACTGAATCTAATTAAATCCTAAGGCCCAGGTTACAGTTAATGGAAGAATTAAAATTAATTTATAGCCCCCTAATTTAGGACTCTTTCTTATCATTTATTAACTTTTCATGATTACGTTTTTTAAAAAACAAAGGAGAAATGATTACTTTGCAATGACCTATTTCTTAGAGAAATACTTACGTTGATCCCAGAAAAAGTAAGCAGTGGTTTTGGCTCTAGTTCTTAGAGTTAGATAGTCTATGAGGTTTACACAGTAAACACAGTATGTAGATACAAACGTTGACCCTTGAAGCCTGCAGGAAATCATAACTGCCTGAAACCTACACCATCAAATTATCAAATGAAAATCTTATTATCAGCATGTCTAGCATCTGGCAGTAGCCGATCTTTGAAAATATAAGTCAGCATGGATTTAAGAAAGCCACTGTGTGAACACAATAGCTTTATATGTCACTGTGAGATAATGAACACTTTTAATTTTTTTTAGTTTTGTATTTAATGCAGCTTCTTAAAAAACTGATTTTATTCTCCCACTATATTACTATTCTTCTAGTGTACAGCTGCCAACCATAGTTAAATCTGATTAGGTTCTATGCTGAGTTAATCAATCTGATAATGTCAGACATTATTAAGAACGCATACATGATATGGTCACACCGTCTACTATCAGAAGCATGTACACGAAAGCCTTTGTTTTCCTAGAAAACTGAAACTGCTTACATTAGCTCACATTTTTTTGTTTTTGTTTTTAAAGAATGAGAGAAAAATAAAAAAAGTTTTTCCTCTTCCTTAAGCAAGTACAAAAATTATTCTGCTAAAATATTAATACTATGAAAAATTGCAACTTTGTCTTTGTCAATCTTTGTTTATATAATAGTCTCAAATCACAATCAACATTAGAAAAATAAAATTTCACAAAAAGTACAAATGCTCACAATATAAAATAGTATCCTGAAATATCTTGAATAACTTTCTATTTTATTTTTTATAAAATAGAAAATAATTATTAAAGACTTCAAAACACAACCCACACTCTACTTGTGATTTTATACATTTGCTGCACTCAAGCTTAATTCTAAGTACAAAGGAAAAAATAGCATGATCCTTTGAACACACAAGTCTGCATCAGGATCTCACTCTAAGATTCATACATTTTAGCAGGTAGAAAGCATTATAAAGCATATTAATATTTTACAAACTTTCTAGCTTTTTTCCCTTCTGAAGACATGGAAGGATTCAAAGAAGGTAAATGAAAGGGAGTTCTATGCTAACGTAAATTAACCCCTCCTTAGTTTATATATTAGAATTTTTCAGTCAAAAATGTTTAACTTAAGAGCAGCACAATTTTAGTTTTCTAGTATTCAACTTTAAAAGGTTTGTTTCTTAAAACTAAAATTTAAAATCAAAAATTAGAATAAATGAAGTGTATTTTTTCCATAAAACTATAATTCTAATCAGTTTACTGATTGTGTCTTGGTGGGGGAAGGTAGGATGTACCTAAGTTACTAAAGGAGCTGTCTGAAGGAAATGAATAATGGAAAATCATGAAGGCTCTCCAACAACCAATCTGTGTACATGCCAGATAGCCACCTTACTTTCACTGGCATCACAAGCCAGATAAAAAGACATAGAAATTTTTTTTAAATAGGCTTGTCTCTACTTTTCTTCCCCACACCATGCCTTATCAATCTGCAAAGCCCCTGGTATCATTCAGTTAAAGCCCTTAAGTGACATCCTCTCAGATACGTAGTCTCTGGAAATCAGATGACATGGAGGCAAGCATTATCATGATAGAGAGAAGCTCAAATTCAAATTTTTAATGAATCGGGATCTGCTGGGCAACATATATTCTATTTCAAATACAAACTTAAGTTTTCCAAACACTGTGACAAAAAAAAAAGTTGGGTGTTCTCTGACTTCTAAGTTTCTAATCATTCTTTCCTTCTCCTCCCAAGCCACCTCTTTCAACTCTCCCTCCCAGCCTATGATCATGGATTTCTTTTTAAGTTTTGTTTCTTTTTAATTAAAAATTTTAAGCACCTCTACCTATAAAACTGAGAATAAGACTGCTGAAACTATAGAGCAATAGAAAATTTCATACTTTACAAACCCACTGTCCACAAAGCAGGTAAGTCATTCTTTTTAAAATATAAATCATCTTACGGGTCCTCCCTAAAAACACTTCAAAGGCTTCCCATTGCTCTTAGGAAGGACTAAATCCTTCAGGTGGCCAGAAACACAATGCAGGATTTGATCTAGGCCCAGCCTTATCTTGAGTCAATCTACTGTAACACCTCAGTATTCCAGGCACAATTGGTCTATTTCAGCTTCCGGGACATGTCCACCGTTTAGCACCTCAGTGCCTTCACACATGCTGCCGCCTCTGCCTAAAACACGTCCTTTTACCTTGGCTACTCCACCTAGGCTACCGAGATGTTTATACAAAGATAATTTCTCTCTTAGCACCGCTTCTCTCACCCTGTGTGATATACTTTCAAAGCAGCCCAAATTTCTCTTTCACAGCCTTTCCCACAACGCAATTAAATTAACTGACAGTAATTGTTAAGCACATCCTCTAGAATGTGGGCATCAACAATGGTTGGTTGCTCATTACTGCAGTCCCCCTGCCTAACACAACGCTTTACACACAGTAGGCACTCAGATATTTCCTGATAAGGACATTGATAACAACTTCCTCAAAAAGTTATTTTGAGGATTACATTGAACAGTCCACATACAGCTCAGGTCCTGACCAGCACTCTAAACAAGTTAGCTGTAATTATTATTGATTTTATATGAGTGAATAAATAAGGGCAATTAGGCAATATTTATCAAAACTCTTCAAAAAAAAGGGATACTATTTGACATCACTCCATTTATTACCTACACAGCATTTGCTGTAAAGAAATAATAAGAGCTACTCAGAATATTTACAAATAATATCCAGTGTATCATTATTTTAAAAACCAAAGAATTCTAGGATTAAATTGTGGAACACACATATGAAGGAATACAGTCACTGAAAATCAGTTTCTTAGGCTGGGCGCGATGGCTCATACCTGTAATCCCAGCACTTTGGGAGGTGCCTCTGAGGCAGGAAGATCACTTTAGCCCAGGAGTTCAAGACCAGCCTGGGCAACATGGAGAAACTCCATCTCTATAAAAAATACAAAAAAAAAAATTAGCCAGGCATGGTGGTGCGCGCCTACAGTCCCAGGTACTTGGGAGACGGAGATAGGAGGATCTGCTGAGCTAGGATGCAGTGAACCGTGACCTTGCCACTGCACTGCAGCCTGCCGCAACACAGTGGGCAACAGAGAGGGACTCGTCACTCTGTTCATATAACAGAAAGACCTTCCAGGAAAGGAAGGGGGTCGGGAAAGGAAGAGAGAAGAAGAAGAGGGGAAAGAAAGAGGGAAAAAAATCATTTTCTTAATGAATCCAGGTATTTCTTCAACAATATGAGTTTCATAACTTAAAAGGGTATCAAAAGATAATAATTGTTGGTATTTACAGACTGCCACTGGTTTTAAACATGATCCAAGATCAGAAATCAGCAACACATATAGAGACAAATACAACAGCACAGTAATTCATAGCTACTGTGCTTTAAAAATAATTTTTTAATCAACAGTCCAGTCCTGTAATATTTGACTCCCTTCTTATATCAACAGCATTTTTTTTCCCATTGTATCAAAGGGTTTCTGAACAATAATGATTCAGTCAGTAAGAAGAATCAAGTTTGTTAACATCTGGATCACACTTTATTACATATATACATACACGCATACATATATGGCTAGTCAAGTGAAGCAGTGGGAGTAGAAAAGGAACAAAGAAATCTGTAACTGGCTGTGATCAGTTGGTTGTAAACACCACACTGCACTTGAACCAGCCTGGGTCATATTTTAACCAGCATGTACCATGTCAACTTCTAATAAAAATAATACTGGAAACCAGGAGAATGATTCATAATTCAGCAATTTACAAGTTCTTATTCAGTTATTTCATGATGCTTTAAAAGTATACAATAATGTCACTGATAGGTTCCTGGAAACTATGACTTTAAGCAAAACCATATATAATGAAACCAATTTTTTTTTCTCATCAGTGTTATAACAATGTCATTCAAGGACCTGCTGTACATCATTTCTCTCTCTTTTTTTTTTTTTTGAGACGGAGTCTCGCTCTGTCGCCCAGGCTGGAGTGCAGTGGCGCAATCTCGGCTCACTGCAAGCTCCACCTCCTGGGTTCACACCATTCTCCTGCCTCAGCCTCCCAAGTAGCTGGGACTACAGGCGTCCGCCATCACGCCCGGCTAATTTTTTTTTTGTATTTTTAGTAGAGACGGGGTTTCACCATGGTCTCGATCTCCTGACCTCGTGATCCGCCCACCTCGGCCTCCCAAAGTGCTGGGATTACAGGCGTGAGCCACTGCGCCCGGCCCCATCATTTCTCTTAAAGTTGCAGTTTCAAAGAAACTATCAACAACTTTTGTGAGAATTTACTATATTGCTTCTTACTATATAAAATTGTTTTAGAAGTGTAAACCATCTGTGATGATTAATTTTATGTGTCAACTTGACTGGGGCACAAAGTGTCCAGACATTTGGTCAAACATTATTCCAAGTGTGTCTGTGAGGGTGTTTTTTGATGAGATAAACAGCTGAATTGGAAGCAAATTGCCCTCCCTAATGTGAGTCGCCCTTATCCAATCAGTTGATGGCCTGAAGAGAACTAAAAGGCTGACCCTGCCATAAGACTTGTCTGACTGCTTGAAATGGAATATCAGTCTTTTCCTGCTTCGGGACTCAAACTGAAACTTGGGCTCTTCTTGGTCTTGGGCCTGCCAGCTTTCAGACTAGAACTTATACTACTGGCTCTCCTGGTTCTCAGGCCTCTGGACTTGGACAGAAACTACTACGCCACAGCTCTCCTGAGTCTCCAGCTTGCCGTCTCCATATCTTGGCACTTGGTCTCCATAATTGCATGAGCCAATTCCTTACACTCAATCTCTCTCTCTCTCTCTCTCTGAGATATAGATAGATAGATAGTCTATTTCTCTGTAGAACTATGACTAACACATCATCCCATACTCCCATTGCAAAACTCCCTTTCACACATACACTACAACACACTCATACTGAGAGGTGACAACGTGCTGGCGGCCCTCGCTCGCTCTCAGCGCCTCCTCGGCCTTGGCGTCTGCTCTGGCCACCCTTGAGGAGCCCATCAGTCCGCTGCTGCACTGTGGGAGCCCCTCTCTGGGCTGGCCAAGTATGGAGCCAGCCCCCTCTGCTTGCGGGGAGGTGTGGAAGGAGAGGCACGGGTGGGAACCCGGGCTGCGTGCGTTGCTCTTGGGCCAGTGAAAGTTCTGGGTGGGCGTGGGCTTGGCAGGCCCCACACTCAGAGAAGCCGGCCGGCCCCGGGCAGTGAGGGACTTAGCACCCAGGCCAGGGAGCGCCGGATCCCCCAGCAGTGCCAGACTGCCCGTGCCACACTCGAACTCTCGCCAGGCCTCAGCCACCTCCCCGCGGGGCAGGGCTCGGGACCTGCAGCCCGCCATGGCCGAGCCCCCTGGCGGTGGGCTCCAGCATGGACCGAGCCTCCCCAACAGGCATCACCCCCTGCTCCACGGCACCCAGTCCCATTGACTGCCCAAGGGCTGAGAAGTGCAGGCGCCGTGCGGGACTGGTGGGCAGCTCCACCCACGGCCCTGGCGCGGGATCCACTAGGCGAAGCCAGCTGGGCTCCTGAGTCAGGTGACGACTTGGAGAACTTTTATGTCTAGCTGGAGGACTGTATATGCACCAATCAGCACTCTGTGTCTAGCTCAGGGTTCGTGGATGCACCAATGAGCACTCTGTATCTAGCTAATCTGGTGGGGGCTTGGAGAACCTTTATGTCTAGCTAAAGGATTGTAAATACACCAATTAGCACCCTGTGTCTATCTCAAGGTTTGTAAACACACCAATCAGTGCTCTGTGTCTAGTTAATCTAGTGAGGACTTGGAGAACTTTTACATCTAGCTAGAGGATTGTAAATACACCAATCAGCACTCTGTGTCTAGCTCAGGGATTGTAAACGCACCAATCAACACCCTGTCAAAATGGACCAATCAGCTCTCTGTAAAATGGACCAATCAGCTCTCCATAAAATGGGCCAATCAGTAGGCTGTGGGTGGGGTCAGATAAGGGAATAAAAGCAGGCTGCCCGAGCCAGCGGCAGCAACCCACTCGGGTCCCCTTACCACGCTGTGGAAGCTTTGTTCTTTGGCTCTTTGCAATAAATCTTGCTGCTGCTCATTCTTTGGGTCCGCGCCACCTTTATGAGCTGCAACACTCACCGTGAAGGTCTGTAGCTTCACTCCTGAAGCCAGCAAGACCACAAACCCACCAGAAGGAAGAAACTCCAGAAACATCTGAACATCTGAAGGAACAAACTCTAGACACACCATCTTTAAGAACTGTAACACTCACCGCGAGGGTCCGTGGCTTCATTCTTGAAGTCAGCGAGACCAAGAACCCACCAATTCCAGACACAATACTTGCCATCTTTTGAAGGTCCATTAGAATACAAGTTTCTGAAACTCAAGGTCCATTTCTCTTCATTACTGCTATCATCTTAACTTTTTGGGTGCCTAGTGTATGTTAGTCATAGTTAATTGAGAAATGAATAGAAGTAAGATGAAGTCTGCTCCTTCCAAGTCACTCACAAGTTAGAAGAGATGCAAGCAGATCGAATCAGGAACAGCCTGTTAACAAATGGAGTATAAACTTAGTTGTCAGCAGGATTTCATAAATGTTAGACAATTATCGTTCTTAATCTGAGACTTGTAATTAAACACTAGATTTCCCTGAGAAAAACAATTGCACACCTAAGAGAGTGTGTTAAATGAATTCCTGAAACTGTTAAACATTGTAACTAGTAACAAAAATCCACACAAATCAGACCTGACAGAGCACTTTCTCACACAGGAAGCTAGAAATATCAGATGCCAGTAATAACCCATTCAGTCAAACCATTTCCTTCTTTTTTGGCAAGTTAAAAGACTGAAAGCTTCAGAGACCGAAACACTCAGTTGGTACCTGTATCAGAACCTACCCTGTCTGCTTCTCTGTATGTACTCTATACTTCCTCAGGGCCAGAATACCAGAACCACTTGGGGAGAAGGAGAACAGAACGAGCCCTGCAGGGCCCCAGGGTTTATCTGTGAGCCAGAACGAGTGTTTCCCCTAACTCCAAGCCTTGGTTCCAGGTTCCTACCTGAGGTACAGAATAACCCAGGCCCGTGGGGCTCTCATACAAAAGAGTGCAGGAACGGCAAAAGACAAGATCAGCCAAGCCCTTTGTGCACAAAATACACCATCGCAGCACATGCATGGCACCCAAAGGCAATTCTACCACAGAACAGTAGACTAGGAGTAGCATCAGGAAATAAGGATTCCTGACCCTCACCTTAGATGAGGGACATCTTGTGACAGGGAGAGCCCACTACACAAAAGGAGCAAATTCATCCACTGGAGAGGCAAAAAAAAAAAAAAAAAAAAAGGAGGAGGGGGGTGGAAAGAGTCTTGACCACAGTCAAGGACCCAGAGGCAGGGACCTGCCTAGCTCATTGCTGCTGGGGTGGTAGCCAGACAGGAAATGGATGAGCTACTCGGGGCCTGCACCAGGACAAGGCATTTCTGGGGTCAGCACAGTTATACAGAAGGGACTCTAAACCAAGATTTTCAAGGAATTTCAAATTCCTGGTATTGTTTTGATCCCTATTTCTTGATTCTTAGCCCCTGGGGCTGCTACGGCTGAGAAACATGTTATTCCCTTATAAACAGAATAAACATTTTTCCCCTTTTTCTACTGGGCATCTCACCATATTAAGCTGCACATCATTTTCCTCCCTGTATGATTTCTATTACTGCTTCCATTGTCATGGCCTTCCTGCACTCTACCCATGAAGAGCTCTAATGTCCTGCACAAGCTATTTCAGCTGTTGCTGTTGTTGATGCTGCTGCTCCCGGCTCCAACTCAACTATCTACTAAAAGCTGCTCTTTGGTGCCCAGAGTAGTTGAGATTCTCTTAACTGGCCTTTTGCATGACAGTTACAAATTTTTCCTCTCTGCTCCCTTTCTCCTACCCCAACTCCCACCCTCAAATCCTGTCCCATTGGAAGGTGAGAACTGATTTCCTGGCAGACTGTGATCCTTCCCAGCTAACACAGTCCAGTCTCTGAGTGCCCTCTACATTTCTTTATTTCAATGTGTCCCCAAGAGCAATAGAGCCCCAAAAGCCTTTGGAGTTTAGCTTTTAACGCTACACGCCAACTCCAAGCGGGTTTGTTTTTTCTCTTGTAAATTTTTTGAGTTCATTGTAGATTCTGGATATTAGCCCTTTGTCAGATGAGTAGGTTGTGAAAATTTTCTCCCATTTTGTAGGTTGCCTGTTCACTCTGATGGTAGTTTCTTTTGCTGTGCAGAAGTTCTTTAGTTTAATTAGATCCCATTTTTCAGTTTTGGCTTTTGTTGCCATGCTTTTGGTGTTTTAGACATGAAGTCCTTGCCCATGCCTATGTCCTGAACAGTAATGCCTAGGTTTTCTTCTAGGGTTTTTATGGTTTTAGGTCTAACGTTTAAGTCTCTAATCCATCTTGAATTAATTTTTGTATAAGGTGTAAGGAAGGGATCCAGTTTCAGCTTTCTACATATGGCTAGCCAGTTTTCCCAGCACCATTTATTAAATAGGGAATCCTTTCCCCATTGCTTGTTTTTGTCAGGTTTGTCAAAGATCAGATGGTTGTAGATATGTGGCGTTATTTCTCAGGGCTCTGTTCTGTTCCATTGATCTATATCTCTGTTTCGGTACCAGTACCATGCTGTTTTGGTTACTGTAGCCTTGTAGTATAGTTTGAAGTCAGGTAGCGTGATGCCTCCAGCTTCGTTCTTTTGGCTTAGGATTGACTTGGCAATGCGGGCTCTTTTTTGGTTCCATATGAACTTTAAAGTAGTTTTTTCCAATTCTGTGAAGAAACTCATTGGTAGCTTGATGGGGATGGCATTGAATCTATAAATTACCTTGGGCAGTATGGCCATTTTCACGATATTGATTCTTCCTACCCATGAGCATGGAATGTTCTTCCATTTCTTTGTATCCTCTTTTATTTCATTGAGCAGTGGTTTGTGGTTCTCCTTGAAGAGGTCCTTCACATCCCTTGTAAGTTGGATTCCTAGGTATTTTTTTCTCTTTGAAGCAATTGTGAATGGGAGTTCACTCATGATTTGGCTGTTTGTCTGTTACTGGTGTATAAGAATGCTTGTGATTTTTGTACATTGATTTTGTATCCTGAGACTTTGTTGAAGCTGCTTATCAGCTTAAGGAGATTTTGGGCTGAGACAATGGGGTTTTCTAGATATACAATCATGTCATCTGCAAACAGGGACAATTTGACTTCCTCTTTTCCTAATTGAATACCCTTTATTTCCTTCTCCTGCCTAATTGCCCTGGCCAGAACTTCCAACACTATGTTGAATAGGAGTGGTGAGAGAGGGAAAACCTGTCTTGTGCCAGTTCTCAAAGGGAATGCTTCCAGTTTTTGCCCATTCAGTATGATATTGCCTGTGGGTTTGTCATAGATAGCTCTTATTATTTTGAGATACGTCCCATCAATACCTAATTTATTGAGAGTTTTTAGCATGAAGAGTTGTTGAATTTTGTCAAAGGCCTTTTCTGCATCTGTTGAGATAATCATGTGGTTTTTGTCTTTGGTTCTGTTTATATGCTGGATTACGTTTATTGATTTGCATATATTGAACCAGCCTTGCATCCCAGGGATGAAGCCCACTTGATCATGGTGGATAAGCTTTTTGATGTGCTGCTGGATTCGGTTTGCCAGTATTTTATTGAGGATTTTTGCATCAATGTTCATCAAGGATATTGGTCTAAAATTCTCTTTTTTGGTTGTGTCTCTGCCAGGCTTTGGTATCAGGATGATGCTGGCCTTATAAAATGAGTTAGGGAGGATTCCCTCTTTTTCTATTGATTGGAATAGTTTCAGAAGGAATGGTACCAGTTCCTCCTTGTACCTCTGGTAGAATTCGGCTGTGAATCCATCTGGTCCTGGACTCTTTTTGGTTGGTAAGCTATTGATTATTGCCACAATTTCAGAGTCTGTTATTGGTCTATTCAGAGATTCAACTTCTTCCTGGTTTAGTCTTGGGATGGTGTATGTGTCGAGGAATTTATCCATTTCTTCTAGATTTTTTAGTTTATTTCTGTAGAGGTGCTTGTAGTATTCTCTGATGGTAGTCTGTATTTCTGTGGGATCAGTGGTGACATCCCCTTTATCATTTTTTATTGCGTCTACTTGATTCTTCTCTCTTTTCTTCTTTATTAGTCTTGCTAGCGGTCTATCAATTTTGTTGATCCTTTCAAAAAACCAGCTCCTGGATTCATTTATTTTTTGAAGGGTTTTTTGTGTCTCTATTTCCTTCAGTTCTGCTCTGATTTTAGTTATTTCTTGCCTTCTGCTAGCTTTTGAATGTGTTTGCTCTTGCTTTTCTAGTTCTTTTAATTGTGACGTTAGGGTGTCAATTTTGGATCTTTCCTGCTTTCTCTTGTGGGCATTTAGTGCTATAAATTTCCCTCTACACACTGCTTTGAATGTGTCCCAGAGATTCTGGTATGTTGTGTCTTTGTTCTCAGTGGTTTCAAAGAACATCTTTATTTCTGCCTTCATTTCGTTATGTACCCAGTAGTCATTCAGGAGCAGGTTGTTCAGTTTCCATGTAGTTGCATGGTTTTGAGTGAGTTTCTTAATCCTGAGTTCTAGTTTGATTGCACTGTGGTCTGAGAGACAGTTTGTTATAATTTCTGTTCTTTTACATTTGCTGAGGAGAACTTTACTTCCACCTATGTGGTCAGTTTTGGAGTAGGTGTGGTGTGCTGCTGAAAAGAATGTATATTCTGTTGATTTGGGGTGGAGAGTTCTGTAGATGTCTATTACGTCTGCTTGGTGTGGAGCTGAGTTCAATTCCTGGGTATCCTTCTTAACTTTCTGAAAGATACTCCTCGAGAAGAGCAACTCCAAGACACATAATTGTCAGATTCAGCAAAGTTGAAATGAAGGAAAAAATGTTAAGGGCAGCCAGAGAGAAAGGTCAGGTTACCCACAAAGGGAAGCCCATCAGACTAACAGCTGATCTCTCGGCAGAAACTCTACAAGCCAGAAGAGAGGGGGGGCCAATATTCAACATTCTTAAAGAATTTTCAACCTAGAATTTCATATCCAGCCAAACTAAGCTTCATAAGTGAAGGAGAAATAAAATCCTTTACAGACAAGCAAATGCTGAGAGATTTTGTCACCACCAGGCCTGCCCTAAAAGAGCTCCTGAAGGAAGCGCTAAACATGGAAAGGAACAACTGGCACCAGCCACTGCAAAATCATGCCAAATTGTAAAGACCATCGAGGCTAGGAAGAAACTGCATCAACTAATGAGCAAAATAACCAACTAACATCATAATGACAGGATCAAATTCACACATAACAATATTAACTTTAAAGGTAAATGGACTAAATGCTCAAATTAAAAGACACAGACTGGCAAATTGGATACAGAGTCAAGACCCATCAGTGTGCTGTATTCAGGGAACCCATCTCACGTGCAGACACACACATAGGCTCAAAATAAAAGGATGGAGGAAGATCTACCAAGCAAATGGAAAACAAAAAAACGCAGGGGTTGCAATCCTAGTCTCTGATAAAACAGACTTTAAACCAACAAAGATCAAAAGAGACAAAGAAGGCCATTACATAATGGTAAAGGGATCAATTCAACAAGAAGAGCTAACTATCCTACATATATATGCACCCAACACAGGAGCACCCAGATTCATAAAGCAAGTCCTTAGAGACCTACAAAGAGACTTAGACTCCCACACAATAACAATGGGAGACTTTAACACCCCACTGTCAACATTAGACAGACCTCCAAGTGGGTTTCAAATGTACTGCCCACCTAAAACAAGCTTCCTATGTGAGAGAGAAATCCTTACCAATGGTTCCCTGTGGCCTCAACCACATGCATTCTTGGATAAGGAACCTCTGAGGCAGTGAGCCTATGCACTGGAGGAGATATGGCAAAAGGGGATTCATTTTATTTTCACTAAAATTCATGGTTTCTCTGTTGTTCTTTAGCTTATTCCATGTTTTACCCCTAGTCCCCCTTCAGCAGGCCTTATTTAGAGTTCAGGATAGAACAGCTGCTTGCTGGTCCCAGTCACCTCTCCAGTCTGGTTATGCATGCTTCATTCACATCCTAACTTCAGTCACTTTTTCTAAGCTAAACCACACTACCATGTGGGGAGGGTGAGGGAACTGAAGTGAGAAAGACACCCTAACTTCTCAGTAGAGATGATCCACTTGCCACCCTCAATGATCTGAATTCCATCCCCTTCAAGTTCAACCATACTCACCTTGCAGCATCAATCATTACTGCTTTTCTAATCTTCAATTCTTCCTTCTCCATTCGTTCCTTCTTCATAGCATATAATCAGTCTGAAGCCTCTTCAATTCCTTAAACAAAAATCCTCCTCCCACATCTGGTCCTTTCCTTCTTCCCTTTGCAATTTGCTTCTACAAAGACATTTCTACACAGAGAGGTTTGCCGCTTTCTCACCTTGCACTCACAACTCTGCAATACTCTACTGACGCTATTACTACTAAAATACACAAGACTTGTCTGGAAATGTAGTGAACACTTTTCAGTCTATATCTAACTTGGCATCTCTATGCTGCATTTCACAGGACTGAAAAATTGACTCTCTTCACTTGTAAGACAATCACTTAACCTGGAAATAATTACCCATTCACTTGCAAGCTTAATAATATGAATACAATTACTACAATGTTTCTTGTTTTCAATTTCAAAGCAAAGATCTTAAATATATTATCTGCTCATTTGATTTCTGAAGTATATACAAAACCAAGGATTGACTGGCAAATGTACAGGCCATCCATTTCATTCTCCTAAGTTATCTGGATTTTATGTATGAATCATACCAAACCATGCATACTTGGGCCACATCATCATGATCTCTCACAGAATTCTTACCAAATGATGCTTTGGCATTATATTCTAAAATTTCTTTGTGGGATCAAAAGAGGCAGTCCCATTAAAAACTCAAAGTCACATGATATAGGAATGATGTTGAAGAAATCATCCCAAATCTCCCAGAGACTCCTTTTGTGGCTCGCACAGGGATTTTGAGAATTCCTAAGAAATAGGTTTTATGTGTGCTATTCTAACTCTTTTGTCCTCCCCACCTTTTTTTTTTTTCCTTTTCCTTTTTTTGTTTTTTATTTTTTATTTTTTTGCTATAGAAAATTCAGAGTCAAACTCACGGTCCAGCTATAATAGCTGTGTAACCTAAAGATACGAACAGTAAAATGTTCTTTCTCTTCCACTTGGGACACTTATTCTAATTTGCATTTCCCTCTGTAGAGATTAGGGAGCAAAGGTAAGACTTCCTAGGGTTTGCAGTCTACCTCTGTCTCCCAGAATGTTAAATTTTGGTAAGATACTTAACTCTTCCAACATTTTCTCGACAGCAAAACATAGGTAATGGTAGTACCTACATCATACGATTAATGTAAGAATTATGTAAGATCATGTACCCGACTCATAGTAAGCACTCAGTAATGTTAACTGTTATTATTATTAGTCACCACGGATACCCTGTAGAATGAAACGAAGTACAAAAAAACTTAGTCTGAGTTGTCTAATCTAGAACTTGTTAAGAAAAATAGGGAGGCTTTTATCTATTCTAAGATACAACTGACCTATGCAGTTTCGCCAAAATTTTAAAATAATAAACATGCTAAGAATTCTAAGATTTTTTAAGATATACACCATCTATGAACCAAGCTCTATAAAAATAGTATGAAGTCAGGACTTTCAATGATCCTTTTAAGCCTTTGCCAAAATACTATAAAAATCAAAATGACTGAAATGATCTTTTGATAAGCAAATGCACTCCTTAAAATTAAGCAGGGCTATGTTCAAACCACCCTCTTTTTTAAACATCAAATCATTGTAGCTCTTAAACGAAAGGCCCTCATCCACTATAGAAAAATAAATAAATAAAAGATGAGCATCTTCCACTAAGGTGACATGATGCTATTATCATGTTCCAAAAAGTGACTCAAGCAATAAGGGACTGAATCTGTTAGCCTATCACTGTCAGAATAGGTAAGTATCAATTATGTCAAAGCCAAAATCAATATTATAGGCAGAAGCTCTTCAGAAATTCTATTCAAGTTAACTCATTTAATTACTTTTAAAGTTCAACTCAAAAACACAAAAGATCTTTGTGTAAATAGTTAAATACAGTATCTTCACAAATGGCTCTCACATATAAACATCAGATTTTACAAATATCTGTATAAAAGATTTAAATAAATAAAAGAAACCTATGGTTCTTTGCTTACCTAACTCAAGTATGTGTCAAAATTCCGTTGAGCAGTCAGAATGGCTCAAGTAGTCAGTGTGTTAAGTACAGAGTTAATATGTATTGCTGTATCACCTCATGCTCTCCATCTCAGCTAAGAACACACCTTTTCCACCTCTCACCTAAAAGTTCCTTCTCTCCATCTCTTGTTCTGTAACAGCAACTTCTGCCTGCTTTTCCTCATCAGTAGGAAGTAATTTCCCTCTGTACACTCAGAAAAACAAGCTGGCAAAATTCCAGAAGAGCTTTTTGCCTTCTGAAGCTAAAGACAAAAATTCAAGACCACAGTAAGGCTTAAACATTGTACCCTGAAACCATAAAACTCCTAGAAGAAAACATATGGAAAAATCTCCTTGACATTTTTCTCGGCAAGGATTTTTTGGATGTGACACCAAAAGCATGTGCAACAAAAGCAAAAATAAACAAATAAAACTACATAAAACTAAAAACCTGCATAACAAAGGAACCAATCAACAAAATGAAAAGACAATCTATGGAATGGAAGAAAACATTTACAAACCATACATCTAATAAGGGCTTAATACCCAAAATATATAAGCAGCTTATATAACTCAATAGCAAAAAAAAAAACCCCACATAATTTGATTTTAAAATGGCCTACACTGAACATGGTGGCTCATGCCTGCAATCCCAGTGCTCTAGGACACCAAGGCGGAGGACTGCATGAAGCCAGAAGTTTGAGACCAGCCTAGGCAACATAATGAGACCGCATCTCCACAAAAAAACATTTTTTAATTAGCTGGGTGTGGTGGCATGCACCTGTAGTCCTAACTACTTGGGAGGCTGAGGCAAGATGATTCCTTAAGCCCAGGAGTTGGCTGCAATGGGCTATGATCGCGCCACTTCAGTCCAGCCTGAAAAAAAGACCACGACTCTGTTTCTAAAATTTAAAAAATTGGTAAGAGCCCTGAATACACATTTTTCCAAAAAAGAAATACAAATGGCCAACACGTACATGAAAAAAATGTTCAACATTACTATCATCAGGGAACTGCAAATCCAAACCATAAAGAGATACTGGATGGCCATTATGAAAAGGACAAGAGAAAAGTATTGGTGAGGATGTGGAGAAAAGGGTGCCCTGTGCAATTCTTGTGGGGAATGTAAACTGGTAGAGCCACTAAGGAAACCAATATGGAGGCTCCTCAAAAAATTAAAACTAGAACATTGTTTTAGCAATGCTACTTCTGGGTCTATATCCAAAGGAATGGAAATCAGAATATCAAAGAGATAACTGCACTCCATGTTAACTGCAGCATTATTCACAACAGCCAAGATATAGAAATGACCTAAGTGCCCATACACCTATAAATGAATAAAGAAAATTCAGTGTGTGTATATATCAATAAAATGGAATATTATTCACCCATTTAAAAAAGGAAGGAAATCCTGCCATTTGCTACACATTGGATGATTCTGAAGCGCATTATGCTAAGTGAAGTGAGAAAGAGAAAAACAAATGCTGTATGATTTCACTTACGAATGAAATCTAAAACAGTTGAACTCATAAAAGCAGAGAGTAGAATGGTGGTTACCAGAGCTAAAGGTAGGGGGAAATGGGGGGATGTCAGTTAAAGGGTACCAACCTTCAAGTATAAGATGAAAAATTTCTGGAAATCTAATGTACAGCATAATTAACTATAGCTAGTAATACTATACTGTATACCTGCAATTTGCTAAGAGAGTACATCCTAATGTTCTCTCTCACACACACAAACATAAAAAAAATTGGTAACTACGTAAGGTGATACACGTGTTAGCTAACTTGGTTACGGTAAGTTTCACAATATAAACATGTATCAAATCACCATGTCATATACCTTAAATATACACAATTTTATTGTCAATTATACCTCAAAAAAGCTGGAGGGAGAAATGAGAAAAGGAAAACAAAAACTTTTTCTGGTACCAATGCATTCCAAATGACCCTGAATTTCTAAGTAGAATATTATACTTTTTAAAAGACTTTCAGATGTAATTCCTAAGCTTTAAAAAAAAAAAAAAATTCTACCACAGTTACACTGCTTACCAAATACTGAGTTCCATTACTTTTCTTTTTTTCCTTTTTAATTTTTTTGAGACAGGTTCTTGCTCTGTCACCCAGGCTGGAGTGCAGTGGCACAATCTCTACTCATTGCAACCTTGGCCTCCTGGGCTCAAGAGATCCTCCCACATCAGCTTCCCAGGTAGCTGAGACTACAGGCACATGCCACCACGCCCAGGTAATTTTTGTATTTTTTTAGAGACAGCGTTTTGCCACGTTGCCCATGCTGATCTCAAACTCCTTGGCAAGTGATCCGCCCACCTCAGCCTCTCAAATTGCTCAGATTACAGGCATGAGCCACCATCACGCCCAGCCCCATTACTGTCTCCCTCCAACCCCCACCTGAGACAGGGTTTCACTCTGTTGCCCAGGTGGACTGCCAAGGTGCAAACACAGCTTACCACAGCCTCGACCTCCCAGGCTCAGTCTCTGAAGTAGCTGGGACTACAAGCATGCACCACCATGCTCGCTAACTTCCTTCTTTTTGTAGAGATGGGGTTTTACTATGTTGCCCAGGCTGGTCTTGAACTCCTGAACTCAAGCAATCCTCCCACCTCGACCTCCCAAAGTGCTGGGATTACAGGAGTAAACCATGTACAGGCCATAAGTTCCATTAAATTATAGAAATTAGATTATAGGGACAATATCACATGAGATACTGTCTTGCTGTTTCAAAAAAGTGAATTTTTACACATAATTGGTTTAAAGAACTGTATCATTTCCATATCCTACATTTCATATTTTCTGGGTTTTCATATACAGTCTTTTAATTAAAAGTACAGAATGAAACATTCTTGGCAGACTGAAAATAATTCAAGTACAATTTGGCACAGGCTAATAATTTACAAATGTTTTTAAATTAAAAAATATATAGCATTATAAACATATAATAAATGGATTAGACAATACTGTTTTTAAATTGCATAATATATCCATTAGGCTTATTTATAATGTGTCATCAAACAAAAAAGAACTATTAGAAATTTCCTTTTCAGATGCTTTCAAAGACACACAAATCAGTAATTTTTAACCCAACAATGTTGTATACACATCTAGGACACCATTGTGATGAATCAAAAAGATAAACCAGGGATGTCAGATTAAACTCTATTTTAAATCACATAAAAGGGATAACAACATTTCAATTTAAAAAATTTACTTTTGTGAGAAAAGAGAATTCCAGACTAGTACTATATTTAATGAACTTAAGCAGGATTTTGCAGTCTACTGATCTAATTCCATGTGTTTCCATCCACACCTCTTATTGACACTATAAAGCAGAGAAAAGTTAATAGGCAAAGCTGGTGAATTTCACTTTTGTTTCAGAATTGGGAAAACTCTCGAGGGTCCTCTTACCTTAAAATCTTACACTGAAGTTTTTCATGGTTAGGGCCCCATCAACCTCTTCCAATACGCTGAATCATCCAAATAATTTCCACAGGGTATATATGATGTAAGGTAATTTTTCTGTATGTTATATTCACACATGTAATACAGCCTTTGGCCCCTAAATTTTACTCCAAGAAAAATTACAATATTTGAGTCAAGACTTTTTTTTTTTTAAAGTTCCAGGATACATGTGCAGAACATGTAGGTTTGTTACACAGGTATATGTGTGCCATAGTGATCTTCCTGCCTCAATCTCCTAAGTAGCTGGAATTACAGATGCAAGCCATCATGTAAGGTTTTCAAACAATACTTTTTTAAAAATAAGAAAAAAATTCAGTAGCAAACAATGGAGTGCTTTCACTAAATATTTACAGAAAAGGGAAAAAAACCTAACCTCTTGCCAAACCATGCCCAAAAGATAACTTAAATATAAGACTTAGCGAGCACAGCTACACTTGGGATAACTCCTAGTTCATGGCCATGAACACATGTATGCATGCATGTGCACAAACGCACACACACATATACAAGGAAGTAGACAGTGATTTAGGGGGCCTCACTGGATGTGGGAAGACTGCCCGCAGAAGTGCTGGTTGGTAATATTTATGCCCCTGTTCCACACTTTTCCATACCCTAAAGTGACTTGTGACGTCTTTTCCACTACAATGTTCAATTTTAAAAGAATTCACCTGTATAAAATTGGTTATCTTAAAGAAATAAACTGTCAAGGATTTCTGTGTTTCAGAAAAAGTCTTATTTTGTATAAGTCAAAACATTATGACAATTATGACAAATACCTTCTCCTTTCCTGGGGTTAGAATCTTTTTTTTTTTTTTTTTTTTTTTTCTTTTTTTGAGACAGAGTCTCTCTCTGTCACCCAGGCTGGAGTGCAGTGGAACAATCTCAGCTCAATGCAAGCTCCGCCTCCCGGGTTCACGCCATTCTCCTGCCTCAGCCTCCCGAGTAGCTGGGACTACAGGCGCCCGCCACCACGCCCGGCTAATTTTTTGTATTTTTAGTAGAGACAAGGTTTTACCATGTTAGCCAGGATGGTCTCCATCTCCTGAGCTCGTGATCTGCCCGCCTCGGCCTCCCAACGTGGTGGGATTATAGGCGTGAGCCACCACACCCGACCTAGATTCATTTTTATAAGCTCATTACCAAAATAAAGATGTTTGTTATAATCAACATAATAATCTAAATTTTGGGTAGACAGCTCATTTTACTGTCGTTGTTATTAACAAAACTGATATACAAAGGCAAACTACTTAAAATCAATGCATTCAAAAGCAGTAGGTTAGGTGACTTTTTTCAACAGGCCATACTAAAGTCCGTTGATACGAACATGTTTAAATTGTTTTTCTTCTCTTTACTATCACTATTAACATGACTTCCATCAAAACTATTTCCAATACCATGACTCATCCTTTCTCTTTTTCTACTCTCAACTTCTGGTGACATCGCTCTCCCTTTTTGTCCTACCGAAAATATCTGCTAGTCACCATCTTTGCTCCCCTTGTGAGGAATCGACTGTTTTGCCTCTCTAATCCAATGTAAATTCTTGATCTTACCTTCGGTGTGCTCAATAACATGGTCTCATCTTGCATATTTAGTTGCCATTCCATCCTGCTAGCATTCCAATCCCATTCCTATGCTAGGCTTAACCACCATTATTAGTATAATTATTCATACTTTACAGAGCCAATCACATAGTTACATATGTATTGTCATCTCTTCTCATTAACCTTTTTTTAATCCATTTCCAATAATCACCTCTCCTAGGAAGATAATTTTTTAATGATAGTAGAGGAATAGACGAAAGAGATCTAAATGAAAGAAAAGCAAAAATACAGAAAATAAGGAATTACACCAAGTATAGGATATTTCATAAAATTCTAATTTTATAATCCTATAGGATTGTGAGAGTAAAGCAAATGCCAGCCTATATACTATAAATTTTCCCACAAAATACTATTTTCTCCAAATTAAGAGAGAGAGAGATAAAAGTAATTTTAATATGACTAGATATTGGGTATGTTTTGGTTTCAAATGTACCATGAACCAAAAAAAAAGTAAAACCAGCCATGGTGGCCTGTGCCTATAGTCCCAGCTACTACGGAGGCTGAGGTGGGAGGATCACTTGTGCCTAGGAATTAGAGTCCAGTCTGGGCCTCATGAGACTCTAATATCTTAAAAAAAAAAAAAAAAAAAAAAAAGTGGGGGGGGGGGGGGGGCACGGGAAACAGCCAGAAGAAATTCCTATTAAACCCGTCTTAAGCAAGATAAAGCAATGGAGCTTCATCTTGCTTAAGTACATCTATTTTGTTGCAGACCTCCACTTATGAAATTGGCCCTTAGGCAGAAGCAGAAATATAAGAAGGAAAGTTCATTTCCTGGTTTCACAGTCCTGGAGTCAAGGAACCAGTGAAGAGCTAGTCCTGCTCTGATGAAGAGCTGGATAGAGAAAGATTACCAAGAAAGATCTTAGCCTGAGCCATGTGCTCTGGGTGTCATTACATCCATTCCATTTAGATGATAACATGAAACCATTACAGTTCAGGTTTGGAGTCTCCTGAAAGATGAAGACCCACACAGAAGAGCTGTGGTTCAGAAGAACTTATTACAATAGCTTCTCCCACAAGCTACATCCATCCAGAGAAAAGAATACATGGTCCATAAAAGCACACTCTTCTCAAGACCTGAAGTAGCAAAGGGGAGAAATGAATATGTTGGTGCCAGTTCCTTCGTGGTTCACACGACCTAAATAAATAGGCTTCTATTCTTACATAAGTGCCTGGTGTTCCATCAAAACATGCAGGCAGGTTAGGAAGAACTGAAACAGACTGCATATTACTCAAGCTAGACCAGAGGCCTTTCTGGCAACCTCAGGGAGAAGAAAATGGAATGGACAGTAATAAGGACAAAGTGATTTTATATGTGCGTGTGTGAGAGCAAGGACGCATGCAGGCCTTAGAGATAAGTAGATAAAGCTCCCACGTGAAAGATTAAAAATCAAATATGTAACGCACTGTGTTAAAATGTAGAAAGAATTCAGAAGAGAAAATACAGCATGCTACTGACCTTAGTCTTAAGAATTATGAAAATATATAAATCCTAATTTCAAAGGGATTTTATTAATTGCTTTCAAAGAAATTAACCATAACCTCAACAAATCACTTTCATTGCTTTTTAAAATTTATAACTAAGAACTTTAATGTTCTTAATTAAAAATCATACTGCTCAAAGAATATAGTTTGAAGCTACAGTTTTTTTTGTCAAAAATTACAATGCAAAAGTTTTAGTTTATATAATGAAAATACACACACGTATACTTTGTTACGGAGTATCCTTTAAAAGGCTAATAAAAACAGTTCTATAAATTCCCAAGTATTCAAATATGACAAGGCAGTAACAATATTTTACTTAGATGTACAAATGGCTAAAATAAACAATCATCATTTTAATTAGAAATATCATGATGAGACTATAAATACAATCCTATTAACTTCAGTGAAGTCTTTCCCATAATGCACTAAAAAGCATGTGTATCCCAAAAAGAACTCTGTAACCAGAAATTAAGAACGAAAGAAAAATTAGGTGGTTGCAACTCATATGCTAGCTTTATTCTAAAGAGCAGGAAAACAGAATGATCTCTTTATAGTGGTCTATGATAGGCAGCACAGTGCTGTCTCCAGAACTAAACTCAAAAGCTGTTTTGGGAAAGCAAGTTTACTAATAAATACTCTCAGAAGCTGTCTTTTATTTATTTTTAGAGGCAGAGTCTTGCCGTGTTGCCCAGGCTGAACTGCAGTGGCTATTCACAGGCAAAATCATTGCTTACCACAGCCTCAAACTCCTGGGTTCAAGCAATCCTCCTGCCTCAGCCTCCAGGGTAGCTAGAACTACAGGTATGCACCACTGCACATGGCCAGAAGCTGCTTTGCTGGAGAGTATGATTATTCCCAGATACTGTGATATGTATCCAATAGTAAAATAGTTTAGATTTTTGCTAAATCTGCTGAAAATCAAGACAGAGGTACCATATGTGATAAAAGGCAAAATGTTCAGAAGCTCATACTTCTGTAAAATAGAAAAAAGAGAGAGCTTAGACTGATCACTTCCCACCTAGATCAGTGTCAATTATCTGGAAATGCCCTTTTTCTCTCTACTTTGACTCTACAACTTTATTTCTCAATCCCCTTTGAGCTGCCTCACTAAATCCCTAAATGTTTGCTCTCTGTTGACACAGCAAATCATTAATAAATAGTAAGCCTGTATCTTTTACTTCTCTTCTACACTGCGTTATTTTAAGTGCCTGATGTTAATAAAACAGTCAAATAAATATTACTCCTTGTCCTGGCATGGTAGCTCACGCCTGTAATCCCAGCACTTTGGGAGGCTGAGGAACACGGATCGCTTGAGCTGAGGAGTTCGAGACCAGCCTGCGCAATATGGCAAAACCCTATCGTTACCAAAAAAAAAAAAAACTACAAAAATTAGCGGGGCACAGTGGTGTGTGCCTGTAGTCCCATCTACCTAGGAGGCTGATGTGGGAGGGTCGCTTGAGCATGGGAGGAGATTATAGTGAGCTGTGATCACGCCACTGCACTCCAGCCTGGGCAACATAGTGAGGCCCTGTCTCAAAAAAAAAAAAAAAAAAAAAAAAAGGAAGTTACTCCTTAAACTGATCTCAGCAATTTCTCAACGAACTGTTCTTAAGATGGCCAGGTTATATGCCTTCAGAAACCACTTATGCAGCACTGGCTTATCCTTTTCATTACTTTCTTCTAAACATGGCCATATGCTTACTAACATATCATGAGACATAAGGGGGGAAAAAAAAAGCCTTAAAGAAGCTGAGTTCCTAAATCCCTTTAAGATTATACAAGGACCTTAAGAATTATCTGGCCACACCCTGCCTTTCCAGCTTCCTCTTCCCCTCACATCCATTCTCTCTTCTAATTTCTACTTATCTTTGAAAACCCAGCTCACTGTGGCCTCCTATAGCAAGTCCTTCTTGGCTACTCCTCCCCAGCCAGGATCAAACACCCCCAAACCCTTTCCATATAATCCCACAGTATCCTATAATTTCCATTAGAACAACACAATATCTTGAATGAGAATTTTGTGAATAGGAATTTCAATGAAGCCAGATATACCTTAACATACAAATTTAAGCCAATGTACTGGATTTTTAGTTAATTATTAGCTCCCACACTGGTCAACATGTCCCTTGAGAACACAGGCTTTTTCATCTCTGTATTTCTAGGAACTTGCACAAACTAGCCTGGACCAGCTTCTTAAACACCGGCTACTGGACTCTCCTATTACTGCCCCACAAATACCTACGCACACTTCCAGAAACTGGGCAACCAGATGTTCCCTAAACCCAGGATTAACCCAGCATCCCTTGGTCAAAATTACCTCTTCCCCATGCTTTCAAGTCATTCTTGATGTAAGCATCAGTTGGCATATTTAATAAAGTGTGATTGGTATCAGGGTCTAATTAGATGCAAAAATGAGTCTCTTCAACTAAAGCAGAGGTCTCTTGGAGCAAGGACCCAGTTATTCATCTTAATTCATTCCCACCACCAGATATATGCCTGGAGACTTTATAAGCACTCCATAAAATACAAAACTATATTTGAGGGTACTCTCAGAACATGTGGTTATGTCTCTTTCATGTCAATAGCACATTTCTTTTTAGTGTAGTTCTATCCTATTAGACTGGCAGTTCCTTGAGAGCTAGAACTAAATTTTCTTAAAATCACAAATCTAAATTTAAATTTTAAAATTAATATACCCTATTTGAGAGAGGTCAGAAGAAAGATCACCTGCAACTCATTACTGTAGCACAAGGATTATAAATTATCTTTTTCTAGGGATTTTTCATATTTATACTTTATAAACTCATAATCACAATTTACATATAATCTAGTCCTTTCATATGCATCTTTTCATACTACTATATACCTTGCCTATTTATTTTTATTGGATATATAACCATCCAATGAATGGACTAATCCTAATTTACTCAGCTATTTCTCTTCACATAATATTGTTCACTTCCACATTTTCATTGTTACAGGTAACAGTCCATATTTTTTATCATTTTCCATAAGCTAGAGCCCCTTATATGAAATTACTGAATTAAAGATTATGAACTAACATTTTTGTTGCTACTGAAGCACAGTACCAATGTGCTTTCAATTTAGAATTATACCTTTCACAGTCCAGTAGCAATGGTAGTAGTTTCAGCAGCACTATGTACAATTTCTTGTTTTAAGTCTCATTTCCTAGATTACTAACAAGGCTGAACACATATCCCACATGCCTGTTTACTAACCATATTTCCTCCTTTGTGAACAGTTTGTGTACTATGCCCATTTACCTATCACAGTCATCATGGGTATTTTTACTGGTTTGTCATTCTCTGCCTGTCTCACTGTGAATACATTTTTCCAGTTTGTTGTTTGCTTTTTGTGGAGTATTTTCTTTTCCTCCCTCTTCACCAAAGACATACTTTTTAAAAGCATTTTAGTGTGTAATTTTATCTAGTCAAATCGATTATTATTTTCTTTATAATTTCTTCTAACATTTCTAGAAGTCAGCCTCCAAATCTGTTTTCTCCTAGTTTTATTTTCTTTTATATTTAACCCTTAAACCACAGGTAAGGAATATGTCATCTCTGCATGCCTCCAAAGAACCTATTTCAGTATCTTTCACATGCTAAGCATTCAATAAATGCTTCTTACATATTCTTTATTAAAAGATAAAATTTAGAAAACAGCAGCCATTATTGGATTCTTACTAGTCTCTTTACAAGCTGATTAATCAATTTAGATATGAAAGTAAAATACACTCCATAATGAATGACAAGGCAATGCTGCAGATTTGATGTGTTCTTTCTACTGCGGGGACATAAATAATATGGTTTAAGAAAATCTGGTGGCCAGGTGTGGTGGCTCACGCCTGTAATACCAGCACTTTGGGAGACCGAGGTGGGTGGATCACCAGAGATCAGGAGTTCAAGACCAGACTGAGCAACATGGTGAAACCTCGTCTCTACTAAAAATACAAAAATCAGCTGGATGCGGCGGCACGTGCCTGTAATCCCAGCTACTGAGGAGGCTGAGGCAGGAGAATCGCTTGAACCGAGGAGGCAGAGGTTGCAGTGAGCTGAGATCGTGCTACTGCACTCCAGCCTAGGCGCCAGAGCTAGACTCCGTCTCAAAAAATTAAAAAAAAAAATTTTTTTTAATCTTGTTTTGTTTTACTGGCAAACCAATTTTAATGTCTGAGGTTAAATCACACAAATTCTTTTTCATACACATTGTCTGCAGAGTAGCAAGCTGAATGATAGTGTTATTCATTTTTTTAAGTCATAGTCCTCAAGATCACTGTTACAGCATCCTAAAACTATGCAGCAAAAAACTAATGAATAGTTTATTATAACTCACACCATCATACACACTGCTGTATAGTTCATAGATGCAACAACTTTTATGGTGATGACACCCTGGTACATTTTCAGTCAGTCATCAAGTCTTCAACAGGAAAATATGTATGTATACACAACTTGTAAATTTAAACCACCAAGATATCACCTAGTAAAGAGCATATAGCTTTATTATGCTTTTCCAGTTTAACTAATTTTTTTGTTGCAGAGAAATAGTCAATTAGGCCAAAAAGCTTACTACAATCAAAAATATAATACATGTGCCCCCTTGGATTACAGCACATTTATGTGGAGTACCTGTTAACATAATTTTCATTTGAAGACCTATAATAACACTGTTAAAATGACAGCTGTGGAAATTAATCTGAGTGATGAGGTTAGCAGCACTGGCTTTATTTTCCTCTAATGGTATAGCATTTGCCTATAAATGTATGGGTATAGCAAATCATTGCTGGTAACCTTACCCTAGCCATGTTTTTTGGAAGAGTTGGATCTCCTAATACATAAATAGTCGAGAGAGATTATTATAATTTTATAACTTTTTCTGCTTACCTAAAAAACAAAGAAAAAGGATATGGGAATACTGTTTGCATACATGCTTTATGGTTTGAATATGTTAATTCTAAACAGAAGTTAATAATGAATCACTTTACAAATAATTTACTATTACTTATTTAAGGTAATTTAAGAGAGACAAGCTCCTTTCATAGAAAACAAACATAGTAGGTACATGGGTTGCATGAACATGTCGACAACTTTCTTAAGTTTCCAAGACTGCATGTTTTTAAAATTACAGAGAGGCTGCTCTTTAACTTTCTGACAACTGAGAAATTGGATGATGATTCGAATGTAAATGTATGATTAATAGCCCAACTATCACCAAAGAGACTACCAGAGGCTTACAATAAGAGATACACAATTAGACCATTATAACATAAAATGAAAAGTCAACCCAGAGAATAACGGTTCTTCATCTTTTTGAGGGGGGCGTTGGGAGGAGGTCATGGAAAATCTGAGAGAAGCTAACGATGCTCCCCCAGATTCCCACACAAGCTTGCACACAAGCAAGTTTACTGATCATTTCAGAAGGGTTCATCAGCTCCCTGAAGCTGATACACACACGATGAATTAAAAGCTCCTGTCACAGGCTAGGCACAGTAATCCCAGTGCTTTGGGAGACAGAGGTGGGAGGACTGAGCCCAGGAGTTTGAGACCAGCGTGGGCAACATAGCAAGACCCTGTCTTTACAAATAATCTTTTTTTAATTAGAAGCATGATGGCATGCACCTGTAGTCCCAGCTACCTGGGAGGCTGAGGCAGGAGGATCACTTGAGCCCAGGAATTCAAGGTTGCAGTGAGCTATAATGGTGCTAGTGCATGCCAGCCTGGGCGACAGAGTGCGACTCTGTCTCCAATAAATAAATACTCCTGCCACAGAGGACTGAGAAGAAATTACCCATATCAGAAGCCTAGGCTAATAAAGTTACTATAATTGAAGTGACATATAACTCCAAGCTTTCTTGCAGCCAAAGCAAACAGAAAAACTCAACAGAATATATAATTCTTAATGACTGATAGAAGGAAGTATGCCATATCATAAGGAAAGAAACTTTTCTCTGAAACTAAATTCTTGAATAATTTATCACATTAATTCTTATAAAGGGAACAGAGTATCATAAGAGACAATGCATTCAATAGTTTCATCGCAGATGCAGAAATATTCTTCATACAAATGCATCTAACAAAAATTGACAGAATATGAGGAAACAATACTAAAATATAGGACTAAATAGTTTTCTGGTGATCTAGTTTGATATGAAGTTAGAAGTGAGTTCATGCCACCATTTTTCCAATCTCATGTTCATAAAACAACCTCTAATACAAATTCAGAAAAATTTTACTGAGTATAGACCTGGTCTCAGAAACCTCAAAGCAGCCACTTCAAGGAACTGGAGTAGGCATTTGAACCTTTACAGATGAGACAATAATAATGTAAAAGAGAATTAAAGACCAGCGTAGAAGATAGGTTAATAGTACAGGAAATGGAGCCAGGTGGTTTGATCTGAATCATGGCTTATCTACTTAATGGCTGTGACTTTGGCAAGTTTCTAATTGTGACTATATTGCAGTTTCTCACCTGCAAGGTTGTGGTAACAACAGTCCTTACTCAGAGTTACTGAGAACTAGCATCCATAAAGCTCCCAGAACAGCATCTATCTACCCTCCTAGATTAAAGGGGTAAGACAGGCAAACCACTTAGATCAGTGTCTGGCATATAACTTACCACCTACTCTGCAATCATTCAAGAATATGTATTCTTAAAATTCTGTTAGGCCGGATGCGGTGGCTCACGCCTGTAGTCCCAGCACTTTGGGAGGCAGAGGCAGGCGGATCATGAGGTCAGGAGATCGAGACTATCCTAGCTAACACAGTGAAACCCCATCTCTACTAAAAATACAAAAAAATTAGCCAGGTGTGGTGGCGGGTGCCTGTAGTCCCAGCTACTTGGGAGGCTGAGGCAGGAGAATGGCATGAACCCAGAAAGCAGAGCTTGCAGTGAGCCGAGATCATGCCACTGCACTCCAGTCTGCGCGAAAGAGCAAGACTCCATCTCAAAATTTAAAAAAAAAAAAATCTGAGTTAATACACACATTTTATTTTAGCCATCAAATTAAAATAACCTGAATTTTAATCTACACATTTATTTTCAAGGTCACTGGAATCCCTAATCTTGGCTAATTTAACTACGTTTATCCTGAATCAATCTCTTTGCTTCCCAATTGTTTCCAGTGACCAAAATTTTTAGTATCTGGAAAACATACTAAGAAGCTTTTAATGAAAATTGCTTAAAGAGTTCTTTTTCTACACATATCTTACCATATATCCAGTATTTTTCAGTCATTTGTTCTCAAATGCTTTCACTTGGCTTCAGCTCTGCTGACCTTGTTAATCCTTAATTCACAAATTATGGTAAAGTCATATCTTACTCCAGAATTAGGTTCTTTTTTTTTTTTTTGAGACAGGGTCTTGCTCTGTTGCCCAGGCTGGGGTGTGGTGGTGCAATCTCGGCTCACTGAAACTTCCGCCTCCCAGGCTCAAAGCAATCCTCCTACCTCAACCTCCCAAGTAGCTGGGACTACAGGTGTGTGCCACCATGCCCAGCTAATTTTTGTATTTTTTGGAGAGACAAGGTTTCGCCATGTTGCCCAGGCTGGTCTCAAACTCCTGGGCTCAAGCAATCCTCCCACGTCAGCCTCTCAAAGTGCTAGAATTACAGGCATGAGCCACTGCACCCGGCCAGAATAAGGTCCTAAGGTAGTTGCAAAAGGCAAAAATTGCATACTCAAAATTACCTTTGAATAGCTCTTAAATCAGTCGGTCAAGTATTCTTCAATAAGGCCAAAACAGCCAATGTTCCTCTAGCACTGCAACAGATCACTCACTGTTCATTCGGCTGAATAACAGATGAAGTAGCTGACTAAGTTTAGGAAAGACTAAAAATCACTGTCAGGGAAGGGAGCTATTCACACTATGAAATGCAATCAAGAACTAAAAGGACTTCTTCCATCTCTCACTCAGGGACACACATTCACTGATCAGAATAAAAGGAATGGCTGAATGACTCTCACTTGCACTCTTAAATTATATTTCTCAAGTATGTTCTCTCCTTTTCGTAAAGAAGACTATACATAGTTGAATTTACAGAAATTAACTAAAGTGAAATGCATGTGATCTAACGCTTCCACTAAAAATTCTAAAGGCGGTTCTAATGCCATACAAATTTAATGTTTATATTTTATTGTGCTGAATGTTCTAAATTCTCAACATTCCACTTAGCTAGCAGAACTCAGTTTTTTGTGGAACAATTTAAAAATTCCACCTGATCGCCTAACTTTTCCTTCAGTCAAGGATTATAGTAGAGAATTAAGGTGCAGTCTCAGGGAAATGACAGAGAAATTCCTCTCCTACATATGAGAAGGTGTGGAACACCAGTGAGGATGTGGGTTAATTCTGGCCATGTTGTCTAAGGAGTGTTCCCACATTCAAAAACAATCAGATGTCTGTCGTGAAGACAACAACCTGATCAAATCATCTACAGAAATGTGTGAAGCTGAAGTACATCAGGACACTAATTGCTTTTTTGATGGAAGAAAAAATGTACTCGACTACAAAAAAGATGGGCATCATGATCTACACTTTTGCAATAGTGAAAAATGAGGACGAAATTGATTAGAATTGGGAATTGGAGACAAAAATGCACTTGGCTTGGTATACGCAACGGACTTTCTAAAGCTTTATGCTAATCAGAATTTTTACATGGTAATATTATCGTTCTTTTAAACTGCAAAGTCTAAAGACTTTTATAACTCAGTCTTTAGAGTTGCTATCTGAATCAAAATGGAGAACCACAAATGAATTTGCAAATGACTTTGTACAAGCTAGTCTCTTTAATAAAAGGGGGAGGGGAGGAAGAAGGAGTAAATGCCAGAATTATTTCATAAGCAATTTCTGGGGTAGAGTGGCAGTGGAAAGTGCCTTTGCAAATGAGCCTCCAAATTCAGGCTACTGTCAAAGAAATGCCTTTCATTGTACTTTGTTGAAGAATTCTGCCTGTTTAGGTCCAAATACTCCTACTTAAAAAATAATACCTCACACCTGTAATCCCAGCACTTTGGGAGGCCAAGGCAGACAGATCACCTGAGGTTGAGAGTTTGAGACCAGCCTGACCAATATGGAGAAACCCCGTCCTACTGAAAATACAAAAATTAGCCAGGCTTGGTGGCGGGCACCTGTAATCCCAGCTACTCAGGAGGCTGAGGCAGGAGAATCGCTTGTACGCGGGAGGCAGAGGTTCTGGTGAGCCGAGATCATGCCATTGCACTCCAGCCTGGTGACAGAGCGAGACTCCGTCTCAAAAAAAAAAAAAAAATACACTCAGAGACTAAATAATATGTAACTAGGTTATTTTCTGATTCAGATATCAGATAATAAAAAATAAGACAATACAGTACCAGAACAATATGAAACCAACCTAGTTTTACATTAATATTTGAGTATTAATTAATAAATTGGAATAAAAAGAGAATAAATAAATTCTTTTACTTTTTTTATTATTTAGGAACTGGCTTTCTGAAGAAAATCAAAAAAGAATAAAAAGCCCAGAAAGGCACTTTGGGAGCTGAGGCAGGAGGACTGCTTGGGTCTAGGATTTCAAGACCAACGTGGGCAACATAACAAGACTCTGTCTCTACAATAAAAAACGTTTTTAAATTAGCTGAGCATATTAACACACACATGTAGCCCAAGCTACTAGGGAGGCTGAGGCAAGAAGAACCCTTGAGCTCAGGAGACCAGCCTGGCCACACAGCATGACTCCGTCTCTATTTTTTTCTTTTTAAGTCCAGAAAGTCTACATTGTGGTTTTTAATTTACTTAATAAATAACCAAATACCTACTATATGCCAGGCAATGATCCACATGCTTTGTCATAATTCTTGGGGAAGACACACATATTCCACTGTGGTTTTTCAATAGAACAAAAGACTTATAAAATGTTTCATTTTTAACCGATAATAACCAGGTACTACTCAAAGCTCAAAATATCTTTACTGGTCAGGTGCAGTGGCTATAAGCCCAGCACTCTGGGAGGCTGAGGCAGGAGGACTGTTTGAGCCCAGGAATTTAACAACAGTTTGGTCGACATGGAAAGGCCCCCATCTCTACAAAAAATTTTAAAAAAATTAGCCAGGCATGGCCGGGCACAGTGGCTCATGCCTGTAATCCCAGAACTTTGGGAGGCTGAGGTGGGCGGATCATGAGGTCAGGAGATCAAGACCATCCTGGCCAACATACTGAAACCCCGTGTCTACTAAAAATACAAAAAAAAAAAAAAAAAAAAATTAGCCAGGCATGGTGGCGGGCGCCTGTAGTCCCAGCTACTCAGGAGGCTGAGGCAGGTCAATGGCGTGAACCTGGGAGGCGGAGCTTGCAGTGAGCCGAGATTGCGCCACTGCACTCCAGCCTGGGCGACAGAGCGAGACTCCATCTCGAAAAAAAAAAAAAAATTAGCCACGCATGGTGGCATACACCTGTAGTCCCAACTACTTGGGAGGCTGAGGTGGAAGGATCACTTGAGCCCCACTTGAGCCCAGGATGTGGAGGCTTCGGCGAGCCATGATCACACCACTGCATGCCAGCTTGGGTGATAGAACAAGACTAGCTCATATATATTTATTGACTGGATGCCAATAAATATAAATATTGATTATTTTCAACAACTTATGGGTAGCTATTCACCTGAAGTCTCCTGCTTCTCCTTTTTAAATGTGTTATTTTACTTATCATTTTATCCACCTACTTATCCATTAAGTGTTCAACCTCAGGTCAAATAATTGGTGGGAGGATAAAAGATGTATGTGTGTAAATATGCAAAACACAGTTTATGAACTCAAAGAGGCATGGTTTTTCTTCATTTTACAAAGGTCAAGAGGAAACAAAACCAATTATTTGGTAGACCTCATAAAAGGTTTAAGATGCTAAGATAACAGATATGATGGTGCCCTTTAAAACTGTAAAATTCTACTCTAATATATTATTACTAAACAAAATTGGCTTATTACTTTGATGGCTTCAATTATTCATGCTATTACTATGGATATCAAAGGTCCCTTACTACCTGAATAAATTTAAGATCTAAATACGGCCTGTGATATTTTATTAAGTTTAGTTGTAGTATTTAAATAAAGATATCCAATATTTTGTGTCAATTCAGTCAATTTGAAAGAATTATATCCTTTAAGGGTTTCCATTCATTTATAATGATTTAATAGAAAGAAAATAAGATTTACAGTTAGGATTTGAATTTTGGCTTTGTATGACCTTCAACAATGTAAACTCTCTGAGATTCAGTCACCCCAACTATAAAATGAGGGTGATGTGAAATTTAAATAAATGAGAATATGACAATATTCAGCATAATGTTTACCACATATGAGAACTCAATATTTTCTTTGCATCTTCTTTCAAACATTGTAAAACTTATCAATTATATACCCTCTTTTATCAGACAGTAAGTGCTCTATGGAGTTTTTTCCTATGACCCTCCCATTTTTATGTAAATGGTTACAATCTCAACATCTTTCCACTATCTCATCTTTTTTGTATCTCCACAGTACCTAAAATATTGGTTAATGACATTTACTAGACCGTAATAAGCCCAAAGGATATTCTCATTTCTAAATGTATTTACATAAGAAGAAAATAAGGAGTATCTGAAATCAGGACCTTCCCAGAAAATGTGGGATGAACAAAGCTCTAAATCAGCTGCATGGTATTAACCCGACTGCAAATTTTTATTCTATAATTAAATAAATCATTGCAATTTATCACTGTTCTTCAGATCTGATTCAGCAGTAATACAATTTGTACCTTGGAGTCTTACCTAACACTATTCATTTGTATAAAAGAGCTCAAAGTATTTCAGAACCAAAGTATACAAAACATTTCTCCAATACAATCATTCATCCAAGCAAAGTTTCCATTATTTTCTTATAAAAATGCAACAGAAATAGCAATTAAAATTACACATTTTCATTCCTATTATCTGAAAAATGTAAGCATGTGCTTACAAATTCAAGAACCACCCAATAAAGGCATTATTACAATTGGCCAGCCTCACACATTGCTATGTTATTTACTAATCTTCTCTGTACGTTTTCCTCTTTGAAGCATTGTTCTAGTACTCAGCTATAATAAACAAACCTTGTATAGTTAATTATGTTGCTGTACTAACAATAAAAAGTTGGCCCTCTTCCACTTTGACTGTAAAAATCTTCATTAAGGAGGCTAAAGCACACAAATACAGAAAAGTCAACTGCATGAAGACATACATAACCTGCTAAAAGAATGTGTATTACAAAATGGAATGCACATAAAGCTAGACACTAATCTATCTTTATATATAAATAATGTATGCAAATATGAATCTGCAAACATATGGTGACAACATAATTATAAAAGATCATTTAGTCTTTCTTGGTTAAAATTCTCACATAAGGCATATGCAGCTTAAAAGTTTCTCCTAAGTATGTTTCTTTTTAAACCTAAACTTTTTTTTAATTTCCTCATTTAATAGTTGATTCTTTTTTTTTTTCCAAATGAAATGCAGGGTACATTTTTCTTCCTATAAAATCACCCTTAATTGATATTCTTCCTATAAAATCACCTTAATTGATATCATAATAAGAGACTAAAAACTGTACAGGTTTTTTTAAACCTTCATGATTGGACAAGGGAAAAATCATCATGGCTGTGCCACTGATATGGAGTGGCAACTAAAACTCCCGAGTGTGAAAATGAATAAATACACAGGTAAAAGAACGATCCTAAGGCATCATAATTTTAATATAAAATGTAAAATGTTCTCTGAATTGACATTAGGTGGAACAAACTCTGCTGCTTCCTACTATACTTAAATATTTTAAAGAGGACTACATAGAAAAATTTCATTATTAAAACTTTAAGGCCAAAAAAAAAAAAAGAAATACTATTTGTAGACAAGTGATTTCAGATTTTTAAAATACCACAAAGGTATTCAGAAGTTCAGTTAATCTAACCAACGCTTGAGAAAAAGGCTGTAAACTTGCCAAAATGATTATGGCTGAACAGTAGAATTATTTTTTGCTGAGCCACAAAACTGTACTATTCTTAACAATAAATGATTTTCTTAAAGCCATTAATCTAAAACGAATATATGTTGTTCTTTAGAGAAAACTCAGAACATCAAATACAAAATAAAATGATCAGAAAGAAGCAGAAAGGGAAGCGGGCCATAAAATGTAGGGTAAAGGGCCCAGGATCTGAGAGGTCTGAGGGGAACACTGAGGCTCAGAGATTGAATGTATTTAGAAAAACAAAATGCTATTCTCTGCCATTACAGAACTGCTGGGAGCATAAAAGATGAAGCATGAGACCTGCTACCTCATAAGTGCCTAACAAATAATGGTATTAGTAGTAGTATTGTTTGTCCATATTGCTGGCTCTAGTGCAGCAGGTGAATAGTGCTTAACAAAAAAACAAACTAGGATGGCGTCCTTTGGAGATTTTCTTTGTAGTTTCCTTTAACTTCAATAGTTATTTGATCATCTTATATTTCTATTCAGTGATAACTATTTTCTTTTCTTTTCTTTTCTTTTTTTTTTTTGAAACAGCGTCTCACTCTGTCGCCCAGGCTGGAGTGCAGTGGCATGATCTCAGCTCACTGCAACCTCCGCCTCCCAGGTTCAAGCAATTCTCCTGCCTCAGCCTCCCAAGTAGCTGGGATCACAGGCATAAGCCAACACACCCACCTAAGTTTTGTGTTTTTAGTAGAGACAGGGTTTCACCATGTTGGCCAGGCAGGTCTCGAACTCCTGACCTCAGGTGATCCTCCCGCCTCAGCCTCCCAAATGGCAGGGATTACAGGTGTGAGCCACTGCGCCTGGCCGATAACTATTTTCAAGCAAAGCAATTATGGCATGTTATAAGAAATTTGGGGATTTTAACTGTTTATTTACCCAATTTACTAACTTAATGCCACCTTAATGGCAATAATTAGATTTTTCTCAGCAGAAAGACTGTTAGTAGAATGTACTCCTTCACTTTTCAATATAACAATTAACCTGATATCCATCTGCAAAGTGCTCCATACTGTCAACAGAATAAAATGACCATCATCTAAATCCTACAGATTCTGGTAAAATGGTGAAAGCTTTTATTCCTGTGACATTTGAATTCTTAGAAGCAAAGAAGATTGTAGAAACAATTTAAAACATATTTCCATAAATTTAACAAATAGTCTTTCTGTTTCAATGTATATTTTGGCTTTGTGGACTGCTCATGACTATACTGGGGGGGCGGGGGGCGGGGAAAAAAAACAAACAAGATAAAAGGATGTGACTCACACCTCACCTGAAGAACAAAGTTCTATGCAACAGATTACTACTATACAGCAGACCTTTATTTGTATGAGAATCATATTCAATCATACTAAAAACAACTTTAAAAACCATCAGACTTGGCCAGGCTTGATGATTCATGCCTATAATCCCAGTGCTTTGGGAGGTCAAAGCAGGAGGATCATTTGGGAGGTCAAGGCAGGAGGTCATGAGTTTCAAGACCAGCCTGGGCAACACAGCAAGACTCCATCTCTACAAAAAAATAAAAATAAAAATTTAGCTAGGTGTGTTAGCCCAATCCTGTAGTCTCAGCTACTTGAGAGGCTGAGGCAGCAGGATAGCTTGAGCACAAAAGATACAGGTTGCAGTGAGCTATGATCATGCCACTGAGCTCCAGCCTGGGTGAAAGTAAGACCTTGTCTCTATATTAAGACAAGAAACAAAAACATCAGGCTTGGGGAGAGGTATAAATGATAGGGAAGATGTGGCAGGCTTCTGAGGAGTGGTAATAATGTTATGTTGCCAATAAATATCAATGAAGTGCAATTTATTGAACATTTACTACGTTCCAGGCACTTTTCAAACTGTAAGTGTCTTTCAGATATTCACATTCTAATGGGAGGGAATACACAACACAGTTAATCATAAGAAACTGATAGAAGTAAATGTTAGGAGGTGTTAACTCCTACGGAAAGAAAAAGCGGAGTAAAAATAATTGGGTGTATTGAGGTAGGGTGATCAGGGTTAGCCTCACCGAGATGACATTTGAGGAAATAGCCAGTGCAGAGACCCTAAGATGGAAGCATGTCTGGCACATTTGAGGGACAGGGAAGAGGCCAGCGTAGCGGCAGCAGAGTGATCAAGAGAATAAGCAATAAGGTCAGAGAGACAAAGGGGGCCCTGATCACTCTCAAAGGCCATTGTAATGGGAACACAAGGAGTAATATGATCTCACTTTCATGTTTAAAAGATCATTCTGGCTGTCATATTAAGAATAGACTATATAGAAGGAAGGATGGAAGAAGGGAGACCTGTTGGGAGGGTGTGGCAATAACTCAAGCAAGATATGAAGACGGCTTGGACCATAATAGTAACAATGGAGAAAGTGGGAAGTGATTAGACTCTAGATGTATTCTGAAGGTAGGACAAAAACGATTTGATGACAGAATGAACGTAGAGTGAGAGAGAAAAAGGAATCAATGACTCCTAAATGGAAAGACAGATTTGCTATTAACTGAAATGAAAAAGACTGGGTGAAGCAGATTTGGGAGGGGAAGCAGAAGTTGTTTTGGACTTGTTGAAGTGCCTATTAAATATTCATATGGGGCAATGAGTAAACAGTTATCCACAGAAGCTAAATTTTAAATGAGAAGATTTTACAGACAGCCTAAGAAAAATAAAATTTAAATAAAATTAAACCTTAAGTGTTAATATATAAGTAGCTAATCAATATAATAAATTTTCACCGTTATTAACCTTCATTTAGCACATCTATGAAATGCTCCATCATTAAAGGTCACAACACTACAAAAGAAAAAAAGTTACTGCATACACTCTAATGGATTAATAATTTTGACCCAAGTTACTGGGTATGTGGACAAAAAGAGAAAATACTTAAGCTATCCAGTAATCTTAATCACAGCTCAACAATACAAAGGGCTTAATTCATCCCTATATTCAATGTATAATCGTAGAAGTGAAAATGCCAAGAGATCCTATCAGATTTCATCTGCAGCTTTCACTGCAGACACAGTGAGCTTTGCAGGTTCATAATGGCATAAACAGTGTGGCTGTGTGCCACAGACACAAAGATACCTCATGGCAGATTTTCTCCCTAAACCAAATAACTTGGTTGTTACTATTTATTAAGAATAATATGATAAAACCAGAACTGAGTATTGATAGTAAAAGCACACTGCCATGCAGCTACACATTGTCATAAAGTATTACCCAAGTTAGCTGTTTATTTGGTAAGTGTTTGAACAATTTACCACATAGGAAAAAAAATTTCATTGGGTAATCCACTAGTATAGCTCCAGAACAGTATGAAACAAAACTTAATTAAGCCCTGTAAGCAATGCTAAGCTAAAGAAATAAAATTTAGAAAAACAAGTAAAATTGGGCGAAAGGAAGGACTGTCCTTATTCTCTGGAATAAATGAGAAAGCGTAGTTACCAGCTAATAAAATGTGAATGGTGAATGTTTACCCAATTATCCTAACCTTAAATAATAAGCAGTAAGGTATAAAGGGATATTATTGAGATGCCTATTCTCCCAGTCTATAATAGTTCCAAACTTTAACCAGGCTCCTTTATGATCCATAAAAAAGTTATACCCCAGGACAAGGCTGGCATCATGTGGCAGAGCCCTACATGCCTCAAAACTTACTTGAAACTAGGTAGAAACAGAAATTACACTTTAAAAGAGGAATAAATCATACTAAGCAAAAGCTGACTGATCTGCTTTCCTACTCCTTTTCAAAGAATTCATTCTGTAATTCTGTACATCAAGAGGATAAAACTGTCCTTTCTACTCAAAGTCCAAATCATCAAGCAAAGGATGGAAAAACAGCATATCTTTTAGAACCTCTTCTGCTCTATCACCCAACAGACTTAGCACAGTGCCTGGCTTATGTAATACTCAATGTTTGCTAAATCTGAACTTCATCTGATCTCATCTCTCCCCCTTATTTCACCTTCTTCTTTAATGGAATCTCTTAAACCTCCCAACCTCCACTCAATTATTTGCCTAGCCTTTTTTATTATAAAACTAAATGCTTTAATTATGTTAAGTGAAAGACACCAGATATAAAAGGCCACACCTTGTATGATTCCATTTATACAAAATGCCCAGAATAGACAAATCCATAGAGACAGAAAGTCGATTCGTGGTTGCCAGAAGCTGGGGGGGAGGGGGGAATGGAGAATGCTAATGGATGTGGGGTTCCTTTCTAGGATGATGAAAATGTTTTGGAAGTAATGACAGTGACAGTTGCACAACGTTGTGAGTACACTAGAAACTACTGAATTGCATAATTTAAAAGAGTGAATTGTATGGTATTTAAATTATATCTCAATTTTTTTAAATGGGCAGCCTGAAGTCCTTCTTAGGGCATGAGACAAGAGTCCTATTACCTCGATAACTTAGTAGTTCCATAATTGATCACTATATTACGGTATCATAACTGAGGTTGAGAATGAGGTCCTAAACTAATAAGAAAATGTTAAACTCATACTGTTTCAAAGAAGAGGGAAATATAAAACTACTTAGAAACAAATTTTATCTCACATAAATTAAATTTAGGAACCTGAAGGTATACATTTCAGTTACTCAACAAATTCACGCATGTTCCAAAAAGGCATGACTGGATAAATTTTCCATCTTATAGAAAACTATCTTCTTTCTCCGGCTAGAGGTTGAACATTCCTAATCTGAAAAGCTGAAATCTGAAATGCTCCAAAATCAAAAACTTTCAGCACTGACATGATGCCACAAGTGGGAAACTCCACACCTAACCCCATGTGGCAGGTCCCAGTCAGATCGCAGGCACACAATACACAGTTTATTCAGCGTCCCCATGGGAGAAATAAAACTACCTTCAGGCTATGTGTATAAGGTGTGTAAGAAACATAAATGCATTTCATGTTTAGACTTAGGCCACATCCTGAAGATCGCTCATTATGAATATGCAAATATTCCAAAATTCAAATTCTGAAATCCAAAAGGCTTTTGGTCCCAAGCATCTCAGGTAAGAGATACTCAACCTGTACTTTATTAATCCTATATACTAGCTTTTAAAAAACAGCCTTTACTGATGATGGTTTCTTAAGGGGAAAATCCCACCCAACCTAACTAGTTCAACTCTCAAAGTTTTGTTCCTTTTAACTGCTACCACAGGCATGGCCTCTCCCGAACAATGTAACATTATATAACTCTTTACATTTGCACAATGCTTTAGTGTTCTAGAAGCTTTCATATACATGATCATGTATGATCCTACAAGGCAGGTGGAGTAAATCTGGTAAAGGAATGGTACTTGCTCAATTTCACAGTGGCGGATCTTGTGACAAAACTCAGGTTTTGACACTAAGGAGATGAAAGTGCTCAGCAGGCTTTTAGTGAATAAATGAACAAGACTACTAGATGAATTATCTTACTACTATACCACACTTCCTTCTATATGCTTTCCAATATTTTTCTCTAACTATTTCAAGGGAACCAGGCTTTTTTCAACAATAAAGATTATAAACTAAAGTCAAGAGGCCATATCTCATATTTATTCCAGGTCCCCACAGTTCTGAGTACTTGTGGATGGAATGATTAAAATGTCAACCTGTGAGTCCTGAATGTATTTATGGTTGTTGAGCTGCATCATCAAAAAAGACAAACTAAAGCGGAAAACACTAAAAAAAAATTTCCCCTCAAGAGTTTGTATAAGACTTTAAAACAAAATTTAAGCCCACGTTCTGAAGAAATATTAACAAATGAATTAAGACCCTGTTAGAAATTGCATTGTAAAGCATATTTTTTGGTTTAAGTAAGGCCTTATACATTTCAAAAGCTATTATTCTCCTAAACTATTGATGGTGGCAGGCCCAGCAAAGACGTAAGACCTCTACAATTCGCCTACCTGTAAGAATGAAGCAAAAGTGCCTCATACTAAGTATAATTAATGTAAAAAAATTAAAGATTTCATTTTAAGAAAAAAATGTTTTCACCAATAAACACAACCCCAATTAATGAGTGTTGTATACATGAAAAATGAATTATTTAATTTAATAATAAAAGAGTCCATGTGATCTCCAAGTGAATTTTCTAGTCATCTTCCTTTTACTAATACCAGCCCAGCTGATGAGGCTTCTACAAACAGATGAAAGGGAAAATCTTTATTAAGAGATACTGACAACCAAGCAATCTAGGGTCACACACAAGTAACAAGATACTTATATGTATGCTTACCATTTTAGAGAAAAATAAGACATGCAGAAGTTATCTGCCTTAGTAACTACATAAAAATATTTGTCTATTACATGAAACATATTAAGAAGATAATGAATAATACATTATATGCCTTCACCATTCCCAAAACAAATGAAGAAAAGAAATGCACGCAAGCCTTATAAACAGCAACAACAGCATCAACAACTAACAATTTTTGAGCCCTTATATGCCAGGCACTACTCTGAGTGCTTTACATGTATTAACTCATATAATCCTCACACAACCCCATGTGGTTTTACAGATGAAGGAACTGAGGCACTGAGAAGGTATGTAACTAACCAAGAGGCTATGTATACGTAGTCTAGCCAGTCTCTCCAAAAGAAACCACCGTGTAATACTGCCTCTAACTCAATGTAACAGGTCCCACGGGTGCGCTGGGAAGAGAAAATTACAGAATGGAAGCAGTATTTGAGCGAAGCCTTGAAGAGCAAATGAAAGAGAGAGACAAAGGACCATGCTGGTGCACATGTGTAGGAGAAGGTTTTCCATCTCTGCTACTACTATTTGGCCTCTGCACACACAAGACACAGGCAGAAGTCATGAAGAGATAGAGAGACAGGCGGTCCACACATCCACAGGAAATGTTTAAGAGTACACTTAGGCCAACGCTGGCTTTGAGGGTAGTCTTTCCTGTTCTCCAGATGTAACATTTCTGACAGCTTTCTCAACGGCAAAAATGAAGAAGAATATATGTCGACCACACTTAATTATGTGTTCCAGAGATGGGAGCTAGACACATGTAAACTGACATGCTACCAGCAATAACTTCTTCTCCTGTGAGAAATAATCTATAGTAAGAGAAAGGCAATAAATAATGATACACACTGAACAGCTATGTTCAGTCCACAGGCCAAAAAAAAAAAAAAAAGGACCTAAGAATCCTCAAAAGCATTTTTAAGTCCCAAAGCCTGACTGGACAACATTCAGACGAACAGAACTCTGCTTCTCTAAGGGAAAGCCTTCCCTCCTGAGCCCAATTATGGAGTCTGGTTGAGTAGGTAATATGAATAATCTTGCAAAATTACTGAAGAAATTACTCTTGAAATCTCAATGCCACTAAATAGTCTTTATTTACTTATTACTTTCCCGGTGAAGAAAGTAATTACAACTTTATTCTACTTTCGTATTCACTTGAAAATTTCATTAATTATTAATTTTAGATGTACTCACTAAGAACAGGGGACTCTCTTTTTCTCTCAACTTCATGGAAACCTCTCTCCTGGTTTTCCTCCTACCCCCTAGATGGCAAACTCCTTAGGACTCCTCTGCTAGCTGCTAGTTCACCCATTTCTGAATGTTACGAGGGCTTGGTTTTGAGTATTACTGTCTGTCTATATTCTTTCCACACACAAATTCATCATTTCCTACAGATTTAAATATTTCTTTGATGACAATTCAAATTGATATTTCCAGCTCTCCACTGAGCTCCAAACTCATGTTCAACTGCCTACTTGACATCTCCATTTGGATGTCTCAGACATTTCAGAATTAACACATCCAAAACAGAACTCTTGATCCTGTCCATCAAACCACTTATCTCCCAGAAATCTTCCCCATCTCAAAACAGGCACCACCATTTCCCCAACAGACTCAAACCCAACCCCATGATTTCTTTCTCTGTTCTAACAGTCCCCCTAACTCTGCCATTTACCCATCAGCAAATCCTGTCCACCTGCCTTCAAAAAACATACTTCAAATGACCCTCTTTCTATCTCCACTGCTACTGCCATAATCTATAACACCATCCTCTCTCACCTGATGACTGTCAGCATCTACTCTTTTACCCACCTCCAATCTAGCAACCAGACTGATCTTAATAAAAGCCAAACTCTGCTTGATTTGGCCACAACCTCATTCTGCCACCTCATCTTGTACAACAGCATTCCCCTGCCCACTCCCCACTCCCCCTCAATCCAGCCACACCAGACTTCTTCCAGCTAGCTCCCTGAACATCAGAGCTATCTGCTTTCGAGCTTCAGCACATGCAGTTTGTAATACTAATGGTCCCCCACACCTTATGTACCTAACAACTTTTTGCTCTCAATTAAGATTTCACCTCCTTAGAAAAGCTTTCTCAACCCAAAATAAAACTAGAACCCCACACTAAAACTCATCCCTGGTTTTCTTCATAGCAATTATGATGTCTGTTTACTTCCCCAGCTCATCATAAAGGCAATTTTTCTGTTTTGTTTTGTTTTTAAACAAGTTCCAGTCTGTCTTCACAGCTAAAACATAAGCTCTACAAAGGCTGGAGATGCCTTCCATCTTGTTCATAATTGCATCCCCAGTATACAGCACAGTGCTGATCACATATTGGCCCTTAGAAAATATTTAATGTTAAATGAATGTTAACCTCAAAATGTATCTTAGCTTATCTCATTTCACTTAACCTAGTAGGAGATATTTTCTGAACACATCAGCGCCTGACATTCTTTCAAAAATATAATTTTATCTGCTATTTCCCAGGCCCCCAATACCATTTTGAACCTATCCACAGATTTCCCTATTAATTTCTGACTAGCTGCTTTATCAAACATGGAGACTATTCTTAACCTGTGACAAACTCTTACCGCTTAACAACATGATAACATGTATCCAACCCTAATTCAAGCTTAACTCTAATAAACACTTAGAAAGAGACATTTATTCTAAGCCATTAGAGATTAGTACAGCAAGAGACTGCCCCCTACCTCCTTCCCAAGCCTCCAAAAGACTATGGAGCATCAATCCCAACCACCCCCACTGTATCTAACTTATAAAGTCAATGCTGTCAACACGTAAATATCGATTTAAGCCTACCTAATCTCTTACCTAGGAAAGTGTGCTTACTAAAATGCAGGCTCTATTTTCTAAATTAATCAAAACTCTCCAGCTGGATTCCCAGCTGATGGGGCTGACCATGGAGGAGCTGAAGGTCAATGAGTGAATTTGAATGTATGTGTCCAACTGAACATCAATCTCTGACTACCTTCCACACAGAAAACTAAAGATCTGCTCAACCAAAATTTACCAAAATCTCTAAAGTCCAGTCAGGAGTCCCCAGCTGGCTGATTACAAAGCTGCACTCAGTTTGGTCATGTCCCACTCCAAACACCTCACTTCTCAAAATGATGGCAAACTGGAGAATAAAAAAAGAAAGAAAAAAAAAAAAGGGCACAGAGAATGATGACAGAAACCATGTGCAACACTCTTTCTCTGTACAGAGATTTTGTCAGCAACCAGTTCACCAACCCACACCCAAGTAAGCTCAAAAATCATGAGATCTGTTTAACAGCTTTTCCCCCTGACCTCAAAGTTAAGATACATCTGGCCAATACATAATTTGAAGAAGGAAAAAAAATCAATTTAGGATAATTGACATTTGATAATTTTGATAAATATTTACCAAACATTTTATAACACTTATATTTACACATTTGATAGAAGCTATTTAAACCCTGAATTTAGTATTTCAAACACTCTGTCCATTATAATATATTCAAAATACCATCTGTGATTCATATCCCATGAATATGTAGTTTTTTAAATACTACATATTTTCACCTTATACTACATAGTAAACTATTAATTTCCCATTAATGCAGATAATCAAGAACTGAGTAAGTCTGCTACTTAAATATTGGAGGCTACTTCTAATGTTCTCTTTGGGGTCCATTTTACCTTTTAGGCAAAACTTATAATGAGGTTCTTTTGTTATTATAATATTAATAACTAAAGCCACTTGGAGATCATCCAAGCCATGTGGGTAGTCCCAGAAGTGCCTTATAACCAAATTTAGAGTAAAATGCATAAGGTTTTGTTCCAATGTTTAGGATATCATCCAAAAAACAAAGTGTCTATTATATAAACTCTAAAAATTTCCAAAGGGTTTTACATTAATGCAACAAAACAGTAAACTGAATTCCTTTGTTCACCCCCTCTTAAAATGCAAATTTATCTATTCTATTCCACCCACTTCAGATCTCAGGGGTTTGCAAAGTAGGACCATAACACTGTTTAATATCATTTATGAACCGTGCTATTACAGAGCATTTACTGAAGTGATGTACAACAGCTTTGATAAGAATGCAAATATTTTACCTTAAACTAAAAAGACTGATACTATTCCTGTCCAATCCTGCCCCACCTTAGTCAAGGGAGCCTGATTCTCAAACTCTTACAGTCCTACTTTCTCACATTTTCTAAACCATCTCACTTTTCCCCTACAGGCTCAGGCTATTGCCAACTCCCTCACTCCACTGCACCCCTACAGTCTCCCTTACTCACCAACTAACCAGCCACCTAGAATCCAAAGACTGCAAATGCAGGGCTACATTCGCCTGCTAACTTGAGCCTGACACCAAAATGTTCATGCTTAAAGCAATGGGCTGTGCCACTCTTAGGAAACTGCCCTACCTTCAGGCAAAGATTTCCCTTCAGCACTTGCAGCTGAATCTGTCACCTTCTTCCAGTTCACCACTTGCATGTTGGTCTCAAATCATTCTACTCTAATAAACTGTGCCACAGAATAGTGCCTTTGCCTATACACATGATGGTCATCTTTTCGTAGGATTGGACGAAGTTTTTAAATAATTGTCTCTTAATCGATTATAAATGAAACAATGTATGCGCAAAGAGCAAAAATGATTTCTTCAGTGTATTCTATCATTTAAAATCTTTTAAAAACTTTTACTTCTCTTTTAATCCTAAGATTTCTCGGCTCATGCAACATTTATATGTAGGAAGGAAAACACATCCCAAATAAACCATAACTTTTCTTCACTAACATTTATTCAATTTTTGAGGATGCAAGTATTATTTTTTCCAGGACCAAAAGAAAGAGGGGGAAATCAGGAGGATTCTAAACAGTTTGTTACACAGTTTGATAAATTTGAAGGGGTATATACTAAACAAATGAATAATCAAAAGATTTCCATTAGATGATGAACTCAATGTATGTTAACATTTGATTAACAGTAATATTTTTATTTCTTGACTACGTCAGGTAAAAGGTATTTATGAAACAACATGCAATAATCTGAGACCTAGCAAAGTGATGGATATTTTGAAATAGTATTTGTTCTTCAACCCCGTTTTCCTGGCATACAACTCCTAAAATCCTTGGAATGTACAAAGTGATGTCTTTTGGTATGCCAAGACTGATGGCTGGCTGGCAGCCCTTAGGCAGCTTCAGGATAGAGGCTGGTTGCCAGAAGAAAGACCAAAGCATGATTAGAGGGTTTAACCTTACCCTTCAACTTCCAGGGTGGAGAGGGGACTGAAGCTTAAGATCATAGCCACTGGCCAACGATTTAATCAATCATGCCTAAGTAATAAGGTCTCCATAAGAGGTCCAATAAGGACAGGGTCAGCAGGGCTTCCAGACAGCTGAACACATGGAGGCTGACGTAAAGGTGAACAAGAACTCATCCAGGTGCCAGGAGGGTAGCATACTCCACTTCCATGGGTAGAGAAGCTCCTGTGCTCAGGATCCTTCCAGACCTCAACCTATATATCTTTTCATCTGGCTGTTTACTTGTATCCTTTTAAAATATCCTTTGTAATATACCGGCAAACATGGTTCCCTGAGTTCTGTGAGCACTCTAGTTAATCAAACAAACCCAAAGATGGGGTTTGCAAGAACCCTAATTTGAAGCAAGTCAGTCAGACGTTCCAAGAGGCCTGGACTTGTGACTGGTAGGAAGAAGGATACAATCTTTTGGGACTAAGCCCTCAATCTGTAGTTTCTGAGTCTACCTCCAGGTAGAGAGTGTCAGAATTGAATTTGTGGACACTGATTCAATTGCTTGATGATTTCAAGAACTGATTGCTTGCTTGGTGTATGAAGAGAAACCCCCAAACATCTGGCTACAGAAGTCTTGTGTTGACTATTGTTTAATAAGAAAAATTTTAAAAGCGTCCTGAGTTTGTGTTGTTTTCTACCCCACACACAATCCCTATCCTCAAACCAGACTCATTTATTCATGTTCTTCCTATAGCCTCCTCTTCCTACAAATCTAAGTTTTGAGGAAAGAAGGAAATAAAAGCCTCACTAACCAACTAAGATGTGGAACTGATAGCAAGTATACAAGCTGCTTTAAGTGGGCCAATGAAGTATATAAATTACCTACCACTGGTTTCAAGAGGGCAAAGAGAGGAAAAATGAGTCACAATCTATGGGTGAAGAGGACAAAAGCTGATAAAAATCTGCTTCATTTGTTTAGGGTCCAGAATCTGGGAAATATAATTCTAGTACTACCATCACCCATCTAATAACTGAAAATCTCTCTGAAATAAGCAAATAAATTCATTTTCAGTTCCTCTAAAGGTAGAGCTCTCATTATGTACTGATGTCTCCCATTATTTCTCTAGAAAGCCCTGGCTGAAGATGAAGGCTTTTATCAAGCAAAAAAAGTGGTTTCCCTCTAACTTTAACAGAGCAGCGCTAGTTCTACTCCCCAAAATCACACAGAATAAGCTTAATAAAGAATGTTAAGGCTCTGAAAACAGTTCATCACTGCTGTCATGACCCTTCACCTCTCCAGGAAAAATAAATCCAACTCTTTTTTTTTTTTTTTTTCTTTTTGAGAAGGAGTTTCGCTCTTGCTGCCCAGGCTAGGGTGCAATGGTGCAATCTCAGCTCACTGCAACCTCTGCCTCCCAGGTTCAAGTGATTCTCCTGCCTCAGCCTCCTGAGTAGCTGGGATTACAAGTACCCACCACCAAGCCGGGCTAATTTTTTGTATTTTTAGTAGAGACGGGGTTTCACCATGTTCGTCAGGCTGGTCTCAAACTGCTGACCTCAAATGATCCACCCGCCTCGGCCTCCCAAAGTGCTGGGATTATAGGCATGAGCCCCTGCGCCCAGCCAACTCTTCTCCAATGTACCTCATGATCATGGATAAGAACTCCCAATTTTCCTTATTTATGAGTTTTCTAAATTCTCTAAGTTTATAAAATGCATCCACATTCTATCAGTGAAATAAGCAACACATTGAACTATCGGGACTGAATACTAGTCCTGGTTTTGCTTTTAAACTCCACATCCTTGAGGAAGTCCTATTTCTCTCTCTGGGCTGCAGACACTGCTGAACCATAAACTTTCCAGTTTCAGTAGCCTCACAGTCTGTATTAAAAACAATCATTTGCAATATTGCTTTCATTTTGATAAGAAATTTAAAATAAATATCTAACCAATTAATAGAACTGACAAAGGTATTTTACTTAAATTGTCTCCCACAATATTTAAGAGTCCTTAGAATATAATGGTGGATAGCAGAGGGGAGATAAATAAATATATACTACAAGTAGTTACGTAGTATGTAGTTATGTATATATGTATTTATACACATACACAACATAAATACCTAACTACAAGCACCATCAAAATGACCTCGTAGTTTACTCTTACCCAATATAAACATAAGTTTAAGCATATACTTATAAGTTTAACCTTAAAAAGCTATTTTTCTAGATCTATGCTGTCCAATATAGTAGCCTCAAGTCACATATTGGTATCTAAATTAAAATTAAAAATCAGTTATTTAGTTGCACTAGTCACCTTTCAAATACTCGATGTCCACATATGGCTAGTGGCCACTGTACTGGACAGGGCAGATAAGGAACAGGTCTATCATAACAGAAAGTCCTACTGGGACAGTGCTGTTCTAGAGCAGTTCACCTAAATCTGTTTTGCAAATGGAAACAGAAAAGCAAGACCTCAAAACACTTGAGCTCTGAAGTCAGAAACAAGGTTGAAATCCTAGTTCTGCCATTTACTTGCTATGTGACCTTCAGCAAGTTAGTTACTTAACCCTTCCAAGCCTGTCTTCCCATCTATAAAATGCTGTACAAAACTACTACCCACCTCAACTCAAAAGCATAAGAATGACACAACAGACTTTGGGGACTCAGGGGGAAAGGGTGGGAAGAGGGTGAGGGATAAAAGACTTCAAACTGGGTTCAGTGTATACTGTTCAGGAGATGGGTGCACCAAAATCTCACAAATCACCACTGAAGAATTTACTCATGTAACCAAATACCACCTGTTCCCCAAAAAACCTATGGAAATAAAAAACTTAAAATAAATAATAAAACTACTGTCACCTCAAAGACAGTTGTAAAGATTACACGAGATAATGCTGGTAAAGCATTTAGCACACTGCTTCAAATACTGGAAACATTCAATAGCTGTTAGCTCCCTACTATAATTAATTATATTTACTAATTCACAGATATACTGAACTGAATGCTACCTGAAATGCAGGGATTAAAGAAAGAGCTCTTGCCAGACTGGGTGAAACGGGTAAAAGAGTTGTAATCTGAAGCATCAGGAGAAGTGATGGTAGCGGAATGTTGGGAGGGGGATGCTGGATTCAAGGTGGAGGAAAAATGGTCGATACTCAGGCAGAAATCTTGGCTCTGGTGTAAGAGTTCTGCCTCTCCTTTGGTCATTTCAAATTATTACTAGGCCTCATCTTCCAAATAGGCGAAAGTGTGTGGAGAGAGTCTACCTGCTGTGTATTGAAGTAGAAAATGAATTTTAGCTTATGGCTTTGCCTGATTCTATTAAACGTTTTAGAAGAAAGTGCTGCCTCTACACAAATACGGATTGAGATATACCCTTAAAGGCATCTCATTAGGTCCCTAAAGTATGTAGACATTCTGAAGAATGTAGACAGTTCTAAATGAACATTTATTTAGAAACATAGCCCAAAAAGCAAACTGACAACAAAAATGCAAAAATCAAATTTTACACTGTCTTAAAATATACTAAAAAATTTTATTTGTTTGCAATAAAGCTTAGTTGATTAATTGTAAATCAACGAGCATAATAATCACCGTAAAGAAATTTGGATACATGAAAGAATACAGTTTCAGGATATCTTAAAAGATAAAAGGGGTATGGGAATTAAAATATTACATGTTGGAGAGTAATATGACACTTCCTATCTCTAAAGTGCTTAGTTAATAAATCTGAAATAATAACTAGATATAAAGCTGGGCAAACTCAATAATAAAATGTTCTGTTGCTATTATAAAATACAGTCCCAGTGTGACCATTTAATATATATTTTTCAGACACATTATTTTATCGTTTTTAAAGCAGTAAAGAATTTAAAAAAAATTCAAAGACCAGAAATAATGGGCACTAAACTCACTTTACCATTCAACATTTTCTTTTATTAGCAAATAAATATTTTTAAAGCTATGATTAAAGGCAGACTTAAAACAATAACATTTTGAAATAACAAAGCAAAGAATTTTTCTCATGGTGATTTTATTGAGACAGTTGTCTTCCCTTAATACAGTTTTGAAGTACAGGTACATGACAGCAAACTATTATACATAAAGTTCCCCATTTGAAATAACAAGCAGCCAGCCTTTTAAAGCCCTATATTGGTTGTACCTCAGGTGAAAAGACAGCCTCAAGGTAAAGGCAAAAAGAAAACATACTCTTGGCAGTAATGAAGGAGCTCATCTTAAAAATTATAAAAGGAAGTACAGAAATGAGAATATAAACAAGCTTGAAACTCTTGAAATTCTGAACTGCCAATGGAACATAAGGCAAGACCATGCTCCCTCACTCCCTCTCACACAGTACACATAGCCCAACTCTGCAGCTATCCCACCTGCAGGTGCTATTCCATTCTTGTTAACTGTTCTAGTCACTTAGTACACGCATTTCCAATGTTATTTAAAGTTTTTTGTCTTCAAAAAGTCTATCCAAAACCACTCAACACTGTAGCAACTGAGTCAAGAACTCACAGGATTGAATTAAAAATATTCCTCAATTACCTGTTTTAGATAAAGGAAAAAGAGATGGATACAAATAATTCAGTACCCTAAATAAATAACATAGGTCCTCAATGTATATTTAAATTTTATCATGTTAATAACTCCTCTTAAAAACTATGCCAGCATTTTGCTAACCAATACACATTCACATAAACTTTCAGTTATTCACATTGTACGTTTACCAATAATATGCCTCCCTCGAAAAGACTCTGAGCTGGCTGACAAAAATATATGTAGTATGAAAGTACAAATGAAGATATGGATATAAAAGAGGGAAAAGGGTAGAAAAATCAAATACAACCAGAGAGTTGAGGTTTCTACACAAAATGCAATTAATTACTAAAACTGAGGAGCAAATAAGGCTATGAGTTTCCAGGCAGCCAAACTAAATAAAGAGGGATGTATTATCAATTTTAAGATCCGTAGAGGCCATAGAGACAAATCCACTTCTGCCAATAGTATCACCATTCTAGTCTACAAATATCACACTCTTTAAAGTCATCCTCGACATCATTAATTTTGTCTCTCAAAACCACACCATCAACAAGGTGGGCCAGTTCAAAAACGTCTCCCATTTCCACTGCCTTTTTTTTTTTTTTTTTGGTCTTCATGGTATCACATCACCAGGTCTTATATAACTTGAACCTGTATTCATGCAACACTTTTCTTACTGGATTCCCAAACTCTTTATATCTTTCTCCACTCCATATTACAAATTAATTTCTATGACACAATTTTTTTAAATCAAAACTTCAATTTCACTCTCTTTTACTCAGTATTTAAACCTCAAACTACAGCAACTGGTAATTTTAACACCCTTCCTAGAAAGTCCTAACAAATCTTACCTCCCACATGGGAAGGAGGGCCAACCTGTTAAACTCACTGTCCCAAGAATAACTATACTAAATTCTCCCCTTTTATGTTTCTGCTCTCATTCATTCTCTTACGTAAAGCCATCCCTATTTCCTTTTACCTTTCCAAATCCCACCCATTCTTCAAAGCCAAGTTCACATCCCTCCTTAAAGATGTTTTCCTGGCCGGGCGCAGTGGCTCACACCTGTAATTCCAACACTTTGGGAGGCTCAGGCAACCTTGAACAAGTTACTTAATGTTAGGAGTTTCAGAAAGTGGTTGAAAAGACTAAATGACATCACATACAGAAATCCTTCAAAAGTTAAAAACTGCTGTACAAATATTACAATAAGCAGAGAAGAAAAATAATTAGTGACAATAATTAGATTTTGCATTGGTTGTTCTTTGTAGAGATCACGCATACAGACATTGTTTCTAATTTCTGTCTCAATACCTTCCTATTCTATAATTTCAAAAAATAACCCCCACACACACTTTCCCTACATACCATTTTAGTTACTATGATGTGGAAAATACACTTTTCGGCCAGGCGCAGTGGCTCACACCTGTAAACCCAGCACTTTAGGAGGCCAAGGAGGGCAGATCACTTGGGATCAGGAGTTCGAGACCAGTCTGGCCAACATGGTGAAACCCGTCTCTACTAAAAGTACAAACATTAGCCATGCATGGTGGCATGCGCCTGTAGTTCCAGCTACTCAGAAGGCTCAGGCAAGAGAATTGCTTGAACCTGGGAGGCGGAGGTTGCAGTGGGCTGGTATGGTGCCACTGCACTCCAGTCTGGGCAACAGAGCAAGACTCTGTCTCAAAAACAAAAACAAAAAAAAAAAACACTTTCTTCTATAAAATGGCTCCCATGAGTAGTAAAATGACACAGTAGTTAGGTTTATGTCCAGTCACAGCCTCTTCCCATTTCCACTGGGAATGCCTTACCTAATGAGTTAAGACAATGAAAAAAGTAAACCAGTTAGAATACTTACACTTTCTGATTTAAAACTCAGTAAAACTATAGTAATAAAGACAGTATGTTACTGACATAAGAACAGACATACAGACCAATGGAACCAAATTGAGAATTCAGCAATAAATCTTCACATTTATGATCCACTGATTTCCAACAAGGGTATCAAGACAATTCAGTGTAAAAAATAGTCTTTTCAACGAATGGTGCTGGGACACTGGGTCTACACAAGCCAAAAGGAATGAAATTGGACTCTAATCTCATACCACATACAAAAATTAACTGAAAAAGGATCAGAAACCAAAATGTAAAAGCTAAAACTGTAAAATTCTTAGGAAAAAATACAGATGTAAATCTTCGTGGTCTTGGATTAGGCAATGGTTTCTAAGATATGACACCAAATGCACAAACAACAAAAGAAAAAACAGATATTTAGACTTCACAAAAAGCAAAAACTTCTATGTTTCAAAGGTCATTATCAAGAAAGTAAAAAAAAAAAAATCCACAGAATGGAGGAAGATAGTTGCAAATTATATATCTGATGTACAGGACTTATATCCAAAATGTATTTTGAAAAAACTCTTACAATTCAACAATAAAACGACAAGTCATTAAAAAATGGAGCAGGATTTGAACTAACATTTCTCCAAAGAAGATAAACAAATGGACAATAAGCACATGAAAAGATGCTCATCCATCATCCATCAGAATAATGCAAATCAATACCACAACAAAATACCACTTCATATCTACTAGGATAGCTATCATTAAAAAAAAAAAAAGGACAACATCAAGTGCTGCCAAAGTTGTGGAGAAAAACTGGGCCCTCATACACTGCTGGCAGGAAACACAGACTTACTATATAACCCAGCAATTCCACTGCTAGGTACATATCTAAGAGAAATGAAAACAAATGTCTACCCAAAAACCTGTACATAAATGTTCATAACAGCATTATTCATAGTAGCAAAAAAGTGGAAACAATATAAATATCCATCAATTGATGAGAAGAAAAATAAAATGTGGTATATCCATAAAAATGGAAGTTTATTTGGTAACAAGTAGGAACAAAGGCCAGAGCAATTAGGCAAGAGAAAAGAAATAAAGGGCATCCAAACTGTAAAGGAAAAAGTCAAATCAGCCTTGTTCCCAGATTACGTGATGTTAAAACCTAAAGACTCTACCAAAAAAAAAAAGCTGTTAGAACTGTCAAGAAATTCAGCAAAGTTGTAGAATGCAAAATCAACACACAAAAATCAGTGGCATTTATATATGTCAACAGCAAATAACCTGAAAAAAATCAAGAAAGCAATCCTATTTACAATAGCTACAAAAATTATAAAATGCCTAGGAATCAATCTAACAAAAGAAGTGAAAGACTCATACAAAGAAAACTATAAAACTGATGAAATAAATAGGACACCAAAAAAATGGAAAGGTATTCTATGTTCATGGATTAGAAGAACTATAACAATATTTTTAAATGACAAGACTACCCAAAGCAATTTACAGATTCAATACAATCCTTATCAAAATACCAATAACATTCTTCACAGAAATAGTAAAAAAAAAAAAAAAAAAAAAAAACCTAAAATTTACATGGAACCACAAGACTATGAATAGCCAAAGCAATCCTGAGCAAAAAGAATGAAGCTGGAGGCATCACACTACCTGACTTCAAAATTTATTACAAAGCTATAGTAATCAAAACAGCATGGTACTGGCATAAAAACAGACACATGGATCAGTGAAACAGATGAGAGAACTCAGGTATAAATCCACGCATTTACAGCCACCTTATCTTTGACAAAGGCATCAATAACACGCAATGGGAAAAGGAGAGTCTTTTCAATAAATGGTGCTGGGAAAACTGGATAACTATATATGAAGAATGAAACTAAACCCCTATCTCTCACCATACACAAAAAAAATCAAACCAAAATGGATTAAAGACTTGAATCTAAGACCTGAAACACTACAGCACAATGGTCTGGGCAAAGATTTCTTGTGTAAGATCTCAAAAGCACAGGCAACCAAAGCAAAAATATACAACTGGGATTACATCAACCTAAAAAGCTTCTGCACAGCAAAGGAAACAATCAACAAAGTGAAGAGACAACACACAGAATGGGAGAAAATATTTGCAAACTATCTATCTGACAAGGGACAAGGGATTAGTAACCAGAATATGTAAAGAGTTCAAACAACTTGACAGCAAATATATATATATAATCCAATTTAAAACAGGCAAAAGGGCCAAGCGCAGCTCACGCCTGTAATACTAGCACTTTGGGAGGCCAAGGCAGGAGGATCACTTGAGGTCAGGAGTTTGAGACCAGCCCGGCCAACACGGTAAAACCCCATCTCTACTCAAAATACAAAAATTAGCCAAGTGTGGTGGTGCATGCCTCTAATCCCAGTTATTCAGGAGGCTGAGGCAGAAGAATCACTTGAACCTGGGAGGCAGTGGTTGCAGTGAGCCAAGATCATGCCACTGCACTCCAGCCTGGGTGACACAGTGAGTCTCCATCTCAAAAAAAAAAAAAAAATACAAAAATCAGCTGAGCATGGTGGCATGTACCTGTAGTCTCAGCTACTCAGGAGGCTGAAGCAGGAGAATCACTTGAACCCAGGAGGCAGAGGTTACAGTGAGCAGAGATCACGCCACTGCACTCCAGCCTGAGTGACAGAGAGAGACAACTCAAAAAAAAAAAAAAAGGGGGGGGGGGCAAAAGATGTAAACAGACATTTCTCAAAAGAAGACATGCAAATGGCCAAAGGGTACATTAAAAAATGCTCAACATTGCTACAATGCAATATCTCACTGAGGTTAAAAAGGCTTAGATCAAACAGACGGCAATAGCGGATGCTGGCAAGGATGCGGAGAAAGGGGAAGGCTCGTACACTGTTGTTGGGATGTAAATTAGTACAGCCACTATGGAGAACAGTACAAAGGTTACTTACAAAACTAAAAACAGAACTTCCATATGATCCAGCAATTCCTATACTGGGTATATATATTTATATATTAGTCCATTTTCACGCTGCCCATAAAGACATACCTGAGACTGGGCAATTTACAAAAAGACGTTTAATGGACTCATGGTTCCACCTGGCTTGAGAGGCCTCACAATTATGGTGAAGGTGAAAGGTACGCATCACATGGTGGCAGACAAGAGAAGAATGAGAGCCAAGTAAAAGGGGTTTCCCCTTATAAAACCATCAGATCTCGTGAGACTTATTCATTACCACAAGAACAGTATGGGGGATACCACCCCCATGATTCAATTATCTCCCGCCAGTCCCTCCCACAACACGTGGGAATTATGGGAGCTACAATTCAAGATGAGATTTGGGTGGGGACATTGCCAAAGCATATCAGTATATATCAAAAAGAAAGGAGATTAATGTATCAAAGAGATATCTGCACCTCCATGTTTACCCAAGTACCATTCACAATAGCTAAAATATGGAACCAACCTGAGTGCCCATTAACAAATGAATGAATAAAGAAAATGTGGTATATACACACAATGGAATATTTAATTCAACCATAAAAAAGAATGAAATCCTGTCATGTGCAGCAACATGGATGGAACCACAGGCAAGGTTAAGTGAAATAAGCCCAGCAGAGAATGACAAATGTCACATGTTCTCACTCTTACATGAGAGCTAAAAATGTAGATCTCAAAAATAGAGAGTAGACTGGTAGTTACCAGAGGCCAGGAAGGGGAGTGGGGGGATCAAGAGGAAAAAAAGAATATAAATATATAAATGTATATTCACTGAACTTTACACTAAAAATGGTAAAGATGGTAAATCATGTATGTATATTTTACCTCAATTAAAAATATTTTTAAAAAAGAAATACTTGGGTAATCAAGTTCAAGACCAGCCTGGCCAACACGGTGAAACCCCGTCTCTACTAAAAATACAAAAATTAGCCAGGCATGGTGGCGCACGCCTGTAATTCCAGCTACTCGGGAAGCTGACCCAGGAGAATCGCTTGAATCCAGGAGGTGGAGCTTGCAGGGAGCCAAGATCACGCCATTGCACTCTAGTTTGGGCGACAAGAGCGAAACTCCGTCTCAGAAAAAAAAAAGAAGTACTAACGCATGCAGCAACATGGATGAACCTTGAAAATATTACACTTTGTAAAAAAAATTTTAAAAGCCAGACACAAAAAGCACACAAGATTTCATTTATACAAAATGTCCAGATAAGGCAAATCTATAGAAACAGAAAGTAGACTAATTGCTGCCGAGGGCTGGTGGTGAAAGAGCTGGGGGAAAATGGGGAAGGAGTGACTGCTAAAAGGCATGGATTATTTTTTGGGAGGTATCAAAATATTGCAAAACAGACTGTGATGATTACAAAACTCCGAGACTATACTAAAAACCTAAAAGTATAAGTGAATTTTACACTTTATATCTCAATAAAGCTGTTATCAAATAAAAGACAAAATTAAAAAGCAGCGCCAGTGTTCCATGAGCAGATTCTTGAAACACATAGAAATAGAAGTGTAAACTGCTAGTATAACTACATCCTCTTTTTTGGTTTACTTCCTCCTTTTACTTGTTCAATTACTAGACCAAAAATCAAAATCCAAATAAATCATTTTACCTTAGTCTTTTCTTCCAAAAAGTAATAAGGATTCTCTGTCATTCCCCTGCTCGTAAACCTAATACAAACTTTAGCAGTAGCAGATCATAATAGCATTTGAACAAGTTAGCTTCTCTGTGATACAGAGGAGCAAGTTATCCTTTGGATGATGACGATTTTAATTTTAATTTTTATCTGGAGATTTGCTGGCCCACTAGCTGCCAGTTCTCCACTAGCACCGAGGAAGTATAAATGAACACACTGACATGCACAGATCTAAGATCTTGCTTTTAACAATTTGTGAAGAACTGTGAAAGTTACAACCTGTAGTCATTTATAAGGGGCAGTGAATCTACCTGTTAGAGGTCTGTAAGGATAAAGCATCAATTTGACCCACTCTATCCATCTAAGCTGGTGTGCAAGGCACCAAGGTAACGAGCAATTCTAACCAACTGCCCAGCACCTCTAACTCAGCAGTAGTATGAAAACATTTATTGATCAGTGGATCTGTGAAGGCCTCAGGATAGAACCCTTGCAAATGTCATGGGTCAGTTATGTTAGCCAACATGACAGTTAAGGCCAAGAAAAATATATTCCACTACTTATAGGAAATACTCTAAGCATATACCAAATTTCACTCAAATGAAGTGTAATTTTCTATGCCTATGGCCCTACAGACGCTACGATTTTATGAGCAGAAATTTTTTCTTAGCTATAAAGTTTTGTTTTAAAATATTTACCCATTAAACTGTGAGTAATGTTTTTAAAAAGGATGACATATTTAACCCAACTTCAAAAATAAAACTATCTTACTGCATTTTTACTTCAAAGACAACAATAAAGTGAGAAAAAACTGAAATATGTAGAGGCAAATATCTCCTACATGAAATAATTCAATCTATTAAATCATTTGTAGGTGTTCTTTAAAATAATATTTGTTTATTCAAAACCTGAAAAAAAATTAACCAATACTATATTAGAATAACTTCCTCTAAAAATGCCTTACATAAAACTTTATCTACACTGAATGCTGTGATTCGGGGTGACTTGATAGTCTCAACTTCTTTAAATAACAGATTTGCACAACGCTTAAACACATACAGTTCCTTCAATATGATTCCAAAAGAAGCTTAACTAGATATCACCTAAGAGATGCACCAAAATTCAGAGGTTCCATCTAACCTGACAAACACACAGTATTGGGTTGTCTGTTAAGGTTCCCGAAAATAGGATAAACCACACTCAAAGTGGAATGTGACACACACCCACCCCTACCCAGACAACCAGTAGAAAAAATCGTTCTCCACTCTCTGACTAAACAGGTAAAACCCACAGATGTTCCCTCACATATAATCTTTACATGTGATAGCAGACTAACAACTACCCAGGGAACCAAAAGGCAGGGTTTTGAGAGGCATGTGTGATAGGAGAGGTAATCCACAAAGGGAGCAGAGTAAGGGGATGCTTTCTTCTGAAATGAGATATGACTTAACTGATTAAGTAAAGGACTCTGACTTCTATTAGGCAGATAACTTTAATTTGCTCTATTTTGATAAATTAATCCATTACAGTCATTAGGCCAATGCAGGCAGTGCAGAACTTGTAAAAATCAACCACAAAAGCACTGTTAACTTTGACCAAAAATAAGCCAAACTAACACTGCAATCTAATCTCTTTCTGAAGATGGTAACCACATTTTCACCGAAATACAGATGGGCAGATTAACTACAAACCACAACCAAATATTTGACACCAAACAGTCCAAAGACCACAGTGATGCACTTAATAAGCACACCAAACATCCATATTAAGTAACACAAGCACACTGATAAGTGTTGATTAACCAGTTTTACATTTTCTATCAGCTACAGCACAGAGGACCCTTTGCTTGCCAAAGGGAGTGCCATACGAAGGTAAATAACCTTTCTCTCTGCCTGACCCAGTCCAAGCAACTGTTTTAGAATCAATAAAAGGAGCCAAAGCCACTGCACTGCAGACCTAGCTTCTAAAGCAAACTTATCAGCTATCCAATCCTCAGCCCACAAGTGAGAATTTCCTTACAAATTCCCAAGTCAGAAAATTAACTAAAGTAGATATCTTCCCTGAAACTGTTTGAAGGGCTTATTATGTGTGACTTCTACATTTAAAAATTAAAACCTGTAATACACATTTTGCTCTATTTATGAAGAGCTTACATATGAACTAGTAATGATGTCACTAAGGCTCAAAGACAAAGTAAACCTCCAAATTTCAGATGACACTATAGTTAAACGTTTCTTTTACTTTTAATAGAACTATGGTTCAATTATTTGTTTATTTAAATAATAACCTTTATATAGTTCCTTTCCCCATTTATCTAATAGCAAAATTGCAGTCTACATCACATGATACTGTATGTGGATTTCATTTATTAAAAATGAGCCTTAAACAAACTTATTAAAACAAAGTTGTTTATTTTGCCGGTGATTGGGGTTGTCAAAATTTAAGCAAAGAAGTGTATAAAGTTCACTTATTTATCAGTTCAATTGTTCATAAAAAAGGTTACAAAAATAATATATGTAATATATTAATAATATGGGTTTTTTAAAGATTCAGACCATTAAAACAAATATTATCCTAAGAAACAAAGGATGTTAGGTTTAATTCAAACTGGGGTTTTTCCACAAATCCATCCACTTATAATCATTGACCACCAAAAGCTAAACAATGATCTGCCATCTGAAACGGCTTTGATGTAATACAGTCCTAAGAGTGACAAAAAGTCTTAGGTTAAACGGTTTTACCTAACAAAGAAATATTTGTTCTATTTGAGTGAAACATTCTTTGAATATTATTACTGTAAGTTTATAAACTGTACATGATTCATTTGAAGAACCATATTAGATTCACCACAAAGTAAGTCCTATTAGAATTTTTCCTACACAAAATTGTTATCTTTGTTTTTACATAAAAGTAAGATCAGTAAACTCAGAAATCATACCAAGCAATAAATTCTACCTGCGTTCAACGTTGGGAAAATTTTTATTTAATCGGCCCTCTCACCTTCAATGCATAAGATTATCATTTTAAACCAGAAAAACTCCAGGTTGGCCTGGTTCCAATGCTGATCTCATCTCAAAACAGAAATAAGTGTCTTAAAAATAACCAAACAGCCATCTTCTAACTACTGCACCAGACCCAAAGCAGCAGCATAAGGTAAGAGGTTATTTTTCTCCTCTTTGTCCATGTATCTTTATAACATTAACCATTTCCAGGTAAGCACTTTTCTTTCCTAAAAGTAAACACTGACCAGAAAATTCGAGGTCATGATCATAAAGGGAGAGAGAGTTTTACATTTAACATCATTGCCTCAAATCACCCATTCTTACCTAGTCACAACCAATGACGACAAGAAATAATGTAAACCATGAAGAAACACTGTTTAATGTGTCTGCATTTTTAAAAATCAAATTCCAACAAGATAACAATACAACATAGCACATATTTTAGCCATGCTATTATTCTATCATTAAAAAAACCACTTAAGGCCCTAACACCTCTTCCACTAAAATGTCATAGTGTATTTGTTACCCTATAATTTCATTGTCTTACTGTTATTGCATTACACTACTTTTGGCAACTCCGTTCAACCACTACAAACATACTTGCTGAACATTCCATTTCTGCACAGAGATGACAAAAACCATTGTCTTCCACAGTCACTTAAGTTCAAACAACAATGATGTTTTTACTAATTAATCAGACTACAACAACAGCTGCATATAAAACCAACAGTTCAAATGCACCTTCTGCAAAAGATACAAGTAAATAAAAAACCATGAGTACTTACCTACAGTTGGGAGGAGGGTCCAATGTGATTTCTGCAAGTTCCTTCTGAATTCTTTAAAATAAAGACAAAGAACATTATGTTAAAAATATCTTCACTCTTAACAATTTATTTCATTAAAACGTTACATTTTAATAACATTTCCCTTTGGTATATTAGTTTGAAATACTAATACTGTATAAAGAATCACATCCAACAAACAATAAAGTTGCAATTTCTGCCAGGGTTTTGAGGATGCATCTAAAGGATGAGACTACCAGTGCATGCAACCTGTGGAAGGAACACTACGACTTCACTGAACCACTGACAGCACTAATTAAAATTTCTAAAGCTGGAAATTTCTGCCACACCATTCATGGGTCATTTTAACTTCTGTTTTGTATTAGAGCATTCCCATACAGGATGGAAAGCTGATATTAAGTTAAATCCAAGCATCATGACTGATAGAATCAAATGATTCGGGATCTCATTCCAACACCTGAAACTGCCATCAAGATGCATATGGTATTCCTTCCTGGAGCCTCTAATTTGGACCAGGTTGGGACTTTGAAGTTTAACACTATTTCATCGGCTAGAACTACCCTAATATTACATGAGCAATTAATGTCATTGCATGAGCTTCATGCAAAAAAAAAAATTTAAGCCTGCTCTATCCTCATGTGTTACATTCTACTTTTATTTTTAACAGCATCTAACATCCTATGTACATACAAAAAGGCTGAAAGTGCGCCACTGTTTTCTAAGACTATACTTGGCAATCCCTTAACTATCATTCATACCTTATTAAATGTAGGCTTTGTTAAATCAAATACCAAAAAATTCTCAAAACCGTTTCTTCTCCTTTGCCTTGGTTCTTAAATATGGGGTTATTAATAGCTGGATGCCTGTTGTCTGGTAATTACTGTGACAGTATATCAATAATAACTGATTAAAGTATCTTTAAAAACCAAAACAAGAATTTGAGCAAAAATATTTAAACTCAAACAATTTCATTCTACTTCTTTTTCAAGACAACAAACTACTAGAATAAATGGGATCCCTCCAATAGAATTGGTATCAACTTCCCGAAGGAACTGCATGCTACTAATATAATTGTGACTTCTCTAAACCACGTGATTCAAGGTTGGCGAGGCATTATGAATCAGAGCACGGCTAAGAAATTCAAAGTCAAAAAAATGTCATTGTAATTCTGCTAGGCCATTAAATTGAGTCCCTGAGCAAGAATACTGCTCACACATGCTTGCTCTCTCTCCCTGTGCCTCAGTTTTCCGTCCTGTAAAATAGAAGTTAACTAGAACAAACTCCGTGATCTCTTTTAACACACTGTAACTTCCTTCTAATATGGATTCTGTGAAGTATTTATATGCATACAAAGTACATATTGCCCATATTTAAATGACAGAAGTCTCAAAGATTTGATATAGGAGAAGATATTTTATGGATTTCACACAAAAGTATACAACAGACACTTCAAAACTCAGTGGCTAAGTCCAGGTTAAAGATGGCCAACTAGGCACACACACTTTCACCTCTCACTCATTCAGGACCCCACTGGGTGGGTAGGGGACATACAGAAAATGCAAAAAGGAATAAACAGCAAAGAGAAGGGTGGTGGTCACCAATGAGTGAGAAATTTCAATATATTTCTGCGAGACAAAACAAATGGGTGTAAATCAAACAGGTTGAGACAGGCAAGAGGGGGCTGCAGAGTGTATACCAATAAAACAGACTACTAAAGGGGCATAGGGGGAAGTAATCAGAAATCCCAGAAGGAAAAAAAGCTGCATAAGAAAATCACAGATGAAATATGAAGCAAACTAAAATGTAAAATAACTTTAATTAAGTATCAGACATTGGGGGTGAGGTGGGGAGAGAAAGATTTGATCTATTGTGCCTCAATGCTATGACTCATTGAGAAGCCCAGAGATCATGACACTGGCCTTGTAGTTAATCTAATCGTAATATGCTGTTTGGTCTGGCATTGAATATTTAGTTATAATAAATGTATAATTTATTGGCCTTTTACTTACAGACAAAGCATAGAAGATTGGTTGTTAGTTGCACTGTACAAAGTAAATGTTATTAACTTTGAAGATGTAAAATTAAGTGTAGCTAATATAAACCAGCTAAAAGTGGATGGAGAAGATATTATCCCCAATTTACAAAGTAGAGAATAAAAAACATGTTATTCATAGGAATAAGAAACAGAAGTTTAAATATATATTTTTAGACTATAAAGGCAACCAATAATCTTTTTAAAAAAATTTTAACTATCATTAACTGGGAGGAAGGAAAAGAAAGGAAGAATAGGTAAGCAAACTAAATCCTCATATTTCAGAGCAGGGAATCAAAAGATATTACTTCAATTAACAATTCAATGAGAAATAAGTGTATTATTAAGAGTTGTACAGAAAACCAACAGAAGGAGTAAGACTAAAGACAGCTAAACAGTCTGCTTCAAGGGAATGGAATTGGGAGAACTAGGGGCAGGGGGTGGATAAAAAAACTGTTACTTTCCATTAAAAAAAAATCTATGTACTGTTTACTTTGTTATCAGAAACATGAACAACTTTTAAAAATTGTTTTTAAACTAAGAGAACCAAAAGAATAGGCATTCTAAAAAGCATGCTTAAACTGTCAAAGAAAACTATTTTTAACATAAAAAAACTTCTTTGCAATTTTCAAACAACACATCTTGCTTTATATTTATACTGCCCTTTAGGTTTAAAAAAAAAACAAAAAAAAAACTCATAAATCCTGGGCCAGGCTCAGTATTGGTGGCTATGGCTGTAATCCCTGAGCTTTGGGAGGCAGACGCAGGAGGATCACTTGAGGCCAGAAATTCGAGACCAACCTGCACAACACAGTGAGACTCCTCTACAAAAAATTCAGGAAACTGTTGGTCATAGCGGTGTGTGCTTATAGTCCCAGTTACTCAGGAGGCCAAGGCAGGAGGATCACTTGAGCCCAGGAATTTGAGGCCACAGTGATCTATGATCATACCACATACTCCAGCCTGTGCAAGAGTAAGACCCTGTCTCTAAGGGAAAAAAAACTGATAAATCATAATTTTCTGTCATATAATTCTATATAAAATTTGAACTCCAGATCCCTATAATTCTAGGTCTATATTATTCAATACAAAAAGCAATTTACTGATGAATTCAAGAAGTCTGAGCAGTGAGTCAATAATATTATATTTTGAGCTACTGTTACCTAAAATGGTTGTATGTCTCTTGACAGAAAAGATTATACTAAGAATTGCTATTTAAACGGTTGTAAGATGTCCTGCTGTTTTGAATGACAGCAATTCAATTCTATCTCAAAAGTTGTGATTATGGTATGTATTAAGTTTCTCAGCCTTGACAAGTGGGATAAGAAAGGTACCTATTTCAGGCACTGTCTCTTAGGGTGAGGAAAAATGAAAAGTATCAATAATTCACACTTACAGTCTACCTTTCCCATGATGATCTTTTACCGTTAAAAGTGATTAGGTAAATCTCACAGAATTCTCTAAGTATCTGTTTTATCAGTCCCCATTTAAAAGGCAAGGAAAACTAAGGCTAATTATTTTACGCTGGTAAGGTGAAAGATGGAGAACTATTATCTTGCTAAGTCAAACAAGAAGACTTCCCTCATCAGAACTTTTAAGACAAAATTATTTTACACAAAAATCACCTGAACAATCACCTAAATTTCCAATTTTCATAAGGCAGTGCCACCTCTTAGGTTAGTATGATACAGAAGTCAGCAACTGCCCATTGTTCCTGAGACAAGTCAAGGAGCAATACACAATTAAATTTCAATGTATATTACTCCACCTTATACCTTAACCGTTCCAGGAATGAATGATAAGACTACAATAAGAATGCTGTGTGGGACTGTTATTTGCTTTAAAAAAAATAGCAGAGGAGGGGAATCATAACAATCATGATTCACTCAGACTTAAATGAAGAATATGGTACCAAAATTATACAGAACAGAGAAGATACGAAACACTCATTTTAACATCAATATATTGGGCTAAGGGTTCAGAAAAATGAAGCAGTGTATATGTACTAACATGTTTAAAACACACACATACATTTCTTGAGTTAAAGAAAATTCAAAAATTTACTGAGAGCCAAGTAGAACATGAATGTGTGGATACGCAGATTCGCAAAGTAATTTCTTAGCAGGAATTTTTTTAAAACCCTTCATCTCATCTAGACAACTTTCTATATTCCCTTACAGACTACATTCCTCAGTCAACCTAAAAACCCCTACTCTAATCAATTGAATCACCTAGCGAAAACCTTCCAAAATGAACTTATTCTCAAAAAAGCATCATGCAACTAATTATTAAAATTTTTTAAATGTCAAAGCAATCTTTAGAAAACACATTGCCATTGCAAATAAGAAGTCTAGAGTTTCATTCTAAATGGTGGTATATACTATATATCTATGATTCTGAAAGATCATTGATTTTAAGACACACCATCAATAATTGTGCACATAAATTTTAAGATGTGTCCCAATTTCAGAAACATTAAAAAGTTTTAAAATGTACTTTTAGAATGAAGAAAATACAGTAATTACAAAAGATTATCTACAAAAGTACTATTTCATTCTCATGTGGAAAACAAACTTAGACGAGCCCATATGATAAAAGTTCAAACTGGAATACAGTGGAATCAATCTTTCAACCTAACAAAAATTTAGTCTGAAACCAAAAACCATACCTCGAACAGTATCATATTGAATGTCCAAAAATAAAATCACCATGTCCACTCTAAACAGTTAATTTAGAATAAATATGATATAAAATTCACATTTACAGATGTATCAACCCGTAAAAGCAGCAGAATAAATTCAAAGAAGATCTCAAAATAGACGTTTTATTGAACTGACTAGTCAATTTAATCAAAATAATCTAAATCTGTCACTGCAGATATAGTCCAACAACAGACTTGCAAATATAACAAGAGTGATATAGACATATCAAGAGAACAGGCTGTGATAAGAGCATGACAATTTTTTAAGAAACTCTTGCCAAAGAAAAGCAAAAATGCATCTAAGATGTAACTGTAATCTTTCCTCCTAACTCTGAGACAGAAATTAATTTCTACTGCTGTTTAAATACCCACTTAAATGTTTTCTGTATTATATACCACTATTCTATAATATCACAAATGAGATTTTTCAAATCATAGTTCTATACCAGCTTATTAATTCTATAATTACTGCATTACAATTATTAATTCTACAATTATAGTACATTTCATATAATAACTGAGCACCTACGTGCAAGCACTTTTCCTAAGTCACTACAAAATGTATTTAATTACGGCATCTGAGTATTTCTAGTTTAACAATAGCATTAAGGCCTCCAAGGTTAACATATACCTCATTTTTCCAAAGTTTGTACCAAACAGACTTGAAAAATATGACCGTAGATTTTAACTGACATAAAGTCTATCAGTGACGGCATCAGTTTTGAGAGCTTACTATGTGCCAAATAAATGCTTTATCACATTTAGTCCTCACAAGAACCTTCTGAACAGCGTACCGTTATCATCTTCCTTCTACGAAAGAAGAAATCGAGGCTTTGAGCTGTTAAATTATACATCAAGATCACAGAGGCTAGGCACAGTGGTTCATGCCTGTAATTCCAACACTTTGAGAGACCAAGGCAGGAGGATCGCTTGCAACCATGAGTTCAAGACCAGCCTGAGCAACATAGTGAGACTCCCATCCCTACAAAAAATACATTAAAAATTTAACCTGGTGTGGTGACACAACCCTGTAATCCCAGCTACTTGGGAGGCTGAGGCTGGAGGACTGAATGAGCCCAGGAGTTGGAGATCATACCACTGCACTCCAGCCTGGGTGACAGAGCAAGACTCTGCCTCAAAAAAAAAAAAAAAAAGACCACAGAGCTATAGCTACTAAATGCTAGAACCTAGATTCAAACGTAGATGCTGTCTCTAGAGTTCAAGCTCTTCAATGCTACTCTTTATCTCATAAAATGACACTATTTGGGAAAGGCTTCTCATCTGAATAAAAATGATCGTCAACAAAAAAGTGTGAAATAAAATTTATTTTGAAACTACCTCTAACTTTTAATCTTCTGAACACACTAGTACTAAGATCCTAATATCCATGGAAAATCCGATCCCTATAAGAAGCTCAGGGTTCCAAGGCAGCCAGTAAATAAATACTGTGACTGTACTCTGCTAGGCACTGTGGACATGGCAGTGAACTTAAAAGATGTGGGGTCCTCTGTGCTCATAATTCCCAATTTTTTTCCTAAGTTCAGCAGAAATGGCAAAGAACCAACAACTTCACTATCAGCTGAATTGGAGGAAGAGAGAGGGGAAAATAAGGTTTTTTAAATTAAAAAATTAGTAGTGAAGCCGCATTTTTATATTTAAAATAAATAGTACATAATTACATCATTTCATACACTGTCACCCGAAAACCAACTGAAGACCTTTCTAGAGGAAGATCATGAACCACAATTTGAAAATCACAGATTCACAACAATTTGCCAATGGAGGGATTCTTTCAGCCAGGAAGCAACTCAAAAGAGACTTCCTATTTTCACCAATGCAATACAACCACTTTCTATTTACTGCCAATCAGGCACTGCGCTGCGCTCTGCACATACATTATCTCTAAACTAGGTTTTATCTCCTACATACAGTGCAGAAAAATATCTTCTATATTTTTCCCTCGTGAAATCTATCATTAGGTTTGAATAATCCGTACTTTCTCTATATACTGTAGTAAAATAAAGATGACCCACGTACTTGAAAAACTCATGTTCACACATAAAGCAGTACATCTTTCATAAGCAGAATTTGGTCTTTGACATATCACCCAAGAAATATGATTTTAAGGTATTTTATAGTGGTGCTCCCAGTTAGAGGAAAAGGCAGAGCCTCACCACAACAGGTGACTTTGCTAACTAGCAATCATAGAATAAAGCACAGGCCCAGCAGAACCCTATTCCCCACAGACCTGGCCAACCAATCCTTCCCCTTTTCTGACAAACTGAAGAGGCCCTGTAAAAACCCAATCAGACACTGAGGACTGAATTAGATCTTCCTCATCTGCGTGGAACTACAATCTGTACCTGAACATCTCCTTCCCACCTACATCGACTTCCTTCTTTCACCTAAATGTCATATTTTCTCTATTCCCCACCTTTCTCATCCATCCTAACCCCACCCCCCATTTTCCAGGTCACCTCTAAGCAGGTCATTTGTGTTGTGGTCTGGCAAACAGAAGGGTCAGCCAGCTGAGTCCCCGGTAATTGTGTTGTGATGGCAAAACAAACTGAACCCTCTTCCCCACCCTAGCATGGTCTAGTATACAGGTCTCAAAGTTTAAAGTTCAGGGCTCTCTGACTTTCAAACAGCTCCTTCAACAGAGATCAGCAATACACCCCCACGAAAGGGAAACTGAATACTCTAGTACCTTGGAATAACCACTCACCATCCCTCCAACATCTCTCACCAAGGGTCCTGAGAAGGTTCTTTCCAACCCTGTAGACTGACTAAGCCAAAGGAAAACAAGGTCTACTAGAACAAAATAATGGTTTTTTATCTTTGAGAAAGGAGTTCCCCTTAACCCACACCATAAAATAACATATAAAGCTGTAATACAACATTCAGGCATTCCACTATGCCTACAAGTTACAGATCGCTTTTATGTATACTTCCGACTTGGTCAATGTAAAATATATGAAAACAAAGCAAGAACATAAAATCACAGGATCAGGAAAGACACTACATTTAATTTATCTTTCAAATTATTTTCCAAGAGATATTCTATAATGTAACAATATCAAACAGATTCCCTTTAAGTCCAGTGACATGCCAATCATTTTAAGAGATTGAGTACCAACAGAAAATCATTCAAATACCTACTTTCCAGATCCATCTATTCTCTAGAGAAAGAGAAAATCCGTATCAAGATGGATCCACTGACTAATGTAATGAAACCAAGATGCACCTGTTGCTAATGTCAGCATTTCTGACTTTACCAACTGGGAGTAGTGGAAAATAAACTGTCACTCACTCAGTAACTACTTCAAAGATTCCTAATCTCTATTCTGTGTTACTGAACAGAAAAAAAATATTTATGGTCAAGTAACCATAAATGAAACTACTGCAATTTTACATACACACCCTGTATATGTTTCCCTGATAATACATAAACACACAAACACACTATGGAAATGTATGTTATGAATTTGCCTTGCCATTTAACTGACTTTAAATACTGAAGTTCCCTATGGTTAAAACCATGTAAACGAGATCATCTTGAAGGGAAAAGAAAAATCCATGAAGTTCACGGCCGACATCCCAGAAAAAATGATTAAATGCAAGAGAAAAATAGAACTTAAGATGATAAATTGATACCAACAATAAAAAGGTTATAATAACTGAAGTACCTTTTAGCACTAGTTGACAATTTAGCAGCGGTTTTGCTGGATATTTTTCCCTCCTTTTTCTTGGGCTGAACTTGTTCTCTTTCTGGTTCTTGCTGAACACTTTCACGTTGATCTCCATCGGAACTTCCTCCACTAGTGCTTGGACTGTCATCAACTCTTTGTGCCTCAGTGGACATTTTAGATCCTGGATTAAAGAATCAAAAATCATTTATTTAGCTGTACTACAGTAAGCTACCTCCAGAACACAGAGAATGAGCCTCAAAGTAAAACAAGTAAATCTCAATATAAAATGGATTAAATTGGTCATTTACAAAACAATGCAGCTTTGGGAGTTGCTAAAACTTTTCCTTCATCCATTCAAAATGTATTCTAAAATGAAAACATACAAAATTTATACATGAAATGTTCATAGCAACATTATTCATAATAATCAAAACTGGAAACAACTCAAATATCCACTAACAAATGAATGGATGAACAAAATATAGTAGTATATTCACATAATGTACTGTTAGCCATAAAAAAGAATGAAGTACTGTGTCTACATGCTACAAAATGGATGAACCTTGAAACATTCTGGTAAGTGAAAGAAGCCAGCCACAAAGGACCACAAACTGTTTGACTATTTATATGAAATGTCCTGAACAGGCAAATCCATAAACATAAAATTCAGTAGTGAACCTCACGCCTGTAATCCCCAATGTTTTGGGAAGCTCAGGGAGCACCAGCCTGGGCAACGTAGTGGGACTCGATCTCTACAAAAAATAAAAATATGATTGATACCACTGCATTCCAGCCTGAGTGACAGAGCAAGACCCTGTCTCAAAAAAAAAATTAATAAAAAAATAAAATGGGTAAGTGGTTGCCAGGGAGTGAGGGGAGAGTAGTGAAGAGTGACGGCTAATGGGTATGATGCTTCCCTGTGCGGTGATAAAAATGTTCTTAAATTAGATAATTATAATCTTGCACAATTCTAATAATAAATATTCTAAGAACTACAGAGTTGTACATTTTTAAAGGGTAAATTTTATAGTATGTGAATTATATATCAATAATGCTGTTACAGAAAATAAGACAAAAATGATTAAGGGTCTACTCTCTACCAGGCGCTGTGCTAAGCCCTTTGGTCCCACAACTGTGAAAAACCTCGACTAGCCAACTTGCTAAGTACAAAAACGAAGGTTAGTACAAATACTTGTGGGAACACAAAAATGGGACGACACTTTCAAATCCCTATTCAATCAATACATCCTCAGGGCTGGGCTAAGGTTAAAATTCTCCAAACTAGTAAGTGGTTTTAAGTAACCTTTGTGATAACAGAAGAACACAGAGGCCTGCATGACTGCATGATTCTAAATAAAAATTGAACCATATGACAGCATTCAGCTATATACTAAAGCAACCATATTTCACAAGAGATGAAGACACTGAAGATTTTTTTTTTTTTCCCCACATTCTGGCTAAAATATCCCTCAAGGCTTTCAAATTCCCTTTGCTCTGAGTTCAGGCCCCCCAAGCAGTTCTGATTACCAACTCAATTTCCTCAATACCTTGATATTTAGGTAGCTGTTATAATCTAGACAGCAGACACAAACAATTCCAGTAAGTGAAAAGGAGTATCTCTCCTCAACTGTCATTCTATCATAATCAATTTCTGAGTTTGATGACTATGAATACATCCCTTATGAGCTGACTAGCTTAAAGTGTTCTGACAAATCCAGAACTGAACCAACAAAACTCATGCCCAGACTCTAAAAGGCCTTGTGCTCCCCATGGTTTTGTCACCTAATAATCACTTTCAGCACTGTATAGCTATCTTCTCAGACACCTTTTTAAAAACAAAATACCTATACTTAATAAGTACCATTAACAGCAAAAAATATATCTTTAAAAATTATAGGTACACTGAACAAATTCCTTTTGAAATGGATCCTTTTGATTACTCTTAATCAAATTACAACTTGAAATAAAACTGTTTCTGATATGATCAAGAATAAGAACAGGTAAAGATACCTCAAATAAAGCAAAATTTTTTAATTACTATAACTTAGTCCAAATGGATAGCTATTTGACACTGATGAAAATTCATCATCACTAAAGATTTAACTTGTAGCTTGCTCTAAGCCAAAGCAATGTTGTAACACCGATCTTTAATGGACTGAAATTTTTGTAAGACAAACCAAAAAGCACTGCAAAAGAATGGAAGCATCAGGAAGCACAGAGCCACAAAGAGTCAACAGAAAATAGTGAATCCTTTCACTGACACACCACACACACCACCACCAGCACCCCTTCAACCCCAACAGCTCCCCATGCCAAACAGAAACAGATCTGCCCCAACAGCTCTGAAACATACTAACGGAAAAGCTGACTACTTTTCTACCTATTCTGTAAATGAAGAGCACCAGTCTCCACAGCTGTGACATCTTTTATGAGCACTAAAGTCACTTAATAGAACACTGAAATTTTATATCAGTATGTTTCACATCTAGCTCTAAAAGTCGTAACATATTTCTTGCTTTTTTTCATTTTTATTTCACTCTAAATTCTCATTCTTGGATTTAATATTTTTTTTCACCTTCTTTCAGTTAAAATATATCAGAAGTTTAAAATCTTGTAAGTATGTACATAATGGCATATCAGATAGGGCGGCATGCATGAGAGTGAAAAAGAGAACAATCCTCAGGGAAAGGTGCTCAGATATAGCAAAATGCTGCCAGCAATACCTTAAGAAATGTGAAATGAGTGAGAAATCATTTTATACATTTTAAAACAGGAGCAATCCATTCCATGACAAATATATGGGTACCTCAATGAAATAATATTCTCTATACTGAGGATGCAGCTTCAGCGTAATAAACTATGATTTAATAAACTATGCTGAGAGTTTCAGTTGTGTATAACATTAGTTATAAAGCCACACATTCTTCTCAATATTCTTATTTATGTGCATTTACATACTATCGAATGCCATAGTTATATAATTACTTAAAAAGATTACTCAATGATGTGATCTGAGCCATAATCTGAAACTCAAATTTCTACTGCCGAATATTAGAGGAAGATTAAAATAAAAATTAGTCTCACCAGAGAACTAATAAAAATACTATTAGAAATTCCCCAACAGAGGTGTAATTTCTGGTTTCACATTAAGGAAAAGAATTATTCCCACTTTTGAGTTAAGACATATTTCATCCAAATGTTAACCTACAAATGATAAGTCCATCTGAGGCCATTGATAACCACTATAGGAACTTTTAGAAATAAAGTTTTCACATCTCTTTTTCAAATATCAATAATAAAAGGAATTTCTCCTGGGTTTGTTTTTTGAATGCTTGATTACAGAAAAAGTATAGAAAAAAATTATTGTACCACTCAGGTGCAACGAATTTTTATGAAGAAAAAGTAGTCTATGAATCAATTTAATTAGTCGTAAGTGTAAACTTGATGTCTTGTCTCTCTGAAGTACAAATGAATAAAAATTCCTGAATTAAAATCCTTTAAACATTATCTTCTAAATTAGCATTTTAAAATTAATTCCTAAATAGCTAATCTGATCCGATTATCTCATCTACAGGGAAGATAAACTTAAATCCCAGGGTTATAAACAAACAGCTACTCTCCAATGATACTTTCAAAGATATTGAGAGAGATAAATACGCTTACTTCATAACTCAAAGTAAAATTTAATTTTTAACCATAAAATAAGTAGTCCTTCCTAAAACTATATTAAGAGGCTTACATATTGTTACTTCTTCAACACAAACTGTCTAAGCTTGTATTAGCTATGTACCCTATGTTGTAATTACAGTCCTGGAAATTAGCAACATACAGTGAATGAAACTCACATGTTCCATAAAAATGAAATGATTTGGCTTGAAATATTACTGACTACATAAAGGCAACTATAGTCATTCCATAAATCCAGCCTACTACCCAGGTAAGCCTTATAACAGTATCTACTAGTATAAAACTGCAAAACCAAGTGTTCATTTAAGCTTTTATAACAGGAAAGCGTTTAATTCTGTCATATATGTCTTGCTGTCTTCCTACTCATGTTTCTAAACTTTTCTAAAATGTAAAATAAATATATAGTATATGCACACAGCAATATCCAGCTTTAAATTTAACTGCAAAGACATTTATGCAGAAAATAACAGTGGAACACCTGATTTGGGGGTAAAAGGTGCTGCAGGGGAAAGAGAATGGGGTATGGCATTATATGAAAACACTCTATTTCAGCGTCAGCCCACATACAGAATTCCAAAGAGCCAAGGAGCATCCAAATTGCCGTAGTAAAGGCAAATATTTAGATTCACAAAGTCCAGACTGAATTATCACATATCTAGAAACATACTTTTTAAAGAAATCAGGGATTAAAAACTAAGAAGAGCGTAAAATCCTTTAGAACCGCGAGATACTTTGAGGGTAAACCCTAGCACTTCCTTTCGTACTTTTAAATAAAAATATTTTAGTAGACTCTCAAGAATACACAATACAAAACGATGAATCTTGAAAACATGCAAATGGGTCTAACAGCCACCGAGCACAGGATGATGTCTTTCTAAAGCAGCCTTAATTTCCTTAAGGGAAGATGGATTGGACATTTCTGGTTGGTCGTGGGGGAAAAAAGCCACAAGAAGCCACGCTTTATCTTCATTAGAAATGGTAAAGGGCAAAAAGATCAAAACATTATGAGAGAGATCGGAGAAAAGAGGGGGAGAAGTGGGGTGGGCGGGAAGGGGGAGAGGACAGAGGGAATCCAGTTTCAAACCAGGCCAGTGGGGGCTGCAGAGAAGAGACCAGAGAAAAATGGGCTTCGGTTCCAAACTGTGACAAGCGCCAGGCATCACAAAAGACCAATACAACACACACCCCTCACCAGGACACACACAAATATACCCCACAAGGTCTTCTCCGGGCGGGCCACCGGGGTGCGGCGGCGAAGGAGCCAAACCCGGCACTCGCCAGGAGACACACCATGTGCAGCAATTATGCAATTAGGGAAAATAGCAAAAGATCAAGCCGGGCACTTTCCACCGTGACATTTATCCTGTACTTTTGAAAAGACTTAGTTCCAGGATGCGGCTAGGAGAAGGAAAGCGCTGGGAGGGTTGAGAAGGATGGGGAACTGAGAACGGAAGGGGGTAGAAGGAGGACAGGGAGAGAAGAGGCAGAAGGGGGGGATGGGAAGAAGGGGGAGGGGTAGAAAGGGCGAGAAACGGGGGCAGGAGGCTCGCGGGAGGGGGCGTAGGGAACCGGGCACGGGGAGCGAGGAAGGAGGGAACTAGGGCACGAGCGGTGTAAGCAGAGACCTGCGACGCGGAGGGGAGGTCGGGGGAGTGAGGAGGACGTCAGCGAGAGGGAGGACGCCCGAGGAGGGGAGGCACCGGCGCGGCCCGAGCGAATACCTGAGGGGGGGGTGTCCGTGCAGGTCGCAGGCTCGAGCCGAAGCCCTGGGAGAGAGCTGCCCAGGCGCGAGGGGGAGGGAGACTGGGGAGGCCCCAGGGACGGGATGTCCCCTGCGGACCGTCTAGTCACCGAAAGCCGGACCCACGCACCACGCACCCGACCACGCCTGTCCCCGCCGCGCTCGCGCCCGCCCGGACTCACCCTCAGCGCCGCCGCTGCCGCCGCCCCCGGCCGTTCCAGCTCCGGCTCCTGAGGCTGCTGCCCGCGGCTGTCGCTGTGGCTGCCCCTGAGTCCTGGAAAGTGAAGCCACCACCTCCGGGAGCCGCCGCCGCCCGGCCGTCCGCGCGCGCACCCGCGAGTGCGCGTGCCTGCGCGCCCGCCCGGGAGAGACCGCGAGAGCGCGAGCCCCACGTCGGCCATGCGGCGCCGCGCGCCTCCCTCCTCCCCCCGCCCCTCCTCCTCCGGCGCGCGGCCGCGAGGGGGCGGGGGCGGGAGCGCGCCCGGGCGGGCTGCCCCGCCGGTCGGGAGAGGGGGTGGGGAGGCGGCGAGGAAAAGTAAAGTGACAGCTGGGTCCCGCGCGCAGACTGGGCTCTGACGGGGGTGAGCGAGGGGCGTCCCACGGGGAAGGAACGACAAGGACGGGGAGAAGTGGGGGAAACCGAGGCTGACGGGGTGGCTTGAGGGGAGGGGACGCGAGGACCTTGCCGGGCACGCGCATTAAAGGGAAACGCCGGCTGGGGGTTAGGGGTTACCCCAAGACGGTGCAGGCAGTGGGACGAGGAGGCCTTTTACCCCCATCCACCGCAGCCCTTGACTTCACGCTCGCCTCGAAGCTTTCGCAAAGTAGATACGGGGACTGACCCTGTTGACACACTAACCCAAACTCGCAGACGCGTGGGGCTCGCATGTACCCAAGACAGGAAAACTTCACGTTGGCCTGGAAACTTCTTCCAGGCTAAGCCTGAGTCTTCACCAGACACTGCAGCACGAAGGCCCTTCTGCCTTTTGGCTCGCCCTGGCCCAGAATGCGCACCAGCCGGTAGAGAGGAGCTTCGGGCCGTTTAGCCCTGGGGTATTGAAGAGAGGGGTGGGGGTACAGGGTGCACCACTGTCAGAGTGAGTGGGAAGCTGCCTTCATGCCCAGTTGAAGGATATGGGAACAGTAGCAGTGCTGTAGGTGGCATGAGGGAACATTAGGTTCCGTTGTACTCCTCATCCCAAATAACCGTTTAAAAAAAAAAAAAAAACGTACCTGCTTTGCGAACTTAGCTTCCACGAAATTTCTCCCACTCCAACCTCCAGCCTCACTTACCAACGGAATGCTGGGTCGTTGGCAACGGGGTGTCCAGGGATGCAGCAAAATTAACTTCTATCTTTGTGGAGGAAAGGATTGGAAGATCTTTCACTGCTTAATTGCTGAAATTATGGTTGCTACAGTACTTCATTTGACTGTAGATGTTTTAACTGCTATTTACTAAGTTCAAAATGGGTTTAATACAAATCAGTTACCCTTTTCATTTATTCAAGGAATATTTATTGATACCAGGCACTGTCTAGGTGGTAGATATATGACATTGAATAAAAGAAAAAAATCCTTGTCCTCAGAACTTCCCTATGTCTGAACCTTCTCTGTTGTACACTCAGCATCACATTCGTCAGCAAATTCTGTTGACTCTGTTTTCACAAATATATGGTGAAAATGTCCACTCCGTCTCACTCCCCTCCCCACTGCTAATGTCCTGGTCTAAGGCATCATCTCTCAATAATTATCTCCTACCTGATCTTTCTACCTCCCACTCTCCGCCTCCTCCCTCCCCAACACCTACACACAGCCGACTGTCCTTTAAAACAAAGATTAGATTATGTCTCTCTTCTTCTCAAAAATTCCAGTGGCTTCCCATCATAGAGCAACAGCCAAAGTGCAAAATATGGATACATGGCCTGCATGATGTGCCCACCATTCCCAGCCAGGATTCCCCTGACCTCAAGCTGTACGATTTCACTCCATCCTCGTCTCCTTCCAGCCACACCGGCCTTGCAGTTATGGACACACCAAGCATTCCTCAGCCTCAAGACCTGTGTACTTACTATTTCCTATCTCTAGAACATTCTTTCCTCCCACTCCTCCCCCAGAACTTCCTATCCACATCCTCTGCTTTTTCTCCATGATCACCACCTGACATAATACATTTTTTTACTTATTTATTAGTTTCCCCCTTCTGCTTTCTTTTTCCTCCCTCTCCCAGCCCTCCCACGTAAAAGCACCTTGAGAAAAAGGATTTCGTCGTCTGGGGTTCAGTGCTGTATATATTCAATAGATAATGACCGAGTGAAAGAAATTGGTCTCTTTCAGTTGATGACACAATAGGTATTGTTTCTAATTTCTTCAATAATTAGTACTTACCGTGTTCTTAATTTGTGCTAGGCAGCATGCTAAGCACTTTAGTTATACTAGGTCACAACCACCACACAGGTTGGTTTTATCCAATCAGCCCCACTGTACAGATGAGAATACTGAGGTACGGAGGGATTAAGTCACTCACCTACAGTCACATAGCTAGTGAGGAGCAGAGCTGGGACTCGAAATCAGCAGTTTGGCTCTGGAGTCTGTGAACTTAAGGACACTTTACCATGAGTCTGGTGTTACAGACATAAATATTTATTTGATTTTCTCTATTTCTCTCTTCTGCGGTGCAAACTTGGTCTCCAAGACAAATAGCTCATCTTCCTTATATTTTCTGCTCTGGTCCATCAGTCTGTCGTCATGAACTCACTCCTTTCTTACATTTCTTATTTCTGATCATTAATTTAGAGCCTACGTTTTTTCCCCCTGCAACTGGCAAATTGGAATGTTTTTTGAAGGGTCCTTCTTAAAACGTTGTTACTGCCAACTTCGTGAGTAAGTAGAGCCACAGTTAGTTTTCCAGTTTGACTGGATGGGTGATAGAAAAGACCTCTCTCAGGGGAACTGGGCTGAATTTGAGCAGAAGCATTATACTGGTAGAGCCCTGCTACTTATTTAGGCAACTTCTGTTCTTGTTAGGCACCCAATTATCAGGGGTTATTACATATTTATATTATACCCTTTGAAAGAAACATCATATTAGCTCAGGTTTTCCAAAGAATGGGATAGAAAACAATGATCTGTTGCATACTGTCTGGCTTGAAGGAGGCTGTAGTCACCCCGAATGTTTTGGATACTTAAGGGCAACAGTGGTGTAGGAAAATTGAAACTCCAATAGAACTGCAACCCCATTACCTACCTAGTTCAGTACCAACGCAAAGGTACGACCAGGTGCTTTAAAAAAATGTTTGTTTCATAAATAAATAAATGAAATTCTAGCAGGGAATAGAAGTGTACTGAGGACAAATTCCCCTGACTTCCCCATTTGTTCAGGAACTGCTACCTGGACCACTATGTATGATCGTGTATTTTGTACACTGCAAAGTATCAGGGGGTGCCATTCATGTAAATTAAGATGCAAACATAGAAGTGTGGCTGCTCCTCTCACCCCTAGACGTTGCCTGAGTATGGTAATCAGTCTCTAAGATGTCCCACTGATCCCTGCCTCTTGGTATTCACACCCTTGTGTAATCCCCTCCTACGTCATGCTAGGGTTGGTGTAATGCTGTGAGAAAGGAGGGTATGTCACTTCCAAGATTAGTTTAGGGCTTCCATCTTGGTTGCGCACACACTGATGCTCTCTCTCTCTCTTTGCTGTCACTGACTCTGGGGAAAGCTAGCTGCCATATTGTGAGCAGCCCTGTGGAGAGGCCCATGTGACTAAAAAATAAGACCCGCTAACATCCACATGTGTAAGCTTTAAAGCAGATCCTTCAGCCTTAGCTAAGCCTTCAGATAATGAAGCCCTGATCAACATCTTAACTGCAAACTCTTGAAAGTCCTTGAGCCAGAAACACCCAGCTAAGCCACTCTGGAATCTGGAGATAATGTTTGTTATTTTCAGCCACTAAGTTTTAAGGGTAATTTGTTATGCATCAATAGATGATTACTACACCATGCTCTCTGCTCACTAATGATGAAGTTCCCCCTCAAGTTCTCCATGTATCAAGGAGGTTGCTGTCATGGTAGGTCTTCCAGGGAGAGGAGTCCCACTAACTCCTGAAATGGACTATTGCACCTAACTTCTCAGTAACTGCAAACATAGAGGCTTAAGGAGGTACTGAGACATAAGTAAAGGATCTCAAGAGACAGCACAGGCCAGGAAAAAAAAGAAAAGTGGTTCTGAGGGGCTGTCTTTAGATACCACAGGAGTAAGAAACGAAGAACTGGCTGTGGAGAGGACTAACCAAACAGAAAGGAAAGAATCGGAGATTTGTTGAGCAATGAGATTGTAGTTGAGGTTTTCTTTGTTGTAGTTATTATAATGCTATTAGTACAATAAATAAAAATATGGAGAAACCTCAGAAAGAAGCAGACGGAAAAGCCTTGCCCTGGTTGGCGCCTTTCCTGGGCATTGCAGAGATGCTTTGGAACTGAGCTATCTTGTTTCTAGATCCTGGTTCTGCTGCTGCTTATGTGACCATGAGCAAGTGGTTTAACTTCTTACTGCCTCAGAGTTCTCCCCTACAAATGGGGCTTATTTGAATGGCCAATTCTTATATAGGGTCAGAGGGAAGATTAAATGAGTTAATGTATGTCTGCGACTTGAATAGACTTGAAGCAAAGTAAGTACAATAGAAGTGTGAGCTACTAGTCTTCCTGGTGCTTTGATAAGTGGGAGATCATCTCACCCTCAAGTCTAGGTGTAATTCTCTCACTTGAGTTTGCCACTTTCTCTTGCAAATAGTCTTCTAGGTCAGCCACACCGCATGTCTCCCTGTACCTTACACTGTTTAAAAGCCTACACTCTTTACTTTGCTGTGAACTTCTGAAGGGCATACACCATGCTTTATTTATCTCCACACCTACACATTAGTAAAAAGAAAAAGCATCCCTGAGGGTTGGTTGAATTAATAAATATACCTGCTTTTTCAGCTGCCATTTCCCCAGACTATAGAATTGTGGAGATGGGTGTAACTGTTTCACATCATTCATATCAACAACCATTTCAAAGAATACACAAGCTCTTTACTATTTTTTATGAATTCAGAAAGTATACTAATGAATATTTTCCAGTATTTCATGAACGCTCTGGCTTTCTCTGCAGCCTCTATAAAGAAAAAATGTGGAATCTTTTTAAATATGACCAAATGAGAAAACATTTTTCTTTTTCATTTTTTAGACGGACTCTTCTTGCTCTGTTGCCCAGGCTGAAGTCCAGTGGTGCAATCCCAGCTCACTGCAACCTCCGCCTCCCGGGTTCAAGTGATTTTCCTGCCTCAGCTTCCTGAGTAGCTGGGACTACAGGTGCCCACCACCATGCCGAACTAACTTTTGCATTTTTAGCAGAGACGGAGTTTCACCATATTAGGTTTCACTAGTTCAAACTCCTGACCTCAAATAATCCTCCCACCTCAGCCTCCCAAAGTGCCGGGATTACAGGTGTGAGCTACCACACCCGGTCTGAAAAAAACTTTTTTTTTTTTTGGCTGTCGTTATCTTATTGCTTTTATTTTCTTTCACATGCATCTTAGTACTACCTTCTATACTAGGAAGTGCACACTTTTTAAATAACAGCTTTATTGAGATATAATTCACCATACAGTTCACCAATTTAAAGTATATAATTCAATGATTTTTAGTACACCTACATATTAAGAGGAAGGCATAACTTATATGGAGAAGAATAAAGACTCTTTTCTCTTTTGCTTTCTATTCTGTTTTTCTTTTGACCAGGACTTACTATGAGGACTCTGTAGGTAAGCCATTTGTTTAAAGTCTCTGGGTTTAATATGCAAACCAGGGTCAAATGAAAAACCAGCACCATCAGAGAAGCCAAGTATCAAGGCCCCCAGTTGATGATTTATCTTACTAGCCTAGTTCTAGTCAGGCTGTATCCTCAGATTCTGGGGGAGTTGATTATAATCTCAAAAGACACAATTCCAAATGCCATAATCCCCAACATCCTAAAAGACCAAAATCTCTAAAGTCCAAAATCCTGAAAATCACAATCCAGAAAGATCAAAATCTCAAGAATATAATTCTGAAAAAAATAAAACATTTATTTACATTTTAAAAGGGGATTTATTTGAGAAACATAAAAATACAACAAAGTACTTCATAGGCCAGTTTACACAATAAAATAGGCAGTAATACATATTTTTGCAACACTCAGGTATACTAATGACAGTCACATGAGTATCACAGTTATAAGCAGACAAGCCATATTCATAAATAAATAGGTCAAAGAAGGGAATGTGTAAACATATCATTATGGTTGGTAAGTGAGTGCACCCAGCTTTATTATTGTGGTCATACTGAAATACCGTGAGAAATACCTAAATCTTTTGAAGAAATCAATCAAAAACCTCAGTGGGTCACCACCACATATGCAGTTGCCCGAAGAGCTGAGATCTTGGGCAATTTTACTTTTTGCAAATCAAATGTACGAAAAAAGGCATCTCTCCATTTATTAAGGAAGTTTCAATGTTTTTACATACATGAACAATGCTTACATACAAATCATTTTTGTGGTAATTCACTCTCATGGAGTCAAATTTGCAAAAAATGCATAAAACAAATTAGAACTCTTTAAAAGTCTCTACACAATTTATACCTCCGCTATTGGAAATGATGCCAAGACGAAATACATAGCATAGCAAATTGTTAAAAAAAAAAATTGACAATTTAAAATAGTGGGGGAAAAAACTTAAAAAAAGAAGAAAGAAGCAGTGGCTCACCCATACCAGCTACTCAGGGGGCTGATGTGGGAGGATTGCTTGAGCCCAGGAAGTCAAAGAAAATTCAACATATGAAACAATATATTACAGGGATAGATTATAGGTAATTGCACAGATATAGTCCCAGAAGACCTGGCTGACTTTCACAATCATTAACTGTAGTTTGAAGTCTTGCATCACAATGAATAGCTGCTTTTTTTTTTTTGACATAGCTCTCCTCCAAAAATACATTCACAATCATTTTCTATGTGGCCCTGCTCTTTTTGAAATTCTTCTGTTATTTGATATACACCAACACGAGCACTTCTTACTACATTTTCCCATCTCGTGTCTAAGGAGGTTGATCTTTGACGGCTTCAACATTTGGGATTATGGCATTTGGGATTGTGTCTTTCTGGATTATGATCCAAACCCAAACATCAGCATTCCCCCTTGTATTGGCTGAGTCCTCCAGGAGGTAGGCACCAAGATGCAGTTAGATGTGCAAGAAATGTATGTATTTATATACGAATGATAAAGGGGAAAGGGAGCAGGAGTAGGCAGGGAAATCCTTCAGGCTATGATACTGGTCTGATACCTGTGAAAAGAGAGAAAGGAGGAAGAAGTTTGTAGGAGGAGCCTCATGCTGAAGTGCAGTGCTGAGGAAGTCTCGTCCAGCCTAACAAAGTTCCAGTGCAAAGATTGCCTGTAAGCACTGGGCAGAAATTGCCAGTTTCTACTGTTCCCATCATGTTCTGTCATTTGCTGGGATGCCTAGGGAGAGCATGTCCTTGGTTCAAAAGCTAAAATGGGTCCTGAGGGCACTGAGAGCTGCCAGTTGGCAGCAGCTAACTTGGACTCCTCACAGTGGATAGGCAAATCTTTTTCTTAAAGTGTGATCCAAGCCATGCATTTCCATTCCTCTTGCACCTTTGTCATCAGAACTGCACGTTCACAAACATAGTTTCACACTCTACTTCTATCTATCTTGGACTTGCTAACCGGGATGAGTTTCACTCATGCCATTGCTCACCATCTCTGCTTTAACCTAGCTTCTGAGCTTTGAGCTTCTGACTATAGCTAATATCCTGCCTCTAATTCTTCCATTTGCTTAATAGTTGATATGTTCAATCCTGTACCAGGCTCAACTTTCATTAGACTGGCCTCAGAGAGCCAAAATAAATACCTGAATTCTTCTTCAGAGGCTTAGAGTGAGTAGAGTATTAGCTTTCTTATTAATTCCTGTCATTTCTCTCTGTTGTACAGGCAAGAGAAAGAGGCCCACTGCAATATGCTGTGAAGAATACATAAGAAGTCAAACTGTTGACCTCTTTTCCCCAGCCCGTTCCAAAACTACATCCCTGAGGAGTTGTGCACCTCTACGGAAAGTTCAGATGAAAGAGCTAATTCCCCTTGATCTCTCTTCTTGTTCAGAGTGGAGGAAAAACATATACCATCCCTTCCATCAATCCTCAGCATAACTTTGCCAGGGACACTGGTAACAAGCTACTTTTACCTCAGAAGTTGGAGAGTATCACTTGACCCACATTGTGTATGTGTAAATATCTTTATTCAGTGTATATACAATATATTCTTAATTTGACTCTCAAAGTTTATAATTAGCATTGAATGAGTATGAAACATTGTTTTCCAAATACTGTCAGCAAGCTATTGAATATGTTGTTCCTGATTTATGAATGAGATTTTCATCAGCAGAAACTTATGACAAATGACCAATTACATTGTCACTGCTAAGTTCCAAGAGCATTTCTTTCAGTTATGCTATTTAGAGTATAAACATCATACTGAATTATTATTAAACTCCACTCAAAATTTTTAATTAAGCCATCCACATCATCTAAGTCTTTTCCCTTCCCCTTCTGTGAACCTTCTTTTTTGAGACAGGGTCTCAGTCTGTCACCCAGGTTGGTGGGCAGTGGTGCGATGTTGACTCATTGCAACCTCCACCTCCTGAGTTCAAGTGATTCTCCTGCCTCAGCCTGCTGGGACTACAGGTGTGCACCACCACTCCCAGGTAATTTTTGTATTTTTTGGTAAAGACGGGGTTTCCCTGTATTTGGCCAGGCTGGTCTCAAACTCCTGACCTCAAGTGTTCTGCCCACCTTGGCCTCCCAAAGTTCTGGGATTACAGGCATGAGCCACTGCACCTGGCCTCCATAAACCATTTTTTAATCTGTTATTTTTATTTTCCTCTTTCTCTGCTCTTAACCCTCAGTCACAGAATCATGTTGCAGGGAGGGCAGGTAGGGGAAAAAGAAAAAGGAAAGGCTACAGCTTGAGTCTAATTTGTCTCAATCTAGGATTCAGAATGTCAGGTATGTACTGAGGGTGGTAGAGCAAGCTCTTAGGGTGGAGTGTCATATTTAAATGAGGAGCCAAGCATTGTCCTGAGAAGAAGGATCCTAAGGAAAAAGAGGTTGGAGGCATAGAAGATTGCTTAAGGATGAGGAGTATATCACTGGATAAAGGCAATTTTAGGCATGTCATAAAATCTGTTGCTTTCCGATTATTCCAATTCAACCCCTGTAGACTTTTATGGTCCAAGGGGAAGAAGGTCTATGACTAAGGACTAACAGCCATATACCCACAAAATCTGTTTGACAATTGCACAGTGTAACACAGAAAAGGGAAGAAGCCAGGCATTGCCATGTTGAGGGAACTGACAGAGAGTGGGAATTAGCCCCAGCACTATCAGTGGCTTGGCTGGTGGTGCAGCTTGGAGGCATTGGTGCAGAACTATTTGGGGCCGATCAGTCGGAGGTGAGATAGGCCCCTTTTAGCCAGTGGTAGAGAACAGATTACTTCTGGGGATTTCATAGGCTTTGGAGGCTTCAGAAAATGCTGCCACTTCTGGGAGCAAGAAGTGGAAAAAAGGAAAGGGGCTGTTTTATAAGCTCATATGAGAGTATACCTGGTGACTCCCAGGGGTGATGATACGGAGTTCTCTGAAGGACGTCAAAGCTCTGACAGTAGTGGAAAGAACCTTGCAGGATGTCAAATCCAACCATCATCAAATTTAGAATTCCTTCTTTAAAAAATTACTTCAATACCTCCAGTGACAGGGACTATCTACCTCTCCTAATAGCCGGTTCCATCTTTGGGTAGCTTTGACTTTCTTCACCCCAAAATTGCCTCCCAATCCTTCCCTTCATATGCTTTTGAGGTTACAGAACAATGCCAACAGCCCTTCTTCAGGAAAGCTTTTATTATTTAAAAATGTTGAATATGCTTCATTAGTTGGTTCCTCCCTGAATTAATATCTCCTTTTTCTTCATTTGTCCCTCATGTGACATGGGTTTGTGTTTCCTCGCCATTTAAGGCACTCTCTTCCAAATGTACTCTAATTTGTCTATGTTTCTCCTAAAATATGGTGTCAGGAACTGAACACAGTATTCCAGGAGGAGTCAGATCAGCTGAGAGCAGAAGGAAGCTACTTGTCACTAGCTATCCCCATCCCAGGAATCTTCCATTCCAGCTGCTAAATGTAATATAAATTCCCATGCTGCATGGGGATACTGCTTTTCAATGACACATTAGGTTAGTGTCAAAGAATAAAAAGAAATACAAGAGACCCACAAGTTCAGGAAACAATCTTGACTTATCAATTCACTGCATTCTAAATCCTTATCTATCAAATTAGCATGCACCCACCGCTCCTAAGGCTTGTAGGAAATAACATTGTCAACTTTAAAGAATAGTCATAAATTTTATTATCTTTCACAAACTCCTGGTTGGTTCTTTTAGAAATGTGTGTTTAGGGAGAAAAACAAAGGTATTGATGATAGGTCAGAATTATGTTCTTTGATGTCCCGAGAATGTGGGAACTTATCTCCCACAGAATTCAGGTGGGTTTTTTATTTGTTTCTGAAATTATATCATGTTTCCACTTTGGTAGTAAAAACAATAAATTGATTTCTTTTGGAAATTGTCTACCAGGGCTTTATCTACAGCATACACACAACAGCAGATTATTAGTCTTTTTTTTTTTTAATGAGACAAGATCTAAGTCTTTTGCCCAGACTGCAGTGGAGTGGGGTGAACATGGCTCACTGCAGCCTCAACCTCCTGGGCTCAAGCAATCCTCCTGCCTCAGCCTCCCAAGTAGCTGGGACCACAGGTGTGTGCTATCACACCTGGCTAATTTTGAAATTTTTTGTAGAGACAGGATCTTGCTATGTCTCCCAGACTGGTTGAATTCCTGGGCTCAAGCTTTTCTCTGGCCTTAGCATCCCAAAACAGACATGGGAGGGATTGGGATTATAGGCATGAACCACCATGCTTGGCCAGTATTTTCTTTTCAATAAGAATTTAGTTTTTTACAGCAAGAAAACGTTGTTATATAAATGCCTTAACATTGTATCTAGAAACTGTCAGAGCCATGAAAAATAATTAATCCAAGCATGGTTGAATATATAGTACAACTTCATTACATTTTCACTACTAATGGTTTGTTTACTAAACTTTTTCCCTCCACTCCACATTCAGGTGGGTTTTTTATTTGTTTCTGAAATTATATCATGTTTCCACTTTGGTAGTAAAAACAATAAATTGATTTCTTTTGGAAATTGTCTACCAGGGCTTTATCTACAGCATACACACAACAGCAGATTATTAGTCTTTTTTTTTTTCATGAGACAAGATCTAAGTCTTTTGCCCAGACTGCAGTGGAGTGGGGTGAACATGGCTCACTGCAGCCTCAACCTCCTGGGCTCAAGCAATCTAACATTTAATAATGTTAAACATTCTCAACAGGTCCCATCTTATTATGTTTTTTTTTCTACTTGCTGAGTTATACATAAACATGCCCTTGTTTGTGTCATATTTTTAAACACCAGGCTGCTTTACACCTTTTTGCCTTTGGATATTGTTGTGGGAATCTCTTCTGCATAACAAACCACTCCAAAAGTTGATGGTTTAAACAACAATCATTGATTTTGCCCATGAATCCACAATTTGGTCAGGGCTTAGTGGAAGTGGCTTATCTCTGCTCCATATAGTGTCACCTGGAACAGTGTGGCAGAGGCTGGAAGACCTTTTTTCAAGATGGTTCATTCACATGGCTGGCAAGTTGGTGTTGGCTGTCAGCTAGGATCTCAATAGGAATTGTGGGTGAGGTCCTCAATTCCTCCCCACCAGGACTTTCCATGGGCTGCTTGGCTTCCACCCAGCATAGTGGTTGGGTTCCAAAAACAAGCATCCCAAGAAAACCAGACAGAAGATAGCCTTTTCTCATCTAGCCATGTAAGTCACATGGTGTCACTTCTCCACGTTGTACTCATGGAAGTATCCTAACAAGGAAAAGGGAATTGGAATTCACTTCTTAATAGGGAAGTGGAAAGTTTCTAGAAGGTTTTGTGGGAGTAGAGATATTGTTGCAGCCATTTTTGGAAAATATACCCTGCCACAGATAAGTTATTCCCTCGGCTTTGAATCCCCTTTCTGTCTTTGTTCTCTAGGAAACTCAGTTTATCCCTCAGCACTCTGCTCAGATATGACGTTCTTTGTGAAACATTTTTCCAACAAAGAGTTAATCCCCATGTCTGCTGTCACCTATGTGCTTCATATATACCTCTATTATTGCCTATTACACAATGTCTTGCAATTACTTATTAATGTCTAACTTGCCCATTAGCCTATAGCTCTTCAAGTGCCAGCACTGCAAGCACTGTTTGCTGGCCCTCCATTAGCCATTACCAATGTGCTCCGTCATAGATGGTGATCTCCTGGCAGTCCTAGGGCCACCTTCCACTCCCATAGATATCACTTCCATTCTACAGCTGAGTTCTGCCCTTAGAGCCAGCTTAGTAAGGCCCCTAATCTAGGACTCGTGCTTTACATCTTTGCTGCGGACTAGACACACACCAGTAACAGATTACTAGCTGGAAGCATGTTAGAAATGCAGACTCTCAGGCCTTACCTCAGACCTACAAACCTACATTTTAACAAGATCCCCAGTGATTCACTTGCTTATTAAAGTTTGAGAAACGTTGCTTTTGGCTCTCCTCTGAGGAGTGGGGGGCCTAGCAGATGTGCCCATCTGGAGCCCAAGCCAGTGCTTCTAGAGCATGCTTCAGGTAAACAGGACTATGGAATTTTCCAGATGGCTCTGAGAGAGATTTTCCTAGTAACTGCTTGAACTTCTCTGGGTCTGTTCTCCTGAAAGGAGACAGTTTTACTGGTGCGCACAGCTCTGTGTTGAAGGGGTGGCCAAGAGGAAGCTGTTTGTGATGGGGATAGGGTAGGAAGGGTTGGAACTTGTACCTATGGGCCAGGATGTACACACACACACACGCACACACACACACACTAGCACATGAGGCTACTGGTGTAAGACAGGGTTGGGGGTAGGAAGAGAAGAGAGTAGTTTGTGGCTGGGATTTCTATTTGTACCGTTGCCCCTGGGCTCCAAAATAGTTAGGGGGCAAACTAACAGAGATACTCACTTTTCCAGTCTTTCTGGTGGAATTTTGCTAGAGATTGATTGCATTGAATTTATAGATCAATGTGAAAAGAATAGCTATCTTGACAATATTGAGTCTTTCAATCCATGAATATGAAATGTCTTTCCATTTAGGTCTTCTTCAATTTTTTTCAATGATGTTTTATAGTTGTCAGTTGTAAACTCTTGTATTTCTTCTGTATTTCATTCTCTTCACCGTCATTGTGAAGGAAATGTTTTCTTAATTTCCATTTATGATTGTTTATTATTACATAGAAATACAATTAATTTTTGTCTATTGATCTTATACAAGTGCTAAAGTCTTTTATTAATAGTTTTAGTAAAATTCCTTTGAATTTTCATATAGGACAACATTATATAAAGAAGCAGTTTTACTTCTTTCTTTCCAATCTAATGTCCTTAATTTAAAAACAAAATTTTTATAGCATTAGCTATACAAATTTCAGCACAAGATAGAATAAAAGTGGTGAAAGCAGATATCTTTGCCTTGTTCCTGATCTTAGAAAGAAAGGATCCAGCCTTTCAGCATTAAGAATGATGTTAGCTGTGGCTTTTTATAGATGCTCTTTATCAGGTTGAGGAAGTTCTATTGTTAGTTTGAGAGTTTTTATTATGAATGGGTGTTGAATTTTTTCAAATGCTTTTTCTGCATGCATTGAAATGATCATGTGGTTTTTGTTCTTTATTATATTAATCTAATACATCTTAATTCTTTCTTTTTTTTTTTAATACGTACTTTCAGGAACTTTTAGGGCTTCCTGAAGTTCAAAGCCAAAAGTTGTTAAAGTTTCACTTCCTCTGTTTGTCCTAGAGGAAACTAATTTTCTTCTCTGAAATAAAATAATTGGATTGTCATATGTTACTCCCAGTCTCCTGCTGGAATGAGTCTAGTTGCTCTCCCTCTCTTGAGCTTTAACTTATCTCAAGACTTTGTGGCTATAGTCTAAAAAGAATTAGATTTCCAAGGAAAAAGCTGATATAAATTGATATAAAATTTAAGCAATCAGGTAAAATCTACCTTCACACCACATCTTTCTTTTTCTTTTTCTTTCTTTCTTTTTTTTTTTTTTTTTTGAGATGGAGTCTTGTCCTGCCACCCACGCTGGAGTGCAGTGGTGCAATCTCTGCTCACTGCAACCTCCACTTCCTGGGTTCAAACGCTTCTCCTGCCTCAGCCTCCTGAGTAGCTGGGATTACAGGCACCCACCACCATGCCCAGCTATTTTTTGTATTTTTAGCAGAGACAGGGTTTCATCGTGTTAGCCAGGCTGGTCTCACTCCTGACCCCGTGAGCCACCCGCCTCGGCCTCCCATAGTGCTGGGATTACAGGCGTGAGCTGCTGCACCCAGCCACCACCTCTGTCTTTGCCATTGTTTTTGCAAATCACCTGGGAGCAAGCGAAACATAAGTCTCCAGATATTGCTGATCTAGAAATTAGTGGTAGAAATATAATTGAGAACTGGAGGAGAGAGATAATGTGGTATTGATAAGGATTCTAGAAAGAATGTGGTTAGGTGAACACTTTAATAAACAAAACTCAGATTCTTTGTCCTGATAACTTCAAATATTTACTGAGTGCTCACTATGTATTTGAACTGTTCAAAGGATGTTAAATTTTTGAGGTGAGTATTATCACTTAGATATCACAACAATTTTTGAGGTATTATCATTGCCCCATTTTAAAGAAGAAGAAACTGAGGCACAGATTAATTGGGCACTTTGTCCAATAACACACATCTGGGAAGTGGTGGAGCCAGTGTGTGAGCCAAGACAGAGTGACTCCATAATCTGTGTGCCCAATCATTCTGTTATATCAGAGCAGGGGCAATATTAATAGTGGGTTCCAGTGCTTTGCAGCTTACATAGGGGTAAAAATTCCACCTTTCATATACAAAATTAGACTTCACCCTTGACTACTGTGTCTGATGCCTACCATTAAAATCAATCCTTTGAGTTCAGCATCTTAAGTACCACACGTGTATGTGTGTATGTAATAAAGCAAATGATTCATTTAAAATGAGCAAAGGATTTGAACAGGTACTTCAGAAAAGAAGCTATACGAATGGCAGTAAAAAGTACGTGAAAAGACGCTTATCATTAGTTGTCAGAGAAATGCAAACTAAAATCATAATGAGATACTATGACACGCTTATTCAAATGGCTAGAATTGAAAAGGTTGACAATACTAAGTTTAAGGGAGAATGTTGAACAACTGGAGCTCATACATCATTGGTGGGAATATAAAATGATTTCATTCATTTTATAAAATATAAAATAAATATAAAACTAAAAATTTGGATAATTGTTAGTTTTTATATAAAGTTAAACATAATTTTACAATGTGACCCAGTAATTCTACTCAAAGGTTTTTACCAAAGAGAAATGACAATATATGCCAAAGAAAAATTGTACACAATGGCAATGACAGCTCTGTTTGTAATAGTTGCAAACTGGACACAAACTGTCCATCTACAGGAGAATGATTAGCCAAACTGTGGTATATCCATACATGCAACATCGTGAATGAACTTCAAAAGCCTTATATTGATGGGGGAAAATCTGGACACAAAAAGTAGCCATGATATGATTTCATTTATGTGAAATTCTAGAGCTGGCAAAATTTACCTGTGAAGCCATCCCTGTCTGAATGTGACCATAAGAAGATCAGTGGTTGTTTGGGGTTAGGAGGTCAGTTGTGGGGTGAGTTTCACTGCAGCGAACCAAGAGGAAACTTTCTAGGGTAATGAGGAATGGTATATGTCTTGATTGCAGAGGTATTTGCACAGATGTATATTGTCAAAAGCCTTTGCACTGTACACTTAATATAGTTAAATGTTACTGTATATAAATTATTCTTTGAAAACGATTTAAAAAGAAAAAGTTCTGGGTGCAGTGGCTCATGCCTGTAATCCCAATACTTTGGGAGACCAAGGTGAAAGGATCACTTGAGGCCAGGAGTTCGAGACCAGCCTGGGCAACATAGTGCGACTCAGTTTCTACAAACAAACAAGACAAAACAAAACAAGAAAAACTATATGCATGAGAGATACAAAAAAGAAGATTTTCCTGGTGATTTTTTTGTTTGCTTTTGTTTGTTGTTATTTGTCATTTGTTTTGTTCACCCAAAAGGCAGAACAGAAATGTTTGTATGGGAAGAAAGAAAAAAACAAAAGGTGTGGTTCCTGAGATGCATTGCTCCAGAAGGAACTTTGGGTGACCTCACATTCTGGGGACATCCTTTGGGTGACTAGATGGCTGGAAGGAGGGGAACAGGTGCTGAAGAATGGGTGAGACAGAGGGAGGTGGGAATGGAGGATGGTGAAGACAGGCTGCCTGGTATACAGTTGCCCCGATGGCATCTGGCTGAGAGCAGTCCATTCTATTGTTACATTTCCACTGTAATTACTTTGTCTTTAGTTTTTCAATTTGTTGGACTTAACTCTTCTAAAAGGAGTGAGAAAGAATGTCAGGAGAAAATAAAAATATGCAGTGGGATAGGATGAGGGGCCAGCAACATTCAGACAGAGATTGCTTAATTATGCTGTAACCAATTTACTGCTGAGAAAGAGAAGAACGGGAAAGCCCTTAAAGGAGTAGAAAGGACAGGCTGGGCTGGTCCTGAAGCCAGGGAAGCTGATGTACCTCCATGGCTTAATCTTGTTTTTTTCTTTTTTGGGGGGTGGGGGGTCAGGGATGGAGTCTCGTTCTGTGGTACAGGCTGGAGTGCATTGGCATGATTTCGGCTCATTGCAACCTCTGCCTCCCCGGTTCAAGCAATTCTCCGGACTCAGCCTCCTGAGTAGCTGGGATTACAGGTGCCCGCCACCACACCTGGCTAATTTTTGTATTTTTAGTAGAGACGGGGTTTCACCACATTGGCCAGGCTGGTCTTGAACTCCTGACCTCAGGTGATCTTCCCACCTTGGCCTCCCATAGTGCTGGGATTACAGGTGTGAGCCACTACCCCCAGCCTCTTTTTTTTTTATTTTATTTTTTTATTTTTTTATTTATGGGTGTCAAATAGCTCTTAGAAGGGCTGTACCTTAGTTTATTTAATTTAGCATGTAAATTTTATATAACGACCTATAGCAGTGATTTTGAAACTTAAATTTGCACAAGACTCTTGTGTTGAAATGCAGACTCGTGGACTCCCTTCCTTAGACTCTGATTCAGTGGGTTTAGGATCTGCATTTTATCCTCCATGGTTTGTACACTCTGTCTCCATGGACTACATCCAGAGAAATACTGTCCTAGATCACAGGTGAGAAAGAGAAAGCATAATTTTGATGACCATATTCACACCAAGAAAAGAAATACAGAAGTGACCAAAAGAAATCTTAGATTAAGAAAAACATCAGTATTTATTTCAGTAAGATATTTGTGTGGTGTGTGTGTGTGTGTGTGTGTGTGTGTGTGTGTGTGTGTGTGTTTAGTAAGAGAGAGCTAAGAGACCTAAATAAGGTATTAGGTAGGAGGTTTGGGGTCTTCTGATGTAGTGGCTTGCAACTTATCACCCAGACCCAGACCTGGTTTTAAGGATTCTTCTCTTTACTAGTGTATGCCTCAAATTCTCTTTTCCAAAGCCCATCAAATCAGTAGCAAATGTGAAACATTTGCTGGCCTGTCCACCTAATCCATCATAGTATAATACAAAGAGATACAAAGGGATTGGGGTGGATAAAGGAAATCGATACCTGTTTCCTGTTCTTTACCTTAAGATCCTTTGTCTGGTTTCGGTGTGTCTTCAACAGAATAGGAAACGTAGCTCAAATTCCTAATCAAAATCAGATAAAACATAGGTGATAAGATATTGTGTCTCTTCTTTTAGCAGATAAAAAATTTGAATTATAAAGGGACCAAATTGTTGGAGCCCACTGCAATTTTTTAGTTACTAGACGTTTTTGTGAGCTTCATAGTCATTTATAAACCTAATCATAAGATATTTAGAGACAAAGCCAATATTACAATAGAAATTAAGGCAATTGAACAAAAAATCTGATTCTCCCCAAATTACAGATAATCCTATATACCTTACAATGTAGATTGTAAAAATTTAGGTATGATATCAAAGTCACTGCTTAGTAACATACCTAAGTCATTCCTTCAAAATCGTCATTTAGTGAAAGAGAATAAAGCCCTTTTCTTAGCCTTTGTATAGAGATGCATTTGGTATTAGATTTGATAGGAGACCCTAAGGTGGCAAAAGAAAGTCTATTTACAGCAATCTAATAAAGCTTGCGCACCCACCTCATAGCCTTCCTTTCCCACCTGCAAATAAACACCGTCACTTAAGTGTGGTTAATGTTGGCTTCCTTTCATTTTGTTTGTCATTGTAAAGCAGGTGTTGTTCCCCAAAATTGTTCTCCATAAAAGAGGGAGTTGCCAAATAACTAAGTCCTTACAGTCTTTGTCTTATTACGGGGTTCTCTCTTGAGTTTTTAATTTTGAACAGTGAAGTACTATTTGGGAATGAGATATTAGTTGAAATGAACCTCCTTAATATGAGTCTTCAATGCTGATAGATGTCATCTAATGAAATCACTAATTTTTAAAGGAGGTAAGGAAATTTAACACAGATATTGTAATTTTTAGTGGGGGTATGACCTCACAAATACTTGTATTGAAGAACATTGTTAAAAGCTCTTTCAAATCACTTTCAAAAGCAATTCAGAAAGTTATTGCATTGAGGAGATCACTAATACACTCTTCCAGGATGCACTAAAAGGAAACTTCCCTAGCATTCTGCAAATAGGCACATGTGATTTAAGATATATTCTCTAATAACAACTTCATGCATTGATTTAAAAAGTGCTGTGTTTCAAAAACTTACTTGAAGTTTATGTATTTTGAAAAATGTTGGGTGAATCCACGATTAGTTCTAGTTATGATGATGTTGTATTTTGTTAATCTAGATTAGGATTGCCCTGACCGAAAAATTATTCCTTGTCCTCGAGAGAAGTATAAATGTGTGTGTGTTTTTTGGTATGCATTTACTTACAGGAGAATGTGTTATCATGCTAAAGAAAAAAAAGAAGGATTAGTACATTCGATTTCTTTCTTCTCAAGTTGAGCATAGACAGGACAGAGAACTGGAATAATTGGGCTCAGTGCCCACCTGGGCAATAAGACACGTGGGTTTATTAAAAACTGATGAACCTCTACTCCGTGTTTTGAATTCTCCATCCATAGCCTTCCCAGTCCCTTTACCACTTTAAGGCACATGGGTTCCCTGTATGGTTTCACTCCCAGGAAAGGTAGCATCTGTGTCTTTGTTGAAGGGTTGCCCCCAAGCGGTTGGAATCTAATTTGTCTACACTTGGGGAGTTGAAAGTGCCTGGAAAGTTAAGTTTTCTCAGAGGCAGTCCCTAACCAATGACTGATGAGTGCAGAGTAGGGTAGGGGGTAATAAATGGGCAGAATACCTTGCTCCCTGGTGGGGACAACTCTGAGGAAGTACACATGCCCTCTCCAAAGGTCTCCTGTAGAACTGAGCCTATGTTACCTTCTGTAGGACTTTGCTTTTTGCTTGCTTGGCCTTCTTCCTTTCCTGATCTCACTTCCCCTGTTGGTTTGTTTTGGGACATTTCCTAATAAATTGCTTTAGTATGAATCCTCATCTCAGGGTCTATGTCTAGGAACCCCTCCTAAAACAGGTGGTTCACTGTGGACCCTCACAATTGTCTTGCTGGGTTGTGGAAGTTAGACCACACATCTGAATAAAATGAATATCGCTTCCAGAGCAGGAAACGAGATGGCTTTCCTCTTTATAGCATATGCTGCTCAGATCACTCATTCAGAATCTAGGCACTCATTCTCCCAGCTGCTGGGAGCCCTGGCAACTCACACTCTTTTGTATCAATTGCCATTAGCCAAAGGACAGCCCTTATGGCATGGCTGGCCAATGTGGGAGTTCAGGTCCAGGCCTCTGTGTTTTTATTTAGAATGGCTTTGAAGAGCTATCCTAACTCAAGAGCTCCCTGTAGTATCAGCTGAGAACTCTGTTGCAATTCATTGCAACCCATTTTTTCTCTCTGCCCAATTTTGCCTTTTTTTTTTTTAACACCCCCACATATGTTGTTCTCAGAGGCACTCTTCCATAAAACTCGTGTTAGGAAATTTCTTAGAGTCTCTTTTCTGGGGAAACAGATCTATAATATTCTCCAACCTGAAGAGAGAACCCAGAAACCTAAACTCTGAGTTCTAGGAAACAAAGGCTCAAAGAAGTGAAGTGGCTTGCCCAAGGTCACACAGCTTATAAGGATTGACAGAGTCTGACTCAAACCACCTGAGTTTGAATCTAGACCACTCCCCCTTTCCATTTGCACATAAATCACCCAAAATACATGGCTAAATTATATTTTCAAAGATAGTGAGTTATTTTTATTTTATTTATGCATGGATTCTTAAACTGCTGCATTTCAGAAACCTACTTGAAGTGAAAATTATGTATTTTGAAAAAGTGTTGGGTAAATTTTGTGTGTGTGTGTGTGTGTGTGTGTGTGTGTGTGTGTGACAGAGTTTCGCTCTTGTTGCCCAGGCTGCAGTGCAATGGTGCCATCTCAGCTCACCACAACCTCTGCCTCCCAGGTTCAAGCGATTCTCCTGCCTCAGCCTCCCAAGTAGCTGGGATTACAGGCATGTACCACCACCTCTGGCTAATTTTGTATTTTTAGTAGAGATGGGGTTTCTACATGTTGGTCAGGTTGATCTTGAACTCCCCACCTCAGGCAATCCGCCTGCTTCAGCCTCCCAAAGTGCTGGGATTACAGGCGTAAGCCACCATGCCCGGCTGGGTAAATCTTTATTATCTTTATTTTAACAGTATTTTAAAATATTGTACTTACTTGTTTTTATTTTCCCCTATAGAAAATAAGCACTAACTAAACACTCTTCAGAATGAAGGACCATTTTAACCTTTTCTCTACCAAGCACACTTCTCTTTATTTGTGCTCTCACTAAGATTGAAACAAGAGTATTCTGGGCCAGGTGCGGTGGCTCACACCTGTAATCCCAGCACTTTGGGAGGCTGAGGTGGGCAGATCACTTGAGGTCAGAAGTCCAAGACTGACCTTACCAAATAGTGAAACCTCGTCTTTACTAAAAATTAGCCAGGCATAGTGGCAGGTGCCTGTAGTCCCAGCTACTCGGGAGGCTGAGGCAGGGGAATCACTTGAACCCGGGAGACGGAGGTTGCAGAGAGCTGAGATTGTGCCATTGTACTCCAGCCTGGGCAAAAGAGCAAGACTCAGTCTCAAAAAAGAAAAAAAAAAGAGCATTCTGGCAGCCAATACTCAGATAAATATCCACAGTAATGCTGTGTGCTCTCAGGATAAGCTTCTAGGCATTGGAAGAAAGTTTCCATCATATACTAATGATAACATTTTTCTTTGGAGCAAATGCCCAAAAGAATAGCATCTCAATCAGAGAACTTTCGTTAACTACCCAGACGAGTTCCTGTTGACCACAGTTAATGATAAAAAAAATACACATAGATGTGAACACACACACAGTGGATCTGAACTATCTTCCCTTCACTAACTCACATCAAGCTCTATCAACCTATGAGCAAATAGGAGTCAATTAAAAACCTTCATTAAGTTATCTTTTGTTCCTAGCTGTTCTATGGCTGCAGAAAGTGAATAGGATTATGCCTGTTTTGCCAGATATGATGTAGTATTAATAAAAAGAAAGACATAATCTCCTCTGCTATGAAGCCTTAGAAGAAAATAACTTCCAAGGAAAATATTCTTTATATCATTTAAAATTAAGTCTGTAATATTTTATTGGTATTTATTAATACATTTCATTAGTATTGTGAAGATGGGGGAGGAAGTAGTAAAAGGGAAAAGTGGAAGGTAAGGATATAGAATGCAGAATGAGAAAGTGAGATTGATAAGGGGCCAAACCTGCTGTTGATTGGTATTCCCTAATCTAATTGTTTTTTGGCCTACTGTGGCAATTCTTTGTACTTGAGTTCAAGAAGATAGTAGTAATATTCTGCCACGGCCCAGTAGAACTTTCCTATGACTACCATGTGCAATATAATTGTCACTAGACACATGCGGCTATTGAGCACTTGAAATGAGACTAGTGCCACTGAGGAACAAACTTTAATTAAAATTTAAATTTAAATATCCGCATGTGGCCAGTGGCTACTGCATTGGACAGTGCAGCCTAAAAGTATTATCAACAAGGTGAAAATTTTATTTGTTAACATCTTTCATTAAAATTCCCTCTAGGTACAAAAATGTCTTTCTTTGGCATGGCCTGTGCTAAGCCCATTGGGTTATGTATTCTACTTTACATGTATTAACTTATTTAATTCTCAGATTAACTTATTGAGAGTTACTATTATACCCAGTTAAGAGGCAATGAGTCTGAGGCACAAATAATTTAAGTAATGCCTAAGAATCACATGGTAAGTAGAGATCCAAAGACGTGGCTGTCATCAGGTGCTAAAGGCATGCTTGTAGAAGGATAAACTGCCTGGCATAAAAAAAGGGAACATCTGAAAAGATGATTAGAGTGAGAAAGATGGAGAGAACTGGGTCTCTATGGGGTAAAAAGCCCATGAGGCTACAGGGAAGGGACTAGAGCTGTGCTATAAATAAGGTAGCCACGAGCCATGAATGGCTATTTAGATTTAAATATGTTAAAATTAAATAAAGTTAACATTTAATTTCTCAGTCACATTGGCCACATTTAAAGTGCTCAAAAGCCACATGTGGCTAGTGGCAACTGTACTAAGCAGTGCAGAACATCTCCATCATCATAGAGTTCTATCGGACAGCTCTGAGTCGAATGATAGTTCAAGGATGGCTGCATCTACATGAACACAAGAGGTGGTTTTCACGGATTTAAGTCAAACCTCTTTTTCATCTTTCCCCCAAATTGCTGGCAAAGCCCATTAAGTTCATGAATCTCTGTAGAAGTGAGTGTAAATTGAAGAAAAGGCTGCACTTCTCGCCTAGGTGAATATGACTTGGTATATGGGGTCTCTCTCAAAAGCAAGAGGCTGGAATCTGAAGTAGTCACATAAAGTAGCCAAAAGTATTATTGAGGGGTAAGGGGGGCTTTGAACTCCCATAAACTATGGAATTAATTAGAAGAGTGGTAGTGGTTTGAACCGTTTTTTTTACTAAAATTTCTGGATACTCTGACCCTCTCCACTCCACCTGACAAAATTCATGTAACCACTCCTGTAATGTGAAATGGAGAACTATTTTCTACTCTAGTCTTGATCTCAGAGTCCTTAAAATAAGGACACTGGGTCTTTTTGAAAGCCACAATTTGTGGTCTGTATGTACCTAGCCCTCCTGTTATTGATTTTAAGTTACCACACAGGTGACATCCCTGGCTCTAAATATAATAGTGGTTAGCAATCTAAGAGCAAAACACTGTTTTAAGCATTTTATATATATTAAACCTATTTAGTTCTCAGATTAACTCAAAGAGATAATGCTATCCCCATTTTAGAGATAATGAATCCAAGGTACAGAGAGATTAGGTAACTTGCCACTATTCACATAGTAAGTGGGAGAGGCAGGATTTGAATGAATTTATCCCTAGACTCCAATCAATGTCTTTCTTATGTTTCAAAAGGCAGATAATCATAGTGATTTATGTCTTGTTGGCTTGGCCCCTGAATCCCACCCATGTGTGTTGCCTTCATGGATACTTCATGGCAAGAAGAGCTGACTCAGTCGGGTGTGGTGGCTCACACCTGTAATTCCAGCACTTTGGGAGGCCGAGGTAGGTGGATCACCAGAGATTGGGAGTTCGAGACCAACCTGACCAACATGGGGAAACCCCATCTCTACTAAAAATACAAAATTAGCCAGGTGTGGTGGTGCATGCCTGTAATCCCAGCTACTTGGGAGGCTGAGGCAGGAGAATCGCTTGAACCTGGGAGACAGAGGTTGTGGTGAGCCAAGATTGCGCCAAGAGTGAAACTCTGCCTCAAAAAAAAAAAAAAAAAAAAAAAAGGAGTTGACTCTGCAGGTGAATTTCAAACATTAATCCATGTGCCCATGATCTCTAGGAGTGTGGATTTGGAAGATAGGGGCATCCGGAACTATTTGTAACTGAAAGTACCAACCTCCACCCTTTGGGTGGAAAATAAAAGTATTCTTGGCTATCTGTGCAGCACTCTTAAGGAACTGGGTGCTAAGCTATTGAAAATTTCTAGTTGTTGTCTGAACACCTTCTTTTTTTTCTCACTGCAACCTCCACCTCCTAGGTTCAAGTGATTCTCCTGCCTCAGTCTCCTGAGTAGCTGGGACTACAGGCGTGTGCTACCACGCCCAGCTAATTTTTGTATTTTTAGTAGAGACGGAGTTTCACCATGTTGGCCATGCTGGCCTCGAACTCTTGACCTCAGGTGATCTGCCTGCCTTGGCCTCCCAAAGTGCTGGGATTATAGGTGTGAGCCAATGCACCTGGCCTTGAACATCTTATTGACACTATTTCACCAGCCATGTTACATACAGCAGAATGGGGGTAGTGATATATGCAATCTATAATTAATTGCACATTATAGACTTGCAGAATGCTAGTGCTTGGATGGACTTTAGCAGTCACCTGGCCCAGACATTCTTAATAGCTGGGCTATAAATCATGCTTCAGAATCATTCAGGAAGACTTTTAAACATGCAGAGGCCAGGTTCTATCTCTGGTAACTCTGACTCAGTAGGTCTGTGGTTGGGCCTGGGCATCTGTACTTTAAGGAGATACTCATTAAAAGGAAATTTAGTCAGGTGCGGTGGCTCATACCTGTAATCCCAGCACTTTGGGAGGCCCAGGCAGGTGGGTCACCTGAGGTCAGGAGTTCGAGACCAGCCTGGCCAACATGGTGAAACCCCCGTCTCTACTAAAAATACAAAAATTAGCCAGGCATGCTGGTGCATGCCTGTAGTCCCAGCTACTTGGAGGCTGAGGTGGGAGAATCACTTGAACCCAGGGGAGGCAAGATCATGCCACTGCACTCCAGCCTGGGTGACAGAGTGAGCCTCGGTCTCAAAAAAAAAGAAAAGAAAAGAAAAGAAATTCATTAGTCACATTTGGAGGATGCTAAATAAATAATTTATTATTTTAAAATCTGGCAAATAAAGAGGAAAATCATGTACTCATCCTGCTTTTCATTTACCAACTCTATCGAGAAAATTATACAGCTGTTTAGGGACAGTTTCTCTTTATTGTAGCATTGCAGCTAGTAAGTAAAGAAAGAATGTTAGAATATCACCATTCTGTAGCTCCTAATGAATCAGTGAATCTGGGCAATGGTCATCAATAGCTGTGAATAACACAAAATGGCTCTCCTGATGAAAGTACACAATACAACATGTAAAATGTTCTCAACAAAAAATTAAACTAGGATCTCATCAAATCTCTGTATCTCACTTTCAATTTGCAGAAGATACAGAGGACAGAGGAACATGCTAAATGACACCAGGGAAATCGGTCATCAAAATCCAGACTGTGAGAAAGTCTATAGGTCAAGTCATCTAGTTTCTTCATCCAATACATTGCAAGGGGGGAAAAAAGAAGGGGAATCTATCAAGTAAAAAAGACTTAAGAGACATAGCCATCAACTGAAGCTGGAGCTTATTAGGCTGTTGATTTAATCACACAAATTTTTAAAAATATTATTAATTTTGTTAGGTGTGACAATTGCATTGTGGGTATGTTTTCAGAGATACTGAAATATTTATGGATGAAATGAATATGAATATTTATTAATAAAATAAAAGGATCCATTTTAAAATAATTGCGAGGAAGAGAAGTGGACAAGAAGATAGATGTGGATCAAACCAGGTTGGCCCTAAATTATTATTATTTTTTTTTGAGAGAGAGAGTCTTGCTCTGTTGCCCACGCTGGAGTGCAATGGTGCGATCGTGGCTCACTGCAACTTTCACCTCCTGGATTCAAGAGATTCTCCTGCCTCAGCCTTCCTAGTCGCTGAGATTATAGGTGCCTGCCACCATGCCCAGCTGATTTTTGTGTTTTAGTAGAGATGGGGTTTCACCATGTTGGTCATGCTGGTTTCAAACTCCTGACCTCAAATGATCTGCCCGCCTCGGCCTCCCAAAGCGCTGGGATTACAGGCATGAGCCACCACGCCTAGTCATTCTGTAACTCTTAATGAGTCAATGGATCTAGGTAATAGCAATAGATCTAGGCATTGATCATCAATGAATAAAACATAAGAATATTGATGCAACATACAAGACTGTGTATGAATGAATACTTTAAGCTACTGTCCTAAAATAAAGATGCCTGGATGACTCTGATGATAGGCCCATGTTGAGAACATTAATCTCTATCCCTATTATTCACATGAGAAAATAAGCAGTTAAGTCATACAACAGATACGAAAATAAGGCACTTACTCAAAGACCTAAACTTGTTTCGTCATGCATGTTCTTGCTTTTCCTTTTATATTGTACGGGAATGTTTTTTTTTTAAAAAAATAGTACATAAATCTAGCAAGATATGCTTTCATCAATTTTCTTCATTTCAATTCTGGTAGTTCCTACTGACCATTTTGGTCAGTAAAATATTGCGTCTTGCAGCAGCATTACCTGCTAAATGAAAAGAGAAAGAAAGGTAGTTAATGTAATTACTGTCCCTACAGTGATGGTCCATACATTATCTATCTACTCTTCTAAAGAGTTGGGCAGTACAGAGGGTAAATTGTAATATCCCAAAGATTAGCTTTTCTTAAGGACAATTATATTGCTAATTTAGGTAGTGTCTGAAATGGGAGAGAAATGATAAGAAAAACACTTGAAGGAATCCAGGGCTCTGGAGGTAATCCTGGAGTAGTTGAAAGGCTTGGAGCTAAAAGACTTGGATTCAAGCCCTGACTGTCCTCTTATTACAAGGTGAATTTAGACAAGCCATTCAACTTCCCTGAACCTCAGTTTCCTCTGATGTGGCAGGTTGACCTCACAAGATTGCTGTGAAGATCAGATGGAATATGTCTAAAAAATTTGTAAACTCCATAATGTGAGGTCAATATAAAGGATCCTTAACTAGGCTCATTCATTCTGCCAATGAACTGAATCTATCTTTGACAGTTGCCAAATTCAGAAATGTGAAAAGAACTATTTGGCTTTCTTGCAATTGGGTGATTTTCATTGAATCTAGGCTATAGCACCTTCTTCATCCTTGGCTAGACAATCCATAATGTCTTTTTTAAATCAAATAGCTTAATTCCTGTTTATTCTCCTCTCCCTAGGAAGCATAAAAGGAAGGGGTTTGGATGATACATCATGGAGAGGAACCATAGAATAAAAGGAGAAGTAGGATTTCAAACAGTTACATACATCTGAGGGAAAGTAAAACAAAAGAGTAATGCATGATGGAAAGTAGAACTGAGAAGAGAGGAGTGAGGAAGATTGAGAAGGTAGACATACTTCCAGATTGACATGAGTTTGGGTCCTCCATAGCATAATATTCCAAAGCCTTGGTTTTGTGCATATCTCTGGTGTCCAAACAGCATATTTACTCCTCTGGGTTCTACCCAGCACCTAACAAAGTACTATGCACATAGCAAAAACTCAATAGATATGTGTGGAATGAATCATCTTCCCATTAAAGCTGAAACAATAGAGTGTTGGCTACACAGGTTTATTCTGTAAAAGGACTTGATAGCTCAGAGGAGGACTGAGCCATTAAAACAACATTGAGAATTCAGTCTAGGTTGAGGTGATTAATTATCATGCTGTTTTCTCCGGCTTGGCCAGATCCCCTAACCACTTTTAAGCGTTCTGTACAGCTTGTGTACAGCTAGAAGGTGCTAACAGGCTGAAGAGAAGCCTAGGAAACCACTATTATTGTCTAAAAATTTTGCCTAAAAATTTTGCAGAGTTGAATTTGTGAATCCTCTTTTGGAGATAGAATTCCTGCTCTTGTATAATCTAATTGCTACTCAAACAGAATATCTTTAATTGGCGCATTGTTTCCACCTTGCCTGCTTTGAAATACACCAGTCAACTATTTTTCTTTTTTTTAAAATAAGGGTAAGAGGTTTCTCCAGAGGTCATTGCTTACTAGGATCCTCTGATGTCTTACATATTAAATACTGTTATAGATAGTAAATGATATTGTAGATATCAATATTAGTTATTTAATAATGTTATAACTATTAATTTATATATATGATATGTAAAATACTGAGCAGAATGGCATCAGTCTCAGAGATTTAACTCAGATGATCAGGCAATAATTGTTCTTTTTGAGAAATGTTTTGTTTAGGAGTTATCTTACGTCAAGTTCCTTAGAAGCAGAGCCTGGGATGAGGATTCTTCTTTGAATGATTTATTGGGGCAGTGTTCCCAGAAGAAGGGAAATGCAGAAACAGGATAAGATAAGGGAAGGAGCTAAGCAAGGATGCGGTCTCAGCCAGAGACTACCTTCTGCCTGCTCCCACAGGGGAAGATCTGAAACACTAATTACACCTCAATGTTTGATCCTCTTGAGGCAAGGGGACTGGCTTTTGATCTCCAAATGCCAGTCACTGGCTGGGGTCTGTCCCTGTAGGGAATGGGGTGGGGAGACACAGCCCAGCCGTCTGGGTCAGGTGGTTCCAGTTTGGCTGAGGGCAGTTCTCTCAAGGAGAGAGCAGCTGTGAGCCATTAGCAGCCAACTGTGCAGCTGGACAGCCAGAGCAGCTAAAGCCCTTGGTGAGGCACCAAGAGCTACATGGCTCCTTTTACATGGTAAAAGGAATCTTGAAAGCTCAGTGCATTTTGTAGTCATTTTACTTGACCAAAATTTTTGAATGAAAAATTGAATAAGTGAAAGAGAAAAGAATTCTGGAAGCTCAGGTAAGACAGTATTGCTTGCCTTTGAAAATACAATTTCTGTTCTTCATGCATTTTCTTTGGTTAAAGTAACCTAAAATAGTATTTTATCCTTTTATTCTTTAGTTTTTTTTTTTTTTTAAAGAAATTGATGGCCTGGCATGGTGGCTCACGCCTGTAATCCCAGCACTTTGGGAGGGCCAGGCAGGTGGATCACTTGAGGCCAGGAGTTCAAGACCAGCCTGGCCAACATGGGGAAACCCTGTCTCTACTAAAAATACAAAAATTAGCTGGGCTTGGTGCTGTGTGCCTGGAATTCCAGCTACTCAGGATGCTGAGCACAAGAATCTCTTGAACCTGTGAGGTAGAGGTTGCAGTGAGCTGAGATTGCACCACTGCACTCCAGCCTGGGAGACAGAGGGAGACTTCATATCATTGATGAATGTGGGAGAACTGACTACACTAATTATTGCTCAAATTATTACTCTGGAATGAACCTGTAGAACTAATAAGACTTGCAATACATAGATAGATCTGGCAACTTGCATTTGTAGGTTTACAACATGAATCAAGTGGATTAAGCAGATTCCTACAAACTTTCAAATTTAAGCAGCAGCAGCTCACAAGATGAATATAGAGAAAATGTTCACCAACATCAGTATGACAAATACTATCTTATGTGTCTAACTAGGAAATTCTACCAGCCTGTGTGGATTGAGTGTTACATGAAACTTCCTACTTGAATACAGTTGGTGACATTTATTTTAATATTAGGAGAAGTTTTGGTGAGCACAGGAAAGGATTGCAACAATGATGGAATAGATTGGTAGGTTTTTCTATAACTAAATAGAATATACACATACACACACATATGCATCCTCATTCAGTGTTATTTCATATCCATTTCACTGCTAGCACTAAAATGGAAATAGCATTTGTTACTTAAATGGGGCTAAGGAAAAAATAGATTAGAATTCATACAACATTTTGCATGTGATAATGTGATGAAATCTGCCAAAATTACACATTATCTCTGTCCTTCTTACCTCTTTTTAATTTGTAAAAATAACCCAATTTGTACTACTTTTAAAGTTTTTTTTTACTTTTTATTCCAACTATTTTTATTATTTCAGAATTCTTTTTAAGATGTAACCACAAAAAAGGCATGAAAGAGCTATATGTATAAACAAAAAAATTCTTATGTGTGATACAATCCCAAATACTGTATACTCATGAAAAGATAAAGAAAAATAGACATAGATCTGGACCCAGAATAAAAGATAAACTTCCCTATGAAAACTACAAAAATATCCTCAAGGACAGGGGAATAGGAGAGTTAGGAGACTTTGAAGACAAACTGGAGTATCTAAAATATTACCAAGAGTCCAAGCATATAGGTAGCTTAGAAAAGATCAGAAAGGTAGTGGTTTTTCAGGGTAAGCAGAATGATGTGAGATAGCCTCAGGGAATTAGTAAAGTGCTGGGATCAAAAGGGAGCATCAGTAAGGAATAAGGAAGCTGAAAGCATTAAGATGACTGTAGGTGGAAAGGAGTTCAGAAACTTTCAAGGGAACAGAGTTGAAGAGAAGGTTCTTGCTGCCATTGCACAACCTCCTGTAGTTTATAATCTAACCAGAATCCTTGTTGTTCACTTAATAAAAAAAAAACAATAAATAATGGCCAGGCATGGTGGCTCACTCCTGTAATCACAGCACTTTGGGGGGCTGAGGCGGGTGGATCACCTGAGGTCAGGAGTTTGAGACCAGCCTGGCCAACATAGTGAAACCCCGTCTCTACTAAAAATACAAAAAATAAGCCAGTTTGTGCCTGTAATCCCAGCTACTCAGGAGGCTGAGGCAGGAGAATTGCTTGAACCTGTGAGGTGGAGGTTGCAGTGAGCCAAGATGGTGCTACTGTGCTCCAGCCTGGACAACACAGCAAGACTGCGTCTCAAACAAACAAACAAAAAACCAATAAATAAATCAACAACTCTTTCCCAAAACGGTACCCTTCACTTGGTTCTGTCACCTGGGCCTTCAAGACCCATCCTTCTAGGATTGCTGCTTCCTCTGTGTGGGGTAGAATGCCTGCCCAGAGGTTAACCTTGCTCTTTGGTCTCTGTTTCAGTGAGAGACACCTGGTGCCCTTTTAAAAGATGACTCACAGGTGAATCACAGACAAATCCCTCTCCTCACTCCTCATTCCCATTGCTCAGGGAAAGTAATCAGAATTTTGTGTTTCAGGGTCAAAAAAGTAGAAGCTGCTATGTAATGTGGGCTCCCTGAGACTATCTAGGGGTTCCTGAAAGCCTAAGGGGAGGTAGTATGACCTCAAAAGGGCAGAAGAGAGCAAAGAGCAACCAGCCAGAGTGTTGGCAGATCACTTGAGCCGGCCGAGTCTGCAGAACAGGTGGACCTCATTGTTGATCTCCAGATGGAGGACACGCTTTCCAGGGCAGTGTGAGCAATGACTCCTCCACTTTCCCCAAGAGGTGGGCAGAAATGTGAGAGCTCTCATTTTTTTTTCCATCTAAAGTTAAGCTTTACTAATAATGAATATGCATTGACACTGGTGCCTTTAGTGTATATTAGATGGTTACATGTTACACACAGTCTTTGAGGTATTTCAAGGCAACAATGAGAGCTCTACTTTGTGTGTGTGTATGTGTGTGTGTGTGTGTGTGTGTTTGGGAAGGGTTGACCTTGGCAACCTCACTCATTTGCTTTCAGAGTATTGTGATTGATGTTGCAGCTTTTATTTGTACCACTTGAAGAGCATTTATAACTTATATCTAGTTTTAACTAAACTGTTACAAAAGAATAAGTGGATTAAGCAGATTTGTACAAAGAAAGTGTTTGAAGACTATACTAAAGGCAAGCACAAGCAAACAACAAGAAGCAACAGAGTTGATAATGCTTTTTCATTATCAGTCAAGGTAAAAAATGGTGATGACCTAATGATCTGACAAGATCAGCTAAAATAAATTTTCATTATCAGGATGGCTATATGAAATAAATATACATCTCTAGTTTCATTAATAATGGCCTTACCTTATGTAAAGAGGGAGTGCCAAGATGTTAGTGTAACTATTTTAGAGAATGAGATGAACTTGGTGGAACAAATTTTGGGAGAAACAAGACAGTAAGGAATTGATGTTATTTTTCCTCAAACAGTGTTCTCAATAGTGACACACTTGTCTCCTTTCATTGTTTAACAAGATCTTGAGTACATTCTACTCTAGTCACTTTCAGCTATGTAAATAAAAGTCTTATTTAGGTAATTCTAACTCATTTTCCTGTGTTGGAAGGTTCAGGTCAGTCTAACATCAAAACATCAATGTCACATCCAAGTCTGAAGAGTCTTTCCTTCTTTCTCAGCCTTTCTCAGTCAGATGAAGAGAAGTGATATGGTTTGGCTGTGTCTTCACCCCAATCTCACCTTGAATTGTAGCTCCCATAATTCCCATGTGTTGTGGGAGGGACCTGATGGGAGATAATTGAATCACGGGGGCAGTTTTCCCTATACTATTCTTGTGGTAGTGAATAAGTCTCACAAGATCTGATGGTTTTATAAAAGGTTTCCCCTTTCACTTGGCTCTCACTCTTTCTTGCCTGCTGCCATGTAAGATGTGCCTTTCATCTTCTGCCATGATTGTGAGGCCTCCCCAGCCTGTGTCCATTAAACCTCTTTTTCTTTATAAATTACTCAGTCTCGGGTATGTCTTTATCAGCAGCATGAAAATGAACTAATGCAAGAAGCAAGTCTTTTTTTTTCTTTTGTCATTTTTGCTGCTATTGTCCATCCTGGTTAACATTGTCTGGTTCTTTCATGGGACATGTGTGTGTTCTTTGAAATTCCTCCTGTGGGGATTTCCAGAGTGATGTGAGTGATGCATTCTACAGTGACCTCAGCTCTTGCATTTGGCAGTCTATCCCACAGCCTCTAACTCCTAAGCTTCCCTCTTCCCCTGGGTGGCTTTCTTGGGTAGATCCCATCAAGATGGCTTGAACATCCTTACTTTCCATTGTACCCATGTAGTTCATGAGAAGCTCTAGCATCCTTACCACCCCAAAAGTACAGATTGTTCCGATTTCTGCTCTCCTTGCCTTCTATAGCAAATTACTTCAGCCCGCCTCCTGCTTTTTGTAGTCACCAGCTGGTAAGCAGACCCTAGTCTCTGTTTCACTCTTCTTTCATTCCCACATCCAATCAAGCCCCAAATCATTCTGTTTTTAATTCCTAAGCATTTCTCAAATATCTTTCTTCCTTTCTTTGCCACCATTTTATTGGTTCAGTCTTTCATCTATTTTCCTCCCTGACTTATCTTGTCCTCTTAAAATCTATCCCTGACATGGCTGCCAGAATGATCCATCAAAAATGAAAATTGGATCACATTACTACCCTGCATAAAATGTGTTGATAGTTCCTCAGTTGGCATTGCCAAGTTTCTTAACTTGCCCTAAAAACTTCTACATGATCTTGTTCTTGTTGAGTTCTCTTGTCACCACGTGTACATGCCAAGCTACATCTTGGCTGCCTTGATTTTTGCTGTCCTCCTTCTGTCGGAAATGTTTTCCACCCACTATGCTGTTCTTCCTTCACCCACCTCCATCCCCCGCCAACTCATTCATTAAGACTCAGCTTACTTTCATCGCATCCAGGGGGTTTTCCACGAGCCCCACCCCTGCCTGTGCTCCCACAGCCCCTGAGCTGGATAGGAGTGCCTCTTCCATGCTCCTTAGTCTCCCCTGTCACTGCCTGTTCCATTTCTGGGTTTACTGTGCACATTGTAGTACCTATGTGTTCTTCTCCCCATTAGACTGAGTGTCTAAGAGGAAGGACAGGATCTTTTTCTTCTGAGACCCGCCTCGTGCCTGGCACATAATAGGCACTAAATGAATATTTACCAAAGGAATAAATTAATAAATGAAAGAATAAAATAAGGCTTCAAGATAACAAAGGGCAAGAAACCAGGCTGGGAGTGTTGATTCCTCTCTTCCTTTCCTTTCTATTATTGCTGGTGCTGTTCTGAATCACCACCAAGTGGGCTTTCTCAACAGCAACCGGTAGTGCCATCTGTACTCCCACCATTTGTCTGCAAATCTTTTTTTTTCCCCTACTTAAGAAAAGACAGGGCCAGAGTAGGTAATCACTACATTTACTTTTAGCACTGCAATTCCTGCCCCAGAGGATGATGATGACTTGCCCAATTCAAGAAAAAGAAAACCTGAGCTTGTTCTTGTGGGCTTTCTTGTTGGATTCCAGACATGTGGGTGTCAGGGTCAGACTTGTGAGTAGTCCTAGAAGGGCACTTTTGAGATGTTTTTAGATTCCTGAGGTAGGGTCTGAAGGTCCTAGTTTTTCCAGAGTATTTTTGCAAACTTTTCACAACCACAACCAACAGAAAAGGATGAGGTTTTTGGAGGGTAGGACTGAGCCAGCATGATGGGCAGCCAGGAGAACCCAGGGCCAAGATGGAGGGAGGACCTGGAAACAGAATGTTCAAGGTGATTCCATTTGCTGAGGCCCCAAAATAGGGGGCTGGAGGACATAGAGAAAGGCTCTGTTGGCACATTTTGCCTGTGTCTGTATTTTCCTAATGTCTAACAGCATTGAATCTGGGAAATATTAGACATCTGCCAAGGGGGAAAGTGACACAGGACTCGGCAGTGTCTAGGATTATTTTAAAAAAACCAAACTTGTCCTCAATGATGGGAGTCACTGAAAATATCTTACTCTTGCAAAAGTATGGACTTTCTAAATTAAGATAAATAATTCTGGCCCTTGCTTCTTGCATATTCCTAAGATCATGGTTATATAAGCAGTAAGATTCCTATAAAACTTTGAAAAAACACCAGTATACTTTGCAGCCAGTTAGGCAGCCATTTCTTCTTTTCAGATAAAAGAGTCCCGATTTTTCTTTTTGGGAATTCATCCTTTTCCACATTCGGTCCATTTGGGGTCTGATCATCTTTTGGCTCCAGGAGTGGGCAAGTGTTAGGCTCAGGACTAGACAATAAGAGGAGTATATTCCCTGGGCATGGTGATTTGTTTAGGGGAGAGAACACCAGTCAGGCCAAGGAGAGATAGACATGGAAGTTGTCTTGGAATGCTTGTCAAAGATTTTTTTTCTTTTTTTTCTGATGGGATGACTACTGTGAGAAAATGTAAGCCTAGAGATGCTAGAGGCCATATCTGGAGCAAGCCTTTCTGGAAATAATGCCAAGTCAGAGGAAAGGAAAGCCTGCTGATGGAGAAAATCAGATTCCTGATGACACAGTGTCTGTGCCTAGATCAAGCCAGCCCTGAAACTGACAAAACTCTGGACCTTTACATTCCAAAAGCCAATAATTTTTCTCCTCCCCACCCTCTTACCCTGCTTGTTTAAGGCAATCTTAGTTGGGTTTCCTGTTACTGCCCCCACAGAGAGTACTGACAGCCTAGGCCCTGGGACTCTGCCTGGGGTGGATGGAGCTGCTGCTTCTGTGGCCATCTAGGAAGTATTTCTTATTTATGCCCTTCTGGTTCATGCAGAAATGATACAGGAGCCCAAACTATGGAAAATGGCAGGGGTTCTTAGGAAAGAAGCTGGTTCTGTTTACCCTTCTTTATAGACAGACGTGTAAAGTAAAGAAAATCACATTGATTTGAGAGATGACATATCTTTCTAAGGTTACTGTGAAACTTTGAACACTTTCAAAAGGGAAAATAATTTTTCAGTTTTCCTTTCATCTCTATTTCTTTTCTGAGGAAAGAGGTAAGGAATGCTCTTCTACTTTGGATCTTGGGTTTTCTCTGTTTGTCCTTCCTCCCAGCCCATTGCCCTTTCCGTCTGCCCTCCCGGAGGCCACACTCACAGTCCTGCCTTGGCTGCCACATCACTGTGGGGCAAGCCTTCTCCAAAAGCTCCGGTTCTGAAATAGTTCTCTCTGATATCATTACTCGCGCTTTGCATCCCTTCTACTTTCTTGTTTCTCTTGAACTCAGTTCTGTCCTCATTCATTTCACAAGTATTTATTGGGTACCTACTATGTGGCAAGCACAGTTTTAGGCACTTCAGATACATCAGTGAACAAAATTCAAAGATCCCTGATTTCATAGAGCTTACATTCTAGTGGGGGCTGTGGGAGTCAGGCAATATATAATCAACACAACAAACAAGTACATTATGTAGTGTCTTAGAAAGGCTATGAAAAAATGAAAAAAAAAATAGAGAAGAGGAGGCGGTCAGGATTCCTGGGAGTAAAAGTGGTTGCAATTTTAAATAGTCTGCATTGAGAAAGAGAAATATGAGCAAAGGCTGGAAGGAGGAAGGGACTCACCATTAGAAATCTGGGGGAAGAGTGTCTCAGGCAAAGGGAACAGCCAGTACAGAGTCCCTAATGCAACACTGTACCTGGCAGTGTTTATGGAACAGCAAAGAGGTCAGTGTGCCTGGGGTGAAGAGAGGAAAAGCAGGACTAGCAGGAGGTCAGAGGAGGAGGTGAGTGGTAGGGGAGAGGTAATAGGGGTCAGTGTCATGCAGGACTTTGACTTTTTTCTGAGTAAAATGAGGAATCTTTGGAGGGTTTCAGGGAGAAAGGGACATGATCTGACTCAGATTTTCCAAGGACCACTCTGGCTGCAGAGTGAAAATAAACTCCAGAGGAGCGAAGGTGGAAGCAAACAGTATGGTTATTGCAGGAATCAATGCCGGAGACGCTGATGGCTTGGATCAGGGTAGAGGCTGTGCAGGTGTTGGTAAGTGGCTGGAAATCTGGGTCTCTTTTAAAGACCCAGCCATGAGGACTTGCTAACAGATTAGATATGGAGTGTGGGAGAAGAAGCATTTGTAAGGATAGAGCTGCCATCACCCGAGAAGGGGGAAGACTGAGGGTAAAGCACCTCTGAGAGGAATATTAGCAGTTCAACTTAGGACAAGCTGACGAGGAAGTTGGAAATGCTGAGCTGGCAGCTGAGCACTAGGTTTCAGGAGATAGGTCTGGCCTGGAAAGATAAATTTGGGAGTTGTTGCCATCTAGATGGTAGTTAAAATCTGATTGTAAACTGTAGGTCTTTCTTAGCCAGTAAGCCTCCTATTACCCTCCTGACTTTACCGAGAGAAGTTGACAGCATGACACAGTGGAGAAAATATAGGCTTTTGAGTTGGACAGATCTGGATCTGAGTCCCAGTGTTACTACCCTGCTAATCATGTGGCTCTGGGCAACTTTCTTACCTTGCTGAGTTGCAATTTACTTATCTGAAAAATTGGATGACAACACCTACTTCCTAGGGTTGTTGAGCTCATTAAATTAAAGAATGCAAAACTTTTGGTGCATTGTAGATTCTTAACAATTATTTTCTTCCCCTTCCTTTTTAAATGTAGTCTGGAGACTAACCAATGACTGTAGCTCTGGCCTTAGCTTTCTGGACCAGTGCTGCTCAAAGGGTGGTGCTTGAACTAGTAGCAATCAGCATCACCTGGGAGCTTGTTGGAAATGCAGCTTTTCAAGCCACACCATCCTACTGAATCAGAAATTCTAGGGGTGGGACCCTGAAATCTGTATTTGAACAAGCTCTCCAGGTGCTTCTGATACATACTAGAATTTGAGGACTACAGCTTTAGTGTCTTCTGATTCATAAACTTCCGCCTGACCCCTGAGCATACCTATTTCCCTGCTCATGTTTCTGCATAGCTATTTTCAGAAAAAGTTATATCAACCTCTTGGTTGAGTCTAGAATTACACTTTAACTCTTTCCACATAAAACAAAGCTATTCTAGAAGATACTCAAACTCAACATGACCCCGAAAACTCACTCTTCCCTGCCCCCCATCCCCTTCAAAGAGTAAAAACGAACTGTAAAATAACTGACTTCCTTCTCTCCTCCTAGGTTTCCCATTTTAATAATAATTAGAGAAATGTGTTCACTAAAAGCTCACTTTATGTGCCACATTACATGTATCAATGAAATGATATATAAGGTAGGACTAATGTGAATTTCCACTTACTAGATGAGGAAATTGAGGATTAAGGACATTAAATAGCTAACCCAAGGGAACAGAGATTGTGCCAATGGGGACATCAGAAGGAGACCATAAAGCTGGAGCAGAGAGAAGGGACTTGCTTTTTCCTCTTTGTTGCCTGCATCACCCTTGCAGTGCCTTTCACTCCAGCAGAGGCACTTTGTTCTAGTTGCAAAGGTAAATTCCTATTTTGCAATTTTCCCAACACTTGCAAAGCTATCTTTATTGTACTTCCCATCCCCATCCTTCAAATACCAGCATCACTGGCCGATGTGCCCTCCTCAAAGGCTTGGATTCCAGCCCCATGGGACACCACCAGACTCAGGAACAGCAACAGCAGTTGAAAACACCTACTTCTCAAGGTCTAGTCCCCAGATCTATGGGGTTCCTCCACCAAACTACTACTACTCTACTACTTCTCCTTCCTTTTTTTTTTTTTTTTTTTTTTTGAGAGGCAGGTTCTCATTTAGTCACCCAGGCTGGAGTGTAGTCATGGGATCATGGCTCACTGAAGCTTCCACCTCCTGGGCTCAAGTGATCCTCCTGCCTCAGCCTCCCAGGTAACTTAGACTACAGGCATATGCCACCAAGCTCAGCTAATTTTTGAAAATTTTGGAGACAGCAGTTCTCACTATGTTGTCCAGGCTGTTCACAAACTCCTGGCCTCAAGTAATTCTCCTGCCTTGGCCTCCCGAAGTGCTGGGATTATAGGCATGAGCTACCACACTCGGTCCCTCTAAACTTCTATATTTTAATAATTATAGTTTCTTCCTTTTGTTCCCCCAGTCCTAGGGATGGCAGCTGCCTCCTGCTATTGCTTACTTCATGATACCATGTTTATTTATTTATTAATTAGAGACAGGGTCTTGCTTTGTCTTACAGTGTCATGATCATGGCTCACTGTGGCCTTGACCTCCTGGGCTCAAGTGATTCTTCTGCCTCGGCTTCCAAGTAACCAGGATTACAGGTGCATGCCATCATGTCCTACTAGATTTTTAATTTTTTTTCTAGAAAAGGGTCTCACTGTGTTGCCCAGGCTGGTCTCAAACTCCTGTCCTCAAATGATCCTCCCACCTCAGCTTCCCAAAGTGCTGGGATTACAGGTGTGAGCCATTGTACCCAGCCCATGGTACCTTATTGTTCCTTTTTGCCTTGTGGTTCTCTAAATATGGTTATATTATATTCTTTTTTGGCAATTAAAATAACTGGTGTGGCTTTTGTTTTTTTACTGGCCCCTGACTGATACATCTTATCACTGTGCTACTCTTCTTATTGTTAGCCAACTCTGAGACTAGAAAACTTGTAGTCTTTTTCATCTTCTTTCTTACTATTAAAATATCTCTCACCTCATCATTCATCAAACCCAGTTCATTCTCTTATGATGTCTCCCAATTTCTTTCCTCCTCTTCATTCTCATTGCCATAGTCCTGTCTGTGGTCTCCACTAACTTGTCCTTTTGCCTGTACTCTTGGATTGATTTTTTAACTTGTATTTCTGTCCTTTATCTTGCCTCATTCTAGGTAATTCTTTAACCTGGTTGCTTGGGTTGCTTAACCCAAATATAATTATAATGATTACTTTCCTATATTCTATTGAAGATCACATTCATTAACATGGCATTCAAGGTCCTCTAGAGTTTAATCCAAATCTAATTTTCTAGTCTGTTTAAAAGTTATGTTCCTTTTATGCGCCATCTTCTATGCACCACGTTGCAGATTGGATTCTATGGAAAGCAGACTCTGGGAAGAAGCGGGAGAGGGAACCAGGAGTGGGTACGATGAGATGTGAAGCTGCAGTGTGATCGCAGCAAAGTCCTCAGACAACCCATGGTGAGCTTTGAAGCATAAGTGGCCTTTCACAGCTATTCTGAACCTGGGCAGGATGGCTCACACCTGTGGGAGTTTTGGGAGACTGAGGTGGGAGGATCCCTGGAGGCCAGAAGTTTGAGGCCGGACTGGATGAGACCTCATCTCTACAAAAAAGTACAAAAAAGTTGGCTGGGTGTGGTGGCACTCACCTGTAGTCCAGCTATATGGGAAGCTGAGGCAGGATGATAGCTTGAACTTAGGAGCTGGAGGCTGTGATCTCACCACTGCACTACAGCCTGGGCAACAGAGCGAGACTCTGTCTTTAAAAAAAAAAAAAAAAGGCTGTCCAGTTCCTCTATACACACTCACAGCAACCAGTCACTGGATGGAGGCTCTTGCTGGGGAGGGACATGGTCTTGGGTGAGTAGCCCTGTGCTGCTGAGGGCAATTCCTGTGGAGGGCTGTTGTCAGGTGTGCTCCCAGTAGCTGTGGAACTAGATTGTTTAGTTCTGAAAGGGAAATCTGGGCTGCACACCACAGCATCCTCTAGAGACTCACATGACTCTGCCGTACTTGTAAAACAAGTGAGGCAACTCACTATGTCTATTGTCACATTAACTCCCCAGCCTCATATGTACTAGCCTGAGATTACACTTGTTGAAATCCAACCTGTCTTTTAAATATTATTTTGTCAAAATGGCATTATTGAAATACAGTTTACATACTGTACAGTTCACCCATTTACAGTGTATAATTCAGTGACTTTTAGTATATTCACAAATATGTGCAATCATCACCACAGTAAACTTTGGAACAGTTTCATCCCCTCAAAAGAAAACCCATACCCTGTAGGTCCCCCTTTCCCTTCAGCTCTAAGCAACCACAAATCTTTCTGTCTCTATTTCCCCATTCTGGACATTTCATATCAGAATCATATAGTAAGTGGTCTTTTGGGTCTGGCTTCTTTCATTTACCGTAATGTTTTCAAGGTCTATCCATGTTGTAGTGTTTATCAGCACTCCACTCCTTTTTATGGTCAGATAATATTTCGCTATGTGTCCGTACCACATTTGCTTATCTAAATTTGTCAGTCGACGGGTGGTTTGGACTATTTATACCTCTTGGCTATTGTGAATAACACTGCTTAACCTTTGTGTACAGGTGTTTGTATGCGCATTTGCTTTCATTTCTCTTGGGTATACACCTAGGAGTGGAATTGCTGAGTCATAAGATAAAGCTATGTTTAAATATGTGGGGAATTCCCAGATCTTTTTCCAGAGTTGCCGCTTCGAAAATGCCACTTTTCTATGAATTTGACAACTACCTGCCTGCCTCCTAAGTCCCCTCCTTTCATTGCAATTAAATGTTCTATTTCTATATTGCTTTAGCACTCTCTGTTACCCTTGTTTCATGCTCAGCCTTGTGATGTTGTTGCGGTGGACATCTGTTTTTTACATGCACCCATTCCCCTTCTTGAATGACATCCTCTTTTCTTAGTGAAAACATCCCTCCCATACTTTCAGTCTACTGGCCTGGCCAAGTAAGATGTTCTATCACTGTAGTCATGGAGAGTGAGTCGGGGGTGAGCATGTGACCCCAGTTAGGTTAAATTAGCGTCAGTTCTGGGACTTTTGTTGGAAAAAATGGGCAAGGACTCTATTTCCACACTAGTTCCTAAGCTGGTGATATGTATGCCTAGAACTATTGGTGACCTTCTTACCACCATAAGGTGAGAACTGCCTTGAGAGTGAAATTAATCAAAGAAAAGGAAAGCCCCAATATGGAATGAGACAGATTGCCTGTTGATTTTGTTTGACTCAGTCATACCTGACATCTACAACTAGAACATTCAGTTACCTCCAATAACTTCCCCACACATAAGTTCTTATGTAACTTCTGTCATTTGTAATGCTAAGAATCCCAGTCAATAGAGTGTTAATAGTGTATTCCTCCCTCCACTGGATTTGAAGCTTCTGAAGGTAGGGACCATGTCTTTCTCATTTGAGCGTGATGCTGGCACGTAGAAATTGCTAATAGACAGTTGCTGAGTAATTGAATGAATGAATGAATGAAGAATGAGTGTATATTTTGCTATGCTTGAAACCACATCCTATCATTTATGTCCAGCAATAGGGCTTTGCCTTCATTCAGAAAGAGACTGAGTTTTCCTGTGTGTGTGCATGCACATGTGTGTGCATGTGTGTGTATGTGTGTGTGTGTGTGTTTTCCTTTATGTTCAAGACTGAATTAAGCAATCTCACATGGGGAGTTGGGTACCTATCAAAGAACTTTAGTGCCTCTCTTTAAGGTCCTACTGTAGACCTCTCCTCACATGCTCTTGAGGAAAACTGAGCTACTTTTGTTTTCACAGAGCAATCAATGTAGCTTCATAAATAGGTTGTCTGTCACTTTATGTTGTTTATTTCTACATAATTGACTTTTGGGATATGGAAATGAAGATCTGGCTTTTTCATTACTTGAGAAAATGAATTTATTTTTTGATTCCAACTCTTTAAATATATACAACAAAATTATTTAAGAAATAAGTAGGTGTTTTCATAAGGAAGGTTATGTGGTAGAATAAATTCAGAGATATGTAGGAGAGGATAAGTGTAGCCAAAAAAATAAAAAGCCATTGTGAATAACAGGAACATCTGGAGTGTAGACTTTGGTAATTTTTGGTACTATCATTTGCATTTTAAATGGGTGAGCAATAAAACAGCATCTATTCATATGTCTCTATCTAGCTTGACTTAAAGTACACATTTATGATTTCAGCCAGAAAGCTGAAAAATACTTCAAAGCACCGTAATAGTCCACTTCTCCACCCTGAAACACATCATGCTCAGGCAAAGTAGGGGCTTTGTGGGGGCAGTAGCTACAGAAAAGCTGCTACATGAAACCCTGGGACTAAAGACTTGGGTTTGAATCTTTTATTTATTTTTATTTATTTATTTATTTATTTATTTATTTTTTTAGATGGAGTCTCGCTCTTTGCCCAGGCTGGAGTGCAGTGGCGTGATCTTGGCTCACTGCAACCTCTGCCCCCTGAGTAGCTGGGATTACAGGTGCCTGCCACCACACCTGGCTAATTATTGTGTTTTTAGTAGAGACAGGGTTTCACCATGTTGGCCAGGCTGGTCTCAAACCCCTGACCTCAGGTGATCCTCTAGCCTTGGCCTCCCAAAGTGTGGGGATTACTGGCATGAGCCACTGCGCCTGACCAGGTTTGAATCTTTTTATCTTCACAAAACTGAGATCTTTATTGTCTGCCATATTTAGCTGTGCTCTGTTGACTTAAGAGGACAGAACAGACAGAGCATTTGGAAAGGGATTGTTCTGCCTCCTATTTGCCAGATTATATTTTTTCCTTTCTAACTGATGCATGAAAATTTTATCCTTTGGAAAGTAAATGTCCCAGAAGAATATGATCTAACCCTAGTGACTCATTTGAGAGATTCTTTAAAGTAAAGGAGTGTTTCCTAAAATAGAAGGGGATTTCACTTTGAGGGCAAGAAGGTTTTCCCTCTTTATCCTTAGTCATAGAGGTTATGCTGTCCCTGACACGTCATTACTTCCCTCCTGTTCCTCTTCCTTAGATTTAAAACAAACCGGGGAATATCCTCATTATCTAAAACATTTTCTCTGTGCATTTGATTAAAAGCTGGTATTTTCTGTTGATAAAAAAAAATTAGGACTGTAGTAGTCCAACATAGACACTGCTTATGGGGTAAATCTAGGGGACAGATCCTTATATTAAAAGGGATGGTGAGAACCCTGCTGGCTCTTGCTTGTGGTAGAAGAACAACCTCAGCAGATAAGAGCTTCACACCTTATAGCTATATTAGAATGTATTTTCTCTTTTCTTTTCTTTTTGACAGAGTCTCTCTCTGTTACCCACGCTGGAATGCAATGGGTCAATCTCAGCTCACTGCAAACTCCACCTCCTGGGTTCAAGCGATTCTCTTGCCTCAGCCTCCTGAGGAGCTTTGATTACAGGTGCCTGCCACCATGCCCAGCTAATTTTTTTATTTTTAGTAGAGATGGGGTTTCTCCATGTTGGCCAGGCTGGTCTCAAACTCCTGATCTCAAGTGATCTACCCATCTCAGCTTCCCAAAGTGCTGGGATTACAGGCTTGAGCCAAGGCGTCCAGCCTAGATGGTATGTTCTGAGCAGTGTTTGATAAATCAGGGGTCCCCAACCCCCGGAACATGCACCGGTACTGGTCCGTGGTCTGTTAGGAAGTGGGCCACACAGCAGGAGGTGAGCGGCAGGCACGCAAGCGTTACCACCTGAAGTTTGCCTCCTGTCAGATCAGCAGTGGCATTAGATTCTCATAGGAGCACAAACCGCATTGTGAACTGTGCATTTGAGGGATCTAGGTTATGTGCTCCTTATGAGAATTGAACTAATGCCTGATGATCTGAGGTGGGACAGTTGCATCTTGAAACTATCCCCCACACCCCAGCCCCCCATCCATGGAAAAATTGTCTTCCGTGAGACTGCTGCGCCAAAAAGATCGGGGACCGCTACTATAAACCGTTCTGCCCTCGTGGGAATAGTGTATAGATACCTATATTGCCAAGACTTTATTTTCTTACCCTTTCTTATGTACTTATCAAACATACTTAGACTCCTTTCTACTTATTCTCACATCAGCTTCATGTCTTTAACCAGCTATGCAAGATTTGGAAGGTCTTTATACATTCTTGGGCTTCAGTTTACTTTGTAATGTTGGGTACCCTATCTTTAAAATCTTTATCAGCTCTAAAATTCTATAGTTCCTTATCTATGCTTCTGTTTTCTAATGCATTTGACTCTGGTCTTAATTCTTAAGCTAATCTTTTATTTAGCCTTCATTTGAGATAAATGTCACAAGCAGAGAGGGCAGGAAATGGCATCTTGATGTCTTAAGTAGAGAAATTAGAAGCTCATAAATCTCAATGAACCTTGAATTAATTAGTGGAGAAGTTACCTTTATATCATTGTGCCTCAGATGATTTGGGGTCAAAGAAGGAATACTGGGGGTATAATTATGAATGCTATACATATAAGTGCAAGGATAGTGGCAACATTTTTGATTGACTGTTATATAAAAAACACTCTTGGCATTGCAGTGCCTCTTATTAAGGTTAGAGTATTGTGAGTTTTACTAGAAGTCTGAGTGTGTTTAATGCTGGCAATACTGAAATCAACTCCATCATAAATTTAAAGTGAGGACACCATTTATTCTAGGGGCTTCTGCAAACCCAAATATAGTCATCACTTATTCCTATTTAAAACTTCATGTGTCCTAACAATATTCATACATCACTGCGGCAACATTGCCATTCAACCCTCAGGTCAGTCAGTACTTTAAAACCACGACAAAATTTCTAAATAAAAAATTATATCGATAATTGTAAGATTTGAAAGAGAAAAATAACTTTTAGATGAGAAGGAAAATGAGCTCTTTACTTTCTTCTTGCCCCATTGTTGCCTTTATTAAATAACCCTTCTGATTTCATTGTATAATGATACAATATTAGAAAATAATTGATATGGTTTGGACAATTATATAAACATTAACACAAGTTGAGACAGTTATTTTGAATAATTTCTGGATCTAATTATAAAATGCTGAAAGGAAATTATAAGCATTAAGACAAAGTTGAGACAGTTATTTTGAATTATGTCTACACTGAATCATAAAATACTGAAAGCAAATATAGACACAGGTTCATTCTTTAATGTAGAACATTATAGGCTGCTTGATGGTCAGAAAACCACAAGTTTAAGTTTATCTGCAAAGTAAGTTGTAGTAATTGTTAAGGTCAATGGTTCATATTTTAAACAATCTGAGAATGTGGTAAGTATTTAGCAAGCTAGTGTTTAAAAACACTCATAAATATGTATTCCTAGAATATAGCTATTAAAGAAAGTCTTGTCAACTTTCATGCACTTTTATGACAGATTGTTTTTCATTTGCACACAAAGGATACATGGCTGGTTCAAAGCTCAGAACAGTTCAATAGCAGTTATATGATACCATGACAAGTTCTATCCAAGCTTGTTTAAACATATTCCTCAGGGAATGCTTCAAAGAATGGCACACAGTTACAACTGGAAGAAACTGCTTTATTAATAGTTGGCAATTTTTACAAATTCCAGGCATGTTGCACAGACTCTGCTCAACCGAGCCATCGATTATAGTTAACATCCGTCTCTAAAACAAGTGCTTAAATCTTGTACAAGTATTAAAAAAAATACTTTCATGCAAGCCAAGTTTTATCTTACATAAATTATCTTACATAACTTGACGTTAAACAAAGAGGAGCAATGTGAAATATAAGAAATTCCATATCCGATTAAGAACTTGGTACTCCCTTTTACCAAAGTGTGAATAAGGGTTCCAGCTCAGGGTCTTTTCAACACCCCTCCAGGCGAGAGAGAACTTTTAATCTTCTGTTTCTCCTTTTCTCCTTCATTCTCATTTCTCCTTTCTTACCATGTATTCTATTTTCTTTCCCATGATGTTCTATTTCTCCTTCCTTTGTTGTTTATTTCCTCTTTTTTCTCCCTCCTTGCATTTATTTTCTTCCCTCCATACTCTCAATTCTCCCTTTTATCACCCTGCCAATGTCAAAATCATTACATGCTAATCGAGCCAAATAAATTGCAACTGCAAGGACATGACCTGATGTCTACAGCAGAAAATGTTTAAATTATGAATTTTCCTTTTGTTTATACAGGCAATTACAAGAAATTAAATGTTAACTTTGAAGTCAATCCTTAATCAGAGGTGTTTTTACATAAAACCACTACATATAAAATGCAGAGTGCAATTACATTAAAAAAAACTATTTCATTTCATTTACTAGTAGCCACTAATGGCTCTTTAGACTCAGCCTATTAGGTAAATGAGCAAACAGTTAGCTTATTTGTTTGAAGTATAAGTAGCAGATAATTCATGAATAAGTAAATTATACTTTCTTGCTGTGGTATATTAACAGGATGATTTTATATTATTTTATTTTTAATTGACAATAATTATACTTATTCAAAGGGTACATAATGATGTCTCCATATATATACAGTGATCAGACCAGGGTAATTAGCATGTCCATTATCTCCAATGTTTATCGTTTATTTGTTTTGGGAACATTCAATATGTTCCTCCTAGCTGTGTGAAACTGAATATTATTAACTGTAGTCATCCTACAGTGGTATAGAGTACTAGAACTTATTTCTCCTATCTAGCTGTAATTTTATAACCTTTAACAAATCTCTCCCTATTCACTCCTTCCCCCATCCTTTCCAACCTTTGGTATCTTCTGTTCTACTCTTTTACTTCTATGAGATCACCTTATTTTAGGGTCCACGTGTGAATGAGAACATGCAGGGTTTAACTTTCTGTCCCTGGTTTATTTCATATAACATAATATCTTCCTGTTCCATCTAAGTTGCTGAGAATGACTGGATTTCCTTCTTTGTTATGGTGGAATAGCCACTGTGTATATATACTACATTTTCTTTATCCATTCGTCTATTGTTGGACACCTAGGTTGATCCTGTATCTTGTGAATAGTGCTGCAATAAACATGGGGGTACAGATGTTTCTTTGGTATAATTGTTTCCTTTCCTTTGGATAAATTCCCAGTAGTCGGATTGCTGAATCATATAGTAGCTCTATTTGTAGTTTTTTGAGGAGCCTCCATACTGTTTTCCATAGTGGCTGTGGTAGTTTACATTCCTACTGACAGTGTGTAAGAGTTCCCTTTTCTCTGCATCCTTGCCAGCATTAGTTATTTTTTGTCTTTTTGATAAATAGCCATCCTAACTGGGGTGAGATGATACCTCACTGTGGTTTTGATTTCCCTGACAATTAACGATATTGATAATTTTTTCATGTATTTGTTGACTATCTGTATGTCTTCTGAGAAGTGTCTGTTCAGATCATTTGCCCATTTTTTTTAGTTGGATTGTTTGTTTTTGCTGTTGATGTTTGAGTTCCTTATATATTTTGGATATTAATCCCCTATAGGATGAGTAGTTTGCAAATATTTTCTCCAGTTCTCTGGGTTGTCTTTGCTGTGCAGAAGCTTTTTAGTTTGCTATAATCCTATTTGTTTATTTTTGCTTTTGTTGCCTATGCTTTTGAGGTCTTATTCATAAAATCTTTTCCCAGACCAAGGTCTTAAAACATTTCTTCTATGTTTTCTTCTAGTAGTTTTATCATTTTGGGTCTTATCCTTAGGTGGTTGATCCATTTTGAGTCGGTTTTTATATAGAGGAAGGGCAGGTCTAGTTTCATTCTTCTGCATACAGATATCCAATTTTCCAAGCACCATTTCACCTTTGTAAAAAAATCAGTTGGCTGTAGATACTTGGATTAATTTCTGCGTTCTCTATTCTGTCCCATTAGTCTATGTGTCTTGTTTTATGCCAGTACCATGCTGTTTTGGTTACTACAGCTTTGTAGTATACTTTGAAGTCTGGTAGTGTGACACTGCCGGCTTTATTTTTTTGGATTACTTTGGCTATTCTGGGTCTTTTGTGGGTTGACATAAATTTTAGCATTTTTTTCTGTTTCTGTGAAGATGTCATTGGTATTTTGATAGGAATTACATTCAATTGCTTTGTGTAGTATTGCCATTTTAACAATATTTATTCTTCCAATTCATGAGCATATGATGTCTTTCCATTTGACTTTTAGCCTCTTCAGTTTCTTTCATCAGTATTTTGTAGTTTCCCTTGTAGAGGTTTTTACCTCCTTGGTTAAATGTATTCCTAGGTAACTTATAAATGAAATTGCCATCTTGATTTCCTTTTCAGATAGTCTGTTGTTTATATATAGAAATGCTACCTTTTTTTTTTTTTTTTTTTTTTTGAGACAGAGTCTCACTCTGTTGCCCAGGGTGGAGTGCAGTAATATGGTCATAGCTCACTGCAGTCTCCACCTCCTGGGCTCAAACAATCCTCCACTTCAGCCTCCTGAGTAGCTGGGACTACAGGTGTGCACCACCACACCTGGCTAATTTTTGTATTCTTTGTAGAGACAGGATTTCATCATGTTGCCCAGGCTGGTCTCAAACTCCTGGGCTCAAGTGATCTGTCTGCCGTGGCCTGACAAAGTGCTGGGATTATAGGTGTGAACCCCTGCACCTGGCCAGGAAGCTTTTAAAGTAGCAATATCTCAAATCTATAACAAATTTATTTCCTTTAAAATGAAACAATATAAAAACTGAACAACAAGGCCTGAAGTTGTTCTGTGCAAGCCAATCATTGGAATCAATCAGGTCAAAACAACCTCACCTCATTGAAAGAAAATATAGCTGATGTATTGTTTGAATATGTTCTCCAAAGTTCATGTGTTGGATATGTAATCTTCAATGCAGCAGTTTTGGGAAGTGGGGCCTCATAAAGGAAGATTAGGTTGTGAGGCATATATATATATATATATATATATATATCATATATAATCATATATATAACATATATAGCATATATATAACATATGTATGATATATGTCATATATAACATATGTATGATATATGTCGTATATAACATATGTATGATATATGTCGTATATAACATATGTATGATATATGTCGTATATAACATATGTATGATATATGTCATATATAACATATATGGGGTTGCCTTTGTTGTGCAGAAGCTTTTTAGTTTGCTATAATTCTATTTGTTTATTTTTGCTTTTATATATATCATATATATAACATATATATGTTATCTTATTTTCCCTTATTTTTTTTGTAGAGCATTCTGTATTGCATTTTACTTGTAAACATTATTTTTGCTTCAAAATATCTCCTGGGAATAAATTTATATCATCAGTTCATAGAGGTTGTCCTCATTCTTTTAATAGCTTCATGGTACTCCATTGTGACAATATGTCACAGTTTATTCAACCAATATTCTATGCTTGGGCATTTATGTAGTTTCCAATATTTTGCAATTAGAAATAATGCTGCAATGAGTAAACTTGAGCATCTGTATTTTTATAGTATTGGAGATGTGTCTTCAGGATAAATTCCTGGAAGTGGGATTTAATATGTATTTTTGTTAAACATTGCCAAATTTGCCTCCCTGTGGGAATTCTTCATTTTGCATTCCCACCAGCAATGTTTGAACACGACTGTTTCTTCACAGCTTCACCAATAGTAAGCTTTCTAATGTTTGCTTATCTAATTGATGAGAAATGATATCTCACTATAGTTTTAATTTGCACATATTTTATTGTGAGTAATTGCTATAGACTGAGACTGAATGTTTGTGTCCTACCTCCCACTCCTAACATTCATCTGTTGAAATCCTAACCCTCAATGTGATAGTGTTAGGAGGTGGGGCCTTTGAGAGGTGATTAGGTCATTTGGTTATGAATGAGTAGAGCTCTCATGACTGGGATTAGTACTTTTATAAAAGAGGCTGGAAAGAGCTCCCTCATCCCTTCTACCATGTGAGGACACAGAAAGAAGACAGTTATGAACCAAAAGAAGGCCATCACCAGACATCAAATCTGCTAGTGCTTTGATCTTGGACTTCCCCTGGCTCCAGAATTGTGAGAAATAAGTTTCTGTTGTTTATAAGGCACTCAGTCTATATAGTCTGTTATAGCAGCCTGAATAGACTGGAACAGTAGTAGTATACTATTGCATAAGGGCCATTTTTATATTCCAGATTTTTTCTGTTTATATTTTTCTCTGTTTTTAAGATTTTTGGTCTTTCCTGCCTCAATTTTTTTTTTTTTTTTTTTTTTTTTTTTTTTTTTGAGACAGAGTCTCACCCTGTTGCCCAGGCTGGAGTGCAGTGGCATGATCTCGGCTCACTGCAACCTCCACCTTGCGGGTTCAAGCCATTCTTGTGCCTCCCAAGTAGCTGGGATTACAGGCACATGCTACCACTCCTCGCTAATTTTTTGTATTTTTAGTAGAGACGGGGTTTCACCACGTTAGCTAGGATGATCTTGATCTCCTGACCTCGTGATCTGCCTGCCTCGGCCTCCCAAAGTGCTGGGGTTATAGGCATAAGCCACTGCGCCCAGCCTTCTGCCTCAATTTTAAAGCATTTTTTTGTATATTAGGTTATTTAGCTCCTTGTCTATGACATATGTTGCAAGTGTTTTCTGTCAGTTTGCCGCTTGTCTTTTGGTGGTGTGTGGTTTTTGTTTTCACCATGCAAACATTCTCTGTTTTTATATAGTCAAATTTATCAGATTCCCCTTATATTGCATCTAGGTTTTTAATTTTAAAAGCCTTTCCCTATGCCTGAGTTAAAGAGGAATTTGCTTAAATGTTTCTCTAGTATTTATATATTTTTTACATTGAAATCTCAAATCCATGTAGAGTTTATGCTTGTTTATGGTGTGAGGAATTAATCTATTTTTATTTATTTTTTTCCCTAAATGGTCATCCAATTATCACAACACAATTTATGAAAAAGACTAATTTTTTCTCACATATAACACTTTGATCATATGCTAGATTTGTACATTTAATTGGGCATATATCTGGATTTACTGTTTTATTCTACTGGTATGCCAATCTACTTATATACTAGTACTACACTGTTTTAATTATCTAGGTTTTGTAGAATGCTTTAATGGCAGGTAGAGCAGTGCCTCCTCATAGCTTTTTCTTTTCAATGTCCTCTGCCTATTTTTACATGTTTTTTTTTTTAACTCCCATGTGAATTTTAGGATCAATTTGTTTAGCTCAATAAAATAACTTCCTGGCATTTTACTGACCTCTCATTAAATTGATAAGTTCATTTAGAACTGGCATATTGATGTCCTAACCAAGAACAAGGGATGCCTTTGTATTTGTTCAAGACTCTTTTTGGACAACCCACTCTTAATCAAAGTGAATAATGATGTTAGGTAATCATTAATTTTTCCTGGTATGCTTTAATTTAAAATATCTGATGGAATAAATAAGACATTTAAGTGGCTGTGGGAAGGGAACATCACACTTTTGAATAACTTTTAGGTGCCATTTACTGTGCAAAGTGTTTAATTCCCAAAGAATCAAGAAATTATTGATTTTGCTTTGTGTATATTGTCGATGGGTGTACTCTTTCACAAAGTTTCTGTAACTTCTCTGAGAACAGTCAATGAATATCAAGAATGAGATTCAGACCCTGTACCGTGTGCCCTTTAAGTTCACTACCTACTAAAAACCAACACGGTGTTATTCCTCAGGTGAAAAAGAAAATTTGAAAATATACACTGTCTTCTTTGATTTTTAGAACTACTGGGAAGTCAATAAGGTATACATGGACTATTTGTAGTCTAGTTTTGCTGATAAGGAAATTGAGGCTCTAGAGAGGTTAAGTGTTCCAAGATTATGGTTAATAAGTGTCAGAGGTGATTCTAGATTATATGACCACTAACCCTGCTCTTTTCTGGGTACCACACCAAACCTTAAAAATTCAAAGGAGGCTGTGTGTGGTGTAATCTCAGCAATTTTGGAGGCTGAGGCAGGAGGTTTTCTTGAGCCCAGGAGTTCAGGACCAGCCTGGGCAACATAGTGAGGCCCCATCTCTAAAAAAAAAAAAAAAAAAAAAAAAGAAGAAGTCAAAGGAAAACAATTATACCTCTTCCTATCAATCTTGGACATGTATGATTTAAAAACTAATTCTTTGAAGTAGAACCAAAATGCATTGCACTTTTGCCCCACGGTGGGTGGAAGCCTTTCGTTATTCTTTGAATCTGTGAATCTCAACATTTCCTCTACATCGGAATCACCATGATGCTTCAATAAATACACACATGTGGGTCACATCTCCCGAGATTATTATTTAATTGGTCCATGTTGTGACCTGGTCTTCTGGATCTTAAAAATACTACCCTCAATGCTAATGTGCACCCAAGGTTGAAAGCCACCGGTCTAGATAATGTTTAAGATACCTTCAATCTTATGAAGGTATCTTATACTTCAATACTCTATAATTATACCTTCAATACTCTATAATTCTGAGATTTCTTCTTCTGTGGTAGTTAAGAGTGCAAATTCTGGAAATGACTGCTGAAGGTTGAATCCTTTTTCCTTACAACCTACCTTTACAATTTCCTTACAATTTACCTAAGTTGTATCTTAGGTAAATTACTCAATCTCTTTCATTCTCTATTTCTTCATATTTTAAAATTGATACAATTTTGCTTACTTCATAGAGTTAAATTTTTTAAAAATTAAAAATCTTATTTTTAGGGCAGTTTTAGGTTCACAGCAAAGATAAGTGGGATGCACATGCTTCCTATATATGCACTGTCCCACTGCACACACGCACACACAACCTCTCCCACTATCGATGTTCTGCACCATTTGGTACAATTGATAAACCTACATTGAAACATCACCATTGCCCAAAGTCCGTAGTTTACATTAGAGTTCACTCTTGGTGCTGTACATTCTATGGGTTTTGACAAATGTGTAGAGACATGTGTCCAACATTATAGTATCATACAGAGTAGTTTCACTACCCTAAACATTCTCTGCTCTCTGCCTATTCATCCCTCTCACTCCCAAGTATGGCAACCATTTTACTGTGTCCATACTTGCACCTTTTTCAGAATGTCATATAGTTGGAATCAAACTGTATGTAGCCCTTTCAGATTGACTTCTTTCACTTAATATACATTTAAGTTTCTTCCATGTCATTTCAAGGCTCAAAAGCCAATCTCTTTCTCAGCACTGAACAATATTCCATTGTTTGGATATACCACAGTTTATTTATCCATTCATCTTCTGAAGGACATCTTGGTTGCTTCCAAGGTTTGGTAATTATGAATAAAGCTGCTATAAGTATCTTTGTGCAGGTTTTTGTGTAGACATAAGTTTTCAATTTGCTTAGGTAAATTCCAAGGAGTATTATTGTTGGATTGTATTTAGAAAAACCTAAAGACTCTACCAGAAAACTCTTAGAACTGATAGATGAAGTTAGTAAATTTGAAGGATATAAAGTCAACATACAAGCTGGGCATGGTGGCGTGTGCCTGTAGTCTCAGCTACTAGGGAGGCTGATGTGGGAGGATCGCTTGAACCCAGGAGTTTGAGAGCAGGCTGGGTAGCATAGCAAGACTTCTGTCTCTTAAAAAAAATACAAAAATCAGTAGCACTTCTATACACTAACAACAATCGATCTGAAAAAGAAATTAAGAATACAATCTCACTTATAGTACTCAAAAAAATTCCTAAGAGTAAACTTAACCAAAGATATGGTAATCTTATAAAGCTTTTAATATATAGCCCTGCATATAGTAAGTGCTCAATAAATGGTGGCTATTTTCTTTCTAGTCACCTGTTTTCTACTTGGTATGTAGATTTTGGAAGGAAAGAGAGTGAATTCCAAATTAGAGGGTAAAACATAGGATTTTATCTGACCGGTAATATACCTGAAGCCAATCTGCATTGTCTTAACAGAACCTTGACTTTGTAAGTGGTAAGCAATAGAAAGTATCCACTAGGAAAAAGAAGCTGCAGAGAGGGACAGCTGACTATAGAGTGAGGCCCGTTGCTCTCTTGGGTCAGAAGGCTGATGGGAAAAGTGTGGGAAGAGAAGTTACTTTGGGTGTTCGGCGGTGTGTGTGCCTGTGCACAGACATGCACACTCCTGGGAGTGTAGAATTCATGTCTGTTTAAGTGTGATTCTCTATGTGTCAGGAAAAAGCAGATCACAAGAGGGGGAATTGCAGGGAACTAAGAAAGTGAAGAAAGAAAAGTACATGAGAACAAAAGAGACATTCATTTTTTGTTTTCCCGCTTTCTTCCTCCCTTTGCCACCCACAGAAACTTGGCTCGTTTTTGTGCACTCCCATGTGCATATTGTTTCTTGGCCACTGTTGGAAGAAATGAGGAAAATACGGACTTTTAAAAGTCTGGGATAGTTCTGAAAGCACAGACCAGTGTAACCAAACTAACCTACCTAGCTACCTTCCTTCCTTCCTTCTTTCTCTCCCTTTTTTCCCTTCCTCCCTCCCTTCCTTTTCTCCCTCCCTCCCTCCCTCTCTCCCTCCCTTCCTTTTCTCCCTCCCTCCTTCCCTCTCTCCCTCCCTTCCTTCCTTTCTTTCCTTCCTTTCCTTCCATCATTGAAAGCCAAGCTCATTTAGTACTCAAAATGTTTCTTGAATTAATACATTAGACTTTGGGTTTACAGGGGCTTAAATGAAAAAAGAGGGCTTGCACCCTTGAGAAGCTCATAATTTTCCAATTTTGGGATTGGACCATTTCATTGGATTGGCACTACTATGGCTCATTGTCCTCACTTAGTCTATTACAGTGGTTCTCACACTTTAGTGTGTATCCGAATCACCTGGAGGTCTTGTTAAAGCTCAGATTTTTCCAAATGATGGTCTTAACAGAAAAAAAAAATAAAGCTCAGATTGCTGGAACCACCTCCAATTTCTGACTCAGAGGTTTGATGCAGGGCTTGATAATTTGTATTTCTAGCAAGTTCCCAGGTGATGCTTACACTGCTGGTTCCTGGATCATGCCTTGAGAACCACAGATCTATTAGGATGCTAGCCATTTTTCTTAGTCAGAAGACAGAAGCCATGTTAATTATTTGAACAGAGAGAATATAGTAGAAGGAATTTTAAACTAGGTATAAAGTTGTTAACCTGAAAGTAAATGAGCTTTAAAGTTCCATGAAGGTAGCAATTGTGGGAAACACCTACCAACTCCTAGGACTGATAGGAAAAAAAAAAAGGAAAATGCCTGGATTATTAAAACTTCAGAAACTTCGAGAAGCTAAAACTGAGATCTCTGAGGAGAGAGTGCTGTTCTGGTATCCCTTGGGGTAGGAGTGTGATGAAGCTCATCCTGCAAGTATTGGAAAAACTGCAAAGTGAATTTATCTGCTGCTACAGGGAGGTACTGCAGCTGTTGGGGTGGAGATGCAGTGCTTGAGTGATTATCACAAGAGCAGAAAGCACAAAGAAGGAGCAAATCCCTTCTTCCTTCACCAGTGCAGTTTCCTCTATTGCCCCCTATTTTGCAGAACCTAACAATGGAAGCAGGTGGCAAAAATGAAATACGGTTTGCAACACCTCAGCTCAGGGTGGTGAGTTGGATTTGTTGCTGAGAAATATACAAAAATACTAGAGTACCAGTCCTTTACATGGCTGTGCTTTGTGAGAAGCTGAGTTTTTTGAGATGATTTATTAGGAATCAGCTGAAAACTAGTTCAAATTAATAATTTTGAAAAAGAATAGTAAAGTAAAAGGCTAACTACTTGATTTTAAGACTCTTTATAAAAGGAAGAGAATCAAGACAGTATAATATTGACATAAAGATAAACAACATATCAATAGAACAGAATAGAGAATCCAGAAATAGATTCACACATACAATGACAACTGATTTTGACAAAGGTGCAAAGGCAATTCAGTGGAGAAAGGATCCATCAACAGACAGTATTGGAAGAGTGAGATTCATATGAAAGGAAAAAATAAAAAAAAAACCACTTTGATTTGTACCTTTTATCATTAACTGAAAATGGATCATAACTCTAACTGTAAAACTTAAAACTTCTAGATAATAGGAGAAAATCTTTGTGATCTTAAAGATTTCTTAGATATGCTACCAAAAGCACAGTCTATAAAAAGAAAAAATGATAGATTAGATTTCATCAAAATTAAAAATTTTTAATCTTCAGGCTTTAAAGCACGGTGGCTCATGCTTGTAATCCTAGCACTTTGGGAGGCCAAGGCGGGAGGATTGCTTGAGCCCAGGAGTTTGAGACCAGCCTGGGCAACATGGTGAGACCTCGTCTCTACAAAAAATACAAAAATTAGTCGAGTGTGGTTACATGTGCCTGTAGTACAGGCTACTTGGGAGGCTGAGGTGTGAGGATTGCTTGAGCCTGGGAGGCAGAGGTTACAGTGAGCTGAGATTACAGCACTGCACTCCAGCCTGGGCAACAGAACGAGACTGTCTCAAAAAACCAATAACGAAAAGACTTTTGATCTTGAATGTCACTGGTGGGAGACTTTGCTAAAAAGATAAGCCACAGACTGGGAAAAAATATTTGTAGAGCACGTGTCTGATAAAGGACATGCATCCAGAATGCATGAAGAATTTTCAAAACTAAATGATAAGAAAACAAACAACTCAATTAAAAATGGTCAAAATATTTGAACAAACCCTTCAAAGAAGATATACAGATGGAAATTAAGCACATAAAAAGATGATGAACATCATTCATCATTAAAAAGTGCAGGCTCATCATAAACTGCAACGAGATATCACTGTATGGAAATTAGAATGTCTAAAATTATAATAAATATACTGGCCATACCAAGTGTTGCCTAAAATGTGGAACAACTGTAATTTCCATACACTGCTGATAAGAGTATAAAATGGTACAACTATTCTGGAAAAGAGATTGGCAGTTTTTTAAAAAGACAGACACATACATCTGATTTGCAATCTAGCCATTCCACTGCAAGGTATTTTCTCAAGAGAAAAGGAAGTATATGTCCATATAAAGACTTGCACCTGAATGTTTATATTGACTATTTGTAACAGCCCCAAACTGGAAATGACCCAAATGCTCATATACAGAAGAATGGATGAACACTCATATCCATATGAATATAGAATCCATATGAATCCAGAGGAATACCTCTCTGCAATAAAAAGGAATGAACACTTGATACATAGTGCAGCATGAATGAGTCTCAAAATAACTATGCTAAATAATAGAGGCCTGACAAAAGAGTATATACTATATGATTCACTTGATTAAAAAAATTCTAGAAAGTATAAACTAATGTTAGTGACAATTTATATTAATGGTTATGTGGGGATGATGAGGTCAGGGCAGGGCAGGTGGGAATGATAAAAAACAGGGTACAAGGAAACTTTTAGCAGTGATGAATGTGTTCATTATCTTGATTGTTGTGGTGGTTTTATGGGTATATAGATATGTCAAAACATTGAAATGGTGTGATTTAAGTATATGCAGTTTATTGTATGTCAATGACACCTTATTAAAACTATTTAAAAACTATTTTGTTACAACAGTGCTAAATTCAAATGAATAATTCAAATGGGGGATAAGAGGTCGTGTTTAGGTATGTCCACCTCTGCTGTTTGAGAGGTTCAGGGTAAAAATAAATGTGCAGGTTCATAACCCATTCTCACTCATTTTTCTTCCCATCCTTTCCATTAATGTCTCTGTTCAAATGTGACCTTTTCAGAGAGACCATTGCTTAACATAATAGAACATCATCATCCTCTCCCTTATCTTGCTTTATTTTTCTTCACAGCACTTACCAATACCTCATATTATATCACAAAGGTATTTGTTATTCACCTATAGTCTGTCTCCCCCACTACAATTTAAGTTCTATGAGGTCAGGGACTTTGCCTCTTTTATTTAATTATGTGAATATTTATGAGTAAAAGAATGAATAAATGTAAGAATAAGTACATGAATGCTTTTGGAGTTACAATTTTATCACACAATATTGTATTGACAGTGGCACCAGTCACTTCAATGTCATATTTGAACCACTACATCTGAGAAAGGAGGTAGTACAGGAATTTTTTTTTTTAATTTATACTTTAAGTTCTAGGGTACATGTGCGCAATGAGCAGGTTTATTATATAGATATACATGTGCCATGTTGGTTTGCTGCACCCATCAACTCGCCATTTACATTAGGTATTCCTCCTAATGCTATCCCTCCCCCAGCCCCCACCCCCTGACAAGCCTTGGTGTGTGATGATTCCCACCCTTTGTCCAAGTGTTCTCATTGTTCAGTTCTCACCTATGAGTGAGAACATGTGGTGTTTGGTTTTCTGTCCTTGTGATAGTTTGCTTACAATGATGGTTTCCAGTTTCATCCACGTCCCTGCAAAGGACATGAACTCATCCTTTTTATGGCTGCCTAGTATTCCATGGTGTATGTGTGCCACATTTTCTTGATCCATTCTATCGTCGATGGACATTTGGGTTGGTTCCAAGTCTTTGCTATTGTGAATAGTGCCGCAATAAACACACGTGTACATGTGTCTTTATAGTAGCATGATTTATAATCCTTTGGGTATATACCCAGTAATGGGATCACTGGGTCAAATGATATTTCTAGTTCTAGATCCTTGAGGAACCGCCACACTGTCTGCCACAATGGTTGAACTAATTTACCCTCCCACCAACAGTGTAAAAGCATTCCTATTTCTCCACATCCTCTCTAGCATCTGTTGTTTCCTGAGTTTTTAATGATTGCCATTCTAACTGGCGTGAGATGGTATCTCATTGTGGTTTTGATTTGTATTTCTCTGATGACTAGTGATGATGAATATTTTTTCGTGTGTCTGTCAGCTGCATAAGTGTCTTCTTTTGAGAAGTGTCTGTTCATATCCTTTGCCCACTTTTTGATGTGGTTTTTTTTTTGCTTGTAAATTTGTTTAAGTTCTTTGTAGATTCTGGATATTAGCCCTTTGTCAGTTGGGTAGATTGCAAAAATTTTCTCCCATTCTGTAGGTTGCCTGTTCACTCTGATGAACAGATGTGGTGCAGAAGCTCTTTAGTTTAATTAGATCCCATTTGTCAATTTTGGCTTTTCTTGCCATTGCTTATGGTGTTTTAGTCATGAAGTCCTTGCCCATGCCTATGTCCTCAATGGTATTGCCTAGGTTTTCTTCCAGGGTTTTTATGGTTTTAGGTCTAATATGTAAGTCTTTAATCCATCTTGAATTAATTTTTGTATAAGGTGTAAGGAAGGGATCCAGTTTCAGCTTTCTCCATATGGCTAGCCAGTTTTCCCAGCACCATTTATTAAATAGGGAATCTTTTCCCCATTTCTTGTTTTTGTCAGGTTTGTCAAAGATCAGATGGTTGTAGATGTAGCACAGGAATTTTTATGGGATGGGATTCCATGAACTGGGAACTATCCTGAAGCCTTTTAGGAAATGAAAGTTTCCCTGACTTCAAGCATATTTGCTGCAATCCACCTTGATTCATTATTACAGATTGTGATGGTGACTAACTCCTGTAGTAAAAACGAATAGAAGTAGGGGCTGAATAACCTCTGAAGATATTTCTGTTTGTCCTATAGCTTTTCTTTAAGTAAGCATAAACTGTCAAAGCAATTATTGATAGGTGATCCGTTAGTAATTCCAGAAGATGAACTTGAGTTATTGAGCATACGAATCATAAGGATCTTACAAATATTTTTGGGCAATCGCCTTCAACAATCAGAATCTTGTAACACTTTTTAAAAAAATTGAGACAGAGTATTTCTCTGTCACCCAGGCTGCAGTACAGTGCCATGAACTGTGCTCACTGCAGCCTCGCAATCCCAGACTCAAGCGAATCTCCCACTTCAGCCACCTGAATAACCGGGACTACAGGCGTGCACCACCACACCCGGCTAATTTCTCTATTTTTTGTAGAGATGGGGTTTCACCACATTGCCCAGGCTGGTCTCGAACTCCTGGGCTCAAGCAGTCTACCCACCTTGGCCTCCCAAAGTGCTGGGATTAAAGGTGTGAGCCACCACGTCTGGCATAACCTTTAAAACCAGATTCTTTGTTTGAAGATTGATCAGGGCGATGACAGCCAGGATAAGTTTTCTTTTCACAAATTCTTTAAAAAAATTTTTTTGTTTCTTTTTTCTTTTTTCTTTTTTTTTTTTGTATCTTTTCACAAATTCTTTAACTGGTGTTATGGTCAATTTATTGTTGGGAACAATGTTGGCATCCTTGTATTTTAGAGCTATGATTTTTGCACCTAAGTATTTTTTTCCTTTAAAAAAAAACAGGTTTATTAAGGAGTAATTGACAGACAAAGTTGCACATGTATAACATATACTATTTGATGAGTTTGGACACATGCATACTCCTCGGAAACTATCACCGCAATCAAGGTAACGGACTTTTTTTTTTTTTTTTTAAATAGAAAAGAAAAGCTGTGTTACTCCTTGAAATTGCCTTTTTGGATGTGTCAAACACAGTGGCCTAATAGCCAGGATATTTTCAGCTCTGTGTCACTGAATTTATTTTACTTTGGGAAAGTTGACCTACCCCTGAGCTTACCTATGTCACGCTGCCAAGGTTATTATCTTTGGTTCAACATTGTCATTATGAAATCTAAGTGTTTTAGATTAGCCAGAACCCTTGAAAAACATTTAATGTTGCTTCTTCTGTGTTTTTTTTCTCCTTTTAAAAAAATCATTTCAATTTTTATTTTAGATTCAGGGTACATGTACAGGTTTGTTACAGGGGTATGTTATGTGGTGCTGGGGTTTGGGGTACAATTAATCCTGTCACCCAAGTGGTGAGCATGGTACCTAACAGTTTTTCACCCCTTCCCTCCCTTCCTTGTCTAGTAGTGCCTAGTGTCTATTGTTGCCATCTTTATGTCCACGAGTACTCAGTGTTTATCTACCTCTTATAAGTGAGAACATGCAGTACTTGGTTTTCTTTTTTCTTCCCCCCCAAGACAGAGTCTCTCTCTGTCGACCAAGCTGGAGTGCAGTGGCTCCATCTTGGCCCACTGCAACCTCTGCTTCCTGGGTTCAAGCAATTCTCCTGCCTCAGCCTCCCAAGTAGCTGGGGTTACAGGCGTGTGCCACCACGCCCGGCTACTTTTTGTATTTTTAGTAGAGACGGGGTTTCATTATGTTGGCCAGGCTGGTCTCAGACCCCTGACCTCAAGTGATCCGCCCATCTTGGCCTCCCAAAGTGCTGGGATTACAAGCATGAGCCACCATACCTGGCTGGTATTTGGTTTTATGTTCCTGCAATAATTTGCTTAGGATGATGGCCTCCAGCTCCATCCATGTTGCTGCAAAGGACATGATTTTTTTTTTTTATGGCTGCAGGTACCAAAGTTTGAAATGTAAATGGGGAGTACCTTGAGCCCCCTTAAGTTCCTGTGAATAAGAAGTTCCTCTGCTATAATAGTCCTCCAGAATTCGTATTAATATTAATATTCTGCAAAATCAGAATAGACTGATAGAACAGTAAGCTAGAATGAGCATACTCTCATTTTCTTTCTCAGAATCTCTGTTGCCCAGGCTGGAGTGCAGTGGCCCTATCTCAGCTCACTGCAACCTCCACCTCCTGGGTTAAAGTGATTCTTTTGCCCCAGCCTCCTGACTAGCTGGAATTACAGGTGCATGTCACCACGCCCAGCTAATTTTTGTATTTTTAGTAGAGACAGGGTTGCACCATGTTGGCCAGGTGGTCTCAAACTCCTGACCTCAGGTGGTCTGCCCCCTTTGGCCTCCCAAAGTACTGGGATTACAGGTGTGAGCCACCATGCCTATCCCATACTCTTACTTCCTATGGGGTCCTTGTTGTTATGTTGGTAACCTGAATTGTGATACATTATTTTACAGTTTTTAATATCAGGTTCAATTCAAGATACTCCAAATGTATCTCTGGCCCCCACTTGGATTTAAATGAGTCCTAGGTATGCTTGTGGGTGGTCTGCATAATATGACAAAATATATGATAGCCATCTTCTTTTTTTAAATTATTACACTTTAAGTTCTGGGGTACATGTGCACAACATGCAGATTTGTTACATAGGTATACATGTGCCATGCTGGTTTGCTGTACTCATCAACTCGTCATTTACATTAGGTATTTCTCCTAATGCTATCCCTCCCCCAGCCCCCACCTCCCCAACAGGCCCTGGTGTGTGATGTTCCCCTCCCTGTGTCCATGTGTTCTCATTGTTCAATTCCCACTTATGAGTGAGAACATGCTGTGTTTTGTTTTCTCTTCTTGTGTTACTTTGCTGAGAATGATGGTTTCCAGTTTGATCCATGTCCCTGCAAAGGACATGAACTCATCCTTTTTAATGGCAGCATAGCATTCTATGGTGTATATGTGCCATATTTTCTTTATCCAGTCTATCATTGACGGGCATCTGGGTTGGTTCCAAGATTTCACTATTGTGAACAGTGCTGCAATAAACATACGTGTGCATGTGTCTTTATAGTAGCATGATTTATAATCTTTTGGGTATATACCCAGTAATGGGATTGTTGGGTCAAATGGTATTTCTAGTTCTAGATCCTTGAGGAATCGCCACACTGTCTTCCACAATGGTTGAACTAATTTACACTCCCACCAACAGTGTAAAAGCATTCCTGTTTCTCCACATCCTCTCCAGCATCTATTGTTTCCTGACTTTTTAATGATCGCCATTCTATCTGGACAGCCATCTTCTTAATCTCTCCATGAAAGCAATTCTTTATGGACTGCTAACTTATACTGACAGATTGTGCATGTATTGAATCCTTCAAACGGAACACTTCTTTAAACCCAGTAAAAACACTGAAAAACCTGAGATTCCCATGCAATTAACTACAATTTGATTAGCCTAAAGAAGTAGGTAAAGGATGTTTTTCTAACACAAAATCTACCAGGTTCAGAGCCTAAATATTTCACAATATAATTTGAAATGTTCTCATGGCAATATTTCTGAGTATTCTCAATTAAGTTTACAAGTTTATCATTAGGGAAGAGCTCCTTCCAAAAAGTAGAAGTAACATAGAGGAGGGGGCTTTAAACTTGGTTCCACATTAGAATTGGCTGAGGAGCTTTTAGAAAATACTGATGCTCAAGTCCACCCCTAGAGTGTCAAATACTTTTTATGCATTGGTGATCATCAAGTTTTGATCAATTATTTTATTAAAGTGATATATTTTATTGACTAATTTTTTTATTCTGAAACATACTTGTATTCCTCGGGGTAAATCTTACTTGGTCATGGCATGTAATCCTTTTTATATGTAGCTAGATTCAGTTTGGTAGTATTTTATTGAGAATATTTGTGTCTATATTAATAACGTACATTGACTGTAGTTTTCTTCCTTCTTTTTATTTTTTGAGACGGAGTCTCCCTCTGTTGCCAGGCTAGAGTGCAGTGGCATGGTCTTGGATCACTGCAGCCTCCGCCTCCTGGGTTCAAGTGGTTCTCCTGCCTCAGCCTCCTGAGTAGCTGGGATTACAGGCACTTACCACCACGCCTGGCTAATTTTTTGTATTTGTAGTAGAGATGGGGTTTCACCATGTTGGCCAGGCTGGTCTCGAACTCCTGACCTCGTGATCCGCCCACCTTGGCCTCCCAAAGCACTGGGATTACAGGCATGAGCCACTGCGCCTGGCCAAAGTTTTCATGTGATGTCTTTGGGTTTGGTATCAGGGTATTAATGACCTCATAGAATATGTTTGGAAGTGTTCCCTACTCTTTTTTTTTTTTTTTTTTTTTTGAGACTGAGTCTCCCTCTGGCCCAGGCTGGAGTGCAGTGTCGGCTCACTGCAAGCACTGCCTCTGGGGTTCATGCCATTCTCCTGCTTCAGCCTCCTGAGTAGCTGGGACTACAGGCGCCTGCCACCATGCCTGGCTACTTTTTTTGTATTTTAGTAAAGACAAGGTTTCACCGTGTTAGCCAGGATGGTCTGGATCTCCTGACCTCGTGATCCGCCCGCTCCAGCCTCCCAAAGTGCTGGGATTACAGGCGTCAGCCACCGCCCCCAGCCTTGTTCCCTACTCTTATTTTTCAGAAAAGTTTGTGAAGAATTCATGTTCTTTTTTTTTTTTTTATTTGAGACGGAGTCTCTGTCTGTCGCCGAGGCTGGAGTGCAGTGGCACGATCTCGGCTCACTGCAAGCTCCGCCTCTCGGTTTCACGCCATTCTCCTGCCTCAGCCTCCTGAGTAGCTGGGACTACAGGCGCCGGCCACCACGCCCGGCTAATTTTTTGTATTTTTAGTAGAGATGGGGTTTCACTGTGTTAGCCAGGATAGTCTTGATCTCCTGACCTTGTAATCTGCCCGCCTCGGCCTCCCAAAGTGCTGGGATTACAGGCATGAGCTACCTCGCCCGGCCATGTTAGTTCTTCTTTAATATTTGGTAGAATTTACTACTGAAGCCATCTTGTCCTGAGTTTTCCTTGTAGGAACATTTTTGATTACTAATCTTTTTAGTTGTTATAGTTTCATTTGTATTTTCTATTTCTTCTTGAGTCAGTTTTGTTGTTTCTGTCTTCCTTGAAATTTATTCATTTTATCTAGCTTATCTAATTTGTTGGCATAAAATTGCTCATAGAATTCCCTTAAAATTCTTTTTATTTCTGCAAAGTCAGTAGTAATGCACTTTCTTTCATTCTGGAATTTAGTAATTTGAGTCTTCTCTCTGTTATTCATGGTCAATCTATGTAAAAGCTTGTCAGATTTTTTTTTAATCAAGGAAGTAACTTTGGTTTTATTTCCTGTATTGTTTCTCTAATCTCTATTTTATTTATGTCTGTTCTAATCTTTCTTACTTCCTGTATTTTGCTTTTCTATACCTTGTTTATTAAGTTTTCTAAAATTAGGTACTAGTGTTGATTTTTATTAAATGCTATTTGGTGCATCTATGTAGGTCCTGTGATTTATCTTACTGGCCTATTAGCATAAATTTATTAATAGATTTCCTAATATTAATTAATGTATTCCTGAATTTCTACTAGATTATTGTGACATAAAAGGAAAGATAATATTGGTTATCTTAAATACCTTTTGTATTTATCAAATATTTGTAGTTAGTATATATGATTTTAATGATTAGAAACATATGATTTATATTTTACGTTTAAAAATGATAAAGCTATAGAAAAATAATGTTAAGTATATGGTCTGAGTGTGGAAAAATTTGATAAAATTGAAGAACATGGAGAAAATCTTAAAGTATTTTATTACATATAAAAACTCTGTGTGTCAATATATATAATAATAAAAACTGTGAAAATATGCATGTAACAAACAAAAATAGCAAAAAAACCAAATTCTTACTCAGTAGGAGCTCCTGAAATAGGAAAGGTCCAAAACCATCTTTGTATATAAATAAGCTAATTAACAGAAAAGGCGATCTAAAACAAAAGAAATGGAAAGCACTAATACATATTTGGAAAGCTGTTACCAGCATTATAGACATTTAAATTAAGTTGAGTTGTTATGTTCATCTAAGAAATCAGCCCAAGATTTTAAAAATGGATATTACTCAAATGTTGGTGAGAGTGCAGTTTGAGAGGGAAACTCACATATTCTTGCTTTAAGTATAGGTGGTATAAGCTTTTTGGAAGGCAATATGGCACTATTTCAAGGGCCTTAAAAATGTTCATACATTGTGACTAAAGGAAAAAATAGCTGAAAAAATATAAAATGATTTAGGGACAAAGAAGTTCAACTGAGTAGTGATTTTAATAGCAAAAAAGTGTTAAGCATATATATGTTCATAATTAGCACATTAATAAGATTCAATGTTTTGCAGCTATTAATATTATAAACGATTTTTAATACCATAGAAAGATACAGCTAATAGAATATTATATCAAAAAAGGATATAAATTTTGTTCAGTTAAATTAAAAATTTGTCAAAAATGCAAAGAAAAAAATATAAGATAAAATAAGGAAAGAAACATGAAGTCTAAAAAATCCTCACTGGAAAGTAGAATAGGTCTAGAGACTTATTTTTTTTAAGAGGTATCTGTCATAATTTATTTAATTTATTCTATTTATTTGGTTCATTCAGGTTTTCTTCTTTTTGAGTCAACTACATATACTTCTGGAAAATTATGTATTTTCTTAAGCTTTTCAATTGTATTAGCTTTGGATTGGATAAAATTTGCTTAGAATTAAAGAAAACCTTTACAGTTTTTATATTCCCTATATTATTTGTAAATAGTATGTCTGATTTTGCCATCTTTTGTGTTGGTTTGCCTAATTATCTTGTCAGAGTTTGAACTGTCATTGATTTTTATATTTAAAACTAAAACTCTTAGATTTACTTGCAAGTTCTATTATCTTTCTGTCTTTTTCCTTAGTTATTTTATATGTATTTTTATGTTCAATATTCTTTTCCTCTTGCCTTCCTTGGGAATTCTTTTTCCTGTAGGTTTTTTCCCCTCACTTTCTTGATTTGAATGCATTTTCTTTTTTTAAAATAAACTGTTTAAAGAGCGATGGCTTTAATTCTTACCACAACCATGATTAAATCCCATAAGTTTTTATATATTCAATTCTCGTCTCCGTTGTTGGTTCCATAAACTACAAATATTTTAGAACTGTCTGTTTAGAATTCTAGAAATATCTAGAATTGGGTAGATATCTTCCCTTGACTTCCGGTTGCTGGTAATTATTGTCTTCATCTCTTTTGTTTCCCTTACTCCTTTTCCTCCTTGTTGTCATCAGAAAATGGGGTATAACACAGGCAGGTTCAGGAAATAGTTTTGCTAGGTGGTGGTAGTGATGGGTGTTAGGGGTGTGGCTGGATAATTCTTAGGTCTATGATGGCCCTGACTGAGCTAATGGGGAATGGTGAAGATGAGTCAGAAATTTTCTCTTCTTCGGAACTAGCATGCTCTTCTGGATTAGCTGGTGCAGTGAGCTGTGGCTGCATTTTGCACTCCAGCCTACTACTGCTTCATTTAGTGGAAATATCTCTATATTATGAAACATAATCTTTTAAGCTAGAGCAGTTGTGTGTGTGTGTGTGTGTGTGGAGGGGGGATTTTGTTGGTAGGGGGTGAGTGTATTTCTGCAGGTACTTGGAAGAAGACATTCCAGGTATTGTAGGTGCTATGGTTTGAATGTGTGCCCTCAAATTCAAGGGTTGCCAATGTGGTAATATTAAGAAGCAGGGCCTCTAAGAGGTTATTAGGTCATAAGGACTCCTCCCCTCATGAATAGGACTAAAGCCCCTTTAAAAGAGGATCATGCAGGCTGGGCGTGGTGGCTTACGCCTGTAATCCCAGCACTTTGGAAGCCCGAGGCGGGTGGATCACGAGGTCAAGAGATCGAGACCATCTTGGCCAACATGGTGAAACCCCAACTCTACTAAAAATACAAAAATTAGCTAGGTGAGGTGGCGCGCGACTGTAGTCCCAGCTACTCAGGAGCCTGAGGCAGAGGAGAATTGCTTGAATCCCGGAGGCAGAGGTTGCAGTGAGCTGAGATTGCGCCACTGCACTCCGGTCAAAAAAAAAAAAAAAAGGCTCATTCAGCTCCCTTGATCTTCCATTTTTCTGACATATGAGGATTCAGTGTTTCTTCCCTCTAGAGGATGCAGCAATAAGTTGCCATCTTGGAAGCAGACAGCAGCCCTCACCAGACATTCAACCTGTCAGTGCCTTGATCTTGGACTTCCTGGCCTCTTGAACTGTTCTTTATAAATTATGCAGAAATTTCTGTTCTTTATAAATTATGCAGGCGGTGGTATCTGTTATGGCAGCACAAATGGACTAAGACAGTCAGATAACAACTTTTTATTCTTAGCCTCCTTTTAAAAGTCAGGTGTCCTCAGAAAATGTTACTTTGGTAGTGGCGAAATAGGCAAAAAGCCCTAAGAACCGGTCCTTTATCACAGCCCAAATCACCTACCTGCAGATGATGTTCGAGTTAGTATCTCCTATTCAGATTCCATTGCTAAGCTCTAGAGGCCTCCCCTTGAATTTTCTACGTGTCCTTCAAATTCCATGTAGTAAACCCAGAACCCATCATCTTTCTTCCTGAGCTCCCTTCTTTGTCTGTATTTTTTATTTTGGTAACTTGCACCAGCACTTAACCAGTTCCCAACTCAGAATCATCCCACATCCTTCACTTCTAGGTTATGCAGAATCTTAATATATTTGGACATTGTCCCCTTGTCTCCATCCTCACAGCCATTGCCTTGGTGAGGCTTTCACTTGTCTGAATTATTATTGTTTTAAGAGTTACAGTCCAATCTTTATTTAAAAATCTGATGTGCCAGCTTAAGGTTTTCCACCAACTCAGGGAGCTGAAATTGTCACAGGCTTCACAATCTTTTGTTCAGGTGCTGCCTTTGTAGGTGCCTTAGCAGCAGCCATTGCAGTCTTTTTAGATGCTTGCTTAGCCTTTTGTGCTTCCTTAGCAGCCCTGATAGCTTGTTCTCGTTGAGCCATTTATTTCTGATTCCTCTTGGCCATGATGTCAGCAAGAGACGCACCCGTAAATGGCTATCTGGAATTTGACTGCTCGGCAGGTTCTTTTCTTTTGAATTTCTTCCGACTGTCCCTTTTCGGGCTTCCTTCTGTAGAGGATACTCCAATTTATTTGCTGAGGATTCCTCTTGGAAATAAATGCATTAAGAAACTGGAAAACCTTCTCGTCCGTCCCGGTGTAGTGCCTCCCGTGTCCGGGGAAGATCTTGTACCTGCTGAAACTGCACGGCTTGACCTTCAACTGCTCTAGCTTAAAAGCGGCGACTCCACAGGAGGAGAAAAGATGGCGAAGAGAACCACTTGTCTGAATTATAGTGGCAGCCTCCTACCCGGCTTCTTGCCTCTCATTTGGTCCCACAAGGCTACTAAAGGTATCTTTCTAAAAGCGCAAATTGGATTTCATTCCTTCACTCCACTTGGCTTTCAGGATGAAGTTCACATTTCTCAGCTTAGAACAAGGCCCTTCAGGAATTTGCCTTTGCTTGCCTCTCTGTCTGCAGAGCTCACCACTTTCCATCTTATATGATTCACTTTAGTCAGATAGAACCACCTAAGGTCACTGAAGGCATTATTACGTTTTGAGTATTAATACAAAACACCTTTATTTTGAACTAATTTTAAACTTACAGAAAAATTGCAAGATTGCTATCAAAAACCCTCATATACTTTTCACCTAGATTCACCAATTGTTAACATTTTACCACATCTGTTTTATCATTCTATCTATCTATTTAATCAATCATCATCTCTCTAGTATTTGTTTTCTGAGCCATTTGAGAGTAAGTTGTAGACATTATGTCCCTGTATTTCTAAATTCTTCAGTGTGTATTTCCCAAGAACAAAAGCATTCAGTTATATTATACAAACACACGGAAGTTATCAAAATCAAGAAATGTAACATTCTTAAAACAGTATTACCTACTTTATAGACCTTATTCAAGTTTCATTAATTTTTATAGTGATTTGTGTGTGTGCACACACACACATCACTCAGGGATCACCCCTTCTATGTAATTGTCATGTCCCTGTGGTCTCCTGTAATCTGGACATTTGGGTTTTTTAATACCTAGATGGCTTCTCCCAGTCACTTGTCTGCCTAGGATACTTTCTTCTTTCTTCATCAAGTTCTCTTACTTTTTCAAAAGTAGCGCTTATAACCACTTGCCCAGACATACTTTCCCAGACCTTGCAATATGATTTTCTTAAATCTCCTTTCCTGTTGCATCACATGAAAACCTTCATCCTTGCTAATCATATTGCTTTTCTTATCTGATTTGTAAGCCACTTGAGGATGAGGATCAGGCCTTATTTAACTTTTTATCACCATTGCCCAGCAAAGTAGTCCACATAAAGTTTCAGCTCAATACATGTATTTTAAATATTTTGATAGGTGACTGTTCCCATGAATGAGTGTTTAACATTTAGGGGTTAATACCCCTGATATCCAAAGAGTTTCTTCAGATCGATTAAAGTGTGGGGAAATCGGCTGATGGGAGTATGAATTGCTGTCACCTAATGAGAAGGCAACTGGCAGTATCTTAAAAAATTAAAAATTTTAAAAATTAAAAAATGCTGTTTAAGGGACTATATCCTGTGATGAAATAAGTACTAGTACCTAAGAACATAAGTGCAAGGAAGTTTCTCGTAACATTTTTATTGTGATAAAACATACCAGAAACAATTTGAATGTTCATCACTAGAAGCATATTTGAATATATTGTGGAATATTCATACAGTTTAAAAGAAATGAATATTGTGGTATATCTGTACAACACAATGGATAAACTACTGCTATTATACTGAACAAAAGAAGCCAAACACCAAAAGATGCAAACTTTATAATTTGTTTGTAGGAAATAATAAAGCACACAAAATTAGATCTGTGGATGATCTACAGTTTGGGGACTTGTATGACTAGAAAGAGGCATGAGAGAACTTTCTGGATGGTGGAAATGTTCCATATCTTGATATGGGTATCAGTCAGTTGTGTGGGCATACATTAAAACTGATTAAATTGTACACTTAAGGTCTGTGTCTCAATAATATTGTTAAGCCTGGGCAACGTAGCAAGACCCTGTCTCTGCTAAAAAAAGAAAACAAATATTAGCTGGGCTTGTTGGTGCACGTCTGTAGTCCTAGCTACTTGGGAGGCTGAGGTGGGAGGATCACTTGAGCCCAGGAGTTCAGGGCTATAGTGAGCTGTGATCATACCACTGCACCCCAGCCCGGGTGATGAAGTAAGACAATCTCTAAATAATAATAACAACAACAACAACAACAACAACAACAACAATATTGTTAATAAGAAATGTGCATAGTCCCTGAGTTAATTACTCTGTCTTGAGGGCTATATCACAATAAGCTGTAGCCCTAATTACCTGTACATAAGAATATGTGTACAAGAAAGTTGTTGTAATAGTATATATTATAGTAAAGCATCTACCAAAAACTTGAAAATATCCAAAATCTTCATCTCTAGAGAAATAAATATATTTTGATATAGTTATAATGGAAAATGATATAACTACTTAGAATATAAGTCAACCTAAATGTATTGATCTGGAGGGGTGTGCATGATATATTCTGAATGAAAAAAATACAAATTATTGAATAGTGTATGGTAATTTTTATATTTTATTTTATTTTCATTATTATTATTTTTTGAGACAGAATTTCACTCTTGTTGCCCAGGCTGGAGTGCAATGGTGCCATCTTGGCTCACCATAACCTCCATCTCCCAGGTTCAAGCAGTTCTCCTGTCTCAGCCTCCTGAGTATCTGGGATTACAGGCATGCGCCACCACGCCCGGCTAATTTTATACTTTTAGTAGAGACAGGGTTTTTCCATGTTGGTCAGGCTGGTCTTGAACTCCCAACCTCAGGTGATCCTCCTGCCTCGGCCTCCCAAAGTGCTGGGATTACAGGCGTGAGCCACTGCACCTGGCCTGAATAGTATATAGTATTTTTTATAAAAAGGAGGAAAACCTTTCTGTATAATTATAAATGTTTGTATGGAAAAAAGGTGTGAAAGAATCCACACCAAACATGACCCAGAGAATCTAGTGAGTATATATTTCCACAGTATGTGCTATTTTTATAATTAATTTTATTATATATAATTATAAAATTATAAATAATTTTAAAATTAAAAAACCCAGTAAAGTAAGTTCATTCACAAAAAATTCATGCAAGTAATGCGTAAAAAAAACCTGTTTTTTCCTTCTACTATACTCTTACAACACAGAACACTTCTGTGACCAGATGTGTGGGGCTTTTCCACACATACCAAGCAAGTAATCAGTTCTGCAGCAGACACCAGCTGGGTGTCTTCTAATTCAATTCGATTCTGGCAGTATCCACTTGGAGGTAGCATCAGGTCTCACAGGTTGAGGGCCTGGTCCCCAAGACTGACCCTCACTTTAGGAGCCTGTCATAAGTCTGGGCTTCAGGAACTTCTGACCCACTGGCTATAAACTCGGATTTCCAGGGCCCCTCCTCCAGTTTGATAAATTTGCTAAAGCAGCTCCCAGAACTCAGGGAAACACTTTACTTATGTTTGCCTGTTTATTTCAAAGGATAATTTAAAGGATACAAACAAATAGCCAGATAAAGAGAAAAGTGCAAGGTCTAGAAGGTTCCTGAGTGCAGAAACTTCTGTCCTTATGGAGTTGGGGGTGCACCTCCCTCCTCACGTGTGGATGAGTGCTTGCTTGCCAATGTGGAAACCCCCTGAGGGCAGTAGGACTGAAGGTTCCAATCCTCCAATCTCACAGTTGGTTCCCTTGGCAACCAGCCCCCATCCTGAGGTAATCTAGGGGCTCCCAACCACCAGTCATCTCATTAGAACACAAAATATACTATTTTTCTTTTTTTTTTTTCCGAGACAGGATACTCTGTTGCCCAGGCTGGAGCACAGTGGCATGACCACAGCTCGCTGCAGCCTTGACCTCCTAGATCAAGTGATCCTCCTACCTCAGCCTCCCGAGTAGTTGGGACTGCTGGCGAGCAGTCACCACACCTGGCTAACAAAAGATACTCTTATCTCTTGGGAATTCTAAGGATTTTGAATGCTTAAGTCAGGAAATGGGGAAGAAGACCAAATATGCATTTCATAATATCACACAAGGAAACATGGGGAAGTAATAGAAGCCTGAAGTAAAACTAGTTGGGGAAACTACATTTATTATTGGAGTATATAGTCTGTTTGACTTGATTCCAATGTTTCCATTCCAACCATCCTTTGCCTTTTTGTCCTTTATCTAATTGTCCTTTGTTGAATAAAATTGTTACATGAATAATATGGTTGAGTGATATCAGTGCCCCTGAAAAAAAATCACCTGAAGAACATTACACTGTGGTTCCATTGAAGTTAAGCATGTGAGTAAATTAGTAGTTTAAGAGCGGTGAGCCACCAATTCAGCAAATTTAACATTTGGCAACTATGATTTATGTTGTGGGGATGAGGCAGAGATGTTTTTATGTGTCCTGTGTTTATTTAACCTAACATTTTTTTGAGGGGTGCACAATTATGATGTACACAGAAAGGACAAAGTGAAAACAAATGTTTGTGTGGTTGGGCTTGTCCTTCTGGCTAAACCAGTCCACAGACCAACACACACCTAAGACGCCTCCTGTTTCTATGGAGGCAGGGTGCTATAGGAGATAGAGGTGAAAACAAACAATGAAAATGAAAGAAAAAGCCTCGGCTTCAGGGTGGGAGAAGCAGGGATTTGAATGACAGTTCACTTAAGAGTATACCATGTGTAACTTCTCTAAGCCCCCTTTTCTTCATGCTGAGGGGATTGTGAGGTTTGCTGTGTTTTAAAAAGACTGCACCGTGCCTGACATGTATTAGGGTCATTGAACATATTAACTTGTCTTCCTTCCTGGTTGCAATGTCATATTTTTACCTGCCCAACAGCATCCTGGTATTTTTATTTTGGAAATCCCAGTATTAGGAGTGACATTGGCTCAGAAACAAAGGGATTTATCAGCCACATTAGGCGACTTTCCATATTTCAGCTATGTTTGACATCTCTGCTCCTCTCAGTAAACTGGAACTTCCCATCATGAAGTTGGTTTTCCTCTGCCCCCGCTTCTGCCTTTTTTCGTTGTGCCGTACAGTTTTAGCAGGATAAGATCCTTAAGTCTGCATTTGTGATAAAGGAGGCAGCAGCTTCTACCAAAGTGGCTTTCTCTATGTGTGTTGAGTCTGCCTGACTGATAAATAACAGATCAGAAACAGCGAGTGGCCTTTGAAATTGAAGCGCTGACTATAGTGGGGAAAATGAAAGGATCTTATGTTTTTGATCAAAGGATGATATCTTCCAGCTTGGAAAAGGGGGTTATTCTGCCTGCCAAGGCCTATGATACTCTGTTACTTACTTACCCTAGGGAAGAAGATTCAATTTCATAGCTATTATATTGCTTCATAGTTTAAAAATAAAAATATATTTATAGCTATACAACTTTTTCAGCCATTTTACTTTCCCTTTCTAACTCCTGTCTTCCAATCTGGCCGCCAGGTAAATTGCTTTGTGATTCTTAACCTAAATGGCAATTAAACAATCCTCTGGATCCTGGATCTTACTGAATATTCACTACTAAAGAGATGACAACATTTCAATGAAGGGGGGAATTAAAGGAAGACAAGGATGCCGTGTTGACTGTAGGTACTTAATGGGAAAATCTCTGGTGTCATTCTGGAGGACATGGTTTCGTGTTAGTAATAAAACTGGCTGAGGGAAAGGTGTGGGTGTGGATAGGTCAAGGGCAGGGCCAAAGTGAGTCTATGATCACTGTGTTAACCCATGGGTGTCTGAATCTGAGGAGAGATTCAACAGAGTGAAGAGAAAGGGGAAGGTCTGAAAGGGGTCTGAGGTACTAGACTGGAAAGAAGACTGGATATGAGGACTGCAAGATTGAAAATTAGAGAAGAGATGGACAGACAGAAGACAACCAGGGATTAATTCCCAAACGAAGACTATATTCTATTCTGAGTAGCTTAAGTACTTTGTGGGGGAAGATGTTAAATCCTATTGATATCAAATTATGCTAGTTTCTGGCTTACCAATCATGAATGCTGAATCTGCATGCACCCAACATACTTGTGCGAGTGTATACATACATTACATATATAAATAGACACTCATAGAGATTTATATTGTCTTATTTCAATATAGATCTGGCTTCTACTTGTCAGTCCTGTTATTTGTTCCTTCAAACTACCTAAGATAAACCAAACAACAGGTAATTTATGTTTCTCCTTAAATGCTTAATCTCCATACATATTATCAGTTTACTCTCACTCATCCTACCAGTGACTGCACTGTCCAGTATGGCAGACACTGAGCACTTGAAATATGGCTAGTCTAAATGGAGATATACTCTAAGTCTAAAATGTATGATGAATTTCTAAGACATAAAGGACATGTAAAAGATTGTCAAAATTGATATGTGATATAATATTGAAATTATATTTTTGACAGGATTGGCTTAATTATAATTTTACCTGTTTCTTTTTGTGATTTAAATGTGGCTGTTAGAAAATTTAAAATTAATAATATGCCTCACATCGCGGCTCATGTTGTATTTCTATCGATCAGCACTTTCGAAGACCTTCTCACTTCTTCCTTCAAGTAAAAAAATTGGAAAGACCCAGAGTGAGTTCCCTGATGGCTTACCCCAGTTTTCATGTTGACATGCCATCTACCTATATCTATCCTCTCATAGACAGTATCATGGAGTGGTTAAGAGCTCAGTGCTAGAAGTAGATTGCCTGGCTTCAAGCTCTGCATTTGTCACTTACTACCTGTCTGGCCTTGGGCAAGTTGCTTTATCTCTGAGAGATATATCATCTGTAAAGTAAGATAATAATAGAATAATTACAGAATACTACTTCATAGGATTACGAGTATTAATTGAGTCAATATATGGAAGACACTCTTAACTATGTGTAGCTCAAAGGAAATACTCAAGGTTAGCTGCCTTATTGTTCCTTAAGAATCTCAGCAGAAGACATACTTTTACCCTTCACTTTCTGGAGGATTTCAACAGTGTTTCATTTTTCTCCAGTTGGAGTCTGAAGAGAGAGAGGAACAAGAGAACTGAGGGTGTGTGCAAGGGAGTGATTTAAATGATAGAAGATAAAAATCTTAGTCCGGTTGGGAAAGAAAATGACAACATGAGGTAGATGAGGTTCTGATGGAGTTGAAGCACTGTTGGAATTGGACTAAAAGTGAGCTGGAAAGATGGAAAGCGGCTATGGGAGTGACATGCTTGGAATTGTCATCATGGAGGAGATGAGTTATTGGTGATGATAAGATCCAGGATGTGACCACGGAAGTAAGTGCTGAGGTAGGGGGGATGATAAGATCACTGGGGGAAAGGAGATCAAGGAGCTGAGAAACCAGATTATTGAAAAGATCACCGGTGTAAATATGGAAATCCTGAAGAATTAGAATAGTAGTATTGTGAACCAGAGATAATATCTTCAAGGAGTGGGTAAGAGTGATTTGGAGGTGGGTAAATGACTATTATAAGAAGAATAAATGGATGTTAGAAGGTGATGAGATTCAAAGTTGGGAGTTTTCAGAAGGAGAGAAGAGAGAATGGGCTGGAAATAGCAAGGAGGAGCATGAGGGACACCTACTCCAACTTCATGCCCAGTGGTATGAGGCTCACCATTTAAGAGACTCCCAACTGGAGCCTTAAATTGCAACAATAAAGTGAAGCAAATATTAAGAGATGAGATTGAGGTTTTAGGGATTTTGCTGATGATAGTTCATAAATTCCAGAGGGCCCAGTGTATGTGTTGTCAGGAGTTGGGGAAAGGAGGAAGGCAGGGTTACATAGAACTGTATGGGAACTAGAGTCCTTGGATGAAGAAATAAAGGCATGAGAAAAGTGGTGTTGATAGTCACCATCAAGATAATAGTTTGAGGCTGTGAATTTTTAGAAGGAGGCGGAATCTGGCCAGAAACACCAAATTCAGGGGCTTCCATCGGACCCTGCTGATGAAGGGATGAGGCCAGTAGAGGAGAAAACAGAGCCAGTGAGAATAAATTGAGTGAGAAGGAGCAAGTGAGCTAGCTTAGACACAGAAGCCATTACCTCAAGATGCTACTGAGAAGGGCCAGAGAGAGGAGAACCTGGCAGTAACTGGCCTTTTTGTTAGGATGGTGGTTTGCAAAATTTAGTACACATCAGAATCACCTGGAGGCTTTGTTAATATCCACATCGCTGGGCCTTACCTGCAGAATTATTGATTCAGTGGGTCTGGGATGGGGCTGAAGAATTTGCATGTTTAACAAGTTCCCAGGTGATACTGATGCTACTAATCCTAGGACAGCACTATGAGAAGCACTGTTCCATTCTAGGGGTGTTTTCAAGGATGTGGCCCTATGACAGAGCAGCTGAAATCTCTGCAAGAGGATGTTGATTGCCTCCTTCATAAGCTCATTGGCCCTAAGGTGCAGAATACATGAAAGCAATTGACAATACTGATCTGATGGAGCTGTAACTCTAGCCCCTTGCCTGGCCAGATCTATTGTTTCCTAGGAAAGGCAGACAAAATGTGAACAACTGTTTACTCATTTGCAGTAGCTGAGATGAACGCGAGATTGGCTAGTCAGTCTGAATAAGGGAAGGTGGAAGCTTGGTGGTCATTTTGATATCCAGTATCTACCCTGGGCACACTTCAGAACAGATCTATGCCCAGGAGAATAGCTCCAGGTGTCCTGATTGGAGGCTCAGGTTGTTAATAATTTTCTTCTCTTAGTCAGGATTGGTTCACATCATGAGCAGAAAACAGAGTAGTCAGCAAAGGCTCCAACACTGAGAAGAGCCAGGGGCAGCTTGACAACACTCATATGCCCACGTTCCTCCGTCTTGCTCACTGCCTCCTACCCTGGCTCCTAGCAGTGAGTCTGGTTACCTCCAGACTCTTGTCCTGATTCCTCTGCTCTACTCCAAATTCCTTCCCTCATTTTCACAGCTTCAAAATTTTGCTCTCCTGACTTTTCTTTTTCTCTCTACCCATGCACATGTTAAATTCTCCCCATCCTAAATAATCAAATTCCATGAACCTCTCAAGCTATTGCTCTCACTTGCATCTTCATGTTTCCATTCAGAATTCTGTCCATGGGGAAGGCTTACATTTTTCTTTTCTTTAATAAGGACAAAGACTCAGGCTTTTTTTGGTCAAAATGTATTTTGAGAGAAAGGCCCAACTCCTGTAGCAGTGAGGGTGCCAAATGTTGGCTTGGAATGGCTTTAGTCTCTCTATAATTTCCATCGGTCTCCCAAAGCCACCCCACTTAAACATGCGATCAAATACAAAGAGTGATTTTGCTATGCAAGAAACTTGTAAAACAAATTCCTTTGCCCCTACTTAATAAGCAGATTGCACCCCTAAGCACCTCTAGGGAGAAATTCAGGGGCTTCTACAAACCTGTCTGTGGCTTAGGGATGTCCCCTCAGTCTCATTTGGAGGCTGAGTTCCAAGTCTAGATCTTGGATGTCCAGTGCATGTCCCAAGGACCAGTGCTCCTCAGTGCAACAATTGATGAGGCCACTAGAGATATCCCATTGATTTCTGAATCTTCTATACCCAGGGTTTCCCAAACTTTCCTGATGGTAAGGATGATCTGGATGCTTATTAAAAACAAACAAGCTTGATACCTCTCCTGTAATTCAAATTCAGTAAACCTGGGCCAGGTCTCAGGAATCTTGCTTTTAACAAGTATCCCAAGTGGGATTTTGGGAATATCTTACAGCATTTAGGACAATATCTGGTATCTGGTATACCAGGTATATAAGTATTTGGTAAAATAACTGTACTCAATAAATATTTGCTGAATGGAATTTGCTTATGTACATTTTACTACTTTGCTTCATAGTGACTTCCACTTTGATACTTTTAGTGAACCTTGTCTGTTTTAAATGGTCATGCCACTATGACCCTTCTAAACATGCTATCCCTGCAAATTGTATCAACTTGAGTATTAGAATTCAGTATTCTTTTTAAATGGTAGAATCTACCTGTAAATCCCTGTGTTGGCTATACTCAAAGTCTTTACCATCATCTGTACTACAATTTACTGCCTAACCTTGCTGGGGAAACTTTATCTTATGGAATTCATTGATGTAAATGAAATAGTTCATCATTTACTGATAATGAGCCATGTTTGCAATTTACCCTGGAAGCATATACTTTATTAAAATCATGATATTAGATTTAGCTTCCTAAATCATTTTATGAAGCTAATGTAACATTAATACCAAAACCTAACAAAGTATCAAAACTCTAATGCTGTCAGCTAATTTCTCCTACAAATACAGATGCAGAATTCTTAAATAAAATACTAGCAAATCAAATCTAGCATTATATTAAAGGAACAATATATGATTAACCAATAACTTCCAGAAATTCAGAGATGACTTGATATGAGAAAATATATCAGTGTAATTAATCATGTTAATAATTGAAAGGAGAAAAAGAGCCAGATGCTGAAAAAGAACTTGAAAAAATCAACATCTATTTTAAAAAAAGATCTTTACAAAACTTAGGGTAGAAAAGTAAGTCCTTATCAATATGTTATGCAATGTTTATTTTAAATTGTTTATATGATACTTAATAGTATCATATAAACTTTATACGATACAAGCATCCCTGTCGAAATCAAGGTCCGAAGAAGAGTCCTCGTTAGCATGTGTATCATTTAACATTCTTCTGGAATGTTTAGCCTATGCAATTAGATTTCAAAAAGAAATCAGAAACATAAGACAGATTACTCTTTGATGGTGATTTGACTACTGACCTCAAAGAATCAGCAAAAACAATTTTAAAATCATTAAGAGAATAACAAAAACAAAGTTTTCTTATAAATTGATAATAACCAGATGTGAAATGTATTATAATTATTCCAATAACAATAATACAACACATATAAAATACCTAGTTAGAATCATCATAAGAAATGTGTAAAATTCATGTAAATTTTCTTAAAGGAAAAGCTGAGTTGAAATATGGAAAAGAGTGTTACAGTTTTAGATCAAAATACTCAAATTTAAGATGTCTACAAACCCCACAACAATTTGTAAATTTGATGTCATCTTCTTGAAATATAATTGGTAGCTTTGGGGGTGAATAAGGCAAAAAGAGCAATTAAAAAGTTCATATGGACTGGCCAACATGGTGAAACCTCATCTCTATTAAAATACAAAAATTAGCCCAGCATAGTGGGGAGAACCTGTAATCTCCACTACTCAGGAGGCTGAGGCAGGAGAATCGCTTGAACCTCCGGGAGGTGGAGGTTGCAGTGAGCCGAGATCGAGATTGTGCCATTGCACTCCAGCCCCGGCAACAAGATGAAACTCCATCTCAAGAAAAAAAAAAAAGTTCATATTGGTAAAGCAAATGGACACAATTAATCAAGAAAATTTGAAAAACAATGTGGTGTGTGAGTGTGTGTGTGTGTGTGTGTGTGTGTATAAGTGCAGATTTGAAAGTATATTTTAAAGTTATAACTTGAAACAACAGGCTGCTGCTAAAAGCATAGATGACCAGATGACCAGAATAGAACAGAAAGATCAGAGCAGACCCAAGTTAGGTAATACAATATGACAATGATATTTCAAATCTTTGGGGAAAGAATAAATAATTTGCAAATGGTGCTCTGTGAAGTGTTGCAGGCTAATGCAGAAAATCACTACCCTGTACCCCTCTCCCTACCTCTGGTTCATAGCACAGCTCCATTTATATTTGTATTACATATAATGGCATCTCATGTAAAATAATTTTGCTTGGAGAAAGCATTCCAGTGTTTTAAAAAGGTATTTGAAAAACCACAGAAATAGAAGGTACATGACCAAGTGTTTAGGTATATGGAAAGGAATAAAGTTAGAATCTTCTAATGCTAATGTAAATTCCAGATGGATTATGGACCAAATATAAAAAAATGAAACTCATTAAAGAACTTAAAGAAGAGAATATAAGTAAGTATTTATATGATCTTGGGGGTGGGAAAAGCCTTTCTAGCATACAAATAGTATAAAAGAAAAATAAATAGGTTTAACTATTTAGAAATGAGAAATCTTCTGTATGTAAAAATCACCAGAAAGATGATTAAAATGTGATACACTGTATAAAACATCTGTAATATATTATCTTAAAAAGGCTTAATAATCTAGGATGTTGTCATGATAAGAAAAAATTGAGCAGCCCAGTAGAAGAATGGACAATGGATATAATAGACTGTTGTAAAACAAGAAATTTACATGGCTAATAAGCATAAAGCAACAGCATGACTAGTAGTTGGAAAATGCAAACACAAATGAATACCATTTTCTTTATCAATCTGATGGTAATTAGAAGCCGATGTTATTAGCAATACTAGAAATAAACATTCTCTTGTTAAAGAGGGGAGGGTAAATATAAACTGGTACAATCATTTTAGAAAGCAATTTGGCAATGTATAGCAAAAGATTTAAATCTGCATATCGTTAAATATAGCAATGTTAATTTTAAGAATATAACCTAAGGAAATAGTCATGGTTGTGAACAAAGATACATGTAAAAGAAAACTTATGAAAGCATTTTGTACAATAAGAGAAAATTGTAAACAAACTATATGTTCAATAGGGAATTATTAAAATTATAGTATATTCTTGAAATACTTTGGAGGCAATGAAATGATGCTGTTAAAGAACGTTCAATAACATGAAATTTTTACAGCCTGTGATTAAAGGAGAAAAGCAGGTTATAAAAAATTTGGTGTATTATGATTCCTCCATATGAAAAATGCAGTTATATGCCTAGGAAAGAGACTGGACGAATGTATATTCAAATGTTAGTTTTGTCTAACTTTGAACATTGGGCTTTTGAGTGTTATTTATTCTTTTTGATATTTTTCTACACTTCCTAAACTTTTTACCACAGACATTTACTATAGTTTAAATCATAAAAAACCAATCAATTTTGGAAATTACTTAGATTTTTCAAATTTTAGCTTTCAATTAATCTCACAGTGAGTTTGGATTGAAATTCAGTCTCTAAATCTTCATTTTACTATGTTTTATTTTTGCTATCTACATTTTCTCCATAAAGGGTTGATGGCATTTTAATTTGCTGAGACAAATGTGGAGCAAACCATTTAAGTTTGTGTTTACAACTTTGCATTGTTGTATACTTTTGGGAAAATACAAAAAGTTTTTCATTCTTTTTATTAGCTCCATAATTACTTTATGTAGTGTTCTGCCATGATAGCAGAAAACTTGAAAATGTAATTAAGAAATTCTCAAGCACAGCAGGAGATTTTGCTGGAAAAAAAGAACCTTAAATAAGAAACTTGATGATCAAGAGAAAGTGGGGTTTGAAGCCTGCTTCTAACCTTGACATTTGTGAGTGAGGCACTAAAACACTGTATCACTTCAAATTTTTTTGTGATTCTAGTAAAACATATTTACTGTTTCATCGTTATCTTATTGTTTAATGTAGCTGTTGCATTGGTGATTTCCATGCTACTTTTCTCTTTGATAGCTGAGTTTTCCTCACTTCATCTTGCCGAGTCTACGTGTTGTACCATTTCAGGGAATGCAAGAGGCATATTGAATAACGCTATGTAATTTTGGGGTTTAACTTGGTGGAGGCAGGGACTAGAGTTAGGAGCCCACCTTTCCCAGTGGTTACCAATGAGGTTGTTTAGCTTATGTATGATCAAATCCCTGTATGTCCAAGTTTCTCTACACTAACCTTGCCTGGCCAGTATCAATGTGTCTATTCCTTGGTTCCTGATAGAAACTTACTGGGACTAGAATCTTGCCCTAAATTTCAGCAACTGATAAATCTGTTCTTGCTGAGATCTGGACTCTCTTCTCCATGCTCCTTGCTATTTGCTGAAATCTTTTCCCAAATCAGATGGACCACATGGGTTCATGATGTTGTTACCCCTTGACCTCCTCATTCACTAATAAGTGAAAATGCTTCTGTAGACTCTTTGAGTATCCATGTTAACCGGGTAAGTGCAGTCTCTTCTTATGGAATCTGTAGTGTGGGTTGCTGACCATCAGCTTTGGTGCTCACCCCTTGTGGAGGCAGTTCCCCTGTCCTGGTTCCATCAAATTTAGGGAGCATTTCCTCCTTTACCAGCCTATGTCTAGAGGCTGATTCAGCCTGAATTATGACCCTATTTTTTTTCCAGGATATGAAAATATAGTTTAAAAAGGACCAATTGCTAAGGCTTTAGAGAAAATTTTCTCTCATTTTCTTTAAATTATGTAAAATATTTTGTGATGTGTAATAGTGGTTAAATAAATCTGAGTAGCCTTTAACTGATTTGGAAGTAGGGTCAGATTGACCTCACAATCTCTGGGATAAATTGAAGTTTCACTATTTTAGTTCTTTTAGAGGGCACAGAGGGAAATAGCCATTTATAGATAATTTTATTTCATAAAATAAATAGTCTGATAGATAACTGTGTTTAGATAAAGTCTGTACACTTCAATGGACAAATAAATAGATAATGTCAAAAACATATTTATCATACAAATCTATCCTCATATTTTATTTAGTCAGAGGCATTTATAAACCTAGGAAAAAAATTGCTGGCTTGAAACATTCATAAAGTAGCAAACAAATACCCTTGGGCAAAGAGTCTACCCACATAAATTGATTTCTAAATAAAGATTCAATTTAGATTTAAAAGTCTTATATGCACCCAGAGGTATCTATTACATCTGTAATTTCCTTGTGGGGTTCTGATGCCTGATTCTGCTGTCATCAGCTTATTAGTTGCTTTCACATGGAAGAAGCAGAGCTTCCAATTAGCACAATTTTTAAATGAACATGTTGGAAATTATTGCCTCCAAATGTCACTTCTCTTACATTGATCTAGTCTTGTCTTTGCCAGCCTTTCCGCTGGTGCAATTTGGGATCACCTAGTCAGCTTTGGTTTATGGTACCCCTGAGATAAAATTTAAAAATTAAAAAAAAGTCTATTTATTGGGAAATATAACAAACACATTAAGATTTTAAAAATACACAAGTATTATCAAATATTATTTTCGGTTTTGTAGTTAACCCTCCATCTCACTGAGAGTGCAAGTGATGCTGGGCGCATGCCCAGAACAGCAGCAGCAGCAGGGGGGAGTGCCTCAACTTTTCTCTCTCCTCTTTTGACCTGTCCTCTCCTGCAGAGCCACTGAGCTTGCAGTCCATGTGATCAGCAATTTTGTGGCAGCACTGCATCACATGGGGCACATTTTCTTCCTCATCCCTCTAAATTCATCGGGGTTACAGTGATATCCTCATGGACATCTATGCAATTTATTATTATTTTTTTACATCAACATCACTGCTAAAACAGTTGGACTAAATGTTTTTCTTCCACAGAAGAATGATTTCCATGCATTAACATGACCCAGAAGTGCAGCTGTCCCTTTGTCTAAGCCCTGGACGAACTCTTGACTCAACCTCACTCCTTTGCTGGTTCCTTTAACAAATTGAATCACACCCACCATAACCTGGGGTTTGTAATTTTGTGGAAGATGGGCAGGGTTTCTTGTGGAAGTCTTACTATAGGGCATTTGATTTGGAAAATTCTCAATACATTTTTCTCCACTTGAGTCTTTCTTCCTCCTGCCTCATTGCCAGCCAGGGCTCCCTCTCTACCTTTTTCTCATCTCAGCTACCAGGGCTTCTTTTTCCATAGCCCATCTCTTTATGTATTTATCATACAGTAGACAGTGACAATGAACTTAGTAGACAATGAACTTGAAGGCAGAGATGTTTTCTTTGGATTTGTCTGTGCATGCCTGGAAGAGTAATCAGCACATTACAGTGAACTCTCAATAAAGTTTTGAGGCATAAATAAATGCCAAAAGGTACCAAGAATTATGAAGATTTACTCTTTTCACCTTGAAAGAAAGTAGAGAGTTTATTTTCTTGTTTATTCTTATTATTACTGGTGTTTTGGGGAGCAAGATAAAATGGAAAACTGAAGCAATTAAAAAATTTAAATAGCAAATCTATCACTTTAATTTTGGGGGAGAGAATTTGTTCATTCAGTTGGTCAGTATTTTGTTGTTGTTGTTGTTGCTGTTGTTCTTGAGACAGAGTCTTGCTTTGTTGCCCAGGTTAGGGTACAGTGGCTTGGTCTCAGCTCATTGCAGCCTCCACCCCCCAGGTTCAAGCAATTCTCCCACCTCAGCCTACAGAGTAGCTGAAACTATAGGTGCCTGCCACCATGCCTTGCTACTTTTTGTATTTTTAGTAGAGATGGGGGTTTCACCATGTTGGCCAGGCTGGTCTTGAACTCCTGACCTGCCTGCCTTGGTCTCCCAAAGTGCTGGGATTACAGGTGTAAGCCACTGTGCTCAGCCCCAGTTGGTCAGTATTTTTTGAGAGCCTCCCATATGCTGACAAAGACCCTCCCCTTGACCAGACTTTAGTTATACTCCTTTCAGCCCTCTTCTTGACCAGACTCAACCTTGGCACTGTCCTCTCCGTGGCCTGCCCAGCCCAGCCATACCAAAGAGTCCTAAGTCATCCCTCATCCTTTGGTATCTGACTATCCTGGCCTTCCTTCAACAAAAATCCTGTTAGGTCAGCTTAGCAAGAATCCTCCTACCCTTGATGTCTCCTCTCAGTAATTGCCCATCCACTGAACTTTTACCCTGGTCTTTGGTTACAAATCCCCACTTGTCCTTGTTGTATTTGGAGTTGGGTTCCATCTCTCTGCCTTATTGCAAACCCCTACTGCAGTAATCTTGAAAAAAGTCTTCCTTCCCAGTTTTACAAATCTCACGATAATGTTTTCTTTCATAGTGCCAAGCACAAAAGAGATCAGTTACTCGCTTTCATGGAGCTTACATTCTAGCTGGTGTAGAGAGAAAATAAGCAAATTTAAAAAAGGAAAAAAATTATGAAATTTATGTAGATAAGGGGCTTCTTTAGATTGGGTGATGAAAGGGGACACTCCAGGAATCTGAAGGCTGAAAAACAGAAACGCCAAGCGAGATGAGGAAAAGGGCACTGCAGGCAGAGGACAGGGTGGGTGCAACCTGGGGGCTGGACCAAGCAGAGGAAGTTCTAGGAACAAATTCGAACATAGTAGGTGAGGAGGAGGAAGGCACAAAGGTGAGGCAGAAAAGGGAACAAAAGCCAGGTCACACTGGGCTTTGTAAGCTGGGTGAGGAGTCTGGAATTTATTTCATGTAAACTTGGTAACTGAGGCTTAAAATGTTTGGATGTTGTCTGTGTTTTTCACACGGCTTTGCTGTTGTTGGTGGGTCTGAGAAATTGTCAAACATCTTTGCATTCTCATTAAAGCTTGCCCCTCCTTGTGTTTATTATTCTGCATAAGATTACTGAAAAGTAGGAAATTATTCTTGCCCAGGGATATTACTATTTTCTTTGTTTCCTTTAATGCTCAGAGGTAAAGTTAAAAACAAATCCTAGAAAATAACCAGTATGCAGTTTGTGCTTCGTTGCTTTTAATTACTTCTTATACTATCAGCTCCTCCCTGGGACCCCTTACCTCCTGGAGGGCTTTTCATCATATAAAAGAATAGATAAGTCTACTTAATTATTTTCTTTTTGCTTGGGTAGTCCTTCTAGATATCAGAAAGCATTGAATGTTTTAAGTTATCCTAAGTTTCCCAACCTGATCTTTAAAATATTTAGTTCATCAATCCATTTTCTCACATTCTTGATTCTTCCTAAATAATGTTCTAAAAGATTGCCGACTGGGTTCTTTTTAGAAGGATCTTAATATGTAAGTTTGTGACACTGTCATACTTGGATACTTAATATTACTTCAAGAAATTCAGAATCCTTGTGAACTTTTATTTGAAGGGCTGTACTGTAATTTACTTTCATATTATATTTTTGTGAAACTCTAACAGCCATATTCTGTCTGAGTCATAAGATGGGTGTATGTTTAACTTTATAAGAAACTGCCAAACAGCTTTCCAAAATGGGACCGTATTTCCATCAGCAATAGCTGAGAGTTCCAATAGTTCCACATCCTTTTTTAAGAACAAGTTATAAAGCTCTCTGGACATCATGCTTTAGGTAATTAAAGCTATTTTTGCAACGTGCCAGTATGTTGATCCATAAAACTCTAGATAGTCCTAAATTATTTTTATAAATCATTTTTTCTACTCTTTTAAATAATACAGTCAGAGAAACCAAGACAGAACTTATGCCTAATCTTATATGAAGTGCTGAAAGAGGGGCAAAGAAAATGCCCCTCTGTGGCTTAGCAATATTGTGATGACTCCTTCCAAATTAGAAGGGGAGAATAAAATTCCTGTTTGGTGTACTGTGATTCTCCACCCCTCCCTGGCATTTTGTCATGTATCGGAATGAGGTTGGAAGAAGGTTAGAAGTAATTATACTGAGAACTATGATAGATGCCAAGCTTTAGTCATCATTGTATTAGGGCTGGAAGTACTCTGGGAATTTGATTTAAATTACTTGCTTTTAGAGATGAGGAAAATAAAACTCAAAGAAGAAAGTGAACTGATCAAGGTCATTCACATTCATCTGATTAGTTCCCTAGGCCAGGGCTAGAACTCAAGCCCAGTCCCCTGTTTAAGGCTAGTTTTGATTCTGCTTAAGGATATCCATTATCAGTTCTCTAAATAAGCCTGGATATTTTCCTCATCATTCTTTGTGAAAAGGTGTTTTTGTTCAGAGTTACAGGGGGTAAAAGGTATAAGTAATTGAAAGAAATCCTTTAAAATTATTGTAAAATAAAAAGATATTTGGAAATACAGCAATTTGGTTCAGTCTGATTTTTAAAATAGTTTCATGAAGTAATTGGGCTTGAAAGGTTTTGAATGTTTTCCCCTCTTCAAACTGTGTGATGTTGTAATATTACTCAGTTGTCACAGAGAGCATATGTAAGCTACCAAAACCCTAACATAGATCTTTGGATGTTAAGCAGGTAAGATTAAGTCATAGAGTTCAATTCCTGAGGAATGAAATATAGCATCTATTTGAATCACCACCTATGTGCTGGAAAACTGCTATTTACGTTCTTTCCATGCATCTGGAAGATTGAAACACTGTTCTTGGTCTGTTCAGATGAATGAGGAGTTTTCCGATGTCCACATTTGTTGGAGAGTGCTAAAAGGATTTCTTCAAAGAAGACTTAAAAAGCAATCCTTCAGGCTAGAAGTTTTCAAACAATGTTTACTTTCATATCAAGAAAGCCATTTATAGTCTCTGAATAAACAAATGACATTTGATTTTATCACACTGTTGACTATGTGGCTGAAATGTACTGTAACCGCAGAATCAGGAAGTGGATTGCAACTGGTTTTTTTTTTTTCTCAAGAGTTTGTGGACTATAACATAAAACCAATAAATGTCTTAATGCTCCAAATAGTTTTAAAATCTAATTTAGAGTGGTTCTAGAAATTAAACCATGGACCATTATCCTATATAGAATGATAACTAGTAGAATCTTACCTTCCATTCAACTATCCAGATCTTTGGCCTTTTCAAAGATAAAGATCTAGCTAGGAAACTAGTTTGTTCTGTGGGAATCTCCTGCAGTTCCATCAAGGTGAAGTGCTTTTGCTCTGGAAAAGTGATGTGTTAACTTTCACTGTGGTATGTGCATTCCTCTACTATGCAAAAACATAGGCGTTTTATATATGCCTCATGAAGCTAGATTGAATTTTAATTTTGAATGAATACTTGTAAATTAATACATTGATAAGTAACTCTATCAAGACAATCATAAGTCTAGATCATGTTTTCTCCCATTCAAACAACACCAGGGGTCAGTAAGCCTTTTCTGCAAAGGGCCAAGTAGTAATATTTTTGGCTTTGCTGGCCATATGGTCTCTGTCATAAGTACTCAACTCTTGTTGTAGAACAAAAGCAGCCACAGACAATTTGTAGACAAATGGATGTGGCTGTGTTCCAACGAAACTTTACAAAAACAGGTGGTGAACCCATAGGCTGTAGTTTGTCGACTCCTGGTAGATACACAAGATTGTGCTGTGTATGAAAGCAGATTGTGGTTGGAGGACATACACATCAAAAATCCTTTTGGCTTTTATTTTGGTATTTTTCTGCCATTGTCCATGGATTCAAGCTGTTTCTACTTCATATTATCATTTAGAGATAATGTTGTAAGAGTCTCTTCCATTTTTGTTGAGGAAAGCACAGAACTTCAGAGGCAATCTGCTTCTGTCTATGCTATGTTCTTTAGAGTTTAGCATACCACCTAGGATTAATAAATGCTAAATAATAATCATTTTTTCATTTCACTGCCATATCCTTTATGGCATCTCCTTTGGCACCCTCGGAGGTATTAACCTGTAGCTTTTACAATGTTCTATTACACATTGTCAGCAGTACCTTGCTGATTAAATCACACTCAGGAGAGAGTTAACTACAAGGCTGTAAGTATCCCTGACAGGTTGTTCTTGCACGGGCTTGGCTTTTCTTGTATGAAGATTAAGAATCTTGTCACAGCTGGTAAAAAATGAAGTACACGTAAAACCACTGAGCATACATAACTCACAAAAGGCACTTCCCTAAAAGTCAGAATTCAGATGAGCAGAGTAGATTATATAAAGGAAAGGATGACTATGAAGTGATGAACAGGTATTTCATCATCTTGGGTGTAGTGATGACATAGCCTTTTGTGGCTGTTTGTGTTGGAGGAGTGTCTTCTAACCCATGTAAAACTTTCATGATTAATCCAAGGATTTCATGTTTATAACTTCATTTAGTCAGATCCAGGCTAGTAGTCCCATTTTTTGGTATTTGTCCTGAAGATGAGCTTTTTTTCTTTTTTTGCCATGAATCTAATTTTTCTTTTCTACCATCCTTAGTGCAATGGTTAGAAAACTCTTTTTGCTCTCCTTCCAGATTCTTTGCTTAAACTGGACTTGTGCCCAAAGCAGCAGGAGATGCTGTCCCATAAAGCCAGAACATTTTATAAGTACTGGCAGTGACGGTTTATTACTTCATTCCGAAAACAACACAGAGAGCCCACTAAAGGAGGTCCGGGGGAGAAGGGGAGCCATGGAACAGTGCATCTGGGAGAAGTGCTGACCGCCAGGCTACCGAGTCAGTTGGGCTGTGTTGCTTTTGCGGCTTCATGCCTCGGGTGGTGATGAGCATAAAGGCCAGTGGGAATTTGACTGTTACAAGTTGTGATAAGAAAGCAACTAGTTAGGAGATTCACCTGCCAACCAGGCAAGACTGGGGCTGGTCAGGCAGACTCTATGATTTGAATTTATTAATTTATTAATAGATAGATGATTCTGGTAGTCTTAAACAGTAATCAATGTGGCTGAGAAAGTCTTTTAATTTTGAGAGAGTAAATATATATATATATATATATATATATATATATATATATGCCTGAACAAACCAGATAGATCTTTGTTTTTGCCATCCAGAATCAGCCATTATTAAGAGTTTGTCATATTTGTTTCTAGTCCTTCCATAAATGAAAGAGAGCCAGCATTAAAGATCAAGTTGAAGCTTTCTGTTTCTCATCCCTTGTTCTTTTTCCTCTCTCACCCAAAGTAACCACTATAATTAATTTTGTGGGTGTTTCAGTCAGGATCCTGGTGGGGAGCAGATGTCACACTTGAGGTGAATAATTTGGAGGAGTATTCATTAAAAATGCCATTTACACAGGTGTGGGCAGAATGTAGGGAAATCGCAGTGGGTATCCGAGTGCTAATACCCCTAGGCCTAAACGGGAGAAGGGAGAGAAGAGTTACTGGATTCCAGAGGAGACAATGGCACAGAGTGGGCAGTCTTCACAGGATCTGTGTCCTTTGGTTGAGGGACACAACCTGCCTCAGGCTGCACTGCAGGGAGGGAGCTGGCAAATCAACACCCCAGTCTCATTCTCCTCTGTCCTTTAGTCTCCTGGCCCTGCCCCTACTGGCCACACCCAACCAGGAGCCAGAAGGCAGCTGACATAGTCCATACAGGCCTGGGCAAGGAGGAAGTTGGGAAATGGACCCAGAGGGGACAAGTGTAAGACATCCAGCACAGCCAGCATCCTGAAACTATAGCAGACAGTATGTAGCAGAGTCAACAAACTTTTTCTGTAAAAGGCACAATAATACATATTTTAGTTTTTGTGAATGACATACAGTCTCTGTCCTATATTCTTCTTTTTCAATTTTTACAAACCTTTAAAAATGTGAAAACTGATCTTAGTTTATGAGCTGTAAAAAACAAGACATGGGCTTGATATACCCGGGGGGTGCAGTTTGCTGATTCCCTAACATATATGATATCAGTTTTGTGTATTTTTAAAATGTTTACATGATGTATACTATATTTTATTTCTTTTCTAATGCTATGTAGCAAATTATTTCAAACTTAGTGGCTTATAAGAACACTCATTTATTATATCACACAGTTCCATAGATCAAAATTCCAGGTGGGCTCATAAATGATTATTTAGATAGGAGCAATTAAAGTCTTGGTTAGCGTGTTATACTAACTTGGCTTTAGTGGTGAAAATCTAGTAGAGGTATTTTTATCCATGGGACTTCCCAATAGTCCTCAGATTATGTCCAGTGATGTCAACGACTGAGCCCGGCCACATAGCTGAATCTAGCCATTGTCATGAGTGAAGATATTGCAGCAATATGAAAAAGGATATCCACTAATCATATGAGTACCACTCACTGACACTGAACCAGTATAATGTGATTCTTGCCCTGGGTGACTTACAGCCAGTGATAGTAAAGAACTTTTTCTCTGAGCTGAAGATGACTGAAATAGATGATAACAGAGAAGCAGGAAGGGGAATGTTTGCTCCTTGTTTAAGACAGCAGGGGACCTGTAAAGCGGTGAGGACACACTAACTGAAACTGGATTAAACAGAAAGGACATTTTAATCTCATGAAGTTCCGAGGTAGGGTGGGCTTCAGGGTAGGTTGATTCAACAGCTTGACCATGTCATCAAAGACCCAAGTTCTTTCCATCTCTTCAGTCTGCCATCCTCAGTATTCCTTAGCCTTCAGCAATATGTCTGGAGTAGTTCCAGTCATCATGTTCAGCCAGAAAAGACTTCAGTCATAAGGGACTGCCTCTCTTTTACGACAAAACAAACTTTCTCCAGAACACGCCTTCCCCCAGCAGAATTCTTTTCATATCTTGTTGGTGAGAGTTGAGTTGTATGCCAATTTCAGAACCAACTAATGGTAGAGAAAGTGCTATCACCGTTGCACCAATAAGGTTCATTTATAGAATTCGGCACATGGCTGCTTGGGCGAAAGGGTGAGCATCTGAACAAAATGAGGGACGTGTTAGAGAAAAACTAGGGCTGGAGAAATAAGGTGGAAAGAGTGGCAGCTGGGGAGACAAAGAACAGTTCCCATTGTATCCTGACAGTTCATATCCTTTCAAATATATTAAAAGATAGCCATAGCCCACATTACATATAATTTTTGCATAACTGTAGAAGCTGATGTGCAGTCATGTAGGTAATCTAACTTTATGCTTCAAAGGCATTTAATTAATCATTTTTTACTTTGATTTTACAGGTTTCTTTTCATATTTTGGAGTCAATAAATCTTTCATCAGATCTCAAACATTTAAAAGACCCTTGCAAAGCTGGTAGACCGTGCACCCTATGCCTGTGGGAATCTACTTTCTAGCTGAAGGTAGAATAATGAGGCCAGGACTCCTGTCATTTGTAGGTGAAATATATCATTATCTATCCATTATATGATTTCAAGTTCATGGAGAAGGGCCATTTTCTTGCCCAGAGGAGCAAACCTTTTTTTTTTTCTTTCTTTTCTTTCTTCTTTTTTTTTTTTTTTTGAGATGGAGTCTTGCTCTGTTGGCAGGCTGGGGTGCAGTGGCGCGATCTCGGCTCACTGCAACCTCTGCCTCCTGGGTTCAAGCGATTCTCGTGCCTCAGCCTCCTGAGTAGCTGAGATTACAGGCACGTGCCACCACACACAGCTAATTTTTGTATTTTTAGTAGAGATGCGATTTCATCATGTTGGGCAGGATGGTCTCGATCTCCTGACCTCATGATCCGCCCACCTCGGCCTCCCAAAGTGCTGGGATTACAGGTGTGAGCCACCACGCCTGGCCAAGACTAAACCTTTTTATCACAAAATTCATGATAAAGCTCAAAATGCAAAATTTTTGAGGTAATACTTCAAGTTTCATTAAAACCATATCAGCAGCTTTTAAAAGTGGGATGAGAGCAAAAGCAACAGACACCACAGATGTAAGCAAAAAGAGCCTGGGACACTAAGAACCAAATTCTCTTGAGCTGCTACTCTCTAGTGGCAGACCTTACATCAAATACATTGTATTCATTAATTCCACAAATATATATTGAGGACTGCTATGTGGCAGCGTACTTGAAAGACATAGTGAAGGATTTTTTAAAGAAAACATGTAGTCAAAAGTTATTTTGTCTAAGGAGGCTGCCATTTTAGAAGGGAAGCATGAAAGTGGGGGTATATATGTATGAATTTATAGTAATGGATTTAAAATATCAGGGTATTACTTAGATTACTTAACGTCCAAGTCAAATTCAAGTGTTTTTTTTTTTTTTTTTTTTAAATAGCTATGGGGATCTTGCTGTGTTGTTCAGACTGGTCTCAAACTCTTGGTCTCAAGGGAGCCTCCCACTTCAGCCTCCCAAAGTGCTGGTATTACAGGTGTGAGCCACTGTGCCCAGCCTAAATCCAAGCTTTTTGATATACATTTCTGTTTAGTAAATAGGTCTTGCTTTCGGCTCTTAACACCTTCTACTTTGTACAATCAATACTTTTAGACCTACCTATCTCTCCCTCACTAATACAGTAACTCTTTGAGGGCAAGGAATAGGCTTTTCTTTTCTTGTCTTTTTAATTGTTTTGAGACAGGGTCTCATTCTGTCACCCAGGCTGGAGTGCAGTGGTACAATCACAGCTCACTACAGCCTCGACTTCCTGGGCTCAGGTGATTCTCCCACCTCAGTCTCCCATGTAACTGGGACTACAAGCGTGCACCACCACACCCAGCTAGTTTTTTGTATTTTCTGTAGAGATGTGGTTTTGTCATGTTGCCCAGGCTGGTCTTGAACTCCTGGGCTCAAGCAATCCACCCACTTTGGCCTCCCAAAATGCTGGGATTACAAGGCGTGAGCCACCATGTCTGGCCAGGGCTATGCTTTTCATATTTTTGATCTCCATAGTGCCTAGAGAAGTACACTGCACAGATATATCATTAAGCCTATGTTAAGTGCACATAAACTAACATGATACCTGGCTCTGAAAACAAGCCCAAACAAACAAAAAAAACCTTAACACTGTTTATTGCTCCCTCTGTACAGATTTCTTAGGAAACTGAATTGAGATTAAAGAGCACTTGTCTTTATTTTTAACTCTCTAGCTGTTATTGTTTGAACATGTTGGTCCTCTCCCGGAGCAGAGCTTTTGAGATCCATAAGGTGAAATTTGTTGTTGAGTGTAAAGAACAACCACATGTCATGGAGCAAGAAGTTTAAGTGGAAGAACATCTTCACTCTAAGCTGTGCATGCTTCAGGTTGCTCCTCCCTGTTCTTTTCTCTAGGCTTTGTATGTAAAACTTGTTACAGCAGTTTGTTACACTGAGCTAGAATCAATTTACAGCAGATTTTACATATTTATTTAAAAATGGCCTGTAATGTATTTTAGAGTCAGTATTGATTCCACTTGTCTTTGTGATTGCATCTGTGACTGGTGTTTTTGTTATGTTGCAATTGCAAGGTGAAGTAATAAGTGCTGAGATTCAATCAGTGCCTACTCTTTTTAGGTCGCAATTGCTTGATAATAATTCGATTGTATCTCTGCCTGATGTTTTAATACTCCTATCTTCCAGATTGCTCTTGCTAGGGAGGTATTTACCCCAGTAGGTTGTTATACCCTAATAAGAATAAACAAAGCAGGAAACATGTGGTTGCACACACTTCTTTGTGTTTGTCTGGGCTAACACTGTGGCTTAGGCTGACTTTTACAGATAACATATGCTCTAGTTATCTACTGCTGCATAAGCACTCCCAAAATTTAGTGGCGTAAAACAACAGCCACTTTATTATATTCATGGATATTATGGGTCAGGGGTTTATACAGGGCAGAGAAAGGATTGCTTGTCTCTGCTTTATGGGATTGAGACCTCTGCTAGGAAGACTCAAACAATAGGGGTGTGGGGGGTGATGTTAATAGCTGAGCGCTAGAATCATCTAGAGGCTTCTTCAATCATGTGTCTGGTTTTTAGGCTGGGATGACCTGAAAACCAGGCTCCACTGGAACTGTCCACTGGAGTGCCTGGCATGTGGCCTCCTTCTGTGGCTTGGGCTTCCTCATAGCATGGTGGGTTAGGATAGTTGCACTTTTTATATTTGGGCTCCAAGAGTGAGTGTTCCAATGAACAAGGTGGCAGCTGCAGGATTCTTTCTGACCTAGTCTCAGAAATCATGCAACATCACTTTTGTTGCATTCTCTTGCTTGCAAGTGAGTCACTAAGGTCAGCCCAGATTCAACAAGAGGGGAATTAGACCCCACCTCTTAATAGGAATATCAAATAAATTTATTGCCATCTTTAAAATCTTTACAATCAATGTTTTATTCTTTTGTCAAAAATGTTTTCTATTTTTTTTTTTTGAGATGGAATTTCACACTTGTTGCCCAGGCTGGAGTGCAATGACACGATCTTGGCTCACTGCAACCTCCTCCTCCCGAGTTTAAGTGATTCTCCTGCCTCAGCCTCCCGAGTAGCTGGGGTTACAGGCGTGCGCCACCAAGCCTGGCTAATTTTGTATTTTTAGTAGAGACAGGGTTTCTCCATGTTGGTCAGGCTGATCTCGAACCCCCAACCTCAGGTGATCCACCCGCCTCAGCCTCCCAAAATGCTGGGATTACAGGCATGAGCCACTGTGGCCTGTTTTCTATTTTTTAATTAAAAGATTGATTGGTGAAGAGGCACATTCATTAAGCACCTATTAAAACATGCTAAGGCATGGTAAGAAATAAGGTAAAAGAAAGAAAAAACCTTTTTCTTACAAAGGATCCTGCAATTTAATCAGAAATATGGTATGCAAATATGTTAAAAAACTGAGTAACATATTTACAAAGTAAAGTATCAAACAGTGCAAATCAGTATGCTCTAGAACTTTGCTGTAATAGTTGTGGAATTTTTTATAATATGCAAATATTTTGGATCTTGTCCAAGAGAATATATCTAATATAACTACTAACAGTAGCACATGTTACCCAAGCAATTTTTGCAAAGCTAGAGTCTATGAAAGGAGGAATCAGATGAATATAGAATGTTAGGGGTGGAAGGAACTTTAGAGATTATTTATTCCAACTCTTTCAATATATAGATGAGGAAATGAAGGCCCAAAAGGTAACATCACAGACAGTCCAGGAAGGGGGAAAGAATATCAGCTTATTTTTTTGGGTGCCCTTAAGCATGGAAAACATAACTTCTTTGAGTCTCAGTTGAGAATTAAATTCTATCAGTCTGATTCTAACTGTCAGCTTAGGCTGTTATTCTTAAGTAACAAATTACCCCCATATCTCAGTGATTTACAACCAGGGTTTATTTCATGCTTATGCTACAGGCCTATAGTGGGTGAGCTGTGGCTGTCCTTGATGATCTCTTTAGGACCAGGCTGACCTAGCAGCTCCTATCTGGAACATTGCTGGCTGATGCCTGGGTAAAGAGATTATCGTGAAGCAAATACTGGCTCTTAAGGCTTCAGCTTGAAGTCACTGGCTAATCCTGACTGACATCAAAGGAGTGGAAAGTAGGATCTGCCCTGGAGGAATGGGTTCCCTGCAGGGAGGAGCAGCAAGTATTTTGAACAAGAGTACAATCCATCATGGTAATGCATATGGAAGCGCTTACTGAACAGTGGCCGGGCACAGTGGCTCACACCTGTAATCCCAGCAGTTTGGGAGGCCGAGGTGGGCGGATCACAAGGTCGGGAGATTGAGACCATCCTGGCTAACATGGTGAAACCCGGCCTCTACTAAAAATACAAAAAACAAAATTAGCCGGGCATGGTGGCAGACGCCTGTAGTCCAAGCTACTCGGGACTGCACTCCAGCCTGAGTGACAGAGTGAGAATCAGTCTCAAAAAAAAAAAAAAAAAAAAAAAAAGAAGCACTTACTGAACAGTAGAACTCCATGTGAATGCAATTTGTTCTTCATCTGCCCAAAGTCTACCAGCCAATCAATGTTGAACCTGAGACTACAACTCTATGTGGCTCAGTCTCCTTCTCTGGAGTGATTCACTGACACCTTTTCTTCCACATTTTACTGCTCAACAAAACATTCATTTTAGAATTACCAATCAACATATTCCCTTTGTCAGATATAGGGACAATTTTTCTAAGAATAAACCTCTCTTGCCGTCTCCCTCCTCCCCTCCACTATCTCTATATATTTGGTAAGAATTGTTTTAAAGAGTCATTGCAGCTTTCAGTTTGATTGATAATTTTATACTACATGCTAGAAAATCTTGTCACATGTGTCTTAAATCAGCCATTTCAACCTTATGTGTGTTTGTGGAGAGAAGACTTCCATCATGAACATTTTTTTTTTCTGACAAAGTATGTCCTTAAAAATATGTAAATTCCATTACTAGCTTTATCGCTCTCCCATAATTTCCTTATTCACCTCTGAATTATGCTTAGAGGAGGCAAGATGGATGATATAAGTTTCCATGTTTTATGAAAGATCTAGATGCAGACTTTTTATAAACCATTACTCCCAAGAACTTCTTTTTCCACTAATACAGGCATCAGAACCCAGGAAACTCACTTGCTGTAGAAGCTGATATGCAGAATCAATTGGATTGCTTGCCAGACTAAAAGAGCTATGATGTTTTGATCACCACAGCTTTTTTTTTTTTTTTTTTCTGGTAGCCTTTTATGTAGCGGAACCAGTTGCTTCCAGACTTAATGTACTTTTTCCAATGGGGTTTTGATGTAGACTTCCACTATACTCTTGTTTTAGTTTTTGCAGAATTGGAGGAATAGAACTGACATGTACTTTCAGGGGGATGGAAAAATGAGTTCTGTCTTTTTAGCTATGGATTGTTGAATAGGTTGCAATACAGATGTTATACCACTAGCCCAATGATGACCTTCGTGCAGTAATTTTTTGTATATTTTACAAAGCAAACATAAATCCAATGAACCTTAGTCAAAGCCAAAAGCCAAACTGAAAAAAACCTTTAAGGTGTAGATTAAAAAACCATTGTAGCATTCATTCCATACAGGTCAATGAATTATAACAGTGAGGAGTATTAATTTCAAATAGCCCAACTCCCAACTTCCTGCCTCCAAGGGCAAATCCTGTGTAATTTGCCATTGTTTTCACAAGGTGAAAAAGCAATGGCTAAAGTAACAGGATATTTCCTGGTTGAAAAGTAGTAACAGGGTCTATATTGAGCCATTCTATCATTAGCTTCTACCTCAGTTCAAACTTCAAAATGTTTTCCCAAATGGTTATTTATTTGACATGTGGGAATAAATTGAAGTGATAGCCTAAGCTTTTACAGTAAGTAAAATCCTTTGCAGTTGACACACAATAACATTCATAAAAGCTATTAATTGGCTAATTATCTATGCACTGTAGTAGTCTAGACCCAAATTTACATACATCCAGATGAATAGTTTGCAGGAGCCTAGGAAACCATTACTGTAATCATTTTACTATATCCTTGCAGGAAAATGCAGACCAAAATGTTTTACAATTCTGTGATATGAGCGAGAGTACATATTTATTTTTGAAAATTCCAGGAGATATAAAGTCAATATTTGAATATTACAGCAAACGTTAATCTCATTGGAAATTAGTGGGCATTTTTAGACTATCACTAGCATGTGTGAGAATTAATTTTAGATTTGATCTAAGATGTCTATGGTTATTTAGCTTCTGTTTTATATTGTCTAGGAGGAAAGAAACAGAAATGGTAACAATTTTAATTTTTCCTTTTATGCTTATAAAAGAATGGTCTCCTGGAATGGTTTCTTATATTCTTCACTCAGCTTATAAATATCAGCCTGAGTTTACAGTACTTAGATGATGGAAAATTAGGGGACTACTTCTAAATTCTGTGCTTTTGGATTGATTTTATATAGGTCTCCAACAGGAAAGCACTTTACTTCTACCTGTATGTATAATTATACACTATTTATATGTGTATAATTATATGTGTACATACAGGTAGAAGTAAAGTGCTCAAAGCGTAAAAGGAGTTTCCTGAGATTTTTAAATCATGGAATGGGCTAGCAGCCATACATAGGCAGTTTTTCTAGTGTGTTAATTCTCCAGAATATACCACAGTATATATAAGCAGGGAAGAATTTAAAATAAAAAAGAACAGAGGTGGATACTGTGAACAGTTAGCTTTTGCTGTGTAACAAAACAAAACAAAACAAAACAAAACAAAACAAAACAACCCCACAAAATTTCAGTGACACAGTGATTGGCCAGGGCTGCTCTGCTGAGCTCAGCTGGGGCTGCCTGGGCTTGGCTTCTGGCTGCAGGCTCCATTCAGGTGTGATCCATGCTGCTGTCAATATTCTGGAGCCAGTAGGCTGCCTAGAGCTTGTTCTCAGGGTGGTGGCAGAAGCCCAACTGCACCAGCCTCTGCATACATCATGCTTGCTAATGTCCCATTGGCTAAATAAATCACATGACCAAGTGCAAAGTCTCCCATGGAGGTAGAGAAAAGGGAGTGAATATTTGCTGAACAATGATCTGATCTACCACAAACGGTCTTTAATGTATTGCTCCTTTATTGTGTGGTAGGAGCTGGCTTGACACCTTGTTGTTTAGATGAGGCAGGAGAGATAGGGAGTGACTTGTAGGTTGTAACATTCATAATGGTAGGATGTTAACAGCCATGCTAATAATAAATATCAGTAGAAGCAGCATACATGCTTAGTATGTATTAGACATTGTTCTAATCACTTTACAGAAATTTATGTGTTTAATCCTTACAGTAGCCCTATGAAGTAAATGCTGTTATCTCAGTTTTTAGATGAGGAATCTGGGGCACATAGCTATTTGGTGGCTTGCCCAGGGTCACAAAACTCTAGTAAGTTGTGGAGCAGAGATTTAAGTCCTGGCAGTCTGGCTCCAGAGTTCAGTCCAGAGTTTATGTTACTAATATCCCCCTCTTCTTCAGTTATTTTATAGGCTGAGGGCTGACATAATTTAATTTACATTTTAAAAGATCATTCTAGATGTTTTTGATAGGAAGAATAGGGGACAGGGTGGAAGTGATGATATCTATTAGAACAGCGTTATTCAGAGTGTGATCCATAGACGGCTACTGGACCACAGACTATTTATTACTGGCCCATGATGAAGTAAGTACAGAAATTGAGAAAAAGCCTTTAGAAACTTTTACGGCAAGTTTGGCATTGTTGTACAACCAAATGCATGATTAGTTTCCTAATAACATGTTTTCATTGTATGTTACAAAAGTGCTTATTAATAAAGGATTGAAAATGAGACACAAAACAAAAGCAAAAATGAAAACCAACTGTCCATTATAGATAGCTTGAAAAAGTATGGTAAAAGGTGGCTGAGGCCGGGCGCAGTGGCTCACGCCTGTAATCCCACCACTTTGGAAGGCCGAGGCGGGCGGATCACGAGGTCAGGAGATGGAGACCATCCTGGCTAACACAGTGAAACCCCGTCTCTACTAAAAAATACAAAAAATTAGCCAGGCGTGGTGGCGGGCGCCTGTAGTCCCAGCTACACGGGAGGCTGAGGCAGGAGAATGGCGTGAACTGGGGAGGCGGAGCTTGCAGTGAGCTGAGATCGCGCCACTGCACTCCAGCCTGGGTGACAGAGCAAGACTCCGTCTCAAAAAAAAAAAAAAAAAAAAAAAAAAAGTGGCTGAAATAAATCCAGGCAACTGTTCACTGATCATGGCTTGAACTAGGGTGGTGCTTGTGGAGATAGAAAGAAGTAGATGGATTTGATAAAAAATTTTAACGGCCACTCAGTCTTAATACCTATAGCTCACAGAGATTAAGAAGGAGGGGGGGAGGAAGATTATTAGGTAAGTTTAAAATGAGTATTCGAAGATACTCCTTTCCCATCATTTAGTCAGGGACTATATGCTGTTTCCTATGGTGGTTTAAGGCAAAATCACAGAGAAATACACTTCTATGTGAAACTCAGGAAATAGAAATTTAGAGAAAACTTTTAGTGATTTTCAGGGTAGATACCACATTTGTTTACTATTTTATTGTATTATTATTATTGTTTTTGAGACAGAGTCTCACTTTGTTGCTCAGGCTGGAGTGCAGTGGTGTGATCTTGGTTTACTGCAACCTCTGTCTCCCAGGTTCAAGTGATTCTCCTGCCTCAGCATCCCGAGTAGCTGGGATTACAGACACGCGCCACCATACCCGGCTAATTTTTGGGTTTTTGGTAGAGACGGGGTTTCGCCATGTTGGCCAGGCTGGTCTCGAACTCCTCACCTCAGATGATCCACCCACCTTGGCCTCCCAAAATGCTGGGATTACAGCATGTTTACTATTTTAAAGTGACCAACTCATCTGAATTTGCGCAGGTCTTTCCCACTTTTAGCACTGGAAGTCCGATGTTCTAAAAGTCCCTGCAAGTCCCAGGCAAGCCAAGATGGTTGGTCATTCTCTATTTTATATTATGCTAGAGCTGCTCATAATTGTGAATGTCTTCTTCCATTTTGCCACCACCCATCTGGTGAGGTTCTGCATTCCTGGAATAATGAGATGTAGGAGTATAATACAGAGATGCCCAGAAGAAATAGAGAATTTGAGTGAGGCCTTATTGGAAGAGATTTCCAAAGTGATAAATAAGAAATATGAGTAAAATGAGATGCCAATTATTCAGACATCTCCTAAATGTTTTTTTCTGTAACCTGTAACTTCTCACAATTTTTTTACTTAGCTTTGTTGACTATTTTTCCATGGGGTAGAGGAAGCAATAAGGGAATCTGCTATATCCTGGCCAGTAGGGAAGAACTGGTTGAAAGCATGAGAATGTCAAAAACTTTAAGAGCATGTCACTGATTCATCTTAGGGTAGATAAAAGTGAACGGATGGAACATTATGTCAGAGACCCATTAGCTTCTCTACCCCCAGTAATGTAGATTTCAACCTTTTAGCGGATTGGTAGTAATAATTCCACAACCAGATGAGGTAAACAGAAATCCAGATCAAGGGAGACAATAGATTTTTAAAAAATGAAATTCATACTTTGTAATGAAAAAAAATGGGCAAAGCACCTGTTGATGCAAGCATCAGTTTTTGATTAGGAAGCTGAGTCTTGAGTCTTCCTATATACAGCAGAAAGTGTATTTGGAGCTTCCACCCCACCAGTGGGTAGTGTCTAGTGTGGATGGTGCAGTTGGTGGCTCACTAGCAAGTAGGCTTCAGTTGACTCTTTGATGCTAGGAGCTAGGGTATTATCTGAATCGTTAATTCTGTCATACCCATTTAACAGTTTTGTCTTTAACTTTGGAGACTTAGGAGGTAATAAAATTATCATATTCAGAGAGATAAGTAATATGCAACATTGAAGAATCAGGAATTCAAGGGCATCTCAATGGAATCTACTAATGGACCAAAACAAATAAGATAAAGCCTAACAAGGATCAATTTAAAGTCCAGCATTTGGAGGTAAATAAAACCAATTGTTCAAGTGCAGAGTGAGGTAAATCAGGCTTGAAAGCAAATTATGTGAAAAAGACTTGAGGGTTTTAGATGATTATAAGACCGATATGAGCCAACAGTGCAATGTTCCTTCTAAAAACGAAAAACATCTCAAATGCAGTCTTTATGTTTAGAAAACAGTCATAGATGTACAGTAAGGATGGTCGGCACAGGGTGCTTCACACCATGAGGAGAATGTATGCAGTATTTTTTTTTTTGTCTCAAGTATTTTAGTTGAGATTGTCACATTTTAAGATAAGCTTTGACAAATAAGCAAAATGTTGAGGATATCAGAAAATATTTGATATGGTTTGGATCTGTGTCCTGCTCAAATCTCCTGTCAAATTATAATCCCCAGTGTTGGAGGTGGGGCCTGGTGGGATGTGATTGGATCACGCGGTGGTCCTTCATGAATGACTTAGCACCACCTCTTTGGTGCTGTTCTGGTGATAGTGAGTGAATGTGTTATTGTGAGATCTGATTGTTTAAAAGTGTGTGGCACCTCTCCCCTCTCTCAGTCCTGCTCCCGCCACGTAAGATGCCTGATCTCGCTTTGCCTTCCGCCATGAGTAAAAACTCCCTGAGGCCTCCCCTGAAGCAGAAGCCAGTATGCTTCCTCTACAGCCTGCAGAACCGTGAGCCAACTAAACCTCTTTGCTTTATAATTGCCCAGTCTCAGATATTTCTTTATAGCAGTGCGAGCACGAACTAAGACACTATTTATTCTTTTTTACTACATTTATTGAATGCTGAGAGCATTCCCAGCCCTTCTAGAATTATTAAAAGAAAGTAGGAATGATTTTACTTCTAGAAAGTTAACATTTTTGCTTGTTTAAATATATTAACTTACTAGATCATAAAACAAAAATATTTTTTAGTGTTTGCTTATTATAAAAATTTAGAGAAGTAGAGGAAGTTAAAAGGAAGTGAAAAATATTAAAAATATTCTTAGTGTTTGCTTATTATAAAAATGTAAAGGAGTATAGGAAATTGAAGGGAAGTGAACAAAGGGTTGCTCATAGTCTCCCCGTTCATGGGTAACCATATCTTTGTGCACTGCTTTTGTTCTATGCGTTGTTTTCAGAAACCAGGTTCCTTGTGCTCCAACTTTTCTGCAGGTCTTCAAAATCTTCTCCAGCCATTAAGCTTGTGGAAGATGAAATAAAAACTGTGGAGGTGTGCATGAATGGTTTGTGTGGGTCAGATCTGAAGTGAGGGTTATTATTTTCATCCACAGTTGATTGGTCAGAGCCCAGTCACTTGGCCCACAGTACCTCAATGGGTGCGGGGAAATATAGTCAAGCTGCGTCCCAGAAGAAAACAAAATGATGTTTTCAACTATTGTCATGAACGTTTGTTGAGTCCTGGGCACTCTTAGTTGTCTTTGTTTTGGTCATGATTCAGTAAATCTGCTATTAGAAATCTCATTGTTTATTTACAATTATTTTTTGATCAGAACTAGTTTGGCGTACACCTCTCCTTTCTATAGCTGCCATTTTCTTTTTTTAGCTTTTACACTGTTGTTTGAGAATTTTGTTTGGGCTATTTTTTGACTCCTGGGCTGGCTGAGTACTTACCTTCATACATTTCTTTCACATGATCCTGACTTTGATTTTTTTAAAAAACAGTTTCACTAGGTGCAGCCTAGTGGAATGTAGTACTACTATCTAAGTGCTCGAGATTGCTTTGATATCAGAGCAGGAAGATAGAAATCTATCTCTGCCCAAATGCCTTCCTTTTCAATCTCACTCATCATGTTTTTCTGCTTCTCAAATTGTACTGTACAAATGTCTTTTTCTCTCACACACATTCAAACTCATCATTTTAAAAGAACAACAACTTTTTCTTCTGTATCTCTATCTGTTTTCATCACAATTTTTCCATGCTCTAAATTTGATCTTTTTTAGTCTCTCTAGACAACCTTTTAAAAACTACATCCCTTCATGCTTCATAAAGGGGATGACAGGCTCTCCCTGCTGGATTTGATTCCTTTACAACTTCATGGCAGTTTGGGGATTTCCCAAAGCTTGCAAAATGCCATTTAATAGAGGGAAAATGCAGCACCCAAACTCAAAAATAAAGTTTTCTTTGAATTCCTTCCAATGATAAGTGTAAGAGATTTTTTTTTTTGCTTCAAAAATAGTTTGTCATATTAAACACCTAATAGATTGTTTTTATTAAAGTAGTGATAATTGAGTATCTGGCTTGTAGTTCTTCTTCTTTTTTTTTTTTTTTTTTGAGATGGAGTTTTTGCTCTGTTTCCCAGGCTGGAGTGCAATGGCGGGATCTCGCCTCACTGCAACCTCCACCTCCCAGGTTCAAGTGGTTCTCCTGCCTCATTCTCCTGAGTAACTGGGATTACAGGAGCCCGCCACCATGCCCAGCTAATTTTTGTATTTTTAGTGGAGATAGGGTTTCACCATATTGGCGAGGCTGGTCTTGAACGTTTGACCAAAGGTGATCCACCTGCCTCAGCCTCCCAAAGTGCTAGGATTACAGGCATGAGCCCCTGCGTCTGGCTGGTTTATAATTCTTTAGAGAAACTTTTAGTATAGCTTGTGTGATATATATTTGCATTTGTGTTCATTTTAATCCATATGCGAAATATGGTTGTTGGACTATACCCTTCAGAAGTAATTAACCAGAATTTAATCAAGAGGCCACACTTCAGAAATGGTTACTATAAATGAGTATTTTACTTATGTTGATTTCTGATCAATACTACAGGCTTTGTTAATGTGTACATGATAGGTTGGAAATGGACTTTCATTGGTGAAATTTAGTGGTCAAGATATGGGGATGCCCTAGAAGATACTCCCACCCTTACATGAATAAGACAAGTTTGAAATTCAGCTAGGACATACTATCATGACTATATCACAGTCATGCGTTACTTAGTGACAGGGATACATTCTGAGAAATCTGTCATTAGGTAATTTTGTCTTTTGCAAACATTTGTCTTTTGCAAATCATTGTTTTTTTGCAAACATTGAGTGTACTTATACAAACCTAGATGGGTTAGCCTACTGCACACCTAGGCTTTATAGTATAACCTATTGTTCTTAGGTTACAAACCGATACAGCATGCTACTGTAACTGAATGTTGTAGGCAGTTAAAATACGGTGATAAGTATTTGTGCACCTAAATATATGTAAACATAGAAAGGTACAGTAAAAGGATGGTATAAAAGATTAAAAGTGGCACACTAGAACTGGGCACTTACCATAAATGGAGCTTGCAGGACTGAAAGTTGCTCTGGATGAGTCTGTGAATGAGTGGTGAGTGAATGTGAAGGTCTAGGACATTACTGCATGCTACTGTGGACTTTATAAACACTTAGACTATACTAAATTGATAAAAAATATTTTTCTTTTTTCAATAATAAATTAACCTTAGCTTACTATAACAGTTTTACTTTTTACAACTTTTTAATTTTTTAAAGTTTTTGACTCTTTTGTAATAACACTTGGCTTAAAACACAAACACATCCTACAGCTTTACAAAAGTATTTTCTTCATATCCTTATGCTATAAGCATTTTTCCATAAAAATTCTTTTTATATTTTAAACTTTTTAAATCAAAAACGAAGAAACACACACATTAGCCTAGGTCTACACAGGAGTCGGGATCATCAATATCACTGTCTTGCATCTCCCATCTTGTCCCACTGGAAGGTCTTCAGGGACAATAATACGCATGGAGCTGTTATTTCCTATGATAACAATGCCTTCTTCTGGAATTCCTCCTGAAAGATCTGCCTAAGGCTGTTTTACAGTTAATTTTTAAAAATATGTAGAAGGTAGCCGGGTGCAGTGTCTCATGCCTGTAATCCCAGCACTTTGGGAGGCCGAGGCGGGCAGATCACCTGAAGTCAGGAGTTTGAGGCCAGCCTGGCCAACATGGTGAAACCCCGTCTCTAATAAAAATACAGAAAATTAGCCAGGTGTGGTGGCAGGCTCCTGTAATTCCAGCTACTCAGGAGACTGAGGTAGGAGAATTGCTTGAACCCGGGAGGCAGAGGTTGCAGTGAGCCGAGATCACACCCATTGTACTCCAGCCTGGGCAACAAGAGTGAAAAAAAAATACATATATATATGTACACACACACACATATACATGTATATATATAATGTATACTTTATACTCCTATATATTATATATCTATGTATTTTACATTATATATAAAATATACTTTATGCTCCTTCTAGATATATATACAGAATATTATATAACATATATGGAAGTATAAAGTATATTATGGTAAATACATAAACCGGTGACATAATTGTTTATTATCAAGTATTATGTGCTGTTTATAATTGTATGAGCTAGACCTTCATATGACTGGCAGCACAGTAGGTTTGTTTATACCAGCATCACCACAAACATGTGAGTAATGTGTTGTGCTATGATGGTCCCATATTATAATCTTATGGGACCACTGTCATATATGCGGTCCGTTGTTGAGCAAAATGGCATTATGCAGTACATGACTGCAGTTGTTTATAGTCAGCCTCCATTCTGATTGGGTGGTCGGTACTATTTGTGATGTTAAATATTTTGAGCATTGTCTCTTGGAACAAGGTAGAAGGATGAGAGCCCAGCTATACCCTGAGAATGTCTACACCCTTAGGAATGTCTGTACCCTTAGGAATGACAGCAGGGGTGCTGCATTTGGTTACAGGGTTATGCAATGCTCAACAAACACAACTGTGTGCAGCAGCCCTGAAGAGTGCCTGTGTGTGATTCCTGAGATGTTCTATCCTCAGTCACTAATTTGAAGAATTCTTGGATGTCTGACTCTACTTGAGGATTAGTTAAATTGTGGTGTTAGAATTTTGTCACATTTGGCTTGGGGAAGCCTTTCCTGCAAGGTGCTATCAGGCTTTAAAAAGACAGAGGGCTCGGATTTCATCAGGTTTAAAGAACAGGATACATATTGTTTTGGACCTGCCTGTTACTTAAATGACGGGATTCTGTCTGACATGTACCTCTTTTGTTACCTGGTAGTGAGGTTGTAGAGAGATTTAGAGCCATCTCCTGCCTCTAATCTGGGTTCTTCATCTGCAGTCTATGGACCCTTTGCATACGTAGAATCCAAAGAGTTCATGTTCTTGGATATGACAAATAATTACATTTTTATTTTCATTAACTCCAGCTGAAATATAGAACTTCTTTCAATTATTAGTGAGACAAAACACTCTGGTATTAATTAGCTTTCCACTGTAATGAACAGATATTATATTTATTTTCATGACACATAACAGATAACATGTCATTTAATGTCATTATTTGAAATTATAATTGTAGTATACCCATTATTAGGTCTATTTTTAATTTATTTGTAGAGAATTCTATGTATTTTTATATCACAAATATTTAAAACTTTTTCAATAATTATATTTCAAACTGGCTTCCTTTTTATTCCCTATGCATCTTATTTTTTTGCATTTAAAAATATTATTTGGAGAGGACACACAAATGAATAACAACTGCTTTTTAGAGGCAGTAGATATCTCCCAAAATGTCTACTAGTTGCTCATGACTAGATTGGCTTATAGCCACTTAGTTCACAATAGTGGATGATTCACAAAGTAAACAAGTGGTGAGAGAGTAAGACTGATGGGAAAAATGTGGTCATAGTGTAGAGCCATTATTCTTCACCTGTTAGGTGACTGTGGGCTGGGTTAGAGACATGCAGGGCTCTAAAATCAGAGGTAGTTTCCCTGGAGGGAGGGCATAGTGGTTTTGTCTACAGCGTTGGGCAAGACCTGTCGCATTAGTTGGTGGGGAGGAATACGGCACCATTCGTCTACCCTGTCTTCCCACTATGCAATCTTTTTCACATCTCCCTCTATCTTTCTTCATAGTAGTTCCAAACACCATTTTGTAAACATATTAGTTTAGAAATTATTGAGAAGGTGTCCCTTTTTGAAAATGTGTTTAGAGAGAGACCAGTATACCCCCTTGCCTCCTTCCTTCTCCATGTATTCCACTTCTGGGCTGGTCATTCTGGGAAATACCATATATAGGACTGTAGGAATGAACTTCTAAATGTTTTCTATTTTACAGAACGTTTTTTCATTTTCTTGAAAACCGAATTCATCTGTATGCATGTTTTTATAGTAATCATTGCAAATACTAGGTAAGAAGTTAGGTATTTGAGGATAACAGTGAAAACAGAAAATTTCTCTTTTTAAATTTAAAACCATGTATAGGTCAGTGGCTTTCAAAAATTTTTGACGGTGACTTACAGTCAGAAATGCATTTTACATCCTGATCCAGTGTATAGGTGCACACACACAGGCACACACATTCACAATTGAAACAGAATTTTTTCATTTATCTCATCCCATCCATCCCGTCTCATCCCATTCCACCGTGTCCTGTCCCACCCCACCCCATCCCATCCCCTCATTCTGTCCCATTCTGTTCTGTTTGAGTCTATCCCATTTTATCCTATTTTTTAATTTAAGAAAAATATCGACCTTAACCCACTAAACTGATTTTACGACTCACTAATACATCACAATTTGAAGTTTGAAGAAAATATTGGCCTAAATGAGGTTTGTGTTTTCGATTTTTAAAGTCAGTTCAGAAGTGGCTCACTACATTTTCTCCCTCTCTCCATAGCACTTATTACAGTGAAACAAAGCTGAGCGAGGGGATTAGCTGGAGGACCTAACGTTGAGTACCTAGTATGCACTAATAATGTTATGTTTGTTTTGTTATCTTTTGTACTCCTCCAAACAATCTTGAGGAGCAGAAAAATCAAAGCTTCATAATGGCTCAAATTTTTATTTTTATTTTTCACTTCTGTATCCCCATCACCTATAATAATGAATGGCATATATCAGGCATTCAATGACTACCTGTTAAGTGAGTCTTATCCCAAGTTTACGAATAAGAACACTGAAGCTCAGAGGGGTTTGTGACTTGCTTAATATCTCAGAGATTGTAGATGGGAAGTGTGGGCTTAAAAGTATTTGTGATGGCTGGGTGCAGTGGCTCATGCCTGTAATCTCAGCACTTCGGGAGGCTGAGGTGGGTGGATCACTTGAGGTCAGGAGTTCGAGACTGGCCTGGCCAACATGGTGAAATCCCATCTCTACTGAAAATACAAAGTTAGCCAAGTGTGGTGGTGCACACCTGTAATCCCAGCTGCTTGGGAGGCTGAGGCAGGAGAATCACTTGAACCCGGGAGGCAGAGGTAGCAGTGAGCCGAGATCACACCATTGTACTCCAGCCTGGGCAACAAGCGCAAAACTCTGTCTCAGAAAAAAAAAAAAAGAAAAAAAGCATTTGTGACTGTCAAAGTCATTGTGTATTAAGAAGAGGCATACAGTCAGTCAGCTGTTAATTTGGCTTTATAAAAATGGGATAGTTTTGCATGCTAGAAAGTTTGGTGTGGTGGCTTAACACTGTTTTAAAACAAGATCTGGGGGGGAGCCAAGATGGCTGAATAGGAACAGCTCCAGTCTACAGCTCCCAGCGTGAGCAACGCAGAAGATGGGTGATTTCTGCATTTCCAACTGAGGTACCGGGTTCATCTCACTGGGGAGTGCCGGACAGTGGGTACAGGACAGTGGGTGCAGCGCACCGTGCCTGAGCCAAAGCAGGGCGAAGCATTGCCTCACCCAGGAAGCACAAGGGGTCAGGGAATTCCCTTTCCTAGTCAAAGAAAGGGGTGATAGACAGCACCTGGAAAATCAGGTCACTCCCACCCTAATACTACGCTTTTCCAATGGGCTTAACAGACGGCACACCAGGAGATTATATCCCACACCTGGCTAGGAGGGTCCTATGCCCATGGAGCCTCGCTCATTGCTAGCACAGCGGTCTGAGATCAAACTGCAAGGTGGCAGTGAGGCTGGGGGAGGGGCGCCCGCCATTGCCTAGGCTTGAGTAGGTAAACAAAGTGGCTGGGAAGCTCCAACAGGGTGGAGCCCACCACAGCTCAAGGAGGCCTGCCTGCCTGCCTCTGTAGGCTCCACCTCTGGGGGCAGGGCACAGACAAACAAAAGGCAGCAGTAACCTCTGCAGACTTAAATGTCCCTGTATGAGAGCTTTGAAGAGAGTAGTGGTTCTCCCAGCATGCAGCTTGAGATCTGAGAATGGGCAGACTGCCTCCTCAAGTGGGTCCCTGATCCCCAAGTAGCCTAACTGGGAGGCATCTCCCAGTAGGGGCAGACTGACACCTCACACGGCCGGGTACTCCTCTGAGACAAAACTTCCAGAGGAACGATCAGGCAGCAGCATTTGCAGTTCACCAATATCCACTGTTCTGCAGCCACCGCTGCTGATATCCAGGCAAACAGGGTCTGGAATGGACCTCCAGCAAACTCCAACAGACCTGCAGCTGAGGGTCCTGACTGTTAGAAGGAAAACTAACAAACAGAAAGGACATCCACACCAAAAACCCATCTGTACTTCACCATCATCAAAGACCAAAGGTAGATAAAACCACAAAGATGGGGAAAAAACAGAGCAGAAAAACCGGAAACTCTAAAAATCAGAGTGCCTCTCCTCCTCCAAAGGAATGCAGCTCATCACCAGCAAAGGAACAAAGCTGGATGGAGAATGACTTTGACGAGTTGAGAGAAGAAGGCTTCAGAAGATCAAACTACTCTGAGCTAAAGGAGGAAATTGGAACCAATGGCAAAGAAGTTAAAAACCTTGAAAAAAAATTAGACGAATGGCTAACTAGAATAACCAATGCAGAGAAGTCCTTAAAGGACCTGATGGAGTTGAAAACCACAGCACAAGAACTACATGACAAATGCACAAGCCTCAGTAGCCGATGCGATCAACTGGAAGAAAGGGTATCAGTGATGGAAGATGAAATGAATGAAGTGAAGCGAGAAGAGAAGTTTAGAGAAACAAGAATAAAAAGAAACAAACAAAGCCTCCAAGAAATATGGGACTATGTGAAAAGACCAAATCTATGTCTGATTGGTGTACCTGAAAGTGATGGGGAGAATGGAACCAAGTTGGAAAACACTCTGCAGGATATTATCCAGGAGAACTTCCCCAATCTAGCAAGGCAGGTCAACATTCAAATTCAGGAAATACAGAGAACGCCACAAAGATACTCCTCAAGAAGAGCAACTCCAAGACACATAATTGTCAGATTCACCAAAGTTGAAATGAAGGAAAAAATGTTAAGGGCAGCCAGAGAGAAAGGTCAGGTCACCCAAAAAGGGAAGCCCATCAGACTAACACCTGATCTCTCGGCAGAAACCCTACAAGCCAGAAGAGAATGGGGACCAATATTCAACATTCTTAAAGGAAAGAATTTTCAACCCAGAATTTCATATCCAGCCAAACTAAGCTTCATAAGTGAAGGAGAAATAAAATCCTTTACAGACAAGCAAATGCTGAGAGATTCTGTCACCAGCAGGCCTGCCCTAAAAGAGCTCCTGAAGGAAGCACCAAACATGGAAAGGAACAACCAGTAGCAGCCACTGCAAAAATATGCCAAATTGTAAAGACCATCAAGGCTAGGAAGAAACCATCAACTAACGAGCAAAATAACCAGCCAACATCATAATGACAGGATCAAGTTCACACATAACAATATTAACCTTAAATGTAAATGGGCTAAATGCCCCAATTAAAAGACACAGACTGGCAAATTGGATAAAGAGTCAAGACCCATCAGTGTGCTGTATTCAGGAAACCCATCTCACATGCAGAGACACACATAGGCTCAAAATAAAGGGATAGAGGAAGATCTACCAAGCAAATGGAAAACAAAAAAAGGCAGCAGTTGCAATCCTAGTCTCTGATAAAACAGACTTTAAACCAACAAAGATCAAAAGAGACAAAGAAGGCCATTACATAATGGTAAAGGGATCAATTCAACAAGAAGAGCTAACTATCCTAAATATATATGCACCCAATATAGGAGCACCCGGATTCATAAAGCAAGTCCTTAGTGACATACAAAGAGACTTAGACTCCCACACAATAATAATGGGAGACTTTAACACCCTGCTGTCAATATTAGACAGATCAATGAGACAGAAAGTTCACAAGGATATCCAGGAATTGAACTCAGCTCTGCACCAAACAGACCTAATAGACATCTACAGAACTCTCCACCCCAAATCAACAGAATATACATTCTTTTCAGCACCACACCACACCTATTCCAAAATTGACCACATAGTTGGAAGTAAAACACTCCTCAGCAAATGTAAAAGAACAGAAATTATAACAAACTGTCTCTCAGACCACAGTGCAATCAAACTAGAACTCAGGATTAAGAAACTCACTCAAAACCATGCAACTACATGGAAACTGAACAACCTGCTCCTGAATGACTACTGGGTACATAACAAAATGAAGGTGGAAGTAAAGATGTTCTTTGAAACCAATGAGAACAAAGACACAACATACCAGAATCTCTGGGACACATTCAAAGCAGTGTGTAGAGGGAAATTTATAGCACTAAATGCCCACAAGAGAAAGCAGGAAAGATCTAAAATTGACACGCTAACATCACAATTAAAAGAACTAGAAAAGCAAGAGCAAACACATTCAAAAGCTAGCAGAAGGCAAGAAATAACTAAAATCAGAGCAGAACTGAAGGAAATAGAGACACAGAAAACCCTTCAAAAAAATCAATGAATCCAGGAGCTGGTTTTTTGAAAAGATCAACAAAATTGATAGACCGCTAGCAAGACTAATAAAGAAGAAAAGAGAGAAGAATCAAGTAGACGCAATAAAAAATGACGAAGGGGATATCACCACTGATCCCACAGAAATACAAACTACCATCACAGAATACTAAAAACACCTCTATGCAAATAAACTAGAAAATCTATAAGAAATGGATAAATTCCTCGACACATACACCCTCCCCAGACTAAACCAGGAAGAAGTTGAATCTCTGACTAGACCAATAACAGGCTCTGAAATTAAGGCAATATTTAATAGCTTACCAGCCAAAAAAAGTCCAAGACCAGATGGATTCATAGCCGAATTCTACCAGAGGTACAAGGAGGAGGTGGTACCATTGCTTCTGAAAGTATTCCAATCAATAGAAAAAGAGGGATTCCTCCCTAACTCATTTTATGAGGCCAGCATCATCCTGATACCAAAGCCTGGCAGAGACACAACCAAAAAAGAGAATTTTAGACCAATATCCTTGACGAACATTGATGCAAAATCCTCAATAAAATACTGGCAAACCGAATCCAGCAGCACATCAAAAAGCTTATCCACCATGATCAAGTGGGCTTCATCCCTGACATGCAAGGCTTGTTCAACATATGCAAATCAATAAACGTAATCCAGCATATAAACAGAACCAAAGACAAAAACCACATGATTATCTCAATAGGTGCAGAAAAGGCTTTTGACAAAATTCAACAACCCTTCATGCTAAAAACTCTCAATAAATTAGGTATTGATGGGACATATCTCAAAATAATAAGAGCTGTCTAGGACAGACCCACAGCCAATATCATACTGAATGGACAAAAACTGGAAGCATTCCCTTTGAGAACTGGCACAAGACAGGGATGCCCTCTCTCACCACTCCTATTCAACATAGTGTTGGAAGTTCTGGCCAGGGCAAACAGGCAGGAGAAGGAAATAAAGGGCATTCAATTAGGGAAAGAGGAAGTCAAATTGTCCCTGTTTGCAGATGACATGATTGTATATCTAGAAAACCCCATTGTGTCAGCCCAAATTCTCCTTAAGCTGATAAGCAACATCAGGAAAGTCTCAGGATACAAAATCAATGTGCAAAAATCACAAGCATTCTTATACACCAATAACAGACAAACAGAGAGCTGAATCATGAGTGAACTCCCATTCACAATTGCTTCAGAGAGAATAAAATACCTAGGAATCCAACTTACAAGGGATGTGAAGGACCTCTTCAAGGAGAACTACAAACCACTTCTCAATGAAATAAGAGGATACAAACAAATGGAAGAACATTCCATGCTCACGCGTAGGAAGAATCAATATCGTGAAAATGGCCATACCACCCAAGGTAATTTATAGATTCAATGCCATCCCCATCAAGCTACCAATGACTTTTTTCACAGAATTGGAAAAAACTACTTTAAAGTTCATATGGAACCAAAAAAGAGCCCACATCGCCAAGTCAATCCTAAGCCAAAAGAACAAAGCTGGAGGCATCACACTACCTGACTTCAAACTATACTACAAGGCTACAGTAACCAAAACAGCATGGTACTGGTACCAAAACAGAGATATAGACCAATGGAACAGAACAGAGCCCTCAGAAATAATGCCGCATATCTACAACTATCTGATCTTTGACAAACCTGACAAAAACAAGCAATGGGGAAAGGATTCCCTATTTAATCAATGGTGCTGGGAAAACTGGCTAGCCATATGTAGAAAGCTGAAACTGGATCCCTTCCTTACACCTTATACAAAAATTTATTCAAGATGGATTAAAGACTTACGTATTAGACCTAAAGCCATAAAAACCCTAGAAGAAAACCTAGGCAATACCATTCAGGACATAGGCATGGGCGAGGACTTCATGTCTAAAACACCAAAGCAATGGCAACAAAAGCCAAAATTGACAAATGGGATCTAATTAAACTAAAGAACTTCTGCACAGCAAAAGAAACTACCATCAGAGTGAACAGGCAACCTACAAAATGGGAGAAAATTTTCGCAACCTACTCATCTGACAAAGGGCTAATATCCAGAATCTACAATGAACTCCAACAAATTTACAAGCAAAAAACAATCCCATCAAAAGTGGGTGAAGGATATGAACAGACACTTCTCAAAAGAAGACATTTATACAGCCAAAAAACACATGAAAAAATGTTCATCATCACTGGCCATCAGAGAAATGCAAATCAAAACCACAATGAGATACCATCTCACACCAGTTAGAATGGTGATCATTAAAAAGTCAGGAAACAACAGGTGCTGGGGAGGATGTGGAGAAATAGGAACACTTTTACACTGTTGGTGGGACTGTAAACTAGCTCAACCATTGTGGAAGACAGTGTGGCAATTCCTCAGGGGTCTACAACTAGAAATACCATTTGACTCAGCCATCCCATTACTGGGTATATACCCAAAGGATTATAAATCATGCCGCTATAAAGACACACGCACATGTATGTTTATTAGGGCACTATTCACAATAGCAAAAACCTGGAACCAACCCAAATGTCCAACAATGATAGACTGGATTAAGAAAATGTGGCATATATACACCATGGAATACTATGCAGCAATTAAAAATGATGAGTTCATGTCCTTTGTGGGGACATGGATGAAAGTGGAAACCATCATTCTCAGCAAACTATCACAAGGACAAAAAACCAAACACCACATATTCTCACTCATAGGTGGGAATTGAACAATGAGAACACATAGACACAGGAAGGGGAACATCACACACCCAGGGCCCATCGTGGGGTGGCGGCAGGAGGGAGGGATAGCACTAGGAGATATACCTAATGTAAATGACAAGTTAATGGGTGCAGCACACCAACATGGCACATGTATACATATGTAACAAACCACATTGTGCACATATACACATATGTAACAAACCTGCACATTGTGCACATGTACCCTAAAACTTAAAGTATAATAATAATAAAATTAAAAAAGATAAATAAAACAATATCTGGTCCTGAGGAGGCGAACTATGTTTTTATATTCTTGATTATTCATTCATGCCAAAGTAGTCAAGACTGAGATCATGTGAATATTTTGGTCACAAATCATACATTTTGAATAGAAGCTTTTCTTTCTTACTACCCAAAACAAATACAACTAGCCACTCAGCCCACAGAGTTCTGCTTAGCAGACCAATGACCCTCCTGGAACTACTGATGCCATTGAGTAAACACAATCTGAACCATCCAAGGACTAAGTGTGTCCACTTGAAGACTGGACATGCCCTCATGGCTCTCTACAAGTCTTAACTTGATGGAATGCAGCCACCGGGATAAGGTCATTGTTGTTATTATTATTATTTTTTTTTTACTAACGGAGAGATCTTCTCTAAATCTGGACCAAAGCTTTGCAAATAAAATCATTCTAAGAGAAACATTGAACCAAATCAGCAGCATCTTCTCCTTTCCCTCATCTTGGAAAAAACTTTGGCAATAGGCTTTCTGAAATAAAGGTGGCACAGCTGTTGTCTGGGGTAGCGCTATTGCCCCACTGCTCACCACCCCAGCAACTGCGGACTAACAAGACTGAGATATTTAACAACTAATCGTGGATCTCTAGAAGAGAGACAAAGCTGCTTAACAGCTCCCCACACAGAATTGCCTCTAACCATGTGAAAAGAATTTGATTAATAGATTCAGAGAGTTTGGTGGGAACTACTGACATCCAAACACAGAATGGATTTGTAGGAATGTGAGGCTGGTGAATTGTTTCAGGCTGAGCCTGGGGTTGAGCTTTGGAAGAGGACACTCAAAGCGTAGCAACTGGAGTCTTAGGCCTTTAAATGTGGATTCTCAGTGGCTTTTAATTCAGCTGTGGACAGACTGAATGAGTGGGCAGTCAGCTAAAGTGCAAAGTTGTAATTTATTAATGCAGTTATTTATAGTTAGGCCATTAAAATCAGATTGTTTATGTTCACTGGGATAGCTCATTCTTAGTGATAAAGTCTTTGGGATAAATTAATAATCAAACTCCGATGAATACAAAATTCTTGTGAAAGAAATTGAGGCTTCTCTAAAGACATATTTTTGTTGAATTGTGTTGAACTATTGAGTCATCCTTTTCTATTGCAAGATTATTTATGTGATTGACATCAGAGGCTTTCAGTCTTTTCTGACTTTAGTAAGGATTCATGTCCGGTTTTGTGTCTGGTTTAATTAAAAAAAAAAAAAAGCCTCAAGAGATACTTAGCATTCCCACACTTAGCTTCTAAGCCATTCCATTTTGTCTGCTTGTACCAAGCTCTGCTTCTGGACTCCCTAGACCTTATTATTATTTTGAGGGGTACAACTTAGACTATTGGACCACTGTCCAATTTGATGCATTGATTGGCTCTTTCTTAGTGTCCAACCACTGCCTCTGTCTCAGTTATTCTTTTTTTCCATGAACAACCCCAAAGCACTTCATAGCAACCTTCCTGTTTGATTTCCCATAATTGGGCTTCTCCCAAAAGGCCCTATTTGGGGATAATTTGGGCTTGGAGATGAGTCTCAGAAATCTTTGTCGGCATTTTCTTCCTTTAACAGTACTGCAGACATACTGATAGAGGGGAACTAACATTTCTCAAACATCTACTGCATGTCAGACTGTGCTGGAGACTCCAGAAGAATTCGCTGAAACAACAAATTGGCCAAAAATAAATATTTGCCATCAAGGAAGTTTGTCATAGATTGGTAATTTTGTGCATCATAATGATAGTGTTGCTAATTTTTATGTGACCTTACATATTTGTGTGTATCAGAAATTTTCAGGGTTTTGGAACTATTTTTATAAAGCCTGGGATACTTACAAGAATGTACAGTGTTTCTATTCAGTTCTCAGATATTTGGAGTGTGTTTATTTGTTTTTGGTCAATTAGGCCTGCTTAGCTTGTTTGGCAGTCTTTCATGAATTTAAGTTTGGCTGCAGCTCTGAATTTTCCAGAAGGAAATTCATTAAAAATAGGTGCTTCCAATCACCTTTGTGGTTGGAATTTATCAGTAAACTACATTTATTGATAAATTTTGCGTGTACTAGTATGATTTTACAATTAATCATAATTTTGGATTGATGTTCCTCCATTTTATCTATTTTGCTTTTTAAAATTTAAAGTTTATTTTTTACCTAATGGTGCCAACTTATTTAGGTCAATTTCACCATTTTGATTGTGTATTTCTTTTACATATTAACAGCTTTAATAAAGAACGTTTTATAGAAAAAGCAGGTTTAAAGAAATGATACATTTTTTGTTTCATGTGCCTGAAAGCAACATTACATTTTTAATGTTAGTGTTATTTTAACACTGGAATGTGAAAGAAAATGTCAAGAAGTAGTTGTCTATATAGTGTCTCATAGGTTAAGTAGTTTGATACTTGTCAGCATTGTTGAATTTTTTGTCCTAAGTATACTAAATACTGACTTTTAAGTGGTATTATTGCTTTTGTTTGAACAATCCTTCGTATAGGCAAAGTTGCCATCATCAAATAGTTGCAAGTTTAAAAAGCTCTTTTAAAAAATGATTATCTGCCTTTATCCTACCTGTTTTCCCCACTTTATCTCACAGCTACCAAGTGCAGCAGGAATTATTGTGTCCATTTTACAGGTAAGGAACTAAGGCTCAGAGAAGCTAAGTAACTTTTCACAGTTTCTGACTCAAATCAAGACTTAAAGCAAGAATGAGACTGAGCTGATTTGAGCTCAGACACTATTGTTAGATCTCTTAAAAAGCAACCTTTTTTTATTTCAACAGGTTTTTATAACAATAATTTTCAATAATTCCATTTCAGTAGATTGTAGGTAGCTGGTACCTAAAAAATTATAGGCTATTTTAAGGGCCTATATATAGCAGATAATCTCAGAATCTTACTCCTGTTCCCTTGGCACTTACTATGTCTAGGCATGCTGGCTAACTTCTAATTGCTAGTGTCTCTGTTTTTATAGGCTATAGGTGCTGGGAATTAATGCCCTTCCTCAACCAATGACTGGCAAAAGTTGGTGGATAAATACCCCAATTCCCTCACCCCTGGATGAGATAACTGAGATACTTGCTCTATCCTATCTCCCAGAATTCCCTTTCCCCAATGGCATTAAAGTTTAGTTGCCCACAGTGGTATTTTGCACAATAACACCTTCTTTATTGGCTTTTTTCTCTTTCCTGCCTCACTGCCCTATTCTTTCAGTGGTATTTTCTGTGATCACCTCCAAATTAACTACTTTCACTTGAATCATTATCTCAGCGTCTCCTTCTGGGGTAACCCAAACTTAGATACTATCTTCCCTACTGATTATGCATATTTGGAAGTAAATCTTTCAGCTTGCAGCATGTTGAATTCCAGTCCTAATCCACGACCTCTAATTCTGGGATTCACAAAGATAGCCTCCCATTTGCCTCGCGAGCTGGCTGTTCCCTGCTTTTGCCTCCTTATCTCTATGTCATTTAGTTTCACCCTGTACTTCTCCACTCCCTGCTCTTGCTCTTTTATTATTATTATTGTTATTATTATTTAATTGCAATGCACTTGGGGCTGACTCTTCTTAGCCTCTTTAACTAGCCTCTTGACATTGCATGTTGCTTGCATGTATTAGTTGTGTATTGTTGCATAACAAATTACCAGCAAAAGTTAGCAGCTTATTATAGCAAACATTTACTATTTCACAGTTTCTGTAGGTAAGGAATCTGGGTGTGGCTTAGCTGTGTGTCTCTGCCTCAAGGTCCCTCATGAGGAGGTGGTGGTCAATCTGTTAACCAGGACTACGGCCTCATCTGAAGGTTTTGTGCAGAGGGAGATCTGCTTCCAAACTCACTCATGGGGTTCTTGAAAAGCCGTAGTCCCCTGCCAAATGGGCCTCTCCACAGGTCTACCTCATGACATAGTATATTAGTCTGTTTAGGCTGCTGTAAAAAAATACCACAGTCTGAGTGGCTTCAACAGCAGATATTGATTGATTGATTGAGAGGGTTTCACTGTGTCACCCAGGCTGGAGTGTGGTGGCATGATCATGGCTCACTGCAGCCTGTGACCTACTGGGCTCAATTGATCCTCTCATTTCAGCCTCCTGAATAGCTGGGACTACAGGCACACACCACCATGCCTGGCTAATTTTTTATTTTTTGTAGAGATGGGGTATCGTCATGTTGCCCAGGCTGGTCTCGAACTCCTAGCCTCAAGTAATCCACCTGCCTCAGCCTCCCAAGGTGCTGGGATTATAGGTGTGAGCCACTGTGCCCAGCCTAGGCATTTATTTTCTCACAGTTCTGGAGGCAAGAAGTCTGTGATCAAGGTGATGGAGGACAATTTTTTTGTTGTTGTTGTTGAGAGCTCTCTTTCTGGCTTGTGTCACTGTGTCCTCATGTGGCCTTTTCTCTGTGTGGTGGGCAGGGAGAGAGTGGGAGAGAGATCTCTGGTGTCTCTTCTTCTTCTTGTAAAGACACCAGTCCTATTGGATTGAGGCCCCACTCTCATGATCTCATTTAACTTTAATTACCTCCCTAGAGGCCTTATCTCTAAATATCGTCACATTGGGAGTTAGGGCTTCAACATATAAATTTAGTCCTGGGGAGGGACACAATTCAGTCTATAACACATAGTAGGGTCCAGGAAAGAGTAAGCTAGCAAGCAAGCCAGAGAGCATCCAAGATGGAAGCCATGGAAGCCACAGCCTTTTATAACACAAGTGTCCCTTCACTCCCACCATAGTCATTTGTTTAGTAGTGAGTCAGTAACTTTAGCTCACACTTAAGGGGAGATGGGTAAATGACAGTGTGAATATTAGCAGGTGAGGATCACTGGGGGCCAACGTAGAAGCTGCCTACCATGCTCCACTTTTGTGTAAAAGCAGTTCTTGGACTCCTTTCCTGTCCCATGGACCTTCTGCATTTGAACCAGCTAGTTCCTGACTGTCCCACCAAAGATGGGTCATCCCACTGCAGATGGAGAACCTATGGGACAGTACTTGAGGCTGAGGGCTTTGGGGTCAGGGAGGCCTAGGTTTGATTATTTGCTTTGCTGCTTATAACCTGCGTGACCTTGGACAAGTTTTTAAAAACTTCTCTAAGACTGAGTCTCTTTTATAGGCAAATACAAAATAATTATGGGCTGGGCATGGTGGCTCATGCCTGTAATCCCGGTGCTTTGGGAGGCGAAGGCAGGTGGATCACTTGAGGCCAGGAGTTTGAGACCAGTATGGCCAACATGGTGAAACCCCATCTCTACTAAAAAGACGCATGCACACACACACACAAACACACACACACACACACACACAATTAGCCAGGCATGGTGGTGCATACTTGTAATCTCAGCTATTTGGGAGGCGGAGGCAGGAGAATCACTTGAACCCGGGAGGCAGAGGTTGCAGTGAGCCAAGATCGTGCCACTGCACTCCAGCCTGGGTGACAGAATGAGACTCCATTTCAAAAAAAAAAAAAAAAAAAAAATTACAGAACTCTATGTTCCACCAGAAGCTGACTCAGTGGAGGATTTGAGTGCAAATTGTTTGAGAGGTGATCCTAGGAACCACCAGAAGGGGAGTAGAGAAATGAGACAGGAAAGAGAAGAAAGCCAGTGAAGGTTGTGTTATTAAGCAAGTGACCACCATGGGCAGATAGAGAGCAGTCCCACCAGGGACCCTTGGAAGTTGATGTGGAACATGCAACCTAGAGTTATTTCAACAAAGGGGCAAGGGATCTGGGGCTTTCGCTCACCAACTCCCTTCATGGGTTGAAGGCTGCTTCTGGGTGCATTAACTCTTCAGCACTGGCTTCTCTTTTGCATAGGCCAGTCATGCATCTGGTGCCAGGACAAGGCCCTTGGCGTGGAGTAACATGTTCATAGTAAGCAGCTTTCAGAGTATAGAAGTGAATAGCTAATGCAGCACTGTTCAATAGAAATATAACATCACCCACAAATTCATGCCACAAATGTAATTTTAGGGTGCTTTAGTAGCCGCATTTAAAAAGTAAAAAGTAGCAGATAAAATCATTTTTTTCTTTTTCTTTTCTTTTCTTTCTTTTTTTTTTTTTTTCGAGACAGGGTCTCACTCTGCCTCCTGGGCTGGAATGTAATGGTGTGATCACGGCTTACTACAGCCTCAACCTCCTGGGTTCAAGTGATCCTCCCATCTCAGCCTCCCAAGTAACTGAGACTGTAGGTGTATATTAGCATGCCTGGCTAATTTTTCATTTTTTGTAGAGACAGGGTCTCATTGTGTTGTTCAGGCTGGTCTCAAACTCCTGGGCTCAAGCTATCCTCCTGCCTCAGCCTCTCAAAGTGCTGGATTATAGGTGTGAGCCACTGCACCTGGCAAAAATTAATTTTTATAACATATCATATTTAATCCAATATATCAAAACTATGATTGCAAAAATATAAAAATTATTGAGATATTTTACTTCTTTTTTCTAAGACTTTGAAGTCCAGTATGTATTTTAGACTCATAGCTTATCTTGATTTGGACTAGCTATATGTCAAGTACTTGTAGCCATGTGTGGCTAGTGGTTACCACACGTGGCTACAAGCCATGGTCAGCGTGGGCCTAGTGGATATGGAGGGTACCTATGTTGTCTGCCATAAGTACCCATTTCATTAGGGTTTTGTGAGAAATAAGGTCAAATGCATGTAGCATTTCAAATTTTATAATGTTTCCTACAGCCAGCATTAAGGGGGATCCTACTAGTAATTAATAGGTTGTGATTCCTGGAGGGAGGTATTCATGGAACAATGGTTGAGACATCAGTAAGGGATGAGCTGTATTCTGAAGGGGTACACTGAGTAGATTTTAGGTACTGTGTTAGAAGCATGGCTATCATCTACAATACATAGGTTCCTTTGCCCCATTTATCTCAGCTCTGCTCCCCGAACTCCCCAAAGACATTCTTTGAATCAAGCTCAGGGATAAAGCAAACATCGGTAAGATTATGTAAGAAGGAGAATGAATCAGTTGTATTTATGTGCATATAACGAGGAAAGAGAGGAAGCTGTATTCTAACCAAGGGTGTTATAAACTGAGAACTTGGGTGAGAAAGGTACACAAAGATCGATTTATGGAATCCTGTCAGCAAAGCTGCGTTTTAAATAGCACTTATAGACTTTTTGGCAAAACAAAAGTGAAACAACTGGAACTGCTCCAGGCTTGTAAAACCACCCGTCAGTGAATCCAATAGACAGATGCACATTCCTACCTTGAGCCACGCCTCCTCCCCCACACTCTTCTACAATTCCTCCACACTAGCACTCACAAAGATACCCAAACTGGTTTACAAAATCAAGGCTTAACCCACACTCACCACAGCCACACTCTCTGGTCTTCTCTCCTTTGGCCATTTCCCGATACACTGATTCTCCTTTCCATATTTGCACATCAAAGCAGAGCTTGTCTTCAGCCAGGTCATTCACAAAAGATTTTGAATGGGATGGGATCTTGTGCCACAGTATTAGAGACTTTAATCCATATTTGGATCCATTCTTTAGCTTTCTACAGGAGTGGGGTTCAACCAGCTGAGAATCCCTAGAGTTCTAGGAAATATTTTGAGCTTCTGTTTTACACCAAGCACTGTCCTAGGCACCAGGGATTTAGCAGGGCACAAGTCCTGGTCCCTTCCCTTAAGGGAAGCCTGATATGGAGGGAAACAGGCAAATAGGATGCAGTCACCTTGAGATCACATCGGAGGGGGTGGCACACAGTCATGAAAGGCTCCTTGAGACTGAGTATTTAAACTGAGGTCTAAGAGTGAACAGAAATGAGCAGAGTGAAGTTGGACAGAACAGATGTGAAAGGAATTGAGAGAATAGCATATACAAAGTCCTGGAGGTAAAATTTCATACTAGCTTGCTAACAAGGTTATTATAAGCAAATTAAAGATAGCACCATGTCCCTTGGGTCATGAATTCATGGCCCACAAGCCGGCCATCATACTTGATGAGTTGGAGGAAGAGGATGCAATATTGGTCAGAAGCAATATGCTGAGACCAGGGTGAGTTCTGTTGGGCCAGTAGAATGTATTTGAAAGTTAAAATTTTTTTTTTTTTTTTTTTTTTTTTTAGACAGGGTCTGGCTCTATCACCCAAGCTGGAGTGCAGTAGCGTGAACTTGGCTCACTGCAATCTCCACCTCTTGGATCCAAGCGATTCTCCTATCTCAGCCTCCTGAGTAGCTGAGACTACAGGCACATGCCACCATGCCCAGATAATTTTTTATATTTTAGTAAAGATGAGGTTTCACCACGTTACCCTGGCTGGTCTTGCGCTCCCGAGCTCAGGCAGTCTGCCCACCTCAGCCACCCAAAGTGCTAGGATTACAGGTGTGAGCCACCCAACCGGGCCTGAAATTTAAATTTGAATGCCTTTAGGAAGTGTAAACTTTCTGCAGTTTGTCCCAAATCCTGACACTCTCTGAGATCATAAGCCAGTGGCTTACATAATTATGTTACTTGCCCGACTTCTTTGAGATCTTGATCCCTGGTCTGTATCATTTCCTTGATTTTTAACATAGGAGCTTGATTGCTAGGTAAACAGATCATTCATCTGTTTATTCAATCAATATTTATTTTGACACTATAACGGGGGGCTGTATATACACTGTTAAATTCAGCTTTAACAGAGCTTATAGTCTGGAGAGGAAGACAGGTAAGTAAATAAGCAAATGGGTGTGTAATATACCAGTTGTGATAAGTACTTTGAGATGGTAATAAGGGCCTTCTTTGAGGGGGGCGAGAGAAGGCCTCTCTGAGGATAAACTTTTAAGCAGAGACTGGAAGTCTTTGGGTTTTTTTTTTCTTTTTTCTTTTTCTTTTTTTTTTGGGCTGGAGTCTTGCTCTGTCACCCAGGCTCCCAGGCTGGAGTGCAGTGATGCCATCTCGGCTCACTGCAACCTCTGCCTCCTGGGTTCAAGCAATTCTCTTGCTTCAGCCTCCCGAGTAGCTCAAACTACAGGCATGTGCCACCATGCCTGGCTAATTTTTGTATTTTTAGTAGAGATGGGGTTTCGACATGTTTGCCTGGCTGGTCTCGAACTGCTGACCTCAGGTGATTTGCCTGCCTTGACCTCCCGGAGTGCTGTGATTACAGGTGTGAGCCACTGCACCCTGCCCCGGCCCCGAGACTGGAAGTCTTTGGAAGAGTATGGGGGAAGTGTGCTCCAGGCAGCAAAAGTGAAGCCTAAAGTGAAGTTGGGCAGGTTGGGACTTACACAAGTGCTTCTGCTCTCCAAGCCATGAACCCTGGTACAAGGCCGTGTCTGTCCAGAGGAAGGAATGGGCAAATTGCAGGATGACTAGCAGAAGCCCACTGAGAAGGCCTTGGCTAGGAAAGACCAAAGACAATAGATCCTTGCACCCTGTAGAACAGATATTCTTTTAAGGTAAACTGAATACTGGGGAAGTAGGTGGAGTTGGGAGCTGGATTAAGCTGTAGGAGTTGGTGGAAGTCCAGCAATGCTGGAGAAAGATAGTTTGTGGAGACCAGCATGATGGGGGATGCACTAGGGGGACATCTTTCTAGGAATGCCCAATGAGGCAAGTCTGGTTTCCAGGTAGATCAATGCTCTGGGAAGCAAAGACTTAGTAATATAAAGCAATGAAGGAAGGGAGGCAGGTAGAGCAACCCCAGCTTTAGGCCAATGGGCCCTGACAGACACTGGCCTTCAGCAGCGTGGGAAAGAGGAAGGAGCAGAGGAAAAATAAGAACTAAGTAACACTGCAGGAGCCCAGTAACCAAACCTGGGTCCTAGAATCAGAGAATTAGGACAAAGCTCTCTGGATGTTGCATTATTGATCTAGTGGGCTTTAAGTTCCTTGAATAGTACCCAACTCTGAGGAGTACCTAGGGCAAAGTTTGGTTTGTAGAAAGGAATTAAGCTGAATCAGATTTGTAGATTAAGTGGCTGACGGGTCGGTAGAGGTCCAGGCATGTTGTCACATGATATACCTAACTGATGACTTAAATGAAGTATTTGGGTGCACCAGTGGTCTCTCTCAGTCATTTCTGCATTTTTTCTTGGTTGCATAAGACGTTTCTTCTATACCATCTCAAATCTTCTCTAACATTCCTGTCTGTGGGGTCCTTGGCCATTTGTTTTCCCCATCTGCTATGGCAGCTGGCTTCACGTGGGCATAATCCAGTAATGCCCTGTTTTCTGCACCTCTGCATTTTTTTCTTGCTGCTGTGGGCTTTTGCCTAGCCTCTAACATGTGACATTCTGTGGGATCTGAACTAGCATCATGTACAAGCAACCTGAAAGTGTGGGGGCATTAATGTTCTGTGAAGTGAACTGGCCAATGTGAGACAGAAGCTAGCTGATAAATTCGTCCTTCCTCCCACAGAGACATAGTACCTTATGTGTCTAAGAAAATGATTGTATGAGATGGCACAAATAGTTGTACCTGTACTTGTTTCCAAACAGTGGCCAACTCAGAAACACATCCTCCTAATAGCTCTCCTTCCTTTCCCACTACACTCTTCTTCACCTCGTTTCTATTTCCTGGAGATTGCACCTTTAATAAAGTCATAACACATAAGCTTTTGCCTCAGGCTTTGCCAGGATACAATGATCTGTTTTAGATTTGTGCTAAGGTCAGTAGCTTACAGCTCAGTAGCTGCACAGCCAAGCTGTCCATGTGGCTACAGCGCACTTGAAATGTGGCTGGTCCTAATTAAGATGTGGTGTGAGCATAAAATACACATCAGATTTCAAAGATGCAGTATGACAAAATATGTAAAAGATCTCATTAATAATTTTTTTTACATTTATTACCTGAAGAAATGATAATATTTGGATATGTTAAGTTAAATAAAATGTACTATTAAAATGAATTTCATCTGGTTCTTTTAACATTTTAACATGGGGCTACAATATTTCCATCAGCCAGCATTTGCCTAGAGTTTGTGGAATCCACTCTTAGCCCTTTTAAAAAATTTAGAAAAACACCTGGCAATCTCCCATCTCCTTTTGTTCTTTTGGCACTTCTTTTGTTTTCTATGATTTCTTAAATGTTATTAATCAGTGATGCTGTGAATAAGTGATACTTTCAAAGCAGAGGAGTGCTTTTATTGGGGTCAAAAGAAATAGCAGCACATGTGCACTGACTGCATGAATATGTTAAAATAACCATCCGTATTTGTTAATGTCTAATTTTGCAGGATGTTAGGTTTGTAACTTGAACTACAAATGAATTAGGGCCTCTATCTGATGCCTTACTAAGCATATTAGGATAAGCACAATAGGTGTTGAAAAGGCTAACAGTTTAATCTTCTGGCATATTTTATTATATGTATTTTCCATGTTTTAATTGAATATCATGAGCACAGTGCTTAAGGATTAATTTTGTGCTGTTTTTTTTTTTTTGTTGTTGTTGTTGTTCACTGCTACTTTCAATTACATGTTGCAATTTGGTGGGCTAAATTACATTTGTTGCAGAATTTGGCCCTGCTGCTTTCTGTGGAATTTTCTTGTGGCTTTCTTGCCCAGGGTATTTCATCATGAAATTGTCTTATTAAGCTTTCGTGCACATGACATTGGCTATGCGCTATATACAGTACAAGTCAAATAGCTGTGGATTCTATTCTGTTCTATAAAAAGATAAGCTTCTGGCTTGGAGTCACATTCCTTCTCTTGGAATTTTGTTCTGGCTGGATTGAAATACTGTTAAAGAATAGTTTGGTGAGAAGTTGCTTGGGGGGCAAGAATTGAATGATTTCATACATAAAAGGAATGTGAGTTGAGATGGAGGGAGTAACAGGGTGGATAAGAAGTCAACTTCAAGCTGAGTGGGGAGTGGATGGAACAGATTTTAAAGATTCAAAAAGAGCAATGGTTTTAAAACAACAAATCAAGATTACTTGCCATGGCTCTACTCTATCTAAATATAAGATTTTTGGTTTTAGTTGTAAATCAATGTGATAGCAGAATATCTTACTTACAATTTTGGTTATCAGTTTATTGTTATAGAAAATCAAGAAAACATAGTCTCTAAAATTGTGAAATAATAAAGCTGGACTCTTCATTCCCAAGCATACTTCTAACGATATTCTTTCAACAGACACAGTATTTGAGTTGATCCCAATAGTTATATTCAGGGGTGAGTTTCACATGCCACAGGTGTATTCATTTCCCTTCTTTTGTAGCCCTTAAATTCTGTTTTCTTTGAAACTGTGTTTCTTTTCTTCTCAAATAAAAGAAACCAAATGTAGAGAAACAATTCTATCAAAATTCATTTCGATAAGAGAAGAATTAATTAAAGATGTGCTCATATCTGAATTGTTACAATAATATTAACTTTGCTGAAAAGCATAAATAAGCAGAGTGCTGGGACAATCACAGTAAATCATTTATCTCAAGCTAAAGTCCCTAAACTGTTTTGTAGCCTTACAGGGAGATAGAATTACATGTGGTATACTTAATAGGAAGTAAACCTTTTGTCCCGTTTATATCCCAGAAGAAACTTTATGCCAGATAAATTCTTGTAAAGTTGACATAAACTCATTCAGCATTTGGTGGCAATTGGGACAGCATCCCAAGGTTGTGTCAGTCTCCCACTGGATCAAGGCCCACTACCACACTCATGTCCAATTTGGTTTTGTGTTAAACATCTTTCAAAAGTCAGGATTAACAACTTTCACTGCTCATAAAATTAAGATGACTTTGTTAAAGTTTTATGGCCCAGAGAGGTAGGTTATCCTAGGCAGAAAATAAAGGAAATAAACTGTAGTTTAGAATTTTTTGGCCAACCAACATAAAGTATAATCTCAACAGCAAACATCATCAGAGCAGCCAATTTTGAAAATTAGAAAGAATTGGGCCAGGCGCGGTGGCTCACGCCTGTAACCCCTGCACTTTGGGAGGCCAAGGCAAGTGGATTACTTGAGGCCAGGAGTTTGAGACCAGCCTGGCCAACACAGCAAAACCCTATCTCTACTAAAAATACAAAAATTAGCCAGGCATGGTAGCACGCACCAGTAATTCCAGCTACTCGGGAGGCTGAGTCATGAGAATCGTTTGAACCTGGGAGGCAGAGGTTGCAGTGAGCTGAGATGGTGCCATTGCACTCCAGCCTGGGCAACGAAGCAAGACACTGCCTCAATAACAACAACAATAACAAAATTAGAATTCCAGGGATGATATTCATGCTAAGCTTGGAATACAGGATTTGGCTAACCTGCAACTGCATAAGCAATGGGAAGGTTGGGGTTTGAGTGTGCGGCAACATATTGTATTCATGGTTATGAATAAACTTCCAACTCCTAACATAGCCTTGATGCTTAGTAAGCCCTCTGTAAATGTTTGCATAATGTGCAAAGAGTGGAATGCTGGGATTTGTCTTAGTGGCCCTGGCAACTCATCAGGGAAAGTATGAGATGTGTAACCTGGATGTGGGGCCAGAAAGGGAACAGGTGAAAGCTGATGAGGTCATGAGAGATGGGAACATAGGGAGAACTTGCTGAGGTTTTCTGGTACATTTTGCCATTGACATTTTTTTTGCCTAGAGGTTTTTCACTTGTGCCTTTCTGGGGGGCACGTTAGAGGTGCCTCCCAGAGGAGAGGTTGATCCCGATAAAGACACATCAGAATCAAGTGGAGAAAGGAAAACCTTGAGGCTGCAAAAGGAATATAAGAAAAATTCAGTAAGTATAAGCATACTAAAAACACTGAAAAAATGCTAAGTTCATCTCTGAAGAAAATTTTTAATATGGATTCTTAAAAAGGGAATGAAAATTAAGGGCATAATTGCATTTACAGTATTTCTTACAGTTTTCATTTTTTAAGCATAAAATGACATTTGGGCCATCACAGTTAGTGTAGGATACTAATGACGATGGTATTAATGGGAGGACCAGGGAAAGGGAACTAGGTGAGAATCTTTTGTGCCAGGATTTATGATAAAGGCTTTGCACGTGTCATTCCCTCCAACTCTTACAATAAATTACTAATAATTGAGAAGCTCACAATGCTTGATAAAGTACAAGAAAACCCTTTGTTTTATCCTTAGAATAATTCCATAAGCAATGCACAATTCATGCTTATAAGTTTCAAATGCCAAAGAAGACAGAATAAGATGGAAAACTTTACCTTCAATCCTTGCTACTTTCCATAATCTCTTCCCTTTGTATATGAAATTACTGTTAACAGTTGATATGTGGCCTTCCAATTCTTTTTACTTGCATATATTTAACTTTTAAAATATGAAGAAAATTATTGAGAACAATTCATTGGAACATAAATATGAAATGATTTCATTTCTTAAAAATGACTTTCTCCCATATGTGATATTTTAAGTTTCCCTTTTTTGTTGGGTGGTGAGTAGGTTCCTTAATGAAACTTAGCCCTTTTCTATAGCTTTCCTGTTACTTTCAGTTACTATTAAAGTGGTATTATTTTTGGTATTTCACATTGTATTTATTTTGAAACTTCAGTCGTAAGTGCAATTTGGAGAGGGTCTCCCCCCAGCCTCAGTGAGGGCAGAGCTATGTGTGGCTCTAGCTACTTGGGTCCATGTGGGAGTGGGGGAAGGGAGCTTGCTTACAGCTTTTTCTTGGTGACTGTATCTGCTATTCCAGCCTTTGTGAGCTCAATGAGGATGGTGAAAGTATCAATATGCCCCATCTAAGAGAGGCTTGTTTCCATCAGCGGTGGTGGGCATAGGTATCCCTTTGTCATATTTAGACATCTCTTCCAGCCAAGGATGATATCCAGTCTCATTCTTTGATGGGGCACATCTTTTTCCTCTGCCACACCCAGCTATGGTAGTTCTAAGAAGGGTTCTTTCAGTCTCAACCGCTTGCTGAAACTACCCACCTCCAGAGCTGGCAGACATGCGGGATCCCATCTTCCATGTCTCTCAGAAATCAAGAACTCGAGGCAATTCTGACTTTCTTTCCACCTGGCACCTCCCCTATTCCTGCTTGTCGTCTCTCTCTGCTCTTTGCTATGTAGGTAGCATGGAGCAGATCATCAGGTCATCTGGATAAGCAGACATCATATAGGGATACAATGCCAGTCTTTTATTCTTGCGGTCACCCCAAATCTTTACAAGTGATTCTCTTGGAGCATCAGTGGAGATTGCCTACCTTGTTTTGGGGAAAGGGAAGCAATCCTTTCCCAATCCTCCATGGGAACCAGAGGGAATAGACTCTTGCTGTGAATTGCTATTCTAAGGCTGGTGATCTCCTCCCCTCTTAGTTCTCTTTTTACATAGACTAAAAGAGGGTCATGTGGTGGTGGGTGGTAGGACTGCTTCTGCATTTTTGTTTCCTCTTGTAAGGGCTGTGGGAGGTGGGTGGCCTCAGTGTTGGCTGCTTTGTGCACATAAAAACATGGAGTGTTTAGTGACTCTGTCTTCAGCCCTGCCCATTAGCGGAAATTCTGTACCATGAGATGAATCCAAGTTGACATCTTGTTTCATATCCTCAGTCACTAGAATGTGCTGTCATGCTGGTTGTTCTCTATTTGTCCCTCTGCTCAGGTTCTGTTCTCCATCCTTTCTGTCCTGTAATGTGCCCTGGAGAGCTGACTTCTGTGGATTATATTATCTTGGCTTCCTTCTCCTCTTGCTTCTGGTTTGTTTTGACTCATGGGAGGCACTGGTGTAAGGTTGGAGAGTAATAAGGAAATTGGGGTATTTATAACCCTGACCCTGTCCCAACTCATGTTCCTCTGTGGCTTCAGCTGCTGCCTGGTGGCCCCTCTTCCTTAGCTCCAGCTGTAACTATTCTCTCAGTTTAAGGCTGGTAAAACTTCCTGCTGGTGCTGATCCCTGTTGTATTACCATCCTGTGTGGGTTTCCTCAATCTCTTGCTGCTTCTTTGACTCTGTCCACACCTGTGAAGAGTCTCTTCATTAGAACAGTTTCAGTTAAATCCTTTGAGTGGGCCATCTGTTTCCTGCTGCGACCATGACAAATATGATCCCCCTTTCTATTACCAAAATATCTCGAGGTCTTGAATGTCATTACATATATATTTACTTACATGAGAAATGGCTGTGTAATCTAATATGAGGAAACCTCAGACACATCCAAATTAGGAGGCATTCTACAGAAATAATTGGAGTGAACTATTTATTTAAGAGATAGGGTCTCTTTCTGTCAGCCAGGCTGGAGTGCAGTGGAGTGATTGTGGCTCACTGCAGCCTCAACCTCCCAGGCTCAAGCTATCCTTCTGCCTCAGCCTCTTGAGTTGCTGAGACCACAGATGTGTGCTACCACACCCGGCAACTTTTTAAATGCTTTTATTGCAGAGACAGGGTCTCACCATGTTGCCCAGGCTGGTCTTGAACTCCTGGGCTCAAGCAATCCTCCCTCCTAGGCTTCCCAAAATGCTGGAATCATAGGCATGAGCCATTGTGCCCAGTTGCCTGTACTGCTTAAAAATGTCAAGGTCTCTGGGTGTGGTGGCGCAGGCCTGTAGTCCTGGTTTCTTGGGAGGCTGTGGTGGGAGGATCACTTGAGCCAAGGAGTTCGAGGCTGCAGTGAGATATGATCATACCACTGCACTCCAGCCTGGGGGATAGAGTAAGATCCTGGGTTAAAAAAAAAAAAAGTCAGTCATGAAAGACAATGGTGTCATGACCGCTGCAAAGTTAGAGATAACTGGGTTTATGCATGTTTGTGTCTTTCCATAAGGTCAGGCTTTTATTAATGCTATTTCAATCACAAGAGTCACAAACCGGCTGGGGGCGGTGGCTCACGCCTGTAATCCCAGCACCTTGGGAGGCCGAGACGGGCAGATCACAAGGTCAGGAGATCGAGACCATCCTGGCTAACACGGTGAAACCCCATCTCTACTAAAAATACAAAAAATTAGCTGGGCATGGTGGCAGGCACCTGTAGTCCCAGCTACTTGGGAGGCTGAGGCAGGAGAATGGTGTGAACCCAGGAGGCGCAGCTTGCTGTGAGCCGAGATAGCAACACTGCACTCCAGCCTGGGGGACAGAGTGAGACTCATCTCAAAAAAAAAAAAGAAAAAAAAAAGAAAAAAAGAGTCACAAACCACACAGAATTCCCAAGGAGGCAATTCTCCTTAGCACTTCCTGTTCACCCAGTAGTCAGAGCCACATGCACACAGGCTCAAGCCACTCCACAAGTCAGTCAATATTGCAAACCATACATAATAGTATACTTAATATATAAATGTTATGGATTAAACATTCCACAACAAACAAAGAACATTTAACATCAACAGGAAAAAAGAGATAGGAGAAAGAGGTGGTAAACCACCGTCCAGGATGAGTGAAGAAGATAAAAGGAGTCCTGGGCTGGGCTGGGCTGGGCAGGGCAGTCTGTTGGTCTCACAAGGAAGAGTCTTTGATGTGGTACAGCCTTCTGTGGCAGATGCCGAGTTCTTTTTTTTTTTTTTTGAGACGGAGTCTCGCTCTGTCGCCCAGGCTGGAGTGCAGTGGCGCGATCTCGGCTCACTGCAAGCTCCGCCTCCCGGGTTCACGCCATTCTCCTGCCTCAGCCTCCCGAGTAGCTGGGACCACAGGCGCCCGCTACCACGCCCGGCTAATTTTTTGTATTTTTAGTAGAGACGGGGTTTCACCGTGTTAGCCGGGATGGTCTCGATCTCCTGACCTCGTGATCCGCCCGCCTCGGCCTCCCAAAGTGCTGGGATTACAGGCGTGAGCCACCGCGCCCGGCCGCCGAGTTCTTATCATGAGTGGCTGCGAGACAATGTCAGTTAAGATGGCCTTTTCGAGCTGCTGAATGTGTAAGAGTGTGTTTGTTTGTACTCTTACCTGGTTGGATGCAGTCTTTATGTTTTTTTATTTGTTTATTAAGCTAAACATCATATTCTTGTTGGCAAGGTGCCCTGTGAAATATAAAATGGAGTCTTTTTGTAAGATGCAGTTAGTGTCAAGGGTGCTCTATACAAAAGGAAAACCAAGGAGCTATTACAGATTAAGGGAGACTCAGGAGACAGGACGAGTAAATGCAATGCCTGGTCCTGGACTAGGAGAAAAAAAGTTTATGAATTTTGCTGAAAATGACTAATGCATACGTGTGTATGTGTGTGTATATATACATATTATATATATATACACACATATATACACATATCTACATTATACATATGCATATATATACACATATATGTATATACATATACACACATATTTATATATGTATATTCATATATATGTAGAGAACGAGAAACGAATAAAGCAATTGTGATAAAATGTTAATTTTGACAATCTGTGTAAAGGATATATGGGAATTCTTTGTACTATTTTTGTAACTTTTCTGTAAATCTGAAATTATTTTAAAATAAAAATTCATACAGTGTTTCATAACCCAGATATACATAGCCACTGCCTTGCTCTTAGCAATTTACATAGGTTGTCTCCCATTTTTTTTCTATTGCAAATCGCCCTGCAATGAACACATATCTTTCTGTATATCAGCCAGTATTACTGCTGAATAGAATTGGAGAAGCAGAACTGTTGAGCCAAAGGTCATACACACCTTACATTTCGGTAGATTTCGGCAAGTTGCCAAAGGCTGTTTAGCAAACATGAGGTTTTATTCTCTTGCAAAATTATGAGAAAGGTTTTATTAAAAAGTTAGATTATAACCTATACAAAGGTCATCTTTCAAACTGATCAAATTTAGGTCCTCGGAGTTTAGAAATTTAGCCAACCCTAAGTTGTTTGCGTATGTGTTACTGAGACACAGCAGGGACTCCTCTGAGGGGCCTGCTGGGCCCGCTCAAGCATAAAAATGAAGGCAAATCTTGAGTTTCTTCAAGGAAAATTCCAGGTACCTAGCTAGCTTTGAAAAATAAATGAGCAACCTGACAAGCAAGAAGGTAACAATAGCTTGAAACAATAGCCAAGGAAGTTAGAGCCACAAAATGTTTAGTTCCCTATAGAAACTAAAGATAACACCTTAACACATATCCTTGAGTTGTTTTTCAGAAACCTGGACACCTACCAAATAGAAAATGCCATCCATTGGCACATAGACCTCAGATAAAGGGGAACTGAGGACTGAACTCTGACTTCTGTTCTTTGTTCTCAATTTCTTCCTGAGGGACCTGGAGGAAGTTATGCCCACAGGCCAGAGCTTAACATTCCTTTCGACTGACCCCAAGTTTTTAGACAAAGCTTTACTTCCTTAATCAATTGCAAATCAGGGAATCTTTGAATATACATGACCAGTAAGCTCCCCTGCTTTAAGATATCCTGCCTTTTAAAGCCAAACCAATGTATAACTTCCATGTATTGATTTATGATTTTGCCAGTAACTTCTACTTTTCTGAAATTTACATCTGCCTTTAAAAACCCTTGATTGTAAGCCATCCAGGAGGTTGGGTCTTAAGTGTGAGCTGTCGGATTCTCCTTGCTTGGTGTCCTGCAAATGAATGCCCTTGTTTCTCCTGCTATAAAACCTCAGTGTGGATATTTGGTATTACCATGCTGAGTGGGCAGACCTGAGTTCAGTTCCATTACATTAACTGCTTTTCCCGCTTTATCTCTAACAATTTCAGTGCCCTGCCTTTCTGCATCCTTCCTTTGCCCTGGGGTTTGTAACTCAACTTCTGCCTCCCTGAATTCCAGTTTGCCAGAAATGCTAACAGATTTTAGTCAGGAGAGTAAAAAAGTTAAAATATTACTTACAGAAATTAATTATATGTGGTTTTTAAAATTAAGCATGACATTGCTTCCTTTCATGAACATACGTAATTGTATTGGTTCATTCTCATATTGCTATAAAGAACTATCTGAGACTGTATAATTTATAAAGAAAAGAGGTTTAGTTGGCTTATGTTTCTGCAGGCTATACAGGAAGCATGGCTGAGGAGGCCTCAGGAAACTTACAATCATGGTGGAAGGCAAAGAGGAAAGAGTCATGTCTCACATGGCCAGAGCAAGAGGAAGAGAGAAGGGGGAGGTCCTACACATTTTTAATAACCAGATCCCATGGGAACTCACTCACTATCATGAGAACAGGAAGGGGGAAGTCAGTTCCCATGATCCAGTCACATTCTACCAGGCCCCTCCTCTAACACTGGAGATTACACTTTGACATGAGATTTGGATGGAGACACAAATCCAAACCATATCAATAACCAATAACAGTTATAATCCTTTATAAAACCAAGTGATCTAATATCAAGGTTGAATTGAAAATGTTATAAAGTTGTTTTACAGTTTATAGAACATGCTTGTGTTTGGTCTGTGAATATAATCACAAAATTTTAAAGATGGAAAGAATGCTATAGAGCATTTGGTCCACTCTCTTCTTTTGTAGATGTGAAAACTGATTCTCAGAGTTTGATATAATGACTGAAATCACATAGCTGATAACTGGCACAAGGGTTAAGTACCAGTTTTCTGACTTTTTAAACTACTCCTTCCTGCTTCATGTCTGTACTATCTCAAAGGTCTATAGGCTGTGTCATGGAACAAGTCATGTTATTAAACTACAAGTTGGGAGGTGGTGATTCAGGGTAGGATGGTTGAAATAAAAAATTATTTCTAGTATATAATGAAGAAAAGTTTGTGTAACGTGACTGTGTAAATGATTTATACCAAGCCCCTAACCAGGAAATATACTGATAAATTGTGTACTTCTCTTTTGATTGATGGGAACTACGTGAAAAAGCCCAATAATACGATGAGTATTAAAAATATCTTAACATCATGGGAGCCCCTGAAACTTTTGTGCAAGTTATAATTCCTTCATGCATCATATGTATATCCAATTTTGCTGTATTTAGAAATGATTAGATTTTCCTAGATAATTTGTGAAGTGGAAACTTGGATAATTAAGTTCCTAATTCTCTTTGCAGTGGCGTAATTCAAACTAAGATTGTACCAATCAGCTTTTATAATTGAAATAAACAATTCTTTGAGTGCTTATGCCATAATGAGGAATAATAACATATAATACATTATTAGTGCCAATTCCTCTCACCCCCACCAAATCATTCATATTTTGCTTAAAAAAATGTATTTTTGCTGGCTAACACGGTGAAACCCCGTCTCTACTAAAAATAAAAAAAAATTAACCAAGCGTGGTGATGGGCATCTGTAGTCCCAGCTACTCGGGAGGCTGAGGCAGGAGAATGGCACAAACCTGGGAGGTGGAGCTTGCAGTGAGCTGAGATCGCGCCACTGCACTCCAGCCTGGGTGACAGAGTGATACTCCATCTCAAAAAAAAAAAAGTACTTTTGTGTTAAGTTGGATGTGGGTGTATACAACATTCCAGAAGCTCAGAAAATTTCACATAGAATCCTCAAGTTTGAATGCAAATAGACTATATCTGTAACTTCTTCATGACTGGTGGGATCACTTGCAGAGAATATTAGGAGTTGGAAAACGTACATGGGTATGGGAGAAAATTTTGTAGCATGGCAGGAATAACTTGGCTATGAGTCTGGTCTTTAAGAGAAAGAGGATGGCTTGTCAGTGAAAAGATAGTTTCTATCCCACTGAGTCTTGGGATTTGCTCCTGACTGGGATTGATGTGTTTATTGAAGGGGATCCATCTGATTAGTGAGTGGCAGCAGCAGGAGTTTCAATCAATGGTGATACCATAATTGGGGTGGCTCCAAGTCTTCAGCTGGTGGTGGGCTCAAGAAAGTAGATAATCAATAACTGGGCAGATGGACAGGTCCCAACTAGGTGATTCTCAACCCTCTCCCACCCAATTTCCTCCATTTCAAACAAATATTTTGTTACACTTAACATTTATTGATAATCTACCTACAAACATAATTTAAAAAATCAGTATGCTCTAATTATAAAACAGAGAAGTAAAAGTAAATAATACTATTTATTTTTAATATATAATGCTTGTACAGAAATACACTGGAACAGTGCTTCTCAAACTTGACTGTGCATACAGATATCCAGAGATCCTGTTAAAAAGCATATTCTGGTTCAGTGGGTGTGGGATGGGCCTTGAGATTTCACATTTCTCACAAACTTCCAGGTGATGCTGATGCTGTTGGCACGTGGAATACACTTTGTGAGTAGCCTGGTCCTAGAGGACATAATGAAGAAATCAGAGCATTGCACTGAGAAAGAGAAAGCTTATGAATAGAACTGGACACAGGTGTGCTGAATTGGCAATTGAATTACCAGAAGTGTTGTTGCCATTATTCATGTGATTTTTTTTTAGGCAATTCGCGAACAATTCTTAGTAAAATTGTGATCAAAACAAAGTCTATTTTTCCCTTGATTTGCACAGTAGTTGCATTCCTACAAAAATACTTTGTGTTCATGTGTGAAATGAAGTTAACCTCTAGGCTCAGATTTATACACACATTTTTCACCTAACAGAATGTCCAGTGGAATACTTGACATTTTAATGGAATGTATGCATTCTTTATGTGCGGGACTATCCCATGGATGTCAGGACAATTAGCATCTGTGACTCCTGACCACTAAATATCACACCCAATTCATTGTGACAACAAAAAATGGCCCTGTCAGTTTCCCAACTTCTTTGGGGTGGAGTGTGGGATTCACAGAGTATGAATCAAGGCAGAGTGCTAGTCTCAGTCTGCTAATTAGCAACTGTATTGGTCAGGGTTCTCTAGAGACAGAACTAATAGGATAGATGTATGTATGAAGGGGAGTTTATTAAGGAGTATTGACTCACACAATCACAAGGTGAGGTCCCACAATAGGCCATCTGCAAGCTGAGGAGAAAGGAAGCCAGTCCAAGTCCCAAAACATCAAAAGTAGGGAAGTCGACAGTGCAGCCTTCAGTCTGTGGCCGAAGGCCTGAGAGCCCTGGTAAACCACTGGTGTAAGTCCAAGAGTCCAGAAGTTGAAGAACTTGGAGTCTCATGTTCGAGGGCAGGAAGCATCCAGCATGAAAGAAAGATAAAGGCCGGAAGTCTCAGCAAGTCGACTTTCCCACCTCCTTCTGTCAGCTTTTTTCTAGCTGCGCTGGCACTTGATTAGATGGTGCCCGCCCACATTGAAGGTGGGTCTACCTCTTCCAGTCCACTGATTCAAATGTTAATCTCCTTTGGCAACATCCTCACAGACACACCCAGGAACAATACTTTGCATCCTTCAATCTAATGAAGTTGACCCTTAATATTAACCATCACAGCAACCACAGCAGAAACCATTGTAAGGCTGGGACAAACACATCAAGGATTAAGATAGAGACCCTACAACTGCCTGGAGACAGGCTAGCCTTGGCTGGTCCCTTTGCTTATAACAGAAATGCTACTTCATTGTTGGACATTTGGGTTGGTTCCAAGTCTTTGCTATTGTGAATAGTGCCGCAATAAACATACGTGTGCATGTGTCTTTAATGAGTTCATGTCCTTTGTAGGGACATGGACAAAGCTGGAAACTATCATTCTCAGCAAACTATCGCAAGGACAAAAAACCAAACACCACATGTTCTCACTCATAGGTGGGAACTGAACAATGAGAACACATGGACACAGGAAGGGGAACATCACACACCGGGGACTGTTGTGGGGTTGGGGGAGCGGGGAGGGATAGCATTAGGAGATATACCTAATGCTGAATGACGAGTTAATGGGTGCAGCACACCATCATGGCACATGTATACATACGTAAGAAAACTGCACATTGTGCACATGTACCCTAAAACTTAAAGTATAATAATAATAATGAAAAAAGAAGAAATGCTACTTCAGACCCTGTTGGAGAAGGGATGGGCTGAAACAGAGCATACCTTCCAAATGTTAGTGTGTCTCCAAATCACCAGTGGATCTTGTTAAACTGCAGATACTGCTGGAGCAGGTCTGGGGTGGGACCTGAGATTCTGCATTTCCTGCAAGCTCTCAGGTGATATTCATGCTGCTGCACCAAGTTTGTTCCACAAACTCTGACTAGCAAGAGCTGCAGCATTTAACTTGGTGGGACTGGGGCTGTAGTTTGAAAACATCAGCGCCTAAAACTGAGGTAAGCTGAAGACAGCCAGGGCTGGACATATCATCCAGATCTTTCTTTCTCCCTCTCTAAGAATTATTTTCTCTCCACTCCTTTCACTCTTTGGATTGATGAAGACCAGCATACTAAAGTAAAACTAGCTTTTCTGCATAAGGTTGCTGGTGCTTGTCTTTTCTAGAATGAGGAAGTCATGGTAACATTTTGTTTAAAGGTCATTTTAGGTTTTAATGATACAGAATAAATAGTACAGACATTCTTATGTCATCCAAGGATTTAATTAGGCATACTTTGACATACTGTTAATGGACATTTGAAAGCCTGATTTACTGAAGATAATATCTAATTTAAATAATTATACTCTGATGATTGAGAACTTTCTCTAAAAAAATCTATTAAGGGAGAAAATTGTTATTTGGTTTGAGTCAAGAAGACAGAGATGCAAACAGATGCTATAAATTCCCACACTTGTGTCCAAGGCCTGGGCTAGAGTGAGAAAAGTGAGAGGCCCAGAGCACAACATTTAAGAAGGCACCTGCTATCAGTGTTGTGCAAGTGCATAGTTGGCACCTAAAAGTGAGTGCCTGACCCTGCCAGTGCCCAGGACAGACATTGCTGGGCAAATAGTGCTTGCGGAGGAGTTGATGCCTGTGCCAAGAACTGCATGGTGGATGTACCATCTACCTGGATCAAAATATCTTCCACTTGATTCCACCTCTGGGGACAGGACATATTGGAACAAAAGGCAGCAGACAGCTTCTACAGACTTAAAAATCCCTGCCTGATAGCTCTGAAGAGAGCAGTGGTTCTCCCAGCACAGCATTCAAGATCTGATAATGGACAGACTGCCTCTCAAGTGGGTCCCTGACCCCTGTGTAGCCTGACTGGGTGACACCTCCCAGTAGGGGCCGACAGACACCTCATACAAGCGGGTGGCCCTCTAGGATGAAGCTTCTAGAGGAAGGATCAGGCAGCAATATTTGCTGTTCTGCAGCCTCCGCTGGTGATACCCAGGCAAATAGGGTCTGGAGTGGATCTCCAGCAAACTTCAACAGACCTGCAGCTGAGGGGCCTGTCTGTTAGAAGGAAAACTAACAAACAGAAAGGGATAGTACCAACATCAACAAAAAGGACATCCATACGAAAACCCCATCTGTAGGTCACCAACATCAAAGACCAAACGTAGATAAAACCACAAAGATGGGGAGAAACCAGTGCCGAAAGGCTGAAAATTCCAAAAACCAGAACGCCTCTTCTCCAAAGGAACACAACTCCTCTCCAGGAAGGGAACAAAACTGGGTGAAGAATGAGTTTGACAAGTTGACAGAAGTAGGCGTCAGAAGGTCGGTAATAACAAACTTCTCCAAGCTAAAGGAACATGTTCTAACCCATCACAAGAAAGCTAAAAACCTTGAAAAAAGGTTAGATGATGGCTAACTAGAATAAACAGTGTAGAGAAGAGCTTAAATGACCTGATGGAGCTGAAAATCACGGTACGAGAACTACGTGACACATGCACAAGCTTCAATGCCGATTCAATCAAGCGGAAGAAAGAATATCAGTGATTGAAGATCAAATTAATGAAATAAAGTGAGAGGACAAGATTAGAGAAAAAAAGAGTGAAAAAGAAACGAACAAAGCCTCCAAGAAATATGGGACTATGTGAAAAGACCAAATCTACGTTTGATTGGTGTACCTGAAAGTGATAGGGAGAATGGAACCAAGCTGTAAAACACTCTTCAGGATATTATCCAGGAAAACTTCCCCAACCTGGCAAGGCAGGCCAACATTCGAATTCAGGAAATACAGAGAACACCACAAAGATACTCCTCAAGAAGAGCAACCCCAAGACATATAATTGTCAGATTCACCAAGGTTGAAATGAAGGAAAAAATGTTAAGGGCAGCCAGAGAGAAAGGTTGGGTTACCTACAAAGGGAAGCCCATCAGACTAACAGCGGATCTCTCTTCAGAAACTCTACGAGCCAGAAGAGAGTGGGGGCCAATATTCAACATTCTTAAAGAATAGAAATTTCAACCCAGAATTTCATATCCAGCCAAACTAAGCTTCATAAGTGAAGGAGAAATAAAATCCTTTACAGACAAGCAAATGCTGAGAGATTTTGTCACCACCAGGCTTGCCTTACAAGAGCTCCTGAAGGAAGCACTAAACATGGAAAGAAACAACCAGTACCAGTCACTGCAAAAACATGCCAAATTGTAAAGACCATCGATGCTAAGAAGAAACTGCATCAACTAACGGGGAAGATAACCAGCTAAAATCATAATGACAGGATCAAATTCACATATAACTATATATATATATATATTTATATATATATATTTTTGGAAATGGGAACATATGTTTTATTTATTTTATTTTTATACTTTTAGGGTACATGTGCACAATGTGCAGGTTTGTTACATATGTATACATGTGCCATATTGGTGTGCTGCCCCCGTTAATTCATCATTTATGTTAGTTATATCTTCTAATGCTATCCCTCCCCCATCCCCCCACCGCACAACAGGCCCTGGTGTGTGATGTTCCCCACCCAGTGTCCAAATGTTCTCATTGTTCACTTCCCACCTATGAGTGAGAATATGCGGAGTTTGGTTTTCTGTCCTTGTGATAGTTTGCTCAGAACGATGGTTTCCAGCTTCATCCATGTCCCTACAAAGGACATGAACTCATCCTTTTTTATGGCTGCATAGTATTCCATGGTGTATACACATATAACAATATTAACCTTAAATGTAAATAGGCTAAATGCCCCAATTAAAAGACACAGACTGGCAAATCAGATAAAGAATCAAGACCCATCTGTGTGCTGTATTCAGGAGACCCACCTCACGTGCAGAGACACACATAGGCTCAAAATAAAGGAATGGAGGAAGATCTACCTAGCAAATGGAAAGAAAAAAAAAAGCAGGGTTTGCAATCCTAGTCTCTGATGAAACAGACTTTAAACCAACAAAGATCAAAAGAGACAAAGAAGGCCACTACATAATGGTAAAGGGATCAATTCAACAAGAAGAGCTAAATATCCTAAATATATATGCATGCAATACAGGAGCACCCAGATTGATAAAGCAAGTTCTTAGAGACCTACAAAGAGACTTAGACTCCCATACAATAATCATGGGAGACTTTAACACCCCACTGTTAATATTAGACAGATAACAAGACAGAAGGTTAACAAGGATATCCAGGACTTGAACTCAGCTCTGCACCAAGCAGACCTAATAGACATCTACAGAACTCTCCACCCCAAATCGACAGAATATACATTCTTCTCAGCACCACATTGCACTTATTCCAAAAATGACCACGTAGTTGGAAGTAAAGGACTCCTCAGCAAATGTAAAAAACAGAAATCACAACAAACTGTCTCTCAGACCACAATGCAACGCAATTAAAACTCAGGATTAAGAAACTCACTCAAGACTGCCTGAAACTGAACAGCCTGCTCCTGAATGACTACTGGGTAGATAACAAAATGAAGGCAGAAATAAAGATGTTCTTTGAAACCAATGAGAACAAAGACACAATGTAGCGGAATCTCTGGGACACATTTAAAGCAGCATATAGAGGGAAATTTATAGCACTAAATGCCCACAAGAGAAAGCAAGAGAGATCTAAAATCGATACCCTAACATCACAATTAAAAGAACTAGAGAAGCAAGAGCAAACAAATTCAAAAGCTAGCAGAAGGCAAGAAATAACTAAGATCAGAGCAGAACGGAAGGAGATAGAGACACAAAAAACCCTTCAAAAAATCAATGAATCCAGGAGCTGGTTTTTTGAAAAGATCAACAAAATATACCACTAGCAAGACTAATAAGAAAAGAGAGAAGAATCAAAGAGATGCAATAAAAATGATAAAGGGGATATCATCACTGATCCTACAGAAAGGCAAACTACCATCAGAGATTACTATAAACACCTCTGTGCAAATAAACTAGAAAATTTAGAGGAAATGGATAAATTCCTCGACACATACACCCTCCTAAGACTAAACCAGGAAGAAGTTGAATCTCTGAATATGCCAAAAACAGGTTGTGAAATTGAGGCAATAATTAATACCCTACCAACCAAAAAAAGTCCAGGACCAGACAGATTCACAGCTGAAATCTAGCAGAGGTACAAAGAGTAGCTGGTAGCATTCCTTCTGAAACTATTCCAATCAATAGAAAAAGAGGGAATCCTCCCCAACTCATTTTATGAGGCCAGCAGCATCCTGACACCAAAGCCTGGTAGAGATACAACAAAAAAAGAGAATTTTAGGCCAATATCCCTGATGAACATCAATGCAAAAATCCTCAATAAAGTACTGGCAAACCAAATCCAGTAGCACATCAAAAAGCTTATCCACCATGATCAAGATGGCTTCATCCCTGACATGCAAGGCTGGTTCAACATACACAACTCAATAAACGAAATTCACAAAAACAGAACCAAAGACAAAAACCACATGATTTTCTCAATAGATGCAGAAACGGCCTTTGACAAAATTCAACAGCCCTTCATGCTAAAAACTCTCAATAAACTAGGTACTGATGGAACGTATCTGAAAACAATAAGAGCTATTTATGACAAACCCACAGCCAATATCATACTGAATGGGCAAATACTGGAAGCATTCCCTTTGAAATCTGGCACAAGATAGGGATGCCCTCTCTCACCACTCCTAATCAACATAGTGTTGGAAGTTCTGGCCAGGGCAATCAGGCAAGATAAAGAAAAAAAAGGTATTCATTTAGGAAAAGAGGCAGTCAAATTGTCTCTGTTTGCAGATGACATGATTGTATATTTAGAAAACGCCATCATCTCAGCCCCAAATCTCCTTAAGCTGATAAGCAACTTCAGCAAAATCTCAGGTTACAAAATCAATGTGCAAAAATCACAAGCATTCCTATACACCAAGAATAGACAGAGAGCCAAATCATGAGTGAACACACATTCACAGTTGCTACAAAGAGAATAGAATACCTAGGAATCCAACTTACAAGGGATATAAAGGACTCTTCAAGGAAAACTGTAAACCACTGCTCAACGAAATAAAAGAGGACACAAACAAATGGAAGAACATTCCATGTTCATGGATAGGAAGAATCAATATCATGAAAATGGCCATACTGCCCAAGGTAATTTATAGATTCAATGTCATCCCCATCAAGCTACCACTGACTTTCTTCACAGAATTGGAAAAAACCACTTTAAATTTCATATGGAACCACAAAAGAGCCCGCATAGCCAAGACAACTCTAAGCAAAAAGAACAAAGCTGGAGGCATCACACTACTTGACTTCAAACTGCACTACAAGGCTACAGTAACCAAAACAGCATGGTACTGGTAACACAACAGATATATAGACCAATGGAACAGAATAGAGGCCTCAGAAATAACACCACACATCTGATCTTTGACAAACCTGACAAAAACAAGCAATGGGGAAAGGATTCCCTATTTAATAAATGGTGCTGGGAAAACTGGCTAGCCATATGTAGAAAGCCGAAACTAGATCCCTTCCTTATACCTTACACAAAAATTCATTCAAAATGGATTAAAGACTTAAATGTTAGACCTAAAACCATAAAAACCCTAGAAGAAAACCTAGGCAATACCATTCAGGACATAGGCATTGGCAACGACTTCATAACTAAAACACCAAAAGCAATGGCAACAAAAGCCAAAATAGAGAAATCGGATCTAATTAAAGAGCTTCTGTACAGCAAAAGAAACTGCCATCAGAGTGAACAGGCAACCTACAGAATGGGAGAAAATCTTTGCAATCTACTCATCTGTCAAAGGGCTAATATCCAGAATCTACAAAGAATTGAAACAAGTTTACAAGAAAAAAATACCCCATCAGAATGTGGGCAAAGGATATGAACAGACTCTTCTCAAAAGAAGACATTTATGCAGCCAACGGACATAGGAAAAAATGCTCATCATCACTGGTCATCAGAGAAATGCAAATGAAAACCACAGTGAGATACCATCTTATACCAGAATGGCGATCATTAAAAAGTCAGGAAGCAACAGATGCTGGAGAGGATGTGGAGAAATAGGAACGCTTTTACACTGTTGGTGGGAGTGTAAATTAGTTCAACCATTGTGGAAAATGGTGTGGCGATTCCTCAAGGATCTAGACTTTTTGACCCAGCAATCCCATCACTGGGTATATACCCAAAGGATTATAAATCATGCTACTGTAAAGACACATGCACACGTATGTTTATTGCGGCACTATTCACAATAGCAAAGACTTGGAACCAACCAAAATGTCAATCAGTAATAGACTGAATTAAGAAAATGTGGCACATATACACCATGGAATACTGTGCAGTCATAAAAAAGGATGAGTTCATGTCCTTTGCAGGGACATGGATGAAGCCTGAAACCCTCATTCTAAGCAAACTGTCACAAGAAGAGAAAACCAAACACCACATATTCTCACTCATAAGTGGGAGTTGAACAATGAGAACACATGGACACAGGGAGGGGAATATCACACACTGGGGCCTGTTGTGGGGTGGGGGCCTGGGGGAGGGATAGCATTAGGAGAAATATCTGATGTAAATGATGAGTTGAGGGGTGCAGCAAACCAACATGGCACATGTATACCTATATAACAAACCTGCACGTTGTGCACATGTACCCTAAAACTTAAAGTATAATAATAAATAAATTACATTTCTTCCAACATATTTATCAGCTACAAAAGGGGGGCCTTTTGATCTCCCTCTCACCAACTACTACTTCTATGTCTCAGTTTGTCATTAAATCAAGTAAGGAATGTTTATTCTTAGGGCCATCGTTAAAAAAAAAAAAAGAGAAATATCTTGCACTTATCTTTGGTTGATGACCTAATATATGGAACACTATTTCTTATTAATAAGTTTGTGGTAGGCTGTAATAAACTCCATATAAAGCCATGCCAGTTCTTACCTTGAAGCCATACAAAGGGAAAAATCTCAACAATTCTCTTAACAGATTTCTCATTCTCTGTATCTAAAATTTCTTCTTGGGTTTCTTGCAGATATGATATTATTTCACCATAGAATTACATAGCTTGTATATTTACTATTTTGAAAGCTTACCTCAGAATGAGTAACTTCAAATTTGGTGTTAAAAACAGACAAAACAACAGAACATGAAAGTCAAAACCACAAACCACAGACTCCTTCTCCTACATGACTTGTAGTCGTGATTAAGTCATGAAAAATTTGTTATTTCTGAGAGAGAATAAGATCCTGAAGGCCAAATCCAATACTTGAAATCCTTCTGTTGAAAAAGGCAGTTTAGGATGCTACCTAGCTAGGTTTCAATTGCTTTGTTTCAGACCACTGAGTCAAAATCTCTAAGGGTGAGGGGTGGACATTTGGAATGTACAAAGCTGCCCGGGAGATACTGATGCTCAGGCAGGATGGAGAGCTGGGGCCCCAGGATGTGTCTGTTTTCAGAGAGTCAGAAGATGTTCACATTATTAAAAGTTGATTTTACTATATGTTAATCTAAAGATGTTACCAATTAAAATTTAATTTATGAAAAAAGCATTATAACAATAATGAAGATAAAACAAAAAAACCTATGACCCTTCCAAATAACTGATTTGTTTAAATTTTCTCTCTTTTCAAGTAGTTCTTCTCCAGGCTTCATAGTCCTTTTACTTTTGCAATGTGCTATGTTGATTCAAATAATGAATGAATTTCCTCCAAAATTCATCTGTTGAAACCTAATAATCTCCACTGCAAGAGTATTAGGAGGTGGGACCCTTGGGAGGTGGTTAGGTCATGCGGGTGGACCCCTCATGGGTGGGATTCGTGCCCTTATAAAAGAGCTTGAGGGAGCCTGTTTGCCCCCTGGGAATGCAAGGACAGAGCAAGGATGTGCCACCTATGAAACAGTGAGCACTCACCAGACACCAAATCTATGGGCACCTTGATCCTGGACTTCCCAGCCTCTAGAACAGTGAGAAATGAATTTCTGTGGTTTGTAAATTACCTAGTTTAAGGTATTTTGTTACAGCAGCACAAGTGGATGAAGAGATAGTGGCACAGGGTCTCATACTGAGATGGGCCTCTTGTAGAACATTGGTTTAATGTTCTACTGTCACTGACTGGAGATTCTTAATAACTTTTTAACAAGGGACCCCTCATTTTCTTTTTGTACTGGGCCTCACAAATTATGTAGCTGGTCATGTCTTTACATATCTGAATATAATTTTACATAGCTGTAATACCAGTGCTCATATGAATTTGTCTTTTTTTCACTCAAAATTGTATTTTAAATATTTTTTCATGCCATTTTATACTGTTACACTGTTTTCATGATAATCGATTTTAATGATTTGTATAATATTCAATTAATTGTATCTATAATCAAGCTAATATTCCCATACCTTAATATCTCCCATATTAGGTTGCTTCTTATTTTTCACTGATGTATATTCTATAGCAATGAGAATCTTTGTGCATTTAGCTTTATCTTTTGAAAATGTTTACATAGAATCCATTATCAGGATGAGGACTACTGTGTTGGGCTGATCATGCCTAGGCTGATCATGCCTAGGACAGAGCCAGTTTGTACCTGGTGTCTTTATTAATAGTCCCCATCATTGCTGTTAGAAGTGCCATAGTTTGGGCTATATATTTTATGTTGTTCTTGGCTATGACCAGTATTATGGGCATTGAGTGCTTTTAGAAGGAAGGACTGATGAAAGCAAATGATCAACAATAAGCTATTACAACTCAATAACATTGAGAATAGCCACTTCAGAAAATAAAATATAGTAAAAATATGCCTTTTTTTGAAAAGCCTGTCAAAATAGGTTTAAATTCTCCACACAATCACATAACTAAGAAAAGTAGAATTAATGAAATAAACAATAATATATTTTGACATTTTTATTTGTAGCAAATATATAGTTATTAATGCCTCATGTTAGGGAATACCACTTATAAACCAGGGTGTTACCTTTATTTTTTAAATCCACAGTGAATTCAGGCTTATATTAAAATTTCACTGATCCTAGTAATATCAATTTAAAATTTGTGATAATTCAGAAAGGACTTTATTTTTAATAATTTCAACTTTTATTTTAGATTCTAGGGGCACACGTGCAAGTTTGTGGCCTGGGTATAATGAATGATGCTGAGGTTTGGGGCACAATTGCTTCTGTAGAAGGGATTTTAAATAAGGTTTCTCTTTGCTGTATCAAGAAAAAAAGGATTTTTCTACGTGAAGGAATAGTGTAAATAAGAGTCAAGGAAGAGATGTTTATATACTTTATAGAATAAATAAAAGGCTTCAGTAACTGCGCGTACATAGACAAAGTGAAACGTCTCTGAAAGCTGGGCCGTGTAATGGCTTAGATTGAGGCTCTGATTTGCTAACTGAAATAATTCTTACCTATTCGTTAAATTAGGTCTTCATCCAAGTATGATTGCCATGTGCAGTTCTAGTTAGTACATGGACATGACCATGGCAAAGCCTCATTTCCTTGAAAATAGTGCACCATCATTATTATATTATTTTTCTCTGTTTTAGGCAGGCTTGACCCTTGAATTTGTTCCAAATTCGTGGTATTTTGCTTTTGTCCTTGAAGCTAGAGGCCTTATTTCTGGGATCAATGCAAAAGCTCAGGTGCTTTTAAGATGTGTGCTTGGGGCCAGGCGCGGTGGCTCACGCCTGTAATCCCAGCACTCTGGAAGGCTGAGGTGGGCGGATCAGGAGGTCAGGAAATCGAGACCATCATGGCTAACACGGTGAAACCCAGTCTCTACTAAAAATACAAAAAAAAAAAAAAAAAATTAGCTGGGCGTGCTGGCGGGCGCCTGTAGTCCTAGCTACTCGGGAGGCTGAGGCAGGAGAATGGCGTGAACGTGGGAGGTGGAGCTTGCAGTAAGCCGAGATCACGCCTCTGCACTCCAGCCTGGGCAACAAAGTAAGACTCCGTCTCAAAAGAGATGTGTGCTTGGAAAAGACCTATTTGAAACAAAAATGTATTCCAGGATTTATAGGCCATGGAGATCACAGCTGAGCATTTCTTCCCTTTGGAAGGAAAGTGCATATGGAGGTCAGTGGAGTCGGCCCAGGGTCAGTTCGTGCTTGCTCGGAGATTGAAGGTGGGCTGTTGGGCCAGTCAGGGAGCCTGCTACTGGAAGAGCAGGGTCTTGAAGGTTTCATGGGTTGTACAATCCCCATCTTATCTTTGACACCTAGCAGCTCTGTGACCGGGGACAAGTTTCCCATCTTCTCTGAGACTCAGTTTCCCTGTCTGTATATCACTGAGCGAGTTTCTCTGGGAAGTTACTGCAGTGAGTTTGAACTGCATTCCCAGAAGTGAAAGAAAAGATAAGGGACGCCTGAGAGTGGAGACAGCCAGGGGCAAATCAACAAAGCTGGAGTTTTGTGTGAGTCTCCTCCTGTAGAGCAGAGTCCCATGCCTGAGAAAAACAGACAGGAGAGCTTTGGACAGGATTAGTCATCTTGACTAGCTGGGCCAGAGGGGATGGCTAGCCATTTATGCCCTTGTCAGGGTGCAGGCACCGTTTCGGGCAGTTCAGGCTCTAGAGGGTGTAATCTCGAGGTGACCAGCAGAAGGCAGTGGCCAGAGGGCGTGTACTCACTGTCAGGGCCGAAACTAGAGTAGCAGGGGAATCTTGCCTCTAAGGAGAGGCTACAGTTGGGTAATAAACTAATTCTGAGCCCGGATCTGGATTTCCATCGTAAGACCTTAGTCTTTGATTCAGTAGTCTCTAATGTTAAAAGGTAAACTGAGGCATGATAAAATTTTTTTAAGTGTGTGTTTGTGCAACTTATGAATCAGGAAGTACCAAACCAGAAATGGGTTTAGGGACTCTACCAGAAGTGGTTCAGAGTAGAAGGGGAAGGCTTTTACAGGGCAGACAAGGAAGTAGCCCCCAAAAATGTGATTGCTTAGTTATACAGTTGCAATATGTGGTCTATCCTGATGGAAAATCCCTGGTTATATAGGTTAGTTGCCGGCCTCTTATTGGCTAGCCTTAAGTTTCATTTTTCTTTTAATATGGGCATTTACAAGAAGTAGCCCAAGTTAAAGTTCACTTATGTTTCTAAATCAAGCAAGGTTAAGGTCACTTATGAAGCCTAACTATCTTCGTCTGCTGAAGGATTCTTCAGGCCTCCACTTCAATTATTTCAACAAAAAGGTCACCTTTCGTTTATACATTCTTTCCTTTATTTATCAAGTGCTGACCAGTTGCCAAACTCTGGGGATAAGAATGGACAAAATACAGTCTCTGCCCCTGGAGCTCTCATAGTTTGGGGTAGAGACATTCATTACAGTTTAATGAACATAACAGGGTTTATTCTTAACCAGTGTTGCTTGGAAACAATTCTTAACCAGTGTTGTCTTGGAAATGATAATCCTGCCCTTCTTTCTAGGAAGCAAGCTGTAAACATCGTCTTTGGTGGCCCAATGTCTGAGTCTGGTGATGCATTAGCTTCGTCATCTAACTCCCACTGTATGGTGCCAGTTTGCCAGACTGGTCCTGTCCCACCCATGTTGTATGGTTTCTCCTCCAGTTCTCTCCTGGCAGAGAAAGCTGGAAATCCCCTTCAATTTCCCTATCCCTCTTAGCCCCTCCTTCACGGAACTGGCTTTGGTTTCCTTTACTTCTTACTTCAGTTGGTAGATTGAAGATGTAGGCCTTTATCCTGGTTGCTGTCAGCACTGGACTAGGCCTTACTCCTATTAGCCATCCTGTCTAACTGACCAAGAAGTCCTGATCCTTTATTTCTGTTTTGTTCATCATGGATCTGACTGCTTCTGGCCATTGACACATACTTGGAGGCAGGGGAAAGTAGTTAAAATTAGGTCAGGCAGGTAGTAAGTGGAAATACCAGGAATTTTAACTCAGGCAGTCTGACTCTAGAGTTCATGCTCATAAGTACCATACCGTCTTTCAACATTGTGTAGGCATTCCTCAATTGTGTCTAGTATTCAGGATTACTTGCTGTTAGGAAAATGTGATTCAATTCATGTTACTATTGCTTTGTATACAATCTGATTTTTCCCCTTTTCTTCCCTTCCCTCCCTCCTTCCCTTCCCCTTCCTATGTTCCCTCCCTCTCCACTCCTTGGGAAGCTTCAGTATCCTCACAGCATGGCAGCTGGCTTCTCCAGAGTGAGCCATCCAAGAGAACAGGTGAAAGCTGCAAAGTCTTTTAAGACCTGGCCTCAGCAATCACTCACTGTCACTTCTATATTCCATTGGCCACATAGGGGTATTCCTTATTTAATATAGGACAGGGCCAAACAGGTGCATACCAGGGAGTACGGATCATTGAAGACCATGTTGGAAAATGGCTATCACACTGACTTCCAATTCATTTTCCTATTTTTACCTTTATGTACTTTCTGATGTAGGTTTATTTCAAGGCCTTCTGGGGTTCTGTCAAGAAGTCAAGCAACTTTGTGGCAACATAGTTGCCTCAATGTACAACTTATGCTGTGCCTCTTTCCCTAAGCACTCTTCTTTCCATCTTCCAGGATTTTCTTGAACTCTCCTGTCTGCCAGTGGACTCCCTCCTGTTCTCTTTCTTGCTTTTTTGTGACTGGCTAGTCAATCAATCAATCAATCAATCATCTATCTATCTGTCTCTATTTCTATACACACATACTATATATACATATATATCATAGTCTGACTCTAGGGTTCATGTATATATATAAAATATACATATATTATTTTTTTGCCATGGTGATCTTCTTTTATTTTTCTTTTTTAACTTTTAAGTTCAGGGGCACATATGCAGGTTTGCTACATAGGTAAATGTGTATCATGGGGCTTTGTTATACAGATTATTTCATCACCCAGGTATTAAGCCTTGTATCCATTAGTTATTTTTACTGATCCTCTCTCTCCTCCATCCTTCCAACTTCTGATAGGCCCCAGTGTGTTTTGTTCTGCTTTATGTGTACATGTGTTCTCATCATTTAGCTCCCACTTAGAAGTGAGAATATGCTGTGTTTGGTTTTCTGTTCCTGAGTTAGTTTGCTAAGGATAATGATCTCCAGCTCCAACCATGTCCCTGCAAAGGACATGATCTTATTCTTTTTTGTGGCTACATAGTATTCCACGGTATATATGTGCCACATTTTCTTTATCCAGTCTATCATTGATAGGCGTTTAGGTTGATGCTGTGTCTTTGGTATTGTGAATAGTGCTATGATGAACATACACATGCATGTGTCTTTATAATAGAACAATTTATATTCCTTTGGGGATATACCCAGTAATGGGATTGCTGGGTCAAATGGTATTTCTGATTTTAGGTCTTTGAGGAATCACCACACTGTCGTCCACAATGGTTGAACAAATTTACACTCCCACCAACAGTGTATAAGAGTTCCTTTTTCTCTACAACCTCACCAGCCTCTATTATTTTTTGACGTTTTAATAATAGCCATTCTGACTGGTGTAAGATGGTATCTCATTGTGGTTTTGATTTGCATTTTTCTAATGATCAGTAATGTTGAGCTTTCTTTCATATGACTGTTGGCACATGTGTGTCTTCTTTTAAGAAGTGTCTGTTCATGTCCTTTTTTCACTTTTTAATGGGGTTGTTTAGTTTTTTTCTTGTAAATTTGTTTAAGTTCCTTGTAGATGGTGAATATTAGACTTTTGTCAGATGCATAGCTTGCAAAATTTTTCTCCCATTCTGTAGGTTGTCTGTTTACTCTGTTGATAGTTTCTTTTGCTGTGCAGAAGCTGTTTAGTTTAATTAGATCCCATTTGTCAATTTTTGCTTTTGTTGCCATTGCTTTTGATGTCTTCATCATGAAATCTTTGTGCCTATGTCCTGAATGGTAGTGCCTCAGTTATCTTCCAGGGGTTTTATAATTTGGGGTTTTAAACATTTAATTCATCTTGAGTTAATTTTTATATATGGTATAAGGAAGGGGTCCAGTTTCAGTTTGCTGCATATGGCTAGCCTGTTATCCCAGCACCATTTATTGAATAGGCAATCCTTCCCCCATTGCTTGTTTTTGTCAGGTTTATTTGAAGATCAGATAGTTGTAGGTGTGCGGTCTTATTTCCAGGCTCTTTATTCTGCTCCATTGGTCTATGTGTCTGTTTTTGTACCAGTACTATGCTGTTTTGATTACTGTAGCCCTGTAGTATAGTTTGACTTTGGGTAGTACAATGCTTCCAGCTTTGTTCTTTTTGCTTAGAACTACCTTGGCTATTTGGACTATTTTTTGGTTCCATATGCATTTTAAAATAGTTTTCTCTAGTTCTGTGAAGAATGTCAGTGATAGTTTAATGAGAATAGCATTGAATCTATAAATTGCTTTGGACAGTATGGCCATTTAAACAATATTGATTCTTCCTATCCATGAGCATGGAATGTTTTTCCACTTGTTTGTGTCATCTCTGATTTCTTTGAGAGGTGGTTTGTTGTTCTGCTTGTAGAGATCTTTCACCTCCCTAGTTAGCTGTATTTCTAGGTATTTTATTCTTTTTGTGGCAATTGTGAATGGGAGTTTGTTCGTGATTTAGCTCTCAGCTTGCCTGTTTTTGATGTATAGGAATGTTAGTGATTTTTTCACATTGATTTTGTATCCTGAGACTTTGCTGAAGTTGTTTATCAGCTTAAGAAGCTTTTGGGCTGAGACAATGGGGTTTTCTAGATACAGGATCATGTCATCCACAAACAGGGATAGTTTTACTTCCTTTCTTCCCATTTTATTTGAACGCCCTATATTTTTCTTGCCTGATTCTTTGGTCAAGACTTCCAGTATTTGTTGAATAGGAGTGGTGAGATAGGGCATCCTTGTCTTGTGCCAGTATTCAAGGGGAATGCTTCCAGCTTTTGCTCATTCAGTATGATGTTGGCTCTGGGGTTGTCATGTATAGCTCTTATTATTTTGAGGTATGTTCCTTCAATATCTAGTTTGTTGAGAGTTTTTAACATGAAGGGATGTTGAATTTTATCAAAAGCCTTTCCTTCATCTATTGAGATAACCATGTGGTTTTTGTCTTTCATTCTGTTTATGTGATGAATCACATTTATTGATTTGCATATTTTGAACCAACCTTGCATCCTGAGGATGAAGTCAACTTGATTGTAGTAGATAAGCTTTTTGATGTGCTGCTGGATTCAGTTTGCCAGTGTTTTGTAGAGGATTTTTGCATTGATGTTCATCAAAGATACTGGCCTGAAGTTTTCTTTTTCTGTTGTATCTCTGCCAGATTTTGGTATCAGGATGATGCTGGTCTCATAGAGTGAGTTAGGGAGGAGACCCTTCTCAATTTCTTGGAATAGTTTAAGTAGGAGTGGTACCAGCTCTTCTTTGTACTTCTGGTAGAATTCAGCTGTGAATCTATCTGGACCTTGGCTTTTTTTGGTTGGTAGGCTATTTATTATTGTCTCAATTTCAGAATTTGTTATTGATTTGTTCAGGGATTTAATTTCTTCCTGGTTCAGTATTGGGAGGATGTATGTGTCCAGGAATTTATCCATTTCTTCTGGATTTTCTAGTTTATGTGCATAGAAGTGTTTATAATATTCTCTGATAGTTGTTTGTATTTCCATGGGGTCAGTGATAATATCCCCCTTATCTGTTTATTTAAATCTTCTCCCTTTTATTCTTTATTAGCCTAGCTAGTGGTCTATTTTATTAATTTTTTCAAAAAACCAGCTCCTGGATTCATTGATCTTTTGGATGATTTTTTGTGTCTCTATCTCCTTCAGTTCAGCTCTGATTTTGGTTATTTCTTGTCTTCTGCTAACTTTGGGATTGTTTGCTCTTGGTTCTCTAGTTCATTTAGTTGTGATGTTAGGTTGTTAACGTGAGATCTTCCTAGCTTTTTGATATGGACATTAAGTGCTATAAATTTTCCTCATAACACTGCCTTAGCTGTGTCTCAGAGATTCTGGTACATTGTATCTCTGTTCTCGTTAGTTTCAAAGAACTTGATTTCTGCCTCAATTTCATTGTTTACCTAAAAGTCATTCAGGAGGAGGTTATTTAATTTTCATATAATTGTATGGTTTTGAGATAATTTCTTAGTCTTGAGTTCTAATTTGATTGTACACTGGTCTGAGAGACTATTATTATTTCAGTTATTTTGTATTTGCTGAGGAATATTTTACTTACGATTATTTTAGAGTAAGTGCTACATGGTGATGAGAAGAATGCATATTCTGTTGTTTTTGGGTAGAGAGTCCTGTAGATACCTATAAGGTCCATTTGATCCAGAGCTGAGTTCAGGTCCTGAATATCTTCATTAAATTTCTGTCTCAATGATCTGTCTAATATTGTCAGTGAAGGTCTCCCACTATTATTGTGTGGGAATCTAAGGTCTCTAAGAACTTGCTTTATGAATCTTGGTGCCCCTGTTTTGGGTGCATATATATTTAGGACAGTTAGCTCTTCTTATTGAACGCTTTAACATTATGTAACACCCTTCTTTGCCTCTTTTGATCTTTGTTGGTTTAAAGTCTGTGTATTAGTGTGTTCTCAAATTGCTATAAGGAAATACCTGGGACTGGGTGATCTGTAAAGCAAAGAGGTTTAATTGACTCACAGTTCCACATGGCTGGGAAGGTCTCAGGAAACTTACAATCACAGCAGGAGGTGAAGGGGAAGAAAGGCACCTTCTTCACAGGGTGGCAGAAAGGAGAAGCGCAAGCAGAAAAAATGCCAGAAGCTTATAGGGATCTTGTGAGACTCACTCATTATCATGAGAACAGCATGGGGAAACCTGTCCCCATGATCTAGTTACGTCTACTCGGTCCTGCCCTTGACATGTGAAGATTATGGGGATTACAATTTGAGGTGAGATTTGGGTGGGGACACAGAGCCAAACCATATCAGTCTGTTTTGTCAGAAATTAGGATTGTGACCCCTGATTTTTTTCTGTTCTCCATTTGCTTGGTAAATTTTCCTCCATTCCTTATTTTGAGCCTATGTGTGTCACTGCATGTGAGATGAGTCTCTTGAAGACAGCATGCCAAAGAGTCTTGGGTTTTTTTATTTTGAGACAGAGTCTTGCCAGGGTGGAGTGCATTGGCACCATCTCAGCTCACTGCAACTTCTGCCTCCCAGGTTCAAGCCATTCTCCTGCCTCAGCCTCCCAAGTAGCTGGGACTACAGGGGCATGCCACCATGCTGAGCTAATTTCTGTATTTTTAGTAGAGATGGGGTTTTGCCATGTTGGCCAGGCTGGTCTTGAACTCCTGACCTCAAGTGATCCACCTGCCTTGGCCTCCCAAAGTGCTGGGGTTATATGCATGAGCCACAATGCCCGGCTGAGTCTTGGTTCTTTATCCAGCTTGCCACTCTGTGTCTTTTAATTGGGCCATACTATGCCCCAATACTATGCCCTTTTAGTTGGGGTATAGTATTGTTATGTACGAATTTGATCCTGTTATCATGATGCTAGCTGATTACTTTGCAGAGTTGTTTATGTAGATGCTTTATAGTGTCACTGCTCTGTGTACTTCAGTGTGTTTTGTAATGACCAGTAACAGTTTTTCCTTTCCATATTTAGTGCTTTCTTCAGGAGCTCTTGTGAGGCAGGCCTGGTGGTAACAAATTCCCTCAGCATTTGCTTATCTGAAAAGGATCTTATTTTTCCTTCGTTTATGAAGCATAGTTTGGCTGGATATGAAATTCTGAGCTGGAAATTCTTTCCTTTAAGAATGTTGATTGGGAGGCCGAGGCGGGCGGATCACGAGGTCAGGAGATCGAGACCATCCCGGCTAAAACGGTGAAACCCCGTCTCTACTAAAAATACAAAAAAAATTAGCCGGGCGTAGTGGCGGGCACCTGTAGTCCCAGCTACTTGGGAGGCTGAGGCAGGAGAATGGCGTGAACCCGGGAGGCGGAGCTTGCAGTGAGCCGAGATCCCGCCACTGCACTCCAGCCTGGGCGACAGAGCAAGACTCCGTCTCAAAAAAAAAAAAAAAAAAAAAAAAAAAAAAAAAAAAAAAAGAATGTTGAATATTGGCCCCCAATCTCTTCTGGCTTGTAGGGTTTCTGCTGAGAGGTCTGCTGTTAGTCTGATGGGTGTCCCTTTGTAGGTGACCTAGCCTTTCTCTCTGGCTGCCCTTAACAGTTTTTTCTTTCATTTCAGCTTTGGAGAATCTGATAATTATGTGTCTTGAGGATGATCTTCTCATGGAGTATCTTACTGGGGTTCTTTGCATTTCCTGAATTTGAATTTTGGCCTGTCTAGCCAGGTTGGGGAAGTTCTCATGGATGACATCTTGAAATATGTTTTCCAAATTGGTTCCATTCTCCCTTCTCTTTTAGCTACCCCAATCAGTTGTAGATTTGGTCTTTTTACTTAATCCCATATTTTTCAGAGGTTTTGTTCCTTCATTTTTCTTCTTTTTTCTTTGTTCTTGTCTGCCTGTCTTATTTCAGAAAGACAGTCCTGAAGTTCTGAGATTCTTTCCTCTACTTAGTTTATTCTGCCATTAATACTTGTAATTGCATTATGAAATTCTTGTAGTGTGTTTTTCAGTTCTATCAGGTTGGTTATGTTCTTCTTTATACTGGCTATTTTATCTGTCAGCCCCTGCAATGCTTTATCATGGTTTTTGGCTTGCATTGGGTTACAATGTGCTCCTTTAGCTCACTGAAGTTTATTTTCATCCACATTCTGAATTCTACTTCTGTTATTTCAGCTATCTCAGCCTCAGCCCAGTTCCAAACCCTTGCTGGAGAGATGATGTGGTCATTTGGAGGAAAGTGGGCACTCTGGCTCTTTGAGTTTTTAGTGTTCCTGTGCTGATTCTTTCTCATCTTTGTGGGCTTATCTACCTTCAATCTTGAGGTTGTTGGATGAGGATTTTTTTTTTCCCTTTTAGAAGTATGGCCGCTTTTCCACGGGGCTGCTGTGGTTTGCTGGGGATCTGCTCTAGTTACCTCAGTTTTTCCAGTACCTGGAGGTATCACCAGTGATGGCTGTGAAACAGCAAAGATGGCAGCCTACTCCTTCCTCTGGGGGCTCTGTCCCAGCGGGGGTACAGACATGTTGCTGGCCTGAACACACCTGTAGGAGGCAGATGGAGACCCCAATTTGGAGGTCTTACCCAGTCAGGAGGAATGGGATTGGGGACTCACTTAAATAAGCAGTCTAGCCACTCTTTGGTAGAGCAAGTGTGCTGGGGCACCACTTCCACCCCTGGCTGGCTTGGGATCTTCCAAGGCCACAGACTGGAACATCTAAGTTGTGAAAACAGCAAAGATGGTGGCCCACCCCTCCCTCTTGGGACTCTGTCCCAGGGAGAAATCAAATCCCTGGCCAGAAAACATGGGCAAGGGTGGCTGGAGACCTTGGTTGGGAGGTCCCATCCAGTGAGGAGGAATGGATCAGGGGCCTGCTTAAAGAGGCAGTCTGGCTGTTTTGGTAGTGCAGCTGTGCTGTGCGGGGGGATCCCTTCTGACCCATCAGTTTAGTTCATATATATATATATATGAGTGTTTGGTTGCCCAATGCCTGAGTCTGTATATATATATTTATATATCTTCACTATTATTAGTAGGGTCCTAGGAGGAAGAAGAGAGAAATGTATTTGGTCACTTGTCATTTTTAACTTGAAGGCAGACATTGTGTTTTTTAATGCAGCTCACAGAATGGGACATACTTTTATTTCATAGACTAATTTTCTGATTATCTCTGTGAATAAATTGCCTTCTACTAATAGCTAAGAACAACCAGTTAATCTAATTGATATTGAGGGATTTTAAAAAACCTCAGTTTCTCTATAAAACATAAATAATACTATGTGCAGTATAGAGCTTGACACTTAAATTTTGTTAGTCTTATTTTGATATTAATGTAAAACTAGGACTGCAATTTATAATGGGCTTCATGCTGTGAGGTTGACAGTGTATTTTAGAAGTTGAAAAAAAAAGATGAGTTTGATGAGTGGTGAGCCTGTCATTTTTGTGGCTGAAGCAACTCTATAATGTACTTTAAAAAAATCATTAGAAACATCTTTCCTTACCAAATACAATTCTCTTATAAATATTTATAGCTCTCCATTACCCAGGCTTTTTATTACAGAGGCCCTCATTTACCCTGGTACAGAGCTCTATCTAGTTTTCTTGGTTAATAAAGGGCACACATTTTTCTTTTGAAACAAGAAAGAAACCAAATTGAAAAAAGCCCAAAATATCTACTGTTAGAGTTACTTTCACATTAAAAAATTTTCGTCTTTTTTTCTAAAACACACCATCAACCACTAAGCAGTAATTCATGTTTATTGTTTGAAAAAATTGAAAAACACACACATAACCAGGAATACAAGTAATAAACCGAAACAACCCACAGTTTTGCCACTTCCACTAGGTACATATCCCTTTAGATTTCTTTTTTGCCCCTATGTGTTAATTTTGTCATTTAATGACTTATTATGATCATCTTTCCTTATTAAGATACATAAGCCTAAATAATCAATTTTAATGTCAGCACAGTCGTCCAGTTTATAAATACAATAATATATTTAACCAACTTCCTACTGATAGACATTTAGGTTATTACAAAAGTTTCATTGTAATAAACAATGCTGTGATGAATATACATGTGTATATATACAGACATATACATATACACAGGTATGTATACACACACATACTAGTTCATTGACTATTTTTGAATGATAGATCCTTTGAAGTAGAATTTGTAGGTTGCAGGATATTGACATTTCATGTTGTCAACTTAACCTCCCGAAGGGTGGAAATATTTCTGCAACCACAAACATGTACTCCCATGAATCCCCAGTTCGCCACACCCTCTCTGGCACTGATAAATCATTCTTTTAATATTTTCCAATGACGAGTTTTCCATTTCCACCTCCAAATGTACTCCCCACCCTTCCCCACCCTGCCCTTTGGAGCATTTGTGGGCTCTGTGACCTCTGGCTTCCTTACGGGTCAGCCAATGGAGCCATTGGTGGGACAAGCACACATGGAAGCAGAGTGAGGTCAAAGCAATTATTCCTTTGCCTCCTTTCTGCCAGGTTGTTGGTGGGTGGGCTGTATCCTTCTACCAAAGGCTATAGCTTCTATCTGGTGGTCTCTACTCATTCTAGATTCCAGCAACTTCTCCCATCCTTTTCCATTCTGACCTAGGGTGGGAAATGGATCTCTGCTGGGCTGTTGCTAGCCCTGGGGTGCTTCATCACCTTTGGCTGATTTTCCCTTAGCCTTGTCCACACTTTTGTAAAATGTACTCTTATTAAACTCCTCCAGTCACCCTGCTTGAGTGTGCCATCTGTTTTTTGCCAGGACCTTGAGTAATAGTTGTGAAAAACATCTCATTTTTATGGTAACACTTTGCCTCATGTATTATAATTTCTCTGGCCCCCTTTTAAAATTTAATCTTGTTTTTGGCATTGTTGCAGTTCAGTGTTAAATAGTTTTCTGCAGTCAGATTTATTGGCCTTTTTCAGGTTATATCATCTTTGGACAGTTTTCCATGCCTTGATTATGGGTAATTTCCCTTCTGTATGCTTCTAATTACATTTTAATATTTATATTTTTAATTCATTTGAATTTTATTCTGAAAGAAAGTATGAATTAGGGATAAAATTTTCTTTTTCTATTTGACCACAGATTTTTCTCCAGTTTCCTGGCAACATTTACTGAATACCTACCATTTGTCCACTGACTCAAAGTCCCTCCCTATGACCATTAACCACTTATTTATTCTGTTGTGTTTCTTTTATTTTCTGGCTCCCTTGTCAAGCCCTTTTCATTTTTGTAACTTACTTACTTACTTACTGAGACAGGGTCTTGCTCTGTCACCCAGGCTGGAGTGCAGTAGCGGCATCTCAGCTCACTGCAGCATCAGCCTCCCAGCCTCAAGCAATCCTCCCATCTCAGCCTCCCAAGTAGCTGGCACCACAGGTGTGTGCCACCAGACCTGGCTAATTTTTTTGCATGTTTTGCAGAGATGGGGTCTCGCCATGTTGCCCAGGCTGGTCTCAAACTCCTGGGCTCAAGTGATCCACCCACCTTGGCCTCCCAAAGTGCTGGGATTACAGGCATGATCCACCACATTCAGCCTATTACTTTAAAATGTATTTAAAAACCTGGCAGAATAAGTTTCTGTTATCATTCTTCTTTTTCAGAAAATTTCTGGGTATTCAATTTTCATGTTTTTTATTCTTCTAATCAAACTGGGAATTATTTTTTTTGAGTTGTCTCTCCTCCCAAATTTTCTTACAATTTTATTTGGTATTCTATTAATATTCACATATTATTTTGCAGAGAATTAATATTTTTTCAATTTTGAGTCTTCCAATCCAGAAATATGGTCAATGTACATTTACTTAAGTCTTTTAATGTCTCAGCAAAATTTCTTTACACATATCTTGTACAATTCTTCTTTATGATTAAAAATAAATGGTCATTACTGTTGTGGAATTTTTATTCTTGTTATAACAAGATGAAGTGAGAGAAAGAATTATTCCTATTCACCTTTTGAAAAATCACTAGCAGGTTTAAACTCATAAGCCACTTTGCAAAGCATTTCAGTATTTTTTCTAACATTTATACTCCCAGTAACTGAACCGGCAATTTCATATTAATTTGTAGTTACATAGACTAATTGTTAGTTCACAAATGTATAATAGATTTCCACTTCTAAGATCATCTAGTATCTTAAAGATTTAACACTTTAAATCTTACCAAACATTTGTGGCATACCACAGGAACTGAAGAGGATAGAAATTCAAATATACAAATTATTTATATATAAAAATAAAAACTCCAAATACATACATTTTCAGCTGAGCAACTCCAATGCTAAAAAAAATGCATCAGTTTGAATAGCGCTATTTTCCAAAGCTCTTGCTAAAATGTGAACAACTTTTACTGCAATAAGATGAATACTAAATATTAGCTTGAGAGAATTTAAGCACACTTAACATGTAACTTTTTTTTTTTTGAGACAGAAACTTGCCCTGTCCCCCTTGCTGGAGTGCAGCAGTGTGATCTCGGCTTACTGCAATCTCCACCTCCCAGGTTCAAGTGATTCTCCTGCCTCAGCCTCCTGAGTAGCTAGGATTACAGGCATGTGCCACCACGCCCAGCTAATTTTTGTATTTTTAGTAGAGACAGAGTTTCCCTATGTTGGCCAGGTTGGTCTCGAACTCCTGTGATCACTCAGGTGATCCCGCAGCCTCGGCCTCTCAGTGTGTTGGGATTTCAGGCGTGAGCCACTGCGGCCGGCCAATATGTAATTTTTTAAAAGTTACCTTTAATTCAGTTTCAAAATGAGTTTAGCATTGTTTTAGAAAATTATGAATGTTAAAAGCTCTTTATAGATATACCAAACTAAATTTCTAAGTAGTGTTAAGTTTTTTTGTGGTGAATCTAAATTTGATATGCATTGTTTTGAATTTTTGAATTTAGTTAATAAACTTTTCATTGCTAATGTTTCAATTATTTGTAGGATGTAACATATGTATTGTCTGTATTTAGCAAACTGATAAACTGAGATATGGGAAGATTAAGTGGCTTATAATATTATGTTTGGTCATTGCCTTATTTTAGGTTTTCTACACCTTTGACTTTTACAATCGCAGGAGTCTTTTTGCCAGTCTGTCATCTCTCCAGATTATTGATCTTGGCCCTTTGTGCAGTGACTTCTTTAAGGATAAGTTAGAGCATATACTTCTTGCTCAAAGGACTCAAAGGAAAATGAGAACCTCTCAAGCTTCTTCCGTTTCCGGAGTGATCTTATAATGTCTACATTTGTATTCAGATTCCTTATGTATGTCTGTCCCTTTTGTAATTTGAGGCCTTAGTCAAACCTGTCTCTTCCTCTCCTGTTTACCTATTCTGCCCACATTGTTCTATCCTCCTCTTCACCTCTTGACAGCCTACCCAAACTGAAAGTGGAGGCACATACACTAACTCTTTCATTATGTTTTTGTTGATTTTTTCTCACCTGAAACAAACACTTCGGTTTTTCATGGCATTTTCTTTGTGCCTCTCGTATATATTTAACAATTTTTTGTTAAATTTTTAGTGCACAGATTTTAAGAATCCTTCTAATAGACACCTGAATGGCAGGTAGAATCTCTTGTTTATCTTTCTATGCCTCATGGTGCCTAACATAGTTCAATTTTTACAAATAGAAGTTTGTAGAACTCACTGGTGTTTTGTAATGCTAAGATTCACTGTATAATGTTGACATTAGCCACAGTATTCTTCCAGTGATGGAATGGTTTAGTTATTATAATTAGAGAGGAGCATTTTACCACTCTAAATATAGTGAAGATATTCATCATAAATATTTCTGTGGATGGTTGTAATGGGAAATCATCAATTGTTTAATTTGAGTAATTTTTACTTTTGCATTATTTCCTAAAAGCAAACTTCATGTAATCATTTTTGTAGTGGATTATTGTGGCTATCATTTCAGAGGATTGGCATTGGCTCCAGCTCTTGTTATCACTAGGGGGAATAATTTTACGAGAGACTTTCCAGTAGGTGGAAAATAATTTGGCTGGTTAATAAAATGTTTCTCTATTGTTAGAAGAAGGCAATTCTACAATATAAGATATGGCTTAGCACTTTTCACATTAAACTAGCACTAAATGAGGAAGTATTTCTAGAAGGATTTTGAACATGAATCTTATCTACTTTTAGCTGGGTGCACTTGAGTGCAAACATCTGGACAGTGAGTGCTTAACTGCTAGACATGGCCTCATTTATTTTGATTTAGTACGAGGGAACATGATAAAAAATCTGCAATGGATCAATGGTAAGGGAAAATTTCAGCTTCTTTAGGGGTTAGTGAATATAGATGAAATTTTTGCCTATTTTTCAATAAAATTTGGCTTGAACTTCTACCTGATCTCCAAATGATTCAGGCAGAAAAATGGCAAAATTTAAAACTCAGATAGCAATGGATCATTATCAATATCATATGCATTCCAAAGGCATAAAGCATTCATTTTATAAATTTATGTTTTCCTTACAAATTTAAATTGTATGTAATTGTTTTGAATTGGTTCAATGACAACAAAATGAATTAAGCCTGCTTTTTCATGTCATTGAATGAAGGAGTACCTAGCTTGTGTGCTGTCAAAATATCTCTTTTCTTTTCTTTTTTTTTCTCTTCTCTTCTCTTCAAGATGGAGTTTCGCTCTTGTTGCCCAAGCTGGAGTGCCGTGGTGCAGTCTTGGCTCACTGCAACCTCTGCTTCCTGGGTTCAAGCAATTCTCCTGCCTCAGCCTCCAGAGTAGCTGGGATTACAGGTGCGTGCCACCATGCCTGGCTAATTTTTTTGTATTTTTAGTAGAAACAGGGTTTCACCATGTTGGCCAGGCTGGCCTCAAACTCCTGACCTCAGGTGATCTGCCCACCTCAGCCTCCCAAAGTGCTGGGATTACAGGCGTGAGCCACTGCGCCCAGCCAAAAATATCACTTTTCTAGACAAGGCAGAATAATGTGGAAAATATATATGTGTTGAAAATCAGACCTGAGTTTCAAGTCTTCCTCTGCCCCTTAATAACTGGGAGACCTTGACAAAGTTCCTTCACCTAAGGCTCAGTTTCTTCTCCTGTAAAAATCAGGATAATTTCTGCTTCATATAGTTGTTCTGTGAATAAAAAAATGCTATTTATAGAAAATGCTTACTATTGCCTGGTACATAGTGGGAGTTCAAAAAATGGTGGCTATTTTAGTAGCTAAAGTACTCATATAATTATTAGAACTTTAAAAATCAATAACATGTTTAGTAGGAAACTTAATGAGCGAGGAATAGCTGAAAAAAGCAAGAAAGTAGATACATTTTATATTTTGGCCTAAATGGAGATATTAAAGAAAAGAGAAAGTTTCCTTTGAGAGAAAAAATGAAAAGCAAGGCATTTCTTAGTGGATGGAGGATTTCTGTGCAAGGAGCAGTCCTTGCATCCACCTTTTGGGTGGTGCTGGATTTACCATCTTCATGGTTCCACAGCAAGTGATTTTACCCATCAACCTTGTGTATGTGATGTCATTTACCACTTCCTAGTTTAAACAAATAGTTTTCCAGCAGGACAATATGCACATTGCTCTATTGTACTAAATTTGTTTCACATTCCAAATTGGCAGGAATTTCTCCATGTGCTTGGGTATAATAGCATTTCTTGATATGATAATTATCATCTAGTTGTCTATATTTATGTATCTACCTAACTACAAGAGAAAATTTGCAGCAGAATATCTGTCTTTTCATTTTTGCTTTTTACTCTTATCATACTATAAAACACTTTCATAATAGTTTAAATAATTTCCTGGGGGAGTTAATTTGGCTAAGTCATCGTTCTTTTTTTGGTGCTTCAGTTTCTCTTTGACTCTCATGGAATGTTTGCTTTTGCCCTTTGGGTGTTTAAAGACCACATTTTGTAGCCCCAGTGTTCTTTCTAATTATAGAAGTGACATAAGAAAAACGGAAAGTAAGTAAGAAGTGGAGAACAGAGTCATTAAGGGAGAGTCTAGATCAGAGAGATGTCAAAGAGTTTCGTTGGGTATTTAAGGAAATTAATGAATAACTCATCTGGGACTTAGAGATAGTGACTTAAGTCGTAATTAATCCATTGATATAGCACAAAATAAAAAAAATACTGTATTTAGAAAAAAATAGTATGGTAGAAATACTGGGCATAATTCTTATAAATATAGACTTCACCTTAGTATTCTTGAGAGAAGTCAGACAAGGGGAAGAGTACTCTATGAAAATTAAAAAAAAATTCCATGGAAGTGTTAAAATGTGAAGAAGAAAATTTAATGATTAATATAGTAGAGGGAAGGGATCCATTCCAAGATGGCCGAATAGGAACAGCTCCAGTCTGCAGCTCCCAGCGTGATTGATGCAGAAGATGGGTCCAACCAGTTTGGACAGTGTGTACAGCCCATGGAGCATGAGCCGAAGCAGGGTGGGGTGTCGTCTCACCCAGGAAGTGCAAGGGGTTGGGGGATTTCCCTTTCCTAGCCAAGGGAAGCCAGGACAGGCTGTACCTGGAAAAACGGGACACTCCTGCCTGAATAATGCACTTTTCCCAAGGTCTTAGCAACTGGCAGACAAGGAGATTCTCCCTTATGCCTGGCTTGGCAGGTCCCACGCCCATGGAGCCTTGCTCACTGCTATTGCAGCAGTCTGAGATCAAACTTCGAGGTGGCAGCCTGGATGGGGGAGGGGCGTCCACCATTGCTGAGGCTTGAATAGGTAAACAAAGAGGCCAGGAAGCTTGAACTGGGTGGAGCCCACCACAGCTCAGCACAGCTTACTGCCTCTATAGACTCCACCTCTGTGGGCAGGTCATATTTGAACAAAAGGCAGCAGACAGCTTCTGCAGACTTAAACGTCCCTGTCTGACAGCTTGAAGAGAGCAGTTGTTCTCCCAGAGCAGTGGTTGAGCTCTGAGAATGAGAATGGACAGACTGCCTCCTCAAGTGGGTCCCTGACCCCCGTGTAGCCTAACTGGGAGACAGCTCCCAGTAGGGGCCGACAGACAACTCATATAGGCAGGAGCCCTTCTGGGATGAAGCTTCCAGAGGAAGGATCAGGCAGCAATATTTGCCCTTCTGCAATATTGGCTGTTCTGCAGCTTCTGCTGGTGATATCCAGGCAAACAGGGTCTGGAGTGGACCTCCAGCAAACTCCAACAGACCTGCAGCTGAGGGACCTGACTGTTAGAAGGAAAACTAACAAACAGAAAGGAATAGCACCAACATCAACAAAAAGGACATCTACACCAAAACCCCATCTGTAGGTCACCAACATCAAAGACCAAAGGTAGATAAAACCACAAAGATGGAGAGAAACCAGAGCAGAAAAGCTGAAAATTCTAAAAACCAGAGTGCCTCTTCTCCTGCAAAGGATCGCAGCTCCTCACCAGCAATGGAACAAAGCTGGATGGAGAATGATTTTGACGGGTTGACAGAAGTAGGCTTCAGAAGGTGGGTAATAACAGACTTCTCCAAGCTAAAGGAGCATGTTCAAACCCATCACTAGGAAGCTAAAAACCTTGAAAAAAGGTTAGATGAATGGCTAACTAGAATAAACAGTGTAGAGAAGACCTTCAGTGACCTGATGGAGCTGAAAACCATGGCATGAGAACTTTGTGAGGCATGCACAAGCTTCAATAGCCGATTTGATCAAGTGGAAGAAAGGGTATCGTGATCGAAAATCAAATTAATGAAATGAAGCGAGAAAACAAGGTTAGAGAAAAAAGAGTAAAAAGAAATGAACAAAGCCTCCAAGAAATATGGGACTATGGGAAAAGACCAAATCTACGTTTGATTGATGTATCTGAAAATGATGGGGTGAATGGAACCAAGTTAGAAAACACTCTTCAGGATATTATCCAGGAGAACTCCCCCAACCTAGCAAGGCAGGCCAACATTCGAATTCAGGAAATACAGAGAACACCACAAAGATACTCCTCGAGAAGAGCAACCCCAAGACATATAATTGTCAGATTCACCAAGGTTGAAATGAAGGAAAAAATTTTAAGGGCAGCCAGAGAGAAAGGTTGGGTTACCCACAAAAGGAAACCCATCAGACTAAAAGTGAATCTGTCTGCAGAAACCAAGCCAGAAGAGAGTGGGGGCCAATATTCAACATTCTTAAAGAAAAGAATTTTCAACCCAGAATTTCATATCCAGCCAAACTAAGCTTCATAAGTGAAGGAGAAATAAAATCCTTTACAGACAAGCAAATGCTGAGAGATTTTGTCACCACCAGGCTTGCCTTACAAGAGCTCCTGAAAGAAGCACTAAATATGGAAAGAAACAACCAGTAGCAGCCACTGCAAAAACATGCCAAATTGTAAAGACCATCAATGCTAGGAAGAAACTGCATCAACTAACGAGCAAAATAACCAGCTAACATCATAATGACAGGATCAAATTCACACATAACAATATTAACCTTAAATGTAAATGGACTAAATGCTCCAATTAAAAGACACAGACTGGCAAATTGTATAAAGAGTCAAGACCCATCAGTGTGCTGTATTCAGGAAACCCATCTCACATGCAAAGACGCACATAGGCTCAAAGTAAAGGGATGGAGGAAGATCTACCAAGCAAATGGAAAACAAAAAAGGGCAGGAGTTGCAATCCTAGTCTCTGATAAAACAGACTTTAAACCAACAAACATCAAAAGAGACAAAGAAGGCCATTACATAATGGTAAAGGGATCAATTCAACAAGAAGAGCTAACTGTCCTAAATGTATATACACCCAAGGCAGGAGCACCCAGATTCATAAAGCAAGTCCTTAGAGACCCACAAAGAGACTTAGACTCTCACACTATAATCATGGGAGACTTTAACACCCCGCTGTCAATATTAGACAGATCAACGAGACAGAAGTTTAACAAGGATATCCAGGACTTGAACTCAGCTCTGCACCAAGCAGACCTAATAGACATCTACAGAGCTCTCCACCCCAAATCAACAGAATATACATTCTTCTCAGCACCACATCACCCAGCTTCCAAAACTGACCATATAGTTGGAAGTAAAGCACTCCTCAGCAAATGTAAAAAACAGAAATCACAACAAACTGTCTCTCAGACCACAGTGCAATCAAATCAGAACTCAGGATTAAGAAACTCACTCAAAACTGCACAACTACATGGAAACTGAACAACCTGCCCTTGAGTGACTGCTGGGTAAATAACAAAATAAAGGCAGAAATAAAGATGTTCTTTGAAACCAATGAGAAGAAAGACACAACCTACCAGAATCTCTGGGACACATTTAAAGCTGTGTGTAGAGGGAAAGTTATAGCACTAAACGCCCACAAGAGAAAGCAGGAGAGATCTAAAATCAACACCCTAACATCACAATTAAAAGAACTAGAGAAGCAACAGCAAACAAATTCAAAAGCCAACAGAAGACAAGAAATAAGTAAGAGCAGAACTGAAAGAGGTAGAGACAAAACCCCTTCAAAAAATCAATAAATCCAGAAGCTGTTTTTTTGAAAAGATCAACAAAATTGATAGACTGCTAGCAAGACTAATAAAGAAGAAAAGAGAGAAGAATGAAAGAGATGCAATAAAAAATGATAAAGGAGGTATCACCACCAATCCCCCAGAAATACAAACTACGATCAGAGTATACTATAAGCACCTCTATGGAAACAAACTAGAAAATCTAGAAGAAATGGATAAATTCCTAGACTCATACATCCTCCCAAGACTAAACCAGCAAGAAGTTGAATCTCTGAATAGACCAATAACAGGCTCTGAAATTGAGGCAATAATTGATAGCCTACCAACCAAAAAAGTCCGGGAACAGATGGATTCACAGCCAAATTCTACCACAGGCACAAAAAGGAGCTGGTACCATTCCTTCTGAAATTATTCCAATCAATAGAAAAAGAGGGACTCATCCCTAACTCATTTTATGAGGCCAGCATCATCCTGATACCAAAGCCTGGCAGAGACACAACAACAAAGAGAATTTTAGACCGATATCTTTGATGAACATTGATGTGAAAATCCTCAGTAAAATACTGGCACACCAAATCCAGCAGCACATCAAAAAGCTTATCCACCACGATCAAGATGGCTTCATCCCTGGGAGGCAAGGCTGGTTCAACATACACAAATCAATAAACATAATCCATCACATAAACAGAACCAATGACAGAAACCACATGATTATCTCAATAGATGCAGAAAAGGCCTTTGACAAAATTCAACAGCCCTTCATGCTAAAAACTCTCAATAAACTAGGTATCGATGGAATGTATCTGAAAATAATAAGAGCTATTTATAACAAACCCACAGCCAATATCATACTGAATGTGTAAAAACTGGAAGCATTCACTTTTCAAACTGGCACAAGACAGGGATGCCCTCTCTCACCACTCCTAATCAACATAGTGTTGGAAGTTCTGGCCAGGGCAATCAGGCAAGAGAAAGAAATAAGGAGTATTCAATTAGGAAAAGAGGCAGTCAAATTGTCCCTGTTTGCAGATGACATGATTATATATTTAGAAAATCCCATTGTCTCAGCCCAAAATCTCCTCAAGCTGATAAGCAACTTCAGCAAAGTCCCAGGATACAAAATCAATGTACAAAAATCACAAGCATTCCTATATACCAATAACAAACAGAGAGCCAGATCATGAGTGAACTCCCATCTACAGTTGCTACAAATAGAATAAAATACCTAGGAATCCAACTTACAAGGGATGTGAAGGACCTCTTCAAGGAGAACTACAAACCACTGCTCAACGAAATAAAAGAGGACACAAACAAATGGAAGAACATTCCCTGCTCATGGATAGGAAGAATCAATATCATGAAAATGGCCATACTGTGCAAGGTAATTTATAGATTCAATGCCATCCCCATCAATCTACCAATGACTTTCTTCACAGAATTGGAAAAAACTACTTTAAAGTTCATATGGAACCACAAAAGAGCCCACATAGCCAAGACAATCCTAAGCAAAAAGAACAAACTGGAGGCATCATGCTACCTGACTTCAAACTATACTACAAGGCTGCAGTAACCAAAACAGCATGGTACTGGTACCAAAACAGAGATATAGAGCAATGGAACAGATCAGAGCCCTGAGAAATAACACCACACATCTACAACCATCTGATCTTTGACAAACCTGACAGAAATAAGCAATGGGGAAAGGATTCCCTATTTAATAAATGTTGCTGGGAAAACTGACTAGCCATATGTTGAAAGCTGAAACTGGATCCCTTCCTTACACCTTATACAAAAATTTATTCAAAATGGACGGAAGACTTAAATGTTAGACCTAAAACCATAAAAACCCTAGAAGAAAACCTAGGCAATACCATTCAGGACATAGGGATGGGCAAGGACTTTGTGACTAAAACGCCAAAAGCAATGGCAACAACAGCCAAAATAGACAAATAGGATCTAATTAAACTAAAGAGCTTCTGCCCGGCAAAAGAAACTACCATCAGAGTGAACAGGCAACCTACAGAATGGGAGAAAATTTTTGCAATCTACCCATCTGACAAAGGGCTAATATTCAGAATCTACAAAGAACTGAAACAAATTTACAAGAAAAAAACAAACAACCCCATCAAAAAGTGGGCAAAGGATATGAACAGACACTTCTCAAAAGCAGACGTTTATGCAGACAACAGACACATGAAAAAATGCTCATCATCACTGGCCATCAGAGAAATGCAAATCAAAACCACAATGAGATACCATCTCATGCCAATCAGAATGGCAAACATTAAAAAGTCAGGAAACAACAGATGCTGGAGAGGGTGTGGAGAAATAGGAATGCTTTTACACTGTTGCTGGGAGTATAAATTAGTTCAACCATTGTGGCAGACAGTGTGGCAATTCCTCAAGGATATAGAAGTAGAAATACCATTTGATCCAGCAATCCCATTATTGGGTATATACCCAAAGGATTATAAATCATTCTACTATAAAGACACATGCACACGTATGTTTATTGCAGCACTATTCACAATAGCACAGACTTGGAACCAACCGAAATGTCCATCAATGATAGACTGGATTAAGCAAATGTGGTACATATACACCACGGAATACTATGCTGCCGTTAAAAAGGATGAGTTCATGTCCTTTGTAGGGACATGTGTGAAGCTGGAAACCATCATTCTCAGGAAATTATCAGAAAGACCGAAAACCAAACACCACATGTTCTCACTCATAGGTGGGAAATGAATGATGAGAACACTTGGACACAGGGCAGGGTACATCACACACCGGGGCCTGTTGTAGGGTTGGGGCCTGAGGGAGGGATAGCGTTAGGAGAAATACCTAATGTGAATGACGAGTTGATGGGTGCAGCAAACCAACATGGCACATGTATACCTATGCATCAAACCTGCACGTTGTACACTTGTGCCCTAGAACTTAAAGTATAATAATAAAAAAAAATACAGGGGGAAGAGAGGCATATAGAATAAGTGTTAATAAGATGTGTTGCTGTTTGAGTAAAAATGGTGTAGTTTGAGTAGAAAATTCTTGCAGTTTGATAGGGGAAATGACTATTTTTTTCTCTACTGTTGAAATAATATGAGAAATGAAGTAACACACAGAAGAGCTATACTAAAATAGAATGTACGATAATTTTGGTAAGTAGGAAGGGATAGAAACAAGAGTTCTTAGATAACATAATGTAAAAAGAGAAATTTACTACAGTTAATGAATGGTCTTAAAAGAGAATGAATATTTCTTTTTTTTATAGTTATTTTGGAACTTACGAGAGCATGACAATATTTCTTTCACATTCAGAAAACAGAGGCTACCTATGTCTGAGTTAGTTAAAAACCACTCTGAATGCTCAAAAAGAGAAAATTGGTTAGCTTCCGTATATTGGAGACCTCTGCTGCGTTCAAATGAGGATGAAGATAAGCAATTTCTGCCACAGACAGATGTTTATGAGATATTTTAGGTGAACAACATAGATAAACAATATGCATAACATGGTTTTTTTTGGTAAAGAAAAAAATATATATATATGTGCTCTCCTAGGAAAAATTCTCAAAATGCATTCACCAAAGAGTTAAAAGTGACTGCTTTGCAAAATCATTCATTCACTCAATGTTTATTGAGTATATTACATGCTAGGCACTAGGCAGAACTCTGTGTAGGTATTTGTAAATGAAACAGATATGCTCCCTGCTCTCCTAGCATTTAAAATCTAGAAAAAATGGAAACACTTAACAAGTAAATAGGTAAATAAAAATAATTAGATGGTGATAACTGCTCAGAAGGAGATAAGCAGGGTATGAGTACGCTGTGACACCAAATAATATGGTGGAGGCAGGCAGTACTTAGATGAGCTGGTGGGTTGAGCAAATCCTCTGTCAGGTGGTGATAGTTAATATGACATTTGAAAGAAGGGAGACAGCCACCCTTTGACAGCCAGGAGAAGAATATGAAAAGTGTGGAAATAAAAAGAATATGCACAGACAACACTGAAATTTTTGTTTCTACCTATCTTTCCTGATAGCACTTAAAATTTTTTTGAACTCAAGAGGCTCGGTGATGTGGATTCCAGGAATAGTTTTCTAAAAGTGGAATATACTAGAGTAAGTTTGTTGTTTCTTTCAATACTTGCATCATAAAATCTTTAGAACAGTTACTCTGCTATTTGAACATCTTTTTGTAATTAGGGAAAAAAGCAATAAAGGCTAGGAAAAAGATGTCCAAATTGTAAATGGCCAGAGGTTGAGTCCTTTGGAATTGGCAAACTAAAAGTTATTAAAGATTTAATGAAGGGAAATTTTCACAGGGAAAACAGTAAGATGGGAATTTGAGAGGTGGAAATAAACAAGCAGCGACTATAAGGTATGTTATTAGTTGCTAGATTTTGGTGGATGGAAATTATAGAGCAATGAGAAGGTAAGATGTGACCACGAAGTAATGCCAGATTTTTATTGAATTGAATTCATCTTATTTCATCATTTGAAAGTCCCAATTTACAGAAAAAGGAACAACTCCCCACCAGTCTGGCAAGACTCAGCTTATGCCCCGTTTCCTTCATGGAGGCTTCCTGACTATTGCAGAACCGTTGGTGTTTGTTTTTGGAATTTTTATAGCATTTATAATAACACTATAATTTACAATATTGCAATCAATACTAGCACTTGGTGGGGGTAGCTTGTTTATTTTCTGTTTGTTTTATGAACATGCCTTCTTCCAAATAAAAGTTACATCTTCTTAAATATTTCCATGGACTCAACAGTTGTGACCATATAAAAAGTGCTCAAAAAGTTGGTTAAAAAGAGGAACGATTTTTAACATATTAAGTACCTTAAACATTTTACTTTTATTTGCAATGTAAATGAGCATTCATTTGTAAATCGTTCATTGTAAGGCAAAATTCTTTTCTTGCCATGTGAGTTTGTTGATTGAAATACTGTGTTGTCTTCCTTGTATAAAATTCACCCATTATGAATTATCTAAAATTTTCAATTTCTTGAGCAAGATGTTAAAGACATTCTGTAGAGAAATTAAAGAATGTAAGTCTTCTGGCATTTTACCTTTTCTCCAGTCTTTTAAAAGCTGTTACACTCAGATGTGATTCAACTCTAGTATTTTTTAGAAACTTGACTTTATTGTAACTTTCCAAAAGAAAAAGCTGAGCTTTCATAGAAACAACTCTCCTTTTTTCTTCATCTCATCAGTCAGTTAATAGAATATTAAATTACATTACATAATTTTAATACAATAAAATTCAAGTACATAATTATAATAACAAGTGCAACTGACATTAATAATTTGGAAACAAACTTCACTGACTGCTTAAAATTTAACTCAACTGGTATAATCCCTGTGATTAGTAGGGCATATGTGTGCATACTAGTCATGAGAGTCAACATACTGCTGGTATCAAGTCAATACATTTTCTGGAGGGATTGGAAAAGTCTCAGTTAATCTGTGATTGGATGTGTGAGTGGAAGACAGTTATAAGGGTTTCTTCTTATTAACTTTCTATATTAATTTTTTAATTTTGTCATTTCAGTCTTTCAGCTTAGATGATGGTTTGACCATGATGGATCATTGAAACAATTACTGCATGATGGATCGTTGAAACAATTACTGCATTAAAGAATGGTCACTAAAGTGTTTCCATCAAATAGTAATGTTTTATAGAGGAAGGTTAGAGTCCTTGCATTAAATAAGAAAATGCATGTAAGGTGGTTAGCACAGTGTATGACACAAGATAGATGTACAGTCATTATTAGTTGAATCTTAATACACAATTTTTTTTGAAGACTAATAAGAAAGTTAAGGCAGCCTCAGGAGCTATCTTTGGGATAGTCTATGGTGAGGCTGGAGAGTGTTCCTTTCCTGAGAGATATTTGGGATCTTTCAGTTATTTTGGGACAAACATTACCTTTCTGAGATAGGACAGAACTGGGGTTGTCCATTCTTGTAACCCTGAGTCCTGTTCTAGCTGAAAATTGGGAATGTGAAGCAATTCTCCTTGTGTCTCAATGAAAAGTTCAAGAAGATCTCTATCCATTGCTGTGGCTTAAAGGGCCAAAAACAGCCATCAGGAAAGTATTCCTTGACCCAGGAAACATTAATGCCATGTGCTAGATATCTGATTTAGTTCCTGCACAACCATGAGATGACATCAACTCATTTATGCCTCTTGGGGCTTTATGTAGGAACAGTGGTTCTCAGCCTGGGGATTCCCAGGGAGGAAGCCCCCGGTAATCCTTTCAGGGGGTCCATGAAATCAAAACCATCATCATAATGATACTGAAGTGTTATTTGCCTTTTTCACTCTCATTTTCTCATGAGTGTACAATGGACTTTTCTAGAGGCAAAATAATGTGTGATATTGCAACAGAACAGAAGCAGAATAGGACAATGCAGCTGTCATCTATTGAGGAAAACATGAAAGAGATTTGCAAAAATGTAAAGCAATGCTACTCTTTCACTAATTTTGTTTTGGAAAAATATATTTTTCATGCAATATGCTATTTTGATAACATATAATGAATTTGTTACTGAAATTTATAAACAAGTTAATAAAAAAGTGTTTTAAAATTATCTGTTTTAATTTTAAATACAGTCAAATATTGATAAATATCACTCATGTAAACCAAAAGCTCTTTTGGATTCTTGATAATTATTTTTTAATTTAAATAGTTTTTGGGGAACAGGCGGTGTTTGGTTATGTGGATAAGTTATTTAGTGGTGATTTAGGTGCACCCATCACCCAAGCAGTGTACACTATACCCAGTGTGTTGTCTTTTATGCCTCAACTCCCCTCCCACTCTACCCCTGATTACCCAAAGTCCATTTTATCATTCTTATGCCTTTGTGTCCTCATAGCTTAGCTCCCACTTATAAGTAAGAACACATGATGTTTTGTTTTCCATTCCTAAGTTACTTCTCTTAGAATAATGGTCTCCAACTCCATCCAGGTTTCTGTGAATGCTATTATTTCATTTTTTTTATGGCTCAGTAGTATACATACATATATATATGTGTGTGTATATATATATATATAAAATGAAGATTTATATATATATACACACGCCATATTTTCTTTAAATATCATATATATAGTATATATGTCATGGATATATATATATATACTATATACAGCCAGGAGAAGATTATGAAAAGAATATTCATGAATATAAATCATATATATATCCATTATATACATAAAATTGATATATATTATATATACATATTCTCACACACCATATTTTCTTTATCCACTTATTAATTGATGGGCATTTGGGCTGGTTCCATATTTTTTGCGATTGCAAATTGTGCTGCTATAAACATGCGTGTGCAAGTGTCTTTTTCATATAACGACTTTTTTCCTCTGGGTAGATACCTAGTAGTGGGATTGGTGGATCAAACAGTAGATCTACTTTTAGTTCTTTAAGGAATCTCCACACTGTTTTCCATAGTAGTTGTACTAGTTTACATTCCCACCAGCAGTGTAAAAGTGTTCCCTTTTCAGCAATTCCACGCCAACATCTATTATTTTTTGATTTATTGATTATGGCCATTCTTGCAGGAGTAAGGTGGTATGGCACTGTGGTTTTGATTTGCATTTCCCTGATTTTTAGTGATGTTGAACCTTTTTTCATACGTTTCTTGGCCATTTGTATATCTTCTTTTGAGAATTGTCTATTTTTCGGGAGATTGTTTGTTTCTTTATCTTGCTGATTTGTTTGAGTTCCTTGTAGATTCTAGAGATTAGCCCTTTGTCAAATGCATAGTTTGTGAATATTTTCTCCCACTCTGTGTGTTGTCTGTTTACTCTGCTGATCATTTCTTTTGCTGTGCAGAAGGTTTTTAGTTTACTTAGGTCCTATTTATTTATTTTTTGTTTTTGTTGCATTTGTGTTTGGGTTCTTAGTCATGAAGTTTTTGCCTAAGTCAATGTTCAGAAGAGTTTTTCCAATGTTATCTTCTAGAATTTTTATAGTTTTAGGTCCTAGATTTAAGTGTTTGATTCATCTGGAGTTGATTTTTGTATGAGGTGAGAGATGAGGATCCAGTTTTATTCTTGAACACGTGGCTTGCCAATTATCCCAGAACCATTTGTTGAATAGAATATCCTTTCTTTACTTTATGTTTTTGTTTGCTATGTCAAAGATCAGTTGGCTGTAACTATTTGACTTTATTTCTGGGTTCTCTGTTCTATTCCATTGATCTATGTGCCTATTTTTATACCAGTACCGTGATGTTTTGGTGACCATAGCCTTGTAGTATAGTTTGAGTCAGGTAATGTGATGCCTCCAGATTTGTTCTTTTTACTTAGTCTTGCTTTGGCTATGTGGGCTCTCTTTTGGCTCCACATTAATTTTAGGATTGTTTTTTCTAGTTCTGTGAAGAATGATGATGGTATTTTGATGGGAATTGCACTGAATTTATAGATTGCTTCTGGCAGTGGGGTCATTTTCACAATATTGATTCTACCCATCCATGAGTATGGGTGTTGTCTGTTATTTGTTTGTGTTATCTATTATTTCTTTCAACAGTGTTTTGTAGTTTTCCTTATAGAGGTCTTTCACCTCATTGGTTAGGTATATTGCAAAGTATTTATTTTTTTGCAGCTATTGTAAAAGAGTTTGAGTTCTTGATTTGATTCTCAGCTTGGTCACTGTTGGTGTATAACAGTGCTACTGATTTGTCTACATTGATTTTATATCCTGAGACTTTACTGAATTCATTTATTAGATCTAGGAGCTTTTTGGATGAGTTTTTAGGGTTTTCTACATATATGATCATATCACTGGTGAACAGCGACAGTTTGACTTCCTGTTTACCAATGTGGATGCCCTTCATTTCTTTCTCTTGTCTGATTGCTCTGGCTAGGACTTCTAGTACTATGTTGAATAGAAGTGGTGAAAGTGGGCATCATTGTCTTATTCCACTTCTCAGGGGGAATGCTTTCAACTTTTCCCTATTCATTATAATATTGGCTGTGGGTTTGTCATAGATGGCTTTTATTACATTGAGGTATGTCCCTTCTATGCTGATTTTGCTGAGGATTTTAACCATAAATGGGTGCTGGATTTTATCAAATGGTTTTTCTGCAATTATTGAGATGATCGTGTGATTTTTGTTTTAAATTCTGCTTATGTGGTGTATCCCATTTATAGATTTGTGTATGTTAAACCATCCCTATATCCCTGGTATGAAGCCCACTTTAATCGTGGTGGATTTTTTTTTGATATGCTGTTAGGTTTGGTCAGCTAGTATTTTGTTGAGGATTTTTGCATCTATCTTCATCAGGGATATTGGTGTGTAGTTTTCTTTTTTTTTTAATGTCCTCTCCTGGTTTTGGTATTAGGGTGATACTGGCTTCATATAATTATTTAGGGAGGATTCCCTCTTTCTCTATCTTTGGAATCATTTCAGTAGGTTTGGTACCAATTCTTTGAATGTCTGATAAAATTCAGCTGAGAATCTATCTGATCTTGGACTTTTTTTTGTTGGTAATTTTTTTTTACTACCATTTCAATCTTGCTGCTTGTTATTGATTTCTTCAGGGTTTTTACTTCTTCCTGATTTAAGCTAGGAAGGCTGCATATTTTCAGGAATTTATCCATTTCCTCTAGGTTTTCTAGTTTATGAGCATAAAGGTGTTCATAGTAGTCTTGAATGATCTTTTGTATTTCTGTGGTGTCAGTTGTAATATCTCCCATTTTGTTTTTAATTGAGCTTTTTGGATCTTCTTTTCTTGGTTAATCTTGCTAATGGTCTATCAATTTTATCTTTTCAAAGAACCAACTGCTTGTATCGGTCATCTTTTGGGGTTTTTGTTTCAATTTCGTTTGGTTCTGCTCTGATCTTTGTTATTTCTTTTCTTCTGCTGGGTTTGGGTGTGGTTCTTGATTCTCAAAGGCCTGGAGGTGTGACCTTAGATTGTCTATTTGTATTCTTTCAGACTTTTTGATGTAGGCATTCATTGCTATGAACTTTCCTCTTACTACCACTTTTGCTGTATCCCAGAGCTTTTGATAGGCTATGTCACTATTATCATTCAATTCAAAAAACAAAAATTTCCCTCTTGATTTTATTGTTGATCCAGAGATCATTCCAGAGCAGATTATTTAATTTCCATGTATTTGCATGGTTTTGAGTGTCCCTTTTGGAGTTGATTTCCAATTTTATTTCACTGTGAACTGTGAGAGTACTTGGTATAATTTTAGTCTTCTTAAATGTATTGAGACTTGTTTTCTGGCCTATCATATGGTTTATCCTGGAGAATGTTCCATAAGCTGATGAATAAAATGTATATTCTGCAGTTATTGGGTAGAATGTTCTGTAAATATCTGTTAAGTCTATTTGTTCTAGGGTATAGCTTCTTAAGTCCATTGTTTCTTTGTTGACTTTCTGTCTTGATGACCTGTTTAGTGCTGTCACTGGAGTACTGAAGTCCCCCACTATTACTGTGTTGCCATCTCTCTCATTTTTTAAGTCTAGTAGTAATTGTTTTATAAATTTGGGTGCTCCAGTGTTATGTGCATATATATTCAGGATTGTGATATTTTCCTGTTGGACTAGTGCTTTTATCATTATGTAATGTCCCTCTTTGTCTTTTTTAACTGTTGTTGCTTTAAAGTCTGTTTTATTTGATATAAGAAAGCCTACTCCTTCTTGCTTTTGGTGGCCATTTGTATGGGATATCTTTTTTTTCACCCCTTTACCTTAAGTTTGCATGAGTTCTTCTGTGTTAGGTTGAGTCTCTTGAAGAAAGCAGATTACTTGGTTGGTGAACTCTTATTCATTCTGCCATTCTGTATCTTTTAATTGGAGTATTTTGGTCATTTGCATTCAAAATCAGTATTGAGATGTGAGGTACTATTCTATTCATTGTGCTAGTTGTTGCCTGAATACCTTGTTTTTTTCATTGTATTATTGTTTTATAGGCCCTGTGAGATTGATGCTTTAAGGAGGTCCGTTTTGGTGTTTTTCCAGGTTTTGTTTCAGAATTTAGAACTCTTTGTAGTAATTCCTGTAGTGCTGGCTTTGTAGTGGTGAATTCTCTTAGCATTTGTTTGTCTGAAAAAAACTTTATCTTTCCTTCATTTATGAAGCTTAGTTTCCTTGGATACACAATTTTTGGTTGATAATTATTTTGTTTAAAGAGGCTGAAGATAGGACCCTAATCACCTCTAGCTTGCAGGGTTTCTGCTGAGAAATCTGCTGTTAATCTGGTAGGTTTTCCTTTATAGGTTACCTGATGCTTTTGCTTCACAGCTCTTAAGATTCTTTCTTTTGTCTTGACTTTAGGTAACCTGATAACTATGTGCCTGGGAGATGATTTTTTTTGTGATGAATTTCTTGGGTGTTCTTTGAGCTTCTTGTATTTGGATATCTGGATCTCTAGCAAGGTTGGGGAAGTTTTCCTCGATTATTCCCTCAAATAAGTCTTCCAGACTTTTAGATTTCTCTTCTTCCTCAGGAACACCAATTATTCTTAGGTTTGGCATTTAACGTAATCCCAATATGCTGTTAATACTTTCCAGTGCATTTTGCATTTCTCTAAGTGCGTGATATGGTTTGGCTCTGTCCCCATCCAAATATCATCTTGAATTATAATTCCCTCAACTCCCACGTGTCATGGGAGGAACCTGGTGGGAGGTGATGGAATTATGGGGGCTGGTCTTTCCTCCGCTGTTCTTGTGATAGTAAATCAATCTCATGAGATCTGATGGTTTTAAAAATGGGAGTTTCCCTGCACGAACTCTTCTCTTACCTGCAGCCATGTGAGACATACCCTTCATCTTCTGCCATGATCGTGAGGCCTCTCCAGCCACATGGAACTGTAAACCCATTAAACCTCTTTGTTTTGTAAATTGCCCAGTCTTGGGTATGTCTTTATCAGCAGCATGAAAACAGACTAATACAGTGTGTCTTTCATTTCCAGAAGTTGTGATTATTTTTATTTATGATATCTATCTGGAGATTTATTTTCTTCCATATCTTGTATTATCTTTTAAATTTCTTTAAGTTGGTTTTCACCTTTCTCTGGTACCTCTTTGAGTAGCTTAATAATCGACCTCTGAATTCTGTATTTAGCAATTCAGAGATTTCATCTTGGTTTGGATCCATTGCTCATGAGCTCATGTGATCTTTTGGGGGTGTTACATTGTTTTGTCATATTACCAGAATTGTTTTTCTGGTTCCTTCTCATTTGGGTAGACTATATCAGAGAAAATATCTGGAACACGAGGGCTTCTTTTCAGATTCTTTTGTCCCGTGGGGGGATCCCTTGATGTAGTGCTCCCCGCCTTCTCTTAGAAATGGGGCTTCTTGAGAGCCAGACTGCAGTGATTGTTGTTGCTTTTCTGGGTCTAGCCACCCAGCAGAGCTACTGGGCTTCTGGCTGGTACCGGGGAGTGCCGGCAAAGAGTCCTGGGTGTGATCTATCTTCTGAGCTCTCAGCCGTGGATATCAGCATCTGCTGTGGCAGAGGTGGCAGGGTTTTCCCGAATGCTGGTTTTGCTAGCAGTGAAGTTGTCATGTGGGCAGACTCAGGAGCTCTGGTCAGTGAGGATGTTGCAGGTGGTGGAATTAGCTGTTGTTTTCTCCTTTCTTGGAGCAGGGTTGTTCTGTTATGAGTTGCTGTAATGGCTTGAGTTGACTGGCCTCCAGCCAGAAGGTGGTGCTTTCAAGAAAGCGTCAGTTACGGTAGTATGGGGGTAGGGGAGGATACAAGCTTGCTCTAAAGTCACCTGGATAAGTATTCAGGTTTCTCAGATAATGGGTGGGGGTGCAGAGCTCCCACGAGTTTATGTCTTTTGTCTTTGGCTACCAGGCAGGTAGAGAAAGACCATCAGGTGAAGGTGGTGTTAGGCATGTCTGAGCTCAGACTCTCCTTGGGTGGGGTTTGCTGCATCCACTGTGGGGGTGGATTGGGTGGTTCTCAGGCCAATGAAGTTATGTTCCAAGGGGGATTATGGCTTCCTCTGGTGCTTTGTACAGGTTGCTAGGGAAATGGGGGAAAGCCAGCAGTGACAGTTCCCACTCAGCTCCCAGGTACCCAGCAAGGCCAGTCCAACCCCCATTGTGCTCCCCCAACAGCCAACAGAGCTGAATTCATATCCAGGCCTCCAGTGTGCAGGGATCAGATCTTGCCCCAGGCTATAAGCTTCCCTGCTGAGAAAGCAAGCAGGGCTTGCAAGCTTCACCCCTCCCTGCCTGCTGTGGCTTCTGTGCTCTTATCTGCGCTTCCCACTCACCCCCTGGATTCTGCCCAGGAAATTTCACGCTAAGTCAAAATTATTGCAAAGTTCAGCTGGACGTCTCCCTGTGGCCCTTCCCCAATTTTATTGGCTGCCCTCCCCAAAAACCCCTGTGAGACAAAGTCAGAAATGGCCTCCTTGGGGACTGGGAGTGCCTACAGGGCTCTTTCCCCTGCTTCTTCTACTTTTATATTTTGCTGCACTCTCTCAATCTGGATCTAAAATCTGGATTTTCAGGTTCCCCGGTGAGGATGTGTGTTTGGAGGTGGACTTTCCCCTTCTCACACTTTGGGCATTCACAGTTTTTCAGCTGTCTCATGGAGTTTGCAGTGGCAAGCTGCTTCTTTCAAAGGGTCTGTGAATTCTTTCCATTTTCCTGGTATGTTCCTGTGGTGGTTCATGGAGCAAAAATTTATGATGTGAGTCTCCACATGCTTTTCTGTTTGTCTGAGTGGGAGCTGCAAGTTAGTTCTACTTCTTATCTGCCATTTCTCCCCCAAACCTCTATGCAATTTTTATAAGTATAAAGAGATCCCAAGACCAATACGTTTGAAAACCAATGATGTACAAGGAGAGAGCAAGGACTGAACTCTAGAAATGGTACAATCAAGAGATGTAAAATTTTGCATGACCAATTAATGTTTAACAGATTATATAACTCTGGATATTTTATTCTAAACACTCTTGAAGGAAAATAAGTAAATTCTAAGAGCACTTGAAAATTTTGCCTCCGACCTTTGAAGCAAAACCAGACACAATGCTGAATAATTAATAAAAAGAAAAAAAAAACACAGACAAATGTTTCTACAGAATTATCCTAGCAGGAGAGGAATTGATGTGAGGTGAGTAAATTATCAGGACTGTAATGGCACAGCCTTTAACTAGTGAGCTTTGAAACTTCCTAAAAAATTTCTGCTTTTATTTTATTTATTTAAAAAAGGCGGAAATTTGTCTGAAATTGCAATATTGCTAAATGTCTTAGTCAGCTTAGGCTTCTATAACAAAGTACCATAGACTGGGTGGCTTACAAACAACAGGAATTTATTTCTCCTGATTCTGGAGGCCTTGATGTCTGATATCAGGGTGCTAGCATGATCAGGTTCTGATGAAAGCTGTCTTCTGGGCCACAGACTGCCAACTTCTCATTGTATCTTCACCTGGTAGAAAGGCAGCTAAGTAGCTCTCTGACCTCTTAGAGTAAGGGCACTAATCCCATTCATGAGGGCTCCATCCTCATTACCTAAATACCTTCCAAAGTCTCTGCCTCCTAATATTGTCACATTGGGTGTTAGGAATTCAACATATAATGCATTCCTTAAAATAACATTTATTATTTGTTTCATATTGCAAAAGGAATATGTGTTCATGGTAGAAACTATAGAAAGCATGGAGAAGCAAAAAGAATTAAATAAAAATCACAGGCGAGTTCTTCTCATGAAGATTACCCACCCTATTAACATTTTGATAGTATCCTTTCAGTTTTCTTGACATGTAGATATATATCTATATTTTTTCTTTTGCAAAAAGATCATACTATACATACTGTTTTATACAGCGCTTGTTTTCCCTGGCAGTGTTTCATAAACATCTTTCTTTCAAGTATACATTTTATTAATATTCATATTATCTGAAGGTCTCCACATATTTTTATTGCCCTTATCTTAGATTATGAGAATGTATTGTGATGACTTGAAGGTTATATTACTCAGGGTTCTTGGTTGCAAATAACAGGAAATAACTGGCCACATTTTATAGGAAAAGAGTCTACTGGAAGTATTGGCAGCTCCAAGGATGCGGGGAGAATGGGGCCAACCAAGCTCAGAAAATGGAAAACAAATGCCCACTACAATGAAGCATTAGAATATTCTACCTAAATATGTGCACATTTAAAAATCAGCCCTACCTGCTTGACTCTGCAGAATGTATTCTCCTTACTTAGATTAGAGCTAACAGAGAATAGATACAGGCTAAAGGCCAGAATGGTAAAAAAAAAAGATGAACAACCCAGACACTGATATAAATTGGAAGGGCTCCTGCAGCTTGGAACCAGAGGGGTTATTATGTAATGAGAATAGCACACTGAAGATCCTTCAGCTTGCTGTGCCATGAGTCACATACAGGACAGGCAGGTTTGCATTTTTCACTTATTGCTGTTTTTGCAGCACACGATTTTGTTATTTATTTGAATGATGGGAAAGACCACAGTGGACTGCCCTGAGGGTTGTGATAGTGAGCTGGAAATAAGGGCTGGATGACCTGAATGTGAAATGCTGAGTATGTGTGGATGTGGAACAACAGAGGAGGTGAAGCCAGGACTTGAAGAAACCCTAAAGATTTAAGGGCTGTGCTATACCATCGTGGCAAATCAAGCCCTTTCATCTCCCTCTCCCCTCCCCTACCCCTAAATTGCTAAGCCTGTGACCATGTGTTAGCCTGACTGATATAACAGCTTGAAACTAGGCCATTTGAAATATAAGATGAATTCTTGGGGATAGGCGAAAAAATATGCCATTTTGAAAAGCCGACTTCTACTAAAATCATTGCATAATGGCATTCAGCAGCATTAAAAATGACATGGAGAAGAAATAGTGCTTCGAGAATAGAATTGCTCTTAGCTTTCTTTAGTGTTCTCAGGAGTTTTTCCAGATAAATGTACTCTTGGTGGATTCGGTAAAACTGAATATCCAACAACTGTTATAACTGGGAGAGGCTGTGCTCCATACGGCACTGGGCTGTGAGTGGTGCCAAAAAAATATTAGTCTCTGTTCTCCTCCATACCCTCTCATCCCCATAAAAGAAAAAAGCCCTTAGTGATGCTTAGTTCTTAAAATGTGATCTTGCTGAGAAAATTAGTGTCCCAGTCTGCACAAATTTAAAAAAATCCTTGTGTTTTCTCAGAAAATAAGAATTTCAAAATGTTGGCAATAGGAGAGGTCAAGGAATAGGAAGTAAATGGAGAAAGAAAAAAGAGGAATCTCACATGTGTGAAGAACCTACCAGTATTTGTTACTTTGCACATGTCTTCTCAGTTAATGCTCCCAACTACTCTGTAAGTGGCTTAATTAATATTTCCATTTACAGAAGAGTTAACCGAGACTCAGAGAGGATAAAAGATTTGCCCCTGACCACAGATGCTAAATAGAATAAATCAAATTCAAATTGCAGTTTTTTTTCCATTTCAAACTGTTTCCATCGTAATTCTTGAAGGCAAGGAAAAGGGAAGAGCTGAAGGACATTTCAGTGATGGGGACAGGAGAGAAGAAAAAACAAGGCTGTTTTATATTTGTTGATGTTGATGTCTATGTTTGTAATTGATCACAATAAAATACATATACAATTATAAAAATGTGATTTAATGTAAAGAACTGATTATTAACTCAATTTAAAGATACAGTAGCTTACCACTGATTAATATGAAAGCTCTGTCTGTTCCTTACATATCCAACTTGTATTATCAGAAGCATTTTTGTGATGTCATTTTAATATATGATAAGTTTCATAATGGCTCTGTCATCTATCCATCCATCCATCCATCCATCCATCCATCCATCCATTCATCCATCCATCTTTCCTCATATGTATATCTTACATCTATAATACACACACACACATAAATATATATTCAAAAAGATTTTAATTATTGGGACATCTTTAGGTTTTTACATTATTCAATAATATTTTCTTATGAAAATATTTGTTCATTGAACAAAAGTATAAACATGTGATGAAAATAAAAATTAGTCAAATCTTACACATTTCACCCAGTCATACCCAATGGTTCTGTTTTATATAACTAAAGTACAATGTCAGAAGCCAGGAAATTAACATTGGTACAATGAGTGTATATAGTTCTATGTCATCAGAAGCCAGGAAATTGACATTGGTACAATGAGTATATATAGTTTTATGTCATTTTTATCACCTGTATATATTTGTATAACCACACAATAATAATTATATATGTATATTCTAAAAATGGAAACAACTCTGTATAATCTGCTTTATAACTTTTTTCCATTTAACAATATACTGTATGGAGTACATTTTTCAATATAATTACTATCTGTCCTACAATGATAACATTTTTACGTCTGTCTTGTATTCCATTGTATACACATGCGTCTTTGTATGTGCATCTGGGATAATTTCTTTAAAATAAGTAAAATCAGGTGGCCAATGGTTATGGACATTTTAAAGGTACTTGCTGCATACTACTGAATCACCCCTTGAAATTTATCAATTAATACTAATGTGAGCCAAAATGAATAATAATGTTCATTAACCAGTGACTTGGCCAACATCTGTATTAACATTAAAAGAAATCAATGTCTATTTGATAGGAGAAAAGTATTAATTTATTGGGCTTTAATTTACATATATTTAATTTCTTGTAAGGTTGGACCCTTCTTATGTTTTTTGAACATTTATATGTCCTTCTTATAAATTCTTCTATACTTTAGTCAAATTTTTCTATGGAGGATTTTTCCTTTATTTATTTGTAAATGTCCTTTATGCATGAAGGGTATTATTCCATTGTCCATATATAGTTACTTTTTTTGTATGTTTGTTAGGTTTTAACTTTTGTTTATAATGATTTTCCTGCACAGAAGTTAAGAATTTTTGTGTTATCAAACCTATCAATCTTTTTAAAGTAGTTTCTGCCTTTGGAGAGTCCTTTTCCATATTAAAATAATTGTTATATTTTCTTTTTGTTCTTTTAGGATTTATTTTTAAATATTAAACTCTTTAAGCTATCTGCCATCTTTTGAAGTATATAAAGTATTGAATTTAATTTTTGTTTCAAATTGTTAGCTCTTCCAGTAACAGCTATAAAAATAGCTGTTTCATTAATTTGAAATATTTCATTTATCCTAAGTTAAAAATCATATGTGTACTGCACAAAGGATAAAAGTGAATTTGAACTCATATTCATTTACCCATTTACTCATTCATTCATTCACAAATTCACTCTTCCATTCACTTATTCTACAAACTTTTATTTAGCACCCACTCTGTGTGTTAGTTGCAGTGCTTAAAATTATGCAAAAGATGGACAAGGTGTCTATGCTCATAGGACTTTGGTTCTTTCAGGGATGGGTTGAGGAATGAAAGAAGTTATAGCAAATGAGTTAAAATGTATGCAGGTTTTAGGCAGAAGTTCTATGAGAAAGAGAAAATATGACTGCTTCTCATGATCCCACATCCTAGTCCAAGTCTAAGTCACCATCATCTCTTGCCTGGATTATTGCAATGGTTTCCTGCCTGGACTCCTTGATTCAGTGCTTGCTCTCTTTTAGCTTATTCTCCATGCCACTTCCAGAGCACTCCCTATAAAACAAATCAGATCACTTCACTCCTTTGCTCAAAACCTTTTTGTCTCCCTCTTCATTATCTTTTGCTGGGTAATAAATTACTACAAGTAGTGGCTTAAAACAACACACGTTTTTTTATCTCACAATTTCAGTGGGTCAGTGGGGATAACTGGGTGTCCTCTTAGTGTCTATCTGCCACCCCCCACTATATCACCGTGATAAGAAGGCAAAGAGTTTAAATGGCCCTGGACGCCTTGTATAATCTACCCGATGCCCTTCATACCTCTCTGAGCACAGCTCCCCTTTTTTAGGACTAACCTTTTCTCCTTCTCTGTCCCTTCACTGCAGCCCAATGGCCCCTTGAGGCCCTCAAACAGGCCGGGCACACTCCAGCCTCCCGGGCCTGGCTTCAGGGCCTCTGCTCTGGCCGTTATCAATGCATGGAACACTATTCCTGACCATCACCTCTGACTAACTCCTTTGCCTCCTTCAACTCTTTGCTTAGATGCCACTTCTCAGTGTCCCTGGCCACCCCATGCAATGATGCAGACTAGTCCTTCTCAGCCCCTCTCCTGCACTCCCCACCCCACTCACTCTGCTCTCCATTTCCTGTATTCTCCAGCACAGATTGCTTCTGACATGATATATTTGTATGACTATTGTTTATCTTCTGTCTTACCGCACTGGAGAGTCAGTTCCATGAGAGCAATAATCTTTACTTGTTTTCTTCATACTTGCTCAGCACCGAAAACAGTGCCTGGCACAAAACAAGCATTTAATAACTATGTATTGAATACATGGAGTTAAGAATTAGTTAATGAGGGGCTTAAGGTGAGGACATTTGAACTGAGTTCGGAATGATAGGAGGCCTTTTCTGAAGAGATGTGGGGAAAGATCATTTCAGGCAGATACTTTAAGAAGTTTTATATAAAAGCTCTTCTAAGCAGTTTTCTTTTTTTTTTTTCTTTTTTTCTTTTTTTTTGAGATGGAGTTTTGCTCTTGTTGCCCAGGCTGGAGTGCAATGGTCCGATCTCAGCTCACTGCAACCTCTGCCTCCTGGGTTTAAGCGATTCTCCTGCCTCAGCCTCCCGAGTAGCTGGGATTACAGGTGTGCGCTACCGTGCCTGGCTAATTTTTGTATTTTTAGTAGAGACAGGGTTTTGCTGTGTTGGCCAGGCTGGTCTCGAACTCCTGACCTCAGGTGATCCGCCTGCCTCGGCCTCCCAAAGTGCTGGGATTACAGGCGTGAGCCACCGCGCCTGGCCCTAAGCACTTTTCAAACATTAGTTCATGTAATCCTCTAACAACCCTATGATGTAGATATGGTTATTATTACCATGATACATATGGGGAAAGTAGGCACAGGGGAATTAAGTAACTCACCGAAAGTGTCGTAGCTGGTATTTAAACACAGGCAGAAAGCCAGGCAGTATGAAGCCAGAGTCTGCACGCTTAACCACTATACTTCATTGCCTTTTAAGGCAGAGCCAGTGCAAAGACTCCGAGGCTGGAACAAACTTGGGGTTTTTGGAAGGACAGCAACAAGGCCAGTGTGGCTGGTGTTTAAATTTAGGGATGAGAAACATGATGTGAAGTGGGTCCAGAGAGGCAGGCAAAGGTGAGAGCATTGAGGACCTTTCAGACTGTGGGAGAGTGAGATATAGATTGTTCTCACTGCTGGCAGCTTCCAACAGTAGTGATATAATCTGCTCTAGGCTTAAAAAAATTTCTCTGGATCCTGGATGGATAAGGAACTTTGTGAGGGCGTAGAAGAAGGTAAATTAAGAAAAGTCCTTATAAACAATTCTGTTTCCCATGGATATATATTTTTTAAAGTTATATTAGTTTATATATGATTCCCAGATTCCTGGTTAGATTAGCTAATGGAATGTATTTACATTTTAAAACACGTTTTAGTATTTTAGTATTTTTTTTTTTTTTTTTTGCATAGTGAGATCTAATTTCTGGAAATGCAGATAATTCAACATTAGAATTTTTGAGGACAAACAGAAAGAAACCATGTGCACTGATGCCAAGCTACAACTAATCTGCAATATCCTGGCTGATTTTCAGAATTCAATCTTATTTTTAAAAATGACTTTATTGAGGCATAATTTACACACTGTAAATTTGACTCAGTTTAAGTGACTAATTTAATGACTTTTAGCATATTTACAGGATTGTGCAGCCATCACCGCATTCTGATTTTAGAACATTCCCATCACACCAGTAAGAAACTGTGACCATGTGCCAGGTGCGGTGGCTCATGTCTGTAATCCCAGCACTTTAGGAGGCTGAGATGGGCAGATCACGAGGTCAGGAGTTTGAGACCAACCTGACCAACATGGTAAAACCCTGTCTCTACTAAAAATACAAAAATTAGCTGGGCGTGGTGGCACACGTCTGTAGTCCCAGCTACTCAGGAGGCTGAGGCCGGAGAATCGCTGGAACCCAGGAGTTGGAAGTTGCAATGAGCTGAGATCACACCACTTGCACTCCAGCCTGGGCGACAGAGTGAGACTGTCTCCAAAAAAAAGAAAAAAGAAACTGTGACCATTAGCAGTCATTTTCCATTCCCATCTCTAGCCTAGCCAACCACTAAGCTACTTTCTGTCTACAAATTTGCCTTTTCTAGACATTTTATATAAATGGATTAATACAGTATATGATTGTTCATGCCCAGGTCCTTTCAGTTAGCATGTTTTTGAAGTTCCTCCACATTTTAGTATGTATCAGTACCTCATTGCTTTTTATTGCTGAATCGTACTCCATTGTATGGATGTACCACATTTTGCTTATTATTCATCATCTGATGGACATATGAATTATTTCTACTTTTGGCCATTATAAATAAAGTTGCTTTAGATATTCTTGTACAAGTCTTTGTGTGAAAATATGTTTTAATCTCTCCTGAGTGAAGGTTTCTTTTTAGAGTAGTGGAATTGCTGGTTTTGGGGGTATGTTTACATTAATTTTCAAAGTCTTAAAACCAGAACAATGTACATCATAATTTTATTTTGATAAGTTGCCATCTTCAAGTAATTTTAATTATTTTGCTATTACTTATAAATTTATAAAACTAGCTTTTGTGATATGCTTGAAGTTTTAGTTTATTTAAGTAAGAAATGTCTTTACACCATACTGTTTTAAATATTGAGAAATAATTTCTCTATGCTCATAGGTTCTTTATCTTGGTGCTCAATTTGTGATTTGATTAAGAGTGTCTTTAAGGATGTTCTCTAAATTTTTGTTTCAGCACATGTAACATATGGAGTAAATTCTCTGTCTTTAAAATAATCTTCTGTGGAATAGGAGGTTTGAAAATCACGGAGTGAATATCTTTCTTCTTTGTTATTTTAGCTGCTGACATTTTTAATTCAATTTAGCTGTGGCCTTATATTTTTAAAGTTAATGAAGGGGATTTCAGGTTCAGTTAGCAGTAATTTAAGATGACAATTCAATCATTAGTGAAGCTAATTATTAAATGGAAAACTCACTGTAATCCTTAAGCTCATAATGAAATAAAATCTTAGGTCCAAGGGCTATGCAAAGACTATGAGCTGGTTGGCGTGTAGCTCTTTTAATAAAACAGCACAATAGTAAGGTTGGGAGACAGTAGTCCTGTACACAGTATTATTTTCAGTGGGCTGAAGTTTAAATATTTAGGTTCATTTCTAGTCATGATTTTATTTAGCTAAATCACATAGCATGTAAAGAATTTTGTTTCACAGATTCTCCATCAGTGTTTCTAAATATAAATATATCCATTATCCCACTTATCTCAAACTCATATGACAGTTATAGTAATTGCCATGTTCACGTAATAAAAACAAAACAGAAGTGATGTTGTTATGAATGCTTTTGTAGCTTCATTTTGGTAAGCAAGTGCATGCATTTCTTTTGGGTATATACCTGGAGCAAAATTGCTGGATCACAAGGAATGCTGTGTTCAGCTTTGATAGATAAGGCCAAACCATTTTCCAAAGTGGTCAAACCACCTACCACCAGTGTTCAAGACTGTCTATTTCTCTATCATATTTTAATAGGCAGATCTGGCAACAGTTGGTGGTAAACCCATGAATAAGAGGGATGCATGAACAATGCACGGCAAATGGATGAATGATGTTGTGTCTTAGTTTTAGCTACTATAACAAAAATACCTAGATTGTGTGACTTTAACAACAAACGTTTACTTCTCTGTTTTGGAGACTGAGAAGTCCAAGATCAAGTTGCTAATGGATTCGGTGTCTAGGGAGGGCCCATTTCCTGGTTCCTAGACTTCTTCCCAGTACATCCCTACATGGCTGAAGGAGCAAGGAAGGTCTCCGAAATCTCTTATATATTTTGACGATTCCATTTATCAGGGTTCCACCCTCATGACCTAATCATCTCCCAAAGGTACCACCTTCTAATACGACCACCTTGAGGGTTAGGGTTTCAACATATACATTTTGGGAGGCACAGACATTCAGTCTATAGAAGGTAGTATATGTATGCAGTGGAATACTACACAGCAATGGAAAATGAACCGTATGATTCAGGTAACAACATGAATGAATCTCAAAGACATACGCTAAAAGAATAAGACATAAAGTGAAAGCTATGATCCCTATTTTTATAAAGTTCAAAAAGGACAAAATTAAGTTGTGGTGTTAGAAGTTAGGATAGTGGCTAATTTGGGTGAGTAAAGAGCATAGTGATTGCAAGTGGGCAAGAGGGGAGTCTCTGAGTGTTGGTAATGTTCTGTTCCTTAATCTGGATTTCTTCACTTTGTAGTATTTTTTTTCAAGCTATGTACTTAATGATCTATAAATCTTCTAAATACATGCTAAACTACAATAAAAAGTAAAAAACAGGTATCCAGCTTAAAAAAAACATTAATTTTATCTTCTTATTTTATTTTATTTTGAGACAGAGTCTCCCTCTGTTGCCCAGGCTGGAGTGCAGTGGCACGATCTCGGCTCACTGCAGCCTTGACCTCCTGGGCTCAAGAGATCCTCCCACCTCAGCCTCTCGAATAGCTGGGGCTACAGGCGCATTCCACCACACCCAGTTTATTTTTGTATTTTTCGTAGAGATGGGGTTTCGCCATGCTGCCCAGGCTGGTCTTGAACTCCTGAGCCCAAGTGATCTGCCTGCCTCAGAATCCCAAAGTGCTGGGATTACAGGTACACTACAGTGCGTAGCTTCTTTTGATTTGAATTATAACATTTACTTGAACTTAATCATTAAAGTAAAATTTATTTTAAAAAAATCTCTTTCATGTAAATACAATTCTTTAATATATACCAGGATTTTTCTTTCCTAATAGAGTATTTTTGCCCTTTATTTTTTGATTTTTAAAATGTTTTTATGTTTTTGTTTTTTTAATCACACTGTAAACATTCTGTTTTATAATACATTTTAATTTGTGACAATACTGTTACTCTTATGGTTTACTTGTTTAAAACAATTTTAACTGTTTCCTCATATGAGTATTTTGTGAATTTTCAAAAATGAGCTAGGATTTTGATTACTTTAACTTTACAAATTAATTCGGGTGGCATTGACATCTTGCCAGATTGAGGTTTTTTTTTTTTTTTTTAATCTAGGTCTATGATGTCTCTCCATTTATTTAAATCTTCTTGTGCCATTGAATATTTGTAATTTTCCTTTAGAAAACTCAACTATAATGTATGATTAATACATGAATACATTCTTGTTGTTAAAAAGTTAAAACATTACAAATAAATCTACGATCCCAAATTCAGATATACCTCTTCCCTGCAATAGGGCTATCCAGTTATCAATGTGGAGTGTATGTCTCCAAACTTTTCTAAGCATGTACCTATGTGTACATGTACTCACCCAGAGAAGATATATGATACCTTGATTTTTTTCATAATTTTTCTGTCTACGTGAATAATCTCATACAATCTATATTTTGGTGTGTGTGTGTGTGTGTGTGTGTGTGTGTGTGTATTATGTTCCCCCCTACTCCTAACAATATAGTTAGACATATTTCCATGCTAGGACATTAGAATTCTCTTATTCTTTTAAATTGCAAATTAACATACCATAGAATGGATATATTATTGTTTGTTTATTTTACTGATGGACACATAGATGGTTACAAATTTTTGTGATTATAAACAATGCTAAATCACATTGTTATACACATCTACTTGCATACACTTACAAGTTTTTCTCTAAGTAGATTTTGAGACATGGAATTGGTCAAAGTGTATGCACATGTTAAATCTTGATAAATACTGCCTAATCTTTCTACAAATATTTTCCCCAATCAGCATGCTTACTAAGAATATCCATTAACTCTTCATATATTAAAAACCATGGGAGATGGAAAGAATGAATGATTATTGCTCTCAATGGAGTTTATAATAGAATGTTGTAATATAAGGCAATAAACATAATACCTTAAAAGCAGCTAAACTTGTAGAAGTAATATCTTTTAGTGTTTGGCAAAGAGGAGAGGTATTATCTTATTCCTGGGATGTCATGATAAATTTCTTTCCAGCAAAATGAGCAAGCTAATAAATACAACTACACTACACTGAGTGGATTCACTTTTTGGGAACAGATAAACTCACAGAGCCCAAAGTACAAAACCAATTTATGAATGTACAGGAGATAAAACATGCCCGTGGGTCCAGACATGCCCATCCAGTCTCGCCTTCTGTCCATGTATACACACCAAAAGCTAATTTAATATTTGAATGCCAGCAAATCTAGTTTTATTTTATTTTATTATTTTTTTAAATATCCACATGGCAGTCCACTTTTCATGTACTCCTCTTGGACACTGTTGGGATGGATCCATCCAATATATTCCTCTAGCGTTCTCTCTTTTCTGGATTTTCAGTGATGGAAAATCCTCCATCTGATAGGCATATTATTTTCCACTATAATCAAGCATTATTCTCTAGAAGCAATCCACGTTATTTAATTCCAATAATAAAATCAATAGTTACAGTAATGTTTATTTAGGGCTTATGATATGCCAGGCAGAGTTCCAAGTGCTTTAAATATGTTGACTCATTTCATCCTTTTTAAAATGTCTTTCTCTGTCTCCATTTTTTGCCCATCATGTGTTGGTTTGATAGTTTCTCTCTCTAAGGGCACAAACTCATTTATTTTCTTTACACATTCTTGAAGTGATCCTTGATATAGGTGCAATGGAAACATGATTAAAATACAGCAGGAATTCTAGTAGGAAGAGATTCTTTCTGATTAGATCGATAACGGAAACTTCTTATGAAGGAAGAGAAGGAGTCTTAAAGTATGAATAGAAATTTTACTGGCAGAGGGAGGAGAAAATTTCATGCTTAAAAAAAAAGAGTAACATTTTTCCTCCTTAAAAGGGTAAGTTTCATTTACCTGGAAAGTTTACTTACATGAAATACCTGACTTCATAATAATGACTGATAAAGGAGATATACTTTGCTGTGATATAATTTGCTGAGATATAGTTTGCTGTGGGGTGAGTGGAAAAGAATATGAATGTTTTCCTGTAAAAATTGTGTTGTCTGATTAAACTAAATGGACATAAAACAAAACCGTCATTGGTTCCATGAGGGTTGTCTTTCTAACTGTGCTTCTCATCTACTTGTACAATTTATACCTTATTGAAAATGAGACTCGAGAGATGCTATTAAAATCCAGGAGGGGGAATTAGAATGCATTGCCCTTGATTGCAGCATTTGTTATTTTAGAGGGAAAAAGCATCAGTGGTTACTTATAAATTGTGCATCTGACCTACATTGCAGTGCTAGCAAATTTCCCTGGGAACCTGATCAATAAAATACTATTAAAAAAGAAACTTCCTCACAGCCTTTTCTTATAAAAAGCTAAGGTTGACAGTCAAGAATACAGTTTGTTCAATTTCCTCTTCTCCCCTAGAATTCTCATCAGGTAAAATTACTCACTATTTCATAGTCACAAAAGCATTTCATTTAAAATAATAATGTTGATTTTCATTGCATTTTTAATATGAAAGTTACACATAAGGACTTATGGGTAATTATGATAGCAGGCTAACAGTATGTGATACCCTTTCTCCCAGCGTGCACAGAAGAGACCCAAACTGGTAATAGAGGAGAAAACTAATGGAAAGACCGCCAGTCAAACTTTGGATGAAATTTTTAGTAACTATCATTGATGAAGATGCACTGAGAATCCTATTCTTGGACTACACACCACCTGCCCACTTTTTACATCTAATTTCATAAAGAGGCTCAAAAGTAATAGAAAAGGATCTTAAGTCAGCCCCTGTTTAAAGGCAGCCATCTTCTTAATCAGGATTTCTCAACGTTGACACTATTGATACTTGGGACTAAATAATTGTTAGAGGTGATATTGAGCAGCATCCTGGTTTCTACTCACTAGATGATAGTAGTACTCTCCAGCCTCTCCCCAAGTTGTGACAACCAAAAATGTCTCTAGAAATTGCCACATACTTCTTGAGGAACAAGACAGCTCCCAGTTAGAGCCACAGCCCTAAATGACGATAGTCACCAGCACCTGTAGCTTCCTCTGTTCCATCTCTCTTTGTCACCATTGGGCCTTCTCTTTTAACTTCGTATGAAAATAAGTCAAAGGGAGCAGATTTCAGTGCTCTGAACTCTGGGGCACTTTATCCTGAAAAAATATTTAAGAAAGAGCATTAGGACCAAAATTCATCTATGGTGCTAGAAGTTAAAGTAATGATTACCTTTGAGGGAGGGTATATTAGCAAAGAAGGGACACAAAGGAGACTTTTCTGGTGAAAGGAGATTCTATATCTTGATCTAGGTTGTGGTTATGCATATGTTAAAATTCATTGAACCTTACTGTTAAGCTGGTTGTACTTTATTGAAGTTATACTTCAGTTAACAACAACAACAAAAAGAAAGGCTCGGGAGAAAGAGAGCCAAATATGAGGCATGTTTAAAGAAAAGGACAAAGACCCTGAAGATATAAAGAATATACCTCTGAAAATTAAACGATGCGAATGCTTTAGAATTCATGTGCTTACATCAAACAGTTCAGTTTGGGAAGGCTAATAGATTTTCATGTAACCCATACCAAAGGCCTTCCACAATCCCTGAGAAGCGAAAAGAAAATTAGCTTTAAAAGCTGGGGCTGTTATTCAACCTATTGCCAGAATCTTGAAGATATAATGGATTTGCTTAAAAAATATAATAGATGGCTCATCCAAGCTGTGCCAGCAGAAATAGCCTCCACATGCCCACTAGAAAGTTAGGGAGAAGCTTCATCCCATCCACTTATCTGTCTCTTTGAAGGTGAGGATTGTACTGATCACTGTTCTATGTAACTCTTCTACTGCTTTTTAAGGCAGAGAGTTTTCTGCTCCCTATCCACCTTGTGACACTGATTATTCTACTTCTAATCTGGAAGGTAATATCTTAGAAAATGCTTGGGCTGGGGGAGTGTGCAAGAGGCCAGCAATGGCTCACTGTTTTGGGGATCAAAGTCCACACAAGTAAAGCATTGTACCCAGAGTAATAACACTGAGCAGAAAGTATGCCCTGAGTCAGCCTTGACGTGTACATGAAACAGTCAGAATTCCAGAGTGATTAGTGTAATAGTGGCAGATCTGACAACCGAGTCACATATCATCTGTGTAACAATGGTGCGCATACTTCATTTCACAACAATTCCTCTAGTCCCCACTTCGAAACAGGTTTCCACCTCTAATGCTCCCCTGTTTAGAGAGTTGGAGACTGCTGGTACTGTTGAAATCATCAGTATGCCTAGAGTGGTCGGTGCATCAGCACTAGTTCACATGTCCCAATAGGTTCATATTTTGAATGTGATCATTCTGTCCAGAGAGGCCAGTGTGTCTGAAACGGCTAGCGTGTTGAGTGTAATTAATCCATTAGGTCCTGTGCATCCGCAGTGCTCAGTCTGTTTAGGCCAATGGAGTCCGCATTATTTGTTGAGGATATTTCTGTGGCATATCCTCTAGGCCTACATGAAATCCAGCATCTTTAGGAGAGAAAGTGGTCTAAGGACATACGTGACTGGGATATGGCTATGTTCCTGGGGCTTTTGCATCTACTCTGGGATATGGGTTCCCACTGCCCCAGGATTGTTACCCTGGCTTGTCTGTTCAGCTTCTTAAATAGCTACCTCCTCCCACAAAGAGGGTCCCCACCATAACTCCAGTCACACCCCACCAGGGATATCCAACAGGAATGAGACTGTTTTGATGTATTTTGCTCAAACTGCAGCTTGGGACCCAGGAGACCTGGGTAGCAGGATTTCTTTTATCTTAGCCCTCTCTCAGTTTCTCACTCTAACCCAGCACTGCCAGGGACTACAGGATCCCCCATCAGTGGCCTCAAATACCTCCCTCACCTCCTGGATTGATGTAGTAAAAGTCATTATTCATTGAGTCATTAATTTTTTTAGTTCATGCATTCAATCAGCAAATATTTATCTACCATCTACTGTATTCCAGACATTACTTTATGGGTGAAGGTTATAGTGATACATGAGGCAGACAATATCCTTATTCTCTTGGAGCTTATTTCCTAGTGGAGAAAACAGACTAAGTGAATAAACTATCAAAGAAGTATATATCAGATGGAAATAAATGCTATGATGCTATTAAACCAGTATATGAGATTTTTGATTGGGGTCAGGGTAGGGGGTACTGAGAAGGTATAGTTATTTGTCTATGCAAATAAGAATGCCAAGGACCTAGGAAAGTCTTAAAACAGACTGGAAGTTATTAAATGCAGTGGAGGCCTTGATGGCCTATTGGCATTCATTTTCCCCGTTCCTCCCTAAACAAATCACTTCCCAAGCGTCTATATGTCTCAGGGAAGGCTGAGGGACCCAGCCACCAGGCTTGGCGCTGATTAACATCACCCAGTAACACCATCCACCTTGCCAGTGATTGGTTTAAGAATCTGGCCTAACCCAATCAGCACAAAGTATTTTCCTGTCAACAGAGATTGGTTCAGGAATGGACCCATGATCCAATTTGAGCCAATCAGCCGTGAGGGGAGTTTTCTGGAAATGTGTGGGAAGTTTTCTGGAAATGTGTGGGGAGTTTTCTGCTCTTAATAGGAAGAGAAAGTCCATCTCAGTAGATGTGAAGGGAGGAAGCAAGCCGACTCAGTTGTTCCTAGAAGCTGGCGTATGGCCAAGAGGCAAATACTCTTGAGAGGAAATCTGACACTGTGGATGGCTGAATGTAAAGAAGGAAATTGTCTGGTTTCGGAGGACGTTAGTGAACCTCCAGACTAACCAATCTTGAAGGCCTGCTGCGGGGACCCTCGCCCTTACTGTGCAGGCCACAGCTTCTGTTTGTGCAGAGAGCAGCAGCTAGAGAGCCCACAGGCGCAGTACTCAGCCAGTGAGGGACAGGAGATGAGGGATATCCACTGCAGCTTTCTTGTCCCTTGCTTGAGACAAACCGAGCACACTAGGTGACAGGTGACAAAGAAACCCTCCCCAAGTAGAACAAATTTACACTGAGCTGTGAATGACAACAAGAAGTCTTCTGTGAGAAGCGTGTTCGCTGCTGAGGCAACGAGTTGGCAGAGACCCTAATGTGGTATTTGTTTTGGCAGGTTCCGGAATCAGAAAAAAGGAGGGCAATTATGGCTGGGTGCTGGGGTTCTAGAGTCAGGGAGTCTATTAACGTCCTTCTCCTCATCTTGCTTGCAATTTGGCCTTGAGGAAGATAGTTAATCCTTTTGAGTATTAGTTTTCTCATCTTTAAATAGGCTTAATCGTAGCACCCACATGACAGGGTTGTAATGAGAATCTTATGAGCTCATGAATGTGAAGTGTTTATCGCAGTCTTTGGCCCAGAGTAGTTATTCTCTCATCTAGATTAGGTTTGTTTGCCTAATGTTCAATTTGCTATGGATTTTATGTCTTTTTAGGGTCATTGTCAGGATGAGCAGAATAAAATCACACTTGGCTGAACCTTGAAACAATGAAATGCAAACCCCCACTGGTGAATGTGAATGCTGAGGAACCATAGCTGTGATTTTTTTCTTTTTATTAAATAGATGATCCAGATCCTTTCAGAGCTCTAGCTGCCCCCAGAGTTTACCTCTTTGCCAGAAAACCTGGAAATATGTCTTAAAATTTTGCGAAGTGTAAGTTAAGTTTATCCTCTGAGCAAGAACACATCTCCTCTCCTGTAGTGTCTGCTGGAAACTATCAAAAGATAATCTGTCAACATTCACAAAGATGGAGGCCCACAATAAACACTCTGGCCAATTTGTCCATCAAATAAGATTAAAAACCTACTGCAGATATGTTATTGAGAAAAACTGGAAGTGCTAATACAGTTCCACTGGAACACACATGATTAATTACCTGATGGACTTGACACATATATTGTGGGCTGCTTTGAAAGCCTTTCTTGGGACCATGTACTCTCATGGGATATTACTACTGTAGGGAAGTTCCTAAAGTAGCCCTAACATTGCGAGTCATCCCAAGGACAACTGCCCCTTACTTCATACCCAGCTTTCCAGGAAGTCACTGCAAAATTGCACATGTTAATGCACAGATAACTTTGTACAATAATTTTAGAACTTCCCTGCAAGAGAGAAAATTTCCACCCAGAACACTTTTAGCAGTGTGCTATTGTGAGTCCACAAAGAAAGCCATTGGATTTAATAATGTGTATTTGCTTAAAACAACAAAGACCAATAAGATGTGTTTCACCTCACACATAAAGCTATTAAAGCGATTTCCTTTAGAGCTTTCTGTCAGAGAAGACTAATAAAATAATAGAAACTGCTGAGTATTACTTACCTAGGGCAAGTAATATTTTTCTCATCCCTATAGTAAGCTCATAATCAAACCTGTCTATATTTAGTCACAAGCTAGTGACCATTTCTGTCTATCACCATATACTAATTTTCTATAATTATGTGCTATGAGAAATGAAATGAGATAGAGAAGGATTCAATTCCTAGCTCTATCACTTACTCGTTCTTTGACCTTAATAATAATAGTAATAATGATAGTTAATATTTATGACAGCTTACCAGGTCTCAAGCATTATGCTTAGCATTTAACTTATACCCATCTCATTTAATATTTGCAAAAAGCCATCAAGAGAGAGAAGTATTATCATTATACCTTATTTATAGTTGAGAAATAGAAACTTTAAGAGGCATTAAGGCCCTTGCCCAAGGCCACACTTTTAGTAGGTGTCTCAGTTGCATTTCAAACTTGGGCTGCCTAACCTGGCAGATTGTGTATTTATGGTATATTACGCCTCTTCTTGGGCCTGATTTCCTCATCTATATTTGCCTTCCTCTCATAGGTAACTGGGGAGTCCAGGACTCTGCTCAGACTGTTTCCAGACTCAGTGTGGGAAAGAGTAGAGCTGGCTCACAGCTGAGGACATGGAGCAAAGTGTGACAAGAGCTAGGGCTGCAGGCTGTGGGAAGGCAGGGCAGGAAGCAAGGGAAGGCTTGACATGCCCAACCCCAGTTCAGTCATCCACAATGAAGGATCAGTGACAGAGGACCTTCAGAGGCAACAGCCCGCATAGCTTGTCCCACCTTCTCCCCAAATTGCATGATGATAAATCCTTTATTCTGTATCTTTCATAGTGGTTCTGCTGCTCTGAACCCTGGTATGCTGCCCCTGTGGAGTTTACATTTTAGACAGACAGCAGGCAGCTTAATAAATAAGTAAATTATATATATGTTTAAAAGTTAAAGGTGCTATGGAAAAAAATAAAATTGAAGAAGGAAAGGGTAAGGGAACTTAGGATACCATGGGGGTAGAGTGGGAGGCAGTGCACTGTCTGAACTAGGGTGGCCATGCTGGGCCTGACTAAGAAGGGAAGATTTGAATACAGACTTGGAGGTAAGGGGCTAGAAGAGAGAAGCATCGTGGGCAGAGGGAGCATAGAACACACTACCTCAGGCATGAGAGTGCCTGGAGTATGCCCGGAACTTGAACTCCAGGGAGGCCTGTGTGATTGCAAAGGAGAGAGAAAGGAGTAGGGCAGGAGGACATCGATCTGGAACTGTGATGGGGTCTGATCCCAGCAGGGGTTGGCAAATACAGCCCGCGGACAGCATCCTGTCCCTTGGCCTGTTTCTGTACATTAAGTCCTATTGAAGCACAGCTGCAGTTACATATCATCTATGACTGCTTTCTGGCTATAACTGCAGAGTTGAATAGTTGTGACGGAGACCTTATGGACTAGACGGCCTGATATATTTACTGAAAAAAGCTTGCTGACCTCTGGTGTAGAGCATGGAGGGTTTTGGCCTTTAAGCTGAATGAAATGAGAGCCATCCCAGGGTTTTGAGCAGAGGAGGAACAGGATCTGATTTATGTTATGTAAGAATTACTCCTGGTGCTATGTTGGGAAAAGCATGCAGCTGGGCAGGATGGAAGCAGAGAGACCCATTAGGAAGCTGTTGCACTAATCCAAACAAGATATGTTGGGGGTTTGGACCAGAGTGGCAGCAAGAGAGTTGGCGAGAGGTGCTCAGTTTCTGATTATCTTTTGAAGCTTCAGTCAAACTGACAGATTGGATTTGGAGTATGAGAAAAATGGAGGAGTCAATGAATGTATAATAATAATATATCTTAAGTGCTGGTATAAAATGATTCCTTGGAGATGTCTTGGGGACCAAAGGGGATCAGAGAGGTGCCAACCTCCCTACCCACTGGAATAGCTCTGTTTTATCTGTTTTATGTATTGGGTTTTCTACTAATACAGTTGTTCTCAACTTTGGCAGCACATTAGAATCATCTGGGGGAGCTTTAAAAGGTGCTGATGCCTGGGTCCCACCCCCCAAATTCTTCTTCAATTGATTTGGGTTTTGGCCTGAGTGTTAGGATTCATAAAGGCTTTCCAGGTGATTCTTCCATCAGCCAAGGTTGGGAACCACTGCTCTAAGATTTTCTTTGAACAAACTTTCCATTCCATGGTTTTTGAATGATGGAAAAGGACTGGTTTCAGATCTAGAAATGTGTGGTGAGATTTGTCTTTGTAATTTCAATTTTCCCAGCATTCAGCACCTTCATAAACTCCTTTATTTCCTTTGAAGGATTTTCTTTTCCCCTTTGCTCATAGCCTTGGTGGGGGAAGCACCTGTTCCCCTACCATGTAAGGTGATCTTCCTGGATCTCTTTTCTCTCTTCCCCTGGTGTGCGCAGATGGCATCTCTTTGACTTGAACCCAACGAGTTGAACACACTAATGTGAATATCAGAGGTGGTTGCAGGTGTCTTGCTGCAGCAGTGGCAGTCTGCTCAGGATTCCATGAAATGATTGCGGAGTTATTTCCTGCTTCTCTACTCTAAGAGCCCCCAGGTCCTTTCTATCCATTCCCAAGCCTAGTGCCCCAGTCTTTTGTTGATTCTGTCAGTCCTCTTTCCTCCACCCTATATGATGTTGATAAATTAAATTCCCTATTGCTTCAGTTAGCTACAGCTTGTAATCAAGAACTCTATTGATACAGAGGGCCTGAGTGGTATTTGCTCTATTTGTATCATGACATTATTCTAGTCTATTTATTTGACAACAGTGCACTGTGATTTCTTTGTTGGAAAAGAGCAAACAAGAAAAACAATCTATTGAACTGTGCTTATTCAATAGGGATAGAGAGATATGAATTGGTGCCAGATCTTTTGGAGGTTATAGCAATCATTTATAAAACTAGCATAGCTATCAATAATAACAATTTATTAATCATCTACTTGAAAGTATAAAAATTTGATTTAATATTTCTACAGATGCCAAGTCTTTGGCTGAAAAATGCCATATATGTAAAGTCAAGACTGAAGCTGGCAAGCTAACAAGATCTCAGTTTTGGGACACACTTTGGATCTCCAAAGGAAAAGGGATTTGTGTCAGTTTTTGTCCTCCAGGAAGCAGACACCAAGACAGAATTAGAAGTACAAGAGGTTTGTTGTAGAAAATATCTGTGAAATATAAGGGAAGAGGTCACAGAAATAGTTAGAACTAGTTAGACCATGCCACAGGTTTGGACACTGTGAAAGGAGAGGAGGCAGTTGGGAGGATTTGTGGAAGAACCTCAAACTGCAATGCAGTTTGGAGAAAGTCTAGACCAGCCTGATGGGGAGCTTTGGTGCAAAGATTGCCAGTTAGAGGAGTCTTGTGTTGGGCAGGAATCTCCCAGCTCCAGTAGCCCTGCTGATCTCAGTCATTGGCTGGGAGTAGCCTGGGAAGAGGGTGGCCTCAGAGAGAACACTGGGATGGATCCCAAAGATGCAGCAGCTGAAGGTGGTCCGCTAACTACTTTCCTTGCAGCAGGTTCTCTCTTGAAATATTTGAGTAGTGTACCACCGTAGAGGCCGCAGAAGGCCATAGGAGCAAAGTTTGCTTTGTAAAAATCAAAGTTGAACTCCCCAGCTGGCCCTATTATTCAAGACCACATAGGGCTTGAAAACTGAATATATGCGGACGTGTGTGTGTTATTATTATGGTTTTTGTGTGTGGTTTTAGCAGGAAGTCTTTCAATCTGTTGTTTGGGGAGGGTGGGTCTTCATGAAAAATTGATGCATTTTCTTTCCCCTACAGAAAGATCAGAAGTGGGATGCTGGGGAGGCGTTATGATATTAAACACTAGGTCCTTGGGAAGGGTAACTAATTTTTCAGAGATCTAGATCTCAATTCTTTTTGCCAGCTCAAGTTATGTTCTCCTTGTTCTCTCCTCTCTTTCACGCACCATCTATTGCTCTTTCAATACTGGATTATTTTTTATCATTATATAAACATGTTCTTTAAAATTTTTCTCTATCCCACATTCCTTTCCAATCACTCTCCCATTATTCTGCACCTATCCAAGGGCAGACACATGAGTTGTCTCTTCTACCTTTATATCCTTTCAATCTTCAACCCACTTTATTTTGTTTTATTTTGCCTTCTGAAACCTGGGTAGAACCCACTTTCATCTGACTTCACTCTCCCTGCTTCTCAGCAGTTCCATTTGTCAAGGGCACCAATGACTTCCAGTGAGCAAACCCAGTAGCCAGTTCTCTGTTCTTGCTTATGTGATCTCAGTGGCATCACATACTGTTGACACCTTCTTCTTTTTTGAAACATGTACTTTAGGTTTCTATTCATCCCACTTTCCTGGTTTCTCCCTCTTTCGCTCTGGCCACTCCCTGTCAATATCATCAACTGACTCCTCCTTAACCAAATCAAACTTTGGACTTATTTTGTTTTGGTCTTAACTGAACATTCTTCACTCCCCTCCCCTTTCCCTCCCCCACTTCCCCTGCCCATGAATTTCTTGGTCAGGGTGCTATGGCCATTTTGGGTAGGATGATTCTTTGTTTTATAGGATGTACTTTGCATTGGAAGTCTTTTAACATCCCTGGTCTCCAGGCAACTAAATTCCTTCTAGTCATTGGGGTTTGCATGAGTTCCCCGAGGCAAGCCCTGAAAGGAGGAATGTGTACATAGGGCCTATTAAGGAAGAGCTCCCAGGAGAAATGGAAAGGGTGTTGGGGGAGTAGGACAGAATAAGAGAACACACCAAGAAAGAGTAATATTTCAGTTTGCCCTGGCTTGAGACAAAAGAGCTGGGCTTTTGTGTTCCCACTTCTATCAGTCATTGGCTAAGGATGGCTGTGTGTGTGTGTGTGTGTGTGTGTTGTGGAGGCAAGTGCAATTGCGGAGAGTGGATTAGATGTGAAATCCTAAGAACTTTCAGCTCTCTGGGCTTGTAGCCAAAGTAGTCCAGTAGCTCAAAAGCAATCACTGAACCAAGTTGCAGATCCAAGCCCTTAGAAACAAAACACCCAGGAGTGAGGGGATGGACACTCAGAACTAGTAAGGAGGATTCCAGGGGATCAGCACAGACAGTGTCTGTTACAAGTGTCTGTGATGGGAACATGGATGGATCAGGGTGGGTGGAAGCTGTATATAAAGCGGTGGAAAAGGGAGAATGGGTTTGACTGATCAGACCCCTGCATCCCATTCATGACAATGATCTTTTGCGGATCTGTTTTCTGGAAAGTCTTCAGGCAGGTGGATAAAGAAGGCAACTATAGGAGTGACAGTGTGAGTTCACAGGAGCTGAATTGGCTCAGAGGCCTGCTTCCAACCTCTGGGGCCAGGAATTACTTTCTGGGATCAGCAGTACACCTTGGTATAATCAGAGGCCTGGCCTGCAAATGCCCTTCACTGCCTCTGTCTTGTCTCCTTCCAGCAGTCCAAAAGGACTTTGGTGAATGGGACACAATCCTTTGTGGGGTGGAGGGTAGGAGTTCTCCCCACCACCAGCAATGAACAGGGGTATTTGTTGTGCTGTGTCTTTTGGACTGAAGTTTTATAATTTAAAAAATCAAGAGTTTGATAATTTTAAAATGGAAAGGATAAATTCTGTTAAATATTAGGAAACTTTTGAATAAAAGATAGTACTCATAATAAAAGCACATGGCATACAAGGTGCAAGTAAGAATACTTCAGGCTGGGAAGAGAGGGAAGGATGCTTCCTTGCATAGAAATATCGAAAAGTAGAGAAGACAGTATTATCTCTCAATTCTAACACACAAGGGCAACTGATTTGAACATTTTAATATTCTTTTAAATATTTTTTCCATGTATGTTTTTCATATAATGCTTTTTTTCACATAATGCTTTTTTTCACATAATGCTTTAATAGAAATGGTTTTAAAGTAGGTCTAGGATTTGTTTGATAATTCTTCCTTCTAGAAAAGTCTCTTAATTTACCTCTTATTGAGTGTTAGAGGGACTTAGTGTCTCACTTCTAACAAATAGACTGTGGCAGAAGTATTAATAATAGTGTGTGACTTTGGAGACTAGGTCATAAGAGGGCTGTGGTCGCTTCCTTGTTTTCCCTTGGGACACTTACTCTGGGGAAGACAGTTGACGTGTGAGGATGCTCCAGCAACTCTATGGAGAGATCCACGTGGTGGCCTCTGTCAGCAGCCTTCTCCAGGGTCTCTGTCCAACAGCCAGACAGGTGCATCTTTGTGGAAACAGGTCCTGTAGTGCCAGACAAGCCTTTAAATGGATGCAACCCTGGCCAACATATTGACTACAGTCTCATGAGAGACGCTGAAACCACCCAGCTAAGCTGCTCCCAAATTCCTGACCCACTGAAACTGTACAGTAACAAATGCCTTTTGTTTTGGGATAATGTTTAATGTAACAATAGATAACTAGTATCAGGCTCTTGATATATTCAAGTTGCCTTTTCAAAAGATTATACAAATTTATTCACTCATCAAAAATAGATAAGAGTGGTTGTTTATGCCCTTTTCAATTGAATTTTTATGACTAATGAAACAAATCTTTGCTAATGCAGAAATAAATTATTATAAGTACTAGATTCTTTCATTCTGCTTTGGTTAAAATTAGAGTTGAAATAATTTTAGTGTCACTTAAAGAATTCTTTAAGTAAAGGAACCATTAACATAGGACTTTAGAAAATGCAAAGCACTGATTTATTCATTGCACTTTATTTGAGAGGATAAGAAAGGGTAGAGAAAAATATATATCATTTATCATAATATTTAAGTTAATATTATTTTTCACCTTGTCATCATAAAGTTGAATTTCTTTCTAAAGTATATATGTTTACAAAGAAGAGGAAATATTTTTCTGTAATCTTGAGAGTTATTCTTTAACAGATCCAAGGACTGTTGATCTGAAACCTTAAGACTATTAATGTTCTTTATAGGCAATTACATCTGCTATAATTTTTTGGTAGAGAACAATACCTTTTATTTAAAATTGTTTGTTTCTTAAAGAAGACGGCTTTTCTCCTCAACCTTGCATTAGCAGCTACTAACTGGCCATGACCTCACAAATCTGGTTGCAATTATCTCAAGCAGTTTTCAAGCATTGGAGCAGGGGAAATACTTGTAATCTTTTCCTCCTTACATAAGTTATACAGGTAAAGATAATCATTGTAATGTTATAATAGAATTAGCTCTTACATAAAAAATGAAGTCTCAAACTTTTAATCTATACTCTTTTGATAAATTAAAAACAGAATGAAGTTTCGACCTTAAAACATGGAGAAAGCCTTGAATGAAAAGTAACATCTGTGGTTTTCAAATAGCCTCATATATGGGAATGTGCACAGTACAATCAACTACCTTGTTATTTCTGTTTTCAAAAGCTCATCCATTTCTTTTTGTAATTATTTTGAATTTGTAGAGTACTTTAACTGTCTTCTATGAGTGAGATAGGAGAGAGCAGTAGTGCCTGTTCAATCATTGAAGCCTAAAGCTGGCTGTAACATTGTTACATGAACAGTACATGCTTAGCTGCTCATTGAATGTGGGGTGGCATATGCATGGAACAGCAAGAAACAGCATAGAAGGAAAAATGTGCAATTGAAATGAAAAACAGTTCACAATACTTACTAGCACTAACATTTTTATTTTACACTTCTGAAAAACAATGAAATAATTTATATCCCTGAATTTACTCTTACATAGTGTGTTAATCTGGGAACTTTTGAATAGGTCTTTTGTTTCTATTGACTTACCTGGGTGTTTTTTTTTTTGCTTTTTTTTTGAGACGGAGTCTCGCTCTGTCACCCAGGCTGGAGTGCAGTGGCGCGATCTCAGCTCACTGCAAGCTCCTCCTCCCAGGTTCATGCCATTCTCCTGCCTCAGCCTGTAGCTGGGACTACAGGCGCCCGCCACCATGCCAGGCTAACTTTTTGTATTTTTAGTAGAGACGGGGTTTCACCGTGTTAACCAGGATGGTCTCGATCTCCTGACCTCGTGATCCGCCTGCCTCAGCCTCCCAAAGTGCTGGGATTACAGGGGTGAACCACCGCGCCTGGACCACTTACCTGGTTTTTAAGTACACAAATGAAATCTGCTGCCTGACTCCCTATGCTATGTGATTTTCGTTCTAAATGTATAAGTGGAAAGTAACCCCTCATATAATTATATGTAGTGTCCATGAAAGCATTAACTTAGGTGACTGTCTTCTTATTATTTCAAAATACATTTTAAATATATTTTATGCAAATGTATTTTTAAATGCATCAATGCTGCATCTTAACTAAGTAGTTCAGGAAGATGATAAGCAAACAGTTTTTTATTTGCTCACTTGAACAAGCCACTTTCAGTTCTTCTCAGAATGAGGCATACCTAGACAAATATATAAGGAAAGAAATTAATGCAAACTTAAACAATAATTGCCAATTCTACTATGTTCTGACATCAAAACAGAATGGATGTTATCTTGCTCAGAGAGAGTTTATTTTTATGTGTATCAGTGACTAATGAAAAAGTTACAAGAAACTCTCAAACTTATGATAATTAGGAAAAATGTGATTTTCCCTTGCTTTCGGGTCCTTTCAAACTTTGACTTTAGAAAAAACTTGGCCTGGCCAAGTTACAAGTGCGGTGGCTCATCCCTGTAATCCCAGCACTTTGGGAAGCCGACTCAGTTGGATCATTTGAGGTCAGGAGTCCAAGATGAGTCTGGCCAACATGGGGTGAAACCCCGTTTCTACTAAAAATACAAAAATTAGCCAGGTGGTAGTGGCTCGTGCCTGTAATCTCAGCTACTTGGAAGTCTGAGGCAGGAGAATCGCTTGAGCCCGGGAGGTGGAGGTTGCTGTGAGCTGAGATCATGTCACTGCACTCTAGTCTGGGCTACAGAGTGAGACCCTGTATCAGAAAAAAACAAAAACAAAAACAAAAAAAACCCTGGACTTGACTATGTTTATTTTTGGTATGATAGAAGCATTTGATTTTATAAAGTAAGGTACAGTCCCTGCATTTGGCAGAAACATACCTTCTTTTTAATGATGGGAGAAAATCTTGGGACTCGTTCCCTGAATATGTCTTTAACCATTTCATGCCATAAAGTCACTGCCACGCTGTTCATTCATTGGTGCAGGACTCAGTTTGGGTCTTTCCCCACAGTGTTGGCTTTGAAGCATCGACCCTGCCTCCAACCTGTTGTCTGTACACCTGGAGGCTTCCTTTAAGTGTGTGGCTTGGGCTGGATAGCATCCCAGTTCTGCACGCCACCCCGCCTGAGATCTCTACTTGCTCATCACTAATCTCTAATACCAGACCCCGGTGTCTGGCATCCACTGTCCTTCCTGGCTGGGCCTTCAGTACTCTGGGCCATCACTTATCTAGGAGTGGGAATTGAACAGTCTCTGCAGAGACTGTTTTTCCTATGCATGATAATTTAGCAAACAGAGCAAAAAGTTGCTAGGCACTGCCACTTCTAATGAGTATCCCCTTCACAAAATTATATGTTTTAAGATTATAGAAAAAGAGACAACTTATGTGTTAGAAAATTAGCTAAAAGTACAGTGCTTTACATATAAAAAGATTTCCTTATCATTTTGGGTGGCTTTGGAAAAAAATAAAACATCATCGTTGAAACGATTTGTATTTAATATTTCCGGTGGCAAGTTTAAAAGTGTGAAGTACACATTAGCTTTAATTCCATTTTTTTTGTAAGAAAACCAAACCAAATCAAACCAATTTAATAGCCTTATGTGTATGTGTTAGCTCCTAAACAACCCTTCCCCCAAAATCTAGTGTCACAGCAACACACACCTTGACTCCCTAAGGACCAACATAAGTCCATTTGAGGGTGTCCTACTTAAGGTTCTAAGGCTGAAGCGATTTTATAATTCTACAACCTGTGTGTGTGTGTGTGTGTGTGTTGTTTTTTTAAGTATATTTAAAAAAAAAAAACCAACAAGATGGGGACAGGGTTGGGGGCATATAAAACAGGTTCCTGAATAGATGACAGACTTTGTCCTTTTACCCACATTCAGTTACCATGGAAGTATATAGCGTCCTTTCCTTCAACTAGGCTAAGTAGTTGTCTTTTCCATTGTTGTTCAGTAAGTTTCAGCAGTTCTACCTTGAAGTAGGTAACAGTTTGTGGAAAAGTCACTCTGGGTTGTACAAAGGTTCTCTGTATACAGTTTGTCACAAGTAATAAAGCTACTTTGCAAGACCTGCTTTTTTCCAAAATTAAAAAAAAAATCTAGTCTGTGTTTGGGGGTGATTTGTTTTTTTATTTTTATTTTTTTTGTAAAGCAGCATAGCAACAGTTGTGATTGCAGGACTTGCCTGAGGTTGTAGTCACAACCTTTGCAAACATTTGCCTATCAATGAGAACAATAAAACAGGAGGAGTTTTTTTTTTTTTTTTTTTTAAAGCAGATTCTAGAGATTTCACTCTGCATTTCTCCTTCCATGCAAGTTCTCCTATGCCTTAGCTGACCACAGTCTTGTTTTCTTCCAGGAAGTGAGGACACCGGTGTTTGGGATGGGTCAGTAGCACCTGGTTCTTCCACGTCAGCACTGATGCCTCGTTGGGAGCCATCCCTCTTGGAGATGGTGGCCTTATTCACGACTGAGCTGGCCCCCCAGGGAAAACCGGGAGAGTGGAACATGGCCACTCTGGACCACAGAGGTCTCACTGGTCTTTGTGGCCAGAGCACCGTTGAGCATGCTGGTGTACTGGTTCCACACAGCAGGTACACGCTCACCTAAGGGGCCAGGATTTCCTGGGGAAACATTTCCGATACTCTTTTTCTCTTTGGACCTATTAGAGCCATGGTATTCTCCATGGCTTCCTCCCATGGCAGGCCAAGTGACTGTTCGCCCGTGTGTCATACAGTGGACCTTCAAGGTGCCTTTGGTGGTAAAGGCTCGCCCATAAATGCTGCATACAACAGGCTTCTTGCAGTGTGCACCTGCTCGTGAATCTGAGGAGCGCTAGCGGTGCGTTCCTCCCACACTCCCATAGGCTGGGCCTCCCAGCAGGGCTGCACTAACAAAGGGCTTGCTTGGGGATGGTGCTGATGGTCCAACTGACGTGCCAGAACCCAGACTTTGTCAGCTGGGTTGGCTGGGCTTGGATAAATGTGGAAGAGCGCCTGGTCCCACACTTATGATGCTTGTCGAGGACTGCCTCGTCTTCGGGTTTGCCCATCCGCCCTCCCTCGGAGATGTCCGGCGGCTTCCCCTTCCCGTTCCCGGGTAGTCTAATGCCACTGCGGAGAAAGGCCGCTGGCAGAGTACCCGGCCCAGACCCGAGGACGCACAGCGCTGGGGAGGTGAGACTGATGTTCAGGAGTGCCCTCTCCCATCCGGCTGCAGAGTGGGATGAGGGGCGTCAGCCCTGGGGACAGACAGCTGGCAGCAGAAGGGATGTCGGTGTGAGGTAGCTTGGCCTGTTTCAAAGCGTCCAGAGACAGACCTTGGCTCCCAGCTTTCCCGCTGAGCAAAGCCACTGCTGCTGAAACCTGTGGGACACGTGGCCGCCCAAGGTCTTCAGGGTTGCGGGGCCCCGTCCGGCTAGTGGAGGGCGTGCGAGGCCCACCAGTGCGCCTGGGCGCGGATCTGCTGGGTGAGCTGGATCTGCCGTAGCTGCTGCTGCAGGCACAGGATCTGCTTGAGCACCCACGGGATCCTGTTGGCGCCAGGCACTCGGGCTCCGTGGACTCACCACCCTGCAGTCCCCACAGGGGCACCTTAGTGTTGGCCACTTTACCTTTGGGTGTATAGCTTATGTCCTGGGGTGCCTGTCTTTAAGTACCCGACTTTTCCTTCATGTGCCCTGGGCTGCCACCATTCTCCCTGTGGCCGTACTTCCTGCTTGGACTGGGTGGCTGGTGGCTCAGTACAGACTCGAGGAAGTCTTCTGAAGGCACCGGGCCCTCATTGTCTGTCATTCATGATGAGGACACGTGGATTTTTAGTGCAATTTTTCTTATGTTCCAAGAATTCAGAGATGCCAAAGAACTCCACACAGCGTTTCTCATAGACATGCGTCTCCTCCCCTCGAAGCTGATTTACAGGGCCTTCGTCCTCACTCCTTCCATCTTCATTCCCTGGGACACACGGCTTTCCTGCCGGCGCCGCTGGGGCCGGGTCTGCGAACTTGGGGATTGGCCACTGCGGCTGCTGCTCGCCCTCGTCCTCCTCGGAGATGATGTGCTGGGCTATCCCCTGCTTGCACCTCAACATGGTGCGAGCATTGGGGTGCCAGGAGAGCCACAGATATTTGCCCTCTACGGCAGAAATTCCTGGAGTTGGGAAATATCTCTTCTTGAAAAGACACCAAATCTTCAATAACAAAAGTGTCCCTTTTAAACTCATGGTAGTTACCATGACCATTCCAGTCCAAACTCCTCATACAGCCTAACTCCCCCGCGTGCTCTCTTTCCGCAATGATTGCTCTTGGCTGGTCTGCTTCGTAAACTTTTATTTCCCCCATAACCCACCTGAAATATCTTCCCTGTGAAATCTTTCATCTCCCTTCTTCGAGTTGAGTCCATCCTACTTGATGCCACGACTTTATATTGAATATAACACCATTTCTTACACTGATTTATAACAATTCATCCTTCTGTTCCAGACTTTGAACTCCTTGAGGATAGAGCTCTTTTCTGTTTTGTGACTACTGAATCTGGGTGCTCATGAAATATGTGTGGCATCAATGAATGGCGTTGAGAAGCAATGAAAATCCAGACCCAGTAGGTGACTGGAAATATTAAATTGTGATACGGCCATCAGACTCTGTGACACAAATTGTTTTATTAACCTGCTGGCTGCAGTGACTCAAAACCTGTAATCCCAGCACTTCCACAAGCCTAGAGAGCCATTTGAGCCCAGGAGTTCAAAACCTGCCCCTGCAACATATCTCTACAAAAAAATAACATGTCTCTACAAAAAATAAAGAAAATAGCTGGGCGTGGTGGCACCCACCTGAAGTTCCAGCTACTTGAGAGCTGGATGGGAAGATTGCTTGAGCCTGGGAGGTCAAGGCTATAGTGAGCAGTGATTGTCCTACTGCACTTCAGCCTGGGTGACAGAGCAAGACCTTATCTCAAAAACAAAGCAGCCAACCAAACAAAAAACTGAAAACATTAACCCCAGTCTGTGAAAGATTAGACCATAGCCAACTCTGGTGTGTGAAAGCAAAGTTGACTGGGTTTCAATAATATTCCTTCACTCTAGCTGGCTGGAAGAAATGCTAAGTCAATGCTTTTCTCTTTGAAACCAATATATTTTTATTTGGTTTGTCATTTATTAACCTCTGAATAACTTGTTATGGGTCAAGTGATAGAGTTGCAAGAGGGATTGCTTTGAGACAGGCTGGCAGGATGCCCAGGCAGGCTCTCTTGAGTGCCATCATCCTAGAAGTGCTGCCCTATTCTAGGCTGGGTTCTTTGCTTTCCACAACCTTGACATTTCATTCAGTGTAGAAATGATCATGTAACCAAACCCACAAGACTGATGTATATTAATCGAGATCTCAGTCTGTTCATTGACAATGAAAAGTATAACTGGCAAGCAGATAAGAAATTTCTATTAGCTGATTAGTGTGTTCCTACCTCTTTAGGAAAACATGAGTGGGAAACCAGTGTTTAAATCAAAAATTGTTTAGTAGATCTCGATGAAGAGAGAGAGAGCAAGTGTCGTTGAGCCATGAGAATTGGAGGCTCCACCTTCCTCCTGGCCCCCAGCTGCCAAGCTGACTGGATATTTGCATTTAGGGGCTGCAGTAGTCTTTTCCCTGGATGGAGGAACCTACTAAAAAATCCTTGTCTTTTGACTTCCCGCTTACAAGGAAGTCAGCCCACCCCAATGCATTCAGTTCCTACTACTAACAGGATTTATTCAGGCAAGGCAAAATAAAACTGTCTATTTTAATATAAAATTCTCATGTTAGAATTATAATCTAGTAAGACTACTGTCACACTGTTCATCCTGGATGCCTTGATTGGACTTGAGAGTATTTTCAAATCCCTGCAGCCCACATTTTTCTTGAATTAATTTCTACATTTAGCTAATCTCATCCATTATGTATTAACTCTTATTAGCTTCATTCTTAGAAAATGGCAACATTATTTATAGGTTTTGAGGGCTCAGAACTTTCTAATGTTAGCATAGTTTGGGGGCACTTGGTTCACTGCTACACTCCCTGTAAATACTACTTGATAATTGTCCCTTAAGCTGTGCCTTTTAGACCATTAGTCCCATGTATTGTGTGTCATAAATTCATATTAGTGGGTTCTCACTGGCAGCTTGAAAAATGAAATAGAAAATATTGGAATGCATGGCACATTGTGAGGTAAATATTATTTTATATGTATCCTCTGTGTTAGGTTGTAAAATGTTTTTTGAGTGTGGATTGTGGTTCAAATAATTTGTTAACCACTCCCTAGAACATAGAGCTTTACCCTCTGTCTTAAAGAACAAGATATTCTTTGTGTATGAAGGTGTTAGACATTTATTTGCCTAAAACCTTGGCCATGTTATTTAGAGGAGAGTATATACTCTACATCAGAGACCTGCAGAAATGTCTCATACCAGGGAGTGTGTGACAAGAGCAAAGGTTAAAAAATAGGTACAAGGCATATAAAGCACAATGTGGCATGAGAAATCTGCTGGGAGAAGAGATAATAGAACACGTGGACCCTGGCTGGTCACTGCTTCTCTGTTGCTCAAGGCTGTCTTTTGTACCTGGAGCTTGGGTTCCTGACTGTTAAAGCTGAGCTGTGCTGAATGTACCAAATTCCAGTGAATACAGGTCCACAGTGACCCTTGCTCAGAGTCAACCAGTCAGAACAAACTAAGACATTTTCACATGAAATTCTAATTTTCTTAAGAAATTGCTTTCATAAGCATAAAAATGCAGCATATATTTGGGTACTCCAAGATACTAAGTGTTTGGAAGACTCTTAGAGGTACAAATACATTTTAATTTCTTTTTTTCTGAGGTCCAGTTTATTTCCTGTGGCTAATGTGTCTGTGGATGGGAGGTGCTGAGTATTTGAAAATGTCAGACTGCATTATTCATCCTTAAGTTTACCCATCCAGTTGTCTGTCCATCTCTCTGTCTATCCATCCACTCCTTGTTGAGCACCTATGTGCTCTGTGCAAGCAGTTTGCCCTCACATTATGTATGTGTTAGGAAATCTCGGGTTGGAAGGGCATTAAAAAGTTATTTGATATCATTCTTATTAGATGTATGCATCTTCTCTGTAGATCTCCTGGCAGGTGATAATTCAGTTTTTTGCAATCATAGGAATACACCCCCTCTAAGAAAGTTCTTCCTTGTGTTAAACTAAAACCTGCTTTCCTCTAGCTCCTCTCAGAAGACTCTTATCTTAGCCCCCCAGCCAAAGATACTGAAGAGGCACCCATTGCCTACTTGCCCACTCTAGTTTCCTAGCCAGTTCTTCAATTGGCTGGTTTCTGAGCCAATCCTAAACTAACTTGATGGCACCTTAGGATTTGCATTCCCATCAGATCACAGAATCAAGACCATATCTGACATATCTGATGTGTGGTAGGTCTAAGGTGTGCCCTCATTCCAAACTATACCATTTAAACCCACACTCTGGGTGCATAATCCTTGTACCTTTGCTTTCTCTGGTTTTGGGTGGTTACTCCAGGATCCCTCTTGGATTGATATCCATTCTGAATCTCATCTTAACTGGGGTCTTGAAAGCCTTCTAGCCTTATGCTGATCTGCTCTCTCCAGACATTGGATCGATAGGATCTTATTCAACCTGAATGGTCTTCCCCCGGCACTACAATGCCCAGCAGATGAAACCCTTGGGAACTGATGTCATCTGAAAATGAACCTGAGCTTACTTCCTTGAGGCGAGTTCTAATGCCAAATGAGCTCTACAACTTTGGCACTTTCTTCTCTGTCGGGTCTTATCTTTAAGGTTCCAACCTGCTTCTCAGTGAAACGTTTCAAGTTATGGATATCAGTATTAATTCTGCATATTGGTTATAATTATAACCCATGGGACCATGCATATGATAGCTTTTAATATATTTGAATATGGTTACTGTTTCAACTATTTCTTGCTGCATAACAAACCACCTCAACACTCAGTGGCTTAACACAACAACTATATCTTATTTGCTAGTGATTTTGCAAAAGCCCAGTGGGGAAAGCTCATTTTTACTTCATATGGCATCAGGCGGGGTGGCTTGAGGAGTTAAGGCTCTACTGCAAGTGGCTCATTTACATGGGCTGGCAAGTCTATGCTACCTATTGGCAGGGAACTCAGCCTCACTTGCTGGCTGGGTGCCTTAATTCTGCCACATGTAGACCTATCCTTGTAGCTGCTTGGGCTTCCTTCTAGCATGGTGGAAGAAAAAGCAAGTGAAAGTTGTCAGTCTTCTTAAAGACTGGACCTGGTACTATTACAGTATCACTTTCTCTTCATTCTTTTGGTCAAAGTGGTCACAGATTCAGCCCAGATTCTAGGGCTGGACAAATAATTCCACTTCCTAATGGAGGGAAGTGACAAAGATTTTCAGCCATCTATAATTCACTGCAGTTACCATAGGCACATTTTGTGCTGTCCACCTTGATTCACCCCTCATTCCCCCTTCTTCAGTCTTTTTTATTGCCTAGGCTAAAAATTCCTTGTTACTTTCCCACTACTTATGTGACAACAATTCAAGTCTTATCAATATATAAACATCATTTACTTTCTAAACAATAATTATAGTCATGGCAGGAATTGAGACAGGTGCTAGTGATACTTAGATGACTAAAATATGGATCCTGTCCTTAAGGAACTCATAGATTAAAAACATAACATTTTTTTCCCTCTGATATAATTCTAATCTTCCCCCCGCCAATAAGCATCTCACCAAAAACTTCATGACATATTTTTAAATGTAAGCTTATTATGGAGAATAAAACATGATTTCCATCTTCTTCCTGTTAAAGCTTATGTGTTTTTCGATGCAACCCAAGGTCAAGTTAACTTCTTTAAGAGTTATATTTCACTGTTGGTTGACACTGAGCTTATTGATGATTATGACCCTAAGGCTGACTTTTCTAATGTCCTGCTGGTATGGCATGGTTCCTCTATCTTGTACTTGGAAAGCTAAATTTTAGATTCAATTTGTCTATTTAATAGTTGTCCTTGTAAAGTTTTACCCTATTATGCCTAAATTACTGCTATAGCCTATCAAGATGATTTAGATCCTAATCTGTCATCCAACATACCAATGTTTAGCCAACACAAAGCAATGGCTGTGCCCTTAGGTGTTCAGACAAGTAATTGATAAAAGGCTTAAACAGGCTAGGTGCAGAACCCTGTGACCTGCCACTAGAAATCTTCTAGGATGACAGGGGATTCTTGACTCAATTCTTTCATTGTCCCTGCACCCAGGCCATAACATTTCATTAGATCCAACAGCATATCATTACAAATGTCTTCAAATATCCTGCTGAGATTCAGATACTTTGCATCTACTCATTTCGTAGATATTGTGTTCCAGGAGCCTGGTTGAAGAAGGAAAAACTGTCAAACAAATGTAACATTTTCTTAATGAAAATATACTGTGCCCCAATCAGTACTACTTTATTTTTTAGGTTCTTACTGACTTAAAAAAAATGGTGCAAATCACACCCATTTGAAGAATACAACTTTGATGAGTTTTGACAGAATTATGTGTATATCCTTGAAACCACACTGCACCACAAACACAGAACATTCTATCATCTTCCACGATTTTCTCCTCTTCTTTCCAGTTATTCCTTCCCTCCATCCCCATGCCCCAGCCAACCACTGATCTCCTTTCTGTCATTATAGGTTAGTTGCATTTTCTAGACTTTCATATAAGTGGAATTATGCACGCTGTACTTTTTTGTGTTTGGCTTCCTTTACTCAGTACAATGATTTTGAGATTCACCCGTGTTGTGGCTCTGTCAGTTGTATGTTCCTTTGTACTGCTGAGGGGTATACTGTTGTAGGGATATAACACATTTTGTTTATCCCTTTCCTGTTGGTGGACATTTGTTTCAGTTTTTTTTTGTTATAATGAATAAAGCTGCTATGAATATTCATGTACAAGTCTTGGTGTGGACATGTGTTTTTATTTCTCTTCAGTACCTGGACTACTTCTCCTTTTTTGTTTTTTTGTTTTCCCTTTTACCCAGACTTTTCCTGCCTCAAATTAACATCAGTTTCACCATTTTGCAGCTTCTAAAACCAAACTTACGTCCTATTTTGAAAACAGCAGCAAAAGTTATCCACCTCCAACCTTCTGGTTTCTTTTGATATTCCTCAAAATGTTTTCCATTTACAAGTTCCCTCAATTCTTAGTATATAATTCATCCATTTGGAGAATTTATTCTCTTTTAGCTAGCAAGTTTTGGGGTAAATATTATTGAGGATTTAAAATGTGTGTCAGACTAAGCACTTTATGTACATTATCTAATTTCATGCTTATAACAATCATAAAAGAGAGATACTATTTTTATTTTACTTTTTAACAGATGAAGAAACAGAAACATAGAGAGATGAAGCAACGTGCCTAAATTCTGACAGCTGAGGAACTAAGCTTTCAAGCTACGTGTTTCTTTCTGGAGTTGGAATCCAAACCATTTCACAATATAAGATTGACAGTGGTGATAAGAGAACTGGGCATACAATGTGATGAGTGTTTCTAAGAGAGAAAGATTACTCTGAGTAAGGAAAATGGTGAATTTCCTTGACAAGGAGGTGATAACAAAAGTGGATCTTGGAAACCGGGATGAATTGGATATGCTATAAAGTTCAAATGGAGAGGCACATGAGCAGAAGCCGGAACGGGTGAGGGGTAGGAACAGGTGAGCCATCTAGCTGCCTCAGTATAGAGATCTATGGATTAGTGGGAGGCTGGGAAAAAGCGGCCATGAGAGTAGGTGCCACCAGGGAGAGATTGTAGTCAGACCAAAACTGCGCTTTGAATGCCAGACTAGGGAGCTGACCCTGACTGTAATTGTGATGAATGGCATGAAATGCTTAGGCTGTGCTTTAAGATTAATATGATGTCTTTAAAAGGGGTAAGGCAGTCAAATTAGGAAAGCAAATTAGGAATCTGCTCCACTTAAAAAAAAATGGTAGCAGGAGTCTGAATCATAGTGGTGGCAATGGCAAAGTTTGGACAGAAGAGTCACTAACTCTGGTAAATATTAGACATTCAAATTATTTTTATATCATTTACTGTTTTTGGCTCATCTTGCAGCTGCTTCTCTACATTAATATAAATTAGCTTTAAGTACTTAATTGCGATTATGCCCATTGATATTTTTCTAAGGTACAAACAGAGCTTTCAAATTATGCCATTTGCATGTAAAAGGAATTAAAATGTAAATCAATTAAAATTATCCATTTATTTAACTCATTAAATATGCTGCTTATTATCCTTACTTGGGTAATATTGAGTTAGTATCTTTCAGGTGACATCTCTTTTTGTTGATGTTTAAAAGACTTCATAATGTTTTACAGTTACATAAGCATTTAACAAAAGTAGTTGACTTAATAAAGTTTAAGTATAAAATTGAAGAGCTTACAGAGCACTCACATATATTTTATTCATCGAGGTATAATTTAGATGCCGATCTTAATGCACAGATCTTAAATGCACAGCTTGATGAGTCTGACAAATATATGCATGAACATAACATCACCCCAACAAGATATAGAACACCCCAGAAAGTGCTCTTGTTCTCCCAGCAGTCTATCCCTGCCCCACTCCGATTTGTATCACCATAGATTGTTTTTGACTTCTAGAATTTCACATAAATTGAATGACACAATATGTACTGTTTTACATCTAGCTACTTTCACTGAACATAATGTTTTAGAGATTTGTCCGTGATTCTTGCATGGATCTATGGCTCTTGTCTTTTTATTGCTGAGTGGTGTTCTGGTGTATAAATATGCCACTGTTTAGCCGTTCTCCTGTGGATTTGGGTTGTTTCCAGTTGTGAGCCATGCTGTGTTGCTATGAATATTTTTGTGCAGGTCTTTTTGTTGACATATGGTTCCATTGTTTTAGACAAGTACCTAGGAAAGCAATGGCTAGATCACATGGCAGGTGTATGTTTAACTTTTAAAGAAAGTGCTAAACTGTTTTCCAAAGTGTTTATATTTTTCAATATATTTTAGAGAATGGTTATGGACTTCTTGTTTGTATATAGCCCACCATAAGAATTGATTAAGAATGCAATACTCATGTTAAGCTTTCAATGATATTTCCTGACAATGAGAACTTTGTGATGACAGGTGGCTTTCTTAGCCATCAATACCATTTCCTCTGTAACTATGCTGTAAATTAGGGGTGACCCCTGAGCCTCTGCTAGTAAGAACTTCAGTATCTGGAAGGTGAACATGAAACCCTCCAAGGTGTTTTTAAGTGTTGCCTGAAGGAAAAACATGCTGTAATGTCACATAAGTTAATAATTTTAAGGAGCCTATAGGCCTGATGGCGGAATTAAATGCTTAACAATAATTCAAAAATGGCTTACGGAAACTTAAAAATGTGAATCATTTAGTGAGGCTGAAATTATGCTCCTGACATATATGTGTGACACATGAGAGCAGTTACCTGGGAATTTATTACCAGCTTCTGAGCAAACAAAGCCTGACCTACATTTGACTAAAGTCAGCTGTCTCTGGTTAATCCTATGGGCTTCTTTTTATTAATGTCACAATTGCTAATGTGGTATAACATTGTCATTACTGAATAGCACAGCGGGATGAGCTGCAGCTGTTATTTCTCTTTCTGAACCTACTGAGTCATTAAATCTGAGTTTGGGGGAATACAAGTTGTAAAGATTATTCAAATTCTGATTGAGAAATAGGACTACTGGGAAATTGTAGGTACATAAAGTAAAACTTCTAATCAATCAAGATTCCTTTTTTTTGTGAGGCTTGAATGTTCGGAATTGTTCCTTACATTTAATTTGAAGTCTAATGTCAAGGAAATAGAAGGTGAACGTAAGAAAATAAAAGAACAATAATAATTAGATGTTAATCCTTTTTTTTCTGATGAAAAGTGATATATTATTACTGGGAAAGTATTAGAAAGATAATTTTCCTTCAAAAAATTATAAACATTTTATTTTAAGAATCCTAACATTAAGAAGGATATGCTTTTGTTCTAATCAGCCAGAGAATAGCCAGTTTCTCTATAATAAATCTAAGAGGAATTTTGTTGTATTTTTTTTGTAGCTATTATTTTCAAAAGTTTCTATGTTCTTTTAGAATTCTTACTTTGCCTTTGGTAACCATTAGTACTTTGTAAGGGGTATGATCTTACAGTTCCCAAACAGAGCCAAGGTACCTTGGGGCGCCTTAGAAATATTTGTTTTACAGGAAAGGACAGAGATATTCAATATTTGTTGGAAAACACGTAAAGTACTAGCCTAAGAGAGCTGACAGTTTCTTCAATAGATTACACTGCATTCCTTTCAACAGCGTCATCTATTTTTGAAGCTGGGTTCTTGACAGTTGTTGTGATAAGCAGCAATTACCACACCAAAAGCAATGTGCAAAGGGAAACAAGGGGGACTCCAAAATTTGAGAAGTTGTGCAGTGCCCAATAGATTCACACACTGCAATAGATAGTCGTAGTTATTAGGTTGGGGCAAAAGTAATTGCGGTTTTCGCCATTAAAAGTATGGCCAAATCGTAATTACTTTTGCACCAACCTAATATTTAAGGAAAAAATAAGAAATTTTTTCTTCTTTCAGCTTATGTGTGTAATTTTTTCAAATGGCTACTAAGATGTTAGGACAAAAAAACCCTCAGTAAGTTGTATGGACCTGACTACTTAATAAACAGAACAGTTGGGTATTTCTTTTGGACTGCGCCATTGTGAAAAGATTACAGAGGCAGTGAGGACTCTGTGAAGTCAGATATTTTAGAAACCTCTGGTATAATCTCTTAATGTGCTTTTGAAGTTATTTTTAATAAAGTTGAGAGCAACAGAGCTCAGCACTGGCATTTCTGAAACTCTTTTCTTCTAGATGGTATTTTGGAAGTCAGCCTTCTGCAGTGGTATTAGATGGTTGACTAAGCAAAAAATTTAAATTGAAAAAGCCTGTCTTTTGTATCATACCCCACAGATGTAGAAGTCTAGCTACTTGAACTGCCAGCCTTACCCCTTTACTTAAAGTGTGATCTGTGGACCAGCAGCTGATAAAGGCAGAGTCTCAGGCCCCACCCCAGACCTGTTGAGTCAGAACCTGCTTACAACAGACTACAGGTGATTCAGGTGTGCATTAAAGTTGGGGAAGCGCTGCCCTACCACTCATGTTTCATCCCACCTCAGCCTCCTTAGGTGGAATCCCTCATTCTCTTCGAATGCGTCTTTAAAAATGATTTTCCCTGTGACCTATTTGTTTCGGGTTTTACTATTTACCAGTTAAACTAGGCCTTCCTAATGAATAAATGCCTGATGGTAGTTGAAATGTGCTGTCATTTCCCAGGTAACCTAAGAATTTTGGAAGAAGCTTCATTTAAATCATTATCTAACCCATGGTTTAAAAAATATCTGACTGTAATGGTCTGAACGTTTGCGTCACTCCTTTTCCCAAGTCCGTAAGTTGAAGCTCACAGTGTAATGGATATTTGAAGATGGGTCCTTTGGAAAGGTAATTAGGGTTAGAAGAGGTCACGACGGTAGGACCATCATGATGTGTTGTACCCTTCTAAGAAGAGACACTAGAGAGACCTAAACCTGCCTGTCCCCAGGGAGAACCAAGACGAGGTCCCATGAGCACACAGGGAGATGGTGGCTGCCTACAAACCAAGAGAAGAAGGCTTCAGTGAAACTTTCCTTGCCAGCACCTTGATCTTGAACTTAGAACTGTGAACTGTGAGAAATAAATGTCTGCTTTTAAAGCCATCCAGTCAATGGTGTTTTGCTATGGCAGCCCGAGCTAAGACACTGACTATAACCACCTCCTGGCACTCTTGGGGGCCCTGCATATTCTGATCCAGTGGTTCTGTGGCTCAGAAATCTGTTTATACACAGTCCACCTAATGAGTATTATGATGAGACATTTTACTAACCCACTACTTCCCAAATTTAACCTGATTATTGGAACCACCTGAAGACTTGTTGTGAATTCCCAGGACCCTCCTGGGAGCATCTGATTCAGTGTGCTTGGGATGGGACCTTAGGAATCTGTGTTTTTAACAAGCATCCTAGATGATTCTGATAATGAGGTAATTTGGGGAAAATTTTTTAAACCCAAGTAATAAAATTATTGGAATTGTGAACACTTGTTGTATATGGGCAGGGAAATATTGTGGGCTTCTTGATTTATGGGATCCTCCTACTGAGGTGGCTCCAGGAAAAGCTATGAAGCTGGCAATGTTTATTTTTCAGGCCCTTCCAGCTTCCCTTGCAGTGTTCCTGCCTCTTTTCCAGGAGACCAGTGCTATTCTCAGCCCCCTGCATTCGGGTATGCTCTTGGATTCTGAAGCACTTGGAAGACATGTGACAAGAAAGCTCACACTAAAGGATGTATATATGATAGTTATAACAATGCAGTATTCTTTCCATGTATGCTTGCGGTTGAATACGGGGGCAATTCTTTTTTTATCTAATAAATGAAAGGCAGTATGGGTACAGGTATATGTGTGAGATAGTAATGAGAGATAATAATTTTAAGGCAAGAGAACTTTGTTCATGCTCCTCTTATCATCTTTCATAAGAGGTCATCTAATCTAACTAAGCACGAATAAGTTGGTTCCTAGTTTTTGCTGTTGGCTTCCAACGGTTCTGAAAACTCTCAGCAGAAGTGTCTAAGATTTTCTAAATGCAGAAACTTTGAAAACCTGTAACACTGAGTTGTTTTTATATTATAAATGGCTTCAATGTTTCTCAGTGCAGCCAAATCACCTTTCTGTCTTCTCTTTTAGTTTCAGTTTTGAGGGTGAGGCTCACTATACACCCTGACATGGGCTTCCCTTGTGTGGAGCAGAAGGCACAGATATTGGCTATGTGAGATGGGAGCATGGGAGGTTAAAAGTGGGGAAGGGCCACTTTACAGCAGCAGGAGCTAAGGCCCAGTGGGGAGTGACTGCTCTGTGCTCCAGAGTCAGTGAATAGCAGGGCTAGGATGGGAACTTGAGTCTCCTCATTCAGGTTCTGGTTTTACAAGTTATGAAAATAACCATAGCAAACACTTACTGAATTCTAAGTATGTCCCAGGCACTGTCCTATGATCAGCACATATGCTGTCACTGTTCTAAGTACCCATGAGATCTTTGTATTTATACCACATTCAAGGTAGATGCTATTACCGTCCTCATTGTACAGATAAAGAGACATAACTAGAGGACACCATAACTTAGGTCCAACTGTCTTTTATTTACTGAGTATTGGATCCTTGTGACAGTCACAAATTTCTTCCCTTCAGCTCCAAATTCCTCTTTGAGTATTTGTTCTATGAGAATGGACTGGACTTTTTAAGCACTTCTCCTCAGTGAGCATGATGCTAAACTCTGTCAGTAGAAGGTGTTAGAGGGATGTTGCGAGAGGAATGGGGCTTCTCTTCCTTGTCCTGGTTGCTTGTGCTTTCTCCTGCTCCTGTTTGATCAGGCTGTGGTGCACGTATGGGGACACAGTCTGTGGTGCTCTGCCCCAGCAGTGTATCTGAGTGGGCAATCCCTTAGCAACTTTCCAGCCCCAGCCCGGTCCCAGAGACCATTGTTCTCTGGCCCTCCTGACAAGGACATTGCATGCTTCTGGCCTTGTACCTGCAGAGGCACCCTGACTCCACCTGTGCATGCTCCCACCACCCTCAGCTGGGATGTGCTCCAGAGGTTTTGCTTCTTGTGGCTCTCCTGATGTGGACCCCATGTGCTCTGGGCCTTGCACCTGCAGTGGTTCCCTGACTCTCTGCATGCCCAGTTACCAGCCACTGCTCACTTGTGCCCTGAAGGGCTGCTGCTGCTTTTCTAACAACACTGGACCAGCCCTGGCCCAGGCAAAACTGTAAACTTCTACATTGTCTAGTAAGGGTGCAACCACACCTTCCATGAGGTCTGAACCTCAGTCTTAAGGTGGGGGTTCCCCTCCAAGTTTGTTTTTCCTTGGATACTCTCCAGTGGTCCAAGGCATCCTTTAGGTTCTCTTTATATCTTTATAGTTATTCTCTTAGCATCGTTTAATAATTCTCTATATTAAACTTCTGTTTAATTATTGTGTGGCTTCTGTCTCCGGATTTCCTGATTGGACCCAGATTGACACATTTATCCTCATTCCCCACTCTGTCCCCAAAGTAGATAATCTCTTCAGCTGTCTACTTTGCTTTGTTTATGACTTATTTACCCAAAGGTATTTTTTTATGACAGCAATATATTTTTTTAATTTTCCATAGGTTATTGAGGTAAGGTAGTATTTGGTTACATGAATAAATTATTTAGTGGTGATTTGTGAGATTTTGGTGCATGCACCCATCACCTGAGCAGGATACACTGCACCCTATTTGTAGTCTTTTATCCCTTGTCCCCCTCCCACCCTTCCCCCAAAGTCCCCAAAGTCCACTTTATCATTCTTATGCCTTTGTGTCCTCATAGCTTAGCTCCCACATATCAGTGAGAACATACGATGTTTGGTTTTCCATTCCTGAGTTACTTCACTTAGAATAATAGTCTCTAATTTCACCCAGGTCACTGCAAATGCTGTTAATTCATTCCTTTTTATGGCTGAGTAGTATTCCATCTCATATATATGTGTGTGTGTGTATATATATATATGTACATATATGTGTATATATATTCACATATATGTACATATGTGTATATATGTACATATATGTGTATATATATTCACATATACATATGTGTATATATGTACATATATGTGTATATATACATATATACATGTGTATATATGTACATATATGTGTATATATATTCACATATATATACATATGTGTATATATGTACATATATGTGTATATATATACACATATATATGTATGTATATATATTCACATATATATACGTATGTGTATATATGTATATATATGTGCATATATATGTGTGTGTGTATATATCTCTCTCTCACAGTTTCTTTATCCACTCATTGATTGATGGGCATTTGGGTTGGTTCCACATTTTTGCAATTGTGAGTTGTGCTGCTATAAACATGCATGCACAAGTGTCTTTTTTGTATAATGACTTCTTTTCCTCTGGGTAGATACCCAGTAGTGGGATAGCTGGATCAAATGGTAGTTCTACTTTTAGTTCTTTAAGGAATCTTCACACTGTTTTCCATAGTGACTGTACTAGTTTACATTCCCACCAGCAGTGTAGAAGTGTGCCTTGGTCACCGCGTCCACGCCAACATCTACTGTTTTTTTATTTTTTGATTATGGCCATTCTTGCGGGAGTAAGGTGGTATCACATTGCGGTTTTGATTTGCATTTCCCTGATCATTAGTGATGTTGAACATTTTTTCATATGTTTCCTGACTATTGGTATATCTTCTTTTGAGGATTGTATATTCATGTCCTTAGCTCACTTTTTGATGAAATTGTTTATTTTTTTCTTACTGATTTGAGTTCGTTGTAGATTCTGGGTATTAGTTCTTTGTCAGATGTATAGATTGTGAAGATTTTCTCCCATTCTGTGGGTTGTCTGTTTACTCTGGTGACTGTTCCTTTTGCCATGCAAAAGCTCTTTAGTTTAATTAAGTCCCAGCTATTTATCTTTGTTTTTATTGCATTTGCTTTTGGGTTCTTGGTCATGAAATCGTTGCCTAAGCCAATGTCTAGAAGAGTTTTTCCAATGTTATCTTCTAGAATTTTTATAGTTTCAGGTCTTAGATTTAAGTCCTTAATCCATCTTGAGTTGATTTTTGTATAAGGTGAGAGACGAGGATCCAGTTTCATTCTCCTACATGTGGCTAGTCAATTATCCCAGCACCATTTGTTGAAAAAGGTGTCCTTTCCCCCTTTATGATTTTGTTTGCTTTGTTGAAGATCAGTTGGCTGTATTTGGGTTTATTTCTGGGTTCTCTATTCTGTTCCATTAGCCTATGTGCCTGTTTTTATACAAGTACCATGCTGTTTTGGTGACTATGGCCTTATAGTATAATTTTAAATCAGGTAGCATAATGTCTCCAGATTTGTTCTTTTTGCTCAGTCTTGCTTGGGCTATGCAGTCTCTTCTTTGGTTCCATATGAATTTTAGAATTCTTTTTTCTAAGTCTGTAAAGAATGATGGTGGAATTTCGATGGGGACTGCATTGAATTTGTAGATTGCTTTTTGGCAGTATGGTCATTTTCATAATATTGATTCTACTCATCCATGAACATGGGATGTGTTTTCATTTCTTTGTGTCATCTATGATTTCTTTCAGCAGTGTTTTGTAGTTTTCCTTGTAGAGGTCTTTTGCCTCCTTGTGTAGGTATATTCCTAAGTTTTTTTTTTTTTTTTTTGCAGCTATTGTAAAAGAGATTGAGTTCTTGATTTGATCCTCCCCATGGTCATCATTGGCATATAGAAGTGCTACTGATTTGTGTAATTGCTCTTGTATCTGGAAACTTTGCTGCATTCTTTTATCAGTTGTAGGAGCTTTCTGGAGGAGTCTTTGGGGTTTTCAAGGTAAATGATCACATCGTCAGCAGACAGTGACAATTTGACTTCCTCTTTACCGGTTTGGATGTCCTTTATTTCTTTCTCTTGTCTGACTGCTCTGGCTAAGACTTCCAGTAGTCTGTTGAAGAGGAATGGTGATAGTGGGCATCCTTGTCTTATTCCAGTTCTCAGAGGGGGTGCTTTCAACTTCTCCCCATTCAGAATTATGTTGGCTGTGGGTTTGTGTATGAGAGCAATATGATGATAGTCCTATCTCTTTGAGCTCAGAGAGCGGACCAAGTGATATCTAGTAATTGATTAATTCAGCAACACATTCATTCATAAAAACTTTTAGTAAGGGTGTATTTTGTGCAATCTGCTGGGGTATACAAGATGGATTAAGGCAATCTTTGCCCTGACGAACTCACAGTCCTATAGAGGAGACAGATATTTAAACAGAAATATTACAGGACAATATGATAGCTACTGAGAAATGAACAGAATGCTCTGGGAACACAATGACGGAATCACTCATTCTGTCTGACAGTCAAAGTAGCCACGTTTGAACTGGATCTGGAAGAGTTTACTCAACTGTAAAACATATGAAAATCCATCTATGTGGATAACTTTAGACTAAGTTTCTAAACAACCTTTTTTATTGGAGAGAGAAGATGTTAATATACTAGTAAAGGTAACATATAAAGGAAGATGACAAAATATGATCACTTTGCTGGGAGTCAGAGGCCAGGTCTTGTAATCAACTCACTAGGGGACCCCGGATACACAATAAATATCACAGAACTAAGTGTCTCTGTCTACAATTTGAGACTATTAAATTACATAGTCCCTGAAGTCTCTTCTAATTCTAAATGGTATATAATTTAATATAATGCATTTGAATAGCAGATGCTCTATTTACAAAGCAAAAGTATTCTTTTTCTTTAAAAAAGTGAGGTAATGTTTGGTTAAATAATAGAAGATACCTTCGAGGAAATCTCACAAATAGATGTCTTTATTTGGGCGAATTTGCTTGTCCCTTGCTGGCTTATTTGTCTTTAAGAAATGTTTATAATTATGAAGTTCTGGCCCTGTAATGGATGCTTTATGTTTCTGAGCAAATGATAAAGTAAATCTTGCCAACAGCCTTGATGTTTTGACACATCTCTAATTACACTGGTGGCTATAGATGGATGTTGCTAGGGATCAAATGGTAAAAGGGCAGATCATCAGATTTCATATCTGGGACATTTTTCACAGGCCAGATAGAGAAATTGAGAAATAGATTCTTCAATGATTATCAGAGGTTAGGAGAAAAATATCCAGAGTCTTTGTATATTATTTTTCAGTACAGGGTTGTTAAAGGTCTGAGATAATATTAGTATTTAAAATTATTTTAAGATATCTAACACTGGAGATGACCTATGGACTTTTCAAGAGATTCTACTTGTTCTGTCTATAATAGCTTAATGTTATGGCTGGGGAAATGAGCTTTGGAGTAAGTTTCCTTGGTTGAAATTCTAGTTCTAGCATTTAACAGCTGTGAAAGCTTTGAAAAGTTATGGACAGCAATAATGGTACTTACATTGTAGGATTAAAAGAGGGGATATATGTCATGAATTGTCACAATGTCTGGGAAAGAGAGAACACTCAATAAGAACTAAGATTTATTATAATCATTAGAACAAATCTCTTTGGAAAACAATGTAGAGGATTTTTAACAGATGCTAAAAGGACTTGTGCAAGTCTTGGATTAGCAACTTGCTAAGTGTGTATCCTTGGGTTAGTCTATCACAGTCTTCAAATCCTGAGTTTTTAATTGGTAAAGTTAAACTCATTAGGTGTGCTTCCTTTCCTTATAAGATTGTTGTAAGAGGCCAGGCATTGTGGTTCACGCCTGTAATCCCAGCATTTTGGGAGGCCTAGGTGGTGAGGATCACCTGAGGTCAGGAGTTCAAGACCGGTCTGGACAACATGGTGAAACCCTGTCTCTACTAAAAATACAAAAATCAGACGGGGTTGGTGGTGTGTGCCTGTGATTCCAGCTACTTGGGAGGCTTGAACCCGCGAGGTGGAGGTTGCAGTTAGCCGAGATTGCACCACTGCACTCCAGCCTAGGCAGTAGAGCAAGACTCTGTCTCAAAGAAAGAAGAAAAAAAAAGATTGTTGTAAGGATCAAGTGAGAATGTGCATGTGAGAGCACTTTCTTCATGTAATGGTCCAATGGAAGTTAATCCTGTGGGGCAAGATTTTCTTACCCTTTGATGTTGTTTTTTTCCTCCACCATCCTAGCATATAGAGGGGGTCTTGGGTAACACATAGTAAGAAGACAGAAACTTGTTTAGCATAATAGTATATCTTGTCTTTTCTTCTGTTGACTTTCCCTTTGAGACATGTTAGACTCTCCCAACATTTCTGCCTCATTTGCTACCATTGTAGTCTAAGACATCAGCACCAATCATCGCAGGCAGTGGCCACTTCATTTGTATACTGCTTCTATCAGGTTGATGCAAAAGTAATTGCGGTTTTTGCTATTATTTTCAATGGCAAAAACCGCAATTACTTTTGCACCAGCACAAATACTTTGGACCCCTTTCAAGCTATTTTCCACTCAATTTCCAGAGTTACTCTCCTGTTTAAAGTCCTCTAGCTTCTTCCCACCATAATTAGATTAAACTCTAAGCTCCTTACCACAGTGCCTGCTTATCTCCCTGATCTCATCCTTTGTTGCTTTCACATTGCCCACTACATCCTGGCCCCATGAGCTTCCTTCTTTTCTTTAAGAAGGTCACATTCATTCTTTTTTTATCTTTTCTTTTTCTTTTTTTCCAAGACAGGGTCTTACTCTGTTACCCAGGTTGGAATGCGGTGAAATGATCATAGCTCACTGCAACCTCGATCTCCTGTGCTCAAGTGATGCTCCTGCTCAGCCTCCTGAGTAGCGAGTGGGAACTACAGGTGCACACTACCACACTCAGCTAATTTTTAACTTTTTTGCAGAGACAGAGTCTTGCTGTTTCTCAGGCTTGTCTCAAACTGTTGGCCTCAAGCGATCCTCTTGCCTTGACTTCCCAAAGCGCTAAGATTACCGGAGCAAGCCACTGCGCCCAGCCCCAAATTCATTCTTGACATAAGAGCATTGACTTGGTTGTCCTGCTTGTGTAGAATATGCTTCCTCCTGGTGGCTCCCCCGACCCTCCTGGCTATTTCTTGTCATTCTGTGCTCTCCTCAGAGAGCACAAATCCATATTTTTTCTCTAGGTTAAAAACAAAATGTCTTTCTCAAGTGTCATGTTCCCCTGAACTCTTGTAGGGAAAGTCATGGGAATAGGGTCAGCTGGTAGGAGACATGACATTCTGAGACTTGTGTAACCATTTAATTAGATGAAAATACAGTCAATGCCAATAGACTGCTGCTTGGATGATTTGCATTCCCATAAATTATGGAGCAGATATTTATCCTTTGTGGATGGGGGCTACTTATCCTCCCTTTTGGCTCAAATTCCCTCTGATTTTTCAGAACAATCAAGCACTTGGAATTAAATTCTGTATGGTTTATTTTATTTTTAAAGATGTGCAGGGATGTGGCTGAAGAGCCAATTCCTACCATCAAGTCTTTTCCTTACTCCGCACATGAAGTTTGCATTTCCATGAACATTTGTGGCTAGCATTTTAAAGCACATCATGCCTGCAATTCTTTTTAGAAGACTCAAGGTTGGCTTAAATAATTGGATTGAAAAGCACAGCTTGTTTCCTTATTTCAACGGAACAAAATAGCTCATTTAGTTTGCAGTCTGCAGCCATCCAGAAATGGGTAGCATTGCATGATGTGGTGCTTTAGTTCATGTCTTCCATAGTCTTTGTGGGTCTCTCACCGGTTGTCCTGTTTAATTTGGCCATTCTTAAGTATAAGCCATATTCCCTCTACCCTTTGCCCTGGTTTCTCCAGCCTGTGCTTACCCATGGAACTATATTATTAAGAATGAGTTCTGGCCAGGCACGGTGGCTCACGCCTGTAATCCCAGCACATTGGGAGGCCAAGGATGGTGGATCACTTGAGCTCAGGAGTTCGAGACCAGCCTGGCCAACATGGCGAAACCCCATCTCTACTAAAAACACAAAAAAATTAGCCGGGAGTGGTGGTGTCTGCCTGTAGTCCTAGCTACTCCAGAGGCTGAGGCAAGAGAATTGCTTGAACCCGAGAGATGGAGGTTGCAGTGAGCCGAGATTGTGCCAGTGTACTCCAACCTGGGTGACAGAGCCACACTCTGTTTTTTTTTTTTTTTTTTTTTTAAATGCGTTCTGGCATTTGCTCTTTCTGTTCCCATAGAATCTTAGGTCCCTGTGAGGTACCCTCAAGTATTGCTAGGTGTCTTCAACGGATATCTCTTATGTGCTTACAAACTAGCCAGCCTCGTGCTGAGCACCACCATGTCAACAAACAGTGATGTATCTGTTACAAGTGAGGGCCAGCAGCCCTTGAAAGGGTAAAGCCAAAGTGGAGAGAAGAATATGTGATGGTTTAAAAATACGGCTCTAGATTCTTTGATGCTCCCTCAAATGAGAAGTTGGGTGTACATCCCTTCTCCTAGAATCTCGGTGGTCTATCATTGCTTTGGTTAATAGAGCGTGGCAGAAATGATGTTATGTGGCTTCTGAGGGCAGGTCATAAAGGCCATGCACTGCCACCTGGAACTTCACTCTCCACGTCCTCCCCTTGGGATGACCATGCACTGCCACCTGGAACTTCACTCTCCATGTCCTCCCCTTGGGATGGCCATGCACTGTCACCTGGAACTTCATTCTTCAGGTCCTCCCCTTGGGATGGTCTGTCTCGGAACCCAGTTTCTCTGGCATGAAAATACTATGCTGCATAGAGAGGCCACAAGTAGGTGATCAGGCCAACAGTCCCAGCTGAGTCTAGCTTTTGAGTCATTTCAGCCAGACATGTGAGTGAAGAAGCCTCCAGATAATTCTATTGCACAACCATTTGGATCACCCACAGGCCTCCCACACTGTCAAGGTGAGGGCTCAGACTTTGTGGAGCAGAGACTAGCCTTTCCTGCTGCTGCCCTGTGTGAACTCCTGTCTCCTGACCCTCAGAATCATAAGCTAGAATAAAACAATTGCTGTATTACACCTCTCAGTTTGGAATGGTTTGTTAGGCAGCAATGATAACTGGAGCAGAATGCCTTGCTCTCCTCTTGGGTTTTGCACTCTGCTTTGCCAAAGAGGTCCCTAGTAGTGCTGTTTATGCCTCTGAACTCACACTCAGAATTGCCCCTTCCATCCTACAGCTCAGGCTTCTTTACTGGGTGAAGACTTTTGTGCCCAGTTTCTTCCTTCATTCATTTGAAGGCTGAGAAGCCTGCATACAAAGAGGCCCATTGGGCCTGTCCCACATCTTCTCCACTATTTCCTCCTGAAAATCCTTACCCACATGTCAGCAGGGCTCTCGGTACACATTTCATTGATTTTCCAAATGAACCCAGGCAAGACTTGGTTCCAGTTATCCTCAACGTATTGGTAACCTATTGACTTCTACTTCAATTTAAAAAGGGCCATTGTTGACTGGGAATGACATGAGTAGGTACAACAGGGCGGGGAGTGGATATTTTTACTGTGATATACACACAACAAATTGCCTGACTCCATCCACACTCGCTCCAGCAAAAGCCTCAGCAGCTTGTAGGTAGAAGGTAATCAATTAAGAAGACTTCTGGCCATGTGATAGCAGGATCTCGGCACCTTTCCATCTTTCTGGGTCTCCTTTTCCCTGCTGCTTTTTGGAGACTTATCTCACATGTGCTTCCCTGTTAGGTTGTGTCATATCCTGGTCTCATCTGGACCACCAGTTCCTATTCTGGTTCCAAAGAACTACTGGCTTTGCTGATGAGGCTGATCCTTGATGGCTATCTCACTGCTGGCTGCTCATCTGACTGCTCTCAGAACCCAGAGTTTCAGGCCTGTCAGATTGCCTTCTGCCCAGCTCTCTGATTGCCTTCGTTAGCTGAGGCCAACTTCTTCCCACAGCTGGGGGTGTCCCTGGGCTCCTATAGCTGCTTCAAGTCCAGGTACCAATCTTATTCTTAAATTCCTAAATTCTTCTTGAACTAATATCCATATCCTCCTTTCCTTTCCCAAGATTTGCCCTTTCCAAGGATGACTGAGAAAGGTAACAGTTGGGGGCAACTCTATCCCATTGTTAATATAGGAGCTCTATGGTGCCCACAAGGGAAATCCCAGTAGAATACAACATTCCAACATTAGTACATTCGCTGAACTCCAGCTCTGCACCATGCAAGATAAAATGCAACGAGGAAAATATTCTATACCTATCCTTTCTAATAAGGTAGCCACCAGCCAGCTGTGGCTCCTGAGCACTTGAAATGTAGCACTGTGAGATAGAATTTTAAATTTTATGTACTTTTAATTAAATTTAAATAGCCATATTTGGACAGCATAGTTCTATTTTACTTAGACTTAATAGTATTCTATTTATGACGTTAATAGTCTATTCAAGATGAATAGCCCACTTGAGTTCTCATTCTAGAATCCTTCCTTCATTGGAATTTACATAGAGACCTGTTGATTTTTTCTGTTGTCTTTGAAAACTTCACACCCAAAGTTAAGATAGCTCTTCAAACAAGAACATGCACTTCTCCCAGAATGAGCAGGAATATGCAGTCAGAGTGCAGTAATAATTATAATAGATGAGAAGAGCTTCATTTTATTTACTTTCTATTATAAATACTGCACCAAGTATTTAAGTAATGTATTTGTGCATTTATTAAACAAGTGTTTATTCAGCACCTACTATATGACATAAAATGTTCCGGGCACTGGGGATACAGCAGTGAGCAGATAAAGTCTCTGCTATCATGGAGGAGCATTCTATCATTTCCTATTAGGGAGACAACTAATACACAAATACTTGGTATATCCAACGATGTTAAATGTGAAGAAAAAAAAATTAAGGGAAAGGGGACAGAGGCTAATACATGGTGCTTTTAAAAATGGAAGTGGCCCAACACATCTGAGACAGAGCTACTATGTCAGCAGAGACATGAGGGTGGTGAGCAGCTGAACCCTGAAGCTCTCCAGGAGACAAGAGCTTCAGGGTGAGGAAGAGGGAGGACAGCATCCCTGAGGTGGTGGCAGGCGTGGAGTGTTCAAGGAAGAGCAAGAACGCTGGTGTGGCTGCGGAGAGGCAGGGGCGGATGACGTGGTTCCCTGTAGGATTTAGACTTTCACTTTGCATGAGAGGGGAAGCCATTGGAGGGATTTCAGCAGAATTATGACTGGCTCTAACTTATGTTGTGACAGAGTCATTCTGGCTGCAGTGTGAGGAATAGATCCTAACAGTACAAGGGGGGAAGGTGGGAATTCAGGTAGGAGGCTATTGCAATAATCCAGTGGTGGGTGCTTAGATCGGGTAAAATAATAACATTTGGCAGGATTTAGAGAAGGCCCTGATCAGTCTGCTTATGGTGATGCAGCATCAATGATGATAAACTTTCTCTCTTAAAAGCCTTTCTTGGAGTTATGTATTACACATTTATTTCTTGCTCTGAGAAATAAAATATTTTAAGTATTTCAGGTGAATACAAATAAGCACTGATAAAAATGCTTTCTCATGAAATGTCACTCTGGCCACCACACTTCCATGGATAATGCATCAGCATCTGTTGGAGGGCTCATATCTTGAGTTCTAAATCAATTTCACACTGGCCTTAGAAGTGAATCACAAGTTTCAGAGGTGGATGGGGCATTAGGAATTACTAGTCCACTTTCTTTAATCATGGACAAATAAACTGAGGTTCAGGTGGTGAATCATAAGCTCTGTGAGACCAAAGTTGTGAATTATGCAAAATTACACTATGGTGGTAAAGTTGAAACTAGAACCTTCTGTGCAGTGAATCAATTAACTTATGGTAAATGAGTAAATTTAGAAGTACCTAGAAGATGTAGATAGTAAGTATGTTCTGGTTGCAGTTCTTTTGCAGTTCTTCTGCCTGGTCCAACCCTTTTGTAATCCCAATCTTGCATCTTCCACTTACTACTTGTGTCCTTGGATAAGTCATTCAACTTCCCTAAGTCTTACTTTCTTCATCTGTAGAGTGAGGGTAGTAATACCTACCTCTGAACATTGTAACGAGAGTTAGATGGTATAATGAGGCAGAGAGACCGGTGCTCACTAAACCTTCTACCTGCTCTCACACATTTCACAAAAGCCTTTGCAGTTAGGTGGTTCATTTGGCTGGTTCTGCCAATGAGATGTGAAAGTTCTATGTGTCACATTTGGAATGAGGCATTAAAAAATTAATTTGCTAATCTCTTCTTTCATCTGCTGTGGCAACTGTAAAGGTAATGTGTTACAGGTGGCACATCTACAAAATGCTAGCACGTCAGTCACTCTGGGTGCCTGTGTGACTGTGTGGAGCAGAGCCCTGGCTACTGTGAATTACATAGGTAGCCTACATGAATGAGAAATAAACTTTTTTTTTGTTGTTGTTTTTGAGATGGAGTCTCGCTCTGTTGCCCAGGCTGGAGTGCAGTGGCGTGGTCTCGGTTCACTGCAACCTCAGACTCCTGAGTTCAAGCGATTCTCCTGCCTCAGCCTCCTGAGTAGCTGGGATTACAGATGCCTGCCACCACACCCAGATAATTTTTTGTATTTTTTGTAGAGACGTGGTTTCACCATGTTGTCCAGCCTGGTCTTGAACTCCTGACTTCGTGATCCGCCTGCCTCAGCCTCCCAAAGTGCTGGGATTACAGGCGTGAGCCACTGCGCCCAGCCGAGAAATAAACTTTTACAGTGTCAAGCTCCTGAGGATTTGGATGATTAGTTACAGCAGCACAAGCTTAGGCTACTGTGAATAATAATTGATCTTACAGGAAGTAGAGTGTTATTATTATAAAAACCCAAAGTATTTTTGTATTGGCTTAATGATTGGGCCAAAGACAATGAGGATAGTGATATCAGAGACCAGAAGAATGCAGTCCATGTCATGTAGCAGCAAAATGTTTGGTAATACTGTCATGTGCTATAACTTGAGAGGCAGATCATATTTGAATAAACTTTAAGTTCTAGGGGAAAAGGTTGGAAAACAATGTTTTTAAATAACATGCTTCATAAAGAATGATGGGTGAAGATATTGGTCCATGTAACTTTTGGCAAATGAATAGAAAGAAGTCTACTAAATTTTTGAGAAGATCAAAGGAAACCACAAGATGGTAGAGCCTTGGTCAGTTTAGATACTTGAGCAACTATAGTGGATTAGAACACCGTGCTGCTTCCCATTGGATGTGAAATGTGTGTACAAAACGAACTTTTCTGCATTAAGTCATTGAGATTGGCAGTTATTTGTTCCTGCAGTGGAAGCTTTTCTATACTGACTGTTGCAGAATATAGCTGCTTTAGTACAGTGCTTAGCTAGCACAGCGTGAACACAAAATAAGTGTTACTCAATACCTTTTAATATTTATTATTATTATTATTATTATTATTATTATAGTTGTTGCTATACTGGTTAAGAATGTGTGAATGTGTGATTGGGTAGAGGATATCAGTCTGATAAAGAAAGGGGATAAAGCTATGGTAACCAGAGTAAAAAGTACCGTTAAAACTTTTGTTTACACATGGGTTGCAAACTGAAATATAAATAGGAGAGAGAGAGGCACTGTAAATAAATGAGGTAGGCTGGCTTTGACTCTGAAAATTGGGAGAGCATGAACCCTGTGCTAAGAGTGTAGTCACTCTTTGCTCCTGATAACACGGATCAAGTATTTTCAAGAGAGGCTGTAAAATAAAAAAATTGTAAGAATTTTCAGTCAGGTGCACGGGACTCACATCTGTAATCGCAGCACTTTGGGAGGCTGAGGCGGGAGGATTGCTTGAACCCAGGAGTTTGAGACCAGCTTGGGCAACAGAATGAAACCCTATCTCTAGAAAAAATTAAAAATCTAGCCAGGTACGGCAGCATGTTCCTATAGTCCCAGCTAATTTGGAGGTTTAGGTGGGAGGATTGCTTGAGTCCAGGAGGTTGCAGTGAGCTGTGATTGTGCCACTGCACTCCAGCCTCGGAGTAGAGAGCAAGACCCTGTCTCAAGAAAAGAAAAAAAAAAGAATTTTCCAAGAGTTTGCAGTATTGGCAATTAAATAAAATATTTAAAATAATACTAGGTGGTCCATGGACCACCAGACGGTGACCTCCATCAGAAGGCAGGTCCCAAGAACCAAAATGTCTAATGGCCAACACTGTCCCTGAGGATAAATCTCATCCCATCCGATATGTTATAATTTGCAGAATCATAAATGTTCAAGGTTATTGTAATTTGGATTCACTTCCCACCCATCTGAAATTTATATTCCCATTGCAACATCTCTGCCTAATTGTCTTCCAGCTCATAACTGAACATCTCCAGAAATGGGAGACTCAGTATATTATGAGGTATAGCTTATGGCATCTTTTGTGTCCTCTAATTGTTAGAAAGTTCTCTCTGTATTTGAAGTAAAGTCTACCTTCCCATAGTGATTCATTCACTTTGCTTCTCCCCTTCCCCCACTGTGGAGCCATATGGGAGTGGGCTGATACCCTATAACCACTTTTCTAGAGCTGGTGATCAATTGACCTAATAGCAAATAGTAGATTGTGTGTGTGTGTGTGTGTGTGTATTCCTGCTTAGCTATCCCCTCTCATACTTCCTGACCCTCCTCCTTTTCGGGCAATAGCACCTTGCTGTGAGTAGTCTGTGTATAAGAAGGCCACAGATCACAATATCCTGTTCTTTGCCTCCCAGCCTCCACCAAGCTACAGCGAATCCAAGGATGGCCATTAGAACACCCCATTCTTCAGACTTTGGAAATTGGCCCAGAGATGTGAGGATGTGCCGCAAACTGGGCCCCTTGGAATCCTTACTATAGATTTAACATGGAGTGCCGTAAGAGAAAAATGGTGTTTGTCCTCTGGGAATAGGAATGTCTGTAGCCATGTCTTAGTCCATTTGGGCTGCTATAACAAAATACCATAGACTGAGCACCTTATAGACAGCAGAAATTTATTTCTCACAGTTCTGAAGGCTGGAAAGTTTAAGATCAAGGTGCTGGAAGATTCCGTGTCTGGTGAGGGACCACTTTCTGGTTCATGGGTGGCTTCTTCTGGCTGTGTCCTCACACAGCAGAAGGGGTAAGGCAGCTCTCTGGGGCCTCTTTTGTAAGGGCGCTAATGAAACCATGCCCTGAAGAATTAAAGAAACCTGTGACTAACATAAAATATTGAGTTGCAGGATAGCAGTTAAGAAAAGAAACAACTTGCTGAAATTCTGAAAATCCCTCCATTTAAAAGGTAACAAAACTAGCTGAAATTAGTTGGGAGCAATGTGGCTGACTGGAGTTTGTGCAGAGTGAGCTTGCTGATGTCACAGCCTGAATTTCCACCACATTTCATACTAACTCCCCCCGAATTTGCACATGGGCCCCAAGAAAGAGGCATGAAGAGAGAACCACGCATGCCTGAGGACTTTCCAGACCTCCCCTTTCCTTCCACCAATCACCTGCTAATCTCGGAATCCACCCGCTAAACCTTTTCTAATAAAATAACTGCCTTAGCCCCAGCCCAGGGAGACAGATTTGAGCTTGACTCCTGTCTCTTTGGGAGTCTACTTGCAGTAAAAAGTCTTTCTTTTCTCAAAAACCCGGTGTCAGAGTATTGACTTCTAGCGCATCTGGTAGTGAGCTCCTTTGCCACGGTGACACCAATCCCTAATCACCTTCCACAGGCTCCACCTCCTAACACCATCGCATTGGGGATTAGATTTTAACATAGGAATTTTGGGGGGACACGGACATTCAGAGCGTAGCAGGCCATTTGCTTCTGACCCTAAACCCAGCTACATAGAACAAGGTGTCTATTCAGGAAAGAGTGAGGATACAGTTCAGAAAGTAGCAGAGCAGACAGAGAGGGAGAGAGGAAGAGAAAGAGAGAGAGAGAGAGAGAGAGACAGAGAGAGAGAGAAAGAGAGAGAGACAGAGAGAGAGAATGAACATTGATTTCCTGTGGCCCTCTTCATCCTTGCATTTTTTAGTTATGAAAAAATGCTTGCACTAGTTTGAGTTGAATTCCTGTCATTTACACCAGAAAGATCCTGACTGATCTCCTGAACTATGTTGGAGATCATGTTTACACAGTCCATGCAAAACTATAGTTTCAGTGCTGCTGAAAATGGTTTAAATTTTTATATCTTTTTGTATATCACTATTCAGATAATTTAAAATGTTTTTAAATCACGTCATCTGTAGTGACTTGTATATTAATTTCATATTTCTAATATGTTTAAGTTATCCTGTGCTTTAGATATATCATATTCATTATCACTCTTGAGTATTTCTGTTTTCTGTGGTTTTATTCTATTTTTGTTGCAAATATTTTTGCATCTTATGAATCTGTTACTCAAACTAATGCTACCACAAAATTGGTTTCCATTTTTTAGTGACCTATCCCTCTTTTGACAGTAACAGCAAAAAGATGAGATGGCTATGACTGAAATGTTCTATGGTTTATACGTCATAAAGCAATAACACATCATAGAATAATGCTCTATGTTCCCAATATTATGGTTACTTGTTTGCAAGTAACTGCAGGCATTTATGCTTTTTCTTTATGTTACTACCACTCTCATGAGTTGTGACCAGCAACAAAATTCTATAGCAGTCTGCCTTATAGCTATTTCAAAGCAAGTCTTTGTGGTTAAGTACAATTTCCTATAGGAATCACACCCAGGGTAGTCCAGTAGGCTGTGTCAGCAACATGAGCGTGGCATTAGTAGAATTTTAAATGTGTTATTCCACCTTGCATAGTTGTTTATTGTCATTCATGCTCTGGGGTCATTTGTAGGTTTCAAACATTATCCATCAGGATATTCCTACCTGTCCAAGGGAAGGTATCACTACTATGGTGACCTCTGTCTGACTGGCCCCATCAAATTCCCAGATTCTTTATTAGGTGCCAGCCCAACTGCTGCTACTTGGAAATTCTAAATGCACTAGAAGTACATTGGGAATAATAAGTGGAGCTTAGAAGAAAGATACATAGAATTACGGTGGTAGAGGTTTAACTTTATCTGTAGGTAACACAACTTAGCTCTCTCCAGAGCTGAACAGGCTCTTCTCCCTTCTAGCTCATAATATGCATGGAATATCTCATGGCATGAAAGCTTTCTACACATCAAAATGGGTTGAAAATGAGATTTTTTTTTTGAATAAATGTGCCTTCTGAGAGCGATTTTCCAAAGCTGTAATTCTTCTTAACTGAGGGATACAACAGTTAGAAATTCCCTAATGCCCAACTGGTTGGGTTTCTCTCTAATTCAAGTTGTCAGTCACCAACCAATGAACGAATGAAGATAACAATTATTTATATTTGTCTCTTCCACAGAAGATGAATATGTCCTAACTCATTTTTCTACTGAGAAGATGAAATGTAAAGACATGCCTTTTGTTCAGTTGCTGTGGATTTGTTAAATACATTCTTTTATTTGATGAAATTACTTTTGAGGGAAGGCAAAGACCTTATATCTTACTCTAATAATTACCAGATGTTGGCAAGAGTATTACAGGCAGCAACAGGTTTCAGTGAGAATGTAACCATATCATACTATGTATTATGTAGTGCATATATTATATATAAGTATTCATCTGTAATAGCATATCAACTTATTTTTTCAAATGCACTAATTAAACCTCAAGCCCCCATTTTAGGCTTTGCACTTTTGATTAATAAGGACAGTTAAAAAAAAAAAGAAAGAAAGAGAGAAAGAAAAGCTTCCTAGTTGCTATGTGGAAACTGGCATTGCCAAGGAGCTTGCAACCATGCAGCCACAAGGAGGAGCTCAAGCATCAAATTAAAAATTAACACAAACTAATAAATTCTGGCGCGTGCTGCTTTTGGCAATGCGTTAAAACAATATTTATTCTTATATGGAGGCGAGGTGATTTATGGGCCTTTTGCCCAAATTAATATCACTCTGGGGAGCGTATCTTGATACGCTGGTATGTATCAGTATATTTACATAAATATGATAATATAGACGTAATCTATTCTTCACCCAGTAACCAGATGGATCTTTAAAAAATGCTTGAGATAATGCCACTCCCTGTTTAAAAGCCTTCCTATGGCTTCCTTTTATTTTGAGAATAAACTGTGCATTCTCTACCGGGACCTAAGAGGCTCTGCCTCATCTCTTTCCCACAGCCCTTTCTTTTCTTTTCTCTTCTTCTTCTGCTGCTGCTTTTTAAAAAAACTTCAACATTTATTTTAGATTCAAGGGGTACATGTGCAGGTTTGCTAGATGGGTATATTGCATGATGCTGAGGTTTGGGGTACAAATGATCCTATGGCCCAGGTAGTGGGCATAGTACCCAAGGAGGTGAAAGATCCCCACAAGGAGAATGACAAAGCACTCCTGAGAGAAATCAGAAGTGACACAAATGCATGGAAAAGCATTCTATGCTCATGGGTCGGAAGAACCACCCCTTTCGGACTCCATCTCATGCCTCTCTCCCCAGAGACTGACTGTGGTAGCCACATGCCTTCTGATAGGCCCTAGAATGGGTCTTTTCTGGCCTCAGGGACTTCCCACTTCTGTTCCTCTGTCCTTCCAGAGACTTGCATGCCTGCCTCCTACTCATTCTTTGAAATTCAGTTTCAGTGTCACCCTCTAGACAGTCATTTCCTGACATGTACTGAATGTCGGCTGGCCTGCCTTCCCTTCTGCCATTCTTCTCCATCCTTGTTCTCTGTTTATTCCTACTTAGAATTTATCACAAGCTGTACTTCTTTTGTTCACCTATATGTTTCCTGTTTATTACATGGCTTCTATATTTGATGTACATTAGAGCAGAAACCTTGTCTATGTAAACACTGCAGTATCTGTAGTGCCTAGCACAATTCCTGGCACCAAGTATGTGTGCAATAAATATTTGTTGAAGGAATGAGTCTTTATAATTGAAACTTTGGGAATGTGTCTGGGTCCAGAGATTCTCTGGAACAATAGCCACAGAAACAGTTTTGAAACATTGGCCTCCCATCTCAGTGATTTTTCCTCATGGTTTGAAGGGCCTCCTAATTCCCCAACAATACACATGCTATTCCTACTCTACCCCAAAAGAGGCAGCAAGTGATGCACAATGAAATCTATAGCACTACCAGAACAGACTAATAGCGGCATGGTTCGACAAACAAAATTAATATTAAGCAAAATATGCCAACATCTTCCACTGCTATCTGCATTATTTGACCTGTGAGCATGCGACCTTGTGTCTGAGGAACAGCTTCTTCAGCCCCAACAGTTGGTGCTGAGATCTAATGATGGAGTCACCAGCATCACAGTTTGGAAGGTGCTGATAGGACAGGCTCCCAGAGATCCTATCTGTCAGCTGAAAGAGGATGTGCCATCTTTCTATACAAGGCCTTCAAAGAGGCATTGACTTCTTCACTCTTGGGGCCATCTTTGAGTAGGGGTAAGCAGCTCCCAGTAAGACCAGATCTCATGCTGATGTGGGTACTCACAGAAAATCCCTGGTGCTTCTAAAACCATATCCTAAAACTCATTAAGCTTGGGTTCCTGCCAAGTTTTATATTATTTCACTTCATATAATATGTTTCACTGTGTATTTGTGTCTTGTAAATAGTTTCTGATTTTTTCAGTAATGACTGGTAATTATTCAACCTTGCTCATTTGCTCCTTCTTCCCAGGAAACTTTTTCAAAGTTGTATATTTATTTATCAAGAAAATGAACATTCGCTTTCTAAAAATGTACTCATGGAAGACTCCCCAAAGAAACGGATTTGATCCTTTCATAGGAAGAAAGCTGACACATTATCTATTGGAATGATTATTCTAAAAGCCACAATCACATACTGTAAAATTTGCAAAATGATGAAAGAAGTTAATGTTTGAATATATATTGTTTATCATTCTCAGGGACCACTTTGTCAGGATGTGGTATTAAAAAATGTTCTTGTATTTCTGAGAGTTAGGAAAAAAAATCAATTACAATTGAAATAGACTATGGATTCTTCTCATAGGCCACAGCTTAGTGGGGAGCAGAGTCCAGATTTTTAAAGAAAATAATTCATGACCCTTGCTAAAGATGGGAAGGGGGTCATGGCAATATGTACAGGGACCACTGCAATGGGGTCTTGCAGTGGGGAAGAGATTGAACTCAACTCCCTCTCCAGCAAGGACAAGTGGGGATTTTTAATCAAGGAGCAGGATGGGGTCAGTGAGTGGAAAATTACTAAGAGGAAACATCAAGGATAAGGGGAGGTCAGATACCAAAGGTGGCGGATTTTCACTAAACTGACTACGCAGGATTCTTGCTCAAACTGGATTCTATGAGGACAGATAGGGAAGCCCAAGGTAGAGCCTAGTTAAGCAGAGGACTCAGAAGAGACTGACTAAAGTTCTGATCAAAGAAGAGGTATACGTCAAGGTATACGTGGCACTATGATTCAAAGTGCCTGTGGCAGATTGATTAAAAACATGGCCCTAAGTCTCCACATATCCATGTACACATACCTTTTGCAGTGAGACTTTGTGACAACTATTACAAGGTGGAGTCTATCTCCTCCTCCCCTTTGAATCAGAGCTTATCTTGTCACTTGCTCTGCCCAGCAGAAAGTGGCTGAAATTACATGTGTCAGTTCTAAGCCTTAGATCCCAAAAGGCCCTTTGTGCTTCTCCTCTTGCTAGTGTCCCTCTTCCTTTAACATGAACAAGCGTGACCCAGCCTGCTGGAAGGTAAGAGATCATTTATGGCAGAACTCAGTTATCTAGATGAGGACATCATAGACGCCAGAGCCCAGCTAACCTACCTGCTAACTGCAGCCAATGAACACATCTGGCTGAGATCAGAAAAACCTGGGCCAGACCAGAGGAACTGTCTGATTAATCTGAAGAACCACGAGCAATAATAGATGGTTATTGTTTACAGCCGCTTAATTTTAGGTTGGTTTGTTACACAGCATTACTGTGACAATAGCTAATATTTGATATTGGACATGGGCTTCTGGGTGACAGCAACAGTGGTACATATTTTGGATATTGGCAATTTTATAGCTCTGGTTATAATAACTAGTTTTAGATAATAGTGGCTTTGTGGTATTGGAAGCTCAGTAGTGGCATTTGGAGGTATTTCTGGCAACGTGGCTAATATTGGTGGCTTTGATGATTATGGTCCTTGTGCTTTTAGGTGGTTATTGGTATTGGCAGAACTTGATAGGACTACCCATGTAGTATATTGGGGAACTCAGTTTTTCTGCCAGGTTTTGGCACAGTTTGATAATTAAATGACAACCTCTAATGCCACTAAGTTCTAGTGGAAGCTCACTATACATTGTTCTTGGTTTCTCGCTAGGCTGGGGAAGATAAGACAGTGGTGGGGGAGGGGTTTCTTCTTACTGCTTGTGTGCACTACAGGAGGATTGCAAGGGATTCCTGGTCATTGCAGTGTATGTGAGGTGGTTAGCCTTGGCCATGCCAATCTCCATCTAATAGACACAGATGCCAGAAGTGGGCACATTCTTACATCTATTCTCATGACTTTTCAGCAAGAATGCCTTCTGTAGGCCTCAGTTCAGCCTTCGTAAGAAGGGCTAGTACAATTGGTGACAGGTATCTGCTCATTGTTTTCTGTTGCAAGTGCATGCAGTGGTGAGAGGCAGAGCTGCACCTGTACTTCAGCAGGCCGAGCACTCCATCCATGGTACTCCACCCAGGGGAACCCTGGCCCCATCACTGAAATGGTCCTATTATAAAGGAGAGCTGGTTGTGTTTGCATTTGTTTTCCACATAATTGCTCTGCCTATATGTTCATCTTAACTGTGGGGCACCACAGCCTCTTTAAGAATCCTTCCGTATTTTCTGAGGCTATTTTCCATTTTTATTAGCTTTGTGGACAAATAGTTAACAAAGCCCTTTCCCTTTTTGAATGAGAATTTGACCTCTGGTTAACCCTTTAGCTCAATTCCCCTGGTAACTTGACAATGACAGAATGTCAACTGTGTTTCCAGGCAGAATTGCTTGTGCCAAAAATGACCTTTGATTGTCAACTTGTATCTGGACTGGGAGGGCTATAAACTATAAATACTATATAGGGAAGCTATGCTTTGGACTCCCCTAAGAGTTGTGACTCTTACCTGAGCATCTATCTTGCAGGAACCTTGGAAGCTATGGATCCTATGGGCTGGCAGCTTTTAGGCCAGAGTGGATCCTATGTCTACCCACTGTGTGTCTCATCTCCTTGTACTTCAGCTGCTAGACTACTAAAAGGATTTCTATAGAACCGGAATCCCTGAAGCTATACTTTTGGCAAGCTCTGGTTTTTGTCCATAATGTAATAGATGGATGCTGAGTGTAGCCTGTGGCATTTTTGTGAATCTGAATATTTAGTTGAACCCAAGAAGATCTTCAGTGTGTGTTGCAGACTTGGTGTTCTTCCCCTAGGTCCAGCTGCTGATACACCTGAGAGCCTCTCTGGCCTGAGAGGACTCCATGACAGAAGCATTGGGCTGTGTATGTGTGTTTGGGGTGACTCATCATGCATGAGATATAAACCAGGAGATTAGTGGCAGGATGCTTATTCGCTTGGGATTCCAGACCATGGCCCTAGCGCATGGACACAAGTTAGAAGAACATCTAACTTGCCTAACTGTAACAACCCTAATCCAACTAACATAGATTAGGTAGAGAGGGGTTTTGGGGAAGGATGCTGAGAACCTTGGGGAACAATTATGTTGCTGGTGGTAATGGCCAAGGATGGCTATTTCTTATAAAACTAAAGAGCACTCACAACACGGAGTTCTCAGGAACCACAAGGCCAGGCATAGGAAAAGTAAAATAATTAACCAGGAGCTTGTGGCCCATCTTAGGCGGGTCTCTAATCATAGGCGGGCTTTCTTTTTGAAGAATCCTAGCCCTACTCCCTTGAATGTCTGCCCCTTGCCTAGAGAGGGCAATCAGGCAGGAGAAGGAAATAAAGGTATTCAATTAGGAAAAGAGGAAGTCAAATTATCCCTGTTTGCAGATGACATGATTGTATATCTAGAAAACCCCATCATCTCAGCTGAAAAATCTCCTTAAGCTGATAAGCAACTTCAGCAAAGTCTCAGGATACAAAATCAATGTGCAAAAATCATAAGCATTCTTATACAGCAATAACAGACAAACAGAGAGCCAAATCATGAGTGAACTCCCATTCACAATTGCTTCAAAGAGAATAAACTACCTAGGAATCCAACTTACAAGGGATGTGAAGGACCTCTTTAAGGAGAACTACAAATCACTGCTCAACGAAATAAAAGAGGATACAAACAAATGGAAGAACATTCCATGCTCATGGGTAGGAAGAATCAATATCGTGAAAATGGCCATACCACCCAAGGTAATTTATAGATTCAATGCCATCCCCATCAAGCTACCAATGACCTTCTTCACAGAATTGGAAAAAACTACTTTAAAGTTCATATGGAACCAAAAAAGAGCCCGCATCGCCAAGTCAATCCTAAGCCAAAAGAACAAAGCTAGAGGCATCATGCTACCTGACTTCAAACTATACTACAAGGCTACAGTAACCAAAACAGCATGGTACTGGTACCAAAACAGAGATATAGACCAATGGAATAGAACAGAGCCCTCAGAAATAATGCCACATACCTACAACTATCTGATCTTTGACAAACCTGAGAAAAACAGGAAATGGGGAAAGGATTCCCTATTTAATAAATGGTGCTGGGAAAACTGGCTAGCCATATGTAGAAAGCTGAAACTGGATCCCTTCCTTAAACCTTATACAAAAATTTATTCAAGATGGATTAAAGACTTACGTATTAGACCTAAAACCATAAAAACCCTAGAAGAAAACCTAGGCAATACCATTCAGGACATAGGCATGGGCAAGGGCTTCATGTCTAAAACACCAAAAGCAATGGCAGCAAAAGCCAAAATTGACAATGGGATCTAATTAAACTAAAGAGCTTCTGCACAGCAAAAGAAACCACCATCAGAGTGAACAGGCAACCTACAGATTGGGAGAAAATTTTTGCAACCTACTCATCTGACAAAGGGCTAATATCCAGAATCTACAATGAACTCCAACAAATTTACAAGAAGAAAACAAACAGCCCCATCAAAAAGTGGGCGAAGGATATGAGCAGACACTTCTCAAAAGAAGACATTTATGCAGCCAAAAAACACATGAAAAAAATGCTCATCATCACTGGCCATCAGAGAAATGCAAATCAAAACCACAATGAGATACCATCTCACGCCAGTTAGAATGGTGATCATTAAAAAGTCAGGAAACAAGAGGTGCTGGAGAGGATGTGGAGAAATAGGAACATTTTTTCACTGTTGGTGGGACTGTAAACTAGTTCAACCATTGTGGAAGTCGGTGTGGCGATTCCTCAGGGATCTAGAACTAGAAATACCATTTGAACCCAGCCATCCCATTACTGGGTATATACCCAAAGGATTATAAATCATGCTGCTATAAAGACACATGCACACGTATGTTTATTGCGGCACTATTCACAATAGCAAAGTCTTGGAACCAACCCAAATGTCCAACATGATAGACTGGATTAAGAAAATGTGGCACATATACACCATGGAATACTATGCAGCCATAAAAAAAGGATGAGTTCATGTCCTTTGTAGGGCCATGGATGAAGCTGGAAACCATTATTCTCAGCAAACTGTCGCAAGGACAAAAAAGCAAACACTGCATGTTCTCACTCATAGGTGGGAATTGATCAAAGAGAACACATGGACACAGGAAGGGGAACATCACACACCGGGGCCTGTTGTGGGGTGGGGGTATGGGGGAGGGATAGCATTAGGAGATATACCTAATGCTAAATGATGAGTTAATGGGTGCAGCACACCAACATGGCACATGTATAAATATGTCACAAACCTGCATGTTGTGCACATGTACCCCAAAACTGAAAGTATAATAATAAAACAAAAGAAGGAAGAGAAAAAGTACATTAAAAAAAAAAAAAAAGAATCCTATCCTTACTCCCTTGAATGTCTGCCCCTTGCCTAGAGAGGGTATGTGGATCTCGGCAGGATGATTCAAGTGCTCAAACAATGACTTTTCGAGTCTTTATCTCGAGGCTCTGTCTAATGCTCAGTCAGACTTTCTGTATGAAGAGATAGAGATGGTTACAGTAGCTCCAGGCTTCCATCTTACTAGGTTGGTAACTGTACAGAGAAGAGCATGCTTCTTTCCCTTCATTCTAGCAAATGTGGCTAACGTTCATTGCTCTGGCTTGGAGTGCATGGGCTTCCTGATTAATCACAGAGGCCAGTGTGATGAAAGCTTTTATCTGGCCACCCAGGGGCAGGCAGTTAGGAACATTTGAATCCCGTAGCCTGAGATTGGAGAAGAGTAGTTTCCTAAAGGAGAATTGGGGGGCTGGGATTTTAAAAAGTAGGAAGGGATGCTGGGAAGGCTGAACAATTGGTGTCCACTTTATTAAAGTGAGTTCCTCGCACTTTAATATGCATACCTGGGGGATCTTGTTAAAATGCCGGATCCGATTCCTAGATGGTATGGTTTGGATGTTTTGTCTGCTCTAAATCTCATGTGAAAATGTGACCTCCAATGTTGGAGGTAGGGCTTAGTGGGAGGTGTTCAGGTCATGGGGGTGGATCCCCTCATGGATGGCTTGGTGCCCTCCTTGAGAGAATGAGTGTGTTCTCACTCCATGAGTTCATATGAGATCTGGTTGTTTAAAAGAGCCTGGAACTTCCTCGTCTGTCTCTTGCTCCCTTTGTCACCACGTGATACACTGGCTCCCACTTTTCCCTCTGCCATGACTGTAAGCTTCCTGAGGCCCACAGCAGATGTGGGTGCTATGCTTTTACAGCCTGCAGAACTGTGAGCCAAAATAAACCTCTTTTCTTTATAAATTACCCAACCTCAGGTATTCCTTTATAGCAATGCAAATGAACTAATGCATTAGATCTGGTGAGGGGCCTGAGATTCTGTGATTCAAACAAGGTCCCAGGTATTTCTAATGTTGCTGGTTCAGGGACCTTGCATTGAATGGCAAGGCAGTAGAGGGTGAGGTCACTGCACAGCTGGAAACCATCTCCTGTTGTTAAAGAAGACATGTGGATAGCTGCCTCTCATAGGGATTTGGGTAGCAGTCAAATAGCATCCTCAGTGTAACACAGGGTGTGAGAAAGCTTATTGGAGGGGTCTGTTCTAAATGACTAGGCCTAGTGGGGCAGGTTGCATGACCCAGGAATGCTAATGTTGGCAGTTTCTTTTTGTGCTGCAGCAGCACTTGCAAAAGCACATTATGCTGTTAAATGAATTACACACAGTGAGTTAATCACAGGCCTACACTGCCAACAGGCAGCTCCCACTGGAATGAATTTGGACAGGGAGAGTTTAAAAAAATAGCCAAACTGCAGGATAATATGTAACCAGAAATATTGTCAAAATGGGCCATAAAAGGATGTTTGGGAAAGTTAATTTTTAAATATATGCTCCAACTCTGTGGTGTAGACTCCCTAGATGACTGAGAGCACCATTTCTCCTCCTGCTACGGTTCTCCCCCAGGCTGTATTTGGAAAATATTGATTTCTCTCCTTGATTTGTTTAACAGCAAATTCAACAACAACAAGTTTCAACTTGCTGACTAGAATTTTCATAGCATGAACATAATCAGACACAGCTAATAGCAGGGAAGCCAATTGTCTTCTAAATTGATTTTTCTTTTATGTTAGAAGAATAAATGGTGGTGCTTCTCAAAATATTTCAGGGCCAAATTTTTGAGACCAGAATTCGAAAGATTAATTACAAAATTATGGAGGGATACAAACTCTCAAAATTTAAAACATACTGCAATTTAGGACCTAGCTATTTTTCAGGCAGTCACTGGTCATTTTGATTTCAAAGATAGAAATTAGAATTGGTGGCATAGACCAATATATATATAAAGGAATTGTTTTAAATTGTATTTTAATTTACTTTCTCTAGCTTCTCATAGTTTTTTTTTTTTTTTTTAAGGGAATTGAAGGTTTAGTGTACAAGCACTAAACCAACTGTTTTTCATTTTTCACCTTACTTAAATGACAAATATAATGCAGTCAGCATAATGCATATTAGATGGTTTCAGCAAACAAGATGCTCACAGCACATTTGACCTGTCCTTGGATCTGTTTACTTTTTTTTGGAGTGGGGCAAGGAAGGGGGAGAAGGAAGTTTACTCCATAGCTTGGAGCTTCATAATGCTTGAACGCCTATTTGTTCCTGACACTGAAGTGCAGTGAGAAGGCACCTCAAGGGTTTGAGTTGCAAGCCCTGAGCTTTTGTTTATGATGAGTTGATATTGATGGGTTCATCTCTTTTCCACTTAATGTTTCTCGACGAGAATAGAAATGCAAGGCTATCTCAGTGTTCACGTCTCACAAATATAATTTGCAAATAAGATTAAGAAAATGAGATGGAATGTGGTCTTCATAACTAGACAAGTTACATTTCTTAAGAGATCTGTCCTGATGACCTATTTAATGCCACTGTGGAACCTCCCTCCCTATCTCACTGTAGCCCTGATCTCCCTGACTCTGAGCTATTTTTTCCATAGTACTCCTCCTCTCATATAATTTCTCATTTATTTATTATTGTCATTGACTCTCTCCCTCCTCTAGAATGTCAGCTCCATAAGAGCAGGGAAGTTTTGTTCACTGATGTATCCTGCATGCCTGGGACAGTGTCTGACCCTTGATAGATCTTCAGTAAATGAATTAATGAATACATTTCTCTAAGTCCATTCTCATTTCTTAGAACAGGTTGAAATTTCAAAAGAAATACAGCCACCTACTTATACCATGTCTTAAACACACTAAAGATATTTTTTCCAGCTGAAGAAAAAAATGTTTTGTCACGCATCATAAGATACCATTTGATTATGGCATCAATAAAAGTTCATTTGATAAAATAAAATTTTGATTCCCGTGTAGATCAATTAGCTTTTCCTAAGGTTCAGTTAAATCAGTTTCTCAACCTTGGCAGTATAATGATGTTTGTTATGGAGAGTGTGTTGTGCATTGTGGGATATTTAGTAGCATCCCTAGCCTTGACCTAATAAGGATTAATGTCACCCTCTCCCTTCTGGTTGTGGCAACCAAAAGTGTCTCCAGATATTGTCAAATATCCACCATTTGGAACCACTTAGTTAAACCAATCAACCTAATTTTAAATAGGCGTACTGGCTTGCAAATATTTATCTTTAATCTTTGAAGAGAGAATAGCTGTCTTTTATCAAGCACTTGTGTGGTAGGCAGAATAATGGCCCCCAATAATGTTCATACCCAAATCCTGGGTATGAATGTGTTACCATACATGGCACAAAAGGCTTTGCAGATGTGATTAAGATTAAGGAACTTGAGGTGAGGAGATCATTCTAGATTATGCAGGTGGGCCCAGTCTCATCACATGAGCATTTAAAACCTGAGACTCTTTTAGACTGTGGTAAGAATACATCAGTGATAGGATAGGATGTGGATAGGATACCTCAGTGAACAAAACTTTCCTGCTCTTATGGAGCTGACATTCTAGAGGAGAGAGACAGTCAATGAGTATAATAAATAAATGAGAAATTATATGAGATGAGAAATGCTATGGAAAAAATAGCTCAGAGTCAGGGAGATCAGGGCTACAGTGGGACAGGGAGGGAGGTTCCACAGTGGCATTAAATAGGTGGTCAGGACAGATCTCCTTAAGAAATGTAACTTGTCTAGTTATGAAGACCACATTTGTGTCTGCGATTTATGATCTCAGAAGAGGTATGAGGGAAATGTGATGTGACAAGTACTGAACCCTTTGTTGCTCACTTTGAAGATCTAGGAAGGGGGATAAGAGCCAAGGAATGCTATGACCTGTAGAAGCTGAAGTGACCTTCAATTGACAGCCATCAGGAAAATAGGGATCTTGGTCCTACGACTGCAAGGAGCTTAATTCTGCCAACAAATGGGCAAGGAATGGATCCTTCCCTAGACCTACAGGAAGGAATGCAGCCCTGCTGACATCTTGATTTTAGCCTCTCAGGACCCATGTTGGACTTCTGACCTATAGAACTCTAAGATGAAAATTTGTGTTAAGCCAGGAAGTTTATGGTACTTTGTTCCAGTAATAACAGAATTTATCACACTGAGACCTTTGCACAATAACTTTCTATCTTCTCATTTTATAGAGGATGTAGGCTGAATTGTGTCCCCACCAATTCATATGTTAAAGTCCTAACCTCCAGTACCTCACAATGTGATTGTGGTTTGGAGATGGGGTCTTTAAAGTGGTAATTAAGGTTAAATGAAGTCAATAATATGAGCCCTAATCCAATATGACTGGTGTTCTTATAAGAAGAGATTAAGACTCAGACACACACAGAGGAAGACCAGGTGAAGGGAAGACTGTGGAGGAGATGGCCATCTGTGGGTCAAGTGAGGCCTTCAAAAGGAATCCACCCTGCTGACACATTGATCTTGGGCTTCTAGCCTTCAGAACTGTGAGGAAAAATATTTCTATTGTTTAAGCCACGGAGTCTGTCGTACTTTGTTATGGCAATCCTGAAAACTAACTCAATAGATGATGAAAGAGACTCAGAACATGAATAAATTTCTCTAGGACATATAGCTAGTACAGGTGGGATTGGAGTCTCTGCAATCCATGATGTTGATGTATGCAATAAGTGGTTCTAACTGCGTTAAGTTTATGGATGACCCAGAGCATTCTAACTGTTGCCAGTTTGTAGAGGAAAAGTTTGAGACCTGTGTTCAAATTCTGCTGTGACTACTAGTTGTTGTGTCTTGAGTGACATGTTGATCTCAGAGGCCCAGTTTGCTCATAACTAAAATGGTTTTTAGCTTCTTTCCAAGATTACTTTGTGAACTACATAGATAATGACTGCAAATGCATTTTGTTATACACCAAGCACTGTGCAAATGTGAGGTGGTATTATTAAAATGTTACTGTTGCTGGAAAAGAAATCGAGTGAATGTTTTCTGACAGCACCTTTCAGACCTTCTTCTAGGTATGTTTAGGGAATGTCCACTCTTTGAAATGCAAGAGACAACATAGAAAATATTGTTTAACTCACAGGAACAAGAATGTGCAAGAATCAGTGTTTCCTTTCTGTGTTTCCTTCTAAAAGGCAATTCGCATGTATTTTATTGTTTGGAATTCCCAGTGGAGGCATTATTAAGTGCACTGTTCAGAGTCAGTGGGAAGAACAACAGCTGTTTAAAAAAAAGAAGGGGAACTGTCTACTCTAATTTAGGTTGTCTGGTTTATTATGGGATAAGAGTAAAAAACAAACAGAAAAGGACTGTCTTGTTAACTTGTGGCAAAGTTAACAAGACAGCTTTCCCACAGGAGAGCAATGTGTTCCATGAGTCTGTGGTTCCACGTAATGTTCTTCTAAGGGGGGAAAGCATTTATTTTGATTTGGAACTCTGCAAGCTTCTTGTCTTGTATCCACTTTCACAAATGACAGTCTTTGTATCCAAAATAACAGAAGTTTCAAGTGGCTCAAAGGGATCTACCAGCCACATTGTTTGTTTTAATGGTGCCCTTTAGCAGGGAATTGTACAGCCACTCTCACTCTACCACCACATTCCTGATGAAGGCAAATTTAGCATCAACATGGGGAGCTGACATACTTTCTTGTACATGTTCCTAAAGTAATATTACCAATTGATTCTGGCATCAGTTAGCTACACATTTGCCATCTGCTTTCTAGAATGTCCTCTCCTCCTTCCCTGCCTAGGGTACTTCTATTCAAACTTCAATTCCTAGCTTGACTTTCAACTTGTGTGTGAAACCTTTTCCATCTTTTCCAGATACTGTAAATTCCCTCTCTTGCTTGTGTGCCTGTGACACCTTATTCAGATCTTCAATATACTATTTAATATCTTATAAGGCAATGATTTATTTGTAATTTCGGGCAATAATGATTTGTGAGGTTTTCAATCACAGATATATTTTGTGTTCCTAGCACTGTGTCTCAAACATAGCAGTTGTATAATATATTAATAAATTCCAAATCAAAGTAAGGGCCTAGGATGATGTGTAACAACAGCTATCATTTATTTAGCAATTTCTATAAGCTAGTAACTCATGATCTCATTTATCCCAGCAGTCCTATAAGGTGGCCTTTATGTTCACTATTTTATAGATTAGGAAATTGAGGCCTGAGGCTAGGTGACTTGCCCAAGGTCATCTGGCTTTTAAGGAACAGAGAGGTTTCTAACTAAAGTGAATAATGATGTGCATTTATATGGAAGATGGGTGATAGCTGATATAAACCCAAGCAAAATGGAAAGGGAATTTTTTTGTCCTTAACATCATTTTACTTCCATTTATTCTTTTTCTCTCTCCTGCTTTTTAATGTGCCTTTTGTACACCCATTAAGGCCTGGTGTTGTAGATTGAATTATTGGTCACAATTCTCATCATCTTTATGAATTATAAATCCATACCTTTGGTCATGTGACTTTGAAGTATCTTCCACTAGAGTGGGCAGAATATTTTTCTCCACTCCATTGATGTTGGGCTTGGCCACATTACTTGCTTTGGTCCATGGATTGTGGGTAGAGGTGACAATGGGCCAGTTCTGAGCTGAGACCTTAAGAGGCATTGTGTGTTGTGAGTTTCTGCTCACCTCTCTTTCAATTCCTAATGAGAAGAACTTGCCTTGAGTAGCCACAGGTCCAAGGAAGGTAAAAGACATGCGGAGGAGGCATGAACTTTATCTGAAGTTCGAAGCTGAGATGTCTCAGCTTACTGGTAGAGTAGACCGTGTAATGAGAGAAATAAATGTTTGCTTTATTGTAATCCACTGAGACTTTGGGATTGTTTGTTACACAGAAAGATCTGGTTAATATACTTGGCCTCCTAAAAGTACTCTATAATCACGGTTGCTATCTCCTTCTGCCTTAGCTAATCAATCAAAAGGAAAGGAAAATCCCATTTATCTAGCAGGCGTAAGCATGTAAACTCCATAAAGGCATCCGAGAGACTGACACATAATGTGAGCTCAAAAATGAATGTGAAAACCCTTTTTTTAAAATTTTTTTATTTTTTTAGATGGAATCTCGCTGTTTCGCCCAGGCCAGAGTGCAGTGGCGCTATCTCGGCTCACTGCAAGCTCCGCCTCCCGGGTTCACGCCATTCTCCTGCCTCAGCCTCCCGAGTAGCTGGGACTACAGGCGCCCGCCACCGCGCCCGGCTAATTTTTTGTATTTTTAGTAGAGACGGGTTTCACCGTGTTAGCCGAGATGGTCTCAATCTCTTGACCTCGTGATCCACCCGCCTCGGCCTCCCAAAGTGCTGGGATTACAGGCGTGAGCCACCGCGCCCAGACGAAAACCCTTTTTAAAAGTTACAAGTTTCTCTGAATGTTTTCCCGCTCTCTCCTTGCCCATCTCCGCTGCTTTAATGACACTTCTGGCTCCTTTAAAGCCTGCTGTCTAGTTCCAGCACTAGAAAGTATTTCAGGAGTACTTACCTACAATGTTGGCTTCTTTATCGCTTTTCAGAGAGAAAGAATTTCCTCTGAAAAGGGCTTTTCTTCTACCACTGTGGCTCCTGCCACCTCCTACCATTTGACCACACACTGTGCAAAGCGTGTATGTGTTTAAGTCCCACACTTCAATATGCTTGCAGGCCCGCCTTCCCTAGAGCTCAGATACCAATCAGGGTCGGGGGAGGGGGACATGCCCAGAGCACCAATTCCTCAGACAGAGCTCACCTCCTATCTTGTTCTCTCTACTCCATCACACACATCCCCCACTTTCTCTCCTCCCTTTCCGTCTTCCCTCCCTAATTCCAGGTCATAATCAGCTGTTTGAAACAAGTATAGTGTTTCCCTTTAAATCTTTTGCTACATGTGTGCAACATCATTGAGTCCTTATAATGATCCATAAAGGTAGTCATTACTTTTCCTGATTTTATAGATAAAATATTAATATTTTAGCTCATTAAGGTTGGAAGCTAAGTTGGAATCCTAGGCCTGTATGACTGTATCCAGTAGATATATGATTTTAAAACTTTTCTCTAGCACCTGGAGTCTTTTTTTAATGTATAAATTAAAACTTACATAGTGTCCTTTATTCACAGAATGGCTTGGGCTGCAAGTGATAAAACCCTGATTCAAGCTGGCTTGGATAACGGGGAGAATTAAAAATCTCACCTAACAGAAAGTCCAGAGGTGATATGAACTTCAGCACGGTGCATCAGGGCTCCAGTCACACTTCTGCATGGCTCTGTCCTGGTTCTTTCTTCCTCTGTGTGACACATGTATCCTCAGGCTGGGAGCAAGATGGCAGTAGTGGTTTTAGGCATCCCATTTAGACTGCAAAACCTACAGCTGGAGTTGGGGTGGTCTTATCTTATGAGGGAGGAATGTTTCTCCGAAGTTCCCCAGCAGACGTCACTTTATGTTTCATTGCCTACATCTGGGTCACGTGTTAGCTTTAAAGAAATTACTCCCAAGGGGTCATCCTAATTGGCATGTACAAGTAAGGTTCACTCTGGAGCTAACAAGATGGCTCCCTTTGCCACCTGTGGTTGTAAAATTCTAAGGTGGCCCCTAAGATTCCCACCCCATGGTGAGCATATCTTGTATAATATCTTATCCTTGAGTGGGGGTGGAACCTGTGAACCTGATGAATATGACAGGATAATCATTCCCTTGTCTAGATTATGTTATATGGCAAATGGTGGTTATGTTATATAAGACTCTGTCATAGCACACTGGAGAGATTAAGCTCACTGGAGAGATTCTAAGCTACTAGCTTTGGAGATGGCAGGGGTCATCGTCCTATGGCAAGGATCTGAGAGTGTTCTGTAGGAACTGAGAGCAGTCCTCGACAGCCAGCTAGCTACCACATTCTTCCAACAATCTGAGTGAGTGTAGAAGCAGATTATTCCCCAGAAGCTCCAGAAAGGAGTGTAGTGTGACTGACATCCAGATTTCACCATGTACAATGCTGAGCAAAGAATCCAGCCACGCCATGCCAAGTTCTGATGTAGAACTGTGAACTAATCAATGGGTGTTGTTTTAAGCCACTAAATGATAACTTATATGAAGCAACAGAAAACCAGTGCAAGTCATAGGAAACTGAATTCTGTCAATAGCCTCAATGGGCTTAGAAGAGGACAATGTGCCAGAGATGGCATCATGTCCCAGAAAAAACCTGGATTTAACCTGCAAGACTGAGCAGAGAACCCAGTTACTCTGTGCCCAGACTTCTAACCTATAGAAACCATGAGATCATAAATGGATATTGTTTTTAGTTACTAAGTTGGTGGTAATTTGTAGTGAAGCAATATACAGTGAATATACCCCAACCCCTCATCCCCATGTCACACTGGAGGTAGACAGCTGGGCTTTGTCAAAACAGAGATTAGATGTTGAGTATAAAATAGATAACACCAATACCTTATTAGCATAATTATATTTTCTAAATTCACAAATATAACAGTAAAAGTTAATAAAGGAAAATCATAGTACTGTTCTAAAGAATATATGAAATTGAGGGTTATGAATGACAATTACTGTATCCAATTTGTTTCTCTATTTTCTTTTGTTTGCACAGATCAAGACAATTCTGACTCACACATATTTAATAATCATGCAGTCAATTTAATAATTGTATATGTTGTAGACATGTATAAGCTTGAATAAAAAAAGGGCCACTGCAGAACTGCAACCTCTGTAATCACTGATACAGCTACAAGATGTCTAATTAAACACAAAGAAACAATAGATCTTTTAATACCAGGATTTGTATAAAATCAAATTTTTGTAGTTACACAATGCAGTCTCTAGAGTGTTTCAATTTGATATGACATTTACATGCATATACTGATTTCATTACAATTTAAACATAAATGAATATATATATATATATATATATATATATATATATATATATATTTAAAAATTAAATTTGAATCCAAGCTTTGTGGAACATCTTTGTAGACCCTTAGGGTTCCACAGAAAATAATCTGAAAGCTCCTGCTCTGATCTCATGAGTTCATGCTGACAACTGCTAGTCTTTCAGTATGGTTGACATCATCTAGGAGAAAGTCAAAAGGATTACTTTTGTTTGTTTGTTAAGTCCAAACAAGCACCTCATCATAAGTTGTTGAGAGGCTAAAATCTTGGTGGGAGGTCTCAGTGGGAGACAGCAGTTCCCAGCCCTGTCCAGCTCATCAGCAGTTGCTTAGTGGGGAGGCCAGGCAGTGATTTCTTGTACCTGGGATTCTGCATGTTTGTGGGCCAAGCAGTGCTGGAACACATTGGGGATGGAGTAGACAACTTTGATTTCTTGGACTGGGAGCTGGTCTGGCCTCATCACACAGGGCAAATGGAGGTGACTTGATCTTTCAGACTCCAGTGACTGAAGTGTGAAAACAGTTTGAAGCATGAGGTATAAAATATGAATATTTATACTAAGTGGGCTAGAAAAAGACTATGCTAGTTCCCTGCATTAGGGATATTTTATAATAATAGAAGAGCTATAAAAAGGATTTCTGGAAAATGTAACAATTATAAACATATATACATCTAACAGCAGAGTCCTAAAATTACACAAAATGAAGATGGACAGAATTGTACAGAAAAATAGATAATTCAACAATAATAATTGAGGACTTTAATACGCCACTCTAAAGATACTGGAATAATTATACAGCAAATCAATAATATTTAGACAATGTAGACACTGACTAAAGTTTCTCAAACTTCTAGCTAAAGTTTGATTTGAACTAACCTGGCTTTCTGATCTATCCGTTTAATATTTAAGTTTATTGACTTAGGACTCATGGATTCCTAGACAGTACATGCAGGCTTTTAGGGGTTTCCTAATCCTATAAAATAATATGCAAACTATTTTGTGAGTGAAGGCATTTGGGGAAGGGGTGTTCATGGCTTTCATCAGTCTGTTAACATACATTCTTTTGAGGATGTGCTGTGTACCAGGTACTGGTCTAAGTGTTGGTTGACAGCTGAGAACAAGACAAAGTTGTATAGAATGTATATTTCACTGTCAGTGGGGTGAGGTGGGACATTCAGACATAAAAAAGTAACAGATTGCTTTAGATACTCATGTATGCTCAAAAGAAGATATGATAATGTGATAGGCATTGTCTTTGAGGGCCCTAATTTAGCTTGAGTAGCCAAGGAAGACTCCTCATAGGCAGTGATATTGGAGAAGGAAGGTGCTAATGTCCTGAGATGGGAACAAATGCATTACATTCAAGGGGCTGAATTAAGCCCAGAGTGGTGGAGCACAATAACTGAATGGGAAAGTAGAGAGAGATGATTTTGGAGCCTGCAGGAGCCAGATCATGGAGGTCCTCTTATGCCGTGTTCTAGGATTTAAAGTCTAGCAAACCAGTGGTAAGCCATTTGGGGGTTTTAGGTGGGAATGTATTCTGACTACTGTGTGGAGAATGGAACACCAACTAGAAACTAACTTCCATGGCCCAGATGGGAGGTGATGGTGAACAGAATGAAGAGAGGGAGAGGAGAGACTTTAAAGAACTTAACAATCACTAAGGCAAAGAGCCCTTTAAAATGGGAGTGTACCAGTCTGAGTGTCATTAGAAAGTAAATTATATCAATTTAAGCCCAGTGGGACACCAGTTCATGTCGTTCATCATTCCTTCATTGGGTCTGTAAGCTGTAGTTTAGAAAAAAGCAGTGTGATGATATGAACAAAAGAGTTTACAGGCAGGAATCCAGGTAGAGTTGAAATCACCACTAAAGTAAATGGGTGGTAAAAGGTAACACTAGCTCCTATAACAAAAAATGCCCAGCTTCAGTGGCTTACCACAATGAAAGTTTATTTCTCATTCATATTCTTCTCTAAGTAGTAACTCAGGAAGATGAACTTCCATTGCTTGCCTCTATCATCTCAGAATTCTAAGCTTCCTCAAGGAGATTGAGGATATGGAAGATCACACAGCATGTTTTAGGAGCTAGGCCTGTAAGTGACTTATATCAATTCTATCCCACATTCTGTTAGTCAGAATCCAGTCACCTGGACACATCTAACTGCAAGAGCATGGGAGAACTCGGATATGGGTGAGTGCTAATAATCTCAGCTACAGTTGTTTAGAAATCATGCTCCTGCCATGCCCCAACTGCTTATGGCTGGACTGCCCAAGATGAAGCTAGAATGTTTCATTTATTCTCTTAGCATCACTGCTGTGGCCATTTGTCTCAATGGTAGATAGGTTTTTAATTTCTTTTCTGTGTTTGCTTGTTTGTTTTTGGTTGTTGTTTAACTATAGTCTACCTGCATCAAAATAGTGTTCTTTGGTTTCTAGAAATTGGATCCCTATATATTTCTTTTTCTTTGGGGCACATATTTGGCTTTTCCTGCACCCAATCATATCTGGCAAAGGTACGGTCTAATTTTCTTTCATGAGATTAACTTTGTGTAAACAAAGTATTACATAAGATAGAGCAGTGGTCCCCAACCTGTTTGGCACCAGGGACCTGTTTCATGGAAGACAATTTTTCCATGGACTGGGGAGGGGGATGGTTTGGGGATGATTCAAGTGCATTATAATTATTGTGCACTTTATTTCTATTATGATTACATTGTGCTATATAATGCAATAATTATGTAACTCACCATAATGTAGAATCAGTGGGAGCTCTGAACTTGTTTTCCTGCAACTATATGGTCCCATCTGGAGGTGACGGGAGAGAGTGACAGATCATCACGCATTAGATTCTGAAAAGGAGCACGCAGCCTAGGTCCCTGGCTTGCACAGTTCACAATAGGGTTCGTGCTCCTATGAGAATCTAATGCCACAGCTGATCTGACAGGTGGTGGAGCTCAGACGGTAATGCCAGCGATAGGGAGCAGCTATAAATACAGGTGAAGCTTTGCTTGTCCCTGCTCACCTCCTGTTGTGCAGCCCAGCTCCTAACAGGTCACAGACCGATACCAATCTGTGGCTCAGGGGCTGGGGGCCCCTGAGATAGAGGACTTAGTTGCTGAAATGGGGATCTATTACCAAAACTCAATACTTGTACTGTGAATACAGCATGAGCATTTAGAGCCCATAGAGAGTCTAGAGCCAGAGGTTCTAGGCTATATGTTTGTGTAACTTCTGACTGGGCTGCTCTATTCTCTGTGTTGCATAATCTTTAATTATAAAAATAATATATGATATTTACCGATTGCTCTCTATGTGTCAGGCTTTCTTCTCAGCACTTTACATGGATCATTGCAATCTTCATAAGAAATCTTTGAGGTAGTTGTTTGTATGCTCACTGTTACAGTGAGGAAACTGAGGCACAGGAAAGTTAAATTGTGTCAGAAAAATTATGGACTTCAGGGCCTCAAATCAGATATTTTCAGGGAATTGGAGGATCCTTCTGGTACAATTTTTGCTTGTAAATTTTTGGAGAAAGTTTTGTTTTTATGTTAAAGATTCTATAGAAAATTACATTTGTTATAGAATAGATTTGTTATAACAAATTACATTTATTATACAATGAACTTTTCTATATTAAAGATTAAATAACAAATTAGATTTGCCTTACATCACTTCCCAGTTAGTTTCAGAGGAAGAATAACATAAATGCTTTTTGGCTACATGGGCATGTATCTTTATAAGCACTCAAGATGCTTCCTGTTAGTTTCTTCAGTGATGCTCATAATACTGATAATATTGTTTCCGAGGAAACCATGGGCTGAATAAACATGATTCTTGTCTGAAGATCCATTGTACTCTTTGTATGATGTTTTTGAATACTTATATAAAGTCATTTCTTCACAAGAACATCTTGTTTGCATTACCAAAATTACACTCTGCTGAAGAAATAGCTCATGACTCATGTGCAAAAGGATCATTGGTAAGCCTTCTGGACAAGGTGCTGGTTTTCAGCTTGCATTTATTGGCGCTGTTTAATTTAGGTGAGATCTGTGTGAAGTGGCTCTCTTAAAAAATTATCATTGAGTTTATTTAGTCAGTAACACAATCCAGCACTTGTCAAATCTATTTACTACTATTTACACATGAAATATCTTAAAGAAGACTGGAAAATTACTAGTAGGCTATTCATTTCTCAAATTGTTCAAAAATGAGGTACTAAAACAGAAATTGGTTCTTTTGCAGTTTTATGTTTCCTCCTAAATCTTGGCTGATGTTCCTTGCTCTTGTACAGGGTGGGAAACCTTCTTATAAGTGGTTATGAGCTTCTGTCAGGGATCATAAGAAGGTGGTCCAGCCCGTAAGCCTTGTAGACCTGATATTTTGCGCGGTGTTTTACAAATTTTCAATGTGAAGACCTTTAGTTGGGGTATTTCCATTGAAATTTACCTTACCCCCTTTACCCTGGTTTTTATGACACAGCTCATACATTTATAAGATGAAGTTGGCCCCCGAACAGCATCCAGGACTGACGTTCAGTTTCTAGAAGGTGGCCCCCTAACTTCCTCTTTTTCAAAGATTGAGTGCCTTTTTTGCCCAGATCATCAGCTGGGCATATTTTGGGATTTACCCAAAGTTGATCACATCTGATAAAGGCCCAGTTATATATATTTATAGACAAAGCATCCTGTAGGATTTGTGGATTAGGTGCTGGAGTTAAAACCTATTAACAACAATCAAGATATGGGCTGCAAGTAGGGGCTAAGGGTTTAGGGCCTCTGATACGTTTGGCCATGGATACTATTAAAAATATTTATGCAACTTCTAATTTGATGCATGAATTTTTAATCACTGTGGGCCTGAGGGAAGAGTTTAGGGTTAAGATATGTACTTGTGATGCTTAGCACACTTCCTTATCACTCTAATTTTCATATAAACTCCAAGTCCTGAAAAAAAAATAGCCCTCTAAGAGATTCTAAACCTGAACTGTCTAATAGGATAGTCACTAGCCACATGTGGCTAATGAGCACTTTGAACCTTGGCTAGTCCAAATTGAGATATTCTGTAAGTGCAAAACATATACCAGATTTCAAAGACTTAATGTGAAAAATAGAGTATAAAATATCTTCTTAGTATTTTTTGTACTGGTTGCATGTTGAAAAGACAATATTTTGGATATATTGGGTTGAAAATACATTATTAAAATCAACACACCTATTTCTTTTTCTCTTTTTAAATGTGCCATTAGAAAATGTAAAATTACATATGTGGCTTGCATTTGTAACTTGCATTATATTTATATCAGGCAGCATTGGTCTAAACAATGAACAAAGACTATTATGACCCTAACATATATTGTTTAGCACAGATCACAACTGATAAATAATTTTTCTTAGTGGCCTTAGTAGGACTAAGTGTATTTGTCATAGAGAAGTCATAATTAAAATGTCAATAAATCTTCATTGAGTGAAGACACTTATTTCTTGTTTGAGTTCACTCATTCATCTTCTAACACATACACTTAAAAAGGATCACTCAAAATAGACTTAGTTGTGCATGCTCTGGTGTCTGAAATAGTCTCATTGCTTTTAGTGAATTATAGTTGAGAAGCAGGAGGCACATGGTTTGTTTTGACAGCTAGGAATGCAAGAGACATTATAGTTTAGATTTAACATTCCATCTGCTGCATTTTGCAAGTAGAAGAGCTAAGTCTCAGTGAAGAGGGACCTGATGGAATGGAGTGGTGGTGGTTCTGTTTTATCCTATGTCTTCCTTTTTATTTTTAACTTATGAGCTAAAGAAAAGACATAACAAACATCACTGTGCATTAGCAACCTTGCCAAGTGTAACAGATGAACATACTTCTATTGAGTATCACTCAGTCTTAGCCAGTTGGATTGCTCATTGCTCTGCCTCAACTACTAGGGGAAGGCATCTTTTTAAAGCTATAGATTCCACTTCTGATTCAAAAAGATCTGCTTCCTATGGATTACTAGAACAAATTAAAAGCAAAAGCCTGCTTCTTTGGATCAAATTGAATACATTTCTGATTGTCAGGTCTTTATAGAGTTCATAGGTGAAAGGGACTCAAAGTAGGGACTCAAAGGAATTGTTTCTCTAACTAATATTTAAGCAAACTAATAGCTTCTAAGTTCTAGTAGCAGTTTTCTGACTAAATGGCTTTATGAACGAGGTTTATATCAACTGTCTTTGTATTTGTAGCCTGACTATATTGAAACTTGTTAAATGAACTATCCAATGTGGCAGAGTCTGTTAGCTGTCCAACAAAATTTGTTTTCTTTTTTGTCATAGTAATAGAGTTTTACTGGAAATGTGGCTGGTCAGCTGAAGACTAAGTTTTCCAAACCTCCTTGAAGTTATATATAGCCACATGGGTTATTTCTCTTCGTTAGGATGCAGGAGGAAGTGAGGTATAACACTTCTGGGCCAAGTCCTAAGTTGATGAATGTGCCGTCCATACATATTCTTCCTTCTTGCAATGAGCTGCAAAGGCAATGACTAGGTTGATCTTGGAAGTTGTAAACATAGATCCCCCTATCAGCCTGGGTCTCTGAATGACCATGTGGAGGAGAGACACTTGCCACACGGGCATTTTTGTGAAAGAGGAATAAACTTATGGGTATTTGAGTCTTTTGGAATTCGTTACAGGCGTTTGGCATACTCTAACTAATATAAACTATAGTTGTTGTTATATTGGTAATCATCTGATTCAATAATAAGGAAATATTACAAATCACAAGTATACCTGTTGAGATAATTTTCTTTTCTCTCAGTACACACTTTTATCCTTAACAGTTGTAATCTTATTTATTTTACCTTTCTTTTATGCTGGCTGTATATGTTAGTTGTAGAAGTAAAGGATATCTGAACTGGAAATGGGTCAGGTAGTCCCAATCCTCATTTTACCAATGGGGAAGTACCCATAACTTGCCTGCCTGATGTGACATGGCTAGGGAGTTGCAGGAATTGAACCAGAATTCAAGTTTCCTGTTTTTCATTCCATATCTTTCCAATATACCTAAGAGGTGTAAATAATTCCATTCAACTTGCCATCTCTGATGGATTGGTAGTGCCTTTCCAGACCATTGTTTTCAATAGTATGAAGCCATGTTCTGGCCCATGGAAGAGAAAAGGAGAGTAGAGAAAATTACACATTAATGCAATCTCACACCAAGTTATGTTCTGTGATGTATCTTGGCAGTATTGTAAAGGTGATAGTTTTGTTTATCTTTTGAATAGTGACAGTCTGAACTGAATATTCTGATATTGTCATTATTAACAGAATTAGCATCCTAGTGTAGTGAAATGAACATAGGACTGAGTGGAAATCTGGAATTTAGCCTTAGTGTTTTTTTTTCTAACTTGACATTAAACAGATCATTTTAACACAGCTAAACTCAAATTTGCTCATCTGTAAGATAAGGCTGTGTGCAAAATTGTATTCCAAGTGTAAATTTTTGTTATTCTATGAGAAAATTTCAGTGACAGCATGTAGTAAATATAGCTTCCTGCTCTTATAAATATATCTGTGTCTATCATCTTTCTCTCATCTATCTGTATCTATCTATCTATCTATCTATCTATCTATCTATCTATCTATCTATCTATCTTCTTCATCATTATCATCTATCTATCATAACCTTTAAGATAAATCTTTAATCAGATTAACAAAATATAAAATTTTAATATTATGGCTAATTATCATAAGGGTACATATTTATATGGAGTTTTTATTTGTATTTTCACATTGATCTCTACGACCACTCTGTGAGGTTGGCAGAGTAACAGTTGCCTTTAGTTGGTTTAGTTCCTTTTTTGTAACATGGCATGGCATGAACAAAGGACTCCATTTATAGGTAATAAGGCTGAGGCTTGGGAAAAGTAGATGACAAACTCTAAATCACTTAACACTTAAGTGAAGAAACTGGAACTTCATTTCAGACCAGATGTACATTTTCTCTGGATCACACTTCCTTCATAATCTCTGAATTCAAACAGTTGTACTTTGCTTTGAAAAAATTGTTATGGAGACTACTGTGGTGTCTTCAGGGTAATTCAGATTCTGGACATTTTGGGTTTTATTTAGTGAATGTTTGTTGCTGTTGTTAACGTATGTCGTAGAGATTAATGGTGTCCTCTCCTCTGTTTTTAGCAGTTGAAGTCATACTCTGCCACACCTCATCAGAGGTTTCTCTTGGCCCTAGTTCTCTGCTTGTCCATGCTTGGCTTAAGTTAACCCCTCCTGTTGAGTCACTGTGGATCCCTGCCACAGCTTTTCAACTTAGCTTCAATGTGAACCTTGGATAGGAAAAACTCAGACTGGCCCATCAGTGAGACCAAGATGCTCCACAGAAGAGCATGGAGGATGTAACATCTGTACTGAATCACAGAACTTGGTTACCAAAATACACTTCATGTGCTTTCCCCTTTTGCTTCTGGGTTGTACTTTCACCAGGCAGCACTTAGACGTTGAGGGCTGAGCTGTTGGGTTGTGTGGTGAACTCTGTACAACTGGTGTCTTTCACTACTGGAAAACCTTCAGGTTGCTTTACAAGACAGTTATGGGTAGACTGTCTATCACGGTAAATGGTTTGGAAAATTACTTTCAGGATTCTATCATCTTCCATTCAAAGGGAAGTCTCTGGTTTGTTTAATATCTCTCATAATGTTCTTTGGGATTAGATGTAGAAATATGGGCTCAATGTGAGCATGGTTAGGTGGTTCCTTACCTGGTTAAAGAGCTGTTACTAAATGGATCAACCAGTTCCTAGTGGTAGTCTAGCTTGGGCCCTGTTCTGCTAAATATTTTGATTTAAGATTTGGGTGAAAGACATATATGTGTGTGTGTGTGTGTGTGTGTGTGTGTGTGTATATATGTATATATGTATATATGTGTATATATATGTATATATGTATATATATGTATATATATATGATATATGTATATATGTGTATATGTGTATATGTGTATATGTGTATATATGTGTATATGTGTATATGTGTGTATATGTGTATATGTGTATATATGTGTATATGTGTATATATGTATATATGTATATATTGTATATATGTATATATTGTATATATGTGTGTGTATATATATACATATGTGTGTGTATATATATACGTATATACATATATACGTATATATATACACACACATATGTATACACATATATACATATATACACATATACATATATACACACATATATACACACACATATATGCATATATACACATATATATGTAAGATACGTAAGATATATATACACATATGTAATTTGCTTAACAAATTTTGGATGTGACAAAAAAATTAGAAGAACAGATAATATATTGCATGACAAGCTGTTCATTAAAAACTATATTAAGAGTCTACAATAATCACCTGAAACTAACAAGAAATAATTCCTGAATTTAGATTTAGAAAATAAACTTCTTTGTGAATGTTCATGAAGAGGAAGACTCAGTTTAGCAGCACTTTGGGACAAAATATTTCAGTTGATTACAAGCTGAATAAAAGCCAACAGTATGGATGCAGCTGTTGGGGAGGCTGCTGCAGTATAAAGGGAGTACTGAGAGAATATGATGTTTGGATTTATGGAGATGATGGCTTCATTGTAACATGCACTGGTCAAAACGCATCAGGAATATTGGGTTTTATTTTTGATGCCATGTTTTAAGTGGGTATTGTTAGATGAAATAAATTGGATACTGAAGAAGTTAGAACAATTCAAAGAACTGGGATGTTTAACCTGAGCAAGGATAGTGATGATGAGACATATTAACTAGCATGACCATATGCTTGATTTCACTTGGGTCATTCCCCATTCATGCCTGGTTCCCAGTGTCTCATCTGGCTTAGCATCTGTTCCACATGTGTTATTTTTACTTTTTTAGACAGAAACTTATTTTGGAAAATGCTCTTGAATTATAACTTTTAAATAAACCCCCCAGTATATTAAAAACTGATATTTGATTAATAAATATAAATTTCAAATTATAATATTTCAATTATTTTAGCACCACTTTTTATTTTCAAACTTGTCCCCATTTTGGGTAGTAAATTAATAACAGTCTTCCTATCTGGAGGGTCCTCTTTTTGAGAGATTTACTTTTGTGTGAAGATTACTTTTATGTACGTCACAGGAAAGGACTCTGATCAACTGGTGGACATTATAGGAAGTTCAGTTTCAGCTCAATGTAAGCTTTATGCAGTGGTAGTCTCTCACCTCTGGGAAAGTTCATGTGAAGCCTGATAACCTCTTGCATTCCAAGATTTAAAAATACCTTCTTATGGGCTGGGCGTGGTGGCTCATGCCTGTAATCCTAGCACTTTGGAAGGCCGAGGTGGGCAGATCACTTGAGGTCAGTAGTTTCAGACCAGCCCCGCCAACCCCATCTCTACTAAAAATACAAAAAAATTAGCCAGGCATGATGGCAGCTGCCTGTAATCCCAGCTACTCAGGAGGCTGAGGCAGGAGAATCGCTTGAACCCGGGAGGTGGAAGTTGCAGTGAGCCGAGATCACGCCACTGCATTCCATTCAGTCTGGGCAACAGAGCGAGACTCTGTCTCAAAAAAAAAAAAAAAAAACAACAAAACCACAAAAAATTTATTATGGAAAACTTTCAAATATACCAAGATTTGAGCAAATAATGTAATGTCAGAAATGTTTTGAAGATGGAACTTTGGCATAGTAACCCAAGGGACCTACAGCCATCTGAAGAATCACCTTTGTTATAGGATGTAGGGATGCTGGCCAGGATGAGGGTATATGCATACTAGATCACAGTCCATATGATGTTAACAACAGGACTTCCATTGCCAAGTTTCACTGATAGAATCACAGTTTCGTAGGTATCAGGAGTCTCAATTTTCTTCTCTAGTTTCCTTGATATACAGCTCCTCATGCATAAGAGTTACTTTTTCATTCTGTCTTTCCCATTCTTCCCTAGTGGAGGGTCTTGTTGGAGATGTGGCCCTTCACTGCCTCATCTGGCCCCAACCCGATGACTAACCAAGCTACTAATTCACAGTGTCTAGCCCATGGTAGGTGCTTAATACACCTTTGTCAACTGAGTGAACGGCCCTCTGGCAAGCTGCTGTCTACCATCCTTAGAACAGTAAAAGCCTAACATAGTTTCTTCCCCTCTAGAAAATGGGATTTGGAAGTAGTAATTTTAAGTTGTTCTATCCATAGAGGGTTGAAGAAACTGGAATATAAGAGAACTCTTGGCATTGATGCCATTCTGGGGTGATAGCTTCTGGATTCCTCACTTATTAAACAAACTAATTAGAAAGTAGATATAATCTGTTCTCACAACCTATTATGTAAATTTAAGGAAATCCCAGTTCTCTCTGCATTTAGATGCCACAACCATCACCTTGCATGAAAAGTTTATTCAGGGCAGACAAAACTATATTCTCAGAAGGAATTATATACCCTTATACTTGGAATCAGAAAATGAGAAATTCTCTTAATTAATGGCTGAAATCGGGCCCCTTGGAGAGCAGGACATAGGTGTTGTCTCCAAGACCGTAAGGATACAGGTTTTGCAAGGTTCTATTTCCTCCTCATGGAAGGGCAGAGTGTCTCTAAAACTTTAACCAAGCCACATGTCTGTTACACTTGGTTATTTCACCAATGAGAGCCATTACTAAGATTGATCATGGCATTTCATCAATAAGACAAGCCACTAGTTTCACCAATAAAAATCCATTTATGACACTTGCTATGCTAATGTGCAAAGTATTTGATATTGATGATATGGTAATCATTACAATTGATCAATCTGATATTAATCAATAACCATTTGTAGTCGTCACTGCTGAAGCATGGCATTTCTTTTTTTGTGTGTGTGATGATGATTATTATTATTTTTATTTTACTTTAAGTTCTGGGATACATGTACAGAACGAGTAGGTTTTTTATACAGGTATACATGTGCCATGGTGGTTTGCTTCACCTATCAACTCATCATCTGGGTTTTAAATCCTGCATGGATTACATATTTGTCCTAATGCTCTCCCTCCCCTTGTCCCCCACCCCACAACAGGCTCTAGTGTGTGTTTCTCCCTTCCTTGAGTCCATATGTTCTCATTGTTCAACTCCCACTTATAAGTGAGAACATGTGATATTTGGTTTTCTGTTCCTGTGTTAGTTTGTTGAGAATAATGGCTTCCAGCTTCATCCATGTCCCTGCAAAGGACATGATCTCATTCTTTTTTATGGCTGCATAGTATTCCATGGTGTATACGTGCCATATTTTCTTTATCCAGTCTATCTTTGATGGACATTTGGGTAGGTTCCAAGTCTTTGCTATTGTGAATAGTGCCACAATAAACATATGTGCATATGTCTTTATAGTAGAATGATTTATAATCCTTTGGGTATATACCCAGTAATAGGATTGCTGAGTCAAATGGTATTTCTGGTTCTAGATTCTTGAGGAATTGCCACACTGTCTTCCACAGTGGTTGAACTAGTTTACAGTCCCACCAACAGTGTAAAAGTGTTCCTATTTCTCCACAGCCTCGCCAGCATCTATTGTCTCCTGACTTTTTTATAATCGCCATTCTTACTGGAGTGAGATGGTATCTCACTGTGGTTTTGATTTGCATTTCTTTAGTGACCAGTGATGATGAGCTTTTTTTCATGTTTATTGGCCACATAAATGTCTTCTTTTGAGAAATGTCTCTTCATATCCTTTGCCCACTTTTTGATGGGATTGTTTTTTTTCTTGTAAATTTGTTTAATTTCCTTGTAGATTCTGGATATTAGATGTTTGTCATATGGGTAGACTGCGAAAATTTTCTCCCATTCTGTAGGTTGCCTGTTCACTCTGATGATAGTTTCTTTTGCTGTGCAGAAACTCTTTAGTTTAATTAGATCCTATTTTTCAAGTTTGGCTTTTGTTGCAATTGCTTTTGGTGTTTTAGCCACGATGTCTTTGCACATGCCTATGTCCTGAATGATATTGCCTAGGTTTTCCTCTAGGGTTTTTATGGTTTTGAGTTTTACATTTAAGTCTTTAATCCATCTTGAGTTAATTTTTGTATAATGTGTAAAGAAGGGGTCCAGTTTCTGTTTTCTGCAGTTGGTTAGCCAGTTTTCCCTGCACCATTTATTAAATAGGGAATCCTTTCCCCATTGCTTGTTTTTGTCAGGTTTGTTGAAGATCAGATGGTTGTAGATGTGTGGTGTTATTTGTGAGGTCTCTGTTCTGTTCCATTGGTCTATATATCTGTTTTGGTACCAGTACCATGGAGCATGGCACTTCTAATAGAATACCTGCTTATCTTCCTTAAAGTTTGAATTCTCAGGGCAACTGGCTGCCTCTAGATTTAAAGCATAAACTCATAATATCATGATAACCTTGATGAAGTATTTTAAAGTAAATTTGCAGACACTGTAATACTAATGTAATTAGACCTGAGCCCCATTCAGTAGACTTGGATCTGTCTTTTTTGCATGACTCTTGTTGGCTCCATTTTTCATGTTGGTCATTGCCTTTGGTTTTCTCATTAACACCTTGCATCTAGGTTCTTCTTGGCCTATTCTGTCTTTCTGAAGCTATGTCTCCATCCAGACTTGTTAGGTATAATGTATGTGACCTTATCTTGAACTGGAATTTTGTATATACCCACTGAGATATGGTTGTGGTAGATTATTGGTCTTCACCCTTTCTGGAGATGAGTGTCCAAGTGCTTCCCAGTTGCATAACTCCTCTTCTTGTTTGTATGTAGTATTTACTAACTCTGACATGAGAAGCATGTGATGAGGAGGGTGTATGGGGCAAAGTCCCACTAAATGAGAAGGCAGTATTTGAGATGTAGATTTTAGGTTATAAAAATGGTTTATTAAAGTATAATTGACAGAAGATGAGCAGTGCATATTTAAAGAGTACAATTTCCTAAGTTTTGATGTAAACGTGCACCCATGAAACCATCACCACAATCAAGATATTGAGGATAGCCATCACGCCCCTTTGCAATCTTGTCCTGTCACCTCTCCCTCCCTCACCCCTAACCCAAGGCAATGACCGATCTGCTTTCTGTCTCTATATTCTATGTTCTCATTTTCTAGCATTTTATAGGAAGCAATCATACAGTATGTACTCTTTGTTAATTGTTCTTCTTCAGTCAGCATACTTATATTGAGATTCATTCATGTTGCAGTAGGAATCAACTACTATTGAATGTAGTGGGTTCATTTTCATTAATGAGGAGAATTCCATTGTGCAGATATACTAGTTTGTTTATTCATTCACCTGTTGATGGACAGCTAGGTTGTTTCCAGCTTTCGATTATCATAAATTAATTTGTTATGAACATCAATGTACAGTGTTTGTGTAGACATATGCTTTCTTTTCTCTTGGTAAAATACCTAGGAATGGAATGGCTGGATCATATGGTAGTGTTTGTGTAACTGTTTAAGAACCTGTCAAATTGTTTTTCAGAGTGGTTATACCATTTTACATTCCTGCTAGTGTTCCTGGAACGAAGCCGGGTCCGGCTGCATTTTCTCAAGTCCCAATAATGAGAAGCAGACAAACTAGGAAGAAGGGAATTTATTACTGTAACTGGATACAGTGAGAAGGCCAGAGGTAATTCCACTAGACCAACTCAAAGTGTTACAATTTTCTTAGTCCTTATATAGATTGGGGTTATGTACCTATAGCATAGCATTCGCCTAAGTCTATTGGTAACTAATTTTGTTCCAACTAGGTCAGAGGCAAAAAATGCTTGCTAAGTCCGATTAAAAGGGCCCCAGTACATTCAAGGCCTGCCTATTGTGGTACTGCAGTGATTATTTCTATCTTATCTCCTTTACAGCTTGGTCTGGAGAGCTGCCTTAGACTCTCCATTGAATCTATTCAAACAGCTGCCTCTGTTACCTTGACTTGTCTCAGATTTTGTTGACCCAAGACAGGTCCTGGCACTGGGAATGTAAAACTGTTTATTATTTTGGCTTGCTCCAGCGAAGGAGAAGCCCATGCAAGCCTCCTACTGACCATGTGTTTCATTTCTAGCTTTGATGTCTGGGCACCGATTTCCCTAGGTTTAACTATTTGCTCAATGTGAAGGCAGCGCAGTGGAAATTTGTCTGTGTAACTGGGTTGCTATGCAGGCCTGTCTGTGTGACTGTCATGCAGGCCTGTCTGTGTGATAGCCAGGGAGAATTGGCCTGCCACACCAGCAATATATGATTCTTTATAAATTCTTCATAAATTCTAAATACAAGCCCCTTATAAGAAGCACAGTTTGCAATTTTTTTCCTAAGTTGTGGCTTCTGTTTATTCTCTTTACAGTATTTTTTGAAGAGCAAAATTTTTAATTTTGAGGAAGTCCAGTTTGTTCTTATATAGATTGTGCTTTTGATGTGGTATCTAGAAAATCTTTGCCTAGAAAATCTAGAAAATCTTTGTGGTATCTAGAAAACTTTTATTTTCTTCTAGAAGATTTTTACAGATCCATTTTGAATTATTTTTTGTACATTTGTATGTAGCTGGGGTATGAATTCTTTTCAGTGTGTGTGTGTGAATGGACATCGATTTTCCGAGCATCATTTGTCAAAAAGACTGTCCTTTCTTCACTGACTTTTCTTTGTATCTTTGTGAAAAATCAACTGCTCCTATATGGATGAGTCTGTTTCTGTATATTTCATTCTGTTTCACAGATGAATTTGTCTACCTTTATATTAATCCCACTATTTTGATTATCGTAGCTTTATAATAAGTTTTGAAATGAGGTAGTGTTAATTCTCCAACTTTGTTCTTTTTCCAAGTTGTTTTGCCTCCCCTGAGTCCTTAGTGTTTTCATATGAATTTTAGAATGTGTTTGTCAATTTCTACATTGCTGGGATTTTATTGGGAACATATTGAACCTATTAATCAATTTGAGAGAAATGACACTGAGTCTTTCAACACACGAATTCAATATATATTTCCCATATTTCCGTTGTTTAGGTCTTCCTTAATTTCTCTCAGTATTGTTTAAAGTTTTTAGTGTTTTATATTTTTTGTAAGATCCATCCCTGATTATTTAATATATTTTGATGCTATATAAATAACACTAATTTTTAATTTCAATATTCGAGTTTTCACTGCTAGTATATAGAAAAACAATTTATTATTATTATTATTTTTTGAGACAGGGTCTCACTTTGTTGCCTGGGCTAGAGTGCAGTGGTGTGATCAGGACTTACTGCAGCCTTGACCTTCTGGGCTCAAGCAATCCCCCCTCCTCACCGTCCCACCCACGTAGCTGAGACTACAGTTCCATGCCACCAGGCCTGGCTAATTTTTTTATTTTTTGGAGAGACAAGGTCTCACTATGTTTCCCAGGCTGGTCTTGAACTTCTGAGCTCAAGCAGTCCTCCTGTCTCGGCCTCCCAGAATCCTGGGATTATAGGTGTGAGCCACCATGCACAATTCAGTTTTGTTTATTGACATTTTGTAAAATCCACTTACTAGTTCTAGTAATTTTTTTTAGTAGATTCCACCAGATTTTCTGCAGAGATAATCATGTCATCTTTGGATAAAGTCAGTTTTACTTTTTTCTTTTCTACTTGGATGCATTCTATTTCATTGTTTGCCTTATTGTACTGGCTACCACCTCTGGTACAATGCTGAACAGAAGCCGTGAGGGTGAAGAGCCTTGTCTTGTTCTTTATCTTAAGGGAAAATAATTCAGTTTTTTCTCGTGACGTTAAAATACAAATAAAATATTAGTTGTGAGTGTTTGTCAGGTTGATGAAGTTCCTTTCTATTCCTAGTTTGATGAAAGTTCTTATCATGAATGGATGCTAGATGTCATAAAATAGTTTTAGTGTTTCTTGAGATAAATATATGGTTTTTCTTTTTTTTCTTTTTTTTTTTTTTTGAGACGGAGTCTTGCTCTGTTGCCCAGGCTGGAGTGCAGTGGCACGATCTCGGCTCACTGCAAGCTCTGCCTCCCGGGTTCACGCCATTCTCCTGCCTCAGCCTCCCGAGTAGCTGGGACTACAGGCGCCCGCCACCACGCCGGGCTAATTTTTTGTATTTTTTAGCAGAGACGGGGTTTCACCGTGTTAGCCAGGATGGTCTCGATCTCCTGAACTTGTGATCTGCCCGCCTTGGCCTCCCGAAGTGCTGGGATTACAGGCATGAGCCACCGTGCCCAGCCTGGTTTTTCTTTTTTCGTTTGGTAATATGGTAATTTATATTGATTGATTTTCTAATGTTAAACCAACTTTACATTATTGGGATAAGATCATACTTTGTCGTGACATCAATTTTATATCTTCTTCAATTTAATTTTCTAAATTTTGATTAGAATTTTCACTTTCATGTTAATAAGGGATTTTGGGCATTAGTTTTTTTTGTTTTTAAATAATGCCTTTATTTGGCATTAAGATAATGCTGGCCCCATAGAACAAGTCAGAAAACATCCTTGCCTTTTCAGTTTTCTGAAAAAAGTGTTTGTAGAATTGGTATTATTTCTTTTTAAAAATTTTAACAGAATTCTCCAGTAAAGTCAAGTGTACCTGGAGTTTTCTTTGCAGGAATTCTTTAACCTATAAACTCAATTTTGTTAATAGACATAATGCTTTCAGGCTATATCTTCTTGAGTGTAGTTTGGTAGTTTGTCTTTCATGGAATTTGTCCATTTACTCTATGTTGCTGAATTTATTTGCATAAGGTTGTTTGAAATGTTACCTTACTATCTTTTTATTATCTGCAGAATCTTTGGTGATATAACGTCTCTCATTATTGATATTAGAAATTTTTTTTCTCTCTTTTTTCGTGTTTAGAAGTTGTCAACCTAATTGATCTTCTCAAATAACTATTTGTTTTATTGTTTTTCCCTTTTCTATTTAATTGATTTCCACTCTGATCATTATTATTTCCTTCCTTCCACTTACTGTGAATTTAATTTGCTCCTCTTTTGCTAGTTTCTTAAGGTAGAAGCTTAGATTGGTGGTTTGAGACCATTTTTCTTTCCTAATATAGGCAATAGGTACTATAGATTTCTCTTCTAAGTACTACTTCAGTAGCATCTGACTAATTTTGATATGTTTTCATTTTAATTCAGTTCACAATTCTAATTTTCATTTTGATTTCTTCTTTGATCCATAGGTAATTTAGAAGTGTATAATTTGGTTCTAAGTATTTGAGGATTTTCTATATATTTTTCTGTTAATGATTTATAATTTAACTCATTTGTGATGATAATATATTTTTATAACTTGAATTTTTTAAAGTTTATTGAGACTTGTTTTATGGTTTAGAATGTGGCCTATTATAATAAATGTTCTGTGTGCATGTGAGAAGAATGTATTCTGCATTTTGTAGGTGGAGTGCTCTAAAAATATCAATTAGGACAAGTTGGTTGATAGTATTGATAAAGCCTTCTATATTTTTATTGGATTTTTGTCTGCTTGTTCTATCAATTAGTGAGAAAGGAATATCTGGGTATAATTGTGGATCTGTATATTCTTCATACAGCTGTATGAAGTTCTTGCATTATAGATTCATAAGTTGTTGTTAGTTATATAAACAGGATTATTATGCCCTTTTAATGAATTGATCCTTTATCATTATAAAATAAACTTTTTCATTGCTGCTTGTATTCTTTGCTCTAAAATTTACCTGATTTCATATAAATATAGCCATTCCAGCTTTCTGTAAATAACTTCCAGCATGGTATATCTTATACTATCTTTTTACTTTTAGCCTATTTGTATCTTCATATTTGAAGTGTGTTTCTTGTAGGCAGCATGTAGTTAAGTCATGCTTTTTTATTCAATATAATAATCTTTGTCTTATGATATGGGTATTTAGACCAGTTACAGTTGATATGGTTGAGTTTAAATCTATCATCATACTAATTGTTTTCCATTTGTTTTTTTGTTCCTTCTTTTTACGTTTTCTGCCTTCTTTTGAATTGATTGAATATATTTTTATGGTCCCATTTAATTTTCTTTGATGGCTTCGTAGCTGTAACTTTGTTTATTTTAGCAATTTTTTTAGAGTTTATAGTATACATCTATAGCTCACCATAATCTACCTTTAAGTGGTGCTGTATAATTTCATGCATCTTATAAGATTCTTTCAGCAATGTCTTTCTGATTTTCTTCTCCTGGCATTTGTGCTATCATTGTCATGCATTTTACTTTTATATATATTACAGTCCCATACTACATTATTTTTGTTTAAACAGTCCATAATCTTTTAAATATATTTAAATAATGAGTAAGTTTTAAAAAATATTTGCTCACACAGTTACTATTTCTGGCGCTCTTTCTTTATTTGTGTAGATCCATATCACTATCTGATATCATCTTCATTCTGCCTGTAGGATAATTTTTATTTTTATTTTTTGGTAATGTACCTACTGGAGATAAATTCTTTTTGCTTTTTAATGTGATTTGTGAGAGATATTCTTATTAGGAATTGAATTTTAGTTGTGTTTGTTTGTTTTTTACTTTTGGTAATTTGATAATGCTGCTCCATTTCTTTCTGATGAGTAATCTCCTCTCATACTTTTTGTCCTGCTAAAAGGATCATGCCCTTTTTTGTCTACGAGTGACTTTAAAATTTTCTTTTTATTACTGTTTCTGAACTCTCAGACTATGATTTACCTTTGTGTAGCTTTCTTCATATTTCTTATGCTTGGTGTTTGCTATGTTTCTTGAAGCCGTGGGTTTATAGTTTTCATCAAATTTGGGAAACTTTTGGCTATTAAGTCTTCAGATTTTTTTTTTTTCTGTCTTCCCCCCTCTCTCTTTTTCGTTCAGGATACTGATTTCATGTTTATTAGGCCGTCTGAAGTTGCCTCACAGTTGTTTATTGTCTTGAATTGTCTTTTTTTCTCTGTGTTTCACTTTGGATAGTTTCTATTGCTATGTTTTCAAGTTCACTGATCTTCCATCTTACGATGTAGTTTTGTACTATAGTTTACATTATTGCTTCTACCCTTATCACTGATTTCATATTTTTTCCAGCCATGAAACTTTGCTTTACTGATTTCTATTCCCCCAAACACCTGTAATACATCACAATACACCAGTCCTTAAACTCTCTGGAGAGCAACTGTGGAGGATTATCTCATGATTCAGCAAGAAAATTAAAATTGACTAGTAGCATAATTATCTTTCAACTTCCTCCATCACTGCGCCAATCGGGAGGTTTTCATCGGGTACCTTTTTTTCTAGCTCTCATTCCTTATGCCAAAAATTGTTACTAGGGCCCCTTTAGTTCTGAGACCTTCGCTCACTCTTCTTTGGCTTTTTCCAACCTTTGCATATTTAAAGGAACTGCTATTAAAATGCCCTGAATAAACCTATCAACTCTGGGTGCCTATGTAGGGGCACTATTAAAAATATTTAACAACCAGATAGAAGCAATGCCAGAGATTTCATACTGAGTCAATATTGCTAGTTGAAGATGAGAGAGGTACTAGAGGAGGATCTGAGGATGATTAGGCTGTAGGGGGGTATGGGCAGGGGTTGGGTGGTCAGCATGCAGTTATTTATAAGCTGGTAGGAAAGTATTTTAATGATTCAACCAGTGTGATATAGCTGTTAAAGTACCTATCCATGAATGTCAGGTCTGTCATGACTCAAAGCGCAAGCAATGCTATGAAATTACTGGGTTCTTTGATTATGTATAAACTTTTAGGCAGGGCTTTCTCATCCAATCCTCTCTATTTGCCAAGGGCAGAGAATATAAAGATTTATTTTTATTGTATCCAGAGCCAGTCTTTCTAAGAACATTTTTTCCTGGTCCCATTGCAAGTTTATGAATCACATGATTCATAATCAGATAGTGTTTATTTTTGACGATTATAGCAATTTAAAAATCAAAGCTATGTAATGATACATCGAGGCTGTCATTTAGGATCTTCTGCTCACCAAGATGTCCTCCAATCTTTAGAACACCACCTAGTGGACTAATTCGAATTATAATTTCTACCTGTGTGTTTCTTCATTTAGGGTGAAATAACAATAAGAAAAACTATCAAAGTAAATGTATTCTTACCATTTTCACTTTCTTGTTCTTATTTTTGATAATTTAGAAATAAGTTAGATTTATCTGAGCTAACTTGTTACTTATGAAGAAGTTTATTTTCTAAGTACTCTGGATTTTTGAGAATCTTGCCTCATTGACATTAATTTTTCGTAATCCAGCACAAAATAAGAACATAAAATAAGTTTTCTAAGAACATAAAATAAGTTTCTATAATTAATGGGGAAATTCTTTCTCGAGTGTTGCTTTAAAACATTTCTTAAATATTTCTAGTCTCCAGGTACCGTCCTAATTCACAGATGCTCAAAATGGCAATTAATAATTGTCTAAAGACTTTGAATGATAATTTAGTTGCCCAAGATGTAATTTATCTGGGCCTAGGAATTTAAATATGTCTAGTTTGAATAATTCCTTTTCATTCACTTCAACTCTGTTTAACCTGTTTAATTTTCAGTTCTTAATGCATTTTGAAATCATGTAAACTTGGACAAATTATATTCTCTTTTATTTCAGTTTCACCTGTAAAATAGGGTAGAATATCTACCCTAGGAAGACATTATAAGTGGAAACCCTGGGCAAACTACAAAATGTAAATAACTATTATTTTAAAGATCTGTATATCTGACTTTTTTATTGCTCTTATTGTAATTCTTTCCCTTCACTTTAAAGAGACGCACTTAGTCATTCTCAAATGATTGCCTGCAGTTTGGTAATTTGCAAGGAGTTATATTATAGTACTGCATTGGGAAGAATAAAACTTAAAAAATTTACTTCTCCAAGTTTTAATAGCTTTCTGTTATCCATATAGTTTGTATTTACTTTCATTTTGAGTTACCCTTTTGAGTCATTATTTTGAGTGACATTAGGGAATAAGTAAATACAACTGATTTCTCAGCAATAGAGACTATGCTGACTGACAGTTCATGAAAAAGTGGACTTTACAGGGAATCTTTGAAAGTGAAAGAGGAGAAACCATTCCCTTGATCCTGGGCTATTAGAACTGATAAATCTTAAAATCTCAGACAAACCCATAAACATTGCACAATGAAATGTGCGTATCACCTACTATTGGAATTATTTTAAAGTGCCTTATTTTTTGTTTGATTGTCAGTGTTGCAAATCCATTTGTCTTACCTCCTGATTTTTCCCTAGCCATCAGAAATCTGTATTCATACAGAAATAGTAAGCTCCCAGAATTTTTCTAATTTCAGAAGAGAGAGAATTTTGTGATCTTCTGCAACAGTGTTATTGATTTTGTAAAAATCAAAAGTTTTCATTCACTGAAAAAGGATTACTTTTTCTTAAGGGTGTGAGAGGATGCAACCATAAACCTGAAGTCAGTTCACACTGAAATCATTTTTTGGTTATTCTTTGGTGTGTGTTCTATACCCACCTGGGCTCCATTACTAAAAGTAAGTGTTGCAAATGGATGCAAATTTAAAGTATTTGCTAAGTCTGTAAGTTATGTTAAAATCTGTTTATTTGTCTTATATTCTACTTGAAAGAAAAGGCTAACAATAACTTATGTGATTTTATAATTTCTACCAAATTAATACTCCCTTTTGGGGTATGTATACACAGATCAGTATTTAATATGCATTTAAGATAATATTCTACAATTAAACATCTGCAAAGGGAAAATATAACTTTGCCAAGTAGGCCCAGCTTGCAGTTAATACTCAGAGCAAATAAAATCACAAGGAAATCTGGTTTTGTGAGCAGTCTAATTCATACATTTAGTTAATAAAGGATAAATTCATGAACTTAAAAGTGCTTTCAAATCACTGTCACAAACTAAAAGTAGTGACCACAAAGCAACAGGACTTCTACAAATATGACAGAATTTCAAGTGAGTAACATCTCCCATACAGTCTTCACCTTGGGAGACCTTGCAGTAATTGTGATACTGGTGTTCTTCTCCAGCATACTTTGTGACTGATCTTTGAAGCACTGTCTTTTGAGTATTGGCTTCCATACCCACCCCACCCTCAATCCCCACTCAGTTTTTAAATTATCTCCAGTGGTGGCAAAGCTTTATCCTTTGCAGGTGAATTTATCCTTTGGAGAAAGTCAGGTGTTAATCAGAACCAACTTCATCCACTTGTAATCGCATGGAGGGCCTGTATTCTGTCTTCTGGTGACATTGTCTTTCACATTTTGGTATTCTTGGAGTGATGTGTGGAAAATCCTGAGCCCTCCACAGAGGCTTGTGAAACTGTTAGCAATGAGTGAAGTCATGAATTGGATTGACTTCATGATGTGACATATGTGACTGTGCAGTCAAGTGATTTGGAAGGAGAAAGACTTATGTGCAAATACTAGCTCCTCACTTGCTGGCTTTGGGACTTGGGGCCTTTGGGCATTTTAAATCGTGTAACCTCTGTAAACACCAGTTCTTTTCATCTGGAACACGGGACAAATAATATCTACTTCATCCAGCTGTTGTGAAAGGCTATATTTACATGTGTAAAATGGTTTTTCTAATGCATGGCACATGGTAAGGGCTCAGTGATTGGCAATTATTGTTACTTGCTCTGAAGATAGTTAACAAAAAGGAGTTACAAAATGTTCTGGGCCAAAACTATATCACAGGCATAATTGCCATAGATAAGACTACAAAGGGGAGACTAATTTTTAAAAAATTGTTTTTAATTTTTTTGGATACATAGTAGGTATTTATATTTATGAAGTACATGAGATTTTTGTTTATTTTTTGAGATGGAGTTTTGCTTTTGTTGCCCGGGCTGGAGTGCAGTGGCGTGATCTTGGCTCACTGAACCTCTGCCTCCTGGGTTCAAGTGATTCTCATGCCTCAGCCTCCCTAGTAGCCGGGATTATAGGCAGCCACCACCATGCCTAGGTAATTTTTGTATTTTTAGTAGAGAGGGGATTTCACCATGTTGGCCAGGCTGGTCTCGAACTCTTGACCTTTAGGTGATCCACCCACCTCAGCTTACCAAAGTGCTGGGATTACAGTCATGAGCCAGTGCACCTGGCCTATATGAGATATTTTGATACAGGCATACAATATGTAATAATCACATTAGGGTAAATAGGGTGTCCATCACCTCAAGCATTCACCATTTCTTTACGTTAAGAACATTCCAAATGTACTTTCTGTTATTCTAAAATGTCCAACAAATTAATGCTGACTATAGTCACCCCGATGTGCTATCAAATAGTAGATCTCATTCATTCTAACTATATTTTTGTGCCCATTAACCATCCCCGCTTCCTCACCCCCAGCCCTTCCCAGCCTCTGGTAACCATCATTCTACTCTCTATCTCAATGAGTTTAATTGTTTAAATCTTTAGCTCCCACAAATGAGTGAGAACATGCAATTTGTTTCTGTGTCTGGCTTATTTAACTTAACACAATATTGTCTAGTTCCATCCATATTATTGAAAATGACAGGATCTCATTCTTTTTATGGCTAAATAGTACTCCATTGTGTATATGTAACACATTTTCTTTATCCATTTGTCTGTTGCTGGACATTTGGGTTGATTCCAAATCTTGGCTATTGTGAATAGTGCTGCAGTAAACCTAAGAGTATAGATATCTCTTCAATATACTGATTTTTTTTCTTTTGAGTATGCATCTAGCAGTAGGATGGCTGGATCATATTTTAGTTCTATTTTTAATTTTTAAAAGAACCTCCAAATTGTTCTCCATAGTAGCTGTACTAATTTACATTTCCAACAACAGTGTACACGAGTTCCCTTTTCTCCACATCCTCACCAGCATCTATTATTGCCTGTCTTTTGGATAAAAGCCATTGTAACTGGAATAAGATGATATCTTGTAGTTTTGATGTGCATTTCTCTGATGATGCTGAGCACCTTTTCATAGGGGGAGACTAATTTTTATGTGTAGCATTTGAAATCAGTTTCACTAAGCTAAACTCACCTTCTGTATAGCTTTCTAAGTGACTTTTCTTAAAAGGAGCACCTGTTCATTTGACTGTATTTTGAAATCAGCTTGTTAAAAAATAAATTTTATTATTGCTTTAGTAACAATATCAGATGGCCTGTATGATTTATTTTTAGTCTTATGTAAGCAAGAAGTATGAATCTCCTGTTGAAGAAAGGATGAAAGATTTTCTTCAGAAAGATTTCTGATCATTTCTTATTCTGATATATACTATGACAAGGTCGTTAGTTTGTTATGACTAATTGGAGTTTGTTGGTTAGACATCCATTTTTCTTTCGGATGCTATTGTTTCTTAAAAGCACAGTTGTGTTCAAAACATGGCCAATGTATTTTTAGAAATGTTGCAATGCCCTTGGTTGGTGATTACTGTTGCCTTCCTTTTCTGATTCCTGTTTCTCCCTCATGTAGTTGAAACACGGGACTTTGATATGTGGGTTGGATTCTGTAATTGCTAATAGATAAATATTCTCATTGCTATTCTGAGTTTGGTACTTTTAGACATCATAAACATTTTACTAATGAAATGTCATGTCACAGAATTAGGGTTGCGAAAGAATAAAAATAGGCATGATAGGGTGGAGAAGAGGAGATGTTGAGCTTTACTAACTGTGGTGAGTAAGCAGCTGCAAGCAGCTAACGAGTAGTTTTAGGATAAATAATGTATGGTTAACTCTGTCTTGAAGAAGAGTTTTAGAGGTGAGGTCAAAACTCAGGAGCTGTGTACGGTGGCAAATGTAAAGGAGGAGACATGGTCATAGATCTTAGAGGCAGGGTGATGCAGTACAACATGCCACCAAGACTCACTTGATAAACGAGCTTCATATGCCAGACACACTCCCATAGGCTTATCAAAGTCTTACTGTTCCTTCTATAGCAATTTTGTTCTACTGGAGAAAACATTTCAGAACAAGACGAGCAAGAGATATATTTTTATGCAGACTACTCCTCCTTACATGTAAAAGTAAATTATTTGCAAGCTTCACGTGTCATTTCTAACCAATGATTTGTGACGGTCTTACAGTGGATGGCAGTATGGTAGTTGGTCCCTGCTGGTGTGATGCTAGTCAAGTCAATATGCTTTGAACAGCTAGGCTAAGGAGTCACTCTTCTCCTTGTTATCTATGTGCGGTTGAAAAAGATCAATTCAGCTCTCTGGGTCATAGTCTGTAACTTTTAAAATAGAGATAATTTTAATCTTTGGCTACTTTACAGAATTCTTGAGAAAACGACAAACAATGTATGTAAAAGTGCTTTATAGACTCTATTGTAAAGACACCAAAACTAAGGAATTAGTGCAAAAGGGCAAATAAATCCATGCAGGACTCTGCATCATCCCGTTTGTCCAAGTTGGCTAGATATTTGCTGACTCTTCAAAATGCTTTGTATTTTAAAATATTGCCTTAGATGCATGCCTAACTGTAACAAAAGGAAGTTTCCTGAAGTGACTCAGAAAACATTTCCCCCTTTTCCCTCATTGCTTTCTAAATGTAAGTCTTTCCATTTATCATTCTTCTTGCAATATGACCATGAGAGTAAAGGAAGAGATACAAACACACATTCAATTTGTTTTGGGAATAAAAACTGCTGTGGTTGGGAAAAGCACTGCAATATATGTTTCAGACTTGTACAGGAATGTTGCATGAGAAATAGGGGAGTGTACAACTGTCTTTTGCCTTATAGAATTAAGGTATGTAAAACAAAACAAAACAAAATGAAATGAAACACTCTAGGACTTGATGAAAACAACATTAGCTGTATGAGTATTTAGATTTAGTTGTGGTTGCTGGACTGTGCTGGCCAAACTCTCTACTTGAGCACTGGAGAATTTATTCTCCCAGCTGCTGGGAAGATTGAGTGCTGAGAGGTCTCCTCAGCTCTCTTTGAGAACTGCCTCCATGGAAGAGACCACCTTGACCAAGGATGCTTCCTTCTCAGGAAGCCCACATTCATAATTGATCGACTCATGGGTGTAAAGATATGGTTCTCTCTTGGGATGAACAGGGTCAGCCTCGCCCCAGAGCTCCTACTGCGATCAGAGGCTCATTATGACTGTGTTGCTGCCTAGCTTCTTCCACTGCCCAGTCCTGCTTCCTTCTCTGCTCTTGAAGATATTGTTTCTGAGAGCACTCTCAATAAACATCCTGCACAAAAATCCTAAGTCCAACCTGTGTCAGAGGCTCTGACTTCTCAGATTTTTCTGAAGGTTCTTTAGGCCATTAAACTTTTCATTGAAATTGTTACACAGTTTTCCTGGAAGAGGAACATGGTATCATCCAGATTAGGTACCCCATTTTCAGAGGGTCATGTTTAGGTCAAACCAAGAGGCTGGTATGAATTAACTAGCATTCTATAGACTTGTCAAATTTTGATGAACTTGATTCACTAAAAAATATTTTTTTGTTATATTATGGGGTAAAAGTACAAATTTGGTGAAAGATCAACCCCAGCTTGTAAAAATTGAATTCATAAAACCAGCACACAACATGGAGATTACAGTTTCTTTGCAGTTCATTCATTCAGCACGTAATTATTGAGTGCCTATTACATGATCGGAGGGCAAGTGATCAGTATGTAAGATGTGATTGCTGTCCTTCTCATCTTATAAGAGGGATAATACATATGCCTATTATATGATTAATGCAACAGAATAATACACAGGATAAAAGCTACAGGAATTGAAGAAAAGAAGCAAAGAGTAATGACGATTATAGGGAAGATCTTGAGGATGATGTGAAATTTGAGTAGAACCTAGAATAGTAAGCAGAGATGGTTGGTAAATAGTGTGCCAAGCAAAGGGGAGAGTAAGAATAAGGTATAGACATGAAGAAATAAAAGGTATGTTGGAGGATATTGATTTAGCTGAAGTGTTTGTCTTATACAGGTCTGTTGGGAGAAATGTAAGTGGGAGAGGTGCTTTGGGATTAATTGTGAAAGTCTTGAAAGGCAGGATGGGAAATTTAGATTCTCTTTGGGAACTAGTGAGTAGCTACTGAAGGTTTCTGGGTGACATTATCAGATGACGCTATAGGAAGATGGAGCTGGAAGTAAGAGAACAAAGCCTTGGAGATGAGACAGGAAACTATTGTCATGTTCTAAGGGTAAGGCACACAAAACTTCCTGGTTCCCGAAGCCTGATTTTAACACTGCTCTTCATCTACCCCTAAGCCTAGACTTCCAGGAACTCTCCAGAATAAAAAACCTGGTTAAAGGGCTTGGAGTGAGGATAGTTTTCTTTTGTTCTAGATTATTTTTTATGTAGAATTTTTATGTAGAATTAATTTTTATGTATAATTTTATTTTGGGTGGTGTCTTTAAATTATGATTCCAGCTGAAACAACTAGCTAATAATGAAAATATTTGCTAGAGTCAGGGTCTCACTATGTTGCCCAGGCTGTCCATAAATGAAAATAATTTTTAAGGAAAATATAATTGATCAGAATTGAGTTTTCCCATTGTTTTGTGCTAATGTGGAGCTGTCCTGACATTTGCTGTTGAGGTAGAAGATCTTAAACAAATACATGCATAGAAAAACCTTGACCTATAGGGGAGTGAGTGCAGGAAAGCACCCACCCTTCCATCCCTGGGAACGGCAGCAGCGTGTTTTTCCTTTTGAGATGAAAGTGATGTGGTGCTACATAAATTTACAAGTGATTCTCTAAAAATGAACTTCTTACAAAAGGCTGACTCTGCAGCTGTGTCTGGCACTCTCTATCTGTGCTGATCCTTTTTCGCTGTGCAAAGACTTTATTTAAAGTGTTTTCCAGATTTTGACTAAGCAGGTCTAGGAAAGTAGTAAACTTGCTAATTAATGTATTTTTGATGTTGAATGGCTCCTTGTTCAATCCTCCCACTCTTTTTGTACTCTGTAATATTCTATGAAATATAAAGATATACATTATTATGTTTTCTAAAAGTTCTAAGAATTGCCATACCATAGTCATTTTTTTGTGTATCCATAAATATCAGTGTTTAAAAATGCTTTTGTTATGATTAAAATTCAATAGCATGCTTGTTGCCTGGACTCTCATCTAGTCAAAAAATCCAAAATAAACATTTAAAAGTAAATAAAATTACAAAGAAGCAGAAGTAATAATGCAGGCTAAAAATACCTGGTCAGTTTAAAGATCTTTTCAAGGAAATATGATTGGAATAAGAACTTGAAGGAAAGGTAGGATCTTGATTAGCATGGAGAAGTGGAAGATATTCTTGAGAGGGTACAGCAGTTTGAGCAATGTTAAGAAAAATGAGCAAAACTTTTAAAAAAGAGATTAGTGTTAAAATAGTATAGTTTTCAAAAAGTTAAAAACATAGCAGTTTTACAGATTTAAAATAAATATGGGAAAGACTTTACTCATCTCATTAACTAATGAGGAAATTAGTATAGTGACATGGCTGGTTCCAAGGCCATTTGAGGAACTAGAGATGTTTACTAATTTAATAAAGCAAAGGTAGGATGTGATTCCTGGGTTAAATACAAAACCAGGTAATGTTCTATGAGATAATAAGTGGTAACCATGGGGGTTATGTTTTCAACTGGACAAAAATCTACATGTTAACATGTGACTCCACTACATCTAGGTCTTTAATGATAAACATAATTTGAACAAGGTATATACTCCTAAATAATCCTTGAGTGGACCTTTGAAGTAATGACTCCAAATGAGTTTTAAAGGACATGGTACTCACCCTTTTACTTCATTTTCAAGTTTCGGATAGTTGTTTTTTTTTTTTTTTTTAAACCAGTGGGAAGATCAGCATACTTGGAGGATTTTGTTTTCTTCAAGTGGAGTGAATGGAGTGATAACAAAAGGAAAACAGAAGAGAGATATTTGAATGGTAGGCTAACAAATTTAGACCTGCAAGAAATGGTGGAAAGGGATCACTAAAGGTTTAGATGTGGGCTTGATTAAGGAATATTTTAGATAAAATTAATTATGCTAAATAGTATAAGAATTATGAGACCCTCTAGGACATTCTTTCAACAGTTAATGATTAAGGTTAAATGTTAAGGACAGGAAGAAGTATACACGAAGGGGCAAGTGTAGGTGCCTATGGAAAATACAGTACAAGGGAGATAGTAATGGGAGTGAGTCATTGCTCAGTTATAGAAGCCAGGGATTAATCTATTAATACTGAGTAGGAGACTCATAACTTTAAAAGCCATATGCATGATGGGACTAGGAGTTGATTTGAGATGAGAGATAAAGCTCTCTGAGCATAATTGGGACCACATAAGTCTTCTTAAATCATTTAGTCTACTTACTTCTTAATCACCTGGGACCAAAGAGATTCGTTATCCAGTTGTTCAAGTAGTTAGTGAGTGAACAAGACTTAGAATCCAGGTCTTCTATCTCCTAATACAGTTTCTCTTTCCTGTTTACCTTTGTGACTGTGGTAGATTGAGTTATTTGTATTACGTCTTCCCCTCTCAGTAGTAGTTTTATATATCTACATTCTTGCCATCACTTTAGCGTGAGCAGAGTGTATTTCCCTGACCCTTGACTTTGCTCTTGGCTATGTAACTTGGTTTGGACAATGGACCTACACATTTGGGCTTGCCTTCTTGAGCTTCTTCTACTACCATGAAATAAACATATTCCAATTTGCACTCCAATGTAGGCCCCAGATTGAGACAGGTAGTCATAATACCAAGATATACCTGCTGAAATGTCATGTTGGCTATTTGGAGCTGCAGTTTTTTTCTAATGACTTCTGAAATGTGTGATTATTGAATTACCAGAGTGAATTTGATCATCACAGGAGACAATGTATTCATAAACATAAATTTCATAATGAAATTTCTTAGACAGGTTTTAGTCTATGTGAATTACTATGTGACAAATAAATTTTTATTGACAAATAAAAATACTAGCTTCAGGTTGATGGAGAACCCAGAGACAGCTCAGGGATGAGTCAATCAAATAAGGTTTATTAGTCTGAAGAATATAGAAGGAAGTCCACATAGTTAGGATACTTAGCAGGAAGATCAGCTGGATTCTCCAAAAATTATAAACTTCTATACGGCAAGAACCTTACCAGAAGAGCACAGTTGTGAATGATAATGCCTGAGTGAGTGAAGGTTACACCAGAACTTCTGGAGGCTCAAGTGCCTGCCTTCAAGCCACTGAGAGCTGGAGCAATTATTCATGTAAGCTGCCCTGGATATGTGCTGGGTACCACCTTATGGCAGGAGGAGCATCTCAACCATCTTGGTGATAGAAGATGTACAACCAGAGATACTGGTACAGTGCATTTAGGAAATACCATTTATTCTTCTATTTCTGATGGTTATCTCACTAGATTCTCAAAAACTTGGTGAACTTTTCTCAGGAGATGCTGGGTTTTGCTGGTATGAGGTTGTTACTGGTACAGCCATTTTCATATTTATAGTTATGCATATGTGCACACTTGCATGCAGTATCTTCATGTGCTTTCCTCTTCTCTATAGTTTGTTTGTCAATAAACATGGTGGAATGAACTGATAAGAGACTTACTCTCCTCTTGATGGTACAGCTCAGTGGGACTCATAGCCCTATAATTAGAACTATAATCAGGTTCCCATGAACAAATACATGTAGTTCACATTTGCATTTAACTTACTGATAGTTATTACTTACTTGCTTTTAGGATGTGTCATAGCTGTTATCTGGTTTTAGTTCAGTTTAGTTTACTTAGTCTAATTTAGTTTAGTTAGTACAGTCAGTCTTCTGTACTTATGGGTTCTACAAAGCGTGGATTGAAAATATTCAGAAAAAAAATCGTTGGTTGGATCTGTACTGAACATGTACAGACTTTTTTGGTCATTATCCTCTAAACAATACAGTAAACAACTATATACATAGCGTTTACGTTGTGTTAGGCATTATAAGTAATATGGAGATGTTTTAAAGTATATGAGAGGGTGTGCATAGGTTTTATGTAAATACCATGCCATTTTATATCAGGGACTTGAGCATCCACAGATTTTGGTATCCACAGGGGTTCCTGAAACCAATTCTTCATGGATACTAAGGGACACCAGTATTCATAATCCAAAATTAACATCTGATGATTGGAATTCCTTGAGGGCTATGATTCATAATTTTATTAAAATATCTGTCTGCTTAGAAACATTCCAGTCTGCAAATATTTTCTCCCATCCTGTTATCAATAGAATAAGCAGAAAACATATAGGATGTATCTTTTGCTGTGCAGAAGCTCTTTAGTTTAATTAGGTCTGGCTTGTCAATTTTTTTTTTTTTTTTTGCAATTGCTTTTGAGGACTGCTTTAGTCTGTTTCTTTTATAGAGAAAAGAGGTTTAATTGGTTCACAGTTCTGTACAGGAAGCATAGCAGCTTCTATTTTTGGGGAGGCCTCAGGAAGGCAAAGGAGGAGCGAGGCATCTCACATGGTGGGAGCAGGAGCAAGGAAAAGGGGAGGTGCTACACACTCTTAACGAGATCTCATGAGAACTCACTTGTTATCACGAGAACAGCACAAAGGGGATGGTACTAAACCACTCATGAGAAATGGCCCCCATGACCCAATCACCTCCTACCAGGCCACCCCTCCAACATTGGAGATTACAATTTGACATGAGATTTGGGCAGGGACAGAAATCCAAACCGTATCAGGGAATTAATCATAAATTCTTTGCCAAGGCTGATGTCCACATTGGTATTTCCTAGGTTTTCTTCTATAGTTTCATTGTTTTAGGCCTTACATTTAAGTTTTAAATCCATCTTAAGTTAATTTTTGTCTATGGTGAAAGGAAGGAGTCCAGTTTCAATCTTCTGCATATCCTGCAATTTAGCCATGTAAAAAACCTGCACATGTACTCCCTGAACCTAAAATAAAAATAGAAAAAAGGAAACTTTCCAGATCTTCTATTTTGCAGGCACAATAGCGGTCTTCAGAATTCCCATGAAATGGGTGGAGTAGGTGAGAGAATCATACCCATAATATTGTCCCTGCATATGGTTAGAGTACCTTATGGTACTACTTCAGATTTTAAAGGCTATAGTGTTACATGGTTATTTTAAAAGGTTTATGGGACTGTAACCTCTGTAGCCTATATGCATTAGGAAAACATATACACCTGTGAAATATTAGATACACATAACTGATAGGATAACATATGCATTAGGGAAGCACACCCATGAAGTATCAGATACCATATTTCAGCTATCTTCTCGCTTTGTGTGAAAGTAGGGCGTGGTTCAAATTCTTATCTGCTCAAGGAGTTATTCTCATATATTCAACAGACCCCAGTTCCTCTTTGTGTGCTCCTTCTCAAACCCATAGTTTGAGCGAGTCACTGTATTTTCTGGATCGAAATTGGGACACGATTTAATACAAGATTCAACACCTGTTGTGGGATGTGGGAGGAGTGATTTAAAATGTAAATAACAGAAAATTTAGAACATGTGGTTGTTAGATTTCCCCCTACCCACATACAAATCAATTTACAAAAATAGTCCTGAGTTTTGCTATAATTACTTGGGCTATCTATTAAAATTGCATGCTAATTGTGACCATGAAAATACAAAAGCACTTTTTTTTTCTTTTGAGACAGAGTCTCGCTCTGTCGCCCAGGCTGGAGTGCAGTGGTGCCATCTCAGCTCACTGTGACCTTTACCTCTTGGGTTCAAGTGATTCTCCTGCCTCAGCCTCCCGAATAGCTGGGACTACAGGCGTGCACCACCATGCCTGGCTAATTTTTGTGTTTTTAGTAGAGATGGGGTTTCGCCATTCAGATTTCTCAATAATTCAGACTGATCTATCTATTAATTAAATGGTTTTAGTCTTTATCTTTTCTTATTTTGTGTAACAAACTGTGTTTGAGTCAAACGTCATTGCTCTAGAATACTTTCTGTGTTCTCTAGGGTAATAAAAGAACATTAATCGTGTCTTACTTTGATATCCAGTCTATCACTGTGCCACATACCTCTAAATTCCAGCCACCAAATTATACTTTTTCTACATTTTTCAACAGTAACTTTTATATAAATGGGTCCACTACTTTCAAGATTGTTTAATATGATAAAAAGAAAAGGGAAATGATGGGATTGAATACAAATGAGTCTGGAACTCATCTTCTTTTAAGGAGAATGATTTTTGGATGTGCCTTAAGTGCTACTTCATTTCAGCTCAGACTAGGGGAACTGGATTTCTTCAAGGGGTTATTTACCCACAAAGCTCACGTCCCATCCAGACTAGGGGAACTGGATTTCTTCAAGGGGTTATTTACCCACAAAGCTCACGTCCCATCCAGACTCCTGGTGATTTTCAGAGCCAGATAGATTCTGCAGTACCAGTACTATCGAGAATATCCATTGGAGGACACTAGAACACAACAAATAGATGAGAATGCAGGAATATGTAAGTAACTCAAAGTAAATCCTCTGCAAAAGAAAAAGACAATTTACTCTCCAAAGTTAAATCAAATTGCTCTCCAGCTATAAAAATATGGCTGGTTATTAATGTTTTCATGAAGAAACAAATTCTATAATGGGTGTTTCTTGTCTTCCAAAACTGTGATTTTGGAAGTGTGATGGATAGCTTCCTCAGGAGGTAAATGGATACATTATTTTAATTGCCTGAACATTTCTTTAGAAATTTGCTTGGAAGTTGTGCTTCATAGCCTAACCTTAATCAAATCTTCATTGATAGACAAGTGGGGCCTTTTGCAGGTTGTTGAACTGGATTTTTTCTAACAATCCTTCTGAAAATGGAGAACTTTATAAGGTCATGACAAAAACCATGACAACTTAGGGGTCCTCTGCTGTGGAAAGGTGATATCTCAGGCAAATTAATGTAGGTAAAAGCCCTGATGAGAGAAAGCCTTTGATGTGCCTAATGAGAGTTGGTAAACTTTGTCATAATATGTTGTTAGGTATTAGAACATTCTAGTAATTATTTTAAATCTCAAATTATAATTATTTATAAGATGGAAATATCATTTAGTTATTTGGCCTTCTGAATTTTGAGTTTAGAATAAAACAAGGCTTGTGTCTTGGACTTGTCCCCACTCCTGAGAACCCCAACTCCAAATATAAACAATACATATGCTTGACTCAAAAACAATGATGCCAACAGTACAACAACTTATTAAGCATGTTCGTTTAAAAAGCTGCCACCCAAATTATATATTTTTGTTAGTAAAATAAACACTCACACATAAACTTATCTTAATAATATTGTCAACAGTGGAGATTTGTTTTTACTTTATACACAGGAGGGCACCCTGGGCTCTATTTGGAAGGGAAGGAGATGAAAAACTCAGGGACTAACTTCCTTCTGGAAGTCTCCTTTTGATCCAGAACACGTAATTGGAAGTAGGATTGACAGGGCAGCACACACTTTTCCAGTGTGTGATATTATTAATTTAAATTCACCTCTCCAATTGCAGCATGGGTTATCAGGGAATGAAAGCCATCATTTATCTTGGTGAGCTAACACTGGTGTTAAGCCAGGCATATTAAAGTTTGTGGGTAGGAATTATGGTCAGATAGAAATGTCATTTAGGCCACTTAGAATCTGTGTGGTGAGGTTAGATCCCAAAGTGGGTTTCTAGCCTCCTGTGAAACTCTAATGTTCCAAGTCTTTTAGTTATTTTGGACCAGGGTTCAGTTTCTTCATCTTTCCAAGGACTAAACTGCTTGCGTGTTTTGGGGGTGGGAGTGTGAGTGACTAAATGATTTAAAGACTGGGCAAAAGCACTCTGCAAAATATAAACTTATTTCAGAAGCATGAAATAATTAAAATGATGGTGTTCATTATAATTTAGTATATTTAACTATATAAGATTTACTTAATAATACTTTCTTCACTAAAATGAAAACATTAACCCTGGTTGGGAATGGTGGGTGGCTGAGTCATCTACAGAGCATTTAACATTTATGCATGTGTCTCTTCCTCATTTGGACATTGCACTTTTCTTCTTCTCTTCCTTGGATGGCAACAGGACCTTCACAGTGAATGATTTGAAAAGAGCCTAATAACAGTGTGGGCAAGTTTTAGGGAAACAACCTCTGCAGTCCCCTCAGGCTAGGAATTGTGGGGTGCCCATTTCTATCTCTGAACTTGAAGGGCAGTGGCGGGGAGTGATGGCTGAAAATGGAACAGGGAACTCTAAGGAGAGGGTTGCCCAAGGAGCTTCAGCCACAAGTAGAGAAGTCAGTGTGTCTGCTGCAAACTGAGAGGGTGGGAGCCAGGGGCACAAATGCTTGACCTTATTTTCTTCCTCATTCCATTCTCCTGCTGCTGTCCCCTACTTGGCTAAAACCATCCATATGCCAACAAGAGAGGGCAAGGGAATCTGTTGATGCAGTGCTGCAGGTCAGCTTCAGGTACAGAGCCCTGGAGAAGGGCAGGATGTGGTGTGGCCCAGAGGGACAGACAGATGACATCCTGTTTCCCTGTCATCTCCTGGAGAGCCACCTGTTGCTAATGGGATTGTGGCTTCTGAGACCCACCTGTCTACAATGCTGAGCAGTCATTTTTAGGCCATTTAGAATCTGTTTGGTGAGTTTACATCTCAAAGAGGGAGTTCCAGCCTCCTGTGAAACTCTAATATTCCCAATCTTTCAGTCATTTTGGGCCAGGGATCACTTTCTTCATCTCTCCAAGGACTAAACTGCTTGCATATTTTGGGGGTGGGAGTGTAAGTGACTAAGTGATTTAGAGACTGGGCACAAAACACTCTCCAAAATATACTTATTCCAGAATCATTACATAAATAAAATACTAATTATTTTATGACCAGCAATATTAAAAAAGATTTCTAGCATTCTCTACACACGCATTTAGTAAAGAATAGTGACTTTAGGCTGGGCACGTTGGCTCATGCCTGTAATCCCAGCACTTTGGGAGGCCGAAGTGGGAGGATCATCTCAGGTTGGGAGTTCGAGACCAGCCTGACCAACGTGGAGAAACCCTGTCTCTATTAAAAATGCAAAATTAGCCAGGCATGGTGGCAGACACCTGTAATCCCAGATACTTGGGAGGCTGAGGCAGGAGAATTGCTTGAACCCGGGAGGTGGAGGTTGCAGTGAGCCGAGATCGTGCCACTGCACTCCAGTCTGGGCGACAGAGTGAGTCTCCGTCTCAAAAAAAAAAAAAAAAAAAAGTGACTTTAAAAGAACAGAAGATGGCAGTTAATCTACTGAATCTTGCCCTTTATTCTAATCAAGGAGTCTTACCTATATTGTTTTCTCACAAATCTTTATACTGATGAATATTCCCAAGTCTTTAGAGGACAGTTAATATTGCAGTTTAAAAAGAGAAAAATATTATAAAAATTAATAGTGGTAGAAATTATGCAGATAAATCATGAATCTCAATTTCCTTTTTATGCTAGAAAAGGGGACAATTCAAAAACAAGCAAATGTACAAGTAAATATATTTCCTTTAATATTTTATTTTAAAATTATTATTTTTATTTTTTTTAACGCTGGAGTGCAATGGTGCAATTTTGATTCACTGCAACCTCTGCCTCCCAGGCTCAAGCAATTTTCCTGCCTTAGCTTCTTGAGTAGCTAGGACTACAGGTGTATGATACCATATTGGGCTATTTTTTTGTATATATATGTGTGTGTGTGTGTGTGTGTGTGTGTGTGTTTTATATATATATATATATATATATATATATATATATATATATATACATATATATTTGTAGATACTGGGTTTCACCAGGTTTCCCAGACTGGTTTCGAACTCTGAGGCTCAAGAGATCCACCTGCCTTGGCCTCCCAAAGTGCTGGGATGGGATTACGGGCATGAGCCACCACTCCTGGCCTCCTTAATTTTTTTAGAGTATATTTGTAATTACTTTGATTCATCTTCCTTTATACTTTATATTACAATAATGTATATTCTTGCATTCTTGGCTTTGTTTGTTTTTGTTTGTAACTATCTCTAATATACTTTTCAATTATGTGATGATGATGATAATAATATACTGATGGTAAACATTAATGCTGTATTGACTAACCTGCATTCTTTAGTTCTTTTTTTTAGATATTTGAAATACAACTTTATTATGATTCTAAACAAAAAGGGATGAGAATAAGAGTAAGAAACATTTCACTGTTGAATACTGTGTTGCGACTGTATAGGTCTTATACAGCGTTTGAAACTCAGGAAGGAAACAGCTGTGTTCCAAAACAGCTAATTATGCAGGCTCAAAAAAAATTTTTTTTTAGTGGTTACATTTACTCTGAAGTCCATTTATCTCCTTCAGTATCCCAAAGTTAAAGCAGACCTTCTGCTTAGCTGTATAATAAAGTGGCAAACATGCTCAACCACGACATCACAGGACAGTTGCCTATGAAGTTAGACTTCTGACTCTGGGCTCCAGCTTTATTTTCTCACAGGTCATCCTTCTCATCCAGGAGAGCAGTTGTCTGAGCAACCTCTAAATCATGCTCATATTGCACTGCCAAAGCTGGGTCCAGGAAAACCTGTGGTGGGGCAAGAGCAGGCATGGCTACAAACTTCAGGCTGGGGTCTTCAGTGAGCTTCTTAGCAGGCCAGAGGAAGGACTTTTCAAAGTTGTAGTTATTTTTGACATAAATGTTATAGTACTAAAGACTCTTTGTTTAATAGAAGAGAGTAAACTTTGTCTTCATTTTCTGGCTTAACATCCTTTTTTTTTTTGCCACAAAACATGATGGGGGTGTTTTCATACACTCATACCAGATCTCTACGTCAGGCACCTTCTTGTAACTCTTGATGTTACATTAAGCATTAGGGCACCCTGGGCTTGGATATAATAGCCATCAGCCATCTCTCAGTTTGCCAAATTTCTCCGGGCCAGCTGTGTCCCATCCATTGAACTTAATGGGCCCTTTGTTGGTGTATGAGTCCATTCTCACAGTTATAAAGAACTACTTGAGACTGAGTAACTTAAGAAAAGAAGTTTAATTGAGTCATAGTTCCACAGGCTTAATAGGAAGCATGACTGGGAGACCTCAGGAAACTTACAATCATGGCAGAAGGCAAAGGGGGAGGCAAGGACCTTCTTCACATGGTGGCAGGAGAGAGAGTGAAGGGGGGAAGTGCCACGCATTTTAAACCATCAGATCTTGTGAGAACTCACTGTCACGAGAACAGCATGGGGGAAATCTGCCCCCATGATCCAATAACCTCCCACCAGATCCCTCCCGCAACATCGGGAATTACAATTCAATATGCTATTTGTATGGGGACACAAAGCCAGACCATATCAGTGTGGAACGAAAGGGGATGGAGCTCCACACCCACGGTGGCTATATCTCAAATTCAGCAGTCAAATGATATTTCATGAGGGTAGTTTTCCAGTACTACCATCACCAATGCAAGTTTGTACTAAATTTGGGGTTCTCCTTGGGCAGGTGTCATATTTCTTCCAGAAGCAACTCTGCACCCGTCCAACTCTGTATCCTTTAATTCTCATTAGAATGCTATGAAATACACCCAATTAATATTAATACCATTTGAAAGTTGATAAAATTGAATCTTAAGGACAAATATTAATCTTTAAGGTGATATTTTTATTGTGGTAAAAGACACATAAGATCTATCTTCTGAACAAATTTCTGAGTTTACAGTACAATATTGGTAACTAAAGCACATTGTTGTCTGGTACAGCTCTAGATTTTTTGTTTGTTTGTTTGTTTGTTTTTTTGAGACGGACTCTCACTCTGTCACCAGGCTGGAGTGCAGTGGCACAATATTGGCTCACTGCAACCTTCGCCTCCCAGGTTCAAGCAAGTCTCCTGTCTCGGCCTCCTGTCCCGGCCTGTAGCTGGGATTACAGACACGTGCCGCCACACCTGGCTAATTTTTATATTTTTAGTAGAGACTGGGTTTCACCATATTGGTCAGGCTGGTCTTGAACTCCTGACTTCTGGTGATCCACCTGCCTTGGCTTCCCAAAGTGCTGGGATTATAGGCATGAGCCACTGTGCCCGGCCCTCTAGAACCTTTATATCTTGCATGCCTGAAATTCTATATTCATTGAACACCTGTTTCTCTCCTCCCCCAGCAACCACCATTCTACTTCCTATTTCAACACTTCCAAACTCACTTTCCTTAATTTTTAATTAGCTTTCAGTATTGATCATAGGGCTTGTATATTCTAAAGTACAACCTAAAGCTTTTTGAATACTGTTTTAGCTTTTAATTGCAAGTGGTCCTCTGTATGAATCATTACTGTATTAATTATTTTTTTAAAAAGTGAAATGGAAGTGACAGAAAATATGACAAACATCCACATATTTTGTGAGAGATATCAGCTTTATCAAATCTTAATGTTTCTTCATATTTGGCTCAGATTTTAAAATTTATTTTTATAAAATAAATTTATTTATCTTTATGATTTATCTTTTATTTTATCTTAATAAAATAAAAGATCTAACTCTTGAAAACCTCAGTTCTCCTTGCTAATCCAATTCTCCTCTCTCCTTCCCTAGAGGTAAATACTATTCTGAATTTAATATTTATGAGTCACATGTGTGTTTCAAAGTTTTAACCAGGGCCAGGTGTATGAGCATGTAACCCTGTTGCACTGAACCTGTGTTGATAATAGCCCCATGTTTATTTTAAGGCTCAGCTGTCACTGTTTTGAAGTGTTAATAATTTTTGAACAAGGCAAGTGGTCTTTGTTTTGAGAGATTCAAAAACTCTTTTGATGGTGGGATACAACACATTGACATTTGGATAGATGAAAGGCAGAACTCTTTGTTTCTTACAGCTGCAAATGAGAGAAGGATGTCAAACAGGACCACACAGAGTTGCCTCCACGGACAGGATAACAGCAAGCTGGGGCTGTATAAGGCAGCTTATCTAAGACAAGTAGGGTGGCATAGCTAGGTCTCCTGGGGTCCTTGTGGATTGGCTAATTTGAATAATTTCCTCTGCTCTAGGGCTGTCTCTAGTTGTCTGTTGCTGGACCCCAGAGTGTTGGACCGCTATGTGGGACACACTTGGGGGGTATGCGTGGTGGCCCTGGAGAGTGATAAGGGTAGTGGTTGGCGTGGGGGCTTAGCAAACTGCCAGTGAAGGGAAACTGAGATTTTCACCCATTACTTCAAAACTGGTTCAAGACAGCACTTGTCAAATAGTATATTAGAGCTCAGGCTTTCATTTTTTAATTAAGCCCTGCAAATTAGGTAGCCCATCCCAATTTTAACTATATATTTATCTATAAACATTGTATAGTACAGTTTTGCATGCTTTTAAACTTTGATGAACATTTAGGTTGTTTCAATTTTTGTGGAATTTTTTTCTATTATAAACAATGCTGCAATAAATTTTTTAAAGATGTCTTCTTGCACACGTGTTTCTCTAGGGAATACAGCTATGAAGGTCATTGCTTGGCACAGAGTATGTACATACTTACAATCTGATGTCCTTGTAATCCCTACATTTATTTTAATCTTAGTTCTGAGGTTAAATTTATTGAATGCACACTATCAGTGATTTTGCTATGTTTTCTCCAGTTCTCTCTCAGTTGGTTAGAATTTGTTGCCTAGACATTTCCTCCAAAGGGCTCATGAGAAAAATATTCCCTGATTTATATTTTCAACACTGTTTTTCTATAGCCTCTATTCAGAAAGATAGCTTGGCTGGCTATAAAATTCTTGCTGACATGTTTCCCCTTGAGGATCTTGTAGGTACTGCTTTACTGTCTTTTGGCTTTGAAGGATGCTGTGGAAGAAATCAGTTTGAGTCTGGTTCTTTTCCTTATAGGTGTCCTGATTGATTTGCCTGACAAACCAGGTGATTTCTTTTTAATCCTTAAAGTTCAAAAATTTTACTACAATTTGTGTCAGTGCTGACTGTTCTAGGTCAGTTGTCACAGACATATGCTATGCCACTTCAACATGAAAATTCAACTTTTATTTCAAGAAAATGTACACGAATTATAATTTCAAAAATTTGTTCTGACCTACTGTTCTTTTAAGACAACAATTGTATTTATGGTGGATCTCATTAGCCTGTTTTAAAAAAATCTTTCAATTTCTCCATCTTCCTTTTCAAACTTTTCCTTATTTGTCTTGTTTTGATTGCTTTTCTAATATCTACAATCTATGGTAATCACAATTTTCTCCCACAATATTTATTCTCTCTAGTTTTCGTTTAATTTTGTCTTTATTTATATAATGATTTTTTCTTTCAATTTTCTTCTGAGTTCTTGCAATACTTAATTCACCTCTTTTTCTCACCATTTCCTCTTCTTACAATCTGTTATTTGAGATTCTGTGGCCTTAACTTGTTAAAGAGAAATAAATTTTTAAAAGTTCATGACAAAATACTTTTCTTGGTCTAGTTATTTGACCATTTTTTTTCTTGGTCTAGCTATTTGCAGGAGCTTCCTTGAGGGAGATTATTTGTCCTGGTGTGTTTTGAGATATTTTGATCACAGAATATTTTACTCTTCTCCTTGAGTCTTCTTTGCCTTTGTCCGCCACGGAGCTTTTGTCTTTCTCTCTCTCCTCCTAGTCTTTCTCACATCTCTCAGCTCTTGCAAAGTATATAGGTTTTATTTCAGGGCAAACTCTTCCTCCAGAAAGGACTTTTTTGGGCGTTTTTCTGGAATCTCCTGCCATTAGGTTGCTCTATTGACTGTTCTTGGGCTACTTCCTGATCCACTTCTAGATTTTTTTCTTTCATGTTTTGCCTGCATAGTCTTTGGATCACCTGTTCAAAGAGAATAGAAAGATAAGTTAGCATTTCCTCTGGAACGATCGGCAATGTTTATTTTTCATTGTTCTTTATTTTAAAGTTTCTTTCAATTTTCAACTTGTTATTGGTAGTGATATGTACATTTTTGGGGTTGTCAGACTTGGCAAAATTTCTTTCATATTGGAAGTAAAATTTAAAATAATTTTTTAACAGATCACCTCCTGATTCCTTCCATGTCAATACTCGTCTTCCCTTCAGTACCTATGTACATCTGGTGCTGGATATCATAGGCCCTGTCATATTGTGATGCAATGGTTGGCCCTGCAGTTTGATGTTATGACACTGGCTGAGTCAGCATAGGGGCCACTAGAATTCTCCGAAGCCATTCTCCCACTGGAACACTAACTGTGCTATCTCTATATTGACTGTGAATCACATGAATAGATCCCACTTAATCCAAACCAAATACATCCCCAATTCAACTCTTCTTTGGATTCCAGAATTGCCTAGAGCCACTGCCATACCACCTACATTAGGAGAAATATAATGGGGGAAGGTCAGAGTAGGAATATAGCATTAAAATATTTTATTTCAAAAATTTTAAAAACACCTGATTAGCTGAGCACATTGTGAGTACCCAGATGAGGGAAGGGAAGGGAATTTTCTTGTTGGTGTGGTTGATAGCATCAGGAGCAAATTTTGAAGCATAAACTGATGTACCCTACTGTGGGGGCTTGAGGGTGTTGGGTGCATGGGAGAGAGGAGTGGTGCTGAAGTTTCTTGGCAGGTGAAGAACTCCCAGCCAGAGTATTTAATGCAAGGGACAGTTTTATCTCTACTTGGACTACTTCTTTCATTGGAAATTAAGTTAATAGTGGTGGTGGTGGTGGAGGTTTGAGAGGTGATAGAAATGGGTAGTCATGGCTGTAACTGCAGTCAAACTGCACCTAGTCCAGTAGTCCTATGTTGTTGTTTGTTTGTTTTGTTTTGTTTTGTTTGAGACAGGGTCTCACTCTGTTGCCTGGATTGGAGTGCAGCATTGCGATCACAGCTCAATGCAGCCTCGACCTCCCAGGCTCAAATGATCCTCCCACCTCAGCCTCCTGAATAGCTGGGACTATAGGCACATTCCACCATGCTTGGCTAATTTTTGAAATTTTCTGTAGAGATGGAGTCTTGCTATCTTGCCCAGACTGGTCTCGAATTCCAGGACTCAAGCAATCTTCCCACATCAGCCATGCAAAGTGTTGGAATTACAGGCATGAGCCACTGCGCCTGGCCAGTCCTGTGTCTTTTAATTCAACCAAATTTTAAGCAGGGCCTAGAGGGTAGATATCTCATCTCATATAATTTTATATTGGACATAGTTTCTTGCAGATATAGTAAGCACTGAATAGTTATCTGTGGCTTTTACATTGGACTATATTTTTGAGATTTTATAAAGAGAATAAACATAGATAACTAATAAATCCACAAACATCCTCAAAAGTTTAACACATCAATTGCCTAATATCTTAATTCACCAGTGAGAAGCATTTATCACTTATTATTTAATATTTATTTGATATAATTCATTTTAATATGCAGCAATATGATATAAAATATTGAAGCAACTTCTTTTTCCCTTCCCAATATGTATAACATCTGATGAAAATCACAGGTTTTCTTATGGTTAAAAGCAACCTTGATTTACATATACTAATTTTGGGGGTTTATAACCAGCATGCAGAACAGCAGCACCCTTGGAAAAACTAATACCACCCAGGATAAAAGTAATCTGTGTATTAAAGAAACATCCAACATATATTTTTATCATGATATGATTTGATCTAGGAATATTCACCAGTCATTGCCACATGCTTTTCTGGTAGTTACTCAAGAATTCCCATGGACATTGAATATTTTGGTATAGATTTATGAAAAGAGCTCAAAGTAGTGACATAAAAAAGGCATCATATAAGTCTTGGCCTTAAAAGTCAATCATGAAGTGTTTCTTTGACTATTACATGTCCAGTGTTGGGTAGAGGCTAAGAAAAGAGAGGTGTGTTCATGCTCTGAAGGAGTTTGTAGTCCAGCTTAGTGCTTCTTAAGTGGTGGTGAAATCAAGTTAGTGCGCTACTACCAGGTTAAAAATAGCAGAATAGAAAATATCAGAGTGCATTTAAGGTAACAGTCTGCAACATTTTATCTATCTATCTATCTATCTATCTATCTATCTATCTATCTATCTATCATCTATTTATCTATCTAGTATTGTGTGTGTGTGAGCATTTATACATATATATGTATATATATTTTGTGACTATGTAAAATATTTTTCTTGCTGAGCTTGCTGTCAAAGAGTTTCAAAACCATTGACTGCTAGGTGGAAAAACAACACAAATACACCAGGAACAGTTAGTCACTCAGAGTCCTGTCTTAGTTTGCTAGGGCTGCTGTAACAAAGTACCATAAACTGACTGGCCCAAACAATAGAAATTTATTGTCTCATGGTTCCAGAGGCCTGAAGTTCAAGATCCAGGTGTGGGCAGGGTTGACTCCTCCTGAGGGCTGTGAGGGAGAGTCTGTTCCATGCCTCTTGCCTAGCCTGTCTCTGGTGGTTTGGTGGCAATCTGTAGTGTCCCTTGGCTCGATCTCTGCCATCATCTTCACACAACATTCTCTCTGTGTATGTCTATCTCTGTATCCAAATTCCTCCTTTTTGTGTATGTCTGTCTCTGTATCCAAATTTCCCCTTTTTGTGTATGTCTGTCTCTGTATCCAAATTCCCCCTTTTAATCAATCATATTGATTTAGGGCCTACCTTAATTACCTCATTCTGATTTGATTACCTCTATGAAGATCCTATTTTCAAATAAGGTCACATTTTTGAGGCATCGGATGTCAGGGTTTCAACATCTCTTTATTAAGGGGACACAACTTAACTCATAACAATCATAATGGCGACCATATAAAAATATGGGCGCACTAGTCTTTGTACTAAGTGCCTTACCAGTCTTTATAACCACTCTGAGAAGTAAATTTATTATGTTAATTTTACAGAATAATAAAAGTTCTGAGAGGTTCACTGTTACAATTTGGGTCTGTTTTACTTCAAAGCCTGTGTTCTTCCCACTCTGCTTGTTTATTCCTGGGAGGCGAGAGCTGGCAGGGATCTCAGAGGCCATCTGGTACAATCCCCTCTTTTCATATGTAGTGGGCCAAAGTATAAAAATAATACTGTTTGTAAAAATCTCGTGTGTTTTCTACATTTCAGTGAAGCCACGAAGTTAATCAGGGAAGCAATAGTAGTGTGTGTGTGTGTGTGTGTGTGTGTGTGTGTGTGTGTGTGAGACAGTGTGAATCCAGGCTATCCTTTTATAAGCTTCAGATAACTGACAATTTAGTCTAATGAGCTAAGATGTATTTTTTTTCCAAAGGTAAATATGAAATATATATTTATTGTTACACTTTTATTATTGTACAAATCTTTTCACTACCTGATAAGTAATCTCATGGTAGATTCTTTGCATGAAGTATAACTAGAATCAGAGGAATTTTGCCAGAGTATAAATGAAAAAGATTATTTGAATCATGAATACCTACTTCTCATTACCAGTAATGAAGGGAAATGAGTGAAGACTTGGGATCTGATAGCAAACCAATGTGATTGTTGGAAGGAGCTGGGTTTTAAAGTCACACTTAGCCTTGCTGTGTTTTACTAGTTTGAACTTGGGAAAAATACTTAACTTCTTTGCATTTTTTTCTTTGACTTAAAAATGTGAGATTATCACAATATAATCTACTTCAGATAGATGATGGTTAGATTAAATAAATTAGCATATATAAAAATGAGTAACATGGCACTCAGAACATGGTAGACTTTTACTTAATCTATGCATTCCCTTATCAGTTTGGTCTTGTTTTTGACTTGATTTTCCAATATTTGGTTATTACCACTCATTCATTAATTCAACAAATGTTTTCTGAGCCCCTACTTTTGGATATCCAATGGGGACAGAGACAGGCAAGGTCTCTCTCTTTTTTTTTCTTGAGATGGAGTCTCCTATGTTACCCAGGCTGGTCTTGAATTCCCAGGCTCAAGTGATCCTCCCACCTCAGCCCCCTATCTGTTCTCTTATGACGTACATTCATAAAAATGTATGTATGTTCATGACAGACAATAAATAGCTGAATAAATAAACAATAAAAACCTATCAGATAGTGATGAGGGATTTGCAACACATTAAAAAAAAGGGGACATGTGGCTGGGTGCAGTGGCTCACACCTGTAATCCCAGCACTTTGGGAGGCTGATGGGGGTGGATTGCTTGAGTCCAGGAGTTTGAGACTAGCCTGGGCAACATAGTGAAACCCTGTCAGTACAAAAAATACAAAAATTAACTGATTTGGTGGCATGCACCTGTAGTCTCAGCTACTCAGGAGGCTGAGGTGGAAGGATTGTTTGAGCCTGGGAGGTTGAGGCTGCAGTGGGTCATGATTGCACCACTGCACACCAGCCTGGGCAACAGAGTGAGACCCCAAAAAAGCGTCTCAAAAAAAGGTGGTGGGGGGAGAATGAGAAAAGTTTCTAGTATCTTTATTAGTTTGGGTGGTCAGGAAAGTCACTGTTGAGGATCTGAGTGTCAAGAAGAGCTGTGTGTGGACCAGGGGTATGAGCAATCTAGACTTGGGGAAGAGATCACACAGAGGCATGGAGGTAGAAATGATATGTTATGATTAGTGTGAAGAGCAGAGAACTGGGAGCTGAGCGACAGAAAAAAAGCCATCATGGGAGAGGCTGGAGGATCGTAGCAGAGAGTGATGTGGAGGCTTGGACTAGGGTGGTGGTGGTGAAGGTGGAAAGTAGCACACACATTCAGGATATATTTAAAGATTAAGTCAGGAAAAAGAAGAATCAAGGATAACTTCTAGTTTTTTTTTTGTTTTTTTGTTGTTGTTGTTGAGCAACCAGAAGAAAGCTGAGGTCATTTACAAACATGGGGAACTCCAAGGGAGAAGCAGATTTTTCAGTGGAAAAATCAAGCATCATTCAATATTTGAGATACTTATTTGACATCCAAGTAGAGCTTTAGATAGGAGACCCATATTTCACGGGAGAGGACCTAGATGCAGATTTGGGAATTACCGACATAGAGATGGTTTAAAAAGTCATGGTGCTGGGCTAAGTGACTAGAGAAGCGGGTCCAGGGCAACCTCTTGTTTTCTATGGCCAGGTAGCCTTTTTTGATTCTCCACTTTCCTTCCCTTGCCCTGTTGTTACATTAGGACTCATAGCTAAAAAAGGCATTAACTTGCACAGAGGGCAAGTTCTGGGTGGTCCAGATGTCACCTATTTTCCTAAAACAATCTTCATTTCCTAAAAGAATTTCCATTATGCTTTGGATATATAAGAAATATTTATTGAGATATTCAATTAGTTAATCACTTTCTAGGTGAACACAACAGAATTTTTCACAGTAGAATTATCTTTCACAACAGAATAATAAAAACGAAATTTATCCTTTCATCAAGAGTTATGGTTACTGCTCAGTTATCAATATTGATCTCACTGTAGAACAATATTTAATTGTCTGGGACATATTTACCTTTGATTTGCATATGCCACTTCAAGGGATCCCAGCAGCAATGCTATATATGCCAATTTAAGACAAATTCAAGCCATAAAATCTAACCTGCTGTTACAATTTTTGTCTTTATGATTTAGGCTCCATTTCACATGTTTTATGTCTAGTTTTATAGCAACACACTCATCACCAGCACCTCTGGGCAGAAGTACAAAGCAGCACTTACAAAAACAACAGATTGGCAAAAACCAGGCTCCACAGCTAACCCCTGTCGCCCTTTCTCAGGCACAAGCTTGAGTCAATAAATGAATCTTCTTCTGTGAACCCTAAAGGCCTACATGCTTGGACTCTTAATGAACCAAGTCAAAAGGGAAATAAATGTTTGATTCAGGGACCCTGTAAGCCTGAACTTCTTTGTGTTCAAAGTTAGGATCCCTTAGAAACTTGTCCAATCTTAATCAATGTAAGTTGTATAAAAGGGAAATAAGACTTAACTTGCTATATAGTAGTAATAAAAATAATACTAAATATAAGAATAACAGAGAATAAAATAGCACTTATCATGTATCAATGCTGTTCTGTTCTAAACACTTTACATATATTAATTCATTTAATCCCCATGATATTACTATGAAGTAGGTTATATTATTATCCCCACTTAATAGATGATGAAACTGAAGCACAGAGAAGTTCAGTGACTTGCAAGATTCTACAAGTTAGTTGTTGCAGGTTGGGTGCTCTGAGAAGTGGACTCTGGTTTGGACATTTGCATGTGGGAAGTATATGAGGGAGTGTTTCTAGGGTCAACACCTTGGGGGAAGAACAGGAAACAGGAATGGGCAGAGGGAGAAGTCGGGATGTGATGCAGTCTCAACAAAGGCTTCTGGCAGCTCCATGGAGAGTTCTGGGACAGGGATGGCCCTGCATTGTTTTTTTAGAATTGGGACACAAAGAATATAAAATATTATGGAAGTTATCCCTGAAGAGTCAGGCAGTTCTCTTCAGTAGAGGACGGTTCCCGGAGGGGGCTGACAGCTGACAGCAGTCTGCTGGCAACACTCCCAACAGCTGGGAGAATCAATCTTCTTTAGTTCTGAAGGGGGATCTTGGTGGCATGCCACAGAGTCTACTGTGTAAGTGGAGCTGGGATTCAAAGCTAGGATGTCTGGCTTCAGAGGAGTCGAAAGAAGACCTGAACAGCAAAGTGTTGGGAAGACAGGGGTGCAGCTGGGCTTCAGACATCTGGAACTAGGGACTTGCTGCTAGGTCCCTACCTCTGTGTCTCACTCCATGCAGATTCATCTCTCACAGTGGGAAACATGAAATATCAGAACAACCAAAGACTCTTCTCAAGCTTTATATCATCTCAAGCCCAAGGGTCCTGGAGAAGAAATCCATTAGCTCAGCTTGCCAAGGCAGCCACTCCTGGGGCCAGTTGTTGAGGTCACTTTGTATTAAGATTGCAGCTCTGGATTTGATTATGCTGATGGTGGAGAGAGGCAGTTCCTAAGAGGGGGGTGCTGAGTAGTATTCTTAGAAAGTGCTAGAAGTCTTATATACATATGAAATACATTATCCTACATCTGACCAGTTTGATATAGTCAGGATAAACATGATTAAGCATTGATCCCTAAGTTTAGCACCAGCTGAATTCCAGCCATCCCAGCTTCTCCATTTCTGTGTGATTTTTGACATCATCTTTGTGGATACTTGTGTATTTGGGAGATATCCCTGATGTGTTTCAAACTAAAGTCCTTTAGGTCCCATTTAGTGTTTTGGTTTTCTTGGCTGCTGAGGTAACTTATCCCAGTGAAATCTGAGCATGTATCTCACTGACGCTTTTAAGTATTTTGAAAACATTTTCTATTTCCCACTCTCTTCTGCTTCTTGTCCCATAAACTCTGTGCCAGGGGCTAAGGCAGGGCTGATGGAAAAGCCTGACCTTTAACATAAACTAGAAAGTTAATTGTCTTGAGCTGCTTTTATAGTTTTTAGTTTGTTTATGTTTTATTTTCATCTCTAGTTCAGCTCCCTGCCCAATGACACAGTGCATTTCAGCCTTACGGAGTCCCCACCCATCCACCCTTCTGACCAGCCTCCCTCACAGTAAGGCATAGCTTTTCTGCAGACATCTGAGTAATAATCTGGTTCATCAGAAAGCTTTCCCTTTCACTGTTTAGTGTTATCTTGATTTTTACAATAAAAGAAACTGAGTTTTAAAAGAAGTATGCAAATTACCCCTATCATGCAACTAGTAAGCCATAGAGCAAAGATTTAATCCTAAATATGTGTGCGTCCAAAGACTTACTTTTTACTATAAAAGTAAAATATTCTCAAAAGTTTTGAAAAATACTTACAGTGTTTCTCAACATCTACATTCTTTAAATATCAGCACACTTAAACAAGATTGAGAAAATCACCTATTTGTTCTGTCAACGGAAGCAAAGATAGTTACCTTTTTGATTTATGTTTTCTATCTCTGTGCCTGACATGGATTTTCATTTGTTTCATGGAGTTACATCCTGGTGTTTCCCGTTTTTCCAGGTGAGGGAGGAATTAGGTGAGAATTGTTATCCTGCACAGAGCTGTCTGGACAGACTGGCATCCTGATGCTTTGTGGAACCCCTGAAAATCTTCTCATGTCCGAATTTGAATTCTGGAATTCTTGTGAGGGTTTTCTTAAGACAACTGCAGAAACCTGACACCCTGGAAGACATTCTCTAGGAGTTTATAGCAAATGTGTATCTCAAAGATTCTTAAAGGTTTTGTGCGTCTGAATTACCTGTCAGGCTTTAAAAACATATAGGCTCCAGTATCACCTAGAACCCACTGAATCAGACACCCCAGGGATCACACCAGGTCATCCATATTTTATAAAACTCTCTTGGTGGCTCAGAAAAGTAACTGTTGCCCTTTAGAATTATTGGTATATTTTAACAAGTTTCTTCACACAAGGGTTACTTGGCAAGCCATTGGCAATTTGAGGTTGGCTAATTGTGGCTGCAGGGCTGCCATTGGCAAGGCATGGGTGAGAAGTTTTCACCGATGCAGATACTGCTTCTCTCATCATCTTGCTCTTCCCTGATCTCTGTGGAGCTTTCATATTTTAAAAAGACTTCAGATGTTTCCTCCGATAAAAAGTCCCCTTCTGTGGAAGGAACTGTTCTGTAGAACTTAGACATCGAGAGAAACATCCAAAGACAAAATGTAAATAGCTGCTGTATTTTGAGAAACCAGCAATTATTTTTCTGGTCTTTCATAATGTATGCAGGCATCAACAGCTTGATCCTGGCGCTATGGCAGAATTGATAGCAAGAAAAGGTAGCAAAAGAAAATATACCAGGTTATAGTACATAACTGAACTTCAGGTTGTGTCTCTGCATTTACTCTTAAAATGTGTTTTTAATCTTCTTAAGAGAACCTGATGCATAAAAATACTGCATTTGAAAACCACCGAGGCAGACATTTGTGCCTTCCGAGGTGTAGGAGGAGTCAGACATTGCAGAACGTTGCCACACATGTTAGAATTTGGGCTGAATTACAGAACACTGGGAAGACATTGAAGGGATTTAAGTAATGAAATGACAGGAAAGATCACTTTGGCTACTCTGGAGAAAATATGTTGGGGAAATAACTGAGCTGAAGGAGGAGGAGAGCTAGGAGATAATGCAGCGGCTTGGGCTAGCATAGAGGCAGTAGCGATGGCAACAAATGTACTGATTAGAGAAATGCTTTGTAAATAAGATCTCCAAGACTTATGATTTATTGGTTGTTGGGACTGAAGACGAGAGTTTAGGATGACGTGTGGGTTTGTGGATTGGATAGCTAAAATGTCATTCTCTAGTTTTGGAAACCCAGTAGAAGGAAGAGATTTGAGATGGGAGAAGATGACCATACAGTTTGGGACAAGTTGAGTTCGAGAAATCTGTGGGCTATGCAGGTGGAGAATGCAAGTAGGCAGTGGATACATGGTCTGACACACTGGAGAGAAGTCTAGGGTAAAGACAGAGATTTAGGAACTATCAGTCCTGGCAAGAGTGGATTTTGCCTGATGGAGATTATGCAGACGGAGAAGAGAAAAGGGTCTATGGCAGAGACCTAACAATTAACATTTAAGTGAAGGCAGAAGAGAGCTTTCTAGGGCAATGTCATCAGAAATATTCAGAAAATCAAGGAACTCTTTCGTTGAGTGAAGAGAACAGAAATTTTAAGACTGAGCGAATAGGTAATGGTGTCATTTGGGGAAAAGTTTCTGTTCCTGGGGGATGGAGTCAGGGAGGCAGAACTCAGACTGTGTTGTGGGTTGAGGAGTGATTGAGAAGAAGAAGAGGAGGAGGAGGGATTGGAGGAGGAAAAGGAGGAGAAAGTGGAGGAGGAGGAGGAAGGTAATAAAAGGAGACTTGGATGGGCCTCTTTGGATCTGTTTATCTTTTTTTTTTTTTTTTTTTTTTTTGAGACAGAGTTTTGCTCCTGTTGCCCAGGCTGGAGTACAGTGGTGTGATCTCAGCTCACTGCAACCTTTGCCTCCTAGGTTCAAGTGATTCTTCTGCCTCAGCCTCCCAAGTAGGTGGGATTACAGGCACCCACCACCATGCCCAGCTAATTGTTTGTATTTGGTAGAGATGGGGTGAAAAGTGTGGAAGAAATGATTTTCTCAGTTTTCTAATAACTCTAACACTCTGTGATTTGATGTTTTGAAGTCACATACTTTCAGGTATAAAATTACAAGCTTGTTTCAGGCTGGTATGCATATTTAATAGAAGATAAATTTTGTTTTCCCAATCCAAGATTCATAATCTTATGTAAATTGGGTACTGTGAATTTTTGCGGTAAGGCTAAAGGTTTGGCGATTGACATACTGAATTTTCCATGTTGTTTCCCTGCACGCATCATATTAAATTTCACTGTAATTCTCTTATATGACTTCCATGAAATCACAAATTTTCATGAGTGGAAAAATCACGTCAGATATGCCTTGAGTCTTCTTTGACGTTCCTGGATGTGAACCCAGACCAGAGCTATGAAATCATTTGCAAGCACAGCCCCAGTAGGAACCTATGGTTTGGAGCATTAAGCCATTCGAGTTAACGTCTTTGAAGTGTTTCTTCAAGCTTTCAGTCTGTGGTTGCTTAACTAGTGAGCTCAATGCTTTCCCCAAATGACATTTTTCCTCCTAACTTTAAATTATTAATTACTTTTTCTTCCTTCAGGTCTTCAGAAATTATCTCATTTAAAAAGGTATTTTGGTAGTATCCCATTTTATCTCTGTGCTTTTTTGTTTGCTAAATCCAAAGTAGAATACATATGAGAATGGAATGGACATCTCAAGGCCTTTCTGTGTGGTCTATACCCTCTGGTTTCCTAGTTAATCTGAGAACTGATTGGTATAAATTTGGGATGCATGGGCAGTGATTTTGGGGGAAGAATTAAATGTTAAAGTGTTATTCTCTTTGTGACTGGCCTTGTCCAGTGAGAGTGGAGAGAGCCAGCGTATACATACGAGGGATTTCCTGGTGATAGAATAAATCTTAATTAAACAGTTAGTAGAATATTATACAGATTGTTGGGTTATAAGACTTAGTCATTGACCTCCGGCAATTATCTTAATTGAAGAAATGTCTAAAGCTTGTTAATATTAAACTCTGATATGCCCACCTTCACAAAACTCCTATAGCTTTCAACATTCTTTCCCTGGAAAGATCTAAGAACAGAGAAATAAAGGATGAGTTTTGTGATCACCACTTAAAACAAGAGGCTCCCTGAGGTCCTTTATTAATTGAAAGGAAGGAGCAAGGAGTCAATTGGCTGGTGAACCTGCATGGTATTTAACCCAGCTCTTGGAATACAGGGCTGAATGCATCAGAGACAGGCTTCATTCTGGGAATTTCCATTCATTAGGAGCTGCTACAATGTTTTAATAAAACTGGGCATTTGATCTACTCAGATAGAACTATTTTCTCTTTCAACATCTGCAAAAGCGGGGTTGAACACAAGTGGGAAAATGTCAGGCTCACTACATCTACCTGGGAAGACAACTTTCCAGTTTGGGAGACCTTCAATTTGGGCCCATTAGGAATCACAAAATGGGCCAATGGGATAGTGGATTCAGGGATTGGGTGTGCATATCAAATTGAAATGTAAATTGAATTTGTTGAAATCTGGAAGTAGGCTCCGAATTATGACTTTCCCGGAAAAAAAAATCTGGAAGTTATGCTGATTTATGCTCCCCAAAATGTGTGATAAGCATTTACCTAGAGTTTTACATTATGTAAACTGTTTATAGGCAACTTCTGTGAGAAAAAAATTTGGGGGACATCTTAGGCCCACCTTGGAGTCATCTAGATCTGAGTTATATTCAGCTCTTCAGGTCAGGTTGGTGTGGGACTCGTCAGCATGATGCAGAGACATATATGGTGGTGAGGGGCTATACCAGGAGGGTGAAGAATGGGGAAAAGAGTTTCTGTATGTTGATTTATGTCAGCTCCGGTCCCTCTCACTTTAGTGGTGGCTTCGAAAACATTGTCTTTGAAGCAATGTGTTTTTGTGATTTCTAATAAACACTTCAGTTTTTAAAGGTCACTGTAACTATCTAATTACTCTGGGAGGCATAGCCACTCAACTTTTACTAATAAGCAACAGTTTGTATGGGATTAGGATGGGGCCAGAGGTGTAGCTTAAGACTGAGAAAAGAACCATAAAGTTTAGGGCGAGATAGATTGGTATGGGTGGGGAGGGTTGGTACAGGAGCTGGAATGAAGTCACCAAAAATTAAAATAAGGGCATTGAAATAGGAAATGCAGCCTTTTTTTTTCTTATGATTTTCTGTGGTACTGACCTTGACAAATTTATCCAAACGGTAAAAGACAGACTGTCCTAAGAGGGTGATTTAAAGACTCTGCCAGGTAAGAAGTTTGCTGAGTGGGGTTGCCAGAGTGAAGGCTGCTTTCTGTTGTTTGCACCGAATTAGTAAATCACTTCATAGCTTTGTGAAAATCTGGTTAAGCAGATTTAGTGAATTCAAATGGAGAAAAAGTGTTTTATTTTGTCCTGGAGGGGAATTTAGGTTCTCTCTGCCTGACCATACCATGTGCTTGCCAATAGTTACTCCCGTAAGCATTCTGTGGCTGTGGCCAAGAAGAAACATACATTATAAACTAGTAAAGCTTTAAAAAATGTTATAGCCCATTGATAGTGTATTCATAATAGCAAAGAACAGAACTCATGCATATCATTGCTAAAGATAAAAAATTCCTATTTAATGTATCAGTGGCAATTTAATGAAGAATAAACTGTAAATAATGCCAACGAGGATTCCTTGAAAAATTAATTTTCAGGTTATTGAGCAAAATTGAACCTCCAACTAGAAAGTTTTGTAGTGCTTTACAAGTGTGGCCACATGGAGGAGCTGTTGAAGGCTGGTTCACCTTCCATAAGCAAGTTCCTAGAGATAATTGCACTTGGTCTTGAAACTGACTGCAGATTTAAGTCAGTCATGGCTAAAGCTAACTGACATTATACATAAAAGACAGTGTAGAACATTTTACCTACAAATAGATACTACAACTCATTTGTAAGATTCTAAACCATTGCTTAATATTATTTTTTGAGGTCTACCTATTCTAGGCAGATATTGATGTTTACTCCTAATTTCAGGAGTTTCTTTTTTTCTTCTTTCCCTGACTCACTTCTTTATCTTTTTCTTTTTTTATCATTTATATATCTGAGTCCTGTGCTAGGAATTTAGTGTAAATAAATATTTAAGGTTAAGAATCTAACCTAAATACAAGAGACAAGTTATTTGTAAAAGGTCAACATTATTAGCAGAACAAAATGAAGTTTATATTTAGTTGCAGGCCAAAAAATTGGAGGGTAATTGACAGGCATTTGTTTGAGTAGACAGTTTTTTTTAACCTAGAAAAAATGGTGAATTTAAAAATAAAACGCAATTTTTTTTGTAAATCTGTATACATGTTTACTTGCAGATTTTCTATAGTGGAAAAGAGAAACATCTTTGGCATCAGCCAGATCTGGGCTTAGATCCTGGCTCCGCTGCTTACTAGCTGTGTGACCTTGGTTTAAATTAATTAACCTGCTTGAGTGTCCAATTCCCATCTCCCAACACTGCTTACCCCATATGTGGTTGTGGGGATTAAGTGAGCTATCATATACAAGAAACTTTGAGTATACTAATGATGTATATAAGGAACTTCATGGGTATTTGAGATAAAAATGAGATTTCTTCTTCTTAAACTTATTCTAGGCAGATGGCATCTCATAAAGAAGCATTATGGAAATTTAGGCTTGAAATGAATTTTGGGAGGCAGCATAATGCTGAGGTTAAGAGCAGTAGCTTTGGAGCAGGACCAACCTAGGCTTGAATCCCAGCTTTGTCATTTGCTAGCAGTGTGTCCTTGTGTATCTAACACTCTCCCTGAACCTCAGTCGTGACACCTGGAATTGGGGCTTCAGCACTGCTTTTGCTGGAGAGTGGTGTGTGTGAGGGGAGGTGGGGAGTTTGAGTCTCAAGCTGCTTCCAATCTGTCCCACCTTGTTTGTTTTGGTTGTGCTGAGCAAACTCAGCGCATCAATGGACATTGTTGTCACTGGATGATCAACAAGGGACCTGCTAGCCACCGCAGATGGAAATTGCACACTGAGCTGTTCTTGGCACAAACAACTCTCAGGGCACAGTTCCACGGCAGTGCATTGCTAAGTTAGGCCAGGCTCCCTGTGCTTCATCAGTGCTAAAAAGGAAGTGTCTATATAGGCAGAGGCTGGCACTCTTTTAAAGAAGATTCCCCTCCTCTTTCCATGACCCTGTCTGGCCTCATGACTCTCCTCCATAATAGTTGCCCCTCCATGTCTCTTCCCTCTTGGTAGATGAGCTTGGGCAACCCTTGTCTACTTAAATCTAGATCTTTTTCTTTTATTTCAATCACTTGTTCAGGGCATAAACCCCAGGCGTTGCTTACTCAAGTATTAACACTGGATTCTCAAATTGTTCTTTTCTCAGGAAGCCTGCTTTATAAAAATAAAATGCTTTGGTCTTTGGACTGCTATTTTTGCTATGGTTTTAAAATTTGATTTAGCAACTAGAGACCAAAGCACTATTGGTTTCATTTTGCACTCCTGTTGAGCAATCCTAATTCTCTGAAGGAAAAGTGACGCCTCTGAGGGCAATGAGAGATGGGATAGAAGATAATAGGGGCAATAAGGAAAACTTCACATTTTATTTTGCCGTATCTATTTTAATTTAGAACACACTTTATTTTGATGTGGTTAGTTTGGCAGAGAATCCTAAGTATAATCTTGACTTAGGTTTTGTGCTTCAAGAGTGTTTGAATAGGAGCTACTGATTCCTAACTTTCTATCTGCCTTGTGAAGACAGACATGTTTTATTACCTTGATCTAGTCCAGTTATTTTATTATCTGTTGTTGCAACCATGGAATGAATGAAGTTGTTATAGAATTAAGATAAGCACTTTTTTTTTGGACAACATTATTGCAAAAATCATGCTTTAAGGGTCAGGTTACCACTTGACATTACCTTGCTTCTAACATTCTCAGTCCATTAGCAAAATTTCTAGGGAAGAACAATGATCAGATGGCAAATATAAAACGTGTTCATGCTGTGCCTTCTACGGCGATTAGTACTATATGGTATAGTGGAGTCTTTCAATGAAATGAGGTATTCTAAATGAATTAAAATGAAACATACCATAGTCTAGTCCAGGGGTTGGTGAACTGTGGCCCGTGGGCCAAATTTGGCCCATGGCGTAAGCTTTTAAGCCCAAGAGCAAAGAATTTTGTCTTTTTAGAAAACATTTTTAAAAGGTTGTGAACAAAGCAAAACAAAACAAAGGAGAATGTGACAGAGACCTCATGGCCTGCAAAGCCTAAAATATCTGGTAACTTGTCTTTCACTGGAAAAGTTTACTGAACCATGGTATAGAAAAAAATAAAACAAAGCAAGAAAACCTAGCATCCTACCTATTTTTATAAATGAGCTGTTTAAACAATGACACATATTTCTGGCCACAAATCAAGTTACTAACATTGTTTTCTCATGTACAAATTGGAGATGATAATAACAATGAAATGATATTCATTACAGTGTTTGTTGCACAGTAGATACTGAATAGAAAAACCCTCTTTATTTTATTTTCAACTTTGTATCTCTGAGATTTTGCAGAGTGCCTGGCCCCTTGTAAGTGTTAAAGAAAAAATTGTAAAATGATTTTCCTGGGATGTAAACAGAAAAATATTATCAGTAAGAAAGGAAGTCTTAATTTACAACCATTATGTCAAAACGCCTTGAAATATGAAAGCTTTTAACTATTTTCATCATCAACCAATGGGAGGATGGGCATGTGTTTGGCACTTAGACTTCAAATGGCTTCCTTTCAGAGTAGAGGAAAAACGATCTATAGCTCAGCAGGCCTGTGGCTGTTCTTTAATGGAATGGACCTCTTAGGGATGTATTAGGGAGCAATACTTTTATTCACTTACTTTAAAAATTTTAAATTTATATTAAATTTATATTAAATTCATGTTATGGAAAATTTTGAACATATATACAAGTAGAGAGAATAGTGTAATGAACCTAGCATAAACACTTATCAACAGACACCCAGTCTTGTTTCATCTATATCCCCTCCCATTCCTCATGATCTCATCATATAGATTTTTTTTTTTTTTTTTGAGACAGACTCTCCCTCTGTCACCCAGGCTGGAGTGCAGTGGTGCAATCTGGGCTCACTGCAGCCTCCGCCTCCTGGGTTAAAGTGATTCTCTTGCCTCAGCCTCCAAGGTAGCTGGGAATACAGGTAGCCACCATCATGATGGGCTATTTTTTTGTATTTTTATTAGAGATGGGGTTTCACCATGTTTGCCAGGCTAGTCTCGAACTCCTGACCTCAGGTGATCTGCCCATCTCGGCCTCCCAAAGTGCTGGGATTACAGGTGTTAGCCACCACACCTGGCCAATATAGATTATTTTGAAGCAAATTCTAGAGAATATATTACTTTATCTGTGTTTTTTCCAGCATGTATGGCTAAATATTTCAGTGTATATTTTCAAAGACCTCTTCAAAAACACAGTCATAATACTATTAGCATGCTGAAGAAATTGACAAGTCCTTAATATCAACAAATGTTGAGTGAATTCAAATTTCTTTTTTTTTCTGTTAAAACCAGGATCTAAACATGATCTACACGAAGCTTCTAGTTGACGTGTACTTAATTTTTTTAAATCTAAGTTTATCTTTATTTTAGTTTTATCCCTTGAAATTTATGTACTGCTGAATTCAATGTGTTAATATTTTGGTGAGACACATTTGTGTCTATGCTCTTGAGGAATATTGGTCTGCAGTTTTCTTTATTGATAATATTTTTGACTGGTATTTATAGGGTAATAAACTCATAAACTGAGTTGGCAAGTGTTTTCCCTCATTCATTTTTCCGGAAGGGTTTGTGTAGAATTAATAACATTTGTTCCTTACATGTTTGGTAGGATTCTTAGTGAAATCACCTGGGCTTGGTGTCTTTGTTGCAAGATTCTAAACTACAAATTCAGTTTTTCAATATATATTGGATTATTCATGTTATCTTTCATTTTTAGTAAGCTTTCACAGCTGGTTTCTTTCAAGGAATTTGTCTATGCTATGTAAGTCATCAAGTTTATTGGCATAAAATATTCCCTTATTATCCTTTTAATGCCTCTGGGATCTATAATGATGTCTTCTTTTTTTATTCCCCATTTCAATAATAAGTGTCATCTCTTTTTATTCTTTGTCAGTCTTGCTTTGGTTTATCAGTTTTATTAGTCTTTTCAAAAGACGAGCTTTTGGGACTAAATAATTATATTTATTATTTTTCTGTTTTGAATTTTATTGATTTATGCTAATTATTTTTCTTCTGCTTGGTTTGGGTTCAATTTGCTGTTCTTTTTCTAGTAAGGTAAAAATTCATATAATTGATTTGAGACTGTTTTTCTCTTCTAATATAAACGTTCAATGCCACAATTTACCATGAAGCATTGTTTTAGCTGTGATATGATTTGGCTGTGTCCCCACCCAAATCTTCTCTTGAATTGTAGTTCCCATAATTCCCACATGTTGTGGGTGGGACCCGGTGGGAGATAATTGAATCATGAGGGTGGTTTCCCCCATGCTGCTCTTGTGGTAGTGAATAAGTCTCATGAGATCTGATGGTTTTATAAGGGGAAACCCCTTTTTCTTGTTTCTGCTTCTCTCTTGTCTGCTGCCATGTAAGATATGCCTTTCAGGTTCTGCCATGATTATGCGGCCTCCCCAGCCATGTGGAACTATGAGTCCATTAAACTTCTTTTTCTTTATAAATTACCCAGTCTCAGGTATGTTTTTATCAGCAGCATGAGAACCAACTAATACAAGCTGCATCCCACAAATTTTAATATGTAGTTATCATTTTCAGTCAAGTCCAGATATGTTTCCATTTTCTTGTGACTTCCTGTCTTATCCATGGGTTATTTAGAAGTGTGTTGTTCAATTTCCAAATACTTGAGGATGTCCTGGTATTTTTGTTATTGATTTCTATGTAAATTTCTTAGAGTAAGAAAATATATATTGCTTGATTTCAATTTTTTTTAATTTTAATATTTGTTTTATGGCCTAGAATGCAGTCTCTTGCAGTCTCTCTTGGTAAATGTTCCATGTGCACTTGGAAAACAACGCGTATTCTGCTTCTGTTGGTTGAAGTCTTCCAAAAATGTTAATCAGGTCAAGTTGTTTAATGATGTTGGTAATGTCTTCTATATCCATACTGATTTTATTTATACTATCAATTACTGAAAGAGGGGTGTATTAATTAGTTCATTCTCACACTACTATAAAGAACTGCATGAGACTGGGTAATTTATAAAGGAAAAAGGTGTAATTGACGCACAGATCCACAGGCTTAACAGGAGGGATGACTAGAAAGCCTCAGGAAACTTGCAATCATGGCAGAAGGCAAAAAGGAAGCAAGCACGTCTTACAGTCTTACATGACAGCAGGCAAGAAGGAGCAAGTAAAGTGGGAAGAGCCCCTTATAAAACTGTCAGATCTTCTGAGAACTCACTCACTATCATGAGAACAGCATGGGGGAAACTGCCCCCATGATCCAGTCACCTCCTGCCAGGTCCCTTCCTCAACATCTGGGGATTACAATTCAAGATGAGATTTGGGTGGGGACGCAGAGCCAAACCATATTAAGGGGTGTTAAATATTTTATTATAATTGTGGATTTGTCAATTTCTCCTTTTAGTTCTATTAGTTGTTGCTTCACTTTCTGAAGTTTTATTTTTAGACATATATGCATTTAAGATTGTCATGTCTTCCTGGTGAATTCTATTTGTCACTGATAACATTTCTTGCTCTGACATGTACTTTGTCTGATATTAATGTAGCCATTCTAATTTTCTGATTAGTATTGGCATGGCATACAATTTTTCATCATTTTACCTTTAACTGATTATCAGTAGGCTTGTTTTAGACAGCTTATCGTTGGATCTTGCCCTTGTATCCAATCTGAAAATCTTTGTCTTTATTTGAAATATTTAGACTATTACATGTTATGTAATAATTGACATGGTTGAGTTTAAATCTACTGCTTCTCAGTTGTGTTTGATTTAGTCCATCTATCTTTCCCTACTTTTTTGGCCTGCTTTTGGGTTAATTGAATTTTTTTTTAGGATTCTATTGGTTAATTAATTATACCTCCTTTTCTAATATTTTTAGTGATTTGAATAATATTATGCCACTTCATGTGTAGTTTAAGTACCTTACAAAAGTATCTTTTCCATCTCTTCCTCACATCCTTTGTGCTACTTTGTTACTTATTTAAAGAAACTGGATCATTTGTCCTGAAAAAACTCCTGTAGAGTTTTCTACAATCTGGATTTTCTTATTGCATGCCTATGACGATGTTTAACATTTATCTTGTCTTCTGTATTTTTTATTAATAATAGAACTGGAGACTTGGTCAGATTCAGCTATAATTTTTATGACAGATACTTATATCAGGAGGCATATAAAGTCCAACTATTCCATTTTATTATGTTAACAGCCATTAATTATTGTTGCCTGTCCATTATTTCATTAAGGGTATTAAAATGGTGAAGTTCTAATTCTATCATTTTTCCCATTTATTAGCCAGAATATTTCTATAAAGACACACTTTCCTTCATTTATTTGATTACTCTGAAGGGCAGTTTATACAGAAAAGCAACTTAAATGTTTGATTCTTTTCCTTTATTTACTAGTTTTCAACGTGAGGTTTTTTTCTTAGCTTTCTCCAAAGGTGAGCAATAGGTTTTTATTTTTTTATATCTATGAATTCAGACATTTTTAAGCATCTTTGATATTTGATCCATTTTTCTATGTATGCTCAAATTGTTTCAGCTGACTTCAAAATTTTTCTGATGTAAACCCAGTGATTTTAAAGATTTTTCACTTTATAAGCTCTGACTTCATGTTATACATCATGTCACAGATTTGGAATCAGACATTTCTCCAAGAAACCTTGGTTGTTTTTGATGACTATGGAACTTAGAGAAACAAGCTGGTTGCCAGGATTTGAAGTAGAGTACAAAAATAATTATTGCCAATATGATTATTAAAAACAGAGATATTAGCCGTGGATTTTTCATAGATGTCCTTTATTAGATTGGGGACATTCTCTTCCATCTCTAGTTTCTTGACTGTTTTTGTCATGCAGTGGTTTTAGATTTTTGTCAAACACTTTTCCTTCATCTATTGAGATCATCATATATTTTTTACCTTTATTCTATTAACATTGTGCATTACTTTGATTAATTTTTGCTTGTTAAACTGACCTTGCACTCCAGGGATAAATCCTACTTGGTCATGGTATATAGTCTTTTCTATATGTTGCTGGATTCAGTTTGCTAGTATTTTGTTGAACTTTCTGTATTTATATTCATAAGAGATATTATTCTATTATTTTTCTTTTTGGTAATGTCTTTGTCTGCACTTGGTGCTGGAGTAATTCTGGCTTCATAGAATGAGCTGAACTGTATTCCTTCTTATTCTGTATTTTGGAAGAGTTTGTGAATGATTGGAGTTAATTCTTCTTCAAATGTTTGATAGAATTTAGTGGTGAACCATCTGGGCCTGGGCTTTTCTCTGTGGGAAATGTTTTGATTACTAAGTCAATTTCTTTATGTGTTATAGGTCTATCTATATATTTTGTATTTTCTTGAGTCAAGAAAATACAAATAGTAGTTTGTGTCTTCTAGGAGAGCATCCAATTCAACTAAATTATCTAATTTGTTGGCACACAGTTGTTCATAGTATTCTTTTATAACCCTTTGATTTGTACATTATACATAGTGACACCCTGTATTAACTTCTGATTTTAGTATTTTGAATATTCTCTTTTTTATTTTGGCTAGTCTAGCTAAAAGTTTGCCAATTATGTTTGTCTTATCAAGGTTTCAATATTGGTTTTGTTATTTTTTTCTAGTGTCTTTTTTTCTCCATTTCATTTATTTCTGCCCTAATCCTTATTATTTCCTTTTCTTTCTTTATTTTGGATCTAGTGTGCTTCTATTTTTTCAGTTTCTTAAGGTAGAAGGTTAGGTTATTGCTTTGAGGTCTCTTCTTTTAAACATAGGCATTTACAGCTTTACATTTTGCTCTGAGCAGTGCATTAGCTGCATCCTGTAAATTTTGGTATGTTGTATTTTAGTTTTCACTAATCTAAAATTATTTTCTGATTTTCCTTTTATTCTATTATTTCTAATTTTAATTTTATTTGAACCATAGTTTATTTAGGAGTGTATTGTTTAATTGACACATATTTATGTGTTTCTTGAATTTATTTCTGTTTATCATTTCTACATTCATTGTATTTTGGTCAGAGAACTTTGTGTATTAGTCTGCCAGGGCTGCCATAACAAAACACCATAGACTTGGTGGCTTAACCAGCAGAAGTTTATTTTCCTGCAGTTCTGGAGGTCTGAGTTCAAGGTGTTGGCAGGCTTGGATTCTTCTGAGGCTTCTCTCCTTGGCCGTGTTCTCCTTGTGTCCCTCTGTATGTGTCTGTGTCATAATTTCTTCTTCTCATATGGACATAAGTCATACTGGATTACGGCCCACCCTGGTGAACTCCTTTGAATGTAATTACCTCTTTCAAGACCCTGTGTCCAAATACAGTCTCATTCTGAGATACTAGGGATTGGGACTTCAACACATGAATCTAAGAGGGGACATAAACATCCAGTCAAAACAAGAGCGTACATGCATTTTATTTCTACCTTTTTCTGAGATAAAATAGCATACTGTACATACTTTTTCCATCTTTGTTTTTAAATTTAACAATATATCTTGTTAGTCACTCTAAAATACTACTTAGAAGCATTCATCATTCATGCTTCTAGCTGGAGTCATCCTTTGAAATCTGAATGACAATTATTATGCTATCAGCAAATCCACTGCTTATTATTACTGGATCATTTGTGATGTTCACAAAATAGTTGTGTCTTTTGGCTGTGTTAGGATGTTTCCTCAGAATCAGATCCTGATAGGGAGATTAGATTCATGTATAAGTGATTCATTAATGACATGTTCTCCAAAGAAATCACTAATGATATTGGGGAAGCAGGGCAGGGAAGGAGAGAAGGCCAAGCTAGAGCGTGCAGTCTCAGGTAATGTCCCAGTGAGGATAGCTTCAGCATGATCCCACAGGGGGATTCTTGAGAACCTGTCTCCAAATGGCCCCACTTGAGACAAGGCAGCTGGGCTTGCATAGTCATTGGTAAGTTTCTCCTCCCTTGGTCTCCCAAGGGACATATAAATTCCCAGGCATCTGAAGCCCTAGACTGTGGCCCCAGCAGGTACCAGTAGCATAAAAGCAGTGTCTGGAAAATTGCTACAGGTAGCAAATGCATACACAAAAGGGAATGAGGCTTAAAGTTGGAGGTGCTGCATAAAGAGACAATAATAAGATATATAATTGGGGATGGTGTCTGAGTTGCCTGGAAGGAACACTGATATTGTCCAATACAGTGGCAAAATTAAGACCATAGGTCATGTTAATTAGCCTATGTGGCTTACTGAACAATAAATTTGTCCCCCACTTTATATGTTAGAACAACTGATTTAAATATAAATGGTGGTCTATGAGGCTGTGAGATAAAAATCTAGGAAATAGAAAAATCACAAACACCCAGAAAAAGAAGGGTTTTCTGTTCAACAAACCCATTTATTAGCCTTTCCCCAAATATGTGATTAGCACACTAAAAGACATTAAAATTAAGCCTTAGAAGAAAATCTGAAATCTAAATTTACTAGAATGAGAGGAAAAAGTTTTCAATTTCCATCTTGCCTCTCATTTTGTTTTTAATACGACCAGAATCGAATAGATGATTGGTGAGGGCATGGAAAATTAGACTGGATTCTCCAATGACTGAACTTAATGCTGTGGCTGGACTTCGATAAAGAAAAGCAGGGCTCATTAGAACATAGTATGGATTTCCAGGTCTAAAATAATACCATCTGAAAGTGAACAGAAGTAATAAATATCTATCTCAACTTTTTTTTGCATGAAGAAGGGAGTCAGTGGACTAGTTCTTTAGGAAATTCTACTGGAGATGTACTCCACGAAGACTGTTTTCCATTCTACAGTGCCATCAACTGAATTATCAAAAAATGGCTGAATTAGAAAGAGAACACATAAAAACTCAGACAGAGAAGGTTTATAACCAGAAGATTCTTTAATACTTTAGTGATGTATTTGAGCCAAAGTGGATAAAACTGGATACTGGAAATTGTGCTTATGCTTGTTTTCCTTAAGGAATTCATTTAATGAAATATTGAGTAAAATCTTATTAAGATTAAGGACGGCATGGGAATGGCTTCATCTGGCATACTCAGAGGAGAGATTATATTGTTGCTTTGATTGACTTCAGGAAGAGTCAAGAAATCTCCATCTTAGGTTTGCTTAGGAAGGGAATGATTATGGAAGATTGATGGCCTTTTTCTGAGACTGAATAAAAAAGCTAATTGGGAGGGAATGAAGACCCATGACAGGCATCAGAATTAGTTAAGCAACCAGTATTATAGATGCATTACAAGAGAAACTCTGAGAGTTCTATTCTGTCTTCTCTACTTAGTCAACTGTTTTTTCATTCAATTCTTTTAAAGCATCTTCTGCGGGATAGGGAGATAATGATAAGTTAGACAGTCTAGTTACCCACCAGACCCACTAGACAATTGCTTTCCTTATTTATGAAGAATTCAGTTTGAAGAACTTTAGTTATTTGATTTTGCTACCTTCAGTTGCTCTCAGAAGGTATTTGTATATATGTTATGCAGTGTTTGCTTTCAAAATTTATTTTTCCGTCCATCAATTCTACAAATATATATCAAATACAGGTCATACGTTTGTATGCCGTAGTTATAAGATAGAACTTACAACTTTTTTCATGGAGCTCCTAGCCTAGAAGGGTTTGTAGAGAGAAGGGTCTATGGGGTCTATAGGGAGATATAGGTCTATATCAGGCAATTATGATCCTGCGATATAAGTGCCATGAGAGGAAACTCAGAGTCCCGGAGTGTCAGTATATAGGAAATGCCCCTCTTAGACTTGGATGGAAGCAGGAGTCAGGCTATTTCTCTGACAGCAGATGACTTCTAAGCTGAAAATAGAGGATTGTGTTGTTATATACAGATGCAAGATAAATGATCGATCATTACCTCTTGCCATAGATGAAACTACCCCTTGTATTAAGTCGGAGGGCAACATTTTATATTGTCCCTTCACTTCTACGTTAGTCCCTAATTGTATGCACGAGAGCCTAGAAGTTATTCTGGGCAAGCAGCTTCTACTGACGCAAGAATAAAGAACTATGCTCCCATGCACTCTCTTTCTCTTCTCCTGCCCCCACAAATCAGCTCATTTAATGACGTAGTTTTATCTTCACCAAGTAGATTATAGGCCATTCTTCCTTATTGGGTATGAGAGTGATAAAAATATCTGACATTACAGAAAATACCCAAATATTACTTTTTGTTTCCACTTCTCTCCTTACTGAAATCTTAGACCAGACTTTCCATAAAATATTTCCATAAAAATTTCCATAGGATGTCTGCTTGACAGTTCTTTTAGTCTACTTGTCTGTGATACCTCCTATAAACCTCCTCGTGGGTGCTCATAAATGTGTAAAAACTTCTGTGTTCAGATCTGCTAAACTGCACTGATGTATTCTTGTTTATGTGAACAAGTGGTCCCAGTTGAGATCACCACTTATTCAGGCCCAATTAAAGCCTTTGGAAGCAGGCATACCTTAACACAAGATACCAAGACGGCTTTGGTTTGAGGGAATCAGAAAAACAAGCATAAACAAACTATTGGGAAAGTCACAGCCATGCAAAATTTTACATTTACAAAAATCAACCCATGTGGCCTGGGGTGTCAAGTGGTCACTCAAAAGTGGCTTATTAATCAGCTGTTCTCTGAACTGGCAGGCCTTCTGGCAAATGGGCAACTTCCAGTTGTACTGTACTTTTTGGTTTCTTTTATTTACTGCTGCGTTCCAATGCTTGGAACAGTAGCTGCTATAGGAGATGCTCAGTAAATATTGGCTGTATGTGAATAAAAGTTCTATAGCTTTGCAAAGAAATTGGTTCTATATTGTTAGATGTTTCTAGTTTGTTTTGCCTGTAATAATTTATTTATATGTTGTACAGACGAATTTATAATGTCTGTCTCCTTGAAATCCCCCTGAGGGTAAATGCTAAGTCTTTTAATATTTAATAACTCACCACAGAGTTTGGCCCAAAATATACCAGAATGGGAAAACATATCAAAGACATGTCTTATTGATGGTGAACGGCAACAAATTGCATTTTTTGTATTATGACACAATTCTCATACATGCTAACTTCTAATCCTTGCAACTGCTCTTGACAAAGGCAGAGCGAGTGGTGGTGTTTCTAATGTGAGAAAACTGAGGTAGAACAGAGCAAATTGGCTTGCCACAGGTCTTATGGCCTGCAGGTGGAAGAAGTAGGAGAAGGACACAGATCTTGTGGCTCCTTCTCTAGTTCTTGTTCTCAAAGAACTAGAATCTTTTACCTCTAAGGCAGCCTTTAACCAAGGATGGATAGGTGGGGTGGGAAAATACTTCAGTCTCCTTACTCTCTGTTGGAGCACCTCTGAAGTATGACCCACATGATCTCTGAATGTCCCTGTGGCGTTGACTCCAAGTTACCCTCTGTGGAGCTTTGCTTGATATTGTGCCCTTTACTACCTTCCCTTTCCCCTGGCACCTCCCATGCCCTTCCCCAAACTACCCCAACTTCATCCAATTTAGATAGTAGCTCTGGTATTTTTTAGTATCTTTATTATATTGCTTATTTACATATAGTAAATACATGTTTGTGGCAGACTAGAAAAAATATGTATTTTACATCTAATATTGTTTAGAACCATTGAGTATTATACACAAACGTACTCACTAATGAGTTCAGTAAGTGTTCAATAATTCAGTAATTGGTGTTTTAAATGTTTGCATTCTGTAGAAATCTTTGGTGGACTGTTTATAGGTGTTCAAGGGTTTTAGCGATATTTGGGGCAATATGTCAGGGATTTTGGATGGGTTGGGAATACATTCTTTTCCTATTTAAAATAATGAAATAGAGTCTTTCAGTATCTGAAACTTGACTCAGAGTTCAACACAGTTTTAGAAATGGATTAGATGTTGCAAAAATATCCCTGGGTTGCAATGGGCCTGAACTAATTAATCCATGGTAATCTAAAATTCTGTTCTGACATTAGTAGCTACCGTATAAAACCATATGATTAAGCATGTCTAGTTTTCTTTTTTTCAAACAGACTCAATCACTAAACAACATATTTGGTTGGGGGAAGAATATGGGATATAAATCCTTGAAATAATATGGAGGTTGTGGATGCTGAAAATGGTTTATCCTCCCTGTGAAGCTCCCTTTAAGGTTAGGGCAGTGAGGGTAATTGATACAAACAAAGAAATATAACAAGCCAGAGTGATCCCACAGGGAAATTTCTCACCAGTCCTCTCAAGTTCCACTTTAGTCAGAACTGGGTTATCCCCTCATGCCCACATCTTAACACAGAGTATTTGCTGCCTGGAGAGCTTATGAGCATCTGGTGCCCTTGGGCCAAGTTGATCCCCAGTGGTACATGGGGGATGATAGGAGAGAAGTGTCCACGCTGAAGGCCAGGCTGGCCTTGGAAGACCCTCCATACCTCTTTTAGGTCCTCTGCAACAGAAGCTCCCCTTCTTCTTCCCACTTCAAGGATGTTCTATTGATATGGTTTGGTTCTGTGTCCCCACCCAAAACTCATCTCAAATTGTGATCCTCATGTATTGAGGAAGGGACTTGGTGAGAGGTGATCGGATCATGGGGATGGACTTCCCACTTGCTGTTCTCATGATAGTGAGTGAGTTCTCACGAGATCTGAGGGTTTTAAAGTGCGGCACTTCCCCGCTTGTTCTCTCTCCCTCCTGCCGGCTTGTGAAGAAGGTGCTTGCTTCTCCTTCACCTTCTGCCATGATTGTAAGTTTCCTGAAGCCTCTCCAGCCATGTGGAGCTGTGAGTCAATTAAACCTCCTTTCTTTATAAATTACCCAGTCTCAGATAGTTCCTTATAGCAGTGTGAAAATGGACTTATACACCTGTACTGCTCATACTCTTGTCCTCATCTTGCTTCTTTTCTCCAGCCTAGCCTTTCATCTCACTGGAGGGAAAAGCTGGTCCTAAAGCCAAGCCTTCGTTTTGCTCTTAGATGGGTCATTTCTTTTGAATTTTTGTTTCAGGCTCTTTGTGTGCTCAGGGAGAGAACATGGGCCTAGGCCACTTCTTTTCAATTCTGGTTGCACATTAGAATCACCTAAGCATTTTTTGACATATGTGTTCCATCAGTAGGCCAATTAAACCAGAAGATCAGTGTGTGGGACCCAGAAATGAGTACTTTTTAGAGGCAACTTTCCAGATGTTACTGCTGTGCTGCCAAGGTTGGAAATCATTGCCCTAGAGAGAGGGGTTGGGGGACGAAGGGAAAGAACATCGAGATTAATACTCAGAGACCTGGCCTTGTTATTAGAAATTATAATTGTGAATAGAAGTTATTCTATTACTGGTTTTGTGAGAAATATACAAGGTTCAAACAAGAGTTGCTACTATGAGGATTGTTAGGATCAGATTTTAAACAGAATCTGAAATGTCTTCACCTTGAAGCTTAGGTTTTGATTAGGGACAATTCTAAGATATTAATTCCATTAAAGTCAGAATTAATGAGCATGCAACATTTGCAGATGTGACTCTTATATTAGAGATACTTGGGACATAAGGGTCTGATTATTTTCCAGGGATCTTGATCTTCATACTTATTGGCTGGAACCTCCATGCAAACGCTTGGAAGAATTTCTCCCTTTGGTAGCTGGGTACTTGTTGGACACTTGGAAGCTTTGACATTTCAGTATTCTCTCTCCACCTCCCACAATAGTCAAAAAACAGTTGCTGAAAAGCAAGAGTACAGAGTTCTGTAGCACGCTGTAGTGTGCATCATCCAGCAAGGTATTACCAGTGTCTGCAGGCCTAACTCAGTCTGGATTAACTGTTCTTCCCAAGGGAGGCACTGTTTCAGCCCAGTGGGTTGACTCCAACTTTTCTCCATCTTTTAGCCCTTCCCTTGATCCTGACGCCTGCCAGTGGCTTGCTTTAGGATCTGTTGATATCTTGGTATACCCTAGTATTTCTAGATTCATTTTTTGTCCTGTAACTGTCCTGTGGAGCTTAGAAATTCATGTCGATTTGGTGTATCAGCAAAGTTTTCAAAATAAAGGATTATTTTTCTTGATGTACTTCTACTTGATTGCAGTCCAGGATCTTTAGGCCAGATTCAGAGTGCTGAGCCCCAAGAGAATTACTTGCAAGTTATTCATTAACTCATTAATTCATTGGTTCATTCAAACAGCTAGTCAATTGTCAAATGCTTATTTAACAATTATATTGTGTTTTGTGCTGGGGACAGGCTCTGCCCTCAATGAACTCATAGACTCAAATAAGGTAATTAACTTATCCCAGACCATGTATACTTTCAATTTTCCTAATATTGTTTCGATTTTTTTCCCCAGGAGAGTACTTATTGTAGAATTAATTGTAAGATACCCCGATTTTCTCTTGATGTTGGAATTTTAAGCATTTGCCTAATGAAGTAGAATGTTTGGTGGACCTTAGTGCTTTTGTGGTTCCGGAATTTATAACCCAGAGACGGATGGCTTTGTCATTGTATTTAGGTTTAAGGTACTAACGGAAGGCATCAACTGGGAGCATCTCATATTTATTTATATTGCATGTCAACGCTGTAGCTTAGGGATAGACAATTTCCTTAAATGGATTTTTTTAAAAAAGCAGCAGGCCAGGTGCAGTGGCTCATGCCTATAATCCCAGCACTTTGGGAGGCCAAGGCAGGTGGATCACCTGAGGTCAGGAGTTCAAGACCAGCCTGGTCAACATGGTGAAACCCTGTCTTTACAAAAATACAAAAATTAGCTGGATATGATGGTGGGTAACTCTCATCCCAGCTACCCAGGAGGCTGAGGCAGGAGAATCTCTTGAGCCTGGGAGATGGAGGCTGCAGTTAGCTGAGATCTCACACTACTGCACTCCAGCCTGGGCGACAGAGTGACTCCATCTCAAAAAAAAAAAAAAAAAAAAAAAAGCAGCAGGTGAATGAAATCATGTATTGCCCAGCATTCATTTTCTCAGTTTATGTTTCTATATATTTATTTGTACTAACCTTCTTTTGTTTTAAGCTACTTATAAAGATGAGAAGTTAAAAAAATTAACAGTTTATCTAGAATAAAAATTTAAATTGCAGAGTAGAAGGGACCATTTTCTCATTGTCTCCACAGTTAGCATAAGTCTCTGCTTTGATGGTTTAAAGGAAAATCATTGCTGGGTAAAAATATAACCATAGATGCATAAGGCATGTGTGTTAGGTGTACTTTCTGGAAAATAGAAAACTTCGTAGGTTAAAAAGGGACCATGAAAAAGATCAAGTGACGTGGGACTTGAGAAGTCTATCAATGTGTCCCTTTTATTGGGCTCTAGGGCCAGAGCCAGAGCATATCCTTATTGGAAGTCAGAGGTTCCCCACTGCAAGTCTGGGTTAAGTTTCAGCAAGAAACAAGGATGTAAGGGAGGCTGGCCATAGTCTGGAAGAGGAGGAAGGGGAAATGTTTTGTCTTTTTCTCTTTTTTAAACAAGGATGAGAATGAGTTGGCTAATTCTGGGGTTCTGAAAGGCTTTGATGGAAGGGAATGGTCTGCCTCGCGTCTGGTGAGACAGATATGGAGTAGGGCAGGAAGCTAGTTTTCAGAACTTAGTTGGGGTCTGGGCCTGTCAAACAGAAGAGGCAACACTGAGAGGCAACACTGAGGTGTCAACAAGACATGATACGGTGCTAGTCCACCTATGTTAACATGACTTAGTTATTTGTTCCAGGAGACCTTTGTCTAGGAATGATAAGATATTGCACCAATAAATAACCTGTTTGCTTCGGAAAATTCCTGATCAATTTATCAGAACCAGCTGTGTGGTTATGAGGGCAAACAGCTCACTTATCAAACAACAATTGAGTTATCAAGATTTGCTTCCAGACTCTCACCTCTGTATCCACCAGTCCTAAACTATTAGGTCACAGACTTTGCCCAATCCCAGTTTCACACCTTGAGGGACGGGCCTTAAACCCCTTTAGACCAGACTCCAATCCCTGTAAATACTCTACTTCCGTTAAGATGATGTTCTCCCTTACTGTAGTGAGCTGGAATAAACTTAGCTTTGTTTTATTAATGAACTGTCTCTTGACATTTTGCAGAGTTCAACAGAAGCCTTTGCCTATGCTTGCTATGGAGCAGGACAGGAAAGCCAGGGTCCCCTGAGATAAGGCCGGAGGGCTGGTCTTAGCAGCAGTAGGTAGCAGAGGACAGCCATGTCGTGTGGATTGCTGATATATAGCAGGTCATTGGCAGTAGCAGAGGACAGCCATGTCGTGTGGATTGCTGATATATAGCAGGTCATTGGCAGTAGAGGCTGAATGACAAAGACAGTAGAAGAGGGGAGAATTAGGATGGAGGGTTTGTTTCTGAACGCACAGGTTGTGTCCTGGGACAGTCTCAGAAACAGCTGAAGATCATCTGGGGAAGACAGTGTGAGTGGTAGCCAGCTTCTAGCAATCAGGAAAGAACTTTGGTATAATAGTTTGACTATACAAAAGAAAATGTGACCTCATTTTGTAGTCATAGAGGAACATATTGGTTATATAAAATCATTGGGTTATGATTGGAGCATTTTCTTTCCTATATAAATTGTGGCTTACATTTCTTTCCTTTAATGGGTTCTGTATATATATTTTGGAAATGCAAAATGAAATCCTTTCAGCATGGGGTCATTCAGACAGCACTAGAAATCAAAGTACACATACAATATTTGAGAAAAAGAAGATCTGTAAATTACATGAAGGCATTTTTATTTGCTTAGTAGAAAATTAAACCCAATATGCATAAAATGACTGTACCCTGCTCGCAATAAGCAGATTTTTTAAACACAGAAGCAGTAATAGGCAATATGGCAATAAAAGTCCCAAAGTATCTCTTTCTGCATACTTATCAGTAGGTATTAAAAACCAGAATCCAAACAAAACTTGAAACATTCACAGTAAAACAGTGTTTTAAATCAAGCGAATCACAATTTTTACATCAGCATTTAAGATGATTGGATCGTTTGCTGCCAAACTCCATGCCCTGCTGTCTTTGAAGGTTGAAGCTCAAATTCACAGAAGCCTAGAAATTTAGTTGAAAGCTTCAAGTCACCTTATTCCCAAGGCATGACCTTTTATGATTGATCTTGGACATAGATTGGATAAAGGACAAATTTTTATGATTTGGTAGCAAGTGTTTAATTCAAGAAGATAGATGGCTTTCTTATTGCTGTTTGCTCTCTGGGTTAGTTTTGGGCTTTAGCCAGTTGCTAGATAAATAAATCAAATGCTCTGGGTTTCCAATCATTTTTCGTAATAAATGAGTTAGGCACAAACCACATCAAAAGTAAGATGACTTATCTCACATCAGGACTCTATAAATTACTGAGTATATTCTCCTCCCAACAGGTACAGTCTCCTGTTCGTATTTAGCCTTCCTGAACGTCTTCCCCTGCACCCAAACCCCCACCCTGCAGCAACCAGGCCTCTGTTTTATAGCACAATCTCTTTTTTTGTTTTGTACTAAACAACAACAACCTACGAACTTTATTATTTTTCTTCCCAGCAACTCTTTTTGATTAATCTTATTTCTTTCACTACACTGTGTTTTAAAAAAACAATCTGGCTAGAGGAAGAAAAGAGAAATATACTTGAAGACTTTTTTCTGATCTGTGTCTTTCATCTGAACAGTTTTAAAGTAGGCTGTAAAAGTTCTCAGCAGGCCTGGTAGGGGAAACACTTCTGCTTGGTTTTCCCTTTTCAGCTGTGGCAACCTTTCTGTTGTTTTTCTTTTTGACGATACTCGTGCATTTTATTCTTGGCCATAGAAGACCTTGGTTTAATTAAAATTCATTTTGTTTCCGAATCCTATCCAAGGGCTCTTCTTGGAATCCTAGGAGATGAGGATATCTGGGGACAAGGAGTTCGCCGGTGAAACTTAGGGTTTTGCTGTCTTCTTAATCAGCAGCCCCATGGCCATCACATGTCATAGGACACTATATTTTGGTGGCATGTTCACATGATCCTGCCATGGGTATTGCTTTTGAGGAATATTTAGGATAGAAGGTGTTCATTTTGGAATAAAAACAGAAAAAAAATACTCTCGAGGCACAATGAAGGGTGGTTCTGGCAGAAGATGGGATGCTCTTACTGAGTATCAGAAAAAACAAAGAAAATGAATGTGAGGACTTGTTGAATTAAAAGGGGAGCGAGCTGCACACTGAGCAAGTGGGCCTCACAAGATGGATTGAAATCTGTGGGATAGTAAGCTTGTGGGCTGAGGTTTATGAAATAGGTTCTGTTCAGCATCAGATCCTCCAAAAAGCAGAACATGAGACAAGAACTAGTGGAGGTTGTTGATTTTGGGAAGTGACCCTAGGGAATTGGAGCATGGGGCTTGGAAAAGTGAAACAGAAGGAAGTAGAGCCATACTAAGGGCATGTGATTAAACTGGTTACTGCTGGGGGCAATCCGAATTCAACTGTATTAGGACCTTGCAGGAATCTGATAGACTGTGTCTCATGACTGTTCACTGAGAAGTGGAAGACAGACTCATTTGCCCACCTGCCTACCCAATGCCTGGTCTGCACTGGCTAATGGTTTTCCCAGGCCAGGTTTTCTCAAAATGTGGTCTTAGACCAGCAGCATGGGAATCACCCGGGAACCTTTTGAAAATGCAGATTTTTGGGTGTTACCCCAGGCCTGCAAATCAAAGCCCTAAGGAGGGGGTGGGGGCAGCACTCTGCTTTCACCTCCGGGTGACTCTGCTGCACCTCTTGGATCTCCACCTTAGTCCATCCGATCATCTGCAGAGCTTGTGAAGCCACAGATTGCTGATCCTGCCTTGGAGTTTCTGATTCAGTAGGGCTGACCTAGGGCTGGAGATGTGCATTTCTCGCAAGTTCTAAAGTGATGCTGAGGCTGTTAGTTCAGGGGTCACACTTTAAGAACCACTTCCTTATGAGAGTTAACTCCTGTGTTTTCAAGTTTCTTTTGGCAGCCTCTGGCAAGCATCTCTCATAGCAAAGCCGTGCCAGAAGGAGTGTTGTCGAAGATTCCTTGCCCACAGTTGGTTGCTGCAGAAATGACCTCAGAAAAAAAGGTGGGACATGAAATTATGAGTCAGGGCAAAAACGATGTCTGGCATTTTTTTAATTAAAAATAATTTGTGGTATATTGTATTAGGGAGGAAAATGGCATTTGTCCTAGTTATCTATAGATTCTGGGGAAATTTGCAGGAGTAACTTGTGTTTTAAACACGATACTGCTTGCTTCTTGGCATGTTTGATTGTGTTCCAAACGGTCTTTCTGGTGCTGTGTGAAGATTTGTGCATCACCTCTGTAGCTAGAGTAAGTGCTTGTATAACTTGTTATATAATGGCAGGGGCTACCATAATATTCATTAGGTCACTCCCCATTCCTGGCTAATACTGTGGATTCTGAGAAGGTCCCTAAGGTGAATTAGTCCAGAGCAGCATTACAGGCCCTGATGCAGTTGACCTCTAACTTAATTAATGGTCTTAAAGTTCTGAGAGCTAGTTCTAGTACCCCTTCTACCTGCTGCAAGTGGCTTCCCAACTTTATTGTGCAAAATACTTCATCTGAAATACTTGTCAAAGAAGCAAATTTTCAATGTGCCCTCTTCCCTGCAATTTTCATTTCGTAGGTTTGTGTTGGTATCCAGAAATCTACATTTTTAAACAAGGTTCCTAGGAAATGTTGGTTCAGGTACTCTAAGAATCACCTTTTGAGAAACACTATCTTAGAGCTCCTGGCACTTCAATTTAGACTGAGTTTGGGGTATAACATTATACTTTCTGGTGTTTATATCAGAATCTGGAAGAAACCTTGATTTTTTTTCTTTCCTTTTTTTTCATAAAATAATTCAGAAAACCAAAACAAAAATGAACTTTTTATCATTAACATATTTATAAGCCAGTAAGAAAAAGATTAACACTTCCTTAGAAAAATGGACAAAGGATATGAGCAAGTAATTTATATAAGCAAAGTAATTCATAGAAAGGTAAATTTAGAGCCCATAAAATATGAAATTTCTTTAACTTCTCTAGAAATAAAGAATAAAATAGCATTGAAATATTGAAATGCCTTTTTGTTTTTTTGAGATGAAGTCTCACTCTGTTGCCCAGGCTGGAGTGCAATGGCACAATCTTGGCTCACTGCAACCTCTGCCTCCCGGGTACAAGCAATTTCCAGCTAATTTTTGTATTTTTAGTAGAGATGGGGTTTCACCATGTTGGCCAGGCTGGTCTTGAACTCCTGACCTCAAGTGATCCGCCCGCCTCAGCCTCCAAAAGTGTGTGAGCCACTGCGCTTGGCCATGGAATGCCATTTTTAATCTTTCAAGTTTACAAAGCTAAATATTTGACTACCTTCTTAGCGCAAGGGGGTAGGAAAAAGGAATTCTATGAGTGTGAATTAGTGCAACCTTTCTTGAGAGCAATTCAGCACTGTATATCAGAAACCATTAAAATGTACACCCCATTCAACTAAGAAATTCTGCTTATAGGAGTGTCATAAGGAAAACATCAGAAATTCATAAACAGATTTATTTGCATAAACAAGATTGCAGTGTTATGCATAATAGTGACAAACTGAAAATACTCTAAAGGTCCAACATCAAGAGGAGCTGGTTAATTGAATAATGGGATATTCGTATATAGTTTACTTTAGGAAATGTTTATGATCTATTATTAAAAAAAGCAGGTTACAATATACTTGTGAAGTATTATATATATATATATATATATATATTTTTTTTTTTTTTTTTTTTTTTTTTGAGATGGAGTTTTGCTCTAGTTGCCCAGGCTGGAGTGCAATGGCATGATCTCGGCTCACCACAACCTCTGCCTCCCAGGTTCAAGCAATTCTCCTGCCTCAGCCTCCCGAGCAGCTGGGATTACAGGCATGCGCCACCATGTCCGGCTAATTTTGTATTTTCAGTAGAGACAGGGTTTCTCCATGTTGGTCAGGCTGGTCTTGAATTGCTGACCTCAGGTGAACTGTCTGCCTCAGCCTCCCAAAGTGCTAGGATTACAGGAGTGAGCCACTGTGCCCAGCCGAAGTATTATCTTAATTATGAAAATATCCCAAATTATGATAGTATGTGTCTCTGGGTAGAGAGGATTATGGGTGATTTAAATTTCATTCATTGAGGCTTTTTTTTTTTTTTTAAGACAGAGTCTCCCTCTGTCACCTAGGCTGGAGTGCAGTGGCACGATCTTGGCTCACTGCAAGCTCTGCCTCCCAGGTTCACGCCATTCTCCTGCCTCAGCCTCCTGAGTAGCTGGGACTACAGGTGCCTGCCACCACACCTGGCCAATTTTTTTGTGTTTTTAGTAGAGACGGGGTTTCACCGTGTTAGCCAGGATGGTCTCGATCTCCTGACCTCATGATCTGCCCGCCTTGGCCTCCCAAAGTGCTGGGATTACAGGCGTGAGCTACCGCACCCAGCCCTTCATTGAGCTTTTATGTCTATTTTGTTTTTCCAAAGTCTCTTTCTAATAACTAAAGGTGAATGTAAAGTGGAAAAGTGATGCTTTTTCAGTCACACACTGTTTTCAGTAACTTTTTTCTATCCAAATTGCTTTTTTTTTTTCGTCTGTAAGTGTTCTTTTTTGGTGACCTCAACCTTTTTCAGCCTTAGATACCATCTCTACAGAGGTCACTCCTCAGATCATATCTGCAATACAGACCCCTCCTCTGATCTCTAGACCCGTACATCTGACTAATTGGCTTGATTTTCTACTCAAACAATTAATAAAAGCCCCATAACTAATATGTTCCTGCCTGAGTTGGAACTTCCTCCTTCCCTAGACCTCCCTATATCAGTAGATGGCATACACCTTCTTCCAGTTGCTCAACCTACAATTTTAGAGGGCCTATGAGTCCTGTATTTACTTTACCTACTACCTTGGTTCTGCCAGCAAGTTATATTGCCTTCAGCTTTAAAATATATCTAGAATTTCACTATTTTCACCAAATGCACTGTTATCACCCTGGAGTCAAGCGCTGTCTTCCCCTGGCTGGGTCACTTCCCTAGCCTCCTTATTGGTCTCCCTGCTGCTTCCTTTGCCCTTCATGACTCTGCTTTCGGCACAGCCACCAACAGATCCTGTTCAAACATAAGACATATCTCTGCTGGAATCTGTGCCTAATTTTAGCTGGGGTAAAAGCCAAGGTCCTTATGATGGCTTGGAAGGCCTGACATGAAATGGCCACTGCCCCTCACCCCAGTTGACCTCACTAACTATTGCTCTCTCCCTGGTTCATCCCGACCGGGTCACGCTGGCCTCTTTCCTGGTTCTTGACCAGCCAGGCATATTGCTCCTCAGGGCCTTTGCACTCGCTGTTCCCCCTGCCTTCAAAGTGTTTGCTCCAGGTCCCTGGCCAGCCAGCCTCCCCTGGACTTAGCAGGTCCTCTCCTGCTGTTCCCCTCACTGTTTTACCTTTCTCAAGCGCTTATTTATATTTTAGTTATTTTCTTCTATCTCCTCTCCCTTACTCCTGGATGCAAATTCCATGAGAACATGGATTTTTTTTTATCTGTTTTATTTTCTCTTATATCCCCAGGGCCCGCAAGAGTGTCTGGGTAATTTCTTCTTCTTATCTGACAACTAGGTAATAATAATAATAATAATAACAATTTTAAAAAACCCTAAAAACTCCAAATTCCTCCCTCCCTGCAAAAAATCACATCTTCTTTTTGGACAAAAATATTATTTGTGTTACAAAATATATTAGTTTTTATTATTAAAACACACCATAATCACAAGTGACATACTGTATATTTATCACATGTAGCTTGTGAAATTTTCCATGGGGTGGTGTGGTTGCTGACATACATCTATCCAAAGCAGAGAAGCAACTGCTCATTCATTTTGCTTTTCACTAAGAATATACTCCTTAAAGGTGAGGAGTCATGATTTGATTCCTTTGACCTTTAGGTTTTAACAAGGAGTATCAGAGATTATTGTGGTAGAACAGTTAATGTTTAGAAAAGTAAAATCTTATTGATTCAGAACAGGAAAAACATCAGTCATTAACTAGATTTGGAAGTATCACTTAATATGTTTTTGGGAATTCAAATTTCAGGGTTATTTAGGACACTGATTCTGAAATGGTTTATCTGCAAAGCAGGCTGGCCTCTGCATTTCTTGCTTCATTATGGAAACTTCTCTTTCATATCGTAAGGAAAGGATGTGTGCACTTTGATCTCCCTTCCCACGGTTGTTCATCCAGGGCTCCTTGAAGTGAGCATCCATGCCTGCAGATCTGTGATACCTGACCCAAAGGCCAGCAGGGCTGAATATGTGACTGACAGATTTGAGCACAAAATACAGCTATTGTTTTCATCAGTGGGGACAAGTTTGGACATTCTCTTTTGTATTTGTCTCCCTTGGTTTAGTTTTTGTCTCATGTGAAAGCATGAAGCAGTTTAAGTATTTTGAGTTCTCAATCTGAAAAACACTGATTGCTCCATTCACTAAAGGGGTGTGATGGTTAGTTTTAAGTGTTAATTGTCAATATTGTTAATATTTGGTCAAACGTTATTCTGGATGTTTCTGTGATGGTGTTTTGGGATGAGATTGCCATTTAAATCAGTAGACTGAATAAAGGAGATTGCCCTTCCATATTTGGGTAGGTCTCATCCAGTCAGTTGAAAGCCCAAGTAGAACAAAAAGGCTGACCAACCCTCAAGTGAGGGAGAATTCTTCCTGCCTGATGGCCTTTGAACTGAAACATCAGCTTTTTTTCCTGCTGACCTTAGACTCCAACTGCAACGTAAGTTCTTATTGGGTCTTGAGCCTGCCACCTTCTGACTGGAACTACGCCACTGGTTCTTCTGGGCCTGCAGCTTGCCAGCTCACCCCATGGATCTTGGGACTTGTCAGACTCCATAATCACATAAGCCGATTTCTTAAAATAAACCTGTTTTTAATATATACATCCTATTGGCTCTGTTTCTCTGGAGAACCCTGATACAGAGGGCAATCAGAATTTCTAGTATGCTTTAGGGTAGAAGTAAAATATTTCCTCTTGGGTAAAGTATCAGTGATGATGGTAACACTTGGCCCACAGACCCTTCTCCTTGGCTATTTCAGCAGACATTGTCTGTGCCTCACCTATACCTCCTTGGTACCACCAGGAGGCTTTCTCTGGCTGTAGGAGTGTTCTCGGCCTACGTAGGCAGGCTAGATAGAGTGCCAGAGTATTAACACGCTCAGGTGTAGCCTTCAACCTGCAGCAAATAGGAGCCAATTGATAAATACCCTGGTTCCCCTCAGGTGGAACAACCCCGAGGCATGTTCTCTACTGTTTCCCAGAGATTCCCAGCGAGATTGAGCCCTACTTTCCTAAAGTTGTAACTTGCTCATCAAAATTTGGTGAATTTCTTTTTTTTTCCTTTTCCCATCTTGCTTCCTGGCTTTCCTTCCGGTTCTTCTTGGGGTAGCCATTGAAAAAACTATTTGCATTCAAATTCTTGCCTCAGGCCTGTTTGCTTCTGAGGGAACCCAACTTAAGGTGGGCATCTCAGCTTTAAAAGAAGATGACAGAGATCTTTAAGAATAGTTACAAACCACAGGACCACATCCACCCTTAATTAATTAAATAGCAAAAAATCTTCACGAAATGTCTACCAGATGCCTCAATTAGAAAGTTAATAATACATAATTTTTAAATAAGTCGATTATTTGATTTTGTCACAAAGCAAAAAGCCTCAGGTGGAGGTCACAGAATAATTTTGTTTCATATGCATCTTTGTTTATTTCCTGTCTTTACTAAATAATGGCTCGTGACTAATGCAGGTATTTCATCACGGGAAATGACTCTACCTGCACCTTCATCCAGGATCCATTAGGTTCAAAGTGTTTAAAGGTAAAGTGTTTTGAAAAAACCACAAAGGTGTATAAGTAATGGACTGGTTCCAGTTTAATGGCTATAAAACCTTGTTTGTGAATTAAACATCAGATTCTTTTTAATTAAGGAAATTGCTTTTTGAACTTCTGCTTCCTCTCTTATAAATTTGAAATGAAAAAGCAAGTTATAACCACATATTTTAGTGTGTTTGTTAATTATGTGTTATTTGCAAGTCATTTTAGGATACAAATGACTTTGTTTTTGTTCAAAAGAGGCTTTAAATAGGCATAATAATGACAATAGTAATGATAGTAGTTAAAATTTTTTGAGGGTTTATTCTGTGCCAGGCACTGGGTCAGCTGTCTTATGTATATCATTATTAAACCTTATAACAGTTTGCAAGAACAATTTTCTTTTTAAAATCTCTACTTTACTGATGATGAAATGAAAAAATCAAAGACACTAAGTGATTTTTCTACTCACACAGCTAGTTTCAGAATCAGCATTAGAACTGAGGTCATTCTGATTTCAAAGCTTGTTTATTTCATAACAGAGTGAAGAAAAAGTTTGGTTTTAAACTTCCAGGTCCCTATAAGTTTCCTGTGTTTCCACTAGTATCAGCACTATCCTTCTATACAGAAATTTATTTATTTATTTATTTATTGAGATGGCGTCTTGCTCTGTTGCCAGGCTAGAGTGCAGTGGCGCAATCTTGGCTCACTGCAACCTCTGCCTTTGGAGTTCAAGCGATTCTCCTGCCTCAGTTTCCTGAGTAGCTGGGACTATAGGCGCGTGCCACCACGCCCAACTGATTTTTTGTATTTTCAGTAGAGACAGGGTTTCACCATCCTGGCCAGGATGGTCTCAGTCTCCTGACCCTGTGATCTGCCTGCCTTGGCCTCGCAAAGTGCTGGGATTACAGGTATGAACCACTGCACTCAGCCAGAAAGAAATTTATTTTAAAATTTATGTTATGCTGTTGATATTTTTCACATACCATCCCATAAAGAATTACTGTTATTGTGAGTCCTCACAACTCCTGACTGTTCATTATAGCCTGTTCTCTCTGGAGCATAAAAATCACCATGCTAATTGACTTGTGGTGAAGTTTAATTGACAAATAGGTGACTTTTAAAAATTGTTCTGGGCCGTTTGCCAGGTGCTCGTAAGTCTGTGATAGTGCCTCAGTGACTTGATACTGAGTTATGCTTCCTGCAGGTAGCTCTTTATTTACTATTGTAAGGAGATGCTCTTAAACAATTTTGTCTTGTCAATTCTGTTTTCAGAATTCTCTCATGGTTTGTTCCTCATTGTCTTTTGAAGACAATCTAAACCCATTAATAGGGTATTCAGAGACTGATAACCTCACCAAAAACCAGTTTCCTTTCCTTCCTAGACACACAGCTGGATACATTTCCCTGCCTTCTTTAAAATTTGCAGTGACCATGTGACTGAGTTCCAGCCAATGGAAGAAAAGCAGAAGTGATGTGTGTCATTTTGGAGTGAGGCTTTTAAGAAGGGACTGAGGCCCCTTCACGCTATTTTTCTTTTTGTCTGCCAGATATGGAAGACAATGAGGCCTTAAGGCAGGAGTTGCCAAGCTTTTTCTGAAAAGAATCAGATGGTAAATATTTGCAGTGAATATTACAGAATTGTCTCTGTCAATACAAACCTTTTTAAGTTTTATTCATTTTTTTTTACAACCTTTAAAAAAATAAAAGTCATTCTTAGCTCACTGAGGTACAAAACCAGGCCATACTTATTTGCTCACCCCTGCCCTTAAGGATGTGGAACCAGAAGAGGAAGGAGCCTAGGTCCTTGAATCACCATGTGGAGGAGAGGCACCTGCCAAACTTAGGAAATTTTGCTGGGGACAGTTACATGAATAAAAAACAAATATTTATTTTTTTTGAGCCATTATGCACATTGGGACTTGTAATCACACCTTATTCTACCATGACTAAGCTTTTTAGGATTAGGTTGAAGGCTATACTTCCACACTAATTTCCCCACTTTTTCTTTTAATGCTTCCTACATATTGGTCAAACTGGAATAGTGTCTATTTCTTCAGCAATACTGTAACTTCTCATTTTCATGAATGTATTTATGTGATTTCCTTCGGGGCATAAAGTTACTTTAGCCTATTCCTGTTCTTTGCAATCCTTCTCTTTGAGGACCTATAACAAATTTTACCTTCTTAAAAGGACTTCCATGATATTTTCCCCTTGACCTGGCAGAAATATTTATTTCTTTTTTGGGGTTTCATATTTCCTTTTAACTAATGTATATTATACTAGGGTTTTCTGCCAAATTTTGAAGTTGTCTGTGTACATGCCTTTGTCTTGCCTACCACAGTTTCAGCTTCAAGGGGTCATCTTGGATAACACATCACATAAAATCTGGCACTTACATTTGCATCTCATGTAGGAGATACCAGTCTAAAGGCAAAAACTGTGTACAGTCAAAATACTCTTAATAATCCCTTAACTAGGCAATAAAGTACATGGCTGAGTTTAGGGGCCATGTGCATGAAAAATAATTTTATTTAAAAGACCAGATAATACTCAGGGCAAAAATATATTAACATATTGAGGAAAATGAGACCAGTTGCTCCCTCTGTGGCACATATGCTCACAGAGTGTAATGGTGGGTAGGGTAGTTGGCAGTCTTTGTAAAGGAATTTTTTTCCTGGCTGAACATACACATTTGAATTCACCAGATTTGGATACACACGGTGGCATGCCTTCCATAAATTTGTGAGTTAATTGAATGGTTTAACCATATATTTTCTTCTTATAATAAGCATTTTGGGAAGATGTCATTTCTTTTGCCAACTTAAGGAGGAGAAAAGAGGCTGGTTGGTTTGACCTTGAACTCCTAAGTGATAGCAATGTGCTACCAGGAAACTCCTGGATAAGCTTCAAGGGAGAACTTCTCCTGGGCTCTCTGCCGATATCTGCCAGGGAAAACACTGATAAACAGAAAGGGAAAGAAAAAGCTAAGTTCAAGCCAAATGTTTCTGTGCTCCTCTTAAGATACAATGGAGATAACATTGAAATACAAAATGCTGTCTATGTGTTCCTTTTGAAAAGAGCCTTCCTTTTAAGGTCAGTTAATACTGTTCATGCAGATTTCCATAGCAGTTGTGCCAGATGCTGTGAGAGCTGAAAGGGAGCTACCTTGGGGATCAGCAGTTTTGAGCCCCTCATTTTATTTTTTTGATGTGCAGGTTGTAGATGGGAAAGTTTGAGCTTCAATAAGTTGATGAGCTTATTAGGCACAGAGGCTGGCATATAGGAAGAGCTGAGGATACCTAAGAGCTGGCTTCTGGCCCTCAGGCCATGCTTTTCAAACTAGGTGCAATTATTTTCTTAATTTTAAGTTCTTAATTCCTAGGAGCTACACTGTTCAATAGAACTTTCTGAGATGGTGAAAGTGTTCTACGTATGTGTTGTTCATTATGATAGCCAATAATCACAAGAGCTATGGAGCATTTGAAATGTGGCTTGTGCAAATGGAGATGTCCATTGGATTTTGAGGACTTAATATAAAAAATGTAAGATATCTCATTAGTAAAATTTTTGTATGATTATATGTTGAAAGAATGTTTTGGCTATGTTGGATTATATATAGCATATTAAGATTTCTTCTTTTTTTAATGTGACCTCTAGGAAACTTAAAATAGCTCATGTGAGTTATATCTCTATTGGACAGCACTGCTGGAGACAGTGTTGCCATTGATTGTAACAGAGTGAAATATTTTTACTTTTCCTTCTCTTCTAAATTCCTCAGAACCTAATGCCAACAGTGGAGCAATCCGGAATACTTTTGAATCTCAAAATAAATAATAAGACTTTGGGAAATGTGGGCTTATATTTGTCCTCACTTAAGGTATATTGATATGTGTGATACTACATCTTTGTCCTTTAGTATCCGGTCATGACTGAGCTCCAAAGAGGTTAAATAATGTTCACAGAGCCATTCAACATGATTTGTCCACACCTGAGGTTATGTATTTTCTTAACTTTTACCATGTATCTTTGTTACTTCTTCTGAGATATGCATGTGTTACTTCTCCAACTGATATTTGTACTTGCATTTAATTTAGGAAATATTAATAGAACAATTTTTTTCTTTAACTTGCATTAAAGTACATGTTTTATTATGTTAGGAAACCACTTAGATGTGTTGACAGATGTGTTTGTGAGTACAAACATCAAAATATTGCTCTTCTGTGATACAAGTATTACTTAGGTATGGATTCTTTGAGGCTATTGACTTTCTGGCTCCTTAAAAATCTCAGGTATTTAGCCTGGGACATTTGCCTTTTGAAGTGAAAAAAATAAACTAATAAAATTCACAAAAAGAAGTTACTGCAAATGTATAGGTTTTAAGAAGTGGAAAACAGATACAGTTTAGGATAATCTGAGTTTAACAAGAGACCTAGTGAAAGATATTTTGGATCAAGTTACCCTGAAGATTTTCTTCATTTCCCACATCCCATTGAGGGTTGGATGGAAAGTCATTCTAATAAACAAGGAACAGAGTGCATCTCCAGTTTTCTCGTCAGTTTTCTCCAAGATATTTAGGTAGATTATAATTTTTTGTTTTTTGAAGAATCTCTTTCCTGCCAACCTCCCCAGCAGAAGCAGTCTCCCAGGATCACAAGAGATTGTCTGAATGTTGCACATAAAAATTCAAATTCTTGGATCATTTTGCGGATATAGAAAGTGTTCCAGGAAGAGCCTAATTGGCTGTTTTACTCATCATTCCTGGAGAGGAATAGCAGAACTAAGGCGGCCTTGAGAGCTGGTTGTGTGTAGATAGTGAGTTGAGAGAGCTTATGATACTAGTAGTTGATATTTGTAAGGCATCTTTTTTTTATTATTATTATACTTTAAGTTCTAGGGTACATGTGCACGACGTGCAGGTTTGTTACATATGTATACATGTGCCATGCTGGTGTGCTGCAACCATTAACTTGTCATTTACATTAGGTATATCTCCTAAGGCTATCCCTCCCGTCTCCTCCCACCCCACGAAAGGCACCAGTGTGTAATGTTCCCCTTCCTGTGTCCAAGTGTTCTCATTGTTCAATTCCTACCTATGAGTGAGAACATACAGTGTTTGGTTTTTTGTCCTTGCGGTAGTTTGCTCAGAATGGTGGTTTCCAGCTTCATCCACGTCCCTACAGAGGACATGAACTCATCCTTTTTTATGGCTGCATAGTATTCCATGGTGTATATATGCCACATTTTCTTAATCCAGTCTATCACTGATGGACATTTGGGTTGAATCCCTGAATAGACCAATAACAGGCTCTGAAATTGAAGCAATAATTAATAGACTACCAACAAAAAAAAGTCCAGGACCAGACAGATTCACAGCTGAATTCTACCAGAGGTACAAGGAGGAGCTAGTACCATTCCTTCTGAAACTATTCCAATCAATAGAAAAAGAGGGAATCCCCCCTAACTCATTTTCTGTGGTCAGCATCATCCTGATACCAAAGCCTGGCAGAGACACAACAAGAAAATAGAATTTTAGACCAATATCCCTGATGAACATCGATGCAAAAATCCTCAATAAAATGCTGGCAAACCAAATCCAGCAGCACATCAAAAAGCTTATCCACCATGATCAAGTGGGCTTCATCCCTGGGATGCAAGGCTGGTTCAACATACGCGAATCAATAAATGTAATCCAGCATATAAACAGAACCAAAGACAAAAACCACATGATTATCTCAATAGATGCAGAAAAGGCCTTCGATAAAATTCAACCGCCCTTCATGCTAAAAACTCTCAATAAATTAGGTATTGATGGGACAAATCTCAAAATGATAAGAGCTATTTATGACAAACCCACAGCCAACATCATACTGAATGGGCAAAAACTGGAAGCATTCCCTTTGAAAACTGGCACAAGACGGGGATGCCCTCTCTCACCATTCCTATTCAACATAGTGTTGGAAATTCTGGCCAGGGCAATCAGGCAGGAGAAAGAAATAAAGGGTACTCATTTAGGAAAAGAGGACATCAAACTGTCCCTGTTTGCAGATGACATGATTGTATATTTATAAAACCCCATTGTCTCAGCCCAAAATCTCCTTAAGCTGATAAGCAACTTCAGCAAAGTCTCAGGATACAAAATCAATGTGCAAAAATCACAAGCATTCTGTTACACCAATAACAGACAAACAGAGAGCCAAATCATGAGTGAACTCCCATTCACAATTGCTTCAAAGAGAATAAAATACCTAGGAATCCAACTTACAAGGGATGTGAAGGACCGCTTCAAGGAGAACTACAAACCACTGCTCAACGAAATAAAAGAGGACACAAACAAATGGAAGAACATTCCATGCTCATGGATAGGAAGAATCAATATTGTGAAAATGGCCATACTGCCCAAGGTAATTTATAGATTCAATGCCATCCCCATCAATCTACCAATGCCTTTCTTCACAGAATTGGAAAAAACTACTTTACAGTTCATATGGAACCAAAAAAGAGCCCGCATTGCCAAGACAATCCTAGGCCAAAAGAACAAAGCTGGAGGCATCATGCTACCTGACTTCAAACTATACTACAAGGCTACAGTAACCAAAACAGCATGGTACTGGTACCAAAACAGAGATGTAGACCAATGGAACAGAACAGAGCCCTCAGAAATCATGCCGCATATCTACAACTATCTGATCTTTGACAAACCTGAGAAAAACAAGCAATGGGGAAAGGATTCCCTATTTAATAAATGGTGCTGGGAAAACTGGCTAGCTATTTGTAGAAAGCCGAAACTGGATCCCTTCCTTACACCTTATACAAAACTTAATTCAAGATGGATTAAAGATGTAAATGTTAGACCTAAAACCGTAAAAACCCTAGAAGAAAACCTAGGCAATACCATTCAGGACATAGGCATGGGCAAGGACTTCATGTCTAAAACACCAAAAGCAATGGCAACAAAAGCCAAAATGGACAAATGGGATCTAATTAAACTGAAGAGCTTCTGCACAGCAAAAGAAATTACCATCAGAGTGAATGGACAACCTACAGAATGTAAGGCATCTTACTTAAACCTTTCATGATATTTTTTTCTTTTCACAATTAGTAAAAGATGATGGAGTTATTAGTACTGGGCTCGAGGAAAGTAAATTCATATGATGTCATAAAATTAGGGTCTGGCATGTAGTAAACAGTAGTAGATGCTAGTTTTAGTCTTTCCTTCTCTCCCCACTTGGTGGGGATAGGCAGTGTTTAGTCCGTTTCTTGTGACACAAAATCTGTGTCTCATCTTTCACCCCAGAATATGGTTCTTAATATTTTAAAGCTATTTTTGCCTTAACATGCTGCAATGCTCTTGCAAGCTTCAAGAATCCCTGTTGGGGAAATGAAAGTGTAGCTTAGCACTGGTAAGTTACAATGAAACAAGGGTAGTCTTAAGTAGCAAAATGTCAATATTTTCTTGCTAGAAAAGTATACCTATTTAGGATTACTCTGACCTATGAATGTGGTATAATTATACAAGATCAAGAGATTCTTTTGGCCACAGCCTGTTCAGAGTGGTATACTGGATGGTCCCACTAATGGGGTGATATGGTTTGGCTCTGTGTCCCCATCTAAATCTCATCTTGAATTGTACTCCCATAGTTCCCATGTGTTATGGGAGGGACGCAGTGGGAGATAATTGAATCATGGGGATGGTTTCTCCCATACTGTTCTCATGGAGGTGAATAAGTCTTAGGAGATCTGATGGTTTGGTAAGGGGAAACCCATTTCGCTTGCCTCTCATTCTCTATCTCGCCTGCTGCCATCTATGTAAGATGTGCCTTTTGCCTTCCACCATGATTGTGAGGCCTCCTCAGCCATGTGGAACCATAAGTCCAGTTAAATCTCTCTCTTTTGTGAATTGCCCAATCTTGGGTATGTCTTTATTAGCAGTGTGAAAATGAACTAATACAGTAAATTGGTACCAGTAGAGTGGGGTGCTGCTGAAAAGATACCCGAAAATGTGGAAGTGACTTTGGAACTGGGTAACAGGCAGAGGTCGGAACAGTTTGAAGGGTTCAGAAGAAGACAAAAAAATGTGGGCAAGTTTGGAAGCTCCCAGAGATTTGTTTAATGGTGTATTAGGGTTCTCTAGAAGTAATGGAATAGATATTTATATATATAAAGGGGAGTTTATTAAGTTTTAACTCACATGACCACAAGGTCCCACAACTGTCCATCTGCAGGCTGAGGAGCAAGAAGAACCAGTCCGAGTTCCAAAACTGAAGAACCTGGAGTCCGATGTTCGAGGGCAGAAAGCATCCAGGATGGGAGAAAGACATAGGCTGGGAGGCTAAGCCAGTCTCTCTTTTCACATTTTTCTGACTACTTATATTCTAGCTGCACTGGCAGCTGATTAGATTGTGCCCACTCAGATTAAAGGTAGGTCTGTCTTTCCCAGCTGCACTGACTCAAATATTAATCTCCTTTAGCAACACCCTCACAGCACACCCGGGATCAATACTTTGTATCCTTTAATCCAACCAAGTTGACACTCAGTATTAACCATCACAAATGGCTTTGACCAAAAGCCTGATAGTGATATGGACAATAAGATCCAGGCTGAAGTGGTCTCAGATGAAGATGAGGAACTTGTTGGGAACTGGAGCATAGGTGTTTTAGCAGAGACAGGTGGCATTTTCCCCCTGCTCTAGTGATTTGTGGAAGTTTGAATTTGAGAGAGATGATTTAGGGTATCTAGCAGAAGAAATTTCTAAGCAGCAAAGCATCCAAGAAGTGACTTGGGTGTTATTAAAGGCATTCAGTTTCATAAGGGAAGCAAAGCATAAAAGTTTGAAAAATTTGCAGCCTGACAACGTGATAGAAAAAGAAAAACCCATTTTCTGAGGAGAAATTCAAGCTGGCTGCAAAAATTTGCATAAGTAAGGAGGAGTCAAATGTTAATCCCCAAACAATGGGGTAAAATGTCTCCAGGCCACGTCAGAGGTCTTCACAGTAGCCCCTCTTCTCACAGGCCTGGAGGCCTAAGAGAAAATAGTTTCATGGGCTGAGCCCAGGGTCCCTGTGCTGTGTGCAGTCTAGAAATTTGGTACCCTGCATCCCAGCCACTCCAGCCATGACTAAAAGGGGCCAAGGTATAGCTTGGGCTGTTGCTTCAGAGGGTGGAAGCCTCAAGCCTTGGCAGCTTCCACGTGGTATTGAGCTTGTGGGTGCACAGAAGTCAAGAATTGAGGTTTGCAAACCTCTATCTAGATTTCAGAAGATGTATGGAAACACCTGGATGCTGAGGCAAAAGTTTGCTGCAGGGGTGGGGCCCTCATGGAGAATCTCTGCTAGGGCAGTGCAGAAAGGAAATGAGGGTTGGGAACCCCACACAGAGTCCCTGCTGGGGTACCACCTAGTGGAGCTGTGAGAAGAGGGCTACTGTCCTCCAGACCCCAGAATGGTAGCTCCACCGACAGCTTGCACTGTGCGCCTGGAAAAGCCACAGACACTCAACACCAGCCCATGAAAGCAGCCACGAGGGGGGCTATACCCTGCAAAGCCACAGGGATGGAGCTGCCCACAACCATGGAAACCCACCTCTTGCATCAGTGTGACCTGGATGTGAGACATGGAGTCGAAGGAGATCATTTTGGATCTTTAAGATTTGACTGCCCTGCTGGATTTAGAACTTGCATGGGGCCGGGAGCCCCTTTGTTTTGGCCAATTTCTCCCATATGGAATGGGTGTATTTATATTTACCCAATGCCTGTACTCCCTCTATATCTAGGAACTAACTAATTCGCTTTTGATTTTACAGGCTCATAGGTGGAACGGACTTATGTTGTCTCAGATGAGACTTTAAACTGTGGACTTTTGAGTTAATGCTGAAATGAGTTAAGACTTTGGGGGACTGTTGGGAAGGCATGATTGGTTTTGAAATGTGAGAACATGAGATTTGGCAGGGACCAGGGGTGGAATTATACAGTTTGGCTCTGTGTCCCCACCTAAATCTCATCTTGAATTGTACTCCCATAATTCCTATGTGTTGTTGGAGGGATGCAGTGGGAGATAATTGAATCATGGGGCGGTTTCTCCCATCCTGTTTTCATGGTAGTGAATAAGTCTTATGAGATCTGATGGTTTGGTAAGGGGAAATCTGTTTGGCTTGCCTCTCATTCTCTCACTTGCCCGCTGCGATGTAAGACGTGCCTTTTGTCTTCTGCTTCTGAAATGGGTTTAGATGAAGTCTAAGAAGGCACACATGTATATCCCCCTCATGTGATTCAGACAAACTATGGGCATTTCATAAAATTGTGACAGGTGCCATTAAAAATAGAAAGTGCTCTTACTGCACTTTATAGACATTAGATCAATGCCTTTCCTTTCTACTTTATTTGAATTGCACAATACATTATTTTTTGATTACTTATAGAATTTTTGTTGCTAAAAGAGCTAAATGCTCTTAAAATTTTAGGGACACATCTAAATTTTTTCCCATTAAGAAGATAGGTGTAGAAGAGGGCTTATTTTTCTCTCAGGGTTGCTTCCTTTTGATGTGAAATCTTCAATGTTAGTCATCTTTGATCCTGCCCCCTTAATGTTGAGCTGGTCATGGAGTTTCTGAACTTTTCCTTGGGCTAATGTGAGTGTCATTCAATCATGACTGTGTGATATGCACATTTCATCAAGAGGAACAGGCCACTGGTTAATTAGGTGTCCCTTTCTACCTGCTGTGAAATCCGGAGAGCAGGTTTCTTGCTTCTTTGAAGTGTTCTGTCTCCCCATTTTGGTGAAGGGGAGATAAATGAAGGCTAAATATTGCTTGCTTACACACAGGTTTTACTCTGAAGTACTTTTTCATGAAATGCCTGTGTTTCCACAACTGTGTATCACAGTGGAGCGGCTTCATATTTTAAATGTTTTAAGTATTTTCAGTTTTCTTCTGTTTCTCAATCAAGAATGATTATTTGTCAAGTACAAGAGTGAAGCTGCCCAGGTCCCAAATCATTTTAGAAAGAACAACAGGAAATCATATTTCTTTTTTTCAATTTAATTTAATTTTATTTTATTTTATTACTATTTTACTTTAAGTTTTAGGGTACATGTGCACAATGTGCAGGTTAGTTACATATGTATACATCTGCCATGCTGGTGCACTGCACCCACTAACTCGTCACCTAGCATTAGGTATATCTCCCAGTGCTATCCCTCCCGCCTACCCCTACCCCACAACAGTCCCCAGAGTGTGATGTTCCCCTTCTTGTGTCCATGTGTTCTCATTGTTCAATTCCCACCTATGAGTGAGAATATGCGGTGTTTGGCTTTTTGTTCTTGCGATAGTTTACTGAGAATGATGATTTCCACTTTCATCCATGTCCCTACAAAGGACATGAACTCATCATTTTTTATGGCTGCATAGTATTCCATGGTGTATATGTGCCACATTTTCTTAATCCAATCTATCATTGTTGGACATTTGGGTTGGTTCCAAGTCTTTGCTATTGTGAATAATGCTGCAATAAACATACGTGTGCATGTGTCTTTATAGCAGCATGATTTATAGTCCTTTGGGTATATACCCAGTAATGGGATGGCTGGGTCAAATGGTATTTCTAGTTCTAGATCCCTGAGGAATCGCCACACTGACTTCTACGATGGTTGAACTAGTTTACAGTCCCACCAACAGTGTAAAAGTGTTCCTATTTCTCCACATCCTCTCCAGCACCTGTTGTTTCCTGACTTTTTTTTTTCTGAATCTCAAGGAACTTTATTTATTTTTTTCCTAGCATTTGAAATTTTATTGGAAGTGAAATGTAAGCTACTTTATTTATTTATTTATTTATTTATTTATTTATTTATTATTATTATACTTTAAGTTTTAGGGTACATGTGCACAATGTGCAGGTTAGTTACATATGTATACATGTGCCATGCTGGTGCGCTACACCCACTAACTCGTCATCTAGCATTAGGTATATCTCACAATGCTATCCCTCCCGCCTACCTCCGACCCACAACAGTCCCCAGAGTGTGATGTTCCCCTTCCTGTGTCCATGTGTTCTCATTGTTCAATTCCCACCTATGAGTGAGAATATGCGGTGTTTGGTTTTTTGTTCTTGCGGTAGTTTACTGAGAATGATGATTTCCAATTTCATCCATGTCCTTACAAAGGACATGAACTCATCATTTTTTATGGCTGCATAGTATTCCATGGTGTATATGTGCCACATTTTCTTAATCCAATCTATCATTGTTGGACATTTGGGTTGGTTCCAAGTCTTTGCTATTGTGAATAATGCCGCAATAAACATACGTGTGCATGTGTCTTTATAGCAGCATGATTTATAATCCTTTGGGTATATACCCAGTAATGGGATGGCTGGGTCAAATGGTATTTCTAGTTCTAGATTCCTGAGGAATCGCCACACTGACTTCCACAGTGGTTGAACTAGTTTACAGTCCCACCAACAGTATAAAAGTATTCCTATTTCTCCACATCCTCTCCAGCACCTGTTGTTTCCTGACTTTTTAATGATTGCCATTCTAACTGGTGTGAGATGGTATCTCATTGTGGTTTTGATTTGCATTTCTCTGATGGCCAGTGATGGTGAGCATTTTTTCATGTGTTTTTTGGCTGCATAAATGTCTTCTTTTGAGAAGTGTCTGTTCATGTCCTTCGCCCACTTTTTGATGGCGTTGTTTGTTTTTATCTTGTAAATTTGTTTGAGTTCATTGTAGATTCTGGAAATGACTTTCTTCACAGAATTAGAAAAAACTACTTTAAAGTTCATATGGAACCAAAAAAGAGCCCACATCGCCAAGTCAATCCTAAGCCAAAAGAACAAAGCTGGAGGCATCATGCTACCTGACTTCAAACTATACTACAAGGCTACAGTAACCAAAACAGCATGGTACTGGTACCAAAACAGAGATATAGATCAATGGAACAGAACAGAGACCTCAGAAATCATGCCGCATATCTACAACTATCTGATCTTTGACAAACCTGAGAAAAACAAGCAATGGGGAAAGGATTCCCTATTTAATAAATGGTGCTGGGAAAACTGGCTAGCCATATGTAGAAAGCTGAAACTGGATCCCTTCCTTACACCTTATACAAAAATCAATTCAAGATGGATTAAAGACTTAAACGTTAGACCTAAAACCATAAAAACCCTAGAAGAAAACCTAGGCATGACCATTCAGGACATAGGCATGGGCAAGGACTTCATGTCTAAAACACCAAAAGCAATGGCAGCAAAAGCCAAAATTGACAATGGGGTCTAATTAAACTAAAGAGCTTCTGCACAGCAAAAGAAACTACCATCAGAGTGAACAGACAACCTACAAAATTGGAGAAAATTTTTGCAACCTACTCATCTCACAAAGGAAATCATATTTCTCAAGTGCTGGACATGCAGAGAAAGGCAACTTTACCTGGGAGAAGAGAGTGCGAGAAAAGCAAATGGAATATCTACTTGGAGCGAAAAAAAAACTACTCTGTAACTAAGGAACTCTCCAAATTGAGCTACAGCTTCAAGCAAGATGAAACAAAACAAAGAGTTGTACTGTGGCTCTTTCAACATTTGGTTCAGAAATGTCCAAATATTTTCTTTTTTAAAAATTATTTATTTATTTTTTACATGATTGTGTTAAAATAATCTACATTTAATTATAGAGTTTTGTTACTGCAAAGTGGATTTGGAGGTATTTTTTGTCTGGAATGGTTAAAAAAATTGTTGTGGCTAAGAAGCATGCCTTAGTAAGTAGATAACATTTAAAAATTTAGAAACTGTATCCCCATTTTTTTCCACTGGTAAGTTAATGCTGTGATATCTTAGATTTAGTTGAAGGAGGAATACAGTATGAAAGCCTAACAGAATTACCTTGACTTTGAAAGTCTGCTTTCTAAGGTGAAAATGAAATCCCTTGGGACTTGGTTTGCTCGCCAAGTCAGCTAGTTGGTGACTACACATCTTAGCTTGATAATGCACTTAGAGAGATCAATAAACCTGACTGACAAATCCAGCTCTTTCCTACCCTGTGCCTCCCTTGGCCAAATAAATAAGTAAAATAAAAATTGGTCTTTTGGCAACCTAGATGCAAACAATTCTTTAAGTTGTTTTATTAATTTATTTTAAATGTAGGATGCTGACATAAGGTGACAGTATAATTCTCCTCTAGGATTTTTTTCATATTTGTAAGAAATGCATGAGACTTTCCTTTGAGGATGTTAGTACAATATTTAATAATGAGATGGAGCATGGATATTTTCTCTTCCACTATTTTTCTCGTTCTGAAAATTTGGAGACCTTTTTTTCTTCTCAAAATAAGGCTCTTTCCTTACCCATTGTAGTCTTGCTGATTCCATTTGATGGTCAGAATAGTGATGATCATTATATAAAATAGTAGCAGCTAGGTTTTGTTAAGTGCTTACTATGGGCCAACCCTGTGCTAAATGATTTACATGGATTATCTCTTTAAACCAGATGATAATTCTACTAGATAGGTACTGTCATTATCCACATGGTACAGTGGAAGAGTCCCATCTAGGTTCACATAAGTTAAATAAGGTGACCAATATTGTACAGGACAAAGTGGACTCAAATTGGACTTGAATCCATGCAGGTAGACACTAGAGGCAGTGGTTTTACCTACTGCCGTATCCCATAGCTTTGAATTAGTGCAGTAGATAATCGTAATGGTTTTTGCTCCATTGCATTTGAGCACAGTAACTAGGATGAGGCTGAGTGGGCTTTTGCCAGCTCTAGGACCAGCATTAATGAGCGGATAATGGTGACTGGTAATGAGTACAAAGCCAGGCTTAGCAATGCTGGCTTCTGCTTACTTCGCAATTACAGTGCTTGTTTGAAAATTACAGGCGAAAGTGCTTGGAAACAACTGCTCTGTGATGCAGGCAAAATTCCCCTCCCATCTTGTTTATAGCATTAATTAGCTTAGGAGGCCCTTTGTGGCTATAGAACAGGGGATAAAATTCAGCCTGATCTCATCCCCAAGTGAGTCAGTTAAATCTCAATTATAACACTGCCTGATTTTTAAGAGTATTTGAGGTAAAACTTTGAAGAGAAAATCACTGTGGCTATTCAGAGGCACATAGTAATTTTCTATTTGTGTTGTGTTTTCATCACCATCATCATCATCATCACCCCATCATAATCATCAGCATCTTTATCCTCACCATCATTAAGTCTACATAATGTTCTATGAGAAAGTTGACTTCATAAGTGCAACAGAGGCATAATGCATGGCACATAGTAGCTATTCAATAAATACTTATTGAATAAGTGTGGAGTACATGAAGGAGGTTGTTGAGCACCTCTTGTGTGATAAGCAGTGTACTAAGTGCTATGCATTGAAGATGACATTTAATCATTATCATCATCCTGTGAGTAGGTCCTGTTGTTATTCCCATTTTACAAATGAGGAAACTGAGGTACAGAGAAAATAAGCAACTTGCTCAAGTAGACTCAGCGAGTGAGTGGGAGAATTTGGACTTACTCTCAGTCCTGTTTGAATCTAGAGCCCATGATGCTGTTCTATCCAGTATTGTCACTACCCCAATCATTTTTCCTTCTCTTATAATTCTTCTAGAAATGGAAGCTTTTAGTTGACTTGGTATTATGAGGAAAAGTGGGGGCCCAGCAGTACTAGTACTAGAGTTGGATGAAATCAGTGCTACCTCTGTGTTTTAAAAGCCTTTAAAATTTCTACTCAGAGAGTGATCTGCCTTGATAAATACTTGGTTATAGCTTGAAGTCTTCCTCTTGGGCATAATTCCATTGCTGTTTCTTAGAAATTTTCCTGCTAATGGAAGTCAGCAATGGTGAACTCTTCTGAGAAGATTTCTACATGCAGAACATCTTCAGAATAGGAAGTCTCTGAGATATGGACAGTAAACTATGTCTCCTAAGTAATGTAGATTAAAAACGCTGCCATACTGCTTGAGGACACTATAAACAAATCCCACTGCAATCCTTTCAGGTAGGCTCTTCATTATAGAACATTCACATGCCTCTGTATTTAATCTTCACCTTTAAACTCTCTGGGCTCATGTGTCTCTAAGACCTGATTCTGGAAGAGCAGCCAAGCTGCTTTCTCTTACCTAACTGAAAAGAATTTGTAGGTAATAAGAAAGTGCTTTTATTCAATTATCATGGTTGCCAATCCAGTTAGCTATGTAACTCTCACTTTCTCAGCACACTGCTACAATTTATATCCTTTGCATTTAGGTTTTACAGGGATGTTCTTAGTTACCTAAACTTTTTATGGTGTAGAAATTGTACAAGAGTCTATGAAATTGTAAGACAAACTGAAAGCATATGGTTTGAGCATCACATATTTTCCTGAGGTGTGTGCACAAGCTCTCTCTTCCTGTGTGTTTATTTCCTGGATTCCCACACATATATAATTCTAAGGGCAGAAATTTTCTGACTCATTTAAAGTATATTTCTTTAGATTAACAGAAAAAGAAAATGCTCTATTGTGAAGGAGAGAAAATGACATCCTGAATTTGAGGTAGGAGCCTGTGGTTATCTTCAATCAATGGTACATAAAGGAAGAACAAAACGTTTTCCTTTGATCTTCAGTTGTAGTTAGTATTTCCAGTAGAAAATGTCTAATATTTAATCATCCATCTGGAATCTCATAGCTGACTCTGAATTTTGTAATTTTCCAGTTGCTATGTCTCATTGGTAGTGTCACTTTCCTTCACCAAAATAGTGGAAATTATAAATAAATATTTTCTGTGGTTAAGTTGTGGTTTAATATCTATCTCCCAACCTTTGCTAGATTTGGAAGTTCCAGGTGGAAGAGCTCCTCTGCTGCTCACCACTGTGCTCCCAAGTGGATGGCCTTGGGTCTGGCACTTAGTAGATGCCTGAGGTTGGATTCCCTAAAAGCAGAGCCTGAAGTGTGTATTCTTGTGCACACGAGTTTTGAGTGTTCCCTGGAGTGAAGGAAGGAGTGAAGCAAGGCCTCTGCTCAAGATCACCTTCAGCCTGATGCCATGGTGAGCTCATAACACCATAGTTAGTTTCATCTTAAGGTAAAGGAGATACTCTTCTGTATCCTCATATTTTCCTTTGGTCTTGGGCTTCCCTCATTCCATCAGGAAAGAGATTTGCATGACCTTGATGGCAAGGCAGCGCCTCTTTTGCTGAAGGCAATTCTTTAATACTTTGACAGTGGCTCTGGCGACAAAAGTACAACTCTGCCAGACATCGCTGCTTCATCTTTCTACTTTACTACTGGCTATCTGCTGGTTGTTAATGACTTCTGTGGCTGTGTTTTTATGTAGATGCTTCTTTGCTTCTGTTCTTATTTATTCTACACTATTGACCAACTTTCCTCCTCTTAACTGCACTGCGTCTCCTTAATTTGTGACTTTTCCTTTATTGCTTCTTGCTACTGCCTTTGTAATTTTCCTAGCAACACATATTTCATTTCTTCAAGAGAGATGAAGACTATTTGGATTGACCAGTTGCCACCCAAGGGAGTGGTCACCGTTTATTCATTTCATTCATTTACTCATTACCAATTTAACATAGGCTTATTGTGTACCTTCAGTGAATCAGGCACCATGCTAAGTGTTAGGACTACCTTGGTAAACAAAACCACATGTGCTCCTTGCCTGTATAGAGTGTAGAGTTTAGGGTGCAGGATTCTAATGCCTGGACCTATAACTTGAAGATGGATGTGGGCCGAGCTCACAAATTTCAACATCTCAGGCCCCAGCAGATGGCTTGCATGGTCTTTCTAGAATGCTCTGTTCTGAGATATTCTGTCTTGATTTTGATATTTGCCTCATCCTTGTCCCCTTCCCTCTGGTGCAGGTGATTCCAAGCATCTTGCTCACTTCTGCCATATCCTCATTCCAGGAAGGGTAGATGCTGTGGGTCTGCAACTGCTTCACTTTTGATGCGGAGGTTATGTCACAAAGTCCGGTAAATCTCTTTGAAGAGTTGAAAACAAGACTATCAATAACTATTGTAAACACACTTTTAGTCAGTACAGGGATATAACTAGTTTGTGTAGTTCAGGGGCTCAGTAATAGAGTTTTTCATATATCATAGAGTTGAAATCAACAAGGACTTACTATTAAAAGATCATTATATACTGACAGTGTGAGATATGAATTATGTTAGTAATTGATTCTAGAACAGTTGCGTGGTTGTTTATATGTGTGTTTTTTAAAATAGTGGGGGATGCCTCTCTATTGATGTAACCTTTGGCCATCTTATCACCAGCACAAATACACACACACACACACACACACACACAGACACACACACACAGAAGGAGAGAGAGAGGGGAATCAACTCTCACACCTAGAGACTGACTTTTCAGCCCAGTAAATGGATAGCTTGGTTTTCAGATACCTTATACTAAATATCTTCAGTTATTTGGGCTTTAAGTTGTATGTCTTTCCACTTTCTTCTCTGGATACTAACCTTCCATATCTTTCTCTGTGATCCTTTTGATAGGGTGGTGGTAGTGCATAGAAGAATGTATTCCAAATTTTTAATCAGAGAAATATTAGTATTCCAAATTTTTAATTAGAGAAATATTAGCATTCTCATTAGTATGAGAGGGCATTACATCACATGCTTAAGGAGATTCTTCATTAATAGTGTGTTGCTCTACAACCATCTGATCTTCGACAAACCTGACAAAAACAAGCAATAGGGAAGGGATTCCCTATTTAATAAATGGTGCTGGGAAAACTGGCTAGGCATATGCAGAAAATTGAAACTGGACCCCTTTCTTATGCCTTATACAAAAATTAACTCAAAATGAATTCAATACTTAAATGTAAAACCCAAAACTATAAAAACCCTGGAAAAAAATCTAGGTAATACCATTCAGGACATAGACATGGGCAAAGATTTCATGACAAAAATGCCAAAAGCAATTGCAACAAAAGCAAAAATTGACAAATGGGATGTAATTAAACTAAAGAGCCTCTGCACAGCAAAAAAAACTATCATCAGAATGAAAAGACAACCTACAGAATAGGAGAATATTTTTGCAATCTATCCATTTGACAAAGGTTTAATATCCAGGGTCCACAGGAACTTAAACAAATGTACAAGAAAAAAGCAACCCCATTAAAAAGTGGGCAAAGGACATGAATAGACTCTTCTCAAACTGCATGCTCATGCAGTTTCTCAAAAGAAGATATTTTTGTGGTCAAAAATCAATAAAAATGCTCAACATCACTAATCATTAGAGAAATGCAAATCAGAACAACAACGAGATATCATCTCTTGCCAGTCAGAATGGCAATGATTAAAAAGTCATGAAACAACAGATGCTGGCAAAGTTGCAGAGAAAAAGGAACACTTTTACCCTGTTAATGGGTGTGTAAATTAGTTCAACCATTGTGGAAGACAGTATGGCAATTCCTCAAAGATCTAGAAGCAGAAATACCATTTGACGCATCAATCCCATTATGGGGTATATATCCAAAGAAATATAAATCATTCTATTATAAAGATACATGCACACATATGTTCATTGCAGCACTATTCACAATAGTAAAGACATGGAATCAACCCAAATGCTCATCGATGGTAGACTGGATAAAGAAAATGTGCTACATGCACATGATGGAATACTATGCAGCCATAAAAAGGAGCAATATTGACATGGATGGAGCTGGAAGCTGTTATCCTCAGCAAAGTAATGCAGGAGCAGAAAACCAAACACTGCATATTCTACATAAGTTGGAACTAATGCCAATAATGGCATTATTTTGTATAAAATATAGGAAACTATTTTTATCTGTGTTTTTTGGAGTTTCAGGCAGTCTTCAGTTTAGGCTTTAATACTACTAACTTACTGTCATATTTCACAGTGAATTGTAAAAGCTGGAAAATTTGATTTAGATTGTCCATATTAGGTCTAAATGACTACATGGTTGTAGAATAACCTTTAATAACTCTGTATAAAACTCACTGTCACTTTATTAGTTTTTGTATAATGAAAACAAAAAAGACTGGAACGTCATCTTGATGATGCTACAAAAGAGATATTCAATCTTAGACAATTATTTTGGTTTTTTTAAGCCTCAGTTTCCCATACATGAATGTGTTTGTATAGAGCAGTGGTTTTCAAACTCTATTAAGAATAACAATCATTTAGGGAGGTTGTTAGCTTGCAGTTTCTGGGGATTCTCATCTACCATGTTTGATTACATACCTTCCTACTAGCGTCTGTGCCCATATAGGTTGTCCCCTCTCTTGAGAGTAAGAATAAATGGCTAGGCCAGAACCATTCCTCCGCTTTTCTACTATATTCATGTATTTTATTCCCTATTTCCTATTGAAGGGAAGGAATCCAGAAATTATCCCTTTACTCTCATATATCATCATATTTTCCCTTCTAACAGACTCATACACGCAGCACACAGATATGGTTTAATTTTATCTTAAAACTCACCCTCTAGATTTCACTTCTCCCTCTACTTAACAAACCATTTCTTTCCTTTCTTTTACTACAGGACACATTAGTCCCAGATATTTCACCTTAAGTCATTTTCATTCTGTTTTCTACCATGAGGAGAGTTATATTAGGAGTAATCCCATGTTTTTCAGTCCAATAATGGTGAGAATAGTTAACATTTACTGAGCACTTATTCTAGTCCAGATGTTTTCCAAGTGCTCTACCTCTGTTGATTCCTTCAGTGTTCACAGCACTCCTAGGAAGTTGGTCATTTCCTTTGGCCTTTGACTCTTTAAGTCTTCAGGTTAACAGTTTACTCTTCAAGACCAACTTTAAAATCATTTTGTGAAGTTTCAAAATAAAATCCCATTGGAGTTTAGATTGAGATTGTGTTAAACTGATAAATTTACTTTGGGGACAATGGCATCTCATGATATGATATGTTCTACCACTCAAGAACATCTATCAACCTGTATCTTCTCCCTCTCTTTTTCTTAAAAAAATAGGCTATATTTTTTGGGGCAGTTTTAGGGTCATAGCAAATTGAGCTGAAGGTTTAGAGAGTTCTCATATACCTGTATCAATTGCTGGATCATATGATACAAATATGTTTAGTTTTGGAAGAAGCTGCCAAACTGTCTTTCAAACTGGCTGCACTCTTGCATTCCCACCAGCAATAGCTAAGAGTTCCTGTTGCTCCACATCCTTGTCAGCATTTAGCGTTGTTAGAGTTTTGAATTTTGACCATTCTAAGAGGCCTGTAGTGGTGTATCATCATTGTTTTAATTTGAAATTTCTTATTGGTATATAATGTTAAACATTTTTAAATGTGATTATTAACATTCTCTTTTTAAACTTACTTTAAATATGGTTATATAGTTCTCTCCATGTGGGTTCTGCACATTTCATTGTAGATTTGGTGGCTGATTTTTTTTCCCAAAGAAAATTGCAATATATTCACCATACCTTGCAACTCTTGCCTTGCCTCCATCAAGAGGTAAAGTCAAATTCTCCTCTCCTTCAATTGGGTGGGTTTGCAACTCACTCGCAACAAAAGAAAGCAATGGAAGTGATTCTTCATGACTTCAGAGGCTAGGCTTTGTATGACATAAAATACTTTCCCTTTCCGTTCAAGGCTAGGTCATGAGGCAGATTTCACTTTTGCAAAGGTGGAAGGCTCTCTCTTAAGGCCTTCAGTTGCCATGTAAGAAGCCTGATTGCAAATTGCCTTGAGGCTGCCACTTTCTGAGGAAGCCCTGCTGCTCCTGTGCCCTGCTGCTTCAATTTCAGCCACTATCTGACCTCAACTTCAAGGGAAGCCCTAAGCCAAAGTCTTTGAGCTGAGGCCTTTCTGAGTGCCTGGCCCTAAGACATTATGAGAGACAACCAAATGATCATTGTTTTTGTAAACCACTAAATCTGGGGGTGATTTACTACAAAACAATAGATAACTTGAGCAAATTTATTCCTAAATTTTAACCTTTTCTATTGCTATTGTGATAATTTTTAAAAAATTGTCTCTGTAATCATTGTCAACTTTTGTGACTTTGTCTCATGCAACTTGCACATTTGTATATCATATAGTGTAATGCTACCTCTAAACTGATTTTCATTTGCCAAATTTAAGTTTTCATCTCTCAGCTAATGAACACACAACTTAGGCTATTTTAAATGCTAACCTGCCTCCTTAACAGCTGGTAGTTGAATTTTGCCGTCTGGATATTTTTGGGTCTATGTTTGTGGAAATACTTGACTACATGTTGCATTTTTTCTTAACAATTTTAAAAAGTGACTGGGAAAAGTGGAAAATGAAAATGCTGATACTAGTGATAAGAAGCACAGGTCTTCTAAAATTAGTTACAATTGAGGCAAAAATGAAAATATTCAGACTTGCCAAAAAGCTCAAACCAGCCTCAACTGAGTACTCATTGTACATATGCAACTGTGTTTAATTGTGATGGAAATGAACAAAAAGGGACATATATTAAATTTTGGAAAGATAGCACTAAATAAGATATCTAAACAGTGAGTTGCAAATGGGGATTCTATAATCATCTTATGACTTTGGACTTAGTAAAGCTATTATTCTCTTCAGCTCTATTACTAGATTAAGTTTTAGTGAAGATATTACCAAGTAAATATGCTTCTAAATTCCTTTGGAGAGAAGACACTTATCTAAGATAATGATACAATAATGAGAAAAATCGATGTATAAAAAGGACTGATAGGTTGGGTGTGGTGGCTCACACCTGTAATCCCCGCACTTTGGGAGGCCAAGGTGGGCGGATCATGAGGTCAGGAGTTTGAGACCAGCCTGACCAATATGGTGAAACCCCATCTCTACTAAAAATACAAAATACAAAAATTATCCAGGTGTGGTGGCACAGGCCTGTAATCCCAGCTACTCAGGAGGCTGAGGCAGGAGGATCGCTTGAACTCAGGAGATGGAGGTTGCAGTGAGCCAAGATTGTGCCACTGCACTCCAGCCTAGGTGACAGAGTGAGACTCCATCTCAAAAAAAAAAAAAAAAAAAGGACTGATAAATTTTGACCATGAGGTATCATACAGGTACCATGACTTCTCTTTTAATTCCTGCTGTGAAAGAAGGAATTTAGGAGCCAGAGGAAAAGAACATGTTAGCTTTTAGGAGTTAATGTGAAAATACACGTAAGTGCTTCATTTTATTAGCCTTACTTCCTATCTCATTTACTAAAGAAATACCTTTATTTAATATGTTCATAAAACTTTTTATGTCATATTCCATATTCTGTCTTGTCTTTATTGTGTATATTCATTGTTTGGCTTTGGTAGTGTCTTTCAGAAACACATTATGCATAAAAGTTGTGGAGATATCTGTGAAGGGAAGGTATTGATTTTGCGTATTAATTCGGTAAACAATTTCCATTAAGACACATCTTACTATTTAATGATTTTTCAACAGATTACTTTGGGGTTTCCAGATAGACTGTCACATCATCTGTAAATAATTACAATTTTATTTCTTCCATTTCAGTATTTATATTCTTATTTTCAATTACTTATTTAACTGTGTTGGCTAATACTTATAAAATAATGTTTACTGCCAGTGATGATAATGAGCATACTTCTTTTGCCCGTGATTTCAATTTTAGTTTTTCACATTACTTCTTAATTTGAAAGTTGTATTTTATAAAACCTTGTTAAGGAAGTGACCTTGTATTAAAAAATTGAGGAAATTGAGAAATGAAAGCTGAGTTTTGAAGTAAAATAATTGGAGATACATGTTTTACTAATTATTTCTTTGTTTCAGGTTTTCATACTTGACATTTAGAAATCCTTAGATGTGTCACAAAGATTAGGTAGCTGTTCCCACTTCATTTGACTGGTGAAGCCTTCTGGGTAGGATCACACTGTGGTAGAAGGCCATCAGCAGTTTTCCATACTTAGAATGGCTGTAGAGATAAAGAAAGAAGTATTCAGGGAGGTCAGAATAGAAAAGGAAGGTGAGTTGCTGTTTGTCCTTTCATTTTAGCCAGTGCCAAAGAGTTGATTGATAATTTAGACCCATGCCTATCCTGAAATAGACAAATTATGAATTCTTTTAAAATATCTCTGAAAATTTGTTAGAAGCGATTACTGTTACACACCTTGATAAAAAGCAATAAATGAAATTATGCTACTCATTTTCTATTTCTCTCTCTCTCTCTCTTTTTTTTTTTTTTTGTGAGATGGAGTCTCGCTGTGTTGCCAGGCTGGAGTGCAGTGGCGTGATCTCGGCTCGCTGCAACCTCCGACTCCCTGGTTCAAGTGATTCTTCTACCTCAGCCTTCTGAGTAGCTGGGATTACAGGCAAGCACCACCATGCCCAGCTAATTTTTGTATTTTTAGTAGAGACAGGGTTTCACCATGTTGGCCAGGATGATCTTGATCTCCTGACCCCGTGATCTGCCGGCCTTGGCCTCCCAAAGTGCTGGGATTACAGGTGTGAGCCACCGCGCCCGGCCTCTTATTTTCTCTTTAAGACATGTCTGGGCCAGGTGTGGTGGCTCATGCCTGTAATCCCAGCACTTTGGGAAGCTGAGGCATACATGAGGTCAGGAGTTTCAGACCAGCCTGGGCAACATGGTGAGACCCCATCTCTACTAAAAATACAAAAATTAGCCTGGCATGGTGGCACATGCCTGTAATCCCAGCTACTTGGGTGACTGAGGCATAAGAATTGTTTCAACCCAGGAGGTGGAGGCTGCAGTGAGCCAAGATTGTCACTGCACTCTAGCCTGGGTGACAGAGTGAGACTCTGTCTCATAAAAAAAAGAAAAAAAGACATGTCTGTGGAGGCACAGTCCTAGTGGCTGGGAAACAAGAGTAAACAGGATTGGGATAGGACTATTAGAGTAGGTAGCTAGGAAGACATGGGTAGGGCAGGAGAGTGCCCCCCAACCAAGAAATGTCAGGCAACCATCAAGTGATGGTCAGGAAGTTGTTAAACTGCCTCTCTGAAATAATAATTGATCACACCTGATGCCAGGGAGAGGCAGTCTCCCAATGAATAGAAAACACTGGAAGCTGGTGATCCCCAGCTTCCTGATAAGATCTCAGGAATTGGGCTAGTGGGCTCAAGGATGCACACTGAGAGGGAAAATGGTGAAGTTTAACTGGTATATGACCTTCCTCTAGGAACACTAGACTGGTAAGGAGAAAATGCCTCAAATTATTATGTGAACAACTTCAGTAAACATACTGTACAACTTCAGTAAACACACTTGGGCCCTTCTCAAGTGCTGGCAGGCCACGAAGCATGTGGGCAGTCTGCCTCAAGGGAAGAATCAGTAGTGAAGAGATGCAAAACCCCAGAAGCATACCAATGTATAAAACCCCAAGTCAAAGATCAAACAGTGCACTTGAATCTCTCAAGTCACCTGGTTGACCCTCTTTCAAGTGCACTTTACTTCCTTTTCTTCCTGCTCTAAAGCTTTTTAATAAACTTTCACCCCTGCTCTAAACCTTGCCTTGATTTCTCACTCTGCCTTATGCCCCTCAGATGAATTTTTTCCTCTGAGGAAGCCAGAATCGATTTGCTGCAGAGCCTTATGGATTCACAGCTGCTGAAAGGACAGTTTATCTAAGCTCTTGGTAATGATGTGGTAGGAGGTCTGAGATCCAAAGATTGTGTAATATTGAACTAAGTACATGACATAAACTTTTAGTAATAATTTAGCACCTTTTGATTATGAGGTTAAAATTGTAGAGACTAATCAAGAAGCATTATTGAATAGACTAAGTGTTTAACAACATAAATTCCAGGGAGGCTATGTTTTTCCTGGAACTGCTTCTAATGAGGATATGTTTGAAAATCTGAGGATAAGTATGCAAATAGATGTGTTTGCATTGTCAAGTATGCATAATGCTAATACCAGGGTGTTATCTTTATCTGTAAAATTAATTGTTTGCAAATGCTAAGCCTATTAACTAAGGCTTATTTACCTCAAATAATGGTAATTTAAAAAAAATGATGCAAGATTGGCAAACAAACGAAATATATAAAGGGCTATTTCTTCCTTGAATGAAAATGAGTGGCTTTATCAGGTGGAAAGTTAAACATTTTTTTAAGAAAATAATTTTATATATTTTTGAAAGCAAATTTTTACAAGCAAAACAGATATTAGAATGAAGCTCTTGGCAACTGATTTAAAAACTAAAGGAAGGAAGCAATAGAAAGGTCTTCCCATGAAAACTAGTTTTAAAATATAATTTTACATAGGTTTTTTTAAATCTTGAAAGTTGTGGAGAGTGAAATATATAATATAACAACATGAAGCAAAAGTCAATAATTGACTTTGAAATGCACCAGTTTCTCTGAAAAAAAAACCCAGGAGATTCCAGTCAACCTGAGTCAGCAGTAAGGAAGTCGCCTCTGTTTTAATCCTACAAGGAAGTAATGTTGAAATGACTGATCTGTTTTTTTTCTCTGTTTCTGCTTTCTTCAGCTCTTTTCTTCTTATACAGCCAACCTCCTCTGCTCAGCTCAGTGGAATACTCATTCGGTTTTACAGAATGAGGTGTTGCTCCCTTCTAGAATCACAAATAAAATCCAACTAGATCTTTAAGCTAAATTTCTTGTAATTTTGTCATTTGACATACATATAACAAATGAAAAAGCATGGTGCTTGTTGTCAACAGACTTGGATTTAAGTTCTGAATCTGCCACTAATAAGCTTTCTGACTGTGGGAAGTTTAATTCACCTGTTTCACCATAAAGTGAAGATCACATTAGTAGTACTTACCTTATCAGAGTTTATATAATTTATGGAAAATGCTTAGCAGAGTGCACAGTACATAGCGGAGTTTTTATTAAAATACAGTGATGCCTACAGCAATGAATGAAAGCCATGCCCTACTTTAAGTGAGGGTCTTGAGGAACTTACAGTTCTCTGAAGGAGGTAAGGCAGATACAGAAGCTATCACTGAACCTATTCACTATACCTGTGCAGTAAAGGCAAACACCAGCATGAAGGTACGCAGTAAGAGAAAGAAAAGCATTTATTGCAGGGTGCCAAGCCAGGAGAGCAGGCAGCTAATGCTGAAGACCTGAACACCATGATAAGCTTACAAGCAAGGGTTTTTAAAGGGAAAGGTGAGGGGATTGCTAAAGTGAGTTAAGGGCTGGGGAATTTCTGGGACTTCCTTATCCAGTTTTTGGTTCTAGTCTGTCGAGGTCTACATGAAAGTAGTCAGTGTTTTGCATCTGGTGGGGGTCCTTGTTTTTCTGATAAATAACTCAAAGACATATGTCAAGTTACTAACTTCAGTTTCTATAGAAAACAGTATCTTGTGACTCTTATGTTAGTTGAGTCACTATTGTTTAAACTATTGTTATCTTCTTCTTTAGCAAGTTGTATATTTACTTCTTTAATTACTGGTTGCGGGGCTAGCTAGGTACCTGGAATTTCCTTTGAAAGGATGAATTTTGTTTTTCCTTATTTCCGTGCAGTAGTGAGAGGAGGGAAGGGAGGAACCCAGTAGGCTCCAAAAAGGGGTCCCTGTTCCATTTCAAAACAACTATAACTTTTTTCTAATATTTAATAGATTTTAGTGACATTCACAAGTATCGAGCCTCCAAGACTTTGGTCTCCATGTGCCAATAATTTGCACAAGTGGAAAAGGCTAGGTGTACTTTCATGATACTATATATTTACAATGATTTGTATGACAAAATCTTTGACTATGTCCATTGGTACATTGAAAATACTGGGGTCTGGAAGGGAGTACTTCCAAATCTTACTTGCATAAAATGATACTCTGTACAAATGCACATATGCGTGTGACATTCAACAATGAGTGTGGGGGTTTAGTGAAAGGTGAAATTGAAAAGGAAAGAAAAGTGGGAGACAGTGTAGGGTGGTGGAGAAAAATCACTGAGCCCAAAGCCTGAAGACCATGGATAAGCCAAGGAAATTTACTGCCATCTTTTCTTTAGTGTCTGTATTCTGAGTTCTAGGCAACTGACTTATAAATATAGTTAGAAGACAAAACTTATTTGCGTATTGGAGAAGGTTGGTACTAGAATTGTGATAGATTTTTAAGAGTAACCCAACTACTCCAGAAAAATTTCAGGTTTCTGACTAGAATTTTAGAAGTGCTGCCGGTGCTTTTCCATTTTTGAGGAGAATAAAAAGAAGGAAGAACACAGCGTCTATAGTCACAAAGAAAGCTCTTCTGAGTAAACTGCCTATTAAGATAATTTTAGCTCACAAAGGCATATAAAACAGATCACAGGCCCAGCATTTCCTCACCAAAAAAAAAAAAACAAAAAACATTTTCCACAATTCCTCTTTAGCACATCAGACTTGTTCTTTGGTGCTTTCTGAAATATGAGCAAATGTTGCTGTACTCCAGCCATGCTAAATTTATTGTAGTTTCTCAACCATGCCATGCTGTTTCTGATTTCCCTGCCCTACTACATGAATTCTCTCTGCCTAGAGAACACTTTCCTATTATATCCACTCCTGCAATTTGTCCATTGTCCTTTGCTCAGTCTTCAAGGTGCACTTTAAAGATTATCTCCCCTAATTCTCAGAAGCGCTTAGGAAGCCAACACATATTTTGTTTTGATTCATCTTTGTATCCAGTATTTACTGAGTGCTTCCTGTTTATAAGGACCTGTACTAGGAATTGTAGAGGAATAATAAAATTACAAAGCAAACACCTTCACCTGCTGCCTCTTTTTTTGCTTCAGGTATAAAATGGACTATAACATGAGAACAAATAACTACGACATTGTGCTACAATCTACAGCAGGAAGACAGATAACAGTGCAGAAGACAGATAATAGTGAGAAAGAAAAAGAAAGATGAAAATACACTCAAAAATCATAGCCCTTCTTTTTCAGGTATGTCTTTGTCCTTCTTCTAGGCTACCAGAGTATTTGAGCACATTAGTATGATTTTTTAAAGAACATAAACAATAACTTCCATTTATTTAGTACCTCTATATATAAGATGATTTACATGTATTATCTTTTAAAATCATCATAAAAAACTCATTGAGGTAAGTACCTCCCTATTATTCCCTCATATTACAGATTGAGGAAACTGAGATTTAGTTAAGTAATACCAAATATTACGTGGTAAGTAAATGTTAGAGCCAGAATTTGAAACCAAGTCTGTCTACCATTAAAACCCACATGATTTTCCTGTTACAGGAAATTGACCTTTATGAGCAGAGTATATTGCAGCTTTCCCTAAAGACATTATTATTATTATTATTATATTATACTTTAAATTCTGAGGTACATGTGCAGAACGTGCAGGTTTGTTACGTAAGTATACATGTGCCATGGTGGTTTGTTGCACCCATCAACCTGTTATCTACATTAGGTATTTCTCCTAATGCTATCCCTCCCCTAGCTCCCCACCTCCTGACAGGTCCTGGTATGTGATGTTTCCCTTCCTGTGTCCATGTGTACTCATGGTTCAACTCCCACTTATAAGTGAGGACATGCAGTGTTTGGTTTTCTGTTCCTGTGTTAGTTTGCTGAGAATGATGGTTTCCAGCTGCAACCATGTCTCTGCTAAGGACATGAACTCATCCTTTTTTATGGCTGCATAGTATCCCATGGTATATATATGCCACATTTTCTTTATTCAGTCTATCATTGATGGGTATTTGTGTTGGTTTGAAGTCTTTGCTATTGTGAACAGTGCTGCAGTAAACATATGTGTGCATGTGTCTTTACAGTAGAATGATTTATAATCCTTTGGGTATATACCCAGTAATGGGATTGCTGGGTCAAATGGTATTTCTGGTTCTAGATCCTTGAGTAATCACCACACTGTTTTCCACAATGGTTGAACTAATTTACACTCCCACCAACAGTGTAACAGCTTTCCTATTTCTCCACATCCTCTCCAGCATCTGTTGTTTCCTGACTTTGTAATGATTGCCATTCTAACTGGTGTGAGATGGTATCTCATTGTGGTTTTGTTTTTCATTTCTCTAAAGACCAGTGATGATGAGCTTTTTTTCATATGTTTGTTGGGCGCAAAAATGTCTTCTTTTGAGAAGTGTCTGTTCATATCCTTTGCCCACTTTTTGATGGGGTTGTTTTTTTTCTTATAAATTTGTTTGAATTCTTTGTAGATTCTGGATATCAGCCCTTTGTCAGATGGATAGATTGCAAAAATTTTCTCCCATTCTGTAGGCTGCCTGTTCATGCTGATGATAGTTTCTTTTGCTGTGAAGGAGCTCTTTAGTTTAATTAGATTCCATTTGTCTATTTTGGCTTTTGTTGCCATTGCTTTGGTCTTTTAGCCATGAAGTGTTTGCCCATGCCTATGTCCTAAATGGAATTGCCTAGGTTTTCTTCTAGGGTTTTTATGGTTTTAGGTCTTTCATTTAAGTCTTTAATCCATCTTGAGTTAATTTTTGTATAAGGTGTAAGGAGGGGGTCCAGTTTTAGTTTTCTGCACATGGCTAGCCAGTTTTCCCATCACCATTTATTAAATAGAGAATCTTTTCCCCATTGCTTGTTTTCATCATGTTTGTCAAAGATCAGATGGCTGTAGATGTGTGGTGTTATTTCTGAGACACCTGTTCTGTTCCATTGGTCTATATATCTGTTTTGCTACCAGTGCCATGCTGTTTTGGTTTTGTTCTTAGGATTGTCTTGGCTATGTGGGCTCTTTGTTGGTTCCATATGAAATTTAAAGTAGTTTTTTCTAATTCTGTGAAGAAAGTCATTGGTAGCTTGATGGGGATAGCATTGAATCTATAAATTACTTCGGGCTGTATGGCCATTTTCACAATATTGATTGTTCCTATCCATGATCATGGAATGTTTTTCCATTTCTCTATGTCCTGTCTCATTTCCTTGAGCAGTGGTTTGTAGTTCTCCTTGAAGAGGTCCTTCACATCCCTCGTGGGTTGTATTCCTATGTATTTAATTCTCTTTGTAGCAATTGTGAATGGGAGTTCACTCATGATTTGGCTCTCTGTTTGCCTATTATTGGTGTATAAGAATGCTTGTGACTTTTGCACATTGATTTTGTATCCTGAGACTTTGCTGAAGTTGCTTATCAGCTTAAGGAGATTTTGGGCTGAAATGATGGGGTTTTCTAAATATATAATCGTGTCATCTGGTAACAAAGACAATTTGACTTCCTCTCTTCCTATTCGAATACCCTTTATTTCTTTCTCTTGCCTGATTGCCCTGGCCAGAACTTCCAATACTATGCTGAGTAGGAGTGGTGAGAGAGGGCATCCTTGTCTTGCACCAGTTTTCAAAGGGAGTGCTTCCAGTTTTTGCCCATTTGGTATGATATTGGCTGTGTGTTTGTCATAAATAGCTCTTATTATTTTGAGATACGTTCAATCAATGCCTAGTTTATTGGGAGTTTTTAGGATGAAGGGCTGTTAAAGTTTGTTGAAGGACTTTTCTGCATCTATTGAGATAATCATGAGTTTTTGCCATTGGTTCTGTTCATGTGATTGATTATGTTTATTGAACCAGCCTTGCATCCCAGGGATGAAGCCAACTTGATCATTGTGGATAAACTTTTTGATGTGCTGCTGAATTCGGTTTGCCAGTATTTTATTGAGGATTTTTGCATTGATATTCATCATGGACATTAGCCTGAAATTTTCTTTTTTTGTTGTGTCTCTGCAAGGTTTTGGTATCAGGTTGATGCTGGCCTCATAAAATGAGTTAGGGATGATTCCCTCTTTTTCTATTGTTTGGAATAATTTCAGAAGGAATGGTCCCAGCTCCTCTTTGTACTTCTGGTAGAATTCGGCTGTGAATCCATTTAGTCCTGGACTTTTTTTGGTTGGTAGACTATTAATTACTGCCTCAATTTCAGAACTTGTTATTGGTCTAATCAGGGATTTGACTTCTTCCTGGTTTAGACTTGGGAGGGTGTATGTGTCCAGGATTTTATCAATTTCTTCTAGATTTTCTAGTTTATTTGCATAGAGATGTTTATAGTATTCCGTGATGGTAGTTTGTATTTATTTCTGTGGGAGCAGTGGTGATATCCCCTTTATCATTTTTCATTGTGTCTATTTGATTCTTCTCTCTTTTCTTCTTTATTAGTCTGGCTAGTGGTCTATGTATTTTGTTGATCTTTTCAAAAAACCAGCTCCTGGATTCATTGATTTTTTTGAAGAGTTTTTTCATATCTCCATCTCCTTCAGTTCTCCTCTGATCTCAGTTATTTCTTGTCTTCTGCTAGCTTTTGAATTTGTTTGCTCTTGCTTCTCTAGTTCTTTAAATTGTGATGTTAGGGTGTCAGTTTTAGATCTTTCTTGCTTTCTCTTGTGGGCATTTAGTGCTATAAATTTCCCTCTAAACACTGATTTAGCTGTGTTCCAGAGATTCTGATATGTTGTGTCTTTGTTCTCATTGGTTTTAAAGAACATCTTTATTTCTGCCTTCATTTTGTTATTTACCCAGTAATCATTCAGCAGCAGGTTGTTCAGCTTCCATGTAGTTGTGAGGTTTTGAGTAAGTTTCTAAATCCCGAGTTAATTTGATTGCACTGTGGTCTGAGAGACTGTTATGATTTTTGTTCTTTTGCATTTGCTGAGGAGTGTTTTACTTCCAATTATGTGGCCAATTTTAGAATAAGTGTGATGTGGTGCTGAGAAGAATGTATATTCTGTTGATTTGGGGTGGAGAGTTCTGTAGATGTCTATTAGGTCTGCTTGGTCCAGAGCTGAGTTGAAGTCCTTAATATCCTTGTTAATTTTCTGCCTCATTGATGTGTCTAATATTGACAGTGGGGTGTTAAAGTCTCCCACTATTATTGTGTGGGAGTCTAAGTCTCTTTGTTGGTCTCTGAGAACTTGAGTTATGAATCTGGGTGCTCTTGTATTGGGGGCATTTATATTTAGGATAGTTAGCTCTTCTTGTTGCATTGATCCTTTTACCATTATTAATGGCCTTCTTTGTCTCTTTTGATCTTTGTTGGTTTAAAGTCTGTTTTATCAGATACTAGGATTGCAACCCCTGATTTTTTTTTTTTTTTTGCTTTCCATTTGCTTTGTATATATTCCTCCATCCCTTTATTTTTAGCTGATTTGTGTCTTTGCGCGTGAGATGGGTCTCCTGAATATAGCACACTGATGGGTCTTGACTCTTTATCCAATTTGCTAGTCTGTGTCTTTTAATTGGTCCATTTATCCTGTTTGCATTTAAGGTTAATATTGTTATGGGCGAATTTGATGCTGTCATTATGATGCCAGCTGGTTATTTTGCCCATTAGTTGATGCAGTTTCTTCATAGTGTCGATGGTCTTTACAATTTGGTGTGTTTTTGCAGTAGCTGGTATTGGATGTTCCTTTCCATGTTACAGTGCTTCCTTCAGGAGCTCTGGTAAGGCAGGCCTGGTGGTGAGAAAGTCTCTCAGTATTTGCTTTTATGTAAAGGATTTTATTTCTCCTTCACTTATGAAGCTTAGTTTGGCTGGATATGAAATTCTGGATTTAAAATTCTTTTCTTTAAGAATGTTGACTATTGGCCCCCACTCTCTTCTGGCTTGTAGGGTTTCTGCAGAGAGATCTGCTATTAGTCTGATAGGCTTCCCTTTGTGGGTAACCCAACCTTTTTCTCTGGCTGCGCTTAACATTTTTTCCTTCATTTCAACCTTGGTGAATCTGACGATTATGTGTCTTGGGGTTGCTCTTCTGAAGGAGTATCTTTGTGGTGTTCTCTGTATTTCCTGAATTTGAATGTTGACCTGTCTTGCTAGATTGGGGAAGTTCTCCTAGATAATATCCTGAAGAGTGTTTTCCAACTTGCTTCCATTCTCCCCGTCACTTTCAGGTACACCAATCAGAATTAGCTTTGGTCTTTTTACATAGTCCCATATTTCCTGGAGGCTTTGTTCATTTCTTTTCATTCTTTTTTCTGTAATTTTTTCTCCATGCTTTATTTCATTAAGTTGATCTTCGATCTCTGATATCCTTTCTTCCCTTGATCGATTCACCTATTGATACTTGTGTATGCTTCACGAAGTTCTCGTGCTGTGTTTTTCAGCTCTGTCAGGTCATTTATATTGTTCTCTAAACTGGTTATTCTAGTTAGCAATTACTCTAACCTTTTGTCAAGGTTCTTAGCTTCCTTGCATTGGGTTAGAACATGCTTCGTTAGCTTGGAGGAGTTTGTTATTACCCACCTTCTGAAGCCTATTTCTCTCAATTCATCAAACTCATTCTCCACCCAGTTTTGTTCCCTTGCTAGTAAGGGTGTGATCCTTTGGAGGAGATGAGGCATTCTGGTTTTGGGAATCTTCAGCCTTTTTGTGCCGGTTTCTCCCTATCTTCATGGATTTATCTACCTTTGTTCTTTGATGTTGGTGACCTTCAAATGGGGTTTCTGAGTGGATGTCCTTTTTGTTGATGTTGATGCTATTCCTTTCTGTTTGTTATTTTTCCTTCTAACAGTCAGGCCCTTCTGCTGCAAGTTTGCAGGAGTTTGCTGGAGTTTGCTGTGGAGGTCCACTCTAGACCCTGTTTGCCGGGGTATCACCAGCGGAGGCTGCAGAACAGCAAAGATTGCTGCCTGTTCCTTCCTCTGGAAGCTTTGTCCCAGAGGGGCACATTATTTTGTGATGGAATATGAAATATTTCTTTGCTTGAAATATGGAGCAAACAAATTGACTAAGTCTAGTTCGATGAGTTTCATTTTCCTAATAGTCAGGCACATTTTCTAATTATGCATTGTATTTGCCAGATTTTAAGACTAGACAGGATTTCACACAAATGGCAAGGCTGTACTTTATTACAAGCTCAAGTTCTGGGGTATATCTTTATGTAGTTTGCTGAAACCAAGTGGCATGCCTAAATAATTTTATTCCCCCTGATTCTTTTATAAGTAAAGGTTTCTAATACAATGTGTCTGCTTAAATTAAGATGTTGGCACTAGAATAGAGTCAATTCCATTGAGACAGTATCCCTTTAAGCAAATATCTATAGGGTATTGCCAGCACAAAAATCCATTTTACAGTATTTTCTAAACCTTAAAAGACATCCTTTTGATTATAAGCATTATTTGAATCAGAAAGCTGATTTGAGATGGTCATATCTTTCCATTAGGCAAATGATCATTTTTCTTATTCAGCTTCAAGGAAAAAAAATCAATCAGGGAATATATTGGAAAATTCTGCTTAAATGTTTTCAAGAGCCGGGGGTTGGAGAGACTTTGAATATCATTCTCATGATAATTAGAATACAGGGTTCCCTGAATTTTTTTATAGGAATGTAATCTTAGTATTTCTTTCTTTTCTTTTCCTTTTGTTTTTTGGTTTGAGGTGTTATAATAAATGGGAATGCATTGTCAATTTTGAATGACAGTGGGTATAACTGGTCCGTAATTCCTAATCTTTTATTATGGCTACCACTGCCCATTTTTCCATAGCTGTGACCCTGGGTTTTCCTGTTAACCTAGGAGAAGGCAGAGCCATTTGACCCGAAGTTTCTCTGCATATTTTCTTAGCATGTGGTGAGCAATGTGCTCTGGGCCAAAGCAATTTCCTATCTCTACCTGACTGACGCATTTAATGAAACCCCAGAACTGCCACCAATTTCCATTCTACTCTGTCCTCACATTACTCTATGGGACAGATGGAGTCTTTTTCTGATGCTGTTTAATCCAGGCGCCATTACTAAATTCAGCACCACATTGCATATATTGAATATCCTAACCTGTTAGATTTTTACAAACCACTTCAGGGAACTGGGTATTGTTCACTTTCTCTGTTATTTCTTGGCCCACTGGGTTATATGACTAATCCCAAGTAAAGGTGTTCCCAGAGCCTAACAGTGCTGTTCTAACCCAATTAGTCAGGAAAACGAAACAATAGTAGCAACAAAGAAAAAAAAATGTGTGATTGAGCTCTCATGTATGTTTCCTTCATTTATTTATTTAGCTGATTTTTGATGACAGCGTGATGTGTTTCAGGAACTGTTTTAGGTACTCAGGATACATCCATGATAGAAATTCCTTCCTCATGAGCTTCCATTCTAATGGGCGGGGGGGTGATTTGAGAGCAAACAAATCATAAGTGACATAATTTACAAAATAGAGGAATCAAGATAAGAGAGTGTTAGGGAAGTTGCAATGAAAAACGTTTATGTTTCTTAAGGACGACATCTCACTATGTTGACGCGGTTGGACTGAGTCCTGGGCTCAAGCAGTCCTCCCACCTCGGCCTCCCAAGTAGCTGGGAACAAGTGCATACAATTGTGCCTGGCTAAAGTTGTAATTGTAAACAGATGGTAAGGGTAGGTATCACCAGGAAGGTAAGGACTGAACAGCGATTCCAAGTAGATGGAGAAGGATGCCACGTGAACATTTGAGGCAAGAGCAGCAGGTAAAGCCAGCTCCAGCAACTGAATCAGGAACATGCCTTGCGTGTTTGAAGAACAGCATGCAGATGAGGGTGGCTGTAGCAAGGTGAGCAAAGGGGGACAAGTAGGAGGTGAGTGATGAGAGATACAGAAAATAAGAGCAAGTGGGGCCTTGTCATCATGGTCAGGGCTGCATTCGGCCTTTATCCTAAGTGAAATAGGATTCACCGCAGGGTTCTGGCAGAAGAGTAACGAGATCTGGTGCACATTTTAAAATAAATGCTCTTGTTACTGATTGAAGCAGTGACTTGAAACAGGAACACTATTTGCCAGCTATTGTGGTAATCCAGGTGAGAGATAATGGAAGGTCTCAGGAAGTGGCTGCCCATGGAAGTGGTTGGATTCTGGGTTCATTTTGGGAGTAGAGGAAGCAGGAATTACTGATAGGTTGAATGGGAATTGTGAGAGGACAATTAGAGAATGACTTAACCTTTGTGAGTTTCAGTAGTAGTAACACCCTTTTTTATTTCACAATCTTGTTGTGACAAATAAGTATACATATATAACTTTTGGGAAAATCAAATTTATAATTTTATTGTAGAAGTAGTATCTTTGGATTTCTAAGTCATATTTTAACATATAAAAGTGGACACAGCATAGAAAATTTTCAGCTAACCAGAACACTCACAGTGGCAATAGATTTTACATTTGACTTTAACTTTGGAATAGAAAATAAACTGGGGCCAGAGATTTAGTTTTTAGAAAGTAGGCTCCAGAAGAAGAGTTGGGATTGTTTTTATGCCTAAGAAATAAAGTGATGATAACTGACATTCACAGTGGTGACTGCAAATGTATGTTCACTCAAAAGAGCTATAGATAATAAACCAGAACCTGAATGGGGTTTGTATTCAAACCTAAGACCATCAGACATTTAATAAAGCTGAACACTCCCTGACCCAGACATTCCAGTTGTTGAGGTCTTGCATGCAGATTTTACTCAAAGAAACTGATTCATTACTAGGAGTACACAAAAGACAGTGAAATGTGATCACAGGTCTTTTCTTACTATCCTAGTGGTTGCAAATATTTTTAGGTAATTCATCTTGGGAATTTTCTTAAAGAAGGAAACAATAAAAATTTGGCATTTAGTTGTTTTATTATTAACAATCTTTTTTTTTTTTTACATGTTTAGTGGAACAATTCTGACTTTCTCAAGGATTCACTTTAACATACTATCCAAGGACTATTGACAATGGTAGATACTTTGGTGGCCATATAATGCTGTCTCTTGTTGGCATTAAATTTTATTTTACACATAAAACAAATTCACAGGTGACATAAGCTGCATAGTTATGCTCCAAAAATGACTGTTGATTTTGTAAATTCTTAATATGTTTTTTCAGTGTAGGCAAAAAAATTCTCAATGCAGCAAATGGTATGAGGTTCAATAATCTACACAGAGCAAGTCAACAGGTAACAAGGTAACTATGAAGCTTTGGCTTCTCTTGGTGTTATGATGTTTCATGGTACCTGTGGCACCTTAGAGACGCCACTGATGGGCGCTTTATCTTACGTACAAAAGGAACTATCAAGACCTCACCTGCCTCAAAGCAGGAGCCTAGTTTTTCCCAGTGAACCCTCTAATTCTATGTTGAGGATTTTCTTCGGAGTTGACGGCTATGATCAATACTTTCTTTTTCTATGATACAGCGCAATAAATTGATGACTCTAGCCGTGATAAATAGAAGTGTCCCATCTGCTGTTAGGTACCATTTTTATTTTACATTCTATCATCAACAAAACGCTGTCCAACACCAGTGACAACTACAAGAACAACTCTTGAATTTTTTTTGTTTCCATTTCTACTCAATAATGCATTTTAAATCTGTATCCTTTACTTGGTTATTCTTAGGCTCATCAAAGTTTAAGCACAAGCATTTTATCAACTCTGGTTGGGTTTCTAATTCACAGATGCTACATCCTTGCTTAGTTTCTGTTTTAAAGATTAATATCACTTAATACTCCTCCTTCCTTGTCTAACAAATAACTTCATACATTCTTCCTAAATCTATGTAAATTATTCATAAGAATAATCACACACTTTAATTCAGAGAGAAGTCTTCACTCATTTTAACTCTCCTTAACAAGTTATTTTTCTGAGTTTTTTAATTTTGAGGAAATATAATAAGTTTTATTATAGTAAGATAGTTATAACAACTATTGTAATAGTTTTATAATAACTATCAGTCCAAAAGTTTTTTTTTGGTGAGAATTGTGGGCATGGTTTCAAAGCTCCCAATATCTTGGTATGCTTATCATGTGAGTATAATTTTCAGTTATTCTTTGAAAAGTGATTTTAAAGTAGCTCATTTGAATAATTTGAAGACACAAGTTCAATATAACAATTGAAAGATAAATAAGGAAAATGGATTTTTCTATTAATAATTCTAAGGCAAAATGACAATGTGTCTTCAGAGGCTGCATAGTTTATTGGGGGAAACACTGGACAAGAAGGCCTGAAGTGTTCAGCCCCCCGTTGGCTGTCTTCATGACTCAGCCAAGTCACTTAACTGCTATGGACTTCATTATCACCAAAAGTTCTTCTGGCTTGACTATTTTGTGAGTCTATTCTTTTATTCACTGTGTGTTGTGTGCTACAGCTCACCATTTCATTTTACTTCAAGCTTTACTTAACGTTTTTTCACTCTGAGCCCTTCTTTAAATTATACTTCCCACTGGCTTTTACTATAATGACTGCTCTAGTTGTCTATTTTATAATTATTATTTTGACTAAATAATTATATCATTAACCAACTTTAGCTGCACTATTTCTCTTCATTTTCAAGGATACCAATTAGGGCATGCAATCCTGCATTCATGATAACCCCTAGCATTCTTTATAAAATAAATCTTTCCTATTGGATCCAACACAAGCTCACAGCCCTAGTGATTATTGTGTAGTTCAGTATGGAGTTTCCCTGGGCCAAATCGTTCCACACTATTTCTGTGTGTCATGGAAGCACATGCTAGTGATTTTCCTATTACATTCTGTCTCCTGTGAGCTAGACCCACTCCTAGAACATCACACACAGCTCAATAAGTTGCTGGAGAAACTGCCCTCTGAGGAGATCCTAAAACTTTCAGTTAAGTACTTGGGATGATAACTTGAACTAATTACCTATCTGGTTCTAAATGATTATGAGGCCACATCCTTTCTGCCTCACTTACTCCTTTGCATCAGCCGCCGTAATAAGTAGTCCTATCTGTTAACTCTCACCATCCAGACCTCTAGACTCTTACCCCGCCCTGCTTCATTCATTGCCTAGTCAAGTGTCCCTCAACCATTTTGCGTTATTACCTCGTTAAAGCAGCCTCTTTAGACATTGTTCTCCCCACCCCTTGTCCCTCATGAAATTTTAATACCTACAGATATACTCTATATTGGTTAGTGTATTGCATGTATGTTTATAGTATATATGTGCTTTAGGAATAAAAAGAATAGATTTTTTTTTCACCTCCAGGAACCAATTTTTGTCTCCTTGAGGACAATATCACCCCAATTGAGACTGTATCACCCAGTCTGATTATATTTTTTACCTCTCCACCAGCTTCCCATACCTTTCCCCTGTATGAATATTTTGTTCTTCTAAATTTATTCTATTGCTCCTGGACAATTTTGTTCTTTCCACTTTTGGTTATTAAAAGCAAGGCTTCTATGTACATTTGTATACATGCATCCTGGCACAGAGGTAGCAGTAAGTGGAATTGTATGGCCTTAGGGTATCTGTATCCTCATTTTTTCTAGATAGTGCCAAGCTGTTTTCCAAAGTGCTTGCATCAATTTATGCTCTCATCAGCAGTCTGTGAGTTCTCTTGTTTTACATCCTTACCACCACTTGGGTTGTCCCATTTTTTAAATATTTTGTGAGTAGTGATATTTCATTGTTCTTAAACTGATATTTTCTTAATTACGAATTAGGTGAAGCACTTTTTAAATATGTTTATTGGTTATTTGTATCTATACTCTCTTTTGGTGAAACGCCTATTCAAGTGTTTTGCACACTTTAAAATTTAGTTGTCTATACTTTTTGTGTATTTTAAGTGCAAGTTCTTTAGCTATATGTGTTAGAAATATTCTCGCTGTTTATTGACTTTTTATTTTCTTCATGGTGTATTTGCGTGGCTGTTTTAATGTAAGTAAATTTATATTTTCCTTTATCATTAGTACTCTTTAAGTCTTATTTAATAAATCATTCCCTATCCAAAAGACTGGAAGATGTTTTCCTATAATGTCTTCTAAAAGTGTTTTCATTCAGTTTTTCACATTTTTTGAAAAGGTGATTCTTTTCCAAACAATCTGCAGAACCATCCCTACCATATTATAAGAGTCCAAATAAGCATTGGTCTGTTTCTTAGTGAGCTATTGTGTTCCATGGGTCTATTGACTACCACTGTACAGTATGCATTGAATTAATTGCTGTAGCTTTTTATGATAGGCCCTTATATTTTGAAGAACAAGTTCTTCCATCTCATTTGACTTGTTCAAAACCGTGTTGGCTGTTCCTGGCCCTTTCTACTTCCACATAAATTTTAGAGACGGCATTTTTCACAAAAACATGTTGGAATTTGATAAGGATTCTCTTGAATTGTAAATCAATTTGGAGAGAATAGAAATCTTCATAGAAGTGCATCTTCCAAACCATGAGCATGATGTGTTTTGCTTATACTGTGTTTTTCTTTAATGTCTCTCAGTAAAGTTTTATGGTTTTCTTTGAAAAGGTCTTACATATCTATGTTAGATATATTCTCTGGTACTTAATCTATTTTGTTATTATAAATGGTGATATAATTTGGATCTGTGTCCCTGCCCAAATCACATTTCAAAATGCAATTCCTCAATGCTGGAGGAGACACGTGGTGGGAGGCGATTGGATCATGGAGACAATTTCTAATGGTTTGGCACCATCCCCCTAGTGCTGCTCTTGTGATAAAGTTCCCACAAAATCTGGTTGTTTGAAAGTGTGTAAGTGTGTGGCACCTCCCTCTTGCTCCCTTCCTCCTGTTCCCACCATGTGAGACTTCTCACTCTGCCTTTTCCTTCTGCCATAATTGTAAGTTTCCTGAAGCCTCCTCAGAAGCTGAACAGATGCCAGAATTATGCTTTCTTTATAGCCTACAGAACCATCAGCTGATTGATTAAACCTGTTTTATTTATAAATTACCCAGTCTCAGGCATTTATTTATAGCAGTGTGAGAATGGACCAATACAGAAAATTGGTACTGAGGAGTGGGACATTGCTATAAAGATACCTGAAAGTGTGGATGCAACTCTGGAACTGGGTAATGGGCTGAGGTTGGAACCGTTTGGAGGGCTCAGAAGAAGACAGAAAGATGAGGGAATGTTTAGAATTTATTAGAGACTTGTTAAATTGTTGTGACAAAAATGCTGATAGTGATATAGACAATGAAGTCCAAGCTAAAGAGGTATCAGAGGGAGATGAGGAACTTATTGGGAACTGGAGCAAACGTCACTTTTGTTATGCTTTAGCAAAGAGACTGGCTGCATTGTGCCCCTGTTCCAGGGATCTGTGGAACTTTGAACTTTGAGAGTGATGATTTAGAGTATCTGACAGAAGAAATTTCTAAGCAAAAAAATGACCTGAAACTGGAACTTATATTTCAAAGGGAAGCAGAGTATAAATGTTTGGAAAATTTGCACCCTGTCATGTGGTAGAAAAGAAAAACTTATTTTCTGAAGAAGAATTCAAGCAGGCTGAAGAAATTTGCATAAGTAAAAAGAAGCCAAATTTTAATAGCCAAAACAGAGGGGAGACCTCAAAGGCATTTCAGAGACCTTCACAGCAGCCACTCTCATCACAGGCCCAGAGGCCTAGGAGGGAAGAATGGTTTTATGGGCCAGGCCTTGGGCCCCACTGCCCTGTGCAGCCTTAGGACATGGCTTCCTGCATCCCAGCTGCTCCAACTCTAGCTGTGACTAAAAGGGCTCCAGGTACAGCTCAGGCTGTTGCTTCCGAGTGTGCAAGCTGTAAGCCTTGGTGGTTTCCATGTGGTATTAATAAGCCCCTAGGTGCGCAGAGTGCAAGAGTTTAGGCTTGGGAGCCTCTGCCAAGATTTCAGAGGATGTATGGAAAAACCTGGATCTCCAGGCAGAAGCCTGCTGCAGGGGTTGGAGCCCTCATCGATAACCTCTACTAGGGCAATACAGAGGGGAAATGTGGAAATGGAGCCCCAACTGGGGCACTGCCTAGTGGAGCTGTGAGAAGAGGGCCACTGTCCTACAGATCCCAGAATGGTAGATTCCCTGACAGCTTGCACTGTGTGCCTGAAAAGCCACAGGCACTCAATGCCAGCCCTTGAGAGCAACTATGGGAGCTGAGCCCTGCAAAGTCGCAGGGGTGGAGTTTCCCAAGGCCTTGGGAGCTTACCTCTTACACCAGTGTGCCCTGGATGTGAGACATGTAGTCAAAGGAGATTCTTTTGGAGCTTTAAGATTGAATGACTGCACTGCTGGGTATTGGACTTGCATGGATCCTGTAGCCCCTTTCTTTTGGCCAATTTATCCCTTTTGGAATGAGAGTATTTACCCAATGCCTATACCGCCATTGTATCTTGGAAGTAACTAAATTATTTTTTATTTTACACACTCATATATGGAAGGAACTTGCCTTGTCTCAGATGTGACTTGAAACTGTGGACTTTTGAGTTCATGCCGGAAGAAGTTAAGACTCTGGGGGACTGTTGGGAAGATATGATTGTATTTTGAAATGTGAGAAGGACATGAGATTTGGAAGGGGCTGGGGTGGAATGATATGGTTGGGATCTGTCTCCACTGAAATCTCATGTCAAAATGTAATCCTCCAATGCTGGAAGTGGGGCCTGGTGGGAAGTGACTAGATCATGGAGGCAGTTGCTAGTGGTTTAGCACCATCCCCCTAGTGCTGTTCTCATGATAGAGTTCTACAGGATCTGATTGTTTAAAAGTGTGTAGCACTTTTGCCTTCTCTTTTTCCTCCTGCTCCTACCATGCATGATGCCTCACTCCCCCTTTGTTTTCTGCCATGATAGTAAGTTTTCTTGAGGCCTCCCCAGAAGCCAAGCAGATGCTAGAATTATGCTTTCTGTATAGCTTGTGGAACTGTGAGCCAATTAACTTTAAACTTCTTTTCTTTATAAATTACCCAGTATCAGGTATTTCTTTATAGCTGTGTGAGAACAGACTAATACAAACGGTATGTTAAAACATTTTAAAAATTGCTTCCCTTTTTTTTTCTTTTTTGAGATGAAGGCTTACTCTGTCACCCAGGATGGAGTGCATTGGCATGATCTCAGCTCACTGCAACCTCCACCTCCCGGGTTCAAGTGATTCTCATGCCTCAGCCTCCTGAACAGCAGGGATTACAGGCACCTGCCACCATACCTGGCTAATTTTTGTATTTTTAGTACAGACAGGGTTTCTCCATTTTGGCCATGTTCAAACTCCTGACCTCAGGTGATCCACCTGTCTTGGCCTCCCCAAGTGCTGGATTACAGGCACGAGCCACCGTGCCTGGCCAAAAATTTGCTTCTAATTGTTGATGACGTATAAGAATACAATTGATTTTTGTTTATAGATTTGTATTCACCCACCTTGCAATTTTCTCTTATTAATTTTATTATTTTATCTCCAGATTTTTCTAGATGTTCCAAAGACATGACTATATAATATGCAAATAACAGTTATGCTTCTTCCTTTATTATTTTTATATTAAAATTTTTTATTGCCTAAATTTGCTGACTAGGATCTCCAGAACAATGCTGAATGTCATTCCTAGTCTCGTGAGAAATCATTTAAGGGTTTCACAATTTCGTATGATAATTGATGTATACTTTTTGAAGTTATTTTTTTCCAAAATAAGGAGTTGAGCTAGGTTTGTGTTTTATTGTTGCTATCATTACTTTCTTCTACCACTGGCTATTTGGTTTCCTGCTAACCCCGGCTCTCTGAGATGTTCAAGAAAAGTTATGGTTTTGTAGTTTATTCAGGCTTTTCTCATTGGCCGGGTGGGAGCAAGACTCTTGTTTTAAAATAAGTTTATTAAGGCATATTTTACATATCATATAATTTATCCTTTTCAAATGTATAATTCAATGATTAAAAAAAATTTACCAAGTTGTGCACTCATCACGTTAAATCCATTTTAGAACATTTTCATCATTCCAATATGATTCCTCATGCACATTTACGTTAATCCCCATCCCTCACCCTCTCACTGCCCCATCCCAGTAACCACTACTCTATTTTCTACTTTTATAGTTTGGAAACTGTTCCTGCCAGTTTTCTACATGCTTGGCAGCCGTGGAACCTCTCAGTTGGTTTAGGATGTTTGTTTACCTGTTTACAGATAAGTTGAAGTTTTTAGCCACACTGTTGACATGTCTTTACTTTCTATGTCTGTGGTTTATTATGTTGTTTCAGTATTCTAAATATTTATAACTGTTTTTATCTGTGTGATTTATTGTTTTCTCAGAATTTTGTTACAAATTTCTATTAATTTCAAAGAGAGCTATCTAAATTTCTCATTATGATTATTGTTTTGCCAATTTCTTCTGGTTCTATCAATTTTGTCATTATCTTGAAGCTGTTTTTAGAATGCATATGAGTCTTGTTAAATATCCCTAATGAGTTTTTTTAATGATTAGGCAAGGACTTTCTTTTATCATAATGATATTTTTTGTCTTTATGTGTATTATGCTTATATTAATATTCCATCCTTCTAATTTCAAGTTTTCTGTGTCTTTGTATTTTAGATGCATCAATTGCAAACAGCATATAATTCAATATTTATTTTTAATTCAATAAGAGAATGTTTATTTTTAATAGGGGGGATCAATTCATTTTAATTCATTGTGATTACATATTTCTGGCACCTAGCTTATGTTTTCTGTTAGGAATGTCTTTGCTTTGCTTTTTTATCCATACTTTTCTGCCTTTTATTGGATGAAGTCATTTATTTTTTTCTGGAATAATTATAGATTCACAAGAAGTTGCAAAAAATAGTACAGAGTGGTCGCATGTACCCTTTATTCCATTTTCCCCAGTATTTATATCTTAGGTAATTATAGAACATCATCAAGACCAGAAAACTGACATTGCTACAATGTATGTGTATTAGTCTATGCCATTTTATCACGTTCAGATTTGTATAATCCACCAGAATCAAAATACAGAACTACTCCATCACCAAAAAGATCTCCCGTGTGCTTCCTGCCCAGTTAAAATCACACTCACCTCTGTCTCCCTGAATATCTCTAACCCCTAGCAACACAAATCTGCTGTCCATCTCTAAAATTTTGCCATTTTGATAATGTTATATGAATGAAATCATTCATATAACATTGTATTATGAACATCATTCATATAACTTCATATAACATTGAGATTGGCTTTTCTCTCACCAGCGTAGTGCCTTGAGATTCATACAGCTTGTTGCATGCAGAAATAGCTTGTTCCTTCTATTGCTCGGTAATATTCTGTGAGATGGATATACCACAACTTGTTTATCAAGCAGGGGGTGGAAGTTCAAGTTCTTCACTAGGTGACCAATGATACCACCCTGGCTGGCAGGAGAAGGGTACCTTGTTACTGCTGCAGACACCAGGGAGATGGGGGTGCTGAGGGATGGTCTCCCCACTCAGCCTCGTCTAATGCTACCCCTGTGGAAATAGGAAGGAGGGCCTTATTAATGGGAGAGGGAGGCTGAAGTCCAGGCTTTCCACGTGGCCAGAACTGACTCTGTGTGTGTGTGTGCATACTCATTCACACTTCCTAGACTAGGATGAAAGTACTGGCTCCTGACTTGCTCTTCTGTACTGGCTCCTGACTTGTTCTTCTGTGATACCACCCTGGGTATGGGAGGAGCTGCTTCATTACAGCTGGGTGAGGGTGGAAGTCTAAGCTCCCACCTGGGACTTTGCTGAAAGAGTGAGTGTGGGGCCACATTTTTTTCCCCAGTAGTGTTTAATTATACTAGGGTGGTTATCCTATGCAAGTTTTCTGTTTTGCTAGGCTTCTCTCTTCCTAGTCCTTTGACTTTTTTGTCTGCCCATTGGTTTCTATTGACATTCTGGTTGTAGGCTTCTGATTGAGCTTTATTTAGTCCCCTATCTCCTCTACTGATTTGGAAAGAGTTTATTTTCCTTCTTGTATTTTGGTAGTTACCCTCAAATACATGACTAATTCTAAAATATAGCAATATCTCTATATCCTACCAGAGATCTTAGAATGCTTCTACTTTAATAACCAGATTCAGTGTCTTGCATGTTATCACTGTCATGTATTTTGGCTCTATCTCATTTGTAAGTTCTTGCAAATTTTAATTTTTGTTACAAGCTTCTTTCAAACTCAATGCTTATTTTAACTTCCCAATATGTTTGCCAGTTTCTTTGTTAAGCATCGTTTCTTGCTTCCCATTCCTCTTTCCTGATTCAATTATATTCTTGCTGAAATACATGCTTAATAGCTTTTTATTGAGAGTAAATGGCGACAGTCTTTTTGTTTTTCTTTTATTCTGACAAATGTTTTAGTCTGACTAAGGTTTTCTCTGATTAAGAAGACCTTAATGTTTCCCTCTGCTTGACTAAACATCAGACAGGCTTCTTCTTGACTCTAGGCCCCTGACCTCTGTTAAAAAAAAATTTTGTAAGAGACCATTGATTTGGACTAAGCTCCTGCATGAGGCCCCATAGACAAGACCAGTATGAAGTTCAATCTAAGTAGCTGGGCTTCAGGTAATTGCAGAAGGCTCTGTAACCAATTAACCAATTAAACTGTGACCACTTAAGTGGCCTCTGTGCTTCACTTCTGTTTTCTATAACTGCTGCCTGATCATGTCGTTGACTAGAGTTCTTAGAACCTGTTCTGGTTCTGAGGGCTATCTGATTTGCAAATCATTTTTCCCCCTTAAAACTCAGTTAAATTTAAACTGTCTAAGGTTTTTCCTTTTAACAGATTGGCATAGTTGGTAGGATCCAGAGGAGAACTCCAATAACCCATAGAGAGCATGGGGTGAGCAAACAGAAGTACCCACAAGGGTCCACTGTGTCTATTGATCTCTCTTGGCAACTGAAGATTGTGGGTGAGTTCTTGCTCAGGTTTCAACTTTCACTAATTTGTGTTCTGAACTTTCTGGGCTTACTTGAGCAATTAGATCTAAACTAGGATCAGCAGTGGCAACAGAAACAGGATGGCGTCCTCCAGGAAGACCCTGGGTGTCCGACTGAATCAGACAGAGACTGGACTGGGTCCAGAACTGGATTAGAGTTAAGGTAGGATTTTTAAAGTAGTGGGCTTGGTAATGGGTTTATTTCAATTCAAGGAGCTTAGAACTCATTTATCTAGAACTCATGTATAAGAAATATGAACCCAGGGGCTGGGCACGATGGCTTACATCTGTAATCTCAGCACTTTGGGAGGCTGAGGCTAGAGGATCACTTGAGCCCAGGAGGTCAAGGCTGCAGCGAGCAATGTTTATTTCACTGCACTCCATCCTGAGTGACAGGGGTGAGATCCTGTCTCAAAAAAAAAAAAAAAAAAAAAGGACTCAATACATGTGCATTTTTACAAGAATGGGTTAACCTTACTAGAGATAACTTAGATTTAAAGTGGCCATAATGAGGAAGTTTTAAGTTGGATAAAATTATTTGCAGGGCACATTAGAAAAAGAAGGATCAAAATCCCCACAAAAACATGGAATACATTTTTAAATTGATATGCATAGGTATCTAATAGATTAAATGAATCAAAATTTGCCTCTAAATGATTCTTTACAGAAGGCAAATGAAAAGCTTAAGCAACAAATAGAGGACATGATGAAATAGGAGTGTACTCTGACTGAATTAATCCTGACTGCTCCTTCTCCTTATCATTATCCCAATACCCTGATTCCTCTAATATTTTTGCTCAATTACCTTATTTTTTTTTCATCTTGAGCATAATTAAAAAGGCGAAGTTCAACAAATGCCTTATAAAGTCAGACCGTTTGAACAACCAGGCTCACCTGCCATAACCACTTTACTCCATGGTCTAAAGCTGAGCTTAGAGCCATCATAAGAGACTGCTAATCCAGAAGTAAATCCTCAAAAGTTTACAAAGGAATTTAACATTCTCATAGGAATTTACCATCAGGACACCCTGATGATTACCAATTTATTTACATGATATTTGGACTTGATGAAGCTTGTAAATGGATAGCAGCAGTAGAATGGAAAGAACTTGAGCAGGATATTAAAGACTTCTTCTTCCTCGTGAGAAGGCATGAAATGAGCTGGGAGCGTCACTAAAAACCATTTAAATTCAATCCTTAAGGTTTTTCCACAGAAAACTGATTGGACCAACACATATTCTTGCAAGCAGAAGAAAGATGAGCTGGTTTCACATTACGGAGATCATTTAGAAACAACATTTGTAAAATATTCTGTGTTTAAAATACAACAAGGGAGTATTTCCTTGAGAGACTGAAATGGCATTAACTGCTTTATTTATAAACAAACTTTGTCCTAAATGTAGCAGTCTGATTAAGAAACATAAACTGGCTGGGAGCAGGGGCTCATGCCTGTAATCCTAGCACTTTGGGAGGCTAAGGAGGGTGGATCACTTGAGGTCAGGAGTTCAAGACCAGCCGGGTCAACATGGTGAAACCACGTCTCTACTAAAAATACAAAAATTAGCTGGGTGTGGCTGCGGGCACCTGTAATCCCAGCTACTTGGGAGGCTGATACAGGAGAAACGCTTGAACCCTTGAACCCTTGAGGTGGAGGTTGTGGTGAGCCGAAATTGTAAAATTGCACCACTGCACTACTGCCTGGGCAATAGAGTGAGACTCTATCTCAAAAAAAAAAAAAAAAAAAAAACAAAAAAACAAAAAACCAAAACAAACAACAACAACAAAAGCATAAAGTGGATAGGAAGTTATAAATATAGCTGAATTGGTAGCTTTAGCTGAACACCTTGAGAGGACTTTAAAATAAGAAAAATTGCCAAAAGCTAACAAACTTATTTCCCTCCAATTACAACTATTGCAGGGATTAGACCAAAGGGACTTTTTCATCCTTATTTCCTTATTTTATCCTACAACCAAAAGACCTAGACTAAAAAAGTCTTTATCCCAATATGTCTGCCTTTATGGCAAACAAACAAGACATAGGAACAGAGATTTTTTATTTTTTTATGCCAGTCTACCAATAAGCCTCCTCCTTTTAGACCAAATTGAACTGCTTCCCCACTCAGAAGGCAATATGGTGGCAATTCTAAAATGCCAGCTGGAAGAGAAGTAAAAGCTGCTGTTCATGGAGTGGGAAGATGTGTCTGTCCCCAAGAGCAAACTGAGGGAACTTAGAAGGAGATGTCGTGAAAAATGTCAAGACAGCAGTCTGGGAGGCCAAGGTGAAAAAGCAGCTGATGGCCCAGAAGTGACCATGTGGGCCAACTACTGGGAGCACATGAAGGAGGTGCAGCAGATTTAGGGCAAGATCTGGATTCTTCAGGGGCAGCTGCAGAACTCCATCCTGAGGGATACCTCGAACCAAGCCATGAGCCATGTGGGCGGCAAGCAGAATGTGGAGCTGGCCAAGCTCTGGCAGGAGCTCAGCAAGGAACTGACGAAGTCAGAGGCTACATGACAGGAGGAGTACAGGTGGAAGGCCAGCAGAGGAGGAGTCCTAGCAGTCACAGGTCATAGTGAAACATCTCAAAGGTATTGTAGAGAAGCTAAAAGGGGAACATGAAAATTCAGATCAGGTGAGGGAATGCACCTAGCATCTGGAGGCAAAGCTGGAGAAGCACATGGAAGCTGCAGCACTGAGGGCCAGAACTACACCAAAGAGGTGGCAGGGTTGAGGCAACTTTAGATAGAATCTCAATCTCAGCCAGATGCATCCAAGGGTGAAGCCCATAACTGTAAAGGGAATGCTAAATCAGCTAGTGCTGAATGGATAGGATGTGCAATTAGAATGATACCTATATGATTGATCCAAGTCAATGTTTATGATGATCTATGTAATAAACAACGCAAAGCCCCTGATTTGGAGAAAAAAAATTGGTATCTGAAAGAAAGTAAATTCAGTGTTAAGCATGGACTCACGCAGTGCCTGGATGGCTACCTGGTCCTCCCTGAGTCCTTGAAGATTCCCTTGTTAAGAACTTTGAACTCTACAACTCATGTAATAGGCAAAATGATCCAAATTATAAAAAAAATCGGTGGGGTGACAAAATTGCTAAAATAGTTTGTGCCTAATATTTGGTTTGCCAAACCCATAAGCCTTGGAAGACAATCAAATCTCCAGGCGGCACCTTTCTGCTACCTGAAGGACCATTTCAACATTAACAGTGGGATTTCATTCAATTACCACATTAAACAGGATACGAATACAATAGTGCTTCCTTATCTACAGTCTTGCTTTCTATGGTTTCAGTTACCTACAGTCAACGGTGGTCCAAGAATAGGTGAGTGCATACAGTACAATATTTTGAGAGACCACATTCACATAGCTTTCACTGCAGTATATTGTTGTAATTGTTCTATTTCACTATTGTTAATCTCTTACGGTACCTAATCTATAAGTTAAACTTTGTCATAGGTATATATAGGAAAAAACATAGTACATGTAGGGTTTAATACTACCCATGGTTTCAGACATCCTTTGTGGGTCTTGAAACATCCTCCACAGACAATGGGGCGGGGCTACTGCCTGTGATTGTACTGGTCTATGTTTCTGGTTGAATAGCTTTTCTGTACAGGAAAGATAATGCTATAATGGTAGCCAAGAAGCTATCAAGAATGTGTTTATTAAGTAACAGATATTTATAAAATTTTGTGGTCATTTTTATGTAAATTAAAATACTAAGACATTAACTGCTGAGTATACATGTATAATATGTATTTTGGCATCTTGTTTTTATACAGCATAGAGAAACTAAATATGGGTCTGTAAATAAACGTGGAAATTGTGTTATGAGGAAACACATTTCTAAAAGTTATAAAATGGTGCTCACCTACCAAATGCTGATAGGAAACATTTCAAAATTGCTTACTTCCTAGGTTTTCACTGGAAGTTGAGGTTTCTGAGAGTTAGAAATTCTAATCAATATATGGCAATTGAGAATGGTGATGATAAGGGAAACAACTCCTTATGTGAGGAGGCTGGGATGTAATTTTGGTAAATGAAGTTTACATAAAGGATGTGTTCTTGTTAGGGGAAAAGGAGAGTAGTTTTTGTCCTGGAGTGCAGTTCCAGAGTGAGAGGAAGGGAATGTGTAGGACAAGTAGCTGAGAGGATAAGAAGGTTGTAGAGATGAGAGCTTGACCAAAAGAAGAGAATTGTTAAACAAAATTTGGAGGAGGCTATTGATTTGGCCTAAGCTCCTGCACGAGGCCCCACAGACAAAACCAATATGAGGTTCAATCACAGTTGTTGACCTTTAGGTAATTGGGGGAGGTTCTGTAACCAATCAACCAATTAAACTGTAACCGTGTAAGTTGTCTCTATACTTCACTTACATTTTCTATAAATGCTGCCTGGTCTCATTGTTGACCAGAGTTCACAGAACTTGTTCTGGTTCTGAGGGCTGCCTGACTGACAAATCATTTTTTTGTTGTTCCTCAGACTTGATTAAATTTAAACTTAAGATTTTTTCTTTTCCTTTTCTTAGAACATTCTTGAGAAAAGTTGTAATTGAAAATTCTTTTTCCGCCCTTTGAGATGTAAATCTTCTCCCAGGCTCTTGCCAGTTTCATAACTCAGGAATGTCTTTCTAAAGGACTTGGGAGCCATCCCTCTGAAATGTACTCATCAAATACACTCCGTCTCCCAGTTTCTGTGGAGAGGGTAGGAGCCTAACTTCTACAAGCAATAATTAGAAAATACATATGGTCTAGTAAAATTGACCAGCTTCCCTACTGACATCCTGCAGTTTTCTTCCACTAGCTCATCCCAGTGCTTAGAAAGTTCACCTGCTTTTTGTTTCAGCAGAGTTGAGTTCATTCTCTTGCAATAGTCTTGTGTGCAGGCTTTGCTTATTTAACTCTATCTGGTGTAATTTCTTTATAAATTTTATATTTGACACATAATTGTGCATATTTATGAGGTGTAATATGATATTTCCAGTCAGGTATACAATGCGTAATGATCAAATTAGAGTAATTAGCATATCTATCACTTCGAACTTTTTTTTGTTTGTTGATCATTCAAAACCTTCTCTTCTAGCTATTTGAAAATATACAACAAATTATTAACTATAGTCATCCTACAATGTTACAGAACACTAGAACTTATTCTTCCTAGCTGGCTGTAATATGACAAATCTCCATGTGTTTATTTCAACTGTTCTGAATGACAGGTTAACTTAGAAAACTATTTTTCCCTCTGTACATTAAAGATACAGAAACTAGCACATGCTAATGATTTTTAATTTGTTTTAGAAGCAAATGTCCTTAAGGACACACATCTTAAAAGTTTTTTATTGTAAAATATGTATATAATAAAATGTACCATTTTAGCCACTTTAAAGTATACAGTTTTTGTCATTAAGTATATTTACATTGTTGTGCAACTAACACCATCATACATCTCCAGAACTTTTTCACTGGTCCCAACTGAAACTCTGTACCTATTAAACACTAACTCCCAATCTCTGTCCTCTAATGCCTTGGTAATCACTGTTCTATCTTCCATCTTTATGAATTTGCCTACTCTAGGTACTTCATAAGGGGAATGATACAATATTTGCCCTTTTGTATCTGACTTATTTCACTTAGCATCATGTCTTCAGGGTTCATCCAAGTTGTAGCATGTTTCAGAATTCCTTTGTAAGGCAGACTAATATTCCATTGTATGTATATACCACATTTTGCTTACCCGTTCATCCACTGATGGGTAATTGGGTTGATTTCACTTTTTGGCCATTATGAATGAGGCTGCTATGAACATAATATACAAATACCTTTTTGAGACTCTGCTTTCAACAGAAGTGAAATTGCAGCATATATTCATATAATGTTGCCACTCACCTACTTTACAGGTCTGATTTTCCTTTCAGACTGTGCTTCCAGCCACTCTCTTCTTGTCCTTGAAATGTTCACATCTTCTGTACCTGGAAAATGCCCTCACACCTCTCACTCCAATCTCTACTCCCAATGGCTAATTACTAATCAATTCTCAAGTTTTAATGGAAACATCATCTCTTCAGTGACAACTCCTCTGCTGACCTCCTAATTCTCCTAGTTGCAAGTTTTCGTAGCAGACTTTATGGCCCTCTTTTTTGACATTCATCATATTTGTTATCACTCCTTTAATGGTTATTTCCCTCAGCTTATTCTAAATTATCTAAGGTCAGGGAATTGGTTTACCATGGTCTTTGCCAAAGCCTACACTACGATTCCCTTTCAGTGCATATGCAATTACTTTGTGATGTATTAACTTGGCTAGGTTGAACTATATTTCCCAGATTTCCCTTTCTAGCATATTTCTGGTTAAGGAGAGCTATAAGGGAGATTCTATCTCCAGAGCTGGACTGTGGAAGGGAGATTGCAGCCATTTTGCAGCAAGTACATGTTGCTGCTGATCTACTGACTCGCTTCCTTGGTGTGAAGCAGCAACTGAGCCAGTGCATGTGTTTTGTCTCTATGAAGAAGGTTCTAGCTTTTTCAATATTGTCTTGTAACCATGGTCAGAGGCCTTGTAACCAAGGTCAGAAAATTCTGCTTCTCTGATTGAACCCTTGCTGAGACAGAGCAGATTGTTCTTTTCCTTTGTGGCTAATATAAATAGGACATTTTCTTGTTAACTTATGTGTCAGCTGCTTCTTCCAGTAGAAGCATAACATAGCAGTTAAAAGCAAAAATCAGGAAAAATTTGGCTTCTGTTTTTTTTTTTTTTAATTTTTTATTATACTTTAAGTTTTAGGGTACATGTGCACATTGTGCAGGTTAGTTACATATGTATACATCTGCCATGCTGGTGCGCTGCACCCACTAACTCGTCATCTAGCATTAGGTATATCTCCCAGTGCTATCCCTCCCCACTCCCCCCACCCCACCACAGTCCCCAGAGTGTGATATTCCCCTTCCTGTGTCCATGTGATCTCATTGTTCAATTCCCACCTATGAGTCAGAATATGCGGTGTTTGGTTTTTTGTTCTTGCGATAGTTTACTGAGAATGATGATTTCCAATTTCATCCATGTCCCTGCAAAGGACATGAACTCATCAATTTTTATGGCTGCATAGTATTCCATGGTGTATATGTGCCACATTTTCTTAATCCAGTCTATCATTGATGGACATTTGGGTTGGTTCCAAGTCTTTGCTATTGTGAATAATGCCGCAATAAACATACGTGTGCATGTGTCTTTATAGCAGCATGATTTATAGTCCTTTGGGTATATACCCAGTAATGGGATGGCTGGGTCAAATGGTATTTCTAGTTCTAGATCCCTGAGGAATCGCCACACTGACTTCCACAATGGTTGAACTAGTTTACAGTCCCACCAACAGTGTAAAAGTGTTCCTATTTCTCCACATCCTCTCCAGCACCTGTTGTTTCCTGACTTTTTAATGATTGCCATTCTAACTGGTGTGAGATGGTATCTCATTGTGGTTTTGATTTGCATTTCTCTGATGGCCAGTGATGATGAGCATTTTTTCATGTGTTTTTTGGCTGCATAAATGTCTTCTTTTGAGAAGTGTCTGTTCATGTCCGCCCACTTTTTGATGGGGTTGTTTGTTTTTTTCTTGTAAATTTGTTTGAGTTCATTGTAGATTCTGGATATCAGCCCTTTGTCAGATGAGTAGGTTGCGAAAATTTTCTCCCATTTTGTAGGTTGCCTGTTCACTCTGATGGTAGTTTCTTTTGCTGTGCGGAAGCTCTTTAGTTTAATTAGATCCCATTTGTCAATTTTGGCTTTTGTTGCCATTGCTTTTGGTGTTTTGGACATGAAGTCCTTGCCCATGCCGATGTCCTGAATGGTCATGCCTAGGTTTTCTTCTAGGGTTTTTATGGTTTTAGGTCTAACGTTTAAATCTTTAATCCATCTTGAATTGATTTTTGTATAAGGTGTAAGGAAGGGATCCAGTTTCAGCTTCCTACATATGGCTAGCCAGTTTCCCCAGCACCATTTATTAAATAGGGAATCCTTTCCCCATTGCTTGTTTTTCTCAGGTTTGTCAAAGATCAGATAGTTGTAGGTATGCGGCATTATTTCTGAGGGCTCTGTTCTGTTCCATTGGTCTATATCTCTGCTTTGGTACTGTAGCTGTCTTGGTTACTGTAGCCTTGTAGTATAGTTTGAAGTCAGGTAGCGTGATGCCTCCAGCTTTGTTCTTTTGGCTTAGGATTGACTTGGCAATGCGGGCTCTTTTTTGGTTCCATATGAACTTTAAAGTAGTTTTTTCCAGTTCTGTGAAGAAAGTCATTGGTAGCTTGATGGGAATGGCATTGAATCTGTAAATTACCTTGGGCAGTATGGCCATTTTCACGATATTGATTCTTCCTACCCGTGAGCATGAAATGTTCTTCCATTTGTTTTTATCCTCTTTTATTTCGTTGAGCAGTGGTTTGTAGTTCTCCTTGAAGAGGTCCTTCACATCCCTTGTAAGTTGGATTCCTAGGTATTTTATTCTCTTTGAAGCAATTGTGAATGGGAGTTCACTCATGATTTGGCTCCCTGTTTGTCTGTTGTTGGTGTATAAGAATGCTTGTGATTTTTGTACATTGATTTTGTATCCTGAGACTTTGCTGAAGTTGCTTATCAGCTTAAGGGGATTTTGGGCTGAGACAATGGGGTTTTCTAGATATACAATCATGTCGTCTGCAAACAGGGACAATTTGACTTCCTCTTTTCCTAATTGGATACCCTTTATTTCCTTCTCTTGCCTAATTGCCCTGGCCAGAACTTCCAACACTATGTTGAATAGGAGTGGTGAGAGAGGGCATCCCCGTCTTGTGCCAGTTTTCAAAGGGAATGCTTCCAGTTTTTGCCCATTCAGTATGATGTTGGCTGTGGGTTTGTCATAGATAGCTCTTGTTATTTTGAAATACGTCCCATCAATACCTAATTTCTTTAGAGTTTTTAGCATGAAGGGTTGTTGAATTTTGTCAAAGGCTTTTTCTGCATCTATTGAGATAATCATGTGGTTTTTGTCTTTGGCTCTGTTTATATGCTGGATTACATTTATTGATTTGCGTATATTGAAGGAGCCTTGCATCCCAGGGATGAAGCCCACTTGATCATGGTGGATAAGCTTTTTGATGTGCTGCTGGATTCGGTTTGCCAGTATTTTATTGAGGATTTTTGCATCAATGTTCATCAAGGATATTGGTCTAAAATTCTCTTTTTTGATTGTGTCTCTGCCCGGCCTTGGTATCAGAATGATGCTGGCCTCATAAAATGAGTTAGGGAGGATTCCCTCTTTTTCTATTGATTGGAATAGTTTCAGAAGGAATGGTACCAGTTCTTCCTTGTACCTCTGGTAGAATTCGGCTGTGAATCCATCTGGTCCTGGACTCTTTTTGGTTGGTAAACTATTGATTATTGCCAGAATTTCAGCTCCTGTTATTGATCTATTCAGAGATTCAACTTCTTCCTGGTTTAGTCTTGGGAGAGTGTATGTGTCGAGGAATGTATCCATTTCTTCTAGATTTTCTAGTTTATTTGCGTAGAGGTGTTTGTAGTATTCTCTGATGGTAGTTTGTATTTCTGTGGGATCGGTGGTGATATCCCCTTTATCATTTTTTATTGTGTCTATTTGATTCTTCTCTCTTTTTTTCTTTATTAGTCTTGCTAGTGGTCTATCAATTTTGTTGATCCTTTCAAAAAACCAGCTCCTGGATTCATTGATTTTTTGAAGGGTTTGTTGTGTCTCTATTTCCTTCAGTTCTGCTCTGATTTTAGTTATTTCTTGCCTTCTGCTAGCTTTTGAATGTGTTTGCTCTTGCTTTTCTAGTTCTTTTAATTGTGATGTTAGGGTGTCAATTTTGGATCTTTCCTGCTTTCTCTTGTGGGCATTTAGTGCTATAAATTTCCCTCTACACACTGCTTTGAATGCATCCCAGAGATTCTGGTATGTTGTGTCTTTGTTCTCGTTGGTTTCAAAGAACATCTTTATTTCTGCCTTCATTTCGTTATGTACCCAGTAGTCATTCAGGAGCAGGTTGTTCAGTTTCCATGTAGTTGAGCGGCTTTGAGTGAGATTCTTAATCCTGAGTTCTAGTTTGATTGCACTGTGGTCTGAGAGATAGTTTGTTATAATTTCTGTTCTTTTACATTTGCTGAGGAGATCTTTACTTCCAACTATGTGGTCAATTTTGGAATAGGTGTGGTGTGGTGCTGAAAAAAATGTATATTCTGTTGATTTGGGGTGGAGAGTTCTGTAGATGTCTATTAGGTCCGCTTGGTGCAGAGCTGAGTTCAATTCCTGGGTATCCTTGTTGACTTTCTGTCTCGTTGATCTGTCTAATGTTGACAGTGAGGTGTTAAAGTCTCCCATTATTAATGTGTGGGAGTCTAAGTCTCTTTGTAGGTCACTCAGGACTTGCTTTATGAATCTGGGTGCTCCTGTATTGGGTGCATATATATTTAGGATAGTTAGCTCTTCTTGTTGAATTGATCCCTTTACCATTATGTAATGGCCTTCTTTGTCTCTTTTGATCTTTGTTGGTTTGAAGTCTGTTTTATCAGAGACTAGGATTGCAACCCCTGCCTTTTTTTGTTTTCCATTTGCTTGGTCGATCTTCCTCCATCCTTTTATTTTGAGCCTATGTGTGTCTCTGCACGTGAGATGGGTTTCCTGAATACAGCACACTGATGGGTCTTGACTCTTTATCCAATTTGCCAGTCTGTGTCTTTTAATTGGAGAATTTAGTCCATTTACATTTAAAGTTAATATTGTTATGTGTGAATTTGATCCTGTCATTATGATGTTAGCTGGTGATTTTGCTCGTTAGTTGATGCAGTCTCTTCCTAGTCTCGATGGTCTTTACATTTTGGCATGATTTTGCAGCGGCTGGTACCGGTTGTTCCTTTCCATGTTTAGTGCTTCCTTCAGGAGCTCTTTTAGGGCAGGCCTGGTGGTGACAAAATCTCTCAGCATTTGCTTGTCTGTAAAGTATTTTATTTCTCCTTCACTTATGAAGCTTAGTTTGGCTGGATATGAAATTCTGGGTTGAAAATTCTTTTCTTTAAGAATGTTGAATATTGGCCCCCACTCTCTTCTGGCTTGTAGGGTTTCTGCTGAGAGATCCGCTGTTAGTCTGATGGGCTTCCCTTTGAGGGTAACCCGACCTTTCTCTCTGGCTGCCCTTAACATTTTTTCCTTCATTTGAACTTTGGTGAATATGACAATTATGTGTCTTGGAGTTGCTCTTCTCGAGGAGTATCTTTGTGGCGTTTTTTGTATTTCCTGAATCTGAATGTTGGCCTGCCTTGCTAGATTGGGGAAGTTCTCCTGGATAATATCCTGCAGAGTGTTTTCCAACTTGGTTCCATTCTCCCCATCACTTTCAGGTACACCAATCAGACGTAGATTTGGTCTTTTCACATAGTCCCATATTTCTTGGAGGCTTTGCTCATTTCTTTTTATTCTTTTTTCTCTAAACTTCCCTTCTCGCTTCATTTCATTCATTTCATCTTTCATTGCTCATACCCTTTCTTCCAGTTGATCGCATCGGCCCCTGAGACTTCTGCATTCTTCACGTAGTTCTCGAGCCTTGGTTTTCAGCTCCATCAGCTCCTTTAAGCACTTCTCTGTATTGGTTATTCTAGTTATACATTCTTCTAAATTTTTTTCAAAGTTTTCAACTTCTTTGCCTTTGGTTTGAATGTCCTCCCGTAGCTCAGAGTAATTTGATCGTCTGAAGCCTTCTTCTCTCAGCTCGTCAAAGTCATTCTCCATCCAGCTTTGTTCCGTTGCTGGTGAGGAACTGCGTTCCTTTGGAGGAGGAGGGACGCTCTGCGTTTTAGAGTTTCCAGTTTTTCTGTTCTGTTTTTTTCCCCATCTTTGTGGTTTTATCTACTTTTGGTCTTTGATGCTGGTGATGTACAGATGGGTTTTCAGTGTGGATGTCCTTTCTGTTTGTTAGTTTTCCTTCTAACAGACAGGAGCCTCAGCTGCAGGTCTGTTGGAATACCCTCCCGTGTGAGGTGTCAGTGTGCCCCTGCTGGGGGGTGCCTCCCAGTTAGGCTGCTCGGGGGTCAGGGGTCGGGGACCCACTTGAGGAGGCAGTCTGCCCGTTCTCAGATCTCCAGCTGCGTGCTGGGAGAACCACTGCTCTCTTCAAAGCTGTCAGACAGGGACATTTAAGTCTGCAGAGGTTACTGCTGTCTTTTTGTTTGTCTGTGCCCTGCCCCCAGAGGTGGAGCCTACAGAGGCAGGCAGGCCTCCTTGAGCTGTGGTGGGCTCCACCCAGTTGGAGCTTCCCGGCTGCTTTGTTTACCTAAGCAAGCCTGGGCAATGGCGGGTGCCCCTCCCCCAGCCTCGCTGCCGCCTTGCAGTTTGATCTCAGACTGCTGTGCTAGCAATCAGCGAGATTCCGTGGGCGTAGGACCCTCCGAGCCAGGTGTGGGATATAGTCTCGTGGTGCGCCGTTTTTTAAGCCGGTCTGAAAAGCTCAATATTCGGGTGGGAGTGATCCGATTTTCCAGGTGCGTCCGTCACCCCTTTCTTTGACTCGGAAAGGGAACTCCCTGACCCCTTGCGCTTCCCAGGTGAGGCAATGCCTCGCCCTGCTTCGGCTCATGCACGGTGCGCGCACCCACTGGCCTGCGCCCACTGTCTGGCACTCCCTAGTGAGATGAACCTGGTACCTCAGATGGAAATGCGGAAATCACCCATCTTCTGTGTCGCTCACGCTGGGAGCTGTAGACTGGAGCTGTTCCTATTCGGCCATCTTGGCTCCTCCCTATCCCAATTTGTGGCTTCTGTTTTGATCCTGCCTCTGACACTTACTAGCTTTGATTCAGGTCCCTCATCTGTAGAATGGGAACATTTAGAATATCTACCTAATAAAGTTGTTATAAGGATTAAAGTATTACTTTTATAGATCAGTACCTGGCATATATAAGTAGTATGTGAATTTGATAAAAATTTAATTTTAACAAAGTACTGTACAACTTTCAGGAGAGCAGGGATCTTTTCCCTCTTGTTCAGCACTTGGATCCCAGCACCTTGAAGAATGCCTAGAACATTGTAGGTGCTCAAGGCTTGACTCACATTGAATACCTTCCTGTATAATCCCAATCTCAAGGGCTAGCAATTTTAACCTGTGTGCTTCTTTCTTTGTTTCTCAATCTTTTGCCCATCGAATATGTCAAATATAGCACCCCCCTCTCAGTAATACTGGGGCCTCTAGAACATGATTCTCACTCTGAGATGACGGGCTGATTCAGAATCCTGGAATCCTGGAGTAGGGGAAGATAAATTAAAAATCTCTACAGGTGATTCTATGTATCCTTTTATATGATCCCACCTTCCTCAAGGATGTTTTCTTTGTGCCATGGTCAATGGTATTAGACTTTCCCCAAAGAGGTGAGCATTGTGAAATGATACCCCACTTAATAAATACAAGTGCATTCTCTTCTTTAATATTCACTGGCATGCCCTAACCAGTTAAAGTTTATAAGCTAAAAACACAGATGCTTTTTATTTTTGTAATAGTGATTTATTAATAATTCTCACTCAAAATCTCTCATTGCATCTTTTTTTCTGAAGTTTATTTTTCAGCTTTTCAAGTTTGTCTCAAGTTTGTTTTCTAACTGTGGAACACTGCAAGATGTTGATTGTATAAATTTGTCAAAATTAATATGACTCAGTCAACTCTGTCCTTTTGGTAGCCTACATTCATCCAAAGGTTCTTTTATTAGTAATTAAATATCCCAAATCAATTAGTTTCTGAAACAGTTTTCTTTTCTCATAATTGAGTTTAAAAATGACAGTCTTTAACAATATCCACTATTGAGAATCTGCTTTCAATTTCAGTACTCTATCGTAGGAAAATGCCATCTAAATAAATAAAGTAACTAGTCCACACATTAACATTTTAAAAATTGCTAACAATTTTAACACCCATGCAATATATAACTCAGACTTTTTATTTGTAACTTAGTACTGTCCATTAAAACATTTTTTAAAGAGTAAAAATAAAGCTCCTCTCTGGAAATTACTGCTTCTGTTCTTAGCAGTTCCTTATAGGAAAGAAAATTATTAGGTATTCCGTCATTAAGTCATTTCTCTGTTCCTGGAGTTTTGAGTGAAATAATTCTAACCAACGTTGAATCTAATGAGAAATGTTGTCGTTTATGGTGTTTACTTACATTCAATTCTCGATAATCTACATGAGGCAAATCTGCTTCATGCACTCACAATGGCAAAGTATATCCTGAGACCTTCACTATTTATTGTGGTTTCTGGCCATTTTCTTGGCCCTAGCTAATACGTGCTTAGGGAAGGAAAGTTTACCTGGATATTTGCATAAAGCAAGACAAATAGAAAAATAAACTTGTTTAAATAAAGCAATTATAAATTATTTTTGAATAACATATTGATTTGGATTATCTATGGCCTTTCTTCCCTCTATTAACCCAGCTAATTAAGTGCCCTTGCTTAAAGGCCTCATTGGAGCTTATATTTATCTTGTGCAGTTTCTCAGTTCTATTCATTAGAAACTGAAGGAGACACATTTATCTTGGTTTTATCTTCAAGTGGAAGGTTTCTTATTTGCTGGATAATTTAGGGGAAGTGAAAGAATACAAGAATCCAGGCCAAAAGAGTATGATTCTTGTGACTTTAAAATATATGTATCATTTTTCTTCTTATAAAAAATTCTAATTAGTTTTCATTGTTTCCAAGGAACAAAGAAGACCTAACTAGTGACTTCTCAAAAATGCCATGAATTTCTCAGTCTTGAACCTACGAGTATTAGATACCTTTTGTTGAATTTATGAGTATTAGATACGTCCCTTATGGCCAAAGTTGCCTTTTGCATCCCAGCATGTTAGGTTAGGTTCCCTAGAAACAGATCCTGGGATGACGTTTGTGTGCAATTGATTCATTACAGAAGTGTTCAAGATAACCTAGAAAAGGATGGGGGCCTGGGACAGAGGAAGAAGCTAAAGAAGAGTGAGGTCTCAGGCAAAATTCCATGGAGGTTAGCTTCACCTAGATCCTTTGGTGGAATGCTGGGTATAGGATACACCTCGGAGTTGTCAAAAACCAAGGCAAGGGAGCTGGGCACTCATACATGTTAGTCATTGACTAATGGCTGATCCATGTAAACATAAAATCCCAAGCACTTCCAACTCTCTGTGTCTGGAGGCAAAGTGGCTCTAGTGATCTGAGGGCAGTCTTCCTCCTCCAAAGGCCCTTCCTGTTGAAAGCATCCCAAAGCTGGGGGTGAGCGTGCATGAAAATGATATAATAGAGATCCTAGGAGATACAGGGGGAGCGCTGATCTTGTTTACTCCAGGACAGCACAACTTGGGCTTGAAGCATGACTCCTGACACACTCTCTCACCACTCTTTCTTATCTCAGAGAAGATAGAGATAAGATGGGGAATAGGAAAGGAACAGAAAATTTTTACTGAAACAATTATATTATTTTCTTGGGCATGGCTCTCCGTGGTCCTGATTTCCATCTGCTAAACAAGGTGGGCCTGTGTAGGAGTCTATTTTCCTTGATGCCAGGTGCGAGGTACATCAATTCTGACCCCAACAGTATTTATGAACTTCTGCTACATAGAATAAGCTCTCATTCCTTCCCTACCAAAATTCTGAACTCTGCAGAGGTTCTTGCAGGAACAGATACATATTCCCTGAACAGGAAGCTCCCAGATTCAGCCATGTTCCTATTCAAATTTCCCTCAGGAACTAGGGGCGGGTAGAGGCTTTTGGCTTAAAGGAACTGAACAATGAATACAGTTGAGACTGGTTGATATGACTGGTTTTCTACCTTACATCAGAAACCTATCCTCAGATTCCAGACACACTTCTGTAATCTGAGCTCCCAGGTACCTGGAGGCTTTCTTCATCATCCCCCAGTGTGAAAAGAGAGCAGGGTTACTGTCAGTTTATATAAATGGGTGCAGGATTGTGATTAGCCTCATTTTTAATTGTGTGACATCTGAATTGTGCTCAGAGCTCATGTTGGGCCAATTTTTAAATATTGTGATTATCATCTCTGGTCCAGGGTGACTTTTGTTCCCTTTTGAGATTGAGTGCTTTTCTGGATTACCAGGAAGATACATTATAATATGTCAGAATATTGTGGCCCTACTGAAAATAAAAATAGCACAATGGTGGGACTTTCCACTTCATGCCCTGATAGGAATTTTCTAAGGATGCAACCCCTTTGCAGGACAAAGTCAGTATGATGAGACGGCTACAGGGGCTGGGAATTGAATATTCTTACTAGGGTTACAGGCCATATCTCAGAAACCAGACAGAGGCTTTTCCCTCTCACAATCTTTCCCATTTTGGAACTTACTTTAAGCAAAAAATTAACAATTGTTGTGTTTTATTTATCACGCTTTTTGCATTATAACAACTAGAATTGTCCTAATAAATAAGCAATGATTATATTCCTTTACTTTTGATGAGTCTAAAGGAAATTGACTCATGTCACCATCTGTTTAAGCATCCATAAGTATGCCATCAAAGTTATGGAGAATTATCTATCCAGAATGCACAGATGATAGGCAATACGTTTTTTATTGGCTTTCTGTTCTTTTTTCTCTTAGCTAGTAGAAATACATTCAGCATCCCAGTGGTATGTTACAGCCAAAATTCAAAAGTTTCTCTGCAGGGGTCGGTATAGTGTGCTGTAGTTTTTAGAATTTTATGTTTCCACAAGAAGCTTAATGCCCCTTTTCTGCCTGCTGCCCCAGTATAATGTTTTCTTATATTACCATCTAGGCCTTATGTCTAAAAAAGAAGACATAATCTCATGTGGCCTGATTACTGAAGTATAAGATGACTTCTCATCAGGCCACATGAGGTTATGTCTTCTTTTTTAGCAGAGGGTCAGTCCCTTCAGACTTCAGCATCTCATGTTGGGGGTTAGTTGAATATAGAGCCCTTTCTGAGAATAATATATATAGAATTAATGTTCTGTGGATATTGGAAGGTTCTAGTTCAAACTATTACAGTTCACTGATGTATTTCTTAAAAGAAATGATATATAACAGTCTATGTTTATACCAATGGGTGTGAAGACCGCTAGATTTCTACTAAGGTCATTGCCAAAATGCCAAAAAAGTAGTTTTTAGACCAGAGTAGATGGCTGCACCAGAATTTTAAGTTCTTCTGGATGAAGCTTGTACTTGGCAGACTATGCAGAAGACCATGCAGTTTCAAATACTGCCATATCCTTAATGCTTTGTGTTGCTAATCTATTCTTTCACAGATAAGTCTCTATCATTCATGCTACATGGGTTGAAAATTAATACAGCTACCATGGCCAGTATTGAATAGAAAAGGGATTAGAGACTAAGCCAAAGATGGATCGTGTGGTCAGGGCAAGTACTTCAGCAGTGAGTTGGTTTAAACTCTGTCCCATAACAGTCTTCCGTGTTGTCATCTATAGGCAAATGGGCCCAGCTGAAGGCTTCCACTGGGATGGATAAAGACGAGCTTATAAAAAGTAGTTAAGTCACTATACCTCATGGTAAAATCCAGCAGACTATATGATCTATTGATTCGGTTCCACATGAAACCTCTGAACCTCCCAGCCTAGAACCCAGAGTGACAGGAGAAAGAGACAATATCCTCTACCAAACCATGCCCTTGAATATATTTATGACCTGCTGTTTCTGAGAGTCATATGATCTTTCTCTCAAAAGAGCTTCATTAAAACAAACGCACACAATACAACCTATGTTCCCTCATAACCTACCAATCAAAGCATGAAACTGAGCCACAGTAATGGAGGAAAACGGTATTCTAACAAGATTTAAGCACCTCCACATGTTGTTTCCTTGTCCCACACTCAGAACTGTTTCCCAAACATATGTGCTTATGACTAATTCTGTTGGTTACAATGAGGCATCGATTTTTCAATCATGTTTGGGTTTCCTGGGAAACATAATTTTTAGTAAGCACTCAGATGCCTGCAAGCCACTCAAAAGTGGGGTAAAGCTACAGTGGAAACTTGACAGCGCCATCTTCTGATGGTGCTCAACTGTCAATGCCATATCCTCTTATCTTCCTTTACTGGTCCAGGAGGAACCTATCTGACTTGCCCTTAAATCTGCTCTAGCTGTTTCATTTTTCAGAGAAATCTCCAAGTGAGAGAGACTACCTCATTTTCCAGTAGTGCTGAACTCTGTCATGCAGACCTTAAACCTGTGCTGATTCTTGTCCCCAGTGTCTCAAATAAAATTTGTAAAAGGGCATTTTCGGTATTTCCTCAAAACACTGGTTGTAAGACTCAAGTGTTAAAGCAGAGGCTGGAGTAGGAGATCTTCCAAGTGACTGGCATTTTGTCCTTTGTCTTTATTCATATATTTCCATGCACTGTAACACCAAAGCGTTTCTTTTGTATCATATGTGTATTAGTCTGTTCTCACACTGCTATGAAGAAATACCTAAGATGGGGTAATTTATAAAAGAATTAGGTTTAATTGACTCACAGTTCTGCATTGCTGGGAAGGCCTCAGGAAACTTACAATCATGGTGAAAGGCAAAGGAGAAGCAGGCACCTTCTTCACAGGGCGACAGGTCAGAGTGAATGCAGGACAGGGGAAATGCCAGGCACTTATAAAATCATCAGATTTGGTGAGACTCACTCACCATCTGAGAACAGCATGAGGTAAACCACTCCCACGATCCAATTACCTCCACCTGTTCCCGCCCTTTACACATGGGGACTGTGGGGATTACAATTCAAGATGAGATGTTAGGTGGGGACACAGCCAAACCATAGCAATACCTGTGAATCTGGATTCTTTATATTCCCTGAAGATGTATTCTTTCCTAGAATAGCAAATAGTCACCTACTGAACCTTCCTTACTGCTACTCATAGATGCCAAACAAGATGGAATCTTTTACAAGATGGAATCTTTTGTGAGCTTACTTCCAAGTTGGTACTCCTATTGGTCAGGATTCTTAGTTCCAGAGAACAGAATCCATTCTAATGAGTGTAACCAAAAATGTTAAGAGTTATCCAGTAGCCAGTAGTCTATTTCTCCAGCTCTCTAAAATTATTAGGTGAGCTTCCAGGAACCGCTTCCAGAACAACACCACTGAGACAGGGGATTGCTACCTCTGTCCTACCTAGAAACACGATGTGTTTTCCATGAACTGGAAAGTATCCTACTGTTACTGTCAATGGCAGAATACTTGGATCTTTCTGCTGATTTCAAAATGTTTTGTACCATCAAAATGTATGTCTTGCCATTAGCTTGTTCCCTCTCACAGCTCACTTCTGAATCTTGGTCTCACATGAGTTCCTTGATTTCACATGGGTTGGCCACACATCTGTACCATAACTGCAAGGAGTCTTGGGAAATGTAATGTTTTGGACACCAAAATAAAGAAGGCAGGGTTTGCAATGTGGGAACTATCACAGTTTGTAGTGGAAGTTCAGATGATACTGGGTGACCACAGATAAAAGATGTCCACTACAGATTACAAGTACTATATTTTTTGGGAGTTTGAGTAATAATTATATTAACACAAGTAAAAATAGTAATAGCAGTTAGCATTTATTAACCACTTGTTATGTGCTAGGCACTGTGATAAGTGCTTTACATATAGTCTGCTGGATTTTACCAAGAGGTATAGTGACTTAGCTGCTTTTTTATAAGCTCACCTTTTTTATAAGCTCACCGGTATTATCTGCTTTTATACTCACAACAACACTGAAAGTTGATGTTTTAAAATTTATTTTGAAAGTAGAGAACAAAAGCTTAGGAAGATTAAGACACTTGTCAAAGCCAAACAAATAGGACCTGGTGAAAACAGGTTTCAAAGCCAGGTCTGTTCAAATTCGATTCTTATGCTGTGCTGCCTCCTTAACTCATAACTTTCTTTTAAGGCAATATTTTTATATACAAAAGTATTGCCTGGATAGTTTTATAAAAAACAACCAGAACTCTAATAAAACACAATGTATTCGACCAAGTCATTTGGCTTATTAAGACTGTGCTGAAGGGCATCTCCTAATAGTTTTTTATGCTATCTCTACATTTGTCTCAAAGTTTTAAATGAAAAAATTTTGCCTTTTTCTTAATTGTCATTTAACTTTCTTTTCAGAAGAATTTGGAAAGTTTTCCTTTTCAGACTCACATAGCTTTTCCTCTGACTTGTCTTCCATCATCTCTGGACTCTGGACACTTTCTGTTAGATTCCATGAAAAGGCTTAAATTCTCCTGCTGTTATTTTCTGAACATTTTTAAATGGGGGTATAGCACATTTTAATTCATTTTACCCTGCCTTATTGCTTTCCTATACACATTTTATATTGCTTGAAAAAGACATTATTTTGTCATTGTCACCTTCAGCCTATATGCAACCTTGGTAGCCATTTCATTAATCTTTTCCTAAATTAATTTTTTCCAAGCATATCCAAAGGTTAAAAGAAGATTTTTTACAACCACCAAAAAATTTCCCCAAAACTTCAGTCATTGGAAACATAGCTTTATGAAATGAGATATTTTTCTTCTATTAAAATCATAGAAACAGTATTGGTGCTAAGAAAATCAATCATTTATTTTAACTCCATATCTAACATTTGGGAGGAATTTTCACAAAAATTATATCCCTTTGCAATTTTTAACTACAAATTAACCCCCATCTAAACAAGTAGGGGAAACGTACGAAATACTTTCAAGCTTTTAGAGACAATGACCTTTTGGTAAAGGCAAACTTCAGTCAATCTCAGTATCAATTCTAATGAAGATTTTGTTAACCAAAGCAGAACACACACATAGACACACAAACATGCACACACATTCCTTTCCCTATGACTGCTAGCTGCTTGCAATTCCCTGGAGCATATATTGTATCATTAGAGAATTAGAGATAAAGGATAAGGGAGAGTGAACAAGCACGGATGACTCCTGGATCTAGCTTGGTTGGCTGGATTGGATAGTGGTACTGAAAGTGGAGATAGATAATTTAAGGAAGAATCAGTCTCATTAGATGGGAAAGATCATGAGCTCAGTTATATTTATGTTAATTTGAGATGCTTGTGAGACATTCAGCTCGAGCTATTCCCCGGTGTGAAGCTCAGAGAGTCATCATGGGGAAACGCAGATTTTCTCGTTTCTACCATAGAGGGTGTGTATCAGTTATCCATAGCTATTATAATGCTATGTAACAAAAAAACTTCAGTGGCATACAATAATGAACATTTGTTGAATTTGTATCTGTGAGACTTGTCTGGGCTGGCCTCATTCTCTGTCTGGGATTCTCTGTCTGAGAGCCCATTTAGAATGCTTTTGGCTGAGACAACTAGGAAGTCTTTCCACGTGCTCTCCTTTTACTAGTAGCTGCTCTGCTTATTCTCAGAGCAATGGGTGAGGGGCTAGAGCTTCCCAGCCCATTCATATGAATGCTTTTAAGCTTCTGCACTCATTATATTGGCTAACATTCCATTGGGTAAAGCAGGTCGCACAGCTAGGTGCAGAGTCGGAGTGGTAGCATTTTACAAGGTTACATGACAAAGGGTGTGAACATAGCGTGTGAACTACTAATGCAATCAATCTAGTGTAAGATGATTGTTAGAAACGAGCTCATGGAATTATCTAAGGAGACTATATATAATTAGTATGAAAGTGACTGAGGATAGAACTCTAAAGGAAAGTAAATATAAAAGAATATAATAAACAGTGAATGGTTAGGCTCAAAAAAGATAAATGTTATCTAGAATCTAAAGATAATAGATAAATTTAATTAGGCAATGATAAATAAGGTCAAGTGCCTAAGAAAAGTCCAACAAGATTGGATTAATACATATGCATTATATTAGGAAGTATGAGGTAATCAGTGACCTTTTTGAGTTCACTTGAGTAACTGAGTATAGAAAACGAAGCCAGATTTCAGTGAGTTGAAGAAATGGACAACAGGAGCATGGAGAGATAGAGGCAGCAACTGAAAACTACCTGTCTTTAAACATATTTTTAGAAGATGGAAAGGAGGCAGACTAGAGACACATTCAGGAAAAATGGAAGTTTATTATTTGTTTAATTATGGGAGAAATGAGCTTAATATACATTCATGGAAAAGGAGCTAATAGAGAGAAGATTAAAATATAGGAGAAGTAGGAAATGAATTGTTAGTGGGAAATATTGAACGGGCTTGAAGGAGATATGTCGTGGGTACAGGCGGGGAGATAATAATAAATGAGGCAGAACATGCCTTCTGGAGGAAGGAAAGCAAGAATTGAAAAAATATGGATACAATTTGTGTGTGGAAAAAATATGGAACAATTTTTTATTCCCATTATAAATTTTTGAGGGTTACAGTTCAGTTCAGTGTTCAGCCAGTTCTTATTTGCATTTTATTCTTGAAGGGTTTTATTGAAATATAATTTACACACTACAAGTAAATAACTTTTAATAAGTTCATAGAGTTGTACAAACATTACCAGAATACAGCTTTAAAATATTTTCATCACCCCAACACTGTCTCTTATGTCCATCTACAGTCAATTCGTATTCCTACCCCTGGCCCCAAGTGACCACTAATTTGCTTTAGATTTAGCTTTCTCTGGATGTAACACATGTAGTCTTTTGTGACCGGATTCTTTCACTCTGCATAATATTTTTGAAGTTATTTGTGTTATAGCACGTAGGAGTACTTTGTTCAGTTTTATTGCTGAGTAGTACGCCATTGTATGGATGTATCACATTGTAGGTAGACATTTCCTGTTCTTGGGATATTAAGAACATTTCCAATTTTAGGCTGTTCCAAATAATATCTCTATAAACATTTCAATACAAACCTTTACGTAGACATGTATTTCCATTTTTCATGGGTTGATACTTTGGCAGAATTTTGAATAATACAGTACATTTAGGTTTAACTTATTGTTTTAAATTTTTTCTTATTTTTAATTTTTATGAGTGTACAATAGTTGTACATATTTATAGGATACATGTGATATTTTGACATAAGCATATAATGTGTAATGATCACATCAGGATAATTGGGATGTCCATCACCTCAAATGCAGATCATTTCTTTGTGTTGGGAACACTGTAAATCCACTCCTCTAGCTATTTTGAATTATACCATAAACTATTGTTAATGATAATTGCCCTATTTTGCTACTGACCAGTAGATCTTATTCCTACTATCTGCATTTTTGTACCCATTAACCAAACCCTCTTTATTTTCCTTCCTAATACCCTTCCTAGCCTCTGGTAGCCATCGTTCTATTCGCTAACTCCATTAGATAAATTTTTTTAGCTCTCAAGTATTAGTGAGAACGTGTGACATCGTCTTTCTGTGTCTGGCTTATTTCACTTAACACGCTGCTGGGTATACATCCAAAAGAAAGGACTTCAGTATATTGAAGAGATATCTGCATTCTCATGTTTATTGTAGTATTATCCACAATAGCCAGATATGAAATCAACCTAAGTGTCCATAAACAAATGAATGGATAAAGTAAATATGGTACATATACACAATGAAATATTATTCAGCCATAAAATAAATGAAATCCTGTCATTTGCAATGACATGGATGGAACTGGAGAACATTATGTTAAGGTTTAACTTTCTGTGAAAATTCCAAACTAAATTCCAAAGGGACTGAAGAATTTTTTATTCCCATTAGAAAATTTTAGGGTTACAGTTCAGTTTATTTATAGCCTTCCTAAGACTATTATTGTTTGTCTTTTAGTTATAGCCCTTCTTGTGGGTATGAAGTGTTAGTTTCTTATGATTTTAATTTGCATTTTCCTAGTGACTAATAAGGTTTAACATATTTTATGTGTTTGTGAGACATATATCATTTTGGAGAAATGCATATTCAAATAAAATACACCATATTAGCAGAATAAAGGGCAAAAGCCCTTTGTTTTCCAATTGTTAGGTTTTAAGAGTAACATGTATAGTTGGATAACAATCCTTTATCAGATATGTCTTTTGCAAGTATGTTCTCCCAGTCTGTTTCTTGTGTTTTTATTTTTTGACAATGTCTTTTACAGGCCAGAAATTTTTAATTTTAATGAAGTCCAGTTTATCATTCTTTTTTTCATGAATAATACTATTGGTGTTGTATCTAAAAAGTCATCATAAAACACAAGGTCTTGATTTTCACCTATGTTATCCTCTAGGGGTTTTACAGTTTTGTTTTTTACATTTAGATCTATGATCCATTTTGAGTTAATTTTTGCAAAGAATATAAGACCTTGAGTCTAGATTCATTTATCCTACATGTGAATATCCAGTTTTTCTAGCACCACTTATTGAATCTTGCATGTAAATATCCAGTTGTTCTAGCACCATTTATTGAAAAGGTTCTCTTTTCTCCATTGTATTGCCTTTGCTCTTTTCTCAAAGATCACTTGATGATTATATTTATGTGAGTCTATTTCTGGGCTGTCTATTCTGTTTCATTGATGTATTTGTTTATGCTTCTGCCAATATCACACCGACTTGATTACTGTAGCTTTATAGTAAGTCTTAAAGTTACATTTTTTCCATCCCCTGACTTTATTACTTTTCTTTAATATTGTATTGTCTATTCTTGGTTCTTTGCTTTAGAATTAGAATTAGAATCTGTTGGATATCCACAAAATAACTTTCTGGGATTTTGATTGGAATTGCATTCAATTTATAGATTAAATTGGGAAGAATTGACATTTTAAACAATATTGAATTTTCCTATTAGCGAAATGAAGTATCTATCTAGTTACACAGGTCTTTGTATTAGTCCATTCTCATGCTGCTAGTTAAGACATATCCAAGACTGGGTAATTTATAAAGAAAAGAGTTTTAGTTGACTCACAGTTCAACATGGCTGGGGAGGCCTCAGGAAACTTACAATCATGGTGGAAGAGTAAGAAAACATGTCCTTCTTCACATGGTGGCAGGAAGGAGAAGTACTCAGTGAAGGGGAAACTTTTGATAAAACGATCAGATCTCATGAGAACTCACTATCTTGAGAACAGCATGGAGAAAACCACCCCCATAATTCAATTCTTGAGAACAGCATGAGAAATCCACCCCCATGATTCAATTATCTCCACTTGGTCCCACCCTTGACGCATGGGTATTATTACAATTCAAGGTGAGAGTTGGGTGGGGACATAGAGCCAAAACATATCAGTCTTCTTTGACTTATTTCATCAGAGTTTTGTTATTTTTTTCACATAGATTGTGCAGGTATTTTGTTAAATTTATACTTAAATATTTTGTTTTTGGTGCTAATGTAAATGGTATTTTGTCTTTAATTTTAAATTCAATTGTTAATTGTGGATCTGTGTGAGGAAATAATTGACTTTTGTATATTAACCTTATATCCTGCATCCATGCTATAATCATGTATTAGTTCCAGGAGTATTTTGTTAATTTTTTTTTCAGAATTTGCACGTAGATGGTCATGTCACCTGTGAAGAGACAGTTTTATTTCTTCCCTTTCTGTATACTTTTTATCTTATTTCTTGTCTTATTGCATCATCTAGGACTTCCCTTACAATGTTGAAAATCAGTTGTGAGAAGGGGTACCCATGCCTTTCTCCTGATCTTAGGAGGAAAGCATGTAAGTTTCTTGCCATTAAATATGAAGTTAGCTGTAGGTTTTTTGTAGATATTCTTTATCAAATGGAGGAAATTTCCCCATTCCCAGTTTACTGAGAATTTTTTAAAATCATAAATGGTTGTTAGATTTGGTTAAATGCTTTTTCTGCATCTATTGATATAATTTTTAATCTAACTAGTTTATATGGTAGACATTAGTCAGTTTTCAAATGCTGAACCAACTTTTTATATCTAGAATAAATCCCACTTGGTTGTGGTGTGCAATTCTTTTATCAATTGCTAAATTCAGTTTGCTAATATTTTGTGGAGAATTTTTACATCTGAGACATATTATTCTGTAGTATTCCTTTCTTATAATGTCTTTATCTGGTTTTGGCATTAGGGTAATGCTGGCCTCATAATATGAGTTAGGAAGCATTCATTCTTCTTATATGTTTTGGGAGAGATCATGGAGAGTTGGTATCATTTCTTCATTAAATGTTTGGTAGAATTCACAATAAAACCATTTGGGCCTGATACTATCTTTTTTGGAAGATTACTGTTGATTCAATTTCTTTAATGAATATAGGCCTCTTCAAATTACCGATTTTTATGAGTTTCAGTAGGTTATGTCTTTCAGAGAATTGGTCTAAGTTATCACATTTATGGGCATCTAGTTCTAATATTCTTATATCATCCTTTTAATATCCCTGATATCAGTGTTGATGGTCTGTCTTTCATTTCTGATATTAGTAATTCTTGTGTTTTGTCTTTATTTCCTGGTTCTCCTGATGAAAGGTATCAATTTTATTGATCTTTTTAACGAATGAGTTTTAGTTTCAATGATTTTCTCTATTGTCTTCCCATTTTTTAAATTTTAATTATTTATTTTTTGGTTTCTTAAAACCTTATTATTTTGAAATAACTTTAAGTACACAGACAAATTACAGGAGCAACACAACAAATTCCTATATATCCTTTATACAGATTTGCCAGATTTACCTTTTTACTACATTTGCCTCATTATTGGCTCTGTATACATATATCCACATACACCTATAAGTTATATATCTGTTATATGTACATTACATTTATTTCCCCCCTAAGCTATTTGAGGATTACAGACACACTCTATTAGCCCTTAATACTTCTGTCTGTAGTTCCTAACAAGATCAGTCTCCCACCTAATGAGTATGACAATGAGTATTAGGAAATTAACACCGATACATTACCAATTAATTAATAGATCCCATCATTTGTTTTGCCAATTATTCCAATATTGTCTTTTATGGGGAAAGGGGTCAACCCAGGAGCATATGTTGCATTGGTTCTTATGTTTTGTTTTTCTTTCTTTTTTTTTGTTTCCTTTGATCTGAAAGTGCTTCTGTCTTTCCTTATCTTTCATGGCTTTACATTTTTGAAGAGTACAGGACAGTTATTTGTAAAATGCTCTTTATTTTGGGATTGTCTGATGTTTCCTCATCATTAAATTCAGATTATGCATACTAAAATGCCATGTTTTCTCAGTGTATTATTATATATTTAAATAAATTTATTTAAGAATCAGACAGTACATTTGCATGTTTGCTACAGGGTTATATTGCATATTGGTGGGCATTGGGCTTTTAGTGTACCCAGTACTCAAGTAGTGAACACTGTACCTAATAGGTAATTTTTAAACTCTTATTGTCCTCTAAGCCTCCCTGCTTTTGGAGTCTCCAGTTCTGTTCCCATCATTATGTCCATCAGTACCCATTGTTTAGCTCCCACTGATAAATGAGAACATGCAGTATTTGGTTTCCTGCTTCTGAGTTAGTTCTATTAGGATAATGGCCTCCAGCTCCATTGACATTGCTGTAAAGGATGTGAGTGAATTCTTTTATTATTGCTGCGTTTGCCTTCCCATTTTTTAAAATTTATTCTGTGCTGCTTTTTAAATTATTTCTTCCGTTTGCTCTAGGTTTACATTGCTTCTTTTTCTATAGTTTCCTAAGGTGGCAGCTTGGACTATTGATTTTTATATCTTTGTTCTTCTCTAATATATTCATTCAATGCTATAATTTCCATCTAAGCACTGCTTTTGCTGCAACCCACAAATTTTCATAAGCTGTAATTTCATTTTCATGTAGTTCAAGTATTTTTAAATTTCCGTTGAGACTTTTTCTTTGACCTATGTGTTTAAAAGTGATTGTTTAGTTCTAAATATTTTGGCATTTTCCAACTATATTTCTATTGATTTCTAGTTTAACTCCATTTAGTTTGAGAGCATATTTTGTGTAATTTCTCTTTTTTAAAAAATTTAAAGGTGTGTTTTATTACCTGGAACATGGTCTATCTCAATGAATGTTTTATGTGAACTTGGAAGAAATGTGTATTTTGCTGTTATTGTGTGAAGTGTTCTATAAACATCAATTAAATCAAGTTGATTGATAGTGCTCTTTGGTTCAACTACATTTTTACTGATTTTCTGCCTGGTGGTTTTGTCAATTACTGATTGAGATGTGTTGAAGTCTGAATTATAATGACAGACTGATCTCTTTTTCCTTCCAGTTCTATCTGATTTTGCCTCATGTATTTTGATGGTGTGTTCTTAGGCATATACACATTAAAGATCATCATGTCTTCTTGGAGAATTGACCCTGATATCATTATGTAACTCTCATATTTACCACTGACAATTTTCTTTGTTTTGAAGTCTGCTTTCTATGAAGCAATAAAAAGTTTTGTTTGATCAGTGTTACTAAGGTTTATTTTCCTTTATCTCTTTATTTTTAATCTATATGTCTTTATATTTGAAGTCTTCCTTGGAAACAATATAAAATTGTTTCTTTAAAAGAATCTATTCTGTCAGTCTCTGTCTTTTAATTTTTGTATTTAGATCACTCACATCTGAAGTAATTATTGATATAGTTGGATTATTAGCTACCATATTTGTAACTTTTCTATTTGTTGCATTCGTTCTGTTTATCGTTCCTTCTTTTTGTGTTTTCTGTGGTTTCAATTGAGCATTTTATGTAATTTCGTCTTCTCTCCTCTCTTAGCATACCAATTATAATTCTCTTTATACATTTTTAGTAGTTTCCCTAGAGTTCAAAATATAAATTTACAACTAAACCAAGTCAATTTTAAAATAACTGTGTACCACTTCATGGGCAGTGTTGGTATCTTATAACAAAGTATGCCCAATTCCTCCCTCTTATTCCTTACGAAATTGCTGTCATTTATTTCAGTAATCCATAAGGTATAATCACCCAATTAATCATTGCTATTATTATGTTATCTGTTAGGACAATTAGAGTAAGGAAAATAAAATATTTTATTTATTTATTCCTTCTCTAATGCTCTTCTTTATACATACCCGAGTTTCTGATTTGTGTAATTTTTCTTCTTTCTGAAAAATTTAGTTTTACCATATCTTGTAATGCAGATTTGTGGAGACAAATTCTCTGTTTTTGTTTATCTCAAAAAGCTTTTGTTTCTCCTCCACTGAGAAGGAGAATGGCTGAGTTTACCCAGTTTGCTCTGTGGCCTTGGCGACTTTTTTTCTTTCACCACTTTAAATATTTTACTCCACTCTCTCTTTGCTGGCATGATTTCAGAAGAGATATCCATTGTAATTCCTATCTCTTTTTCTCTATTAGTAAGGTATTTTTTTTTCCTTTGGCTTCTTTCAAGATTTGCTCATTGTCTTTTGTTATTTTTAGTTTGAATATGATATTCCTAGGTATAGGTGTTTTTTTTTTTTTTCAACTTTCTGAGTGTTCTCTGAACTTCCTGAATCTGTTTTGGTGTCTGACTTTAATCTTGGAAAATTCTCCACCATTATTACTTCAAATACTTCTTCTCCTTTCTTTCTCCTTCTGTTATTTCTACTATTTTATGTTAGCATTTCACTTTAGGAAGTTTCTAGTGACATATCTTTAAACTCACTAATTCTTTCATCAGCCATATTCAATCTACTGATAAGCCTATCAAAGACATTCTTCATTTTTCTTGTAGTGTTTTTATTTCTAGCATTTACTTTTGAATCTTTCTTTGTCTCTGCTTACATTATCTATGTGTTCTTGCTTTTTGTCCACTTTTTCCATTAGAGCCTTTCACATATTAATTATAGTTATATTAATTCTTGGCCTGATAATTTTAAAAAAATCCCTGCCATATCTTGAGTTATTTTCTGATGCTGGCTTTATGTCTCCAGAGTACTTATGTCCTGTCTTTTAGTATGGTTTATAATTTTTTTGTTGAAATTCAGACATGAAGTATCATATATTGGGAATTGAAATCATAGGCCTTTAGTGTGAAGTTTTATGTTTATATGGCTAGAAGTTAGTCTGTGTTTATTGTTTGCTATTGCTATAGGTGTCAAAGGTTTCAGTGTACTCTGATGTCCTTGTTACTGTCTTTTCTCTTGTCTTTGAGTCTCTCTAGAAACTTCCCCTTAAAGTCTGTGTCTTGAAGTTCTCTCATTTGTTATCTACTATTATTGTACAACAGACCTGTTGATGTGGTGGTAAGATATTGGAATGGTAAGATACTGGAAAGAAGAAGCTTTCTATAATCCTATGATTAGATCTCCATTAAAAAAAAATGGGCCAAAGTTCCTGGACTGTGACATTTAGAATAGTTTTTTAGCATTTTTTAAAAATCCCTGTATGTGAAACAGGAAGGATAGAAGGGGCTGAGATTGGCTCACCGCTCTTCCCTAGGTCAGATAAGGTTCTAGTAGAGTATAGACAATACCCAACTGATATGGTTTGCCTGTGTCCTCACCCAAATCTCATCTTTAATTCCCATGTGTTGTGGGAGGGACCTGGTAGGAGGTGATTGAATCATGGGGGCAGGTCTTTCCTGTCCTGTTTTCATGATACTGAATGAGTCTCACAAGATCTGATGGTTTTAAAAAGAGGAGTTCCCCTGCACATGTTCTCTCTATTTGCCTGCTGCCATCCATGTAAGACATGAGTTGATCCTCCTTGCTTTCTGCCATGATTGTGAGGCTTCCCTAGCCATGTGGAACTGTAAGTCCAATTAAACCTCTTTCTTTTGTAAATTTCCAGTCTCAGGTATGTCTTTATCAGTAGTGTGAAAATAGACTAATACAGTAAATTGATACCAGTAGAATGGGGTGCTGCTGAAAAGATACCCAAAAATGTGGAAGTGACTTTGGAACTGGGTAACAGGTAGAGGTTGGAACAGTTTGGAGGACTCTGAAGAAGACACGAAAATGTGGCAAAGTTTGGAACTCCTTGTAGACTTGTTGAATGACTTTGACCAAAATGTTGGTAATGATATGGATGATGAAATCCAGGGTGAGGTGGTCTCAGACGGAAATAAGGGACTTGTTGGGAACAGGAGCAAAGGTGACTCTTGTTATGTTTTAGCAAGTAGACTGGTGGCATTTTGCCCCTGCCCTAGAGATTTGTGGAACTTTGAACTTGAGAGAGATGATTTAAGGTATCTGGCAGAAAGCAGATACCATTCAAAGTAGCAAATCATTCCAGAGGTGACTTGGGTGCTGTTAAAGGCATTCAGTTTTATAGGGGGAGCAGAGCATAAAAGTTTGGAAAATTTGCAGCCTGACAATGTAATAGAAAAGAAAAACCCATTTTCTGAGGAGAAATTCAAGCCAGCTGCAGAAATTTGCATAAGTAATGAGGAGCTGAATGTTGATCCCCAAGACAATGGGAAAAATGTCTCCAGGGCTTGTCAGAGATCTTCACGGCAGCCGCTCCCATCACAGGCCTGGAGGCCTAGGAGGAAAACATGGTTTTATGGACCAGGCCCCTGCTGTGTGCAGTCTAGGGACTTGGTGTCCTGCATCCCAGCCACTCCAGCTGTGACTAAAAGGGGCCAAGGTACAGCTTGGGCCATGGCCTCAGAGGGTGCAAGCCTCAAGCCTTAGCAGCTTTCATGTGGTATTGAGCCTGCAGGTACACAGAAGTCAGCAATTGGGGTTTGGGAGCCTCTGCCTAAATTTCAGAGGATGTATGGAAATGCCTGGATGTCAAGGCAAAAGTTTGCTGCAGGAGTGGGGCACTCATGGAGAACCTCTCCTAGGGCAGTGCAGAAGGGAAATGTGGGGTTGGAGCCCCTACACAAGTCCCTCCTTGGGACACTGCCTAGTGGAGCTGTGAGAAGAGGGCCACTGTCCTCTGGACCCCAGAATGGTAGATCCACCAACAGCTTGCACTGGGTTTCTGGAAAAGCCACAGACACTCAATGCCAGCCTGTGAAAGCAGCCAGGAGGGAGGCTGTAAAGCCACAGGGGTGGAGCTGCCCAAGACCATGGGAACCCACCTCTTGCATCAATGTGACCTGGATGTGAGACATGGAGTCAAAGGAAACCATTTGGAGCATTAAAATTTGATTGCTTGCTGGATTTTGAACTTGCATGGGGCTTATAGCCCTTTGGTTTTAGCCAATTTCTCCCATTTGGAATGACTGTACTTAATGCCTGTGCCGCCTCTGTATCTAGGAAGTAACTAAATTGCTCTTGATTTTACAGGCTCATAGGCAGAAGGGACTTGTCTTGTCTTAGATGAGACTTTGGGTTGTGAACTTTTGAGTTAATGCGGAAATGAGTTAAGACTTTGGGGGACTGTTGGGAAGGCATGATTGGTTTTGAAATGTGAGGACATGAGATTTGGCAGGGGCCAGTGGTGGAATGATATGGTTTGACTGTGTCCCCACCCAAATCTCATCTTGACTTCCCACATGTTGTTGGAGGGACCCTATAGGTGGTGATGGAATCATGGGTTGGTCTTTCCTGTCCTGTTCTTATGATAGTGAATGAGTCCCACAAGATCTGATGGTTTTAAAAAGGGAGCTTCCCTGCACAAGCTCTCTTTGCCTGCTGCCATCTGTGTAAGATGTGAGTTGATCTTTCTTGCCTTCCACCATAATTGTGAGGCTTCCCCAGCCACATGGAACTGTAAGTCCATTAAACTATTTTTCCTGTATAAATTACCCGGTGTCAGGTATCTCTTTATCAACAGCATGAAAACAGACTAATATACCAACTTATGATGGTTTGACTTACAATTTTTTTTTACTTTATGATGGTGTGAAATCAATATGCATTCAGTAGAAACTGCATTAAGTACCCATACAACCATTCTATTTTTCACTTTCAGTACTGTATTCAATAAGTTACATGAGATATTAAAAACTTTATTATAAAATAGTCTTTGTCTTAGATAATTTTGCCCAACAGTAGGCTAATGTGAGTGTTCTGAGAATGTTTAAGGTAAGCTAGGCTAAGCTATCAAGCTTTGTAGGTTAGGCATATTATGATATTTTCAATTTATGATAGGTCTATTGGGATATAACCTCATTATAACTTCAGGAACATCTGTAGTTTTTGCTTCAGGGGAGGCCTTTGTTTCAGAAAACAGAACACTCTTGGTATATTTCAAAATGGGTACCTTTCTTTCTCCCCCTTCCGTAGTACTTGGACATTTGTCTCTAATTTTCCCAGTGAGAACCTTGTGGGCTTCCCCCAGGAATTTTAACTCTCATGCTAGTCAACATTCAGGATGCAGCAATTTGTCAATTACATATTTTAATGTTCCTTCCAGTTTCTGGCCTCTCTGGCTTCTGCTGGTGGTAAGCTGTGATTCTCAGTGAACTCTTCTTTCTCTAGGTTTTGGAGCAGCAGTCTGTCCTGTGACCTCAGTTCTCTGATAAATCTAAGACTAGTTGTTGACTTTTAGTTTTTCTGCTGTCTTCTTGTTATGATGATGGAAGTGATGATTTCCAAGCTCTTCACACAGGGTAGAAATTGAAGATGCCAGTTTTTGTACTTTTTAACTCCAGAATTTTCTCTTTCTTTTTTTTTTCCACAATCTTTATCTCTTTATTGATATTCTCTACTCAGTGAGTTACTGTTGTCACACTTTCCATTAACTTATAAATATAATTTTCTTTAGTTCTTTGAACTGATTTATAATAGCTGTTTAACATCTTTGTCTGCTAAGTCCAACATCTAGGTCCTCTAGTAGACAGTTTCTCTTGACTGCTTTTTTCTTGTGTATGGATTGTACTTTTGTGTTTCTTTGCAGTCTCATAAGTTTTTGTTAAAAACTGAGCATTCTAGATACTATAATAGAGAAAACCTCAATTTATTTTTTCCCAGGTATTGTTTGTGTTTGCTTGTTTATTGGTTAATGCCTTGTTTAGATGAATTCTGTGGAGTCTGTCTTCCTCTACAGTGTGTAACCTCTGATGTTTCTTCTCAGGTGTTTTCTTCTTTATTATTACTTTTATTTTTATGCCTGACTCCATAAGGGTTGCTCTCATGTCAGAATTGCTTAGTCTTTCAATAATCAGTCAGATTACTCACCTTGAACAGCTAAGGTTTCTGCTCTCGTTCATGAATCTATGTGTGAGCTGGGGAACACTTTTACATTTCAGACGGTTTAATAAGTTTTCCTGGCTTTTCCTTTCTGCTTGCAAAAGGCCTCACCGTCATCTAGGGACAAGCAGATAGTTGTCTTCTCTTCTCTCCTGAGAGTGTGTGCAGCTTTGCACATGCGTACTTCATTCCAGACAATCAGGGTTAGGTGGAAGCTTATCAGGGCCTGCTCTGGCTGACTCATTTCATGGAACTTCCTGTTAAATTTTTGCCTAGTCTGATTGTTGCTTGCCCCAACTGAAATCATGCCTTAGGCTAACTAACATTGGCCCTTATCATCACCTAAATTGCTGCTACTTTTGACCATGCCCCTGAGTGTGGGGATTTTTCTGTGCCCTGCTAAATACCAAGTCAGCACTTACCCTTCCTGTCTAAGAAGCTGCTTGTTTCTGTGACTTGCCTCTTTCTAGTACATGGCTGAGCACAAATGGAAAGGTGGGGAAGGGGGATGGAGAACAGGAATAATACAACCCCAGGCTAAAATGTCACAAGAAGCTTTTATCTGTGGTTCAGTAGTTTTTCTTGCATAGATACAACTCAATTCATTTTATGCCTTTGTTCTATTTCTATGTCCTGAAATCTTTGTATTGACAAATTCATCTAGTTTTATCATTGCTTTTTGTGCAGAGGATTTGCTGAGCTCCTCATTCCACCATTCCAATTCCTTACCAGATCGTGTGTTATTGCTTCAATTTCCTTAAAGCATATTCTTTGCCTAGACTGGGTAGGGAACTTGAGAGACTGAGTGAGTCTGTAATGGTGATTGAGAGGAATGGGAAAGAAAGCTGACCAAGAATATGTAAAAGAACTGGTTGATGCTACTTATGTCCCAGCTGATGTTAGAGAATGGGAATTTATCAAGGTGCCATTTGATACTGTATCGGGATTATCTAGTACACCATTATCTAGACCAAAGTTGGTGTCCAACACTCGAATTTTACATTGTGCTAAAGTTGAACTTCATATGACCAATTTCTCAGAAGGTATCGGGGTAAGAGAAAACTAACAGTGCTGGAGACAGTGCAGTTCAGATAATTAGCCATGGGGTCAAGACTTACATGAAAGGAAGAGAAGCTATGACAGAACTGACAGCTTAGAAGAACATGAAGGAGTCAAAGGACTGGAAGTATTGGTAAGTTTGAGGAAAAAAGGTATTTTACTTGAAGTTATGAGTAAGTAGGAAATTTTTAGGAATTTGTGGTCAGAAGTCGAGTTGGGGTAGCTGTAGACCAGAAGCCTTAGAAGAGCCAGTTATTTGGTACTAACCTCTCCTTCTAGTATCTTCAGATGTGGGATAGTGAGGAGCATCTAGCTTCATGGACTGAAGGGAAAGTTGTCAGTCAAATATCTATATGATTGGATAAGAATAATAAATAGAGAATGGAGTCAAATACTAATATTTAATTAGGTGAGCTTTATTTCCAGTTTTCCCCTCACAAATTGGTACAAACAAAAACAAGCAAACAAAAAGTTTTCTCTCAAGCCTCATGGAGTTAACAGTCTAGTCTTTCTCTTTGAGCTATCAGGCAGGGTAGCATGGCCTAGTCCTCTCCTTGGCATCTAATTCATGTCTTTGATCCCAATGGCTCTTATTGCAATAGGTACCCTTTTATGACAAACCATGAGAATAAGATTTGGATGATGTTGAAATGATTTATCTTGTTAGCAATTTTGACCAGATAGTCATTTATATACATATGTGTGTATATATATGTATATATACATATGTGTGTGTGTGTGTATATATATGCATGTACACATACATATACAATGGCTTCAAAAGCATAACTTGAGGGGGAGTATTTTGCTCCTCAAAAGTTTTTTTAAGCTGGGTCACTTGGGATCCAAATAAGTAGTTGATACAGTCCATCAGATCCAATTGTTTATCATGAAGCCATTTTCCCCCACTCTTGTTTTTACCATTTAACAAGCTGCTGTGGCATGAACAAGTATAACTGTGGAACTAATAGGTCTTCTGTAACAACATATCCTTGGTGTTTAATTTATTTCCTTTTTTATTACTGATACTTCTAGTTAAGGGTCTTTCCAAGAATGCATGTGAAGCAAAGCTGAGAACTAATATGTGATTTTTTTCCTTTGCAAAACTATACTTGATTTGTCATTAATGAACTTAATCAATGACATCATAATGAATTCAGGCTTTATGGACTGTGATTCTTTGAGCTTTCACGAGAAAATTTACAAAAATCAAATACTACATGTTCTCACTTATAAGTGGGAGCTAAACAATGGGTGCATTAGATATAAAAATGAAAATTATAGACACTGGGTGAGGGTTAAAAAAATTACCTCTTGGGTATAATATTCATTATTTAGGTGGTAGGTATACTAGAAGCCCAAACCTCACCATTATAAAACATATATATGTAGCAAACCTGTACACATACCCTTTGAATCTAAAATAAAATATTTTTAAAAAGAAAGCATAAAATTAAAAAGAATATGTTTTGTTGGATTACTTTCTATAGAAACTAACTTACTAATGAATCATTAAGCACCTCACTTCAATTCTAGTTTCATCAAAGTTTCTTTATTGTTTAGCTGGAAAAATTTCTAGAGGAATAAATGCCTCTTGAAAAAGACACTCTGTCCATCATGGTTCCTGATGGTGTGGGCTGATGCCTAATCAGAACTAACTGATCATATACGGCTAGTCTTTTCTTTTTTTTAAAGAAAACAACAACTGATAGAATAGCTTAATTTAAAAAGTACATTTTCTAAAATATGCATTTAAAAATAATTAACTTACCTGTCTAACATGCATATGCATACATACGCACATAGGTACACACCAAGATAAAGCGTAGACTTTTTAAAAAAATAATTAAAACTCTTTTTTATGTTAAAGCATATGCTTTCAACACTGCACTGAAAATGGAGATTTGGACGTGTATATACATTAAATGTCTATGTGTACACTTAGTTTGCAAGCTTAGAATTACATGAACCATCTCCTGCTACTCCAAAGGAGGTTTTCTTATTTTCCTTACTGAAGAAACATCATTTCTTAGTTCATCACCATATGGAATTCTGGTGCCATACTTTTACCTCATAATCCCCCAATTTAAGGGTAACCTTTCTTCCTATTGTTAGAAATTCAAATGCCCAAATAAAAGCACTTCAAACTTTTATGTTTGTCATAAATAGGTAACTCTGTTTCCTAAGCTCCGTGGCCCATCAGCTCCTTGGACCACTCTCAGTGATCCTCTCCCGGTGTCTCCTGAGCAATGGGTCCACTGAGTGCTTTAGAAGTGCTGGCCCTAGGACTGGGAAAGGCAGCATCAACATCTAACTGTTGTTGCTATCTCCCCTCATTGCTCCCCAGAGTTTTTTCAATTAATGCCTCAACTTTTTATTCAGATCTTTATGTTGCAGTGTATCGATCCTTGAATGGTTTACAAATTCCCCATGTAATTTTCATTATGTTTCTTTCCAGCAATGAAATTCTTATCTCTCCTTTTAGAGGAAACTTCTCTATTTCTCATTTTCACCTTGAGAAATGTTACTGACTTCCTATGTGTTTTTGCTGTTTGAGGAGAGCTTACTTTCATAGTTTTTATACTTTCTTTCCTGATTGAATGCATTTTAAAATTCTATTTTATTCTATAGGAGTAATTGAGGGCAGAAACATGATGCAGTGATGCAGAGAATGAAGATAATGTATCTTACTATATCTGGGCAATGAACAATTTAAATATTCATAAATAAATTATTTTATTCAGACGATTTGTCTTTCAGGGTGTCCGCAGTGACTTCAGTAGATAAATATTCTCTTAAAGATGGTGTGTCTTTGTACATTTTTTAGAGCTTCCAGGTGGGACATGAGAATTTATTCTTATCATTAACAAGGAAAGACCTCTTCAATATAGTGCTAAGAATATTGAGATTCGATTTGAGAGAATTGCATGCCACCTGGTTCAAATTACAAGTAGAAAACAAACATTTAGCATAATATTTTCCTTTAATCAAGACCTTTTGTATTAGATTTGATTAATGATTTTTAATTTTAAAATCATTTCTTGCATGAAACTATTGCCCTTATAACTGGTAGATATGTGGCACCTTTAAAATATTGCTTCATATTTCTTTGGAAGTATTTCCATTAAAGTTTGAGGTTAATGTTTATGTCCCTTCTCCTTGAGTCTGGGAAAATTTGTGACCACTTCAACCAATACAGCATCACTGAGGCTGGACCATAAAAGGGGACTGTGCAAGTTCTGCCCTGTTATCTGGAGCACTTGCTTGTGAGGCTGAGCATACTAGGGTAAAAAGACTGACTCTCTTGACACCATTAGACTGTAAGAGAGTCCAAGCCACATGGAGAGGCCATGTATAGGGATTGTAGCTGATAGACTCAGTCAAACCTTTTCAACCCAGACTCTGGGGTTCCTTCCACATCCATTTGAGTCACCCCCAACTGTATGAGTCTTTTCATCTGAGGCCCCAAGCATCATAACACAGAGAAAAGCCATCCCTGATATGTGCTGTCTTAATTCCTGATTCTCACAGAAGCTGTGAGCGTAATAAAATGGGTGTTTTCTTTAAAAAAATCTCATTTAGTTTTTGAGTTGTTAAATAACAATTGATGACCAGAACAAGTTTATAAACATAATATTGAAGTTTCTTAGGCTGAAGTGGAGTAACTATGGAATTTTGAAAATTGCCACCCTGAAGACTGCTTGTGATCTGTGACACCATGAAAAGAATAGAGCCAATAGTATTGGCCATTTGTGAATTAACTATAACCTTTGTAACTTGGAGACATATTCCAAATATTACACAAGATTGATTGTTAATACTAAAAATTCCCTAGAATATAGTTCTAAAAAACCTTTGATGAGAAAACTCAACATTTGAAATTATTTCCTGTCATCTGAGGTTATGTTGGACAAAATTCTGCATGGATGATTTGGATGCCATGGAGGATCCTTCTTACTCCAATGGAGCTTTTCAGTTTGTTATTGACTCTGTGTTCCATATCAGTAGGAGTCTTCTGTGAAATGTCTTTACGAATTCATTCACATCCAGAAAAATGATGGTCTTTACTTATAGCTTCTGCTTAAACTATAATATTTGGAAGGATTCAGTGACATTTTCTTTTTTTCTTTCCTTTTTTTTTTTTTTTTTTGAGGTGGAGTCTCACTCTGTTGCCCAGGCTGGAGTGCAGTTGCATGATCTTGGCTCACTGCGACCTCCGCCTCCTGGGTTCAAGCGATTCTCCTGCATCAGCCTCCCGAGTAGCTGGGATTACAGGCGCACACCACCATACCCAGCTAAGTTATTGTATTTTTATTAGAGATGGGGTTTCACTGTGTTAGGCAGGATGGTCTTGATCTCCTGACCTTGTGATCTGTCTGCCTCGGCCTCCCAAAGTGCTAGGTAGTGACATTTTCATAGCAAAATTACATGAGGACAATAAAATATAGAAGCAGAAAGAGTTTAAATGCATTTCATTTCAATTTATGACATTAGCATGTCACACCGGAGGAGGGTAAGCCAATTAATTAAAATAGAGAAGAGTAAAACTGGAGAGTATCTGAAGCAAAGGGAAACTGGGACCCCCACAGTCTCCATTTGCTTTCCTTTCCCGCTTTGTATAATCCAAAGTATCCCTTATTGATTTTTGTGATAGAAAATGTCATTGTTTAAAGTCCAAAAAGGGACCAACAATAGACCTTTTTGCTCTATTTGTGCTTCATTTACCTAACAGAACAAGGCATATTTTGAAAATGGAGAACAGGGAACAAGGAGTAGTAGTGCTGGTGATCTGACGGGTGAAAATAGATTGGACCAAATATTTACTCTGCTGCAGAAACTTCAGTTATGTTAAGATAATCTCTTTAATTTTGTGTTTTAGGTTTCCGATAATATTTCAACTTAGTGCTTCCTCAAATTTTAGGAGTAATTTTGGGATCATGGAAAATGTAGATTCTGATCCATTAGGTTGGGGACTTATATTCCGTGGTGCCTTAGATCATGCATCTCTAATAAACCTACAATGATGCCCAGGACCACACTTAGAGTACAAGGGTCTTAATGACTAGTAGGTGGACCTGGCAGACAGGTGGGGAATCCTCGCCTTAACCCAGCCTTTTGTAAAAACAATACAGTTCCTTTATTTTTATTTTACTTTTATTTTCAAATAATTTTTATTATTTTCATTCGTTTTATAATTTCAACTTTTATTTTAGATTCAGGATGTATGTGTGTAGGTTTATTACCTGGGTATATTGCATGATGCTGAGGTTTAGAGTACAATTGAACCCATTATCCAGGTACTTAGCATAGTACCCAATAGTTAGTTTTACAACCTTTTCTCTCTCGCTCCCTCCCACCTCAGTTCCCAGTGTCTATTTTTGCCATCTTTATGTCCATAAGTATCCATTGTTTAGTTCCCACTTATAATTGAGAACAAGTGGTATTTGGTTTTCTGTTCCTGCATTAATTCACTTAATGATCTCCAGCTTCATCCATGTTGCTGCAAAGGACATGATATTGTTCTTTTTTTGGTGGTTGCATAGTATTCTATAGTGTATGTGTACCACATTTTCTTTATTCAATCCACCATTGATGGGCACCTAGGTTGATTCCATGTCTTTGCCATTGTGAATAGTGCTACAAGGAATGTATGACTGCCTGTGTCTTTTTAGTAGAATAATTTATATTCTTTTGTGTATATACCCAGTAGTGGGATTGCTGGGTCTAGTCGTAGTTCTGTTTTAAGTTCTTTGAGAAATATTGAAAGTGTTTTCCACAGTGGCTGAACTAATTTACATTTCCACCAACAGTGTATAATTGTTTCCTTTTCTCCACGGCCTCACCAGCATCTGTTGTTTTTTGACCTTTTAATAATAGCCATTCTGACTGGTGTGAGATGGTATCTCATTGTGGTTTTGATTTGCAGTTCTCTGACGATTAGTGATGATAAGCATTTTTTCATATGTTTGTTGGCACATGTATGCCTTCTTTTGAGAAGTGTCTGTTCATATCTTTTGCCCACTTTTTAATGGGGTTATTTGTTTTTTGCTTCTTTAATTAAGTTCCTTACAGATATTGGTTATTAGATCTCTGTCAGACTCATAGTTTGTGAATATTTTCTCCCATTCTGTAGGTTTTCTGTTTACTCTATTGATATTTTCCTTTGCTGTGCAGAAGCTCTTTAATTAAATTTCACTTTTCAGTTTTTGTGTTTGTTGCAATTGCTGTTGAGGACTTAGTTATAAATTCTTTCCCAATGCCATCCTCCAGAATGATGTTTCCTAGGTTTTCTTCTAGTCTTCTTATAGTTTAAGGTCTTACATTTAAATCTTTAATCCATTTCAAGTTAATTTTTGTATCTGGTGAAAAGTATCCCTATCAAACTACCAATATCACTTTTCACAGAATTGGAAAAGAATTCTAAAATTCATATGGAGCCAAATAAGAGCCCAAATTGCCAAAGCAATCCTAAACAAAGGAACAAAACTGGAAGCATCACATTACCCAACTTCAGGCTGTACTATAAGGCTATAGTAACCAAAACAGCATGGTACTGGTACAAAAACAGACATATAGGCCAATGGAACAGAACAGAGAAAACAGAAATAAAGCCACACACTTACAGCGAACTGTTCTTTGACAGAGTTGACAAAAATAATTGGGAAAGTACTCCCTATTCAATAAATGGAGCAATACAATTTTAGTATAAATACAATATTTGTAATAGCGTATGAAGTAATAAAATCAGCGAGTACCCAAGCTTAGGCATCACCATCCTTAAATGCTTCTTCAACTTTTTCATAATGCATCTACATAGGAAAACAAAATTTCTCCTGCAAATATGGGTGTTGGTATATCTCACATGGATACCAATCATTTTATTTTGTACAAAAATTAAAGGTAATAGCTCTATGCAGGCATAATCTGAAAGCTTTCATGTGACCTTTCTTCGGCTACATACCGTAGAATCAAGGTGTATTCTTTCCAGGAAATTAAAACATTAGTTATGTTTCTTAATAATTAATTATATTTAGATGTGAAGCTATTGATTTTCAATTTCAATGCACACATAGTTTTTGAATTTTATTCTCAAAGAAAATTAGAGGTGGCAGGTATAATCCTTGGATTGATTATCAAAGAAATACCCAGTCAAATATTCCACTATAGTAAAATTATTAGCATACATAAAGGTTTATATGTCATAGAAATAGGATACTAAACCAATGTATTTTTTTCTTCCTCAAGAAAGATGAGTTGTAGTTTGACAATTTTGTTGATGAAATATGAATGAGTAGCATTTGAAAAAACAGTTATATTTCACAGAGGTTTATTTTTTCTGAAATACAATAAATAAAGGGAAATAAAATAAGATTTTGGTGATCTGGTTTTCAGAAAGGTTAGAATGCATGATAGCCAAATAGCGTTTTTTGTTTCTTGTTTTTCATGAATCTACACATACGTGCACTGTAACATGCATGTAATCTTTCTAACAGGAGGTGGGAAGAGAACGTTGAAAAAAATCAAATGTCTGAAGTGTCTGGGGTGTTGAGCAACAAATGAGTCCCACAGCTAACCTGCTTTCTGAAATAATCTCATGTAGTTAAGCGAGTCTCTAATTAGTAGTTACAGATGTTTTTGATGTCTTTGAACTCTCTTTCAGAGACACAGTTACAGCCCATTAATAGCGTACCTGTCGATGGAAATATTTTAGGTAGTTATCTGTGTAGTGTGACAAATTGGGGAAAGGGATAAATTGGTTTAGGAACTGATGCTGCCTTGCATCTCCAGCTGTGACTCGAACGCTAATCTCAGACTTTATTACAGAAAAGAGAATGAAAGTAATAGGGTTCACAATAGGCTACCACATAGGACACTGATGGCCACAGAATCGTCACTGATGGGTGTCTGCCCTGACATTGCCAAAGCAGCAGGTAGCAGGGGGATTAATGAGATAATGTATATAAGGAGCTTTGATCTCTTTGGGGGAAGTGGCTGTGCAAATCCAAAGCTTTATATTATTGTTATGACTTTTCCTCTAACCTATGATTTTTCCACATTATGTAGGCTTGTCAATTACCCACCTGTGCCCTGTTCATACCACCATGATTTTATTTCTCATTTTTAAAGTTTATGCTTTTAATTGAGAGACATTGATGTTTCAAGATTCATCCTGGCAGATTAATACCCAGCAAAAGAGACCTGCTGTCAATGGGCATTGTGAATTATGTATTTAAAATTACCTTTGATGTCAAGGATGGCAAATTATGCACTTCACTAAAACCATTTTGTGCTTCTTTGCAAGCTATGTGATTGAAAACTGCAGATGTTTGATACCATCTTTTACTGTGTTTGTTTGGTAAGTGAAATCTTAAATCAGTTATAGTTCTTTGAAATTCATCTTCTGATGCCATTTAGAAAACATTAAGAGAAAATTTTTAAAAAATAAGACTTAGTATCTCTGAAGTTTAGCTTCTAGAAAAGTCAGACTTTCAAGTCAGATTCTGTTTTTGAATAATCCTTTAGGATGCAGAGCATTCTAACATTATAGCATGAGTAGGTTACAGAATCAAGAAGTGGGAGGCATTAATCGGGAGCATTTTCCTCCCTCAGGCATACATTTCAGGGAGAAGGCATACATAGAAGATGAATCAATGTGTACTTTCTCAGTGGAACACATAATATTGTTCTTTTTGGGGTCTTTAATTACTTCCAGAAGGAAAACCTGTCAGTATTGAGTTTCTTCTTTGAATGGTTCATCGGGTAATGGTCTGAAGAATTTTCTAGTAGTAATTTCTTTAAACTAAGAAATTACTTTAACTAAGAAAATAAAATATAGATTATTCACACTTTTAGATACAGATGTAGCAGTCATAACTCGCACAATTTTCTGCCCTCGTGGAAAAGTGATAGAGATAGAGAAGGAACAAAGAGTAAGTATCTGGAATTGTGAGATACGGATTCAAGAAACATTTACAAAATGTGAAGTGTCCTGAATTCTATTCTTCCACATACATTTCCCTTTTGAATACTCTTGATATCTCTGAGGGAGGGTTGTTCTGTCACATCAATGAGAAAACAAAAGCTAAAATAAGTAACTTATATCCACACACTAGTAAATGTTGGAGTTTTGATTCAAATTCTCAGATCTTCTGACTTAGAAATCTGGGGTATTTTACATTATAACATGCCATTAGGAAAAGTAATATTTAACTTTGTGTTGTGGCTATCTATTGCTGCTTAACCACCTCCAAACTTAGGGGTTTAAAACAACAGAAACGTTTGTTTGGCTCGCAAATCTGAAATTTGAGCAGAGTTAGCTTGATGGGAAGAGCTTGTCTCTGTTACACTCAGTATCAGTTGGGCTGCAACAGTCGGAAGCCTCCTTCACTCACATGTCTGGCGGTGATGCTGGCCACAGCCTGGCATCTCAGTTGGGTCTGTCACCTGCAACACCTACACATGACCTCTCTAAGGCTATGACTTCCAAGAGTCAGTGGGACACACACACACGTGCGCATGCACACACACAGAAAAGGCAGGGGATCCAGGTGGAAGTTATGTCACTGCTTCCTTTAAACTACCCTTGAAAGTTATACAGAGTTTACTTGTATAACTTTGTTGTTATTGGAACCAAGTCATCATGATTGGATCATATTCAAGGGGAAAGGAATTAGACTCCACCTTTTGATGGGTGGAATATGAAAGGATTTGCAGATTGTAGATGTATAAAACCATCACAGATTGCCTAACAACAGCAAATTTTCATAAGTTTGGTGAGCAAATATAAGTGGTAGAAAATAGGTATCCTGCCCTAGCAGATCTGTATTGCCTCTCATGCTCATAGGCAGCAGGGCTAAAAACCAAAGGATAATGTGACTCTGTTAGCCCCTGAATCCTCATGGTGACCTCCCCAAAATAGCTACGAGGTCCGTGGGTGGAAATGCTGGCCATTCTGTAGATGCAGCCTAAGGTATAATTTTCCATATTTAGATACATGGTAGGTAGGTCTTCATTTGTACTCGCATCTTGGGCTGCACAAATGTTAGGTGTGGTCCTGTTTATGAAACAAATGCCCGTTTGAAAAGATGCAGATGGGTCCACTTCTGAGGTCATGTTCTAGTCACAAAAGTTATGTTTTATCATCAACTCAGTTGTAAGGATGAACTAAAGATTTGAGTACTGCTGCATAGTCTTTAGAATTTGTTATAAATAATTGGTATGTTAAACTCTCTGTTGCTCTCAATACAAGTAATTCTTAATCACTACTTTTAAATATGTATTCCCAAGATAAACAACCCTTCTAGTTATTTCTATACTCTGATGCTTTGGATTCTATCTACAGTGAATATTTTAAAGCCTGAAGTGGGAGAAACCAGACAAGAAAATTCATTGCAGAAAAGTGCCTCAAAAAGGCACAATATTTAATGTCTAGATATTATGTACATTATCATAATACAAATTCTAACAGGTATATTTTCTAAGGCATTGTTAGAGATCTACAATATTGCTTCTGACTGATTATGTAGAAGTAGTTTCCATATCACAATTTCATGTAATGACTCTCAATGAAATGCCAAGTCTGTGATAACAAAACAGAACAAAATGGAAATGCTTTTTCAGGAAATGCTTTAAGAGGCATGATTTCCAGAGAGTCTGGATGAATAGCTTCAGTCAGATATTTCTCTGAAGTCTTGTGTGTTATCTTAAAGTTCTGAATATTTATATTCTATCCAATAATATAACTGTGGTTGATATAGATGCATGTTGATATGTATGTATGTATGCTGATATATAAATGCACATGTCAGTGACAATTCTAAATATATAATAATAATAAAGAAATAATACAATAAAGTATTGGCTCAGGAGCTAGATGTTCAGAGGTAAATCCTTCCTTTGCCATCTACTACTATGACCATGGAAATGTTACAAAAGCACTCTTTGCTCCGGTTTTCTTATCTTTGAAATAGAATAATTTATACCTACCTCACAGGAGTTTAATAAAAGCATTAAATGAATTAATAAATTAATACATGTGAAATCCTTGAATCCTGACTACACAAATACTATGTGTTCAATAAATTGAATAAAATATTACATGCTCAATTCTATAGCTCAATAAACATTAGGTATTGTTCTAGTTATGTACTGCTTTGTAACAAGGCACTCTGAAATCCTGTGACTTAGAACAGGAGCAACCATTTTATTCTCTCTCATGCTTTTTGTGGGTCAGGAGTTTGGGAAGGGCTTGACTGGATGATTCTGGTTTGAGGAGCTGTAGCTGGAACAATGAGGGGCTGGAGTAGCTGGGAGCTGACTGGACATTTCTCTTCATGATGTTTCTGGGCTTTTCATTTGTTCTCATGTGTGGGCTGTTTTGGACTTCTTCACAGCATTGCTGCTTTGGGGCCAATATCTTGCATATGTAGAGGCTCAGGGTTCAAATCGTGATTGTCCAGCCGCCAGGCAGAACCTAGCCTCAGAAGTCGTGCAGCATCTCTTCCACTGTACCCTATTTCTTGGACCAGCCACAAAAGTCCAGCCAGTTTCAAGAAGAGGGAATGTAGATCTCATGTTTTAATGGATGGAGTTGCATCATAAGGGGATTATGTGAGGTAAGCGGTATTATTTAGACCATCTTAGGAGATACACTCTGCTACAGTTGTTATTTATTATCAATTGCTTCTTGATACTGTCAAATACACCAAAGGGATATGTACCAATAATTGAAGAAACATAGTGCTAAGTATATTGCTCTCATGAAATGAAAATTGCCTGTCTCAACCAGGCCATTGCCTGATACTAAAGAGCATTCAACTCTGTGGAATTCTCTCACAAATGCAGATATTCTATATTGTTGGTTGAAAGAAGATACATATGCTGTTGATACCAGATACAAAGATATCCTACTTCATATTTTGTTAATGAAATGAAAAAGTCTAATTTCATCCATTGTCTAAATAGAGAATCCATTTCTTCTTAAGATTGTGCACTGGGAACACCTTAGGGCATTGTATTTATCTCTAGGTATTCAAAGAAGACCATGTTCATTTTCTTCTAGAATTAAAAGCCAAAAATTATCCATCTTTAAAGATGTCTGGCATTCAAGAAACCTGGCTGTTTTGATCCAAGAAATTCCTCTATAGGGCTATTAGCTTTTTCAAAGTTGACTGACTCAAGAATCTGAGAACAAAGAGATCTCTAAGGAGAAAAGTTTTTTTTTTTTTTTTTTTTTTTTTTTTGAGACAGCGTCTGGCTCTGTCGCCCAGGCTGGAGTGCAGTGGCGCGATCTCGGCTCACTGCAAGCTCCGCCTCCTGGGTTCACGCCATTCTCCTGCCTCAGCCTCTCAAGTAGCTGGGACTACAGGAGCCCGCCACCGCTCCCGGCTAATTTTTTGTATTTTTAGTAGAGACGGGGTTTCACTGTGTTAGCCAGGATGGTCTCGATCTCCTGACCTCGTGATCTACCCGCCTCGGCCTCCCAAAGTGCTGGGATTACAGGCGTGAGCCACCACGCCCGGCCAGGAGAAAAGTTTTTATACATGTTCGTGTCTGTCTCATTCTCCCCTTCCCACGCTTGGGACTATGTTACAATTTTGAGACAGCAAAGGATTATTAGTGCCCTCACAATCTTTGTTTGCAATAAGTTGATAATGTGAACATTAAAGCTTTATCTCTCCATCACCATTTTTTCTTAATTGAAGACTATTGTGAAATAGTCAAAACATAAACCTGAAAAACAAGTATTCATGCAGTGAAAATGCCTCAGAATCAAAGAGGTAAGAAACTGCTCTGTGGGAAAGATTGTCTGCATTTCCAAAACTCTTGTTATACAGTATACTTAAAGAAGGGAAGTAGTTGGTGGCATACTCTTGGTTCTAGCAGAGATAAGCTTCTAAATGTAGACTTGGCAAAAAGAAAGCACAGGTGTGAAAAAGTAATGTCCCTTGATATAGTCTCTTATGGAATATTTGTTCCTTCGAAAATAAATTCTGTGAGTTGCAAAAGAACATGTACAGTCTGATTCAAATATTCAAATATGGAAAGCTACATACATACACAAACACATAGACATTTCATAGACAAAAACCTGGATGAGTAACTAAAACACACCAAAAACTAAAATGTCCTCAGCAATTGCCTCTAGGAAGGGGAGTGACTTGGAGCTGTGAAAGAAGCATGAAAGGGAAATTTTCAGTTTTCACCCATTTCTATGTGAGTTGACCTTTATTTTAGCAAAAATATACTATTTGTATTTTTTGTGTAGAAATTGGGGCATATTGGTTACCAGGTAAATATGCTTATTTGGCATTTATTTTATAGGAGAACATATTAATATTTTGGAATTTCAAAGCTGAAAACACAATAGAGGAAATATCACTTCTCAGAGTATCTCTTACTGTAAATTGTTTACTTCTTTATTAAAAACCACAATGTATCTGTTACCTCTTATTGTGTGACAATCCTTCCTCCATACCCCTCTCCCTGGCAAAACCTGTAACAACTTAGTCATTTAAAATAACAGTTCATTATTTATTGTGATTCTGTGGTTGATTAGATAGTTCTCCACATGCTTTCAGTTGGTATCACTCACGTGGCTGGGCTGGAAAGAAGGCTGTCTCGGTAAGGCCTGGGTACTTGCAGCTGGCAGTTGGCTGTGGTACCTTGAGTCTTTTCCATGTGGCCTCTTCCTCCACATGGCATCTCATCCTCCAGGGCCCCTTCAAGTGGTCCCTGTCTTCAGGAGAGACTGCGCTTCCTTACAGCATGAACACTGGATTTCATGAAACTAAAATTAAAAGCTGTTGGGCTTTTAAAGGTTAGACTTGAAGTGGTATAAGGACACTTCTACTGTTTTATATTGGTCAAAACAAGTCACAAGATCTTACAGGTTCAAGGAGAGGGGGAAATAAACAACTTCTTGAAAGGAGGAGTGGCATGTTTAAACAAACTTTTGGTGGCCATGTTTGGAACTGTTACCTAGTGTAATGTCTATGTGACAGAATTGAATTTCCACCCTATCCTAACTCTGTTTAACTTTAAGGAACAAGATACCTGTGATAAAAAGCTCCCTTTGTAACCAGACCAGCTGAGACTGGTTAGAACCAAGATAGCCAACCTAATGACCTCAGAAACACCTCAAGCTTCATTATAATCTCATTTTCACGCTAAATGACACTCCCACCAGCACCAAGAGGTTGACAATCGCCATCACAATGACCAGAAGAAGCTGTAAAAGGACAAAGAGAAAGGCAGCACTCTGGTTCTAAGAAGTTTACTATTCTACCACTCCCACCCTGCTTTTAATATCCAACCCCTTCATTAGAGAAACCCTATATTTTAACCTCCTCACTGGTTGAGAAGCTGATTTGTGAGCCCTGCTCCTGCTTCTCAGTTCCATGGCCATTGAATCAAGCCTGTACTGCTGGACACTCACTTTTAGTTTTGTGTGTTGGCTTCATGACATCAAAGAGGGGGAAGACCCCATCTTCTGGGAGACTGGCTTTATTGTTAACAGAACCATCTGCCATACTCTTATCATCACTGCCTTGCAGGAGCAGTCTTTACTATGAACCTGTTGAGAATACTTGTGCTATAAAACTATATATTAAGGTAATGCCAGCTGCTGCAACAAGCTCAGAACTGAATCTCAGAGGATTAATGCAATATGCTTGTTTCTTGTTTACACGACAGTCCAGGTGTTCCAGGTCAGGCAGCTCTTGTTCAGTTGGCAATTCAGTGACCCATCCTCCCATGGTATGGTCACTCTTTCATCTTCATCATATGGTTTTCACATATCCTGTGCTTGTTGGCAGTGATCATAGAAGGATAAGGAGCATCACACAGGGAGGTTTTTAAGAGCCACGTTGTGGAAATGGTGCCCTTAATTTCTACTCACATTTCTCTGGCTGAAACTCAGTCACATGGTCATGCCTAGCTGCAAGGGAGGCTGGAAAATGTCTAGTGGTTGTGTAGCCCAAAGCAGAAAGGGGTTTGGTAATTAGCCACATGTCTTTCCCCCATTTCCAAAATAGGAAAGAATGAGAAATAACTTTCTATATCAGTTATATAGGCCTCTGCACTGGTTTATTCAAAGCCACCTGAGAAACTTGCTCTTTTAATTGAAATTTTAAAATAAATTGAAGGTACTTTTTTTTGAGTTTCATAGGGGCAAGATGTCTGTGTATTAGGGATTGGGATATTATGAGAATGGTATTAAACTTGATTGAAAGCCCATAAAGAGAAATCTGAACTTACCAAACATAAATTAAGGATAATTAGAGGAAAAAAGTTTATCTTGCTTCCTTTATATATTTATCCAGTTACTTTAAAGTAAGATTGTTTATAAAAATGGATCTGCCCAAATTTTCTTTGGTGTAAAGTATAGGTGTAGGTAACAGTTGTCTGAGTAGCAGGTGCCAAAACAGGATTATATGTGAAGAGATATTTATTGAGGAGGGAGCCAGAAGAGACTAGAAGAACTTTCAGACCATGATGCAGGTCTCATCTCTCTGAAACAGAGAGGGCAGGGATGAAGGGTTGACGGGAGAAAGAGTGGAAGGAAGGTCTTAGACTGCAGCATAGTTTTAGGACAGTTTCAGCAAGGCTAACAGGGTCTTCCCATCAGTGAACTCTTGGATCTTGCAGTGATGGTCTTAGTCATTGGCTGGGAATAGCCCATGGGAAGCATGCCCGATCACAAACAGTGAATGGTTTCAGAATGCAGCAGCTAGGGCTGTTTGGCAATTATGTTCCTAACAGTAGGAGATCTAAGAGGTGCATTTTTATGGTTGCCATAGTATGCCTTTGTTCCTATGGCATAATTAGAAATTACAAAGTGGTATAAAAATAACTAGCAGTTATTACAAAAGACATTTATGTTCATTTACTCCTTATTTATCCTACTGACTGTATCAGAGCAGTGGTTTGAAAAATCCTAGATGGATGTGGTCAAATTCATTTTCGTTTTTGGCCTAAAACTTGCTTCTATACTACCAGTGTCATATGAGAATGTCTGATGTTTGCCTCACTTCAAAAGTGATAAGAGAAAAACACTATAAATTGGCATCTCAGGAGGAGTCAGCTGTCCCTTTCTATTCTCCTCTTAACTGCTTTCAACTCCATTATCCTGCTAACTATGAAAAGCATCATTTCTCAGACTAGGCTTCAATATCTCCCTTTGCCTCTATTATACTTTTGTTGTTTGTGTGTTTTATCACAACAGGATTCTAGAAATAACAAACATTCTCAAATATAGAAAGTAGCTTCTTAGCAGAAATAATTAGTAGGACATCAAAGATTAAACTAGCTTTCTGTGATAAGTTTTTTTCAATAGCACGTGAGAAAATGCTTTGTGGCATTGGATTAGTATGTTGTCTTCTTTTGAATTGTTTTGGAAAGGAGAGGCTATTGAGACAGGGATAATTCAGAATGCTGTGCTTGAATTACAATCTTATTCATTTTTATTCTAATTCGTGAAAAACAAGAGTTTGAAATTAAAGAGAAGTATAGGAAAACTTTTTGTTATGTCTACTTTAAAATGGATACTGCTGTTTTTCCTTTAAGCTGCTGAATGGTTAGAAGTAATGATCATAATTTAATCAGATTAACAGACACTTCTCTCTCCAGTAATTTAGACCTTAAGGAAATATGTAATTGATTATAGGGTAGGCTTAGGGGAAAGATGCACTGTGGACTCAACTGGTTACCCCTGTATCACTGAGCTGCCTTTCCAAATTTAATGTACTGGTTCTGTCACCCCATAATCTTTTATGTGAAAGAAAAGCACAGCACATTTAGTAATTTTAGAGAATTTGAGGTAGATCAGCTTGCCTGCTATTATTACTCATTTTCCCAGTCATCTTTATGCTCATCATAGAACTGATAAATGGATTTAGTAGGAACATACTTATTGGCAGTAGGGGGAAAATAGCCCACTTAAAGTTTCAAATGTTGTAAAAGCTATCACTGTACGTGAAGACTAAAGTGGTCTGGTGTAGTCTGGGAAGAAATGGGAAACGAATCATGTTTTTCAATAAAAGATGCAAAATTCTAGGAGGTGAATGGGAAGGAAAAATAATGTAAAATGCAATAATGCTAAAAGATATTCATTTGATCATTCATTCATTCATCAGTTACTTTTCCAGGTGTTGCGCAGACAGCAGAGAACATATAGAAGGATTAAGGTGTTAGGAAGGAAAAAGTCTTATTTCTTACAGTCAGACATTTGGGCTCATTCTAATACACACTTTAAATAACTAAATTCCTGAAAAATCAAAATGATGACAACAGTAAGAAGTATAATAATTATAACCATCATTTGGAAGATTCTATGCTAAACATTTTATGTGGATGATATAATTTTTGCAATGACTTTATCCAGTACATACCTTTGTCACTCTAATTTTAATAGTTGAAGAGATTGAGCCGAGCTCCAAGGGCATTTCCAGTTCCATTTGCACTCAGAACAGTATAGCTATTACTGTTCTTTATTATGAATTAGGAAGAATGTGCTTTTTGTTTACTTTTACTCAAATTTATTTGGAAAGCTAATCAAGGGTTATCAGTACTCTGATTAGTCAGACTCTGGGTGTCCAGACCCCTCCTAGTGGAGACTGCCTTTATTCAGATCTTTTAGGATTCCATAGCAATAAATGCTCTTGTATGGGGTTTGTGGGAGCCTGGGTTTCTTCTGAATGGAATTCAGTAAATGTGGGGAGTCCTGGGTATACTCCACAGTTTTCATTTTGTCTGGGTCTGCACCATGTTCTGTGGTGTGTAGAACTGTAAGCTCTGAGGCTCTTTTGTGAGTCTTTTTCTGGTTTTTCATTAAGATGTTACTTATAAAGAGAGGAAAGAAACATGGAATGATGTGAGAGCAAGGGTTATGTGCAGTGGGAGCGTGGCTGGTACTTCCAAAGTAAAATACGTAAACATTTGAACTGTTAGAAAAGACGACCAAGTGGCATTGAGCAAATTGCACATGGTATTTGGTTCTCTTTAGCTATAAAAACCCAGTCCACTAATACTGTGCTCAATCTTTGAGAATCCTTGGGGTACATGTTCACAGGACAAACACAGAAATCCATTTCACTTACATGATGAGAGTCCATTATGTGCTGTGCTGCCTAAGGCAGGGTGACAGGGATGAAGGTTACTAAGTAGCAACAGTTAGCTTTTTAGTGATACTTACTTTAAAAGCAAAATGGCAATAGCAACTGCCACCTCTGAATGAATATATTAAAGAGAAAACTAAATGGAAATTTGTGGAACAAAATATACAGTCATCGAATGCTTAATGATGAGGGTATGTTCTAAGAAATTAGTTGTTAGGTGATCTTGAAATTGTGTGAACATCATAGAATATACTTACACAAATGTAGGTGGTACAATTACTACACACCTGGGCTCTATGGTATGGTCAATTGCTCCCAAGCTACAAACTCATACAGCATGTTGCTGTACTGAATACTGTATGCAAGTGTAACACAATGATAAATGTTTGCATACCTAAACACAGAAAAGATACAGTAAAGATATGGGATAAGAGATAAAAATTAGTATACCTGTTGGACATTTACCATGAATGGAGCTTGAGGGCCCAGAAGTTGCTCTGGGTGAGTCAGTGAGTGAGTAGTGGGTGCATGAGAAGGCCTAGGACATTATTGTTCACTACTATAGATGTTATAAACAATGTACACTTAGGTTGTACTAAATTTATAAATAAATGTTGTCATTAATAACCTTAGCTTACTGTAACTTTTTACTTTTAAAAAAACTTTTGGGCTCTTTTATAATGATACTTAGCTTAAAACACAAACATTATACGATTATACAAAATTTTTTTCTTTAAATCTTTATTTTATAAAGATTTAAGATTTAATCATTATTTTATAAAGGAAATATATATAATATTTTCCATTTTTATTTTCTCTTTTTACTTAACATTTTTTTTAAAACTAAGACACAAACACATACATTAGCCTAGGCCAAAACAGGGTCAGGATCATCAAATATCACTGTCTTTCACCTCCACATCTTGTCCTGCTGGAAAGTCTTCAGGGACAATAACACACATGGAGCTGTTATCTTCTGTGATAACAATGTCTGCTTCTGGAATTCCTTCTGAAGGAACTGCCTGAGGCTGTTTTACAGTTAACTTAAAAAAAAAAGTAGAGAAATATACTCTGAAATAATTATCAAAGTATAGTAAATACAAAAACCAGTAACATAGTTATTTATCATTATCAAGTATTATATGCTGTACATAATCATATTGGATAGACTTTTATATGACTGGCAGTACAACAGGTTTGTTTACGCCAGCATCATTACAACCACGTGAGTAATATACTGCGTTGTGAATGTTATGACAGCTACAAAATCACTAGGCAATAGAAACTTTTCAGCTTCATTATAATCTTATGCAGTTGATTGTTGACTGAAATGTCATTATGTAGAGTATGACTATATGTCTTGGCATTTTAATTCAGTTATGATATATGGGGATTTAAAGTTTAAAAAGGAAAAATAATATGTATGTAGTAGGTGTGCATATGTGAGTTGTATGCTTATTGTGAAACAATATCCACTGAACCTAACAAAGATTTTGTTTGGTAAGGGAATTAGAATTCAATATTGCTGTTAGAGGGGTGACAAAAGCAATTTTTTTACATGTACCTATCCATCAATTGTAATTTTTTAAAAAAATGAACATATATTTATGTATTACATATATAAGAAAAGAAAAAAATGTATACTAAAGTGCTTTAAAAGTAAGATAATACCCAAGATATATCTACTTTTTGTACAGATAAATTGTTTGCAAATTGTGTATACTGACATCATCCCTAGTGGTGGTTTTCTCACCCCTGGGCAGTTTTATCTGATGTGGTAATTGTCAAGGGTCTTCAATATCACGATTGGAAGTGTGGGATAAAGAAAACAGCTGGGTTCTAAATGGCGAAAAGTAACATGAAATTTGCTAAAACTTTTCCAAATTTTTCTAAATAGACTAGCAATAAAATGACATTTTGAAAAATATTTCCATTTCAAATCAATTGAGGATAATGTTAATCTACACACAATAAGTAAGTTACATTTTTATTATAAAAATTTTTGCTTATTATATGATTTAATATATTATCCCATATTCATCTGAAATAAAATACATCCAAGATAAGAGTTGGTAACTTCAGCCATCTAATTAGTTTGACTACCTGTTTGGCCATATAGTGGTTGGTTATTAGAGTATATTTGAACAGCTCATTTAGTTGAGTACATAAATAGATATTCTCATTCCTTTTCAGCCAAGAGTGCCTGATGATGGGGAATGGTGTTACAGATTCTGTGCCGGGTGTTCATTGTTTGAAAATCTATATTCATGGAAAACTTCATGCTCTACATTTGGCATATTCAATTGTAGGATTACCTTATAGCTAGTGGGTATTGATTTGTCTGGGTGGGTAGTATTAAAGATTTACTTTCTACCTTCAATTACTAAAACATTAATAAATGTTTTTATAATTCTAATGTTTGAAGAGTGTAGAATGTTTTGGCATTTCTAAGAAAGTTATATGTGCCTCATGTTTGTTTAAAATTCTTACAGAGCAGTTTATGAAGGAGTGTGGGAAAGGAATCAATGCCTCATACTCGAAATAATTTTTCTTCTCCTGAAATTGCTTAATGACTGGAAGAGTCCCAAACACTTTGAATTTGAGCTCAGGACTTTTCTTGACACAATTATCCATAAACATTGAGCAAACACAATAATTTTTTGACTGATTGATAAAACATTCTTTGAGCTTCTACTATAAGCAAGGCACTTTGTACTCTATGAGGCATCCAACGAACTAAGAGATGTGGTTCCTTCATAGCTATTCTCTTGAGAACTGTTAATTGGGGGAAACTTTAAATAGATGAAGTTTAAAAAATAATAAATTTATAACTAAAATTTAATAAAGTTGGGAACATAAATTTTTATTAATACTATTCTAGTTTGATGTTTTTCTTTATTGACCAGATTCTTTTCTTGCTGATTCTAATTTGATTAGGGGAGAAAACTTTTGAGCAAACTAATTAGGTTTGTGAGATTAAAAATGCCTAGAATTTCCACCTTAAATCTTTTGGCAACAGTGGGTGAGACAGACCAAATGATGTATACTTTCAGGTATTTGCACATACACTGTAATGGAACTTGCAGTGACAAGTTAATAGATTACTATTCTCTAACTGTGTACTTTATTCTTTTAAAAATATAATTTTCCAAGGTTTATTATATATAATATATATTTAAATATATATACATATATATGTAAAATACATAAATGAGAATTTTAGCTGTATGCTCTAACTAAGGAGGTAAGGATTGAGCTGGTAATGGAAAGAGATGAAACTCAAGTATGAGATTTTGTTTAGTTTGATGCCTCTTTTTCACTCTCTTTCTGATCAGATTCTCGGGGACGTCAATGATAGTCTGAGAAAACATGGATTATCAAGAATTGGCCACTGTACCTGATGTGAACAGAGAACAAATGACAAATTTTTTTTTTTAATTTCCGTAAGCTATTGGGGTACAGGTGGTATTTAGTCACAAGAGTGAGTTCTTTAGTGGTGATTTGTGAGATTTTGGTGCACCCATCAACCTAGCAGTATACACTGCACCATATTTGTAGTCTTTTTTCCCTCTACTCATCTCATTTATCCCCCCAAGTCTCCACAGTCCATTCTATCATTCTTATGCCTTTGCGTCCTCACAGCTTAGTTCCCACATATCAGTGAGAAAATATGACGTTTGGTTTTCCATTCCTGAGTTACTTCACTTAGAATAATAGTCTCCAATCTCATCCAGGTCACTGCAAATGCTGTTAACTCATTCCTTTTTATGGCTGAGTAGTATTCCATCACATATGTATACCACAGTTTCTTCATCCACTCATGGATTGATGGGCATTTAGGTTGGTTCCGTGATTTTGTAATTGTCAATTGTGCTGCTGTAAACATCCATGTGCAAGTATCTTTTTCATATAACGACTTCTTTTCCTCTGGGTAGATACCCAGTAGTGGGATTGCTGGATCAAATGGTAGTTCTACTTTTAGTTCTTTAAGGAATCTGCACACTGTTTTCCACAGTGGCTGTACTAGTTTACATTCCCACCAGCAGTGTAGAAGTGTTCCCTGATAACTGCATCCATGCCAACATCTACTGTTTTTTTATTTTTTTATTACGGCCATTCTTGCAGGAGTAAGGTGGTATCACATTGTGGTGTTGATTTGCATTTCCCTGATCATTAGTGATGTTGAGCATTTTTTCATATGTTTGTTGGCCATTTGTATATCTTCTTTTGAGAATTGCGTATTTATGTCCTTAGCCCAATTTTTGATGAGATTTTTTTTTCTTACTGATTTGAGTTTGTTGTAGATTCTAGATATTAGTCCTTTGTCAGGTGTATAGATTATGAAGACTTTCCCCCACTCTGTGGGTTGTCTGTTTACTCTGCTGACTGTTCCTTTTGCCATGTAAAAGCTGTTTAATTTAATTAAGTCCCAATTATTTATCTTTGTTTTTATTGCATTTGCTTTTGGGTTCTTGGTCATGAAATCCTTGCCTAAGCCAACATCTAGAAGGGTTTTTCCAACATTATAATCTAGAATTTTTGTAGTTTCAGTTCTTAGATTTAAGTCCTTAATTCATCTTGAGTTGATTTTTGTATAAGGTGAGAGATGAGGATCCAGTTTCATTCTCCTACATGTGACTTGCCAATGATCCCAGCACCATGTGTTGAAAAGGGTGTCCTTTCCCCACTTTATGTTTTTGTTTGCTTTGTTGAAGATGAGTTGGTTGTAAGTATTTGGGTTTATTCCTGAGTTCTCTATTCTGTTCCGTTGGTCTATGTGCCTATTTTTATACCAGTACCACACTGTTTTGGTGACTATGGCCCTATAGTATAGTTTGAAGTCAGGTAATGTAATGCCTCCAGATTTGTTCTTTTTGCTTAGTCTTAGGCTATGCAGTCCCTTTTCTGGTTCCATAAGAATTTTAGAATTGTTTTTTCTAATTCTGTGAAGAATGAGGGTGGTATTTTGATGGGGATTGCATTGAATTTGTAGATTGCTTTTGCCAGTGTGATCATTTTCACAATGTTGATTCTACCCATCCATAAGCATGGGATGTGTTTCCATTTCTTTATGTCGTCTATGATTTCTTTCAACAGTGTTTTGTAGTTTTCCTTGTAGAGGTCTTCAACTCCTTGATTAGGTATATTCCTAATTATTTTATTTTTCTTGCAGCTATTGTAAAAGGGGTTGAGTTCTTGATCTGATTCTCCATTTGGTTGCTGTTGGTGTATAGAAGAGCTACTGATTTGTGTACATTAATCTTATATCCAGAAACTTTGCTGAATTCTTTTATCAGTTCTAGGAGATTTCTGGAGGAGACTTTAGGGTTTTCAAGGTAAATGATCATGTCATCAGCCAACAGTGACAGTTTTACTTCCTCTTTACTGATTTGGATGCTTTTTATTTCTTTCTCTTTCCTGACTGCTCTGGCGAGGACTTCCAGTACTATGTTGAAGAAGAGTGGTGAGAGTGGGCATCCTTGTCTTGTTCCAGTTCTCAGAGGGAATGCTTTCAACTTTTCCCCATTCAGTATTAGGTTGGCTGTGCGTTTGTTATAGATGGCTTTTCTTACATTGAGTTATGTCCCTTGCATGCCAATTTTGCTGAGAGTTTTAATCATAAATGGATGCTGGGTTTTGTTGAATGATTTTTTTTCTGCATCTATTGAGATGATTATGTGATTTTTGTTTTTAATGCTGTTTATGTGGTGTATCACATTTATTGACTTGTGTATGTTAAACCATCCCTACATCCTTGGTATAAAACCACTTGATCATGGTAGATTATCTTTTTTCTTTTTGAGACAGAGTCTTTCTCTGTCACCCAGGCTGGAGTGCAGTGGTGAGATCTCAGCTCATTGCAACCTCCACCACCCTGGTTCAAACAATTCTTCTGCCTCAGCCTCCAGAGCAGCTGGGACTACAGGCACATGCCACCATGCACAGCTTTTTTTGTGTGTGTATTTTTAATAGAGATGGGGTTTCTCCATGTTGGCCAGGCTAGTCTCAAACTCCTGACCTCAAGTGATCTATCCACATTGGTCCCCCAAAGTGCTGGAATTACAGGTGTGAGCCACTGCGCCTGGCTGGATTATCTTTTCGATATGTTGTTGGAGTTGCTTAGCTAGTATTTTGTTAAGGATTTTAGCATCTATATTTATTAAGATGACAAATGTTAAAGGTCTCTAAAGGGGTAACTGAGAAGAAAGAGCTATAAAGACAGGAAGCTGAATGTATAGAGGTTAAAATTATGATTCTGCAGCTATGTGTATCTTGGTTCAAATCTTGGTTCCACCATTTACAAACATGACCTTGGTATAAACTTACTGAATCTCTTTTCACTTACTTTTATTATTCACAATATATAGATACCCATAATAAGAGTAACCATCTTATTACAAGGATTAAATAAAACAATTCAGATATTATATAGCACATAGTAATCACTAAAATGTAACATGTTATTACTATTCATTATTATGTACATAAGAGTGGCATGAGAACTGAGGAAGCCTGGGAAAAGTAGGAAGAAGAATTGTAAATTAAATGAGAGGTGGCATTATACGTGTAGGAGCCATTTTCAAAATTGTGGTCAGGTTAAAAAGTTATCGACTCCCTACTGTTCTATAGGAATTGTTTTGTAAGCAATACTTGGATCGTTGGCCCCATAAGGCTTTAGGTTATTACTGGATTTCACTGCCTGTCTCCTTCTCTTTTTCACTAAAGTGCTTCTGAAGCATAAATGGTTTCTCTGCCCCTGTGACCTAGATATAGATCTTTGTCCATTTAATTGGTAATGGGGATCAGGATCCCTAGAGAAGCAGAGATCTTGACACAAGGAAGACTTAGGGGAATATCTGGGGACTATTTGGTGCAGCTTTAAATATAGATCTTTGAAAAAAAATCCCAAAAGAGGGCTATAGGATAAATCTAAAGGGAAGAAAAAAAGAAACTGGGCCTGTAGAGAAACTAACTGATAAGGGAAAATGCTGTGGCCCTAGAAAAGGACAAGATGAAAGAGAAGGAAATAAAATACTGGAGCTCAGACAATGGAAGTTGATTATGTGTTATATTTTGACCTGAGAGAATATTTTTCTTTAGAGTGTCTCAAGGTCTGTCCCTTATGTTTTTAATTTAAATAACCCTTTTATTTAGAATGGCTTTAGATTTACAAAAATGTTACAGAGATAAAACAGAAGATTCCCATATACTCCTCAACCAGTTTCCCTATTGTTAATATTTTACATTGCTATGCAACCTTTGTCACAACTAAGAAACCAACGTTGGTACATTACTAAGAACCAATATCCACATTGGCTTTTGATATCACTAGTTTTTTCCTAATGTCCTTACTCTGTTACAAAATCCCATACATGATATCACATTACATTTAGTTGTGTCTCTTTAGGCTTCTCTAATCTGTGACAATTTCTCAGAGTTTCTTATTTTTGATGACCTTCACTGTTTTGAGGAGTACTGGTCATGTGTTTCATTGAATGTCCTTCTATTGGTATTTGTCTGACGTTTTGGTTGTGCTTAGGATAGGGATAGAGGTTTTGGGGAGGAAAATCGCAAGGTGAAATGCCATTTTTATCATATCATACCAAGGGTACATGCTGTCACCATGACTTCTCACTGATGATGTTAGCCTTGATGATCTTGCTGAGGTATCACGTGTTAGGTTTCTTTGCTGTAAAGTTTTCTTCCCCCTTTCCAAATTCTGATTTTTGGAAGCAAGTCACTAAATTCAGTCCCCAGTCAAGGGTTGGGGAGTTATACTCCACCTTTTTGAGGATAGATCATCTACACAAATTATTTAGGATTCTTTGTCACAAGAGATTTTTCTCTGCTTTCTCATTTTTAATGTATTCAATCACTTATTTCAATTAGTACACATTTATAGTTAATTATTTTACACTTTGGGTTATAATCCATTAGTGTGTTATTTGCTTTTTTTGCTCAAATTATTCTAGCTTTGACCACTGAGAGTTCTTTCAGTTGGCTCTTCTGTCCTTTTGATATGCCCTGATATTTTTGTTTGCCTTTTGAGCACTCCTTACTTTCTAGCAGTACAAGATGTTCCAGGCTCATCACCTGGGTTTCATGTCCCAGCCCTAGAATCAGTCATTTTTCCAAGGATCCCCAATTCTTTTTATTTGAGCATTTGTTAGAGTATTAAAAAGCAAAGTCTGAGTTCTGGTTGTGCTCATGCTCATTGTTACTGTAATATCATTGCTTCTATGTTCAGCAGCCAGAGCTAGGAAATAATATACGTGAATACTAATTCAGTTATATATATATATATATATATACACACACACACATATGTATAATTGTTTCTGTGTATATCCACTTGTATCTATATTATCTATATATCACTGTGTGTATATATATATAATATATAAATCTTATATTTATGTTAAGCTAAATGTGAATTCATACTGATTTCTCCAATTCTAGTCTAGTCCCACATGGTTCATTCTAGCGTTCCTCTTTTTTTTAGGTGTAATCTCCCACTCTAATAACTGAGAAACCTAGCTCCCATTATCTGCCATCTTTTTACTTATTTGTTTAATTTTAGTATATATGTGTATCAATCAAAATTGTTTACCCATTCCTTGTGAGAAACAACTTTATTAACCAGAATACAATATTTGTGTGCAATTCCTTCTGTATTATTCTTACAGTTTTTAGTCAAAATATCAGTTTCCTAGCTTACTTAGGTGAGCACTTTTTCCCCACCCACTTCGGTGAGGTTATGTCATATATATTAGAAATATATTTCTAATATATTAATATATATTTCTAATATATTTCTAATATATATGACATACATATTAGGTTCTTTTATCATAGTATGCTTTCCATTCTGGGATCCCTCAATTTCCTGAAAGTTTAAAAAAATTTGTTTACGTGCATTGAGGTTGACTCTGTGCTGTACAGTCCTATGGATTTTGACAAATGCAGTTTAATATATTTACCATGCAGATATTGCACCACCCTACAAACTTTGCTGTGATTCCCCTGGTCAAATATTCCTGCATTCAGAAACTTCTGGGCACCATTGATCTGTTTTTAATCCTTCTAGTGGTGAGAGAGGACATTTTTGCCTTGTTCTTGATCTCAGGGGGAAGCATCCTGCCTCTCATTAGTAAGTATTATATTTGCTATAGGTTTTTCACATATAAACTTTATTAGGTAAGAAAGTGTCTTCTATTTCTATTTTTCTATTTTTTGTGAACATCTTTATCGTGAGTGGGTATTGAATACTATTAATTTTTTTCAGCATCCATTAATATGATTATACAGTTGTTCTTATTTAGTCTGTTAATACAATAAGTTTCACTGGTTTACTAATGTTGAACCAGTCTTGCAAAATTGTGTGGCACAATCCTCTTTATGTCTGGCTGGGTTAAATTTGCCAATAATTTATTAAGGAATTGACATACACATTCATGAGAGACATTGGTCTGTAGTTTACTTGTAATATCTTTACTTGGTTTAGGTATTAGAGTAATGTGAACCTCATAAAATTAGTTGGGAGGTGTTCTCTCTTCTTCAATTTTCTAGACAAAATTATGCAGAATTGGTCTATTTTTTTTTTTTTGTAAACATTTGGTAAACTTCACCAGTTAAGTCCTTTGGGTCTGGGCTTTTAAAAACAGTTTTAAGTTAATTCAATTTATGTAATAGATGTAGGACTATTAACATTATAAACGGTATTCAAATAGGAAGAGAGGAAGTCAACTTGTCTCTGTTTGCAGATGTCATGATTTATATTTAGAAAACCCCATTGTCTCTGCCCCAAATCTCCTTAAGCTGATAAGCATCTTCAGCAAAGTCTCAGGATACAAAATCAATGTGCAAATATCACAAGCATTCTTATACACAATTAATAGACAGAGAGTCAAACCATGAATGAACTCCCATTCACAATTGCTACAAAGAGAATAAACTACCTAGGAATACAACTTACAAGGGATGTGGAGGGCTTCTTCAAGGAGAACTACAAACCACTGCTCAGGGAAATGAGAGAGGACACAAACAAATGGAAAAACATTCCATGCTCATGGATAGGAAGAATCAATATCGTGAAAATGGCCATACTGCCAAAGTAATTGAAAGATTCAATGCTATCCCCATCAAGCTGCCATTGACTTTCTTCACAGAATTAGAAAAAACTACTTTAAATTTCATATGGGACCAAAAACGAGCCTGTATAGAGACAATCCTAAGCACAAAGAACAAAGCCGGAGGCATCACACTACCTGACTTCAAACTATACTACAAGGCTACAGTAACCTAAACAGCATGGTGCTGGTACCATAACAGATAGACAGACCAATGGAACAGAACACAGGCCTCAGAAATAATACCACATGTCTACAACCATCTGATCTTTGACAAACCTGAAAAAAACAAGTAATGGGAAAAGGATTCCCTATTTAATAAATGGTGTTGGGAAAACTGGCTAACCATATCCAGAAAACTAAAACTGGACCCCTTCCTTACACCTTATACAAAAATTAACTCAAGATGGATTAAAGACTTAAACAAAAGACCTAAAACCATAAAAACCCTAGAAGAAAACCTAGGCAATACCATTCAGGACATAGGCATGGGCAAACACTTCATGACTAAAACAGCAAAGCAATGGCCACAGAAGCCAAAATTGACAAATGGGATCTAATCAAACTAAAGAGCTTCTGCACAGCAAATGAAAATATCATCAGAGTGAACAGGCAGTTTACAGAATGGGAGAAAATTTTTGCAATCTACTCATCTGACAAAGGGCTAATATCTAGAATCTACAAAGAACTTAAATTTACAAGAAAAAGCAAACAACCCCATCAAAAAGTAGGTGAAGGATATGAACAAACACTTCTCAAAAGACATTTTTGCAGCCAACAAACATATGAAAAAAAAGCTCATCATCACTGATCATTGGAGAAATGCAAATCAAAACCACAATGAGATACCATCTCATGCCAGTTAGAATGGTGATCACTAAAAAGTCAGGAAACAACAGATGCTGGAGAGGATGTGGAGAAATAGGAATGCTTTTACACTATTGGTGGGAGTGTAAATTAGTTGAACCATTGTGGAAGACAGTGTGGCAATTCCTCAAGGATCTAGAACCAGAAATACCATTTGACCCAGCAATCCCATTACTGGGTATATACCCCAAGGATTATAAATCATTCTACTATAAAGATACATGCACACGTGTGCTTATTGCAGCACTGTTCACAATAGCAAATACTTGGAACTAACCCAAAGGCCCATCAAAGATAGACCGGATAAAGAAAATGTGGCACATAAACACCATGGAATACTATGCAGCCATAAAAAAGGAAGAGTTCATGTCCTTTGCAGGGACATGGATGAAGCTGGAAACCGTCATTCTCAGCATACTAACACAAGAACAGAAAATCAAACACCTCATGTTCTCACTTTTAAGTGGTAGTTGAACCATGAGTACACATGGACACAGGGAAGAGAACATCACATACCGGGGCCTGTTGGTGGGTGGGGGACTACAGGAGGGATAGCATTAGGAGAAATACCTAATGTAGATGATGGGTTGATGGGTGCAACAAACCACCATGGCACTTGTATACCTATGTAACAAACCTGCACATTCTGCACATGTATCCCAGAACTTAGAATAAAAAAAAATTTTTTTAAAGATTATCTATTTCTCCCTGAGTCAGTTTCAATAGTTTGTGTCTTTCAAGAATTAGCCCATTTGATCTAAGTTATTGAACAGGCATAGCGTTGTTTGTAGTATCCCCTTTTTATTTTTTACGTGTCCTTGAATCAGCAGTGATGGTTCTTCTTTTATTTATAACAATGCAAATTTGTATCTTCTCTTTTTTTCTTGGTTAGCTATACTAGTTCAAAATATTTTAATATTTTCCTTAAGTTTTCTTCTTTGGCTCATATTTGGGTCTGAGAGCAGATGTTTCTTTATCTATAACTGATTTTTTTCTATTTCTTTTTTTTTGTTTCTTATCCATTTGTTTGCGATTGTGTGTTGTAAACCACAGCATCAGCTACTTTTGTTTCCTGTGGGGGGTCTTCTAAGAGTTGGGTGTTAATTTTATTTTCCTGCCCTAGTGGTGATCACTGTGTCCTTTATACAGTGAGGTCAGCTCTGGGCTATTAGTATCAAAAGTGAAGAAACAGAAAAGGAGAAGGAAGATGAAGACACAGAGTATAAGGCAACATCAATGTAGTCCACATGCTGAACTCATTCTGTATTTTCTGTGAATTTTTTTTGTTTCATTTTTGGCATTATCTGAAACCCAAATGAGGCTGTGTTTCCTCGGCAACAGGCATTATCCTCCTAGGGGATCTTCCTGCTCCTACCCTTGCCCCCTCAGTTTCTTTCCATACAATAGCCAGAATAATCTTTTCAAACATCAATTGGACCGTGTCCTCCCCTGTTCCTGCAGTAGATTCTTATCACATTCAGAATAAAATATGACCTCTTTACCTCTACAAGGCTCTGCAGGAACTGCTGCCTCTGTCTTTGAGTTTATCTCCTATCAATTTCTCCCCTTTTCACTCTACTCTAACCAAACTGTCCTAACCATTCTTCAAAATTACATATTATTTGAGCCCTGGGAACTTTGCACTTGTTCTTTCTTCTGCTTTGAATGCAATTTTTTATGTCTTTGCATGGTTCATTCTGTCACTTCATTCAGTTATCAGTTCCATCTCACTCCCCCCATAGGGGTCTTCTCTGGTCTTTTCTGTTTAAATAAATGCTTCCTCCCAATAACTCTGTACTGTTACAGTTCAATTAATTTTCCTTCAAGCATTACCCCTATGTGATAGTAAATTATATGTTTATTGCCTTCTTCCCTTACTGAAATGGCAACTCTGTGATGGCAGGGCCTTTCTAGCCTTGTTCATTGCTGAATAACCAGCACCCAAAATAATGCCTGGTGTATAGTAGGTACTCTGACAATATTCATTGAGTGAATGAACAGAGGATGAAAGGCAGGTCACTAATATGAAAAATTAAAAATGGAGGGATGCTAAGGCTTGTTATAGGTAGTGTTCCCCTGTGGGGAAGGGAAGAAGCCAGGACTAGACAAAGAGATATTGGAATGCTAAGATGCAGTTATAACAAAATTGTAACACATTGCTGTAGGGGAGCTCTGAAGCTGGGTTGGCTCTTCAGAATTGCCCTGAGTTTAAGTGAGGGTAGGAAGCCTTGATTCTTGATTCTCTTGATTCTTGATTCTAGCAATTCTTGATTCTGGGAAGGGGGCTTGACCTTGGAGAAGGTGGTATCTTTTGTCAAGGGCAGGTCCCAGAGAGGGCTTCAGGGTGAAGACTTCTAGCCTGCAGCACTTTCAGCAGCTGTGAAAATAATTCTTTAGTTCTAAAAAGGGTTCTGGGAGGTACAGCCTAGTATCCCCAATTGGTCCCTAAGAATGAGGTATGAATGTAGAATGTAGATGAGAAAACATGCTGGGTTGCTGTGTTTTGTTGCAGAAGAACTACGGGGATTTAGCTGTGTATGCTGCAGTGCAATTTAGAGGTTGAGCTATGATGCTTTAAATGTATTTAAGCCACTAGGTGCTGGGTGCAGTGGCTTACGCCTGTAATCCCAGTACTTTGGGAGGCTGAGGCGGTTGGATCACCTGAGGTCAGGAGTTCGAGACCAGCCTGACCAACATGGAGAAACCCCGCTTCTACTACAAATATAAAATTAGCTAGGTGTGGTGGCAGATGCCTGTAATCCCAGCTATTTGGGAGGCTGAGGCAGGAGAATCACTTGAACCTGAGAGTTGGAGGTTGCAGTGAGCTGAGATCGCGTCATTGCACTCCAGCCTGGGCAACAAGAGTGAAACTCTGTCTCAAAAAAAAAAAAAAAAAAAGTGTACTTAAGCCTCTAGAAACTGGACAATGCAGTCAAATGCAAAGAACAGACATAGTTGTTTCCTTCACCCTATCATAGTAAATAATGCCAGATGAGAGAAAGGTATAAGAACTCTGAGTGTTACGGAAGGTTTTTGCATGCTCAGATTCTGCCAGTACATGTCTGCATCTTTGTCTCCAGAATGATGATGAGGGTGGACATGAAATGAATACCCAGGTACAGAAGAATAAAGGAGAATCATAAAGGGGATGAGCAAGCCAGGGCCCTGAAAGAACCAACTTGGGGTTGCGACTTCTGAGTCATCAGAAGGATAGCCAGAGAGGAGATGAACACATTGTGTGAATGGACATAACCAATTCTAGAATCCACGTCCTGGTTATCAAAGGGCAGTGCCTCACCTGTTACTTACCTTAGAGTGAGATGCCAGAGCCTGTCATTGGGAGTGCAGTTTCCACAAAATTATTCACAAGACTCATTGAGTGCTTTCTCCAACTCTTAAACATCCTGAGAACCTAAAACCCTGCTTCGGCATTCCTAGCAGTGTCACAGTTCAGTTGAGCAAGAAAAAGGTTAACAATAGAATTCCCACAGTTTAAATACAGCAAAAAGAACAAATGAAACCAGGCAGGGCAATTAATAGGCAAATGGTTCAGACCATGCCAGAGCAGGCAGAAGGGATGGGAGGAACTTTGTCTTAAGTGAGGGCTTCAAGGATGAGCTTGGATGGGGAGGATTTTGGCAGCCTAGGAGGGATGACTCTGCTTTTCCCCATGTCTGACTTTGGATAGTCTCACTGCACTTCAGTCTCCTCCAAAAATTACTGACATCAGACTTGATAGCACTGAGGTTTCTTTTAAGTCTGATATCCCATGACTTTCACTTGTATCAAAACTATCAAAAATGTTTTATCAATTTTTATCACTAGATTTGTCATTGAAATTCCCTGGATATCAGTGATAGAAATTATGTGGCTGATTTATGTTAAGTATCCTACAGTGGGTTCTCCTATTCACAAATTTCACATGACGATTACCCATATTTCAAGTTGTGCCAAAGAGATTTTGGATCAAACCTATATAATTTCTTTAAATATGTTTTCCCAAATATTTAGAGCTCAATGAGTCTAAACTTGGATGTAATGTTTTTATAGATTAAAAGAATAACAGCTTCATTCAAATTTTGCTTTCCATCATGCCCACTTCTTTCCCAGTCAGCTTATTTATAATTGAGCAAAGTGCATTATCAATTAAGTTTTCCTCCTTAAACACCGTTAGGCTGCTTGGTTAAAAAAAAAAAAAAAAAAAAAAAAAAAAAGGATGCCACCCATGGTGGTATTTTACCTGAGTAACTTGAATCAAGTTTGATTTCAAGTGGTGATGGTTTCGTTTGGCATTTCCGTTGTGTGATATGTATCACTGTGACAACTTTCACTCCCAGAGTTGTATCTCCTTTATGTTACAAAAGCCAATTTCTTTAGAAAACAATGCCTCTGTTTTCTCCAGATTGTCTCTGTAGTGCTGAATTAATATCTACTTCCACTTGATTTCCTTTCTGGAAGACTACAACATTCTTTTATCTCTTTAGAAATGCTATTTGGGGTTCCCAAGACATTCCTTTGACAGGTGTTTATTTTGATCTCAAAGATGTCTCACTTTTTCCAAAGAAGTATTTTCCAGGAAAAACAATGGCAATATCTCTGAGATATTCATCAGTTTTGGCAATCCTGCTATATTTCATCATTGCATATGCATTTTAAGTGTTATATTTAAAGAATATTGCATACATTTTGAGATATGATTTATAAAGGGAAAAATGACTAATATTGATATATTATGCATTGTATGCTGTTAGTTCCTTTGACACAATGTTATATTGAGCCAGCAAAAAAGACATTTACTGTCATATCGTGCTAATGTCAGTGGGGTGAGATGGTGAAAATAAAATCCATTTTAATACACTGTATCTGTTTATGCTGTGTGTTTGCTTTTAACATACAGATATACTTCACGTAAATATGTAATTATTTGATTTTAAATTTACATATCAATTATTTTTGAAAATAGCAATATGTAGCTTGGATAAGGTCTTGTTGGAAGCCAACTGAAATTAGCACTCCTTCCCAGCACTTTGGGAGGCCGAGGCAGGCGGATCACGAGGTCAGGAGATCGAGACTATCCTGGCTAACACAGTGAAGCCGTGTCTCTACTAAAAATACAAAAAAATTAGCCGGGCCAGGTGGCGGGCGCCTGTAGTCCCAGCTATTTGGGAGGCTGAGGCAGGAGAATGGCTTGAACCCGGGAGGCGGAGCTTGAAGTGAGCCGAGATTGTGCCACTGCACTCCAGCTGGGCGACAGAGCGAGACTCTGTCCCCCCCAACAACAACAACAAAAAGAAATTAGCACTCTTTTATATTTGATTTCTATAGCTCAGATTTTGTCTGAATAAAGAGCGGAATCAGATGAGCCCAAATACCAAATTCTCCATGCTACATTGCAGTCTTTCTAAACCTATTTAAAGATTACCAATAAAATATGACCTTGCTTCCATTTTGAAATCATGAATTTTTCACAGTACACTTGACTTCATTTTGCTCTGTTTCAAGTTCCACTTTAACTTTTAAAAGCTAAATTCAGTTCTCCCATGCATGATGTAGGTAATGAATGCCCTGGAGGATTTGTTGTTGTTGTTGCTAGCATTTCCTTTTTAGTAGATCCAAAATAAAACAAAATATTTTTCTGATGCTCAGAATTAGCTGGGATGATACTAAAATTAAAAGAATCTTTGACATTTGTGGCAGCTATATTTGAAAACCTTGTGGGAAAATGCTTTTCTGAGCTCTTGGCCACTCTGGCAATTATCAAAGTTGTGAATTAGAAGTTATGCAAAGCTCTCTCAGAAAATCCGGGACACCCGTGCACTTTATTTTTAACAAATGCCACTTATGGGTAAAATATTTATGTTAATATTTCACACTATACTAGTGGATGTCTCATGTACATTTGTTAGGATATTTTAGTACTGTGAAATCTCTTCAGCTGGTCATATTTAAGTCTGCTGACAAGTAAGTTGAGACTGTCTGCTTTTGTCATAATTATTAGGCATGAGATCAACTAACCAGAAAGAGTTTAGACAAGTGATGAGGTACATGTTTTAAGTGGTTTAGGGAGTTGGTAAGTTACTTCTAAAATGTTTTCTTAAAAAAGTTGCTGCAATTGAAAATAATTGTAAATACTAAAATTAATGAAAGCAGAGTTCATTTTGGAAAGTACACCAATTGATGGAGAATAATACATTCTTCTTTAATAAATTATCTGTCATCTATTCATACTATATGATTATTTTTATAATGGCTATCACTGTTGGTTCTGGCATTTTGACCAGTTTCTATTTTGGCACAAAACAATAATTGGGGGCTGGAGGAGCCAAGATGGCCGAATAGGAAGAGCTCCGGTCTACAGCTCCCAGCGTGAGCGACACAGAAGACTGGTGATTTCTGCATTTCCATCTGAGGTACCGGCTTCATCTCACTAGGGAGTGCCAGACAGTGGGCACAGGTCAGTGGGTGCGCGCACCATGCGCGAGCCGAAGCAGGGTGAGGCATTGCCTCACTCGGGAAGCGCAAGGGGTCAGGGAGTTCCCTTTCCTAGTCAATGGGGTGACAGACGGCACCTGGAAAATCGGGTCACTCCCACCCCAATACTGCGCTTTTCCGAAGGGCTTAAAAAATGGCGTACCACGAGATTATATCCCGCACCTGGCTCGGAGGGTCCTACGCCCACGGAGTCTTGCTGATTGCTAGCACAGCAGTCTGAGATCAAACTGCAAGGCGGCAGCGAGGCTGGGGGAAGGGCGCCCGCCATTGCCCAGGCTTGCTTAGGTAAACAAAGCAGCTGGGAAGCTCGAACTGGGTGGAGCACACCACAGCTCAAGGAGGCCTGCCTGCCTCTGTAGGCTCCACCTCTGGGGGCAGGGCACAGACAAACAAAAAGACAGCAGTAACCTCTGCAGACTTAAATGTCCCTGTCTGACAGCTTTGAAGAGAGCAGTGGTTCTCCCAGTATGCAGCTGGAGATCTGAGAAGGGGCAGACTGCCTCCTCAAGTGGGTGCCTGACCCCTGACCCCCGAGCAGCCTAACTGGGAGGCACCCCCCAACAGGGGCACATTGACACCTCACACTGCAGGGTACTCCAACAGACCTGCAGCGGAGGGTCCTGTCTGTTAGAAAGAAAACTAACAAACAGAAAGGACATCCACACCAAAAACCCATCTGTACATCATCATCAAAGACCAAAAGTAGATAAAACCACAAAGATGGGGAAAAAACAGAACAGAAAAACTGGAAACTCTAAAAAGCAGAGTGCCTCTCCTCCTCCAAAGGAACGCAGTTCCTCACCAGCAACGGAACAAAGCTGGACAGAGAATGACTTTGACGAGCTGAGAGAAGAAGGCTTCAGACGATCAAATTACTCTGAGCTACGGGAGGACATTCAAACCACAGGCAAAGAAGCTGAAAACTTCGCAAAAAATTTAGAAGAATGTATAACTAGAATAACCAATACAGAGAAGTGCTTAAAGGAGCTGATGGAGCTGAAAACCAAGGCTCGAGAACTACATGAAGAATGCAGAAGCCTCAGGGGCCGATGCGATCAACTGGAAGAAAGGGTATCAGCAATGGAAGATGAAATGAATGAAACGAAGCGAGAAGGGAAGTTTAGAGAAAAAAGAATAAAAAGAAATGAGCAAACCCTCCAAGAAGTATGGGACTATGTGAAAAGACCAAATCTACATCTGATTGGTGTACCTGAAAGTGATGGGGAGAATGGAACCAAGTTGGAAAACACTCTGCAGGATATTATCCAGGAGAACTTCCCCAATCTAGCAAGGCAGGCCAACATTCAGATTCAGGAAATACAGAGAACGCCACAAAGATACTCCTTGAGAAGAGCAACTGCAAGACACATAATTGTCAGATTCACCAAACTTGAAATGAAGGAAAAAATGTTAAGGGCAGCCAGAGAGAAAGTTCGGGTTACCCTCAAAGGGAAGCCCATCAGACTAACAGTGGATCTCTCAGCAGAAACCCTACAAGCCAGAAGAGAGTGGGGGCCAATATTCAACATTCTTAAAGAAAAGAATTTTCAACCCAGAATTTCATATCCAGCCAAACTAAGCTTCATAAGTGAAGGAGAAATAAAATACTTTACAGAGAAGCAAATGCTGAGAGATTTTGTCACCACCAGGCCTGCCCTAAAAGAGCTCCTGAAAGAAGCGCTAAACATGGAAAGGAACAACCAGTACCAGCCACTGCAAAATCATGCCAAAATGTAAAGACCATCGAGACGAGGAAGAAACTGCATCAACTAACGAGCAAAATCACCAGCTAACATCATAACGACAGGATCAAATTCACACATAACAATATTAACTTTAAATGTAAATGGACTAAATGCTCCAATTAAAAGACACAGACTGGCAAATTGGATAAAGAGTCAAGACCCATCAGTGTGCCGTATTCAGAAACCCATCTCACTTCTAGAGACACACATAGGCTCAAAATAAAAGGATGGAGGAAAATCTACCAAGCAAATGGACAACAAAAAAAGGCAGGGGTTGCAATCCTAGTCTCTGATAAAACAGACTTTAAACCAACAAAGATCAAAAGAGACAAAGAAGGCCATTACATAATGGTAAAGGGATCAATTCAACAAGAAGAGCTAACTATCCTAAATATATATGCACCCAATACAGGAGCACCCAGATTCATAAAGCAAGTCCTGAGTGACCTACAAAGAGACTTAGACATCCACGCATTAATAATGGGAGACTTTAACACCCCACTGTCAACATTAGACAGATCAACGAGACAGAAAGTCAACAAGGATACCCAGGAATTGAACTCAGCTCTGCACCAAGCGGACCTAATAGACATCTACAGAACTCTCCACCCCAAATCAACAGAATATACATTTTTTTCAGCACCACACCACACCTATTCCAAAATTGACCACATAGTTGGAAGTAAAGCTCTCCTCAGCAAATGTAAAAGAACAGAAATTATAACAAACTATCTCTCAGACCACAGTGCAATCAAACTAGAACTCAGGATTAAGAATCCCACTCAAAACCACTCAGCTACATGGAAACCGAACAACCTGCTCCTGAATGACTACTGGGTACATAATGAAATGAAGGCAGAAATAAAGATGTTCTTTGAAACCAATGAGAACAAAGACACAACATACCAGAATCTCTGGGACGCATTCAAAGCAGTGTGTAGAGGGAAATTTATAGCACTAAATGCCCACAAGAGAAAGCAGGAAAGATCCAAAATTGACACCCTAACATCACAATTAAAAGAACTAGAAAAGCAGAGCAAACACATTCAAAAGCTAGCAGAAGGCAAGAAATAACTAAACACAGCAGAACTGAAGGAAATAGAGACACAAAAAACCCTTCAAAAAATTAATGAATCCAGGAGCTGGTTTTTTGAAAGGACCAACAAAATAGATAGACCGCTAGCAAGACTAATAAAGAAAAAAAGAGAGAAGAATCAAATAGACGCAATAAAAAATGATAAAAGGGATATCACCACCGATCCCACAGAAATACAAACTACCATCAGAGAATACTACAAACACCTCTATGCAAATAAACTAGAAAATCTAGAAGAAATGGATAAATTCCTCGACACATACACTCTCCCAAGACTAAACCAGGAATAAGTTGAATCTCTGAATAGACCAATAACAGGATCTGAAATTGTGGCAATAATCAATAGCTTACCAACCAAAAAGAGTCCAGGACCAGACGGATTCACAGCCGAATTCTACCAGAGGTACAAGGAGGAACTGGTACCATTCCTTCTGAAACTATTCCAATCAATAGAAAAAGAGGGAATCCTCCCGAACTCATTTTATGAGGCCAGCATCATTCTGATACCAAAGCCAGGCAGAGACACAACCAAAAGAGAGAATTTTAGACCAATATCCTTGATGAACATTGATGCAAAAATCCTCAATAAAATACTGGCAAAACAAATCCAGCAGCACATCAAAAAGCTTATCTACCATGATCAAGTGGGCTTCATCCCTGGGATGCAAGGCTGGTTCAAGATACGCATATCAATAAATGTAATCCAGCATATAAACAGAACCAAAGACAAAAACCACATGATTATCTCAATAGATGCAGAAGAGGCCTTTGACCAAATTCAACAACCCTTCATGCTAAAACCTCTCAATAAATTAGGTATTGATGGGACGTATTTCAAAATAATAAGAGCTATCTATGACAAACCCACAGCCAATATCATACTGAATGGGCAAAAACTGGAAGCATTCCCTTTGAAAACTGGCATAAGACAGGGATGCCCTCTCTCACCACTCCTATTCAACATAGTGTTGGAAGTTCTGGCCAGGGCAATTAGGCAGGAGAAGGAAATAAAGGGTATTCAATTAGGAAAAGAGGAAGTCAAATTGTCCCTGTTTGCAGATGACATGATTGTATATCTAGAAAACCCCATTGTCTCAGCCCAAAATCTCCTTAAGCTGATAAGCAACTTCAGCAAAGTCTCAGGATACAAAATCAATGTACAAAAATCACAAGCATTCCTATACACCAACAACAGACAAACAGAGAGCCAAATCATGAGTGAACTCCCATTCACAATTGCTTCAAAGAGAATAAAATACTTAGGAATCCAACTTACAAGGGACGTGAAGGACCTCTTCAAGGAGAACTACAAACCACTGCTCAAGGAAATAAAAGAGGATACAAACAAATGGAAGAATATTCCATGCTCATGGGTAGGAAGAATCAATATCGTGAAAATGGCCACACTGCCCAAGGTAATGTACAGATTCAATGCCATCCCCATCAAGCTACCAATGCCTTTCTTCACAGAACTGGAAAAAACTACTTTAAAGTTCATATGGAACCAAAAAAGAGCCCTCATTGCCAAGTCAATCCTAAACCAAAAGAACAAAGCTGGAGGCATCACACTACCTGACTTCAAACTATACTACAAGGCTACAGTAACCAAAACAGCATGGTACTGGTACCAAAACAGAGATATAGATCAATGGAACAGAACAGAGCCCTCAGAAATAACGCCGCATATCTGCAACTATCTGATCTTTGACAAACCTGAGAAAAACAAGCAGTGGGGAAAGGATTCCCTATTTAATAAATGGTCCTGGGAAAATTGGCTAGCCATATGTAGAAAGCTGAAACTGGATCCCTTCCTTACATCTTATACAAAAATCAATTCAAGATGGATTAAAGACTTAAACGTTAGACCTAAAACCATAAAAATCCTAGAAGAAAACCTAGGCCTTACCTTTCAGGACATAGGCATGGGCAAGAACTTCATGTCTAAAACACCAAAAGCAATGGCAACAAAAGCCAAAATTGACAAATGGGGTCTAATTAAACTAAGGAGCTTCTGCACAGCAAAAGAAACTACCATCAGAGTGAACAGGCAACCTACAAAATGGGAGAAAATTATTGCAACCTACTCATCTGACAAAGGGCTAATATCCAGAATCTACAATGAACTCAAAAAAATTTACAGGAAACAAACAAACAACCCCATCAAAAAGTGGGCGAAGGACATGAACAGACACTTCTCAAAAGAAGACATTTATGCAGCCAAAAACCACATGAAAAAATGCTCATCATCACTGGCCATCAGAGAAATGCAAATCAAAACCACAATGAGATACCATCTCACACCAGTTAGAATGGCAATCATTAAAAAGTCAGGAAACAACAGGTGCTGGAGAGGATGTGGAGAAATAGGAACACTTTTACACTGTTGGTGGGACTGTAAACTAGTTCAACCATTGTGGAGGTCAGTGTGGCGATTCCTCAGGGATCTAGAACTAGAAATACCATTTGACCCAGCCATCCCATTACTGGATATATACCCAAAGGACTATAAATCATGCTGTTATAAAGACACATGCACACGTATGTTTATTGCGGCATTATTCACAATAGCAAAGACTTGGAACCAACCCAGATGTCCAACAATGATAGACTGGATTAAGAAAATGTGGCACATATACTCCATGGAATACTATGCAGCCATAAAAAATGATGAGTTCTCGTCCTTTGTAGGGACATGGATGAAATTGGAAATCATCATTCTCAGTAAACTATCACAAGAACAAAAAACCAAACACCGCATATTGTCACTCATAGGTGGGAATTGAACAATGAGATCACATGGACACAGGAAGGGGAACATCACACTCTGGGGACTGTTATGGGGTGGGGGAAGGGGGGAGGGATAGCACTGGGAGATATACCTAATGCTAGATGACGAGTTAGTAGGTGCAGCGCACCAGCATGGCACATGTATACATATGTAACTAACCTGCACAATGTGCACATGTACCCTAAAACTTAAAGTATAATAATAAAAGAAAAAAAACTTAAAAAAAAAAGCAATAATTGGGAAAGGTGAATATCTTACTTAAGAATCATTGTATTCTGGGATCTTACCTATTGGAATTCTAATGTTTCCATTTTTATTTGCTATATAGTAATGATGACATTTTATTTCACAATTGCTGACATATTGATCTTTCTTTTAAAGCTCTGACTATGCCCCGTTCTCGCTAAAGGACCTACTTTCAATGCCCCTCATTGCCTACAGAATAAAGTACAAAATTCTTGTCTGATATTCAAAATCCTCTAATGATTTGGTTCCTAATTCATGCCCTATTTCCTGCTCAGACTTTCCCTTCAGCTTGGAATGCTTTTGCCCAACTCATTGTATTCAACTTTTATCCCTTCAGGGTTCAATTCAAAAGTTAGACCTTCCATCATGTTTTCAAACCTTAGCAGTGGACCCAAGAGTCCACTTGCTATGAGCTGGATAGTGTTCTGGGCACCTTATATATATATGACATAGATAATATCTTAGATATATTACACTGATAAATTTCCATTTTCCTCTTCAGTCACATTAGATTGTAGCCTTATGTTTTAAGACTGAGCTATGAGGCTCAGGGTCCTGGGAGTGAGGAATAGAGGTATTGGTCAACTTTGAGCCTCTAGGGTGGTCTCTTGATCTGTGTACTGAGACAATGATCTTTAAAAGCAAGATTTGTGGAGATTTCTCAATTCCAAATGTCTTTATTTATCTAGTCTTGAGCCACATCTGTGTCCCTAAATCATGGAGAATTTTTATACACTGGGGTTGAGAGAACTCTTGATATGCCATAGAGGGACAGGAAAGCTCATCCTATCTGGCTGGGATCACAGAGATAAAAAGTAGGAGAGACATAGGACAGAAGCAAGAGATAGGAGTCCAGGTTTTTCTGCCTTTCAGAGTAGAACCCGGATGGGATATCAGATGGTAGAAATATCCAGATAATTATGGAGGAGCATGAAAACATTTGGGGAATTGTCTAGTGGTATGTTTCCTTAATAAGCCTCTAGGAGAGTCTTCATACTCACTCAGTATGTCCAACATTCCACAGTTAGATTAAAATGACATTGACATAGAAAAAAGGCTTCTTGAATGCAACAGTGGAAACCCTTCTGACTTACTGTGACCTGTGGAGAGTACACATGAGAGTCATACATTTAGTGCACCCCAGGGGAAAGACTAGTCCTAAAGAGGCTGCTGTAAACAGGAAACTCGTAAGCAGAAAAAAAATGGCTGGGATAAGGATTTCAGTCAAAGGTAATGTCATGGTTTCCCAAAGCTTCAAATGGGGCCAGTGCATGGCAGTGTCATTCACAAAGGGAGCAGCATCATTAAACCACTTTACAAAAGAACCACTAAAGTTTTAGAGGCTCCCATCTCTACATCTTCTACAGAGACGTAGTAAACACATCCTACCCAGTATAAGCTGAGGCCATCTTGTTAAATGGTAAAAATATTAAAAATGGAAAGAATGGACAATGTTTGAATTCGAAGGATTATTTTTTTGTGTGTCAACCGAGAAAGCAAGGAAGACTCATTGTTCATTGGGATTTAAAAAAAAAAAAGGTTTCTAGATTCTCCTTCTGCCATTACCTAGCAAGTTAAAGGTTATGAGAAGATTAGAATAGTTATTGAATAGACTTAGTGTGGTGGCTTCTGTATTACCAGCATTTTGGAACGCTGAGGTGGGAGTAATGCTTGAGTCCAGGAGTTCGAGTTCATCCTGGGCAACATAGTGAGGCCCCGTCTCTATTAAAATTTTTTAAAAAAATAGCCAGGTGTGGTGGTGCATGCCTGTGGTCCCAGCTACTTGGGAGGCTGAGGTGGGAGAATCGCTTGAGCCCAGAAGATGGAGGCTGCAGTGAGCCATGATCCCACTGCACTCTAGCCTGGATGACAGAGTGAGACCGTCAAAAAAAAAAAAAAGATATAAAATATACAGCAGTGACATTTTGTTTCATTTTACTTTGGCCAATCTGAGTTTACTCAGAGTGAAATTTTGAATTTGTTACACATTTAATTGTCACAATAACCCTATATCTCTCATAAGTAGATTCCAAGATAAGGATTCCAGGAGGTGATTCCAGGAACACCAGGAGGGTAGTGAGACAGGGAAGGGCAGGACACCAATCAAGACTGTGTAATTTAATAAGTTACCATTATAGGTAGCTGTTAGGTTGATGGGTGCACACCTGTCAAACAGCCAGTGAATAAACCTATAGCTGACTGCTGCTGTTTGCAACTAAGTCAGTTGCACCTACTTATCCACACCAACTATGGGCTTGCCATCATGTAAGAGACCTATTGTTTACCTTAAAGGCTTTTTCCTTGTCAACCTGGAGATATAGTTTAGTAATCATTAGGGATTAGGTAGAAAATGTGGGGGTAATGTTCCTACTTGATTTAGGGGCAGGAGACAGGCAAGAGATATTCTAGATATTCTAAACTCTAGTCCTAAACCAGTTAGATGAGCAGAGCCTTCATATTTGCAACAAATTTTCTCAGCTCTTCTTATAACCACTTTTCCTCAACTGTGTTTCTTTATTTATTGTACCTTTAAGATTATTGAAAAATATCTGTACAATTACAAAAGTGGTAGCAGTTATAAAGATCTTATCTTTGTCTCATATGTTAAATTGAATTCTATCAAATCTATCTCCATAAATTGTGGTCAATAAAACTAAATTTTTTGGATTATAAAGCTTAAAGAAACTCATCTACGCAAAGTGCTTAGCACTAAGAGGTTGAGTAATCTGGGTGTGGTGGCCTTTCTGTGGTAATAGTGGTGGTTATTGCTGTTGTTATTTCTTATAAGTCTCTGTGGATGTGACCAGTTAAAAACTGTAGTTGGAAGCCACAGCACTTCAAAAGACAAGACTATGAATTATTCTCGCTAAACAAAATCAAATATTGCATGTCAATTTTCTTTTAAATAAACAGTTTTGGAGAATAAAGACAAAAATATACTTAGCTAAATAAATATGAAATTAAGTTTATCTAGTCAGACCAGGTGTATTAGTTCATTCTCACACTGTTATGAAGTACCCAAGACTGGGTAATTTATAAAGAAAAGAGATTTAATTGACTCACAGCTATGCATGGCCGGGGAGGCCTCAGGAAACTTACACAATCATGGCAGAAGGCACCTTTTCACATGGAGGCAGGTGAAAGAATGAGAGCCCAGTGAAGGAGGAAGTCCCTTATAAAACCATCAGACCTTGTGACAACTCACTCACTATCAGGAGAACAGCATGGGGGAAACTGCCTCCATAATTCAATTATCTCCCCCTGGTCCTGCCCTTGACACGTGGGGATTATTACAATTCAAGATGAGAGTTGTGTGGGAACACAGCCAAACCATATCAACAGGCTTGGAGAAAAATCAAGTATAAAAGAAACCCTATTTTTTATGACCTTCCCTGGAGACTCTTAAAGTACCTACTGTTTGTTGATAGGTCTTTTAATGGTTGTAATACATCTAAATGTTTTACAGTGCTAAACTCATTTATTTATGGTAGTGCCTATAATGAGAAGGAGGAAATGGCCAGAGCAGTTATTTTTCTGGTTATTCATGGTGTTTAATCTTAGTGTCTCCTTTGGAAGTAAAGCAAGTAAAAAGAACTAATTGGATGTTTCCAATCAAAGAATTTCCCCTCCTTTAAGTGACTGCATGTAGCTTTCTTCTTGAAAACCAGTGAGTGGAGTTAGCAAATTTGCTCCTGAATGTGAAATGATGAAAGTAAATACAGTGTGTAAAAAAGGCAATTAGTGTTTTCTTTAAGAAATATAGGGACTTCGGTAAATTTGAAATTCAGGAGGTTAGAAGTAATCCTAGGTTTCTCTCATAAATGAAGATAATGAGGGATTTGTATATTCATAAGCATCTAGAGATTTTCATTAATCTGTAATTATAAATAAAATATACTGCTTTTATTTATAGGACTGAATATAGGTCAGGAACCTAGGGGAATTAGATTTTTTTTTAAAGTCTCACTTTGATTTATCCTTCCCTGAAATACCTCCTTTAGCATTATAAGAAAGCAATTAATAAGTCAAGCTCATCACTTTATGTGTATTTCTTCTATTCTCTTCCCTTTTTCATAAAGGTATCTCAGAGTTACTTATAGTAGAACACTATAAGTGGCCTTTGTTTTAAAAAAATCTTATTTACATGATGGGTCTAGGAATGTGGTCCTTACTTCCATGTCTGAGGGTGATGACTCTGTGACCTCCACAAGGAAGGGGGTTAGATTTGGGGAAATAAAAATGGAGTCACTAAGCACACACCTACAGCTCTTTTGCTGACTCAATGGGACTCTTGTGGAAGACTGGTAGTGGAGTGAGGAAAGCTCATCATATGGTTCACCTCTTTAATTCCCCCTTTCATCTATTCATGTGCTTTAACAAATATTTGATCCAACCCCACTGGAAACAATAAAGGAAAACAAAAGTAATAATAAACAAATATTCGAGTACCTACTAAGTACCTGGCTCATAGGATTCTAAGTTCATGGTAGTGACCAAGAAAGGCACCATCTCTGCCATCGAAGATTCTTCTAGGATTGACTTTTATTTATTTCTCTTGTAATAATTTATGTATTTATTTTTAATTTAAATACACTTAGTAAGTGCTTATTGTAAGAGTTAAAGAAAGAGGAAAGAAACATGATATGCAGCTTAACAGTCAAAGATAGGTTTATTTTGGAAAAATAAATCTAAGAGGGGCTTCTGGCCAATTTTGGCCAGGAGTGCTCTCTTTTACAGACTAAGAGTATTTATTAGTGAGAGAGCTTGGAATTTTTCTGTGTTGGGGAGAAGTTTATGGCAGGGTTGGAATGTCTCTGGTCAGAGGGGAGGTTATCTTGGGGCTGACATCTCTCTGGCCAGACAGGAGGTTATCTCGGGGCTGGCATGTGTCTGGTTGGGGAGGGTTTTGGATCTGGTCAGAGATGTTATTTGTGGTTTATTGTCATGCTGACCTTAGCCATTAGGATAATGCCATTTGGATTTAGGCAGTTTTTGATCAAGCTGAATTTTAGAATGACCATGCTTGTCCAAGATGGCAATACTCCTGCTCTGTCACTTATTACATGCCAGAATGGAGATATTTGTAATTCTTGATGAAACAAAAGAAAATTATGTAACAACACTACCCTTGTGGAGCTGAACAAGCCAATCAGTTATTTTGGCAAAATGAGAAAAATGCAATGAAAGAGAAATTCAAAGTGCTATGAGACTGAAGACTGGAGAATTAATTTTGCTTTAGTAGATCCAAAATATTTTTAGACTAGGGGTATCAGTTCACTGTTGTCAAAATTGATGCTTCTTAAGAGACTATCTCAAAATTCAGTGCTTAAACAGCCACTCTTTATTATTGCTCATGAATGTAAGGGTTGGTTGGGTGGTTCTGCTAGTTTCAGCTCAACTTAGTTATATGTCTACCATAGATGAGGGTCAGATAGGTGGCTTGGCTGATCTTGGCTGTGGGATTGCTCATGTTTGGGGGACAGCAGGATGTTGACTGCTCTGGATGGCTTTGACTCTTTGCCTTGTTTCTGTCACATCCTTCCATCTGGCTTCCTGGGCATGATCTCATAGTGGAGGAAGAAGTTCAAGAATAAGTGAGAGAACAGGTCCCAACGTGTAGGTGCTTTTCACACCTTTGCTTGTATCACATTTGCCCACATTCCAGAGAATATCACCTGGATGAGCCTACAGTCAAATTCAGTGTGGGTTGAGCATGGTGTCCACAATAAGAGTAAAGAATTGGGGCCATCAACATCATCAGTCTACTACAGAAGGTAATGACTGAGCTGAGATTTGAAAGATGATATGGTTTGAATGTTTTGTCGCCTCCAAATCTTATGTTGAAATGTGACCTCCAATGTTGGAGGTGGGCCTAATGGAAGCAGATCCCTCATGAATGGCTTGGTGCCCTCCTAGCAGTAATAAGTTCATGCAAGATCTGGCTAATGAAAAGAGTCTGGGACTTCCTGTCTCCTGCCCCCACCTCTCTCGTGCCCTAGCTCTTACCAGGTGATGTGTAGCAGCTCCCCCTTCACCTTGCACCATGATAATAAGCTTCCTGAGGCTCTCAGCAGAAGCAGATGCTGGTGCCACACTTTCTGTACAGCCTACAGAACTGTGGGCCAAAATAAACCTCCTTTCTTTATAAATTACCCAGTCTCAAGGTATTCCTTTATACCAATGCAAACAGACTAACACAAAAGTTAAACAGGAATCCCAGGAACATTCCAAGGAGAGATCTGAGCACATATGATGACACTGAATCCTGAAATATTTCTAGCTTAGGAATTCCAAGGAGGTTGATATGATTGGAGAAAATCCCTGTGGGAAATGATATTTTGGAAATGCCAAGTTCTTTTGCCTTTCAAAGTCTGCTCCTCTGGTGCCTCTTTGTCTTGCTCTCCCTGGAATACCTTACTGGGCTCTTCACCTTACTAACTCACTCCTGGTCATCCTTTAGGTCTTGACTCAAATGTCACTTCTGAAGACTGACAAACTCTGAACCCTCTGTAATTGGCATACGTTTCCCCTCAACCAGGTTTTTCAGCTCACAGTACCCTGTCTTCACCATTTAATGCTTTTATTATAATTTGGAATTATGTAAATGTAGGCATCTATTTATTTAATATCTTTCTTCTCCACTAGATCAGAAGCTCCATCAGGGCACATATTTTTTGTTTTTGATTGCTTTTTCTGTGTTCATTTTGACACACAGCAGGTATTTAATAAAAAATGAAAGAATGCAAGTAGAGTGTTAAGCAATTCATTAGTCATGAATGGACTTTGGTGCTCAGTAGAGAAATTTGAACTTTGTCCTGGAAGGTAAAGGGAGTCTTTAGATGATTTTAAACAAGAGCCTAATTTGACAATTCAGACCTTTAAAGAAACTACTTTGGCATTATTGAGAGAAAGGATGGTAAAAGCCATAACTGTAGGCAGGGAGACCAGTTAAGAGGCACTGCAAAGTCCGGGTGAGAAGTGAAGAGTCTGGATTAAAGATATGGGAATAGAAAGCAGATAACCTAGATGGAGAGAAGATGAAATCTGCTGGACATGTTTTCCTGTTGTTTGTTGATCTAGTATTCTGGATTTCTCACTTTCCTTTCAGAAAAACATCATAAAGCATCAAAGAATAAAAGCATAAATATGCCACTGTATATTTGATGAAAGTAAAAGTCTTGGTAACCACAAACTATGATATATAAACAAAGGCTGCCAAATGGTATAAAATTAAACGAGAAGAAAGGTGTCAGAATGTACTAGAGAGGATGGCTGTGGCTGTAGACCTCAGACAACACTGACATATATCTGTTCTCTTAAGTAATGGGACAATCTGAGGCTTAAAACCAATAATCCCCTGTTGGTTAAATATGAAATAGATGGAAAGGATAATGCAAGACCTTCCCTGGATTCAGTTTTACGTGAAGTTGCAAGAGGCAGAGAAGGCAGGATTAAGAGAAGATGCAAATCACAAGTCATATTTGCAGCAAACTATTAGTATGAATGAGAGGAAGGGAAAGAGTCCACCTTGTGGTCACCTCTGTGGTGTTCATCTCTGTTGGCTGCAAACATAAATATTAAAAGCACTCACATCTAAAGCTTCATCATAAGAAAAAATATTGCTAAGAAAGAATACTGACCATAGCCCCTGTTTGACAAAAACCTCCATCCAATGGTCCAGGAGGAATTCATCTCATCAAAGATGAATAATAACAACAACCAAAAAATAGCACCGAATGTATGCAGTGATGCTACAAGGCAAAAGGAAGAAAAATAACAAATCAAATTATAAGAGTTTTTATCAGAAAATTGTTGCATCAGAGTAGATTGTGACTAAACATATCATCATGAATTAAAAAATAGTAAAGCAATCACCTTTATAAAATAAAGGATCAAAGTAGAGGTATAAAAGCTCAGAACACAAATGTATGCGAAAAAGGCCTTGTTTGCATTAATCTCTCTTTCTGTGGTCATTTTAAAGCATAATTATTTGTTCAGCTTAATTTTTTATTTTAGTTTTTATTTTTATTTTTTGAGACGGAATTTCACTCTGTCACCCAGGCTGGAGTGCAATGGCCGCGATCTCAGTTCACTGCAACTTCCGCCTCACGGGTTCAAGTGATTCTCCTGCCTCAGCCTTCCAAGTAGCTGGGATTACAGGCACTCGCCACCACGTCCAGCTAATTGCTCAGCTTCATTTTAAAATTACATCTGCAAATGAAACCTTATTCGATTTCTCCAGATGAGGAGTTCTCAATGAGTCACAGAACCAGTTTCTGACTCAGTAGGTCTTGGATGGGAGCTGGGGATTTGCATTTCTAACATGTTCCCAGGTGATGAATGGTCAGACTCTTGGTCCAGGGATTACACTTTGGAAATGACTGAACTAGCTTATCTTTCTGTCTGCTTCATGCCTTGCTACTTTATATAAGCATTTCTTTTACTCAGGCTTGGTCTCCAGTCTTTAAACACTGTTATCAGTGACACCTCTGATCTCCCTGGAATGGTAGCCCACCTGGTCTTCCTGAAACTCATATAGATGGGTGGAGGGACAGGAATCAACAAGAAATTATTCTGCAGGTCCTGGCTATAATTTTCTTGTTTCTGAGCCACATATAAAAGGATGTAACAATTGAGGCAGATCAAGGCTTCTCTTCCTTTAATTTCTAAAAGGGTGAGAAATTATTATGGCTAGATGCTATTTGTTATGTAGCCTTTCTTTAAGAAAAGACATGATTCTAATTCTAAAATTGGCTAAGATATAATTTTTAGAATGATAAGTTTTCACTTTTAGGCAATGACTGTGTTATTATGCTAACTTTAAGTGGAAACAAGACAGGTGATTTATTTTCAGAACCCTGGAAAGAGATAGGGAAAAGAAAAGGCATAGTGTTATACTTTTTGCTGCTGCTAGATTTATCTTTTTCTCTGCCATCTTGTCCAATGTGTCTACCACATAGCATTTGAAATGAAAATGGGTGTCAGAGAGAAAAGGATTGAAGGAAAGCAATAACAGGGAGGAGGAAATAGAGGATTAGTAGAAGAGGAAGCTAAAAGGCAGCTGGGGGGAGGCTTGAGGGAAGGAGAGAACAGCTGGTGGGAGAAGTAACGAGGGGAGAAGCCAGAGAGGCAGTGGACTGCAAATGAAGCAGTCAGCTTCTTTAGGAGAGCTGGAGCTTACTGCCCAATCAGCTTCTCTCCTTCATTGCCTGCCACTGATTTGGTCAAGATCACAGTTGCTTGATGGGCAAATATAGTCAGCAAGGAGGACCAGGCTGTGAAAGAGAGGGAAGCTGGTAATGCCAGGATGGAACAGGAAGGAATGGGGCAAATGAAAATACAAAGGACAAGAATACTCAGTGATGGCAGAATTAGCATGCCTGTCACATGATGAATTTCTACTGTCACTGACTCTTCGTTATTTCCCTTTCCCCTCATCCCGGTGGCATTCCAATGGGTGCTGCAGCTGTACCAGGAGCTTTTCCAGGGTCCCTGCCATTCACACCAGGAAGGTCTACCCCTACTTTGGTAACTTCAGGAAATATATCTGGCAAAGTCTGATCCCAGGTAGACAGAAACAGATGTGTGTCCACTGTGCTGCGCTCCAAGGGTGAAGAGGCTACCTGTCTTGATGTTAAACTGATCGCCTGCCACGATACCTCAATTCTGTCCAGTGAATTAAGGCTTTGTGTTTCCAAAAGGGAATATATCAATTTAAAATACGTTATTGTAAAGGGAATAATAAATTTGACTGCTGGTAGCCGTAAATACATGTGGGTACATGAATTAATGATATTTATTGAGCCGTTGCTATTTGCTAGACAAAACTGCATAGCTATTTTGTACCAGACCCTGCACTTGGAATATTTAAATATAAAATGAATTAATCTCTACAACAACTCTGTAGAGTTTATAGGTGAGTGAATATAGTCTCCCTTTGGCATTTGTGTTCAGTTAACATGTATTGACTACTTATTCTGGCATGGCACCAAGACCTGGGGAATACAACTGTGAATAAGATGTTTATCTCTCTTGCCCTCTCGGAGTTGAAGGCTAAGGAGGGAAAGTGAATTTTAAAGAAGGTAATTGTCATGTGTGGTAAGTGCCCTGATAAGGGACGTGGAGAATGCCAAGAGCACACAAGGGCAGCCAACATAGACTTAGGGGTTAAGAGAACTCCTTAGGGAGTGATCATCAAAAGTAAGAAAATGAGATGAGTAGAGCAGGCAAAAGGGACAATGGAACAATGATCCTGGCAGGAAAAACAACATGGGAGAGCCTTGGGAACATAGAGGACTTAATAAGGCAAATAAAAATGGTTCTTTACAATAAAATGTAGAGTATGAGGGAAAAGTGATATATTTAGTAGCCAAGAGCCTGTATGTAGAAGAGCTGGAAGGTGAGCTCAGTATTTGAGGCTCAATAACCCTGATTTTATCATTCTCCACATTCTTTCTACTTCATCAGTTTACTTTGGGAAACGGATAACAGGGCTTTTAAGAATGGGGTCAGAAAGGACCTTTGGGAAGCAGAATAAGGAAGAAAGGAATGGAGATAATTTCAGAAGTAATATGTGACAGGCACAGGTGGAGTAAATCTTTGTTTTAAGTAAAATGAAAACTGAGGAAATAAAAGGAGGGAGGAGGTGGGACACAAAAACAACATTTTAAACTTTCTAAGCTCAATGTAGATCATGGTGCAGGTGATGCTGTAGCTCCTGGTAGTGTTATTCTCTTCCTTAGAGCCAGGTGGTAGCTAAATCCTGATTTTGGCCTTCCCATTCCACCTCATTCATATACGCAGAGAAGGGTAAACGTTAGCAGTCATCTTGTCTAATCTCCAGACCAGAATTATGAAGGTCCTGGCATGGGAAGAAACACAGCCTGTTGAAGGACCTTGAGGACAGCAGTGAGAGAAGGAAGACTGGCATTTTGTAACAAGGGTGAAGAGGAGTGGGCTCATTTGGAGATGCTCAGACCAATTAAGGATTGACATTTTCCAAAGAGAGCAATAGGAAGCCATAGAAAGGCATTAAGTAGGGCAAAACTATTGTCAGATCTTCATTTTAAGAAGATCACTGTGGATATTGTAGGGAGAGTAGGTTAGCGGGAGCAAGAGTGGAGGGGGATAGACAAGATGGGAGATTATTGGAGTAATCTGGGTAGGGGATGTTAATAGCATGAACTAGGGTGGTGGCAGCCTAGACAGGGCCATGAGGAACATGCTGAGGAGGTAGCCAAAAGGTGGAACTGGCTAGCGTTGGTGAGAGATTGGGGTGTGTAGTGGGTTGATGAGGAGGGAGAGATAAATATTAGGAGCAACTCTCAGATATTCTGACTTACAGCTGAATGCATGTTAATATTGTCACCAAGGTTAAGAACACTGCTTTGGGGGAAAGACCATGAATCTGAGTTTGGGTTTCTGACAATGAGAGAAGCATTCCTGAGGAGCTGGGGTAATTGCCTGACAATATTAAGTGTTAAAAGTTTATTCATCATATCCAGAGGTCTGGCTTATGGTTTTTCTGTTTTGATCATCATTCTGTTCTCTGAGCCACCCATAGTCCTGCATGAAATTCTGCTCTAGGAACTCAGTCCTTGTGTCTGTTCTTATGGCAAATACCTGTTGGCCTTGTTAGGGGGACTTGCTGGTCTTGGGCTGAGTTTTGCCTGTGATTTATTTTATGCAGCATGTGTCTATTAGGTTACTAGTTCACAGGCCTGTGTTTGGCATTATCACTTTCACAAAGAGGCTAATAATGTGTGGTCCTGACTTTCAAAGGAATTTGTGATCTTATTGTGGGCAAAGAATAATAGCAACAATTCATGGCTTCTCTGTGCATGATTTAAGGAAAGGGGATGTAGAGGTCTATATGGAAGTCCAGTCTCCTCTTTGTACATAGAGGGCACAGTCGTGTTTCATTAATAACAGTACTGGGGGCTTGTGGAGAGAGAGAAAAAAAAAAAAACTCAGGGCAGAAACTAGATGGTATGTGCTAGGGAATCAGTAGAAGATTTAAAAAATGTGAAGTTCAGCTTTCCCATCTAAAATTCAACTCTGAAGATGAACTATTTAAATTGCCTGCAATAAATCCCAGGGACAAGGGAAAAGAAAGGCATAGGGGAGAGGGGCTATTTTAGCATGTGGTTTTATTACTAGCACCTAGTGATACACATCAGAAGGAAATGAGTAAAAGAAGTATGGATGAATAAATGGTGGATGGATTGTAGGAGGTATGGATGAATAAATGGTGGTTGGATTTATTGATAGATGAATGAATGAATGAATGAATTCAGGTAGTTCACTCTAGGCAGGGAATCACATATGGGACCAATTTAGTAGAAAGTGATGAACGGTGAGTTTCCGGGGGTGACAAGAGGACGTAGATGTAATAAAAATTCCCTAAACACCAACCCTGAAAGATTTTGGCATTCTTGACAACCTATTTCCATGTAACATTTCAATATAATTCAGAATCTTCTTTTAACAAGGGTTGGATTGTGCAGATTAGAATAAACCTCTAACTTCTAATCAACAATAAGTATGTACCTTTTGATACGGATGATCATTTTTGTGCTACTTTAAGTCCTTGCAATTTTTTTCCCCACTAGAATGAAGTTTCTGAGCTGTTAATAAAGGCCAAGGCCTAGACTCTGGTACCTTTTTCATTTCACTTAGCAAGGCTTTCATTTTTCATTTATCTTCTTTCTGTGACAAGAACAGGAGTATGAGTAACATCAGCCAGTAGACTAATAGGATGCCAGAGAATTAACACTGATGTGTGACTCGCAATAATCACATTTTAATTCTAGATTCAGGAATTATTTATATTTTATTTTATTTAAAGTAGGAGAAACAAAACTTTCAAATGATGTCTCCTTGACTTGTGGCAGTTCTCTGGTTTCCCTGACAGTCCAACATTTGTAGCAGCAGATGGGTCAGATGTCACTTTAGACCAATTTTCCAAATTATCCTTGAGCTCTCTAACTCTGCTAGAAAAAATAAATAGAAAATGTCAAACTGAATTTGCTATCTTAACAAATGCAAAATACTGCTGACCAAGGACTAATGACTTTCTTTGTTTCTGGAAAGGCTTCTAACCCCTTGAAAGGTGGGGCAGGGAGACTTTTGTACATCTGGGCCCCAGATGTAAACTGGTTTGTTCTGACTTCTGCTCATTGTTGTTAAGAGGTAGCTTAAGTTCTTGTATTAATCTGAAGTTTTCCCATATAAAATAAAGCATAATAGATAGCATAACCATCATTGGGGTAATTATTTTTCATTTTTCCATAAATCTATTATACATATTGTTTACATTTATACCAATAATTCATATGAGATAGATGTCGAAAATAACCAGCATCATTGAAGAGATAAAACTAGTAAAAATATTTTGATGTTATTTGAAAATTTCGAAAGTACTTTCATGTATATAACCTCACTTTATCATTTCAATAAAGCTAAGAAAAGTAGATGATAACAATTTAGCTCAACAATTCAATTGAGCTAATAATTTAATTCGTTTGTTAAACCCCAAACCCATGCTTTTCTGATGTTGCCTCATTATTGTAGTGTCAGAGAATTATGAAATTCAATGGTGATCGAAGTGTTTTCATAAATATTTCTGGTCTGGGGAAACATCTCTCAAGCAGCCCATCTGATTATGGGACACTATTTCTTGGAAAGCAGAAGAGTTAAGGCACAGGTTAAATAAATGATTTTCTCACAGTTTCAGATGACCATCTCTGCTTCTTTCCACCTCTAGGTTTTTACAATTTTATGGTATATGCTTTACACACATTAGCTTATTTCTATTCTTTCAACAACTGATCATACTTCCATGTTATAACTATAAATACTGAAGCTCTATGAGAGTACATAATTTTCTTAAGGTCATGCAAATTCTTGGAACTCAGAGTTGATGTCCTTTTTCCCATAGTCCAGATTGATATCAGTACTTTTTCAATGTGTCTGTGCCCCAGCTTCCATTGCTAATACAGTTTGGGAGTTAACTGAGTTTGTGTCTAGCATTCCTATCACTTTATATCTCTGGGTGACTGTGGTAGACTCAATAAGGACAACAGGGTGAGGTGATCTATTTTGGCAGAGGCAGTAAAAATGATCAGTTCATGAGAGACACTTAATGGGCAATTGTCTTTCTGATGTTATTCCTGGAATTGCCTGAATCCAGAGGGCTTATTGCTTATATTCAGTCATTTGGAATATTGAGCTAGGATAGAGATCTAGCTTTGCAACTGCATCCCATAGGAGCTTCAGACTTTTGCTAGACTTGTTATCACTTTAGGGTAGTGCTGTGCAATAGAACTCTATGTAATGATAGAAATGTTCTCTATCTGCACTGTTCAAAAGGGTAATCTCCAGCTACATGTGACTATTGAGCACTTGAAATGTGGCCAGTATGACTGAGGAGCTGATTTTTACATTTGAATTAATGAAAGTTTACATTGAAATAGCCATTTGGGTCTGGTTGTTATATTGGAAGGTACAACTTTAGAAAAAATAACCATAAAACTAGTGTCAAGTGTCTGGCTTTATACCTTATAATCATAGCAGCCCAGAAAGAAAATATGATCTTTTCTCCTTATTCTTTGAAACATCATGGAATGAAGTAGGCTACCCTATATTCTCACCTCTCAATGAAAGACTAGAATTCTTCACAGTTGTAGTATCAATGGACTTCAGAAAGTGTAAATGAGGGAAATCCCATTCCTTACAGAGGCAACAAAATTCAGGAGAACAATAAAATAAAAAGTCTTTTGAAGGCAGAGGCCATGTCTTTGTTCCCATTGTATCTTCCACAAATATGTCTGTGTCTGATGAGAATTAATATCAATGCAAAAACTCATACATCTTCAGTGCTTATTTTGTGCCAGGCATTGTTACAGGTGGTTCCATATAATAACTCATTTAGTCCTCACACCAGCCTGGAAGTAGTTAAACTTATTATTACTTCCCAAAGTAGGCTCACAGATTATTAAATAATTTTTTAACTTCTTTCCTTTTGTATTAGAGCATCGCAGCAGTAGCAGTCAATACTTATCAAATGCCTAGTAAGTTCTAATTGCTGGCTTAAGGCAGAATCATCACATGATGATCCATGTCAGTGATGTCCCTTGGAGTAGTGCAGTGGACAGATTATGCTGTTTAGAAAGGTTTGCTAAAGAAAAGACAGTTCTCTTCCTTCTTGATAGAGTTTCTATACTCTGTGGGCGCTGGAGCACACCCAAATGAAGAAGGGTGCCATTCCCTATAAGATTTGCTGTAAGCAACTACCTTTTAAGAAATAGTTTCCCATAACCAAATAGGCTGCTTGAGAGATATTTCTCCATTACTAGAGATATTTATGAAAACATTTTGGTCATCATTTAACTCCATAATTTTCTGACATCACAGTAATGAGGCAAAATCAGAAAAGCATGGGTTTTGTGTTGGACAAACTGGAGTTAAATTGTTAGCTTAGGTTGGGCACGGTGGCTCACGCCTGTAATCCCAGCACTTTGGGAGGCTGAGGCGGGCGGATCACGAGGTCAGGAGATCCAGACCATCCTGGCTAACATGGTGAAACCCCGTCTCTACTAAAAATACAAAAAATTAGCCAGGCGTGGTGGTGGGCACCTGTAGTCCCAGCTACTCGGGAGGCTGAGGCAGGAGAATGGCGTGAACCCGGGAGGCGGAGCTTGCAGTGAGCCGAGATTGCACCACTGCAATCCAGCCTGGCGACAGAGCGAGACTCTGTCTCAAAAAAAAAAAAAAAAAAAAAAAAATTGTTAGCTCAACTGTGTCACTAACTGGTGTCTCTCTTGGGTCTTCTTTCTAATTATAACAGGCAATGACTTTTCATAGGCTTGTCATAGGTATTTAAAGAGTGAGTAAACGAAAGAAGCTAGTGCTTGGTGACTGGTGGTGATTTAATAGTTGATATTACTATTATTACAAGTAATGTTTTCAAACAGGTATGTGGGGCTATAGATGCTGTCCTCAAGGATCTTAATAGAGGAAATAACATAACATAAATAAGTGCAATACAATAGGACAGTTATGTGTGATGGGTATTTGGTAACGAGAAGGAGATTACCTCCAGCAAATTATCAGAAAGAATTTCTCAGAAAACAATGATGGGCTGTACAACAGAAGGCTTTTAAGTGATAATTTTTGTCAAATCAGTTGAAAAAGTAGGTGCAAATAATGTTCTGGATTTGGGCTACTGGCAAATAGTACTACCCCTGCTCTTCTAAGCTTTCTGCCTGAAATTCCTATAGTGCAGATAACTATCTATGCTCTTTGCTCTACCACCTCGTCCAAAAGTTTCATAAGCAGTCTTATTGAACCCCTTCCTATCTGAGTGAATTTTGTTTTCCTGACTGAGACGTTGAGATGTGGGAGAGTAGAGCCTTAGGAATCCCTACATCCATGTTCCATGGGTGAACCAGGGATTTTCTTGATTCTTCCCCAGGTCCAGAGTTTTATGTTTCAAGGGTCTCTTTCTAACTTTCAGAAATCTTCACACAGGATTTTGCAGTGCTGTGGGTCATGGCTCCTAAAGAGTCTCATGTTGTGCTAACAAGATATTATCAGTTTTTATTTTAAACTCACTCAGTGTCCTTGAATCAGTGTCCTATACTCAAACCCAAACCTGACTCATGCTTACTTGGGGCTAGGATATTTGCCATCTCATAAATGGTACATTTATGTTTATTGAGTACCACTAATGTATTCAATAGAAAGATAGCAACTGTTTATAGATGTACCAAACAAAACCCAATGTTTCCATCCAGGAAGCACATGAACAACTTTTCAGTTTTTCTGCTTAGGCACATCACAAAATATGGTCATAGGAAATGATGATGAATCCACTGGGTAACAATGGAGCTGGTATTGACTTCAGGTTATGCAGTCCTCCATGTTTACAGCAATGGCAATGGAAATGAATTTAATGGTCTCTTCCTCTAGAAGCAGTTCAATACAATAACTGCTGAAATGCCTGCTACCTGTTTATTATAGTCTCTTTTATCCCTTAGGACCTTTGCCAGCATGTTTTTAAAGCCAAATTCGAGGTCACTATGTAATACTCACTACTAACAATATGTGTACTTTTTCAGGCAATGATTAAAAAACATAAAGAATTGTTCACTGGGGAAAAGTTGTATATCCTTTACGGATTTTTAGAAAGCGTTGTCCCAAGCCTAGTAGATCAGCCATAAATGTAATTTATGGGAAAAGCCAAATCTGGAAATAAATCACTACATCAATCTACCAAATATTTCATAAAAAGACTGTAGGTGTCAAGGAAAACAAATAACAAAGGCAAGTGGTAGTCTCTCTTGCTTTTAAAATGAATACCACAAAAGTTATTTATTTGCTGTAATAACATGAAGATCTAGATATTTCAGTCTAGAAATTTTTCTCCATTACTTAGATCACAGTCACTTATCACAAAATGACTTTGAGGAGTCAGTGCAGAGTTACTACATTATTACTAAAAAGATTAATCCTAATTTAAAATAATTAAGACAAATTAAACACCACTTCACAATAAAACACACACATCTGTATAGCTCTTAAAAGTTTTTTTTTAAATTGATACGCTTCTTATATATCTGGTTTATTTCACTTAGAATAATGTCCTCCAAGTTTATCCATGTTGTCACAAATAATAACAACAATAACAATAAAGAAAGAAAGTGGGAGGAAACTTTTGGATGGATAGGTTTTTGACATAGATCGTGGTGATGGTTCCACAGGTATATACTTATCTCCAAACTTACCAAGTTGTATACATTAAATATGTACTTTAAGAATGTTAAACATATCTTAATAAAATGGATAAAAAAGTCTATGCTCTTCAGGTTGTCACAGATGCTAAGCTATTTTCCAAATGAGCAGGTCCCTTAGGAGGGTGCTGACAACTCCAGATGAAGGTGATTGTCAAACTCGGGAAGGTTTCCAACCTAGGAGCCTCGTAGTCGAAGAGGTCTCTAGACACAACTCTGGGATGTTCAGACCTAGATTTGCGGGCCTCCAGGTATATGAACAGCCAACAAAATGGACAGCTCTTGAAAACTGTACACAATTGAGGCTCATTCAATCACCAGATATTCATTAATGCCCTCCCAGTGGGTCTATTATAAATTTAGTAGGTTATAAAGCCCAGAATACTCCATGACCTATATAGCCCACACCTCTGCAAGAAAAATAAGCTTCGAACAAGTACATAAGTTTTCTTTCAATAAATACTAGAAAGTGATTTTTCTGTTAATTATTTTACAAAGATAAATTTTAGAACCTGTCATATAAAGCATCATAATTCCATTTTATCACAGGATGGTAAAAAACCCAAGCCAGAATATACAGAGACATATACAAAGATATGTATACTACTGAATATAGAGAACCCCTAATGAGTGTTCTCTAGTTGAGTCCAGATACTCCCTTTTATTTTTGTTCTTTCCTTCAAGGACTCAGACTTTTCTTCCAAGTTATCATTTAAAAGTATTTTGCTTCCCTAAAGTTTGAGTTTAGAATGAGACACAATATAAGGTGTAAGGAAGGGATCCAGTTTCAGTTTTCTACATATGGCTAGCCAGTTTTCCCAGCACCATTTATGAAATAGGGAATCATTTTCCCATTTCTTGTTTTTCTCAGGTTTGTCAAAGATCAGATGGTTGTGGGTGTGTGGTGTTATTTCGGAGGGCTCTGTTCTGTTCCATTGGTCTAGATCTCTGTTTTGGTACCAGTACCATGCTGTTTTGGTTACTGTAGCCTTGTAGTATAGTTTGAAGTCAGGTAGCGGGATGCCTCCAGCTTTGTTCTTTTGCTTAGGATTGTCTTGGCAATGTGGGCTCTTTTTTGGTTCCATATGAACTTTAAAGTAGTTTTTCCAATTCTGTGAAGAAAGTCATTGGTAGCTTGATGGGGATGGCATTGAATCTATAACTTACCTTGGGCAGTATGGCTATTTTCATGATATTGATTCTTCCTATCCATGAGCATGAAATGTTTTTCCATTTGTTTGTGTTCTCTTTTATTTTGTTGAGCAGTGGTTTGTAGTTCTCCTTGAAGAGGTCCTTCACATCTTAAAGACTTAAGTGTTAGATGTAAAACCATAAAAACACTAGAAGAAAACCTAGGCAGTACCATTCAGGACATAGGCATGGGCAAGGACTTCATGACTAAAACACCAAAAGCAATGGCAACAAAAGCCAAAATAGACAAATGGGATCTAATTAAACTAAAGAGCTTCTGCACAGCAAAAGAAACTACCATAGGAGTGAACAGGCAACCTACAGAATGGGAGAAGATTTTCACAATCTACCCATCTGACAAAGGGCTAATATCCAGAATCTACAAAGAACTTAAATAAATCTACGAGAATAAAATCAAACAACCCCATCAAAGAGTGGGCAAAGGATATGAACAGACACTTCTCAAAAGGAGATATTTATGCAGCCAACAGATACATGATAAAATGCTCATCATCACTGGCCATCAGAGAAATGCAAATCAAAACCGCAATGAGATACCATCTCACACCAGTTAGAATGGCGATCATTAAAAAGTCAGGAAACAACAGGTGCTGGAGAGGATGTGGAGAAAGGAAACAGGCAGACATTTCCAAACATACATGCACTCAGGTGATATATCTCCCATGAGCCTTTCTTCAAACACATGCACATATACACACACACAGTTGATAATGGGTAACTCCAAAACAGGCATAAATGGAGAAGGTAAAATAAAGTTTCTGGTATTGAGAAATGAATTCAAATAAAAATTTAAATCTGTCTGTTTTGTCTTCCTCTTTATAGTTGACATGATTTTTACTCCACAAACTTAGCTGTGCAAAAGCTAAGCTAAGCTATCACGTTACCCACTTTTCTTGAGTAATTAAATCTAACTACAAGAAGCTATGTTGCCTGGACATAGCTGGGAAATTCATTGCCAATAATTTTATTTTAATTTTGTGTATTGGACCCAGGCATACCAGAAGATTACGAGGTGCTCAGGGAAATGCTTCTTGGTTTAAATACCTGTCTTGTCCAAGCCCACTTATCTTTTTGAACCCAGGATTCCTGCTAAGCTCAGTGATAGGAATCTCTGTGAGGGCTGTGAGCTCATCCCCACATTGCTTCTAAGAGCCTACCAACTACCTTCATTTTTAAACTCTGTGAGGGTGCGGATATCTATCTGTTTTGTTCATTGGTGTATTGCCAGCACATAGACCAGTGTTTGGCACATAGTAAACCAGAATACTTCATGTATGAATGAATGCTACCAGGGAAAAAGAGAAGCATTTTTGCTACTCAGTTCCCAGAAGCTGGAAAAATTTTTCTGTGGATGGCACTCTTTTTCCCTCTTCCAGCCCATCTCTTCTCTCCTAGCACTCCTTCAGACTTTCATCCCTCTGTATTTTCAAAAATGTTTTCAAATAATATATATTACTTTTATAATTGGAAATAACTAGATAGATCTGGAAATATCTACATAATAATAAAGGGAATCTTTTGCTCTTTTTCTTTTTTTAAGGAAGTGGGACAAAGAACTACATTTCTATTTCCTGTTACTATCAACTAGTCAAAGGCAGATAATTTAGATGTGTCTCACGAAGACTATGATCAACACCATGGATTATAGATGATTATAATCCACTTAAGCCTTATTGATCTTGAGATTTCACTTTTACCCATCCTCGTTCTCCTGGCTTGTTGATCTATTCAAAGAGTGTATTGATTTTTAACTTTTTGTAAATCTAGTGGTATCTTCCATTTTATCATTATAGTTTAACAACTAGAGGACATCTAAGAAAAAATATCATTTTTCAAAGACAATATTTTGTATTATTTGTTTTTCAAATTGCATGTCACAATTTAATATTGGATTGCATAATCCATTTAATGAGTTTTGACTAGCATGAAAAAGTGATAGAGATTAAAATAGGGTATATGGCACATATAAGGCTAAGTACTGTTTTGTAAATTTTTTGTTTCAGGTATACATATAGTTTGTATATATTCATATGCATGTATGGACTAGGTCATTTAAAAAGTGTTATTTCTATGGGTTGTGATCAAGCAAATTTGAAAGCCAGTGTTTTATATAATTATCTATTCCTTTATAAAAATACCAGTTAATAAATCCTTAACTCTTCCTTACTATCACTAATATTGTGGGTAATTTGGAATTGCATCTGTGTCTATATATTTAAATTATGTCATGGTAACCAAACAAGTATGTGAAATATCATTTTCCTAATTTTCATAAACAGTGTTTAGAAAGAAACAAAACTCTTGAATTCTTTTGTTTTAGTAGGTGCCTAGCTGCCAAGAATCTGCACACCTCCCATTAACTTTTGTATAGCTATTTATAAAATCATTTGATAACTAAAAAATATTTTCTCATCTTCATTGGTACGAATTTCAGGCCCTCATCTAATTTTAATTTTAGGCCTAAATTAACATCGTAGAACTAAAAAGTGTTTCTGGTGTTGTCTTCTCAGTTCGGAGACCAAAAGCCGTGTAGCTGCTCATTTATTTCATATGAAAAAAATGTTTTCCTATATCTTGGAAATTTGAATACTCCTGTGTGTATAGATTTTAATTTTTAATTAATGTTCTTAATTTTATTTTTCAAATAGAAATTGGGGTCTGTGTCTGCTGAATTTCCAAGGATTCCTATTGTAGGAGCTTCAGATATATTAACTATGTGGATAGAGAAAATATGACCTAGAGGAGACTCTGCTCTGTGTATCTGTATCTCACTAAGCTGTAGAAGGAGACTCTGCCCTGTATAAAAAGAGACTCTATATATTGATACATCTATTGACTGATAGACTTATCTGTATATCCATATGTTTAGGTATATATCTATAAGCTGTAGAAGGAAGCTGGAATCTGGGATAACTCAAAATCCTCGTTTGAAGAGTGGGCTATGGAGAGTAAAGCAATGAGGTCATAACTTCTCCTAGGTCCCAGATTATACAAATTGGAGAATTTATGCTAGTTGTGTTAAAGAACAAACACAAAACCTCAGGGTCCTGACAAAGTAAGGCTTGTTCCCACTCAAATTACATTCCATTAACCTTGATGGCATGCTCTTCTCTACTCAATTACTCAGGCTCCTTTAACCTTTTCAAGGACCAGATGAAGCTGTATGAGTTATAAGGAAGGAGGAGGTATCAAAGATGACATCATGGCTGGCTTGTACATCTGAAGAGATGTCATTTGTTGAAATGGGTAACTATGAGAACCCAAGTGGAATTGTCAAGGACACAGCTAGTAGGATCTTCAGCTATAGCTGTGTTCCCAGGGAACTGAGGGCTGGAACCAGCTTGCCCAGCTTACTCCAGTCCAACACTGAGGGTGGCTCCATGAGCAATACAGTAGGCTTGCCAGTTTCTCAGCTTTTTCTCATTTTTGGTGTGAAAATGAAGAATGAGGGGCATATTTTATATCTGGGGACATGGGAAGTCAAGCTTGTGATATAAATCTATCTTTAGAGTACTGGTTCACAAAGTGTGCTCACGAAGCCAGCAGTAGCAGCATCTCCTGGGACCTTGTTAGGAATGCAAATTCATGGGCTTTACCCCAGACCTGCTCAATTAGAAACTCTGGGAAAGGGGCCCAGGAACCTGTGTTCTAACAAGCCTCCAGGTGGTTCTCAGGAAGTTAGAGTTTAAAAACCATTGTCCTAGATAATCCAAGAGGAGGCTATTGTGAACCCCTTTGTGGTTTCTCTTGTGTTCATTCATTTCAGCATAGTCGCTGAGTGCCTACTGAGTACCAGCTGCTGCAGGGTTCTTCATGGACAGGAGCAGCACTGTTTACTCACAGTCTCCTTGGTATCTTCCAGGCACTATTTTCATAATCATCCAAGGAGATGTCCCTGTAGAATGTAAATCAGGTTTAATACTTGCTGAAACTTAACAGGTTTAGGAAAATAAATCTGCTATAAAACATGGATGTAATGCAGTCTGAATAAAATATAATGAATTCTGCATCACTCACTATTTATTTTTCTTACTATCTTCACTAAAGCTCTCCCACATTTGTACTAGTAACTAATGTTGCCTAAAAATCAAATGTTTAGATTTCAAGTTCTGTGAAAGCAGATAATGTCTCCTCTAAATTTTTCAAATTTAGAACAGTTATGTATGTTAAATGGGTATTACTTATAAAACAAAAATAAATGGAACAAAATTGACTATGGCAGTCTCCCCTCATCCATGGGGGATACATTACAAGACCCCCAGTGGATGCCTGAAACCGTGGACAGTACTGAACCCTATATATATGATGTCTTTTTCCTATACATATATACTTATGATAAAGTTTAATTTATAAATTAGGCACAGTAAGAGATTAACTACAACAATAATGAAATAAAACAATTAAAACAATATGCCAGCATCACTACTCTTGTGCTTTGGGGCCATTATTAAGTAAAATAAGGGTTACTGGAACACAAGCACTGTTATTCTGCAACAGTCACTTAGTAGCTGTCTCAGTGATGAATGAACTGATGAATGGGCAGGTCGTGTAGACATCGTGGATACTCTGGACAAAGGGATGATTCATATCCCTGGCAGGAGGAAGTAGTGGGGAGTGAGATTTCATCACACTACTCAGAATGACATGCAACTTAAAACTTGCGAATTGTTTATTGCTGAAACTTCACATTTTATATGTTCAGACCTCACAGAGCAAAGCCACAGATAAGAGGGGACTACTGTATTCTTGTAAGATTTTCCATCTTCCCCTCTAGCTATATAGTTAGCAAAACAATAAATACGTAACAGAATGAGTTCCTGAGAAACATACTGGTGCCTTGCTTTTAATGAAATTTTGCTGTCTCTTCCTCACAGAAAAGGCAGCTAGAATGTTGTCTTGATTTCTGGCCTACTTGGTACGACAGTAGTTGTAGTTTTTAGTGTTTCAGAAGAAAAAAAGAAGTTACTGTGCTTTGGAGACATCCTGAAACTATGTTTTTCGCTAACTATTCTTGCAAAGCGTGCTCTGTGAGACACCTGTTTCCCAAACACCTGAAGAACCTACATTAACACAGCTCTTTGAAGTTACATCTCCACACTCATCAGTCTCTGGAGGTGAACAATCCTGAAAATGGGGCATGAAATTGTATGAGGCAGCTCTCTTCACCTGAGTCCATCTCTCAAAGAGGCTGGTAGCTAAAGGTAGTCTTTGGGCAGCTCTCCTAGAAACTGGGAGAGAAAGACCATTTCTGAAGAGGGGAAAGAAGGGTGTATCACTCAGTGTCCACTGTAGAGTGAGCGGGCACAGCTGTTAGATATAAGGAAATTCATTACTGATATTTGCTGTGGTTTGAAGAATTGGAGTTGTCTTCAGATTTCAAGCTCTTCAATATGGTGGCCACTCACCATTTGATATTTCTGGAGCAAAATCTGGGGCCAGACCTGTAATATGTGTCAACTGCTTATATTTGCTTTCTCCTCTCCTAGCCTTGCTTAGAACAGGCATATTGCCATCTGGCTCCATTTTGAGGTTAGTAGGAATCAAAATTGAGAATTTGACAAGTGGAAATTTTTAAATCTGAATTTTCGCAGGCGCTAGCAGCAGTTTCAGTAATCAGTGGCATTTCTTTTTTTACTTCTTATTTATTTATTTACTTATTTTATTATACTTCAAGTTCTAGGGTACATGTGCAGAACATGCAGGTTTGTCACATATGTATACATGTGCCGTGTTGGCTTGCTGCACCCGTTAACTCATCATTTACATTAGGTATTTCTCCTAAAGCTATCCCTCCCCGCTACCCCGACCCCACGACAGGCCCCAGTGTGTGATGTTCCTCGCCCTGTGTCCAACTGGTCGCATTGTTCAATTCCCACCTATGAGTGAGAACATGCAGTGTTTGGTTTTCTGTCCTCGTGATAGTTTGCTCAGAATGATGATTTCCAGCTTCATTCATGTCCCTACAAAGGACATGAACTCACCCTTTTTATGGCTGCATAATATTCCATGGTGTATATGTGCCACATATTCTTAATCCAGTCTATCATTGATGGACATATGGATTGGTTCCAAGTCTTTGCTATTGTGAATAGTGCCACAATATACATACGTGTGCATGTGTCTTTATAGTAGCATGATTTATAATCATTTGGGTATATACACAGTAATGGGATGGCTAGGTCAAATGGTATTTCTAGTTCTAGATGCTTGAGGAATCGTCACACTGTCTTCCACAATGGTTGAACTAGTTTACAGTCCCACCAACAGTGTAAAAGCTTTCCTATCTCTCCACATCCTCTCCAGCACCTGTTGTTTCCTGACTTTTTAATGATCGCCATTCTAACTTGTGTGAGATGCTGTCTCATTGTGGTTTTGATTTGCATTTCTCTGATGACCAGTGATGATGAGCATTTTTTCATGTGTCTGTTGGCTGCATAAATGTTTTCTTTTGAAAAGTGTCTGTTCGTATCCTTCGCCCACTTTTTGATGGGGTTGTTTGATTTTTTCTTGCAAATTTGTTTCAGTTCTTTGTAGATTCTGGATATTAGTCCTTTGTCAGATGGGTAGATTGCAAAAATTTTCTCCCATTCTGTAGATTGCCAGTTCACTCTGATGGTAGTTTCTTTTGCTGTGCGGAAGCTCTTTAGTTTAATTAGATCCCATTTGTCAATTTTGGCTTTTGTTGCCATTGCTTTTGGTGTTTTAGTCATGAAGTGTTTGCCCATGCCGATGTCCTGAATGGTATTGCCTAGGTTTTCTTCTAGGGTTTTTATGGTTTTAGGTCTAGCATTTAAGTCTTTAATCCATCTTGAATTAATTTTTGTATAAGGTGTAAGGAAGGGATCCAGTTTCAGCTTTCTACATATGGCTAGCCAGTTTTCCCAGCACCATTTATTAAATAGGGAATCCTTTCCCCATTTCTTGTTTTTCTCAGGTTTGTCAAAGATCAGATGGTTGTAGATGTGTGGTATTATTACTGAGGCCTCTGTTCTGTTCCATTGGTCTATATTTCTGTTTTGGTGTCAGTACCATGCTGTTTTGGTTACTGTAGCCTTGTAGTATAGTTTGAAGTCAGGTAGCGTGATGCCTCCAGCTTTGTTCTTTTGGCTTAGGATTGTCTTGGCAATGTGGGCTCTTTTTTGGTTCCACATGAACTTTAAAGTAGTTTTTTCCAATTCTGTGAAGAAAGTCATTGGTAGCTTGATGGGTATGGCATTGAATCTTATATTACCTTGGGCAGTATGGTCATTTTCAAGATATTGAATCTTCCTATCCATGAGCATGGAATGTTCTTCCATTTGTTTGTGTCCTCTTTTATTATGTTGAGCAGTGGTTTGTGGTTCTCCTTGAAGAGGTCCTTCACATCCCTTGTAAGGTGGATTCCTAGGTATTTTATTCCCTTTGTAGCAATTGTGAATGGGAGTTCACTCATGATTTGGCTCTCTGTCTGTTCTTGGTGTATAAGAATACTTGTGATTTTTGCACATTGATTTTGTATTCTGAGACTTTGCTGAAGTTGCTTATCAGTTTAAGGAGATTTTGGGCTGAGACGATGGGGTTTTCTAAATATACAATCATGTCATCTGCAAACAGGGACAATTTGACTTCCTCTTTTCCTAATTGAATACCCTTTATTTCTTTCTCTTGCCTGATTGCCCTGGCCAGAACTTCCAACACTATGTTGAATAGGAGTGGTGAGAGAGGGCATCTCTGTCTTGTGCCAGTTTTCAAAGGGAACACTTCGTTTTTGCCCATTCAGTAAGATATTGGCCGTGGGTTTGTCATAAATAGCTCTTATTATTTTGAGATACATCCCATTAATACCTAGTTTATTGAGAGTTGTTAGTATGAAGCGCTGTTGAATTTTGTCAAAGGCCTTTTCTGCATCTATTGAGATAATCATGTGGTTTTGTCTTTGGTTCTGTTTATGTGATGGGTTACGTTTTTTGATTTGCGTATGTTGAACCAGCCTTGCATCCCAGGGATGAAGGTAACTTGATTGCGGTCGATAAGCTTTTTGATGTGCTGCTGGATTCGGTTTGCCAGTATTTTATTGAGGATTTTTGCATCGATGTTAATCAGGGATATTGGTCTAAAATTCTCTTTTTTTGTTGTGTCTCTGCCGGGCTTTGGTACAGGATGATGCTGGCCTCATAAAATGAGTTAGGGAGGAGTCCCTCTTTTTCTGTTGTTTGGAATAGTTTCAGAAGGAATGGTGCCAGCTCTTCTTTGTACCTCTGGTAGAATTCGGCTGTGAATCTGTCTGGCCCTGGGCTTTTTTTGGTCGGTAGGGTATTAATTATTGCCTCAATTTCAGAGCCTGGTATTGGTCTATTCAGAGATTCAACCTCTTCCTGGTTTAGTCTTGGGAGGGTGTATGTGTCCAGCAATTTTTCCATTTTTCTAGATTCTATAGTTTATTTGCATAGAGTTGTTTATAGTATTCTTTGATGGTAGTTTGTATTTCTGTGGGATCAGTGGCAGTATCCCCTTTATTATTTTTTATTGCATCTATTTGATTCTTCTCTCTTTTCTTTTTTGTTAGTCTTGCTAGGCACCTATCAATTTTGTTGATTTCTTCAAAAAACCAGCTCCTGGATTCATTGATTGTTTGAAGGGCTTTTTGTGTCTCTATCTCCTTCAGTTCTGCTCTAATCTTAGTTATTTCTTGCCTTCTGCTAGCTTTTGAATGTGTTTGGTCTTGCTTCTCTAGTTCTTTTAATTGTGATGTTAGGGTGTCAATTTTAGATCTTTCTTGCTTTCTCCTGTGGTCATTTAGTGCTATAAATTTCCCTCTACATGCTGCTTTAAATGTGTCCCAGAGATTCCACTACATTGTGTCTTTGTTCTCACTGGTTTCAAAGAACATCTTTATTTCTCCCTTCATTTCATTATTTACCCAATAGTCATTCTGGAGCAGGTTGTTCAGTTTCCATGTAGTTGTACAGTTTTGAGTGAGTTTCTTAATCCTGAGTTCTAATTTGATTGCACTGTGGTCTGAGAGACAGTTTGTTGTGATTTCTGTTATTTTACATTTGCTAAAGACTGCTTTACTTCCAACTATGGTCAATTTTGGAATAAGTGTGATGTGGTGCTGAGAAGAATGTATATTCTGTTGATCTGGGGTCGAGAGTTCTGTAGATGTCTATTAGGTCTGTTTGCTGCAGAGCTGAGTTCGAGTCCTGGATATCCTTGTTAACCTTCTGTCTGGTTGATCTATCTAATATTGACAGTGGGGTGTTAAAGTTTTCCATTATTATTGTGTGGGAGTCTAAGTTTCTTTTAGGTCTCTAAGGACTTGCTTTATGAATCTGGGTGCTCCTGTATTGGGTGCATGTATATTTAGGATAGTTAACTCTTCTTGTTGAATTGATCCCTTTACCATTATGTAATGGCCTTCTTTGTCTCTTTTGACCTTTGTTGGTTTAAAGTCTGTTTTATCACAGACTAGGATTGCAACCCCTGCTTTGTTTTGCTTTCCATTGGCTTTGTAGATCTTCCTCCATCCCTTTGTTTTGAGCCTATGTGTGTGTCTGCACATGAGATGGGTCTCCTGAAGACAGCACATTGATGGGTCTTGACTGTTTATCCAATTTGCCAGTCTGTGTCTTTTAATTGGGGCATTTAGCCCATTTACATTTAAGGTTAATATTGTTATGTATGAATTTGATCCTGTCATTATGATGGTAGCTGGTTATTTTGCCCATTAGTTGATGCAGTTTCTTCCTAGCATCAATGGTCTTTACAATTTGGCATGTTTTTGCAGTGGCTGGTACTGGTTGTTCCTTTCCATGTTTAGTGCTTCCTTCAGGAGCTCTTGTAGGGCAGGCCTGGTGGTGACAAAATCTCTCAGCATTTGCTTGTCTGTAAAGGATTTTATTTCTCCTTCAGTTATGAAGCTTAGTTTGGCTGGATATGAAATTCTGGGTTGAACATTCTTTTCTTTAAGAATGTTGAATATTGGCCCCCACTCTCTTCTGGCTTGTAGAGTTTCTGCCGAGAGATCTGCTGTTAGTCTGATGGGCTTCCCTTTGTGGGTAACCTGACCTTTCTCTCTGGCTGCCCTTAACATTTTTTCCTTCATTTCAACCTTGATGAATCTGACAATTATGTGTCTTGGGGTTGCTCTTCTCAAGGAGTATCTTTGTGGTGTTCTCTGTATTTCCTGAATTTGAATGTTGGCCTGCATTCTAGGTTGGGGAAGTTCTCCTAGATAATATGCTGAAGAGTGTTTTCCAACTTGGTTCCATTCTCCCTGTCACTTTCAGGTACACCAATCAAACTTACATTTGGTCTTTTCACATAGTCCCATATTTCTTGGAGGCTTTGTTCATTTTTTTTTTACTCTTTTTTCTCCAAACTTCTCTTCTCACTTCATTTCATTCATTTGATCTTCAATCACTGATACCCTTTCTTCCACTTGATGGAATTGGCTACTGAAGCTTGTGCATGTGTCACGTAGTTCTTGTGCCATGGTTTTCAGCTCCATCAGGTCATTTAAGGTCTTCCCTACACCACTGTTTATTCTAGTTTCAAAGTTTTTAGCTTCCTTGCGATGGGTTCAAACATCCTCCTTTAGCTTGGAGAAGTTTGTTATTACCAACTTTCTGCAGCCTACTTCTGTCCACTCATCAAAGTCATTCTCCGTCCAGCTTTGCTCCATTGCTGGCAAGGAGCTGTGATCCTTTGGAGGAGAAGGGGCGCTCCGGTTTTTAGAATTTTCAGCTTTTCTGCTCTGGTTTCTCCCCATCTTTGTGCTTTTATCTACCTTTGGTCTTTGATGATGGTGACTACAGATGAGATTTTGGTGTGGATGTCATTTTTGTTGTTGTTGTTGATGCTATTCCTTTCTGTTTGTTAGTTTTCCTTACAACAGGCCTTTCTGGGCTGCAGGTGGCTTGCTGGGCAGAGCCCTGGGGGTGCGATGCTGCTGCCTCCATGTCTCTGCTCCCTGTGTGCACCCTGCACTTAGGGATCCGTCCTTCACTGCCCCATTAACCCCATGCCTGTCAGCCCCTGACCTTCGCCCTGGGAGGTTCTGGCCAGGTGTCAGAGGGGCACTGTGTCAAGGGCAACCCCCCCAAATCAGCGTCCCATGCTATAGCCACAGTTTCCAAGAATCTGTTGATGGCATTAGGTATCAGAAAACTCAGACTGCCTTAAACAATTAAGAAATATAGGTCCGTTACAAGATGGCCGAATAGGAACAGCTCTGGTCTGCAGCTCCCAGCATGATTGATGCAGAAGACGGGTGATTTCTGCATTTCCAACTGAGGTACCTGGTTCATCTCATTAGGACTGGTTGGACAGTTGGTGCAGCCCATGGAGGGTGAGCCAAAGCAGGGTGGGGCATTGCCTTACCGGGGAAGCACAAGGGGTGGGGGGATTTCCCTTTCCTAGCCAAGGGAAGCCGTGACAGACTGTACCAGGAAAATCGGGACACTGCCACCTCAACACTGTGCTTTTCCAATGGTCTTAGCAAACAGCACACCAGGAGATTATATCCCGTGTCTGGCTTAGCAGGTCCCATGCCCACGGAGCCTTGCTCACTGCTATTCCAAGACTGAACCGCGAGGAGGCAAGCCTGGCTGGAGAAGGGGCGTCCGCCATTGCTGAGGCTTGAGTACGTAAACAAAGTGGCAGGGAAGCTTGAACTGGGTGGAGACCACTGCAGCTCAATGAGGCCTGCCTGCCTCTGTAGACTCCACCTCTGGGAGTAGGGCATAGCTGAAAAAAAGACAGCAGAAACTTCTGCAGAGTTAAACGTCCATGTCTGACAGCTCTGAAGACAGCAGTGGTTCTCCCAGCACAGTGAACTCTGAGAACGGACAGACTGCCTCCTCAAGTGGATCCCTCACCCCTGTGTAGCCTAACTTGGAGACACCTCCCAGTAGGGGCTGACTGACACCTCATACAGCTGGGTGCTCCTCTGAGACAAAGCTTCCAGAGGAAGGATCAGGCAGCAATATTTGCTGTTCTGCAATATTTGCTGTTCTGCAGTCTCTGCTGGTGATACCCAGGCAAACAGGGTCTGGAGTCGACCTCCAGCAAACTCCAATCAGTGTCATTTCTGATCACACCCACCAAGCCCTCTCTACCACCACCCATCACTACCCTTAGGATTAACCCAGCACTGCCCTGTGGAGTCACGGTTTATCTTACCTCTTCCTTTCTTCTCCCCCTTGCTGCAGGTTGGAGAGTAAGATGAGACAATTTCTTGAGCACAGTGGTGGTTAAACAAAGATTTATTTTTTCTAGGATGAATTTAATTTTGGGGAGAGATATATTCTTATCTGAGGAGGTAGCATCCAACATAGTTATGTACAAATGGCACTTTAATCCTTAGAAGGTATATTAAATTACAGAGTCCTATAGGAGGAAAAGTTGTAAATTAATCTTAATGTTCATTTTAAATTTATTAATTTGTAATTAAACAGAGAAAAAATTCTCAAACACACAACATTGAGTACCTGCTGAATACATACAATATTACTAGGCAACATGGAAGATATAGAAACTTTGACTTAGATGCTCATGTAACCCATCAGGAAAAAGGATGTCTGCTTCAGGTAATATGGATTCTTAGGACTATGGAATTCTCAGGACTGTCGAATCCTTGTGTGGGCACAGGGGAATAATCTGTGAGGTCTGGTTTTAGTCTTAGAAGGATATAGGAACAGGTCAATAGTTGAGGAAAGGAGATGAAAAAGCAATGACAGTGGAGAAATGTAAAGATCATGAGCAAATTTTGTGTTTACTAATGTCAATTTAAGGAACTGAAATTGATATGAAAAATACTTTTCTTTAAAAAAAGTGTCCGGTTTTTATATATAGCCAGATCAGAAAGCAAGTGCCATTCAAACCTTTAAAATCTGGTAGCAAGTAAATTAGCGCTGTTTAATTTCTTTGTACTGTCTTTAAAACAATGCCAACATATTCAAATGGGATTAGTGCTAACAATGGGTAACAGAACAGAGCCCCATAGGATGGTTGATTCAGAGCTCTAAGCACCCATCATTTTTTCTCTAGAAGAGAACAATTGAGATGGTGCATTATAGAGTAAGCGGAACAAATATCTTCCACTTCTTTGTTTCACTAAGCTAATCCTCTTTGTGAAGAACGAGGTGGCACCCTGAGTCGTTGTTGGGATGCAGCACATTTCTCCTCACTGTTTCTGTCTGAAAGCAAGTCTGTCCAACAGTGAAAAAAGTCACTGATTAATTTTATTCATTGAAGAACTTATCTACTTTTCTAGTTGCTTGGGGCTGAAGGATAAACTATTAATTTGTGTTCTAATCACAAAAATAGTTTGTGGTTAAAGTAGAATGACAACTTTTCATCTTTTTTCTTTGCCCTTTCTAATCCTTTCCATTTTTCTAGGCAACAATGAATTGGTTTTAGTCAAGGCATGAATCCTTTACGCAAACGGAAACAATAAACTAATTGAGACTGTATTCTATGGAGACTCAGGATTTTGAAATTAGCAGTGACATGTTTGGCTCTTTGGCTTTGAAGTGAAAAACATCTAGTCTCTTATTTTTGGATTTGTCACAGGCTTATTGTGAAATCTCTTGAGAGAGTCACTTATAGCCCCCTGCCGCCGCCCCCTAAGCCTGATTCCTGTTTACCAAATTCATATATTAGGACTATTAAAAAGCTAAATGCATCCAAGATCTAATCTTCTTGTTTGTAATTTAATATACCTTCTTAGGATTAAATTGCTATTTAGGATGCTACTTCCTTAGATAAGAATAGATCTTGTTTCCAAAGCCTCTTAGATAATTAAATTCATCCCTAGAAAAAACAAATCTTTGTTTAACCACCACTGTGCTTAATAAATTGTCTCATCTTACTCTCCAACCCGCAGAGAGTAGGAGAAGAAAGGAAGAGGTAAGATAAACCATGACTCCAGAGGGCAGTGCTGGGTTAATCCTAAGGGTAGTGATGGGTGGTGGTAGAGAGGGCTTGGTGGGCGTGATCAGAAGTGACAGTGATTACTGAAACTGCTGCTAGCACCTACCAAAATTCAGATTTAAAAATTTCCACATGTCAAATTCTTAATTTTGGCTACCACCAACCCCACATGGAGCCAGATGGCAATATGCCAGTTCTAGGGCAGGGCTAAGAGAGGAGAAAGCAGGTATAAGTCGTTGATACATATTACAGGTCTGGCCCCAGATTTTGCTCCAGAAATATCAAATGGTGAGTGGCCAAACTGAAGAGCTTGAAATCTGAAGACAACTCCAATCTTCAAACCACAGTGAATATCAGTAATCAATTTCCTTATATCTAACAGCTGTGCCCTCTCGCTCTACAGTGGACACTGAGTGATTCACCCTTCCTTCCCCTTTTCAGAAATGGATTTCTCTCCCAGTTTCTAGGAGTGCTGCCCAAAGACTACCTTCAGCTACCAGCTTCTTTGAGAGATGGACTCAGCTGAAGTCAGCTGCTTCATCCAAGTTCATGCCCCATTTTCAGGGTGGTCCACCTCCAGTGACTGATGGTGTGGAGATGTAAACGTTTTTATGGTTAGCCATTGTTTAATAAACACTCCACCTTACATGATTATAAGGATCACTCTCATTTTGTTATATCACTTTAAAGTTTTATTTTTCATTTTTAATCTGTCTCAAATTGACTTTTTACAGTAAGGTAAGGATTAATTTTTGTCTCCTATGAATAATCAGTTGTTCCAGCCCTATTCACTGTCTCACTAAAAGGCGATGCCACCTTCATTATACATTGCATCCATACATGTGCGAATTTGTTTGGGGTTATTGTGTGTTTTTTATCCCTTGACCTATTATGTACATTTCCATTCTAGTACCACTTTGTCTTAATTAGTACAGATTTGTCATAAACCTTGACATATGGTAGGTAAATTGTCCTCTCTTTTTCCTTCTTCAGTGGTTTCTTGACTGTCCTAAATCTTTGCACTTCTAAATAAAAATTTAGAATAAGCTTGTCAAATTCAACTACAAATCCTATTGAAATTCGACAAGAATTAACTTAGATCTTGAGTTGCAGCTGGAGAGAATCAAGAACTCTGCAATGTTTTCTTATTTATTGACATAATATGTCTCTTCAATCATTTGGGTCTTCTCTAATGCCTTTTAATCAGCTTTATAATTTTCTCCTGAAGGATCTTGTATATTTGTTATATTTATTCTTATATTAATTATACTTTTTGAGCTAAGTATTTATATTCATTATTCATATTCTCTTAGTTTGTTACTGTTGACTAGATGTAAAACTGACTATTGATCTTATATTTATTCACCTGACAGAGCTTACTAATGAGTTCTCATATCTGTAGATTGTTTTGGGTTTTTAAAGTGCACATGAATATTATCGATAAATATAATCAGTTTTTCTTTTCCAATTCTTGTATCTTTTGTTTCTTTTCTTCCCCTGTGAGAGATAAAAATTCCAGTACAATGTTTACTAGCAGTGGAGATAGTGTGTACCTTTGTTTTGTTCTTGATTTTAAACAGGATACTTGAAATATTTTTCTAAGTCTGTATTTTTAAGGATTGCTTTGCATATATATTTAGCACATTAATTTTTTTCTTCTATTTCTAAATCAATAAAAAATACCTTGAGTTGATGTTGTGTTTTATCAAATGTTTTTAGTAGCTATTTAAATAATTATTTGGTTTTCTTCTCTAATTGGTAAAGGCAATACATTAATAAATTTTTGAATTCCTGGAATAAGCCAAACTTGGTCATGATAAATTATCTTTTTATAATTAGTTAAAATTTAGCTTAGTTTTTTTCATACATTTGTTTTAAAGCCACTCTGCAGAAATAGCTTGGATATGTACCAAAATTTGGTTTAACTGATGATGGCATGTCTCAGACATCAGTCAATCAGGACTGAGTTGTAAAAAAGAATCTGACTTCATTTTTGGATGTTTGACTTGTGATAGCATTGAGTTTTATTCCTCTCCCTGCCCCTTCTGTTCCATATTTGTTTGGTCAAGTGCTAATAAAGCCTGGGTGTTCCTTTCTTTGGAGCAGATGGGAAATTCAAACTACGCAAGCTCCAGCTTGTGCAAAAGAACAGTTACTTCTGCACCACCTCCTACCATAATAAAAACCCCAAATCAGTCTCCTTCCCTTTCTCTCTTCAGCCATTTTTGGACCAGCTTGGAAAGCCAGTCCTGGCCTCCCCGCAAAGCCTCATTATGTGAATGTAAACCCTTTCATAACTTGAGGATGTGTGGCATCATCAATGTTGACAGCCAAAAAAAAATTTTGGATGGTAATCCGTCCTGCATCTGTAGTTGGACCACAAAACAAGGTGCTAATTAATGAGATTGAACTGTAATTTTACTTTTGCTGTCATTGTCTAGTTTGAGTATCAAGGTTATACTAGACTCTTTGAATGAGCTGAAAAATGTTTGGTCTTTCTAGGGAAGAGTTTATGTAGGATTAGATTTATTTGTTCCTTATGTTTTGGTAGAACTCACCTATAAAACCTGGGTAAGAATATTTTATAATGTTTTTTAAACTATGGATTAAATTTCTTCAATCATTTAAGGTGATTCTAGTTTCCTTTTGTTTCAATCTAGGAAAATTAGAAAATATCCCATTTCCCTGGGTTATAAAGGGGGATGATGGTGGTAGGGAGTAGAGGAGATAGGGTTGGAGTCAATAACAGTTTCCATAATGTGGAAGACCTTGTAAAGTGTTGATGCAGGAAGAGTGGATTTTTTAAAAGGTATAGTTTGCATACCATAATAGTCACCTTTTTGAAGTGTACAATTCAATGGTTTTTAATATACTTACAAAATTATGTGGCAATCACCAATACCCAACTTGTTAAAGATCTTTGAAAAAATTTTTACTTTTCCACCAGCTTTATTGAGGCATAATTGCCAAATAGAAATTAGATATATTTATGGTGTACAAGGTGATATTTTGATATATGCATACATTATGAAATGATTGCCATAATCAAGCTAATTAACATAGCTGCTTTCTTACATAGTTATTGTTTTTTTGGTGGTAAAAATGTACTTTGTTGACATATTTTAAATACACAATGCATTATCGTTACCTATAGATTTTACAACTGCCAAAAGAAACCTCATGTCCATTAGCAGTCAATCCCCATTACTCTCTCTTCCCAGCCCTTGGCAACAACTTATCTTCTATCCCTTTCTATGAATTTGCCTAGTCTGGACATCTCATAATGTGATCTTTTGTGACTGTTTTTTTTTTCACTTAGCATAATGCTTTCAAGGTTCATCTATGTTGTAGCACATGTTACTTCATTTTTATGAATGGATAATATTTCACTGTATGGATATAGCACATTGTGCTTATTTGTCAGTTGATAGGCATTTGAGTTCTTTCTGCTTTTTGGCTATTAGGAATAATGCTGCTATGAACATTCATGTTTGGGTTTTTGTGTGGACATGTATTCTGAATTCTTTTGGGTTATACCTAGGAGTGGGTTTGCTGGGTTATGTGGTAACTGTATGCTTAACTTTTTGTGGAAATGCCAAATTGCTTCCAATGTGGATAAATCATAATTTGTTCCTTCAAGCAATGCATGTAGGCTCTAATTTCTCTATGTGTTGGCCAAGACTTCTAATTATCTTTCTTTTTTTTATAGTTATCCTAGTGGTTGTAAAGAGGTATTTATTTTGGTTTAATTTGTATTTCTCTAATAACTAATGATTTTGAGAATCTTTTAATGTGCTAATTGTTCATTTATATATATTATTTGTAGAAACTTCTATTCAAATCCTTTTCCCATTTAATAATTGGGTTATTTGTGTTTTTAATGTTGAATTGTAAGAATTCTTTATTCTAGAGACAACTTATTCATCAGACATATGATTTGAAAATATTTTATTTTATTCTGTGGACATTTCATATGTGATCTTTATATGTCCTTGATGATATCTTTTGGAGCATGAAAATTTTAAATTTTGGTGAAGTTCACCTTGTCTGTTTTTCCATTTGTTGCTTGTGCTTTTGGTGTGACACCTGAGAAAAACTATTTCCTAGTTTAAGTGGTTCAAATATATTCTTTTGCTTGTGGCTATCCAGTTGTCCCAGCACCGTTGGTTTAAAAGACTAATCTTTTTCCATTATAATATCTTGGAACCGTAGTGAAGAACCAATTGGTCCTCATTGGAAGGATTTATTTCTGGGCTGTCTATTGTATTCTGTTGATCTATATGACTAGTATTATGCTAATACCACAAAGTCTTAAGTATTCTAGCTTTGTAGTAGTAAATTCTCAAATTGGGAAACATGAGTCCTCCAGATTGGTTCCTTGCCAAAATTGATTTGGCTATATGGTGTCCTTGCACTTAGATATGAATCTTAGGATCAGCTCTTTATCTGTGCAAAAAAGATGCTGAAAACTTGATACAAATTGCATCTAATGTGTATATCATTTGAAAGGTATTGCCATCTTAACAAGAATGTCTTCTACTGCATGAACATGAATACCTTTCAATTTACTTAGGTATTTTAAAATTTCTTTCCAAGAGATTTGGCAGCTTTTGGTTTACAGCCCATGCATTTTGTGGTAGATTTATTCCTAAATATATTTTTTAATGCTATTGTAAATAGAATTGCTTCCTTAAATTTAGTTTTGGACTTTTCATTGGTGGCATGTATACAGTTGATTTGTGTGTAGTGATGTTATATCCTGCAACTTTGCTTTTTAGTTGGTTCCTTAAGATTTTCTGTATACAAGACCATGTTTCTGCAAATAAGGATGTATTACTGCTTTTTCAATCAGGATTCCTTCTCTTTTTGAAAGTTATTAATTTTTGATTCAATTCCTTTGCTAGATATAGGCCTATTCAGATTATTTCTACTTTTGTTATAGTTGTGTGTCTTTCAAGGAATTGGTACATTTCATTTGAGTTAACAGATTCATTGGCATAGAGAGTTGTTCATAGTATTCTTTTATTATCTTTTTAATGTCCATGAGATCAGTAGTGATGATCTCACTTTCTTTGTGTCTTTTCTCTTTATTTATAAGTTAGCCTCGCTAGAATTTCTCAATTTTATTGACCTTTTAAAATACCCAGCTTTTGGTTTTATTGATTTTTATCTATTGTTTTCTTGTTTTCAATTTCACTTGTGTCTGCTCTAATTTAATTTATTGTCCTTTTTGTGTTTCAGGCCTAACTGAGCATTTAATATAATTTAATTTTGTCTCTTAGCATAGGAATGATATTTAAACTTATTTTTTATATTTTGCCATATAGTTTTCAGAATACATTTGTGACTAAGATGAATCCTCCTTCAAATAATATCATACTGCTTCATATGTAGCACAAGTACCGTATGACGAAGTATTCCCAATTTGTCCTTCCTAGTCCTTACAACATTACTGTCATTCATAGAAACTTTCCAATATGAAATTCAAAGAAAAAATAAAAATAATCAAACAAAATATCCAAGATGTGGGGGAAAAGGTCAAAAGGTGTATGCCATGATCACTCAATATATTGTTGTTATTATTTATTGAAACAGTTATCTTTTAGATCAGTTAATAATTTTAAAACATTTGTTTTAATTGTGTTGATTTTTTTCTCTGATGTTCTTCCTTTCTGTACGCCTATCCAAGTTTTTGACATATATCCTTTTCTTTCTGTGGGAAGACTTTCTTTTCACATTTTAAGAGTGTGTGTCTTGCAGCTCTTTCATCTGTAATCTCTTGCAGGGCAGGTCTGCTAGTCATAAATTCTCTCATTTCTTGTTTACCTGAAAAATTATTTTTCTTTCATTTTTAAAGGATAATTTCAGTGGATATACAATTCTAGGTTGATGGTTGTTTTCTTTAATATTTAAAGAAATATTAAAGGCTTTAAATATACTTTAGATATTTCACTGTACTCTGTCCTTTCATGGTTTCTGATGAGAATTTTGTTTTAAGTATCCTTGTTCTTCTATAAGTAAAGTGCTTTTTTCTCTTTAGAGTCTTTCAAGATTTTCCCTTTATCTTTGGTTTTCTGCAGTTTGAACATGATGTGCCTATGTTTAGTTTTTGATATTTATTCCACTTAGTGTTCTTTGAGCTTTCTGTATCTTTAGTTTAATGTCTATTGTTAAATTTGGAACATTCTTTGCCATTATTACTTCAAATATTCCTTGTGTTCCATTATCCATCTTTTTTCTTTCTGGTATGCTAAATTTGCATGTTACACCTTTTGACCTTGTCCCCCACCTATTGGATATTTGGTTTGGTTATTTTCATTTTTTTTTCTCTGAATTTCATACTGGAAAGTTTTTATTGACCTATTAAAGCCTTCAGCTATCTTTGTCGAATTGTTTATTTCTCCCTTCAGTTGTTTTCAGTTTTTGCCTGATGTATTTTGGGGCTTCTTGGTAGGAGTATATACATTTATGATTGTTATATCTTCCAAAAGGATTGACCCTTTTATCATTATAAAATGTTTTTATTTGTCTTTGGTATGTAGTACATTTCTTCTCTCTTGCTGCTTTCAAGATTCTCTCTTTTCTTAAGCTTTCAACAGTTGGTGTCTAGGTGGGAATCTCTTTGAGTTTATCCTACTTGAAGCTGATTATGTTTCTTAAATAATTTTAATGTTTTTAAGCATATTTGGAAAGTTTTCAGCCATTATTTCTTTTAGTATTCCCTCCTCCCCTTTATTTCGCTCTTTCTTGAATTCTTATTTTGCTTAAGTTGATAAACTTGGTATTATATGTCATGTCTCTGAGGCTATACACATTTTTCCTCATTTTTTTCTTTCTGTTTCTCAGAATACGTAATCAGAATTGACCTATCTTCAGAATTACGTGTTTGTTCTTCTACAACTCAAATTTTTTTGTTGACCCCCTCTAGCAAACTTTTCATTATTGTACTTTTTAACTCCAGAATATCCGATTATTCTTTTTTATATTTTTCTACCTTTTTATTGATGTTGGTGATACACCATTCTCATAATTTCTTGTAATTATTTAGACATTATCCTTTCTTTCTTTTCTTTCTTTCTTTCTTTTCTTTTTTTTTTGGTTTTTTTTTTTTTTTTTTTTTTTTTTTTTTTTTTTTTTTTTTTTTTTGGTGAGAGTCTTGCTCTGTCACCCAGGCGGGAGTACCGTGGCACGATCTTGGCTCACTGCAACCTCTGCCTCCTGGGTTCAAGAGATCCTCATGCCTCAGCTTCCTGAGTAGCTGGGATTACAGGCCCATGACAACCACACGTGGCTAATTTTATTATTTTTAGTAGAGACGGGATTTTGCCATGTTGGCCAGGCTGGTCTCGAATGCCTGACTTCAAGCGATCTGCCCGCCTCCGCCTCTCAAAGTGCTGGAATTACAGGTGTAAGCTACCACACCCAGCCTAATTCTTTAAAAATAGTCCCGGTATGGTAGCTCATGCCTGTAATCCCAGCGCTTTGGGAGGCCGAGTCGGGCAGATTGCCTGAGGTCAGGAGTTTGAGACCAGCCTGACTAACATGGTGAAACCCTATCTCAACTAAAAATACAAAAAATAGCGGGATGTGGTGGCACACGCCTGTATTCCCAGCTACTCGGAGGCTGAGGCAGGAGAATGGCTTGAACCCAGGAGGCGGAGGTTGCAGTGAGCCAAGATCACGCAACTGCACTCCAGCCTGGGCAACAGAGCAAGACTCTCTCTCTCTCTCTCTCTCTCTCTCTCTATATATATATATATACATATATATATATATAAAATAAAAACATATGTGATTTAAAGTCTTTGTATAGTAAACCCAGTGTCTGAGTTTTCTCAGTGGCACTAGAAATTTGTTAAAGAGAAAAATTTAGGGAGAGGAAAAATGATACCAGATGAAAATATGCATGTAGACAAAACAATGAGGAATACTGACTGTTTAACACTGAAGCTCTATGAAAGCTGGAAGTAAAGGCTAAGGCATAACTATAACCTGCCTGCTGGAACACCATACACATACTTCAATACATACACAGAGTCCCTTGTAAAATTTGGAAGACTTACTGGTTCAAGACGTGTAAGGAAATTTCTGTCTGATTATTAGGTGACCAATGGGCTAACCGAGTAGAGACTGCTTGGCTGCATATGACCAAAAGCATACTTTTTGCAGAATTACTTAGGGAATGTTACTAAATAACAGAAATAATAACATAAAAACAAGTAGCAACAATAACACACCTGATTAGTTGAGAGGAAATCTAATTTCAAGAGTTGCCACCGTATTTTTATTTTATTTATTTTATTTTATTTTTCAAAAAACAGGGTCTCACTCTGTCACCCAGGCTGGAATGAAGTGGCATGATCATAGCTCACTGCAGCCTCAAAATCCTGGGCTCAAGCGATTCTCCTGCCTCAGCTTCTTGAGTAGCAAGGACTTCATGAGCATGCTACCACACCTGGTTAATTTTTGTATTTTCGGTAGAGAGAGGGTCTCACTATGTTGCCCAGGCTGGTCTTGAACTCCTGGTCTCAAGTGATCCTTCTGCCTAGGCCTCCCAAAGCACTGGGATTATAGGCATGAGCCACTGTGGTTGGCCATGTGTCAGTTTTGATTGATTGATTATTCCCCTTATTATGGTTTGTATTTTTCTGCTTCTTTTCCTACCTAGTAATGTTTGCTTGGATGACAGATTTTGTAAATTTTACTTTTTGGGGTGCTGGATATTTTTGTCTTCTTCTAAATCTTCTTGAGCTTTATTTATGAATGCAGTTATTTGGAAACATTTTTATCTTTTTTGATCTTGCATTTATTAGTTGTTAGGCAGCTCCAAAGCAGTGATCAGTCTAGGGATAAATATTGTCCACTGTTGCTTTAGACCCTTTTCTATAGTCTGCCCAATGGCACATAAAATATCAATCTTCTTGCTTATCTGGTGGGAACGCATATTGTTTCTGGCCCCATGTAAATGCTGAACACTTTTGCCTTTAATCCTCTTAGACGATTCTTTCCCCAGCCTTGGGTAGTTTCCAAATACTACATGCTGATCAGTACTCTAGAATATTTGTGGCAGGCTCTCTGAAGACATCCATAGTTCTCTCTCTATGAAACTCTCTTCTGGTAGTATGTTCTGCAAACTCTAGCCAATACAATCTCTCTAGACTCTAAGCCAAGTCTCCTCAACTCTGGAAATATTTGGGACTCTTCCTGGGCTGTCCTCTTTTCACTAAAGAGTATGAAATTTCTTTCCAGGCAGTAAGCAGAGGCAATTTTAGGGCCAAAATTTTTTGTGTTCCATCTTCAGAGATCAGTGTCTTTTACTGCATGGTGCCCAGTGTCTTGGAAATGATTGCTTTATACATTTTTCTGCTGTTTTTAAAAAATTGTTTCAGAAAGGAAAGTAAATCCAATATCTGCTACTCCATTTTGTACAGAAGTGTAAGTTCACTAAGACTACATGTAAGCTTCAAATTAGCACATTTGTATTACTTGTGCTTTAGTAAACTGTCCTTTTTGTGGAAATTAATTCAACAAACTTCCAGTTATGTGGCCAGCCTCTGACACTCATGGACTCAACTCCATGTGTTTTTCCTTCAAGAGGAAGTCCACAATGGTTAGGAATCATTCAAGCTTGCTTAAGGTAAAGCTCATGTCTCTAAATCCTGTGATAGTACATATTCCTGCATTTAAACAATATGTTAAAAATAAAGTGATGACACAGAGATTGTAAAGATCAAGGGAAAAAGCTCGAGTTATTTCAATTCTATCATTTTACAGGATAGCTTAGAGTTTTTATTTGTATTTAAAATTTAAACGAGTAAAACATAGTATGAACTGTAATGATAATATTTTTGTTGGGTAAGTGTAAAGTTTAGTTCCCATAGGAATATTTTACTGATTTTGACTAGTATGTTTAAAATTACAATTTATTATTTTAAAACTATTTTTTCAAACTATAAGACATAATATGTTATTTCATAATTGTTAGTGAAAATAATTGTCATTTAGAAGAGGGGGATGCTGTTCTGCACAGTAAAAGAAATAATCATTAAACAGACAACCCACAGAATAGGAGAAAATGTTTACAAACTATGCATCAGATAAATAACTAATATACAGAATCTACAAAAAACTCAAACAAATCAGCAAATCAAATAATCCTGTCAAAAAGTGAAAAAATGGCATGAATACATAGATATTTCCCAAAAGAAGATATGCAAATGGCCAACAAACATAAAAAAATGCTCAAAATCACTACATCAGGGAAATGCAAATGAAAACCACAAGGAGATACCACCTTACCCCAGTCAGGATGGCCATTATTAAAAAGTCAAAAAATAATAGATATTGGCATGGATGTTGTGAAAAAGGAGCACATACACTGATGATTGGAATGCAAATTAGCACAACCTCTCTGGAAAACTACGGAGATTTCTTAAGAACTAAAAGTAGATCTATCATTCAATTTAGCAATCGCACTACTGGGTATCTAACCAAAAGAAAAGAAGTCAGTAAATAAAAAAGATATCTGCACATGTTTATCACAGCACAGTTCACAATTGCAAAAATATGGAACCAACCTAAGTTCCCATCAACTGATGAGTAAAGAAAATGTGATATATATACAACATGGTATACTATTCAGCCATAAGAAAGAATGAAATAATGTATTTTGCAGCAACTTGGTTGGAGTTGGAGACCATTATTTTAAGTGAAGTAACTCAGGAATTGAAAACTAAATACTCTATGTTCTCACTTATAAGTGGGAGCTGAACTATGAATATGCAGAGTCATACAGAGTGATATAATGAAACTTGGAGACTCGGAAAGGGGATGGTGGGAGTCAGGTGAGGGATAAAAAGCTACATACTGGTTACAACGTACACTGCTCAGTGATGACTGCATTAAAATCTCAGACTTTACTAAACAATTCATCAATGTAACAAAAAAACACCCCCAAAGCTATTGAAATTTACAAGATTTTTTTTTAAAGAAGTGGGGGAATACTTAAAAAATAATACACCATGCTTTTCAAATACATGAGGTATGCCTCTATGCAAACGATGTGTCCAGTTATAAGTCACACACTCAGGCAAGTCCAAAGCCATGGCTTCCCACTAAGTACTGATAGTTTATTTACAACCTTCTAAATAATAAAATATTTTATCAACCAGGTGTCATTTCTCTCATAGCCAATATTAAATTCTATCTTTATTAGGTTTCCAATGGATCAGAACTAGAAAGTCAACTCAAAGTCAAACTTATCCATAGAATAAGATAATGTATCTCATTTACTTTTTACCCAGAAGTGTGTACATAGACAATATATTTATAATTTTATAAAAAATATATGATAAATACCCAAAATGAGGTATAAAATTGTTATAGAAATGTGTAGAATGATGATTTATTCCAATTGGAGGAATAGGAGAAGTTTCCCTACTAGATATAAATTTCAGTTAAGCCTTGAAACATGATCAGGAAGATTCCATGGATAAAAAAACAGTTTTTTACAGGAAAGGGTATTCTAGGCTGAAGAAGAAACCTGCTTGCTTGCTACTAATAAATGGATTTATTTTGAAAGCTGAATTGACTCTTAAAATCTACTCGGGCTTTCCTGGAGAGATGGATTAGCAGGAATAAAGGTTATTAGATGATCTTTTAAGGTCCCAAGTCAACCAACTATTAATCTACCTCTGGGCTTACTCTCATAAATTTAAAATCTCATGCTGTATTCTGTAAGATACAAAGAGACATACAAAAATAGACTATCCTTCATCCTGAGATTTCTTTTTTCCAACTTGAAATGACATTAAGAAAGAAATTATGAGGCATTCTTCCATCAGAATTTAGACCCACTTCTTTTGAATGATTTCTGCATTTCTAAGCACCACAAAACCACCACAGCTATCTTTCCTAGTAAATATTTAATAGAATGGCACCATAAATTCTGTTTGTGTTCCAAAAAAAGAGTAAAAGTTTCACGAATTTTTTTCTTCCCCTCCTTAATGGAAGTCTTCAATCACACCAAAGAATATGATGGCTTTTAGGAATCTGAAACCATGAAATTAAATGTAATTATTTTGTTCCTTTTTCTTTTTAAAGCCATTTGTGTTAAAATGTTAGAAATTAAATTAAATTACTCTAAATTAAAAGGCATGCTTATGGCATTTTGCAAGATGAGCAAAAATTCTTATAAGAAATAAATGCTAGTCGCGTGGACGGTGTGGGGTAGGAAAGCTCTCAGTACTCACTCTCTATCTGTTTCCACTGCTATTTCCTTTGCTTTTCAAATCACTACTTCAAAGTTTTAGACAGCTATAAAATGCAGTGCTGATACTAAACAGGCCATCTCCTAATGTTTAATGACTGGAACATAATTGTTTAGACATAGCTGCAGACTAACACTCTTCTACTTTGAAGTGGACCTACCTAGTAAAGATACAATTCAAAAGATTTTCAAAAATTAAGAAAGTCTCATATATTTTTAGAAACATAGCAAATGTCTCTGCTCAGTATATACAAACATGAGAAATACAAGGAGAAGCTAGATGGATGAACCGTAAAATTGGTACTTTTTAAATCGAATTCTTAGGTCTTAGAAGAAAAAGAAAGCTGTATTAGGCTGCTGTAATAAAAGCTTTAATTGCCTTGCTTAATCAACAATCTGCTTCCTGTTATTAAACATAAAGGAGAAATTCTCCTGTGGAAGCTCTTTCTCCAGAAGAGTTATTGTGAATGCCAAAGTAATTGTGGTGTCACAGAAGAGAAATGTGTGTGTGGTATTTGAATGGATATTAACTGAAGAAGGGCTCAGGCCTAGTTTAATGAACTGATGTGTAAATCACACAAGAATATCAGAAGCATTTTTAAACAAATTGTAAACAATTTTATTGATGTGAAAGCCTGTATGTTTATAGATTACATTCCAGTTTTAAAAAATATTTTCATAATTCAAAGTTCTGTTGCATTTCATCACAACCTTGTTTCTATTAGAAAATGTTTTGTGTAAAGGAGTTATTTTCACCACTTTTTGTAATGGTTAATTTTATTTATCAACTTGACTGGGTGATGGTGCACCCAAATACTTGGTTAAATATTAATTCTTGGTTTGCCTGTCTGGGTGTTTCCAGAAGAGATTAGCATGTGAATTGGTGGGCTAAGTAAAGCAGATGGCCCTCCCCAATGTGAATAGGCCTCATCCCATCTATTGTGGGTCTGACGGGAACAAAAAGCTGAGGAAGGGAGAATTCTCTCTCTTTGCCTGACTGCTGTGCTGCGACATCCATGTTCTCCTGCCCTGGACTGGGATTTATAGCATCAGCCCTCTTGGTTCTCAGGCCTTTGGACTTGGACTAGAACTTACACCATTGCTGCTTCTGGTACTCAGATCATCAGATTTGGACTGGAACTATACTACCAACTTTCTTAAGTCTCCAGCTTGCAGATGCCAGATCATAGCACTTCTCAGCCTCTATAATGGCACAAGCCAATTTCTTATTCTTTATAATAGGTAGAGATATGAATATATATTTAAACGTAAATATATGCCTATTTAAATAAAACCAATAGGATAGATACATATATGTATATATATCCTGTTGATTCTGTTTCTCTGGAAAACCCTAATAAATCTTTAAAGTTAGTTTAGGAAACTTCTAACAACTTAGAAAAAATTCTTAACTACTTCCTGGCTTCAGATTTACTCTTAAGAATAGGCGCTTGTATTCAATAAATGGAACACACTTTTCCTTTTATTATGTTATTCTCAAAATATGAACAAATAATGGACACTGCTAGAATACTACCTTCCAGATATACACACACAAAGAATGATACATATTCTATTAAAGAGTCTATTATATCTGTGCAAAAGTAAGAAGCAGTAATATATTGTACATATCTCATAGAATGTTCAATATAGATTTTGTTTTTACTTATTATGTAACATTGGCCAAGTTAATTAATAAGTTAATCCAACTATTTCACCACCAAGTATCTGTGAGACATAGTATAACATACCTCATGGACCTCACAGTTCAAGTGTTACCTAGCAAACAAAACAAAACTCAAAACAAATTTAAAAAACCCAAATGACAAAGAAAAATCCACCTCAGACAAACAACAACCCACAATTAGGAATGTATTTTTACTTCAAGTGACTTTGGATTCTGAATACTTTGAAGGAGTGTATACAATGATGTGAGGGTATATAGCAGGGGAACTTGTGGTTTTTGAAGAGTCAGGGCGCAAACTTTTCTGAAGAAATAGTAAAGAATGATAGAGATTTACTAATAGGGATGGGGGTAGAAAATTTCTTTTAATGTTTAATTTTTGTTAGTACATAGTAAGTATATGTATTTTTGGGTACAAGGGATATTTTTCTTTTTTTTTTCTTTTTTTTACATTTATTGTGTACTTTATTTCTACTATTATTACATTGTAATACACAGTGAAATAATTATGCAAGTCACCGTAATGTAGAATCAGTGGGAGCCCTGAGCCTGTTTTCCTGCAACTAGACAGTCCTATCTGGGGGTGATGGGAGACAATGACAGATCATCAAGCATTAGATTCTTTGTGTGTGTGTGTGTGTGTGTCAACTTTTTTTTTTTTATTATTATACTTTAAGTTTTAGGGTACATGTGCACAATGTGCAGGTTAGTTACATATGTATACATGTGCCATGCTGGTGTGCTGCACCCATTAACTCATCATTTAGCATTAGGTATATCTCCTAATGCTATCCCTCCCCACTCCCCCGACCCCACAACAGTCCCCAGAGTGTGATGTTCCCCTTCCTGTGTCCATGTGTTCTCATTGTCAATTCCCACCTATGAGTGAGAACATGTGGTGTTTGGTTTTTTGTCCTTGCGATAGTTTACTGAGAATGATGATTTCCAATTTCATCCATATCCCTACAAAGGACATGAACTCATCATTTTTTGTGGCTGCATAGTATTCCATGGTGTATATGTGCCACATTTTCTCAATCCAGTCTATCGTTGTTGGACATTTGGGTTGGTTCCAAGCCTTTGCTATTGTGAATAGTGCCGCAATAAACATACGTGTGCATGTGTCTTTATAGCAGCATGACTTATAGTCCTTTGGGTATATACCCAGTAATGGGATGGCTGGGTCAAATGGTATTTCTAGTTCTAGATCCCTGAGGAACTGCCACACTGACGTCCACAATGGTTGAACTAGTTTACAGTCCCACCAACAGTGTAAAAGTGTTCCTATTTCTCCACATCCTCTCCAGCACCTGTTGTTTCCTGACTTTTTAATGATTGCCATTCTAACTGGTGTGAGATGGTATCTCATTGTGGTTTTGATTTGCATTTCTCTGATGGCCAGTGATGGTGAACATTTTTTCATGTGTTTTTTGGTTGCATAAATGTCTTCTTTTGAGAAGTGTCTGTTCATGTCCTTCACCCACTTTTTGATGGGGTTGTTTGTTTTTTTCTTGTAAATTTGTTTGAGTTCATTGTAGATTCTGGATATTAGCCCTTTGTCAGATGAGTAGGTTGCGAAAATTTTCTCCCATTTTGTAGGTTGCCTGTTCACTCTGATGGTGGTTTCTTTTGCTGTGCAGAAGTTCTTTAGTTTAATTAGATCCCATTTGTCAATTTTGTCTTTTGTTGCCATTGCTTTTGGTGTTTTAGACATGAAGTCCTTGCCCATGCCTATGTCCTGAATGGTATTGCCTAGGTTTTCTCCTAGGGTTTTTATGGTTTTAGGTCTAACGTTTAAGTCTCTAATCCATCTTGAATTAATTTTTGTATAAGGTGTAAGGAAGGGATCCAGTTTCAGCTTTCTACATATGGCCAGCCAGTTTTCCCAGCACCATTTATTAAATAGGGAATCCTTTCCCCATTGCTTGTTTTTCTCAGGTTTGTCAAAGATCAGATAGTTGTAGATAGGCAGCGTTATTTCTGAGGGCTCTGTTCTGTTCCATTGATCTATATCTCTCTTTTGGTACCAGTACCATCCTGTTTTTGTTACTGTAGCCTTGTAGTATAGTTTGAAGTCAGGTAGCGTGATGCCTCCATCTTTGTTCTTTTGGCTTAGGATTGTCTTGGCGATGCGGGCTCTTTTTTCTTTCCATATGAACTTTAAAGTAGTTTTTTCCAATTCTGTGAAGCAAGTCATTGGTAGCTTGATGGGGATGGCATTGAATCTATAAATTACCTTGGGTGGTATGGCCATTTTCACGATATTGATTCTTCCTACCCATGAGCATGGAATGTTCTTCCATTTGTTTGTATCCTCTTTTATTTCATTGAGCAGTGCTTTGTAGTTCTCCTTAAAGAGGCCCTTCACATCCCTTGTAAGTTGGATTCCTAGGTATTTTATTCTCTTTGAAGCAATTGTGAATGGGAATTCACTCATGATTTGGCTCTCTGTTTGTCTGTTATTGGTGTAACAGAATGCTTGTGATTTTTGCACATTGATTTTGTATCCTGAGACTTTGCTGAGGTTGCTTATCAACTTAAGGAGATTTTGGGCTGAGACAATGGGGTTTTCTAGATATACAATCATGTCATCTGCAAACAGGGACAATTTGACTTCCTCTTTTCCTAATTGAATACCCTTTATTTCCTTCTCCTGCCCGATTGCCCTGGCCAGAACTTCCAACACTATGTTGAATAGGAGTGGTGAGAGACGGCATCCCTGTCTTGTGCCAGTTTTCAAAGGGAACACTTCGTTTTTGCCCATTCAGTATGATATTGGCTGTAGGTTTGTCATAGATAGCTCTTATTATTTTGAGATACATCTCATCAATACCTAATTTATTGAGAGTTTTTAGCATGAAGCGTTGTTGAATTTTGTCAAAGGCCTTTTCTGCGTCTATTGAGATAATCATGTGGTTTTTGTCTTTGGTTCTGTTTATATGCTAGTTTACATTTATTGATTTGCGTATATTGAACCAGCTTCGCATCCCAGGGATGAAGCCCACTTGATCATGGTGGATAAGCTTTTTGATGTGCTGCTGGATTTGGTTTGCCAGTATTTTATTGAGGATTTTTGCATCAATGTTCATCAGGGATATTGGTCTAAAATTCCCTTTTCTAGTGGTGTCTCTGCCCGGCTTTGGTATCAGGATGATGCTGGCCTCATAAAATGAGTAGGAAGGATTCCCTCTTTTGCTATTGACTGGAATAGTTTCAGAAGGAATGGTACCAGTTCCTCCTTGTACCTCTGGTAGAATTTGGCTGTGAATCCATCTGGTCCTGGACTTACAAGAGATATTTTGATATGGGCATGCAATGTGTAATAATCACTTCAAGGTAAATGGGATATCCATCACCTCAAACATTTATCCTTTGTGTTACAAATAATTTAATTATACTCTTTTAGTTATTTTTAAATGTGCAATTAGTATTGACTATAATTACCCTGTTGCACTATCAAATACTAATTTTCATTTATTCTTTATATATTTTTTGTACCAATTAACCATACCTACTCCCTCCCCCATGTTGATGATTGTCTTTCTCCTATCTCCATTAGTTCAATTCTTTTTTTTTTTTTTTAAGTGAGAACATGTGATGTTTTTCTTTCTGTGCCTGGCTTATCTCACATAACTTAATGTCCCCCAGTTCCATTCATGTTGTTGCAAACGACAGGATCTCATTCTCTCTCTCTTTTTTTTATGGCTGAATAGGACTCCATTGTGTATATGTACATCATTTTCTTTATCCTTTCATCTGTTGATGGATGCTTAGGTTGCTTCCAAATCTTAGCTATTGTATACAGTGCTACAGCAAACACTGGAGTGCAGGTATCTCTTCAATATACTAATTTTCTTCCTGTTGAGTATGTACCTTAAAGGTAGGATTGCTGGATCATATGGTAGCTCTATTTTCAGTTTTCTGAGGAACTTTCAAACTGTTCTCCATAGTGACTGTACTAATTTACATTTGGGGGTGAGAAATTTCTATGCAGAGTGAAAAACATGTAAAACCACTGAGGTAGAAGGAATATGGCACATAAGAGGCACATAGAAGATAGCATCATATAAAGTCCAATTTATCTGGAAAGTCAAAAGGGAAAGGAAAATAATATGAGATGAATTTTGAGAGGCAGGCAGGGCTGAAGCAACAAAGGACTTATCAACAGGGTATGCAAGTAGCAACAGGGTATGCAAATGTAAACAGGGACAGTCCCTGTTTACATTTGCCTTGGAATAATTTTTAATATTTCCCCACCACACACACACACACACACACACACACACACACAAACACACACACACTCATGCACGCACACACTCCTCTTAAAAGTGTACTGGTTTTGACAATACATTTTATGGATATTTTACTTTTAGGCAACATTAAGGATTTCAATCTTTAAGAACAATGGAGAATGTTTTCTGTTTGTTTTGAATCAGTGAAGTGTCATGTTTATATTTGTATTTTATAAAGAGAATGCTCAATAATTTTGAGAGTAATCATTTGATTGCTAATTGGCAAACTGAATGACATCATTCCAAGGGAGAGACAAATGACAGCTTAGAGGAGAAAAGTTACTCTCAATGGAAATGAAAGAAATGGATGAACCAAAGATATATTTAGAAAGTAAATTAGCTCAGGGTGATGAACTTTATAGGTTAGAGGAAAGGGAGTTATTGGCTCCTGAGTTTCTGGATGAACACAATTTGCTAAGCTGAAATACCAAGTAAGAGAACCAATATCTGGAGGGAAAACCACAAGTTTGTTTTGGGATAATTTGAGTTTGAAGTGCTTTTGAATTATCCAAGTAAGGGAGGTTAAATACGATAAGTGTGTTTGAAACTCAGATATCAGGGCCAGAGATGTGAATCTATTGCCAATGGCGTGGAGCCTACAACTTCGATGTAAGTGCCTAGAAGAGGGTTTCTTAATCTCTGCACCATTGACATTTTGGGCTGGTTAATACTTTGTTGTAGGGGAGCTACTCTGTGCATTGTGCATCTTATAGCAGGATCCCAGCTGTCTCCCCTAGATGTCAGTAGTACACCTTCCCCAGCTGTGATCATCAAAAATGTCTCCAGATATTGCCAAATGTCCCTGGGTGGGGTGAGGGGAAAAACCTCCTCCTGTTGAATATCAGGCCTGGAGTTACAGTATAGTGTGAAAGAGGGGCCTAAGATAGAGTCTTGAGGTCTCTTACATTTAAATGGCTAAGTAGAGGAAATAAAAGAAAAGGTCAGAGAAGTAGAAGAAGCCAGATGATTGTCGTGTACCAGTCAGTTATTGTCATAATAATGCCATGTAACATAATGTTATGTGCTGACTTGTGTCCTTCCAAAATTCATATGCTGAAGCCCTAAATGACAGTACCTCAGAATGTGACTGTGTTTGGAGATAAATCCTTTAAAGAGGTTATTAAGTTAAAATTAGACAGTTGACTGGTGTCCTTATAAGACAATAACATTTGGACACACAAAGAGACACCAGAAATGCATATGCACAAAGAAAAAAACACAAGAGGATGCAGTCAGAAGGCAGCCATCTGCAATTTTCAGATAAACCTGTTAATACCTTAATCTTGAATCTTTAGCCTTCAGAATTGGGGAAATATAAATTTATATTGTTTAAATCACCCAGTCTGTGGTATTTTATGTCAGTCTGTGGAAATACACACATCAGCCCCAAAATCCATGGTTAAAAGAACCATCATTTATGCTTATAATTTGGCTGGGGTATATGGCCAATCTGTGGCTAGATAGCTCTGCTTCAGGCTGTGATGACTGGGGTGGCTCTACTTTGAATGAAAATCTTGGAGTTGGCTGCTGAGGTTCTGCTTTGTGTATCTCTCCGTAAGACAGGGCCAGCTGGAGTGTGTTTCCTTGACAGAAGTATGAATACAAGAGAATAAGTTGCTAGATTGGAACTGATGCACTGTCATTTCCAAATAATTCATTCCATGGCCAAAGTAGACACTTAGAGAAACCGAAAGTCTAGGAGGTATGGAAATATACTCTGACCATGTTGAGACTGTGGGGAAGGTACCGATGCAGGGCAGTGTGAAGCATTGAAGGCAATAATTCAACTGTTTATATTTGGCAGAGAGGCCGAGGAATTATATTTTCCAGACAGAAGGGCGTAGTCATCAGTGTTGAGTAAAATGGAGAGGTTATGGGTCGTGTAAGATGACTGTGAATGCCCAGTAGTTTTGACAACAAGATGGTAACTGGTAAATTAAATTTAATGAGGAATTCTGTGTATGCGTATGGAATGATAGAGGTGGGAGCCTTAGCTAAAACCAGGATTGAATTGTCAAATTAGACTCATATATATCTGATATCATACTCCATGTCCAGCTTTCCAAATAATTCAGGGATGTAGGCAATCAAGAAACAGAGACAAATAAGAGAGGTGTCTGAGACATCTCACATGGTTACACTGGCACTTTCTTCCTTTGTTGCTTTTGTGCTCTCTGGTTCTGGGTAAAAAATGGGACCTCCAAGTGAGGAGATAATTACCTCACATAGCAGAGTGTATTTATGTGGCTAATTCTATAATGCTGATAATTATACAGGTTGCCTGACATTCTCCAGGCAGCCATGCCTCACATAACTGATATTAGATTTATTTATTATCAGTAATCCTTAACCAAAGACATCTTGCTAAGGCCTTTGTATATATAAAGACTACTAGCAAATATTAGTCTATTTACCCAGAGGTCCATTTGAAGAGGAAATTAGACCAGGTTATCTGCCTTCTTTTCCTTCCCCAGAGGGAAGAAAACTTGTCCTGTAAACAAATATGAGGTGGAGAGCAAGACTGTAAGCTAGATGTCAAAACCTTCTCTGAGTGATACACCATGATCTAGAAGTTTATAATGACTGCAGCTGGGAGGGAAAGTGGATGATCAAGTCACATAATGTCTTTCATATCCCTAGAGCTTAAAAAAAACTATTGACACTCAACACTAGCTCTTTAAGTATCTATTGAATGAGTTAAGGCATAAATGAATGAATGAGTCTCAGAGGGACAGAATTTTCTACAAGAGTGTGAGTAGTGAGTGTGAGCAGCATTTGGGAGGCAGGAGGATAACAATCTCTCTACTAAACCCTGACGTACATGCTGTACACAGACTAAAGATCCATTATTTTGAGAGCTATAGAAGGAATCACATGTGAGGAGAGAGCTGAGCTTTTAAGGCAAGAAAGTAGAACATCAGAGAAGAGGTTGAACATAGTTGCTGGTGCTCTAGAGGGCAGAGTGAAGGTCTCGGAAGGCAGGAGGAAGCAGGGAACTCAAGTGTAAGAACATGCAGCATCTGTATGGATGATGTGCTCAAGAATCAACTTTCTGGGGCAAGAGAGCATTGGGGCTTTTATCTTGGAGTTTGACTAATAAAAATAGGGATGGCTGCCTTGATAAACTTAATCTTATTTTGTGGAGAGATTCTGGTTATCTCTTCCTTAGTCTCTAATTCTAATTTTTATTTACCTAAACTCGGAGAAAGAACACTGGTCATGGTTCAATAGAACAGAATGATTTAGTATTTAGTATTTGGTAATGTCCTTTCACTCAAAGCAAAATATGTCTCCTGAATTAAAGCAGGTACGTTTTCTCTCAGCCATGATGACGTAGAATTCTATAGTACTGTGCTCAGCTTAATTTTTAAAAATCCTTTCTCGTACTCATGGACATGTAAATCAAAGTTTTCTCATTTATGTATCAAAACTACCACTCCTCTGTCTTAGTAGCTGTATGTTACTGGATGATCATTTAATCTCTGTGAGCTTCAGCTTCCTTGTTTTTAGAATAGTGCCTATTACATTTAACTTGTAAAGTTTGGGGAGGAATATAATGAAATTCTAGACATAAAAGTAAACAGTGCAGAACATGGTATATAATTAGTACTCTCCTACCTTTTGGTAGGTTGATATTTAGCAACTATATCTTCAGGCCTCTTCCTTATATATATTTTTCTGGAGATAATGGGGGTATGGGACCTAAGTATCCTTATGATTAAAGAGTTTATCCTTAAATTCAGTTTTGTAGAACAATTAGAGGGAAGAGAAAAAGACAGTCATGACAGAAAAACATCAATTTGAGCAATACTCCCTCTTCTTAGGAGTTTAATGGATGGTTTTTCTCTACCAACCTAATAACTCTTTGAAGGGGCTCAAATTTTCAGAGAGAGCATAAGGAGCCTACTGTTCTTTTCTGTAAGCCACAAAGAATATGGTTATTTAATAGGAAGCAGTAATGACTTCTTTCACATTCTTAATGCAAGAACATATTTTATATCTGTAGGTATTCCTATTTTACTCTCCATGGCACCTTAAGAGTTGATAAATGAAATTTGACATTTGGAGGCTTTTAAAGGGAAAAATATCTATATGTCAATACATCATTGCTTCACACATTGTACTGAGTCTATACACTTTTTGAGGATAATATGCTTTCGTTGGTTTCAAGTTACCAAAGAGAACATCACGTAGTAATTTCCTCCTACTGTTACCTAAGATACATGTGGATTACAGAGTAATTGGCTGCTACTTTTAGCAAAGAATCAGGTTATAGGTAATTTCATTAAAGTAAGCAATAGTTATAGACTGCCCTCTCTTCTTGCATCTAATGCAGTTGCAGGAAGTATTAAATTTAATTCAATTCCTTAAAGGTTATGAAATATTCATGGCACTAATGACTGTAGTTATTCTGTAGCTCTGCATTTCACCCAGTGTTAAGTCCTATAAAGCCATCCTGTTCCATGGACGGTATGTCAAGGCCACCTTTTCTCTGATACAGCTTTGGAACACTTAATGAATGCACAACATTTCAAGGAGGTTGTGTGGAACAAAGCTGTAATTACAATAAAGTTGTAACTAGTCCTCAAAGTGTTGCCTATATATTTTTTCTCTTTTTAACTAAAACCAAATAGGTGTTAGTCTCTATCACCTTTTTTAAAGCATCTCTAATAAAAATCCCTAATGACTATGACATTGATCCGTGCAAGGGTCAATTCTTGGTCCTTATCTTACTTGACTTCTCAACACCATTGGATCTCACTGATTGTGTCCTTTTTCTTGCATGTTCTCTGATTGGCTTCTGGGTCACCAGGTCACCAACTCTTTCCTAGTTTCCCTTCTGCCTCACTGTTTGCTCATTCCCCGTCTCTTTTGCCGGTTCTCTTCCCCACCTTCCTCTTTCATTTATTTGTTTTCTTAATGTTGGATTACTCACGGGCTCATTCTTTGGACCTCTTTTCTTTTCGGTCAACACCAGTTAAGCTCATCTAATTCTTTTGGCTTTTCATATAATTTATGTGATGATAGCACCCAATTCACATTTTCAGCCGAAATCTCTCTGAAATCCAGCCTGTAAACCCAATTGTTCATGAAAATTTCTATTTGTATGTCTAATGGTTATCTCAAGTTTAATATATCCACACTGAATTATTTTCTTTTACTCAATTCTGCTTCTCCTCCAGGCTTCTCAATTACATAAAAGGCAACTCTAGCATGTCAATTGCATAAGTCAATATTTGGAGCCATTTTGACATTTTTCTTTTCTCATACTGCATATTTAATCCATTGGCAAATCCAGCCAGATCTATCTTGAAAATATGTCAGAATTTTACCACTTTCACCACCACTACTGCCAGCACTCTGATTCAAGCCACCATTATCTCTTTCCCGGATTTTTGCCATACTATCCTAATTAGTCCTTGCTTCCATCTTTGCTCACCTTCAGTCCTTATCCTACTCTCCCACCAGAGTACTCCCATTTAAATATGTCCCATTGTGTCATCTGCTGGTCAAAATGATGACTTTAAATATTTCCCATCCCACTCTGAATAAAATCCAAAGTGCTTACAATGGCTGACAGGGTTCTGTATGATCTGGCCCCTGCTGTCTCTCTGACCCTGTCTCCTTCTCATCTCTCCCTTGCTTACTTCACTCCTGTCATATTGGCCTCCTTTGCTGTTCCTCAGTCACCAAATACACTCTTGCCTCAGGACTTTTGCATTTGCTCTTTCCTCTGTCTGGAAAACTCTTTCCTCTGGTATCCTCATGGATTGCTCTAACTCTTTCTTCTGGTATCCTCATGGATTGCTCCCTCACTTCCTTGTGTTGTTGCTGATAGGCCACCATGCCACTAAGCCATCTCTGACGATCCTATGTGGAATTCTACCCTTTTCTTTATCCCCACCCTTTCCCTTGTCACTCTGTATAACCTGTACTATGATAGATGATGCTATGAAGGAAAGACTAAATATTTATTATTTTATTATTATCTGTCTTCTCACTAGAATACAAACTTTTTGAGGACACGGAACTTTATATCTTTTGCTCATTCCTTTGTCCTTGTGTCTAGTGTAGCGTATCCTTTAGACAAAATGCTCAATCTGTATTTGTCAAAGGAATAAATGAAGTGAGACTGAGCTTCTTTTTTTTTTTTTTTTTAACGTGTAATGGTTAATCGTAACTTCACCAATTTTATTTCCTGAGGTCTTTCTCTGATTGTTAATTCTGCTGATCACCAAGATCAGCTGTATTGCTGGGCCGTTGAGCTTATAAAACTGGAAAGGGAAGTTTTTTAAAAATTATTATTATCATTATTAAAGGGACAGGATGGGTATGACTTGGCCCCAGAGAGAGATTGGATGGCCTGAATGGACAGGGCAGGGGTTGGGATAGGCCACAGAAATAGTTGTGAGAATAAGCCCATTGTTCATCTCAGGAGAAGTCCAAAAGTAGACAATCAGAGATAACTCTGATTATAGGGAGAGCATAATATCAAAAAGGGGAAAGTGGCAATTCAGGCAGATAGTCTGGGTCAGAAGGATCCTGCTACAGGTGAGCTGAAGTTCGGGAGCAGTACTTGATTTCACAGCATTAAAGAAATGGAGGAAAGACATAGAGCTCATAGGTAGAATTTTACAGAATTGAGGAAATATGAGGGAGCCTTTGGATTGAAAGATCGTATGGATTTCTGGGTGAGATAAATAAGTAGCAAGGAAAGAAGACAGGTGGGGAGTACTATAGGGCTAGAAATGGAAGGAATACATATCTGCATTTGTCAAAATATATAGATGGACCACTTGCTTCAGAACCACCCAGGTTGTTTATTAAAAATGCAGAGTCCCATGCCCCACCTCAGTTTATTGAGTCAGGGTGAATGGTGTGAAATCCTGGGCTGCTGTGGTGGTTCCATGATAAGGATCACCTGATATAGCCTTTTGCTGAGAAAAGGGACAAGAAGGGAAGGAACAATTGATGAAACTAAAGATTGAAAGATTGTGATCAGAAGTTTTGGAATACGATACACCCTATGGACCCTCTGGAACATGAAGAGGTTTTGGAAGGCTTGTTGATTATGTGGTAAGAATCAGATTTATTTTTGTTGGTAGCACCATTTTATTTTCCTAGTTCTGGCTATGGCTAAGGAAGGATTGCATACACATCCCCATATACACACATGTATATGCATGTATGCATAGTTGTATGTATATCTTATTCTTCATGTCAAATATATTCTTTATAATGACATTGTCTGTGTGCCTGTGGAGGTAGGTATTGTTGAAAAATGTGCATTCACTCTGTGCATTGGAAAAGATACTTAGCGTTGCCACATAGTTTATAATCATGAGTCAGAAACCAGTGGTCTGATCGGTATGTCTGATCTATAGGTCATTTATTCATTGAAAAGTGTCATAATTTATAAATTATAAATTTATTGCCAACTTAAAATTTGGATATTTTGCTTAAAAATCAGATTTCTGACTTTCAACAAGTCTAAATGTATGACAAATCCTAGTTTCCAAGTTTCTCGGGGGGAATAGAGAGGTTCTGCCCCCTTTCTACGAAACCTTCCTTCTGTAATTTGCCATAGTTTCTCCACTTCCCTACCCTTAGTTCACTTACTTAAATGACTTGCCTGGTCCATCCATGTGATAAAGTAATTTAATTCAGTGAACTGATTAATGGTTTGACCAACTAATTGGTCCACTCAGTAAGGATGGGTGATTAAGTAGACTGATAAAGAAATATTGTCTTGCTCATGTTCTTGACAACTTTTTCAATTGGACTTTGTATTGATTATTCTGCCCTCAGGCCTTTAAATAAATTAAATCCAAATTCTAGTGAAAAGATGTTAGCAATAAGAGTGGATGTATCAACTTCTACCTAGATAACAACAGAGATGTTCAAAAAGAGTAAAGTATAGTGCTTGATAACTTCCGTGTATTTTTTTCAGGTAGGATATAGACATGCCAATAAGAAGGATGACACAGGCAGGTAAGATAAAATTTACCTTTTTAAGATAACAAACATTTACTTCATTTTAAAAACCATTATACATTCTGTACATTTTTTATGATGAACATTTATTGCATTATATTTTTTAAATGCCACAAACTATGAAGGGTGGAAAAGAGATTGGAAATAGCTGGGTTATCAACATAGAGGAAGGACTTTTTCAAGGACATGATTCAAATGAACTAATACATGCAGGAAAAGTATCCCAAAAGATTAAGCGAGTGGTAGTTACGTTACTAGTTGGAACGATGTTATTATAGTCAGCTTGGACTTAACATGTGTAAAAGAACCTCCTCAAGTAGTGCAAAAAAACTGAATATAGATGAGCCAAAGCACTAATGGAGGTTATCTGATTCTCCTTCCTTAGTGGGGAGGATTCACAGAATACATGGGCTCCGATGCCTTGCCCTCAAGGACTGCTAGAATTTTCACATTCATCTGTGATTCTCTGGTGACAGGGGGTGATTTCAAAATTGTAACAGAGACTGCACTAAACTTCAGATTCAGAAAATCTGGGGTTAGTATTAGGAAGACCTAAGGCTAGTGTTAGGAACCAAAGATAAGAATTTTTAAAAGATAGGATAAGATAGTGGGGAATAAGGAAATTTACAAGATCACAACAGATAGATGAGTCTGGCCACGTACTGTATAGACAAAGAAAGTTGCTGAAGATGAATGTATTTATTTCCCCCACAAATATGGACTGTAAACACATAAATGTAATAATCAACATGTGGACATTGTATTTTATTGGACTGGTATTTTTTCTTTGTATAAGACTGTCAGTCACTGGCATGAAGCCAATTATCAGAATATTTAGCATCATTTAGAAATGAAACAGTCATCAAATTAAGTGTTTTTGTTAAACCAATTGATACTTTTTTTTCCAAAACAAGGGCAAAACACTCTTTTTTTAGTAGGAAATTAATGAACTTGGTCACTTGATATGCAGAAAATGCCAAACTACAGTAGCATAAATCAGAGTATTATTCTTCATAGAAAATCAGTTTACAAAGTGCATTAATTTTGGACTGGCAAAGCAAGATGGTCAAATAGAAGCCTCCAGCAATTATCTTGCAGAGGGGATCACCAAATTGAACAAGTGGTCACACAAAAAAGCACCTTTATAATAACCAAAAATCAGGTGACTGATTACAGTACCTGGTTTTAACGTCATATTAAAGAAAGAGGCACTGAAGAGGGAAGAGGCACTGAAAAGGGTAGAAAAGATGGCCTTGAATTGCTGACACCACCCCACCCCTATCCCTCATCAGCAGCCACATGGCATGGAGAGAGAATCTGTGTGCTTGGGGCAGGGATAGCACAGTGATTGTGGGACTTTGCATGGGAACTCAGTGCTGCCCTGTCACAGTAGAAAGTATCATGGGGCAGAACTCAGCCAGTGTCCACAGTGGGAGCATTTAGACCAGTCATAGCCAGAGGCAAATTTTCCATCCTAGCAGTCAGAAGCTGAGTTCTGGTAAGCTCCAGCACCATGGGCTGAAGTACTCTGGAATACTAAGTAAACTTGAAAGGCAGTTTAAGCCACAAGGACTGCAATTCTTGGGCAAATCTTGTGGTGCAGGGCTCAGAGCCAGAGAACTTGGGGTGCACATGGCCTAGTGAGACACCAGCTGGAGTGGCCAAGGGAATGCTGGCATCACTTCTCCCCCAACCTCATGCAGGGAAGATCATGGCTCCAAAAGAGACTCCTTTCTACTGCTTGAGGAGAGAAGAGAAGAAAGTAAACTTTGTAACTTGGGTACCAGCCCAGTTACAGCAGAAGAGGAAGCCAGCCAGTGTCCTGAGGACCCCATGCCAGGCCCTATCTCTCAGATCACATTTCTACACACACCTTGGGCCAGAGGGAACCCACAGCCTTGAAGGGAAGGACCCAGTCCTGGCAGGATTTATCACATGCTGACTAAAGAGCCGTTGGGCCCTGAATAATCAGCAGTAGTAGCAAGGCAGTACTCACCATGAGCCTTGGGTAAGACTCAGAGCAACACAGGCTTCGGGTGTGACCCACCATATTCCAGCCTGTGGTGGTTATGGGGAGAGGCTCCTTCTGCTTGAGGAAAGGAAAGGGGAGAGTAAATGGGACTTTGTCCTGCAGCTTTAGTACCAGGTTGACCACAGTAGGGTAGAGCACCAAGTGGGCTCCTGGAGTCCCTGATTCCAGGCCTTGACTACTAAATGGCATTTACACACCTGCCCTGAGCCAGAAGGGAGCCCACTGCACTGAGGGAGAGATACAGGCCTGGAAGCATTCACCACAAGCTGACTGAAGAGCCCTCAGGCCTTGAGTGAACATCAATAGTAGCCAGGCAGTATTCACTGTGGGCTTAGGGGAGTGGTGGCCGTAGGAAGACACTTCTCTACTTAAGGAGAGGGGAAGGACTTTGTCTTGCAGCCCAGATGCCAGCTGAGCCACAGTAGAATACAGCACCAGATATATTCCTAAGGTTCATAACCCTGGGCCCTCGTTCTTGGATGGCATCTCCAGACCTGTCTGGGGCCAAGGGGGACCTTGCCACCCTGAAGAGAAGTACACAAGCCTAGAGGGTTTTGCCACCTGCTGACTGTAGAGCCTTTTATCCTGAGTGAACACAGGCAGCAGTCAGGCGGTGGTCACTGTGGGCCTTGGGCAAGACCCAGTGCTATGCTGGCTTCAGGCCTGACCCAGCACAGTTCTAGTAGTCGTGGACAAGGGTGCTTGTGTCACCCCTTACCCAGCTCCAGGCAGGTCATCATAGAGAAAGAGACTCTTTGTTTGTGGGAAAATAAGGGAAGAGAACAAAAGTCTCTGCCTGGTAATTCAGGGAATTCTCCCAGATCTTACCCAAGAGCAAGAAAATAGTATCGCTACAAGTCTGCAAGAGCCACACCATTATTGAACTTGGGGTGCCCCCAATGCAGATAAAGCTGAAGTGATTAACAATTTAGATCACAACACCCAAGTCCCTTTGAATACTTGGAAAACCTTCTCAAGAAGACCAGGTAAACACAAGTCCAGACTGAGAAGCTTATAATAAATACCTAACTGTTCAACATCCAGACACAGAAGAACATTGACAAGCATCAGAACCATCCAGGAAATCATGACCTCACCAAATAAGCTAAATAAGGCATTAGTGACCCATCCCAGAGATAAGTGACCTTTCAGAGAATTCAAAATAGCTGTTTTGAGGTAGCTCAATGAAATTCAAGATTACATTGAGAAGGAATTCAGATTTCTATCAGACAAATTTAATAAAAAGATTGAAATAATTAAAAAGAATTAAGGAGAAATTCTGGAGCTGAAGAATGCATCAGAGTTTCTTAACAGCAGAATTCATCAAGCAGAAAAAAAGAATTAGTGAACTTGAAGACAGGCTATTTGCAAATTCACAGCCAGAGGACACAAAATAAAAAAGGACTAAAAATATGAAGTATGCATACAGGATCTAGAAAATAGCCTTAAAAGGACAAATCTAAGAGTTATTAGCCTTAAAGAGGATGTGTAGAGAGAGATAGGGGTAGAAAGTTTATCCAAAGGGAAAATAACAGAGAACTTCCCAAACCTTCAGAAAGGTATCAATAGCCTATAAGAACATTATAGAATACCAACCAAATTTAGCCAAATTAAGACTACCTTAAAACATTTAATAATCAAACTCCCAAAGGTTAAGGACAAAGAAACGATTCTACAAGCAGAAAGAGAGAGAGAGAGAGAGAAAAAAAACATACAAAGGAGTTCCGATACATCTGGCAGCAGACTTTTCAGTGGAAACCTTACAGGTCAGCAGAGAGAGAGTTGTAGCATATTACAAGCACAGAAGAAAAAACAAAAACAGCAACCCTTTTATCCTAGAATAGTGTATTCATTGAGAATATCCTTCAAACATGAAGGAGAAATAAAGACTTTCCCAGAAAAACAAAAACCGAGGAATTTCATCAATATCAGACCTGTCCTACAAGAAATGCTAAAGGGAGTTCTTCCATCTGAAAAAAAAAGATGTTAATGAGAAATAAGAAATAATGTGATGGTACAAAACTCACTAGTAATATAAGTACACAGAAAAAACACAGAATATTATAACACTGTAATTGTGATGTGTAAACTACTCATATCTTGAGTACAAAGACTAAAAGATGACCTGATCAAAAATAGTAACTGCAACTTTTCAAGCCAGAGATAGTATAAGAAGATATAAATAGAAATGAAAAAAAGTTAAAAGGGGGAGGATGAGGTTAAAGTGTAGAGTTCTTATGAGTTTTTTCTTTGGTTGTTTGTTTATTTGTTTATGCAATCATTGTTAAGTTGTTGTTAATTTAAAATGTTGGGTTATAAGATGCTATTTGCAAGCTTTATGGTAACCTTAAGTCAAAAAACCACAGATATACAGAAAATAAAAAGAAAAAAACATACCACCAGAGAAAATCACCTTCAGAAAAAGAAAGACAGGAAAAAGACAGGAAGGAAGAGAAGACTACAAAACAACTGAAAAACAACAAAATGTCAGGAGGAGGTCCTTACTAATCCGTAATAACATTAAATGTAAATAGACTAAACTCTCCAATCAAAAGACACAGTGGCTGAATGGATTATAAAAAAACAGACCCAATGATCTCTGTTGCCTACAAGAAACATACTTCACCTCTAAAGACATACATAGACTGAAAATAAAAGGATGGAAAAAATATTCCATGCAAATGGAAACCAAAAAGAAAAAAAAAGAGTAGGAGTAGCTATACTTTTTATCAGACAAAATGGATAACAAGCCAAAAACTGTAAAAAGAGACAAAGAAGGTCATTATATAGTGATAAAGTGGTCAATTCAGCAGGAGGATATAACAATTTTAAATATATATGCACCCAATACTGGAGTACCCAGATTAATAAAGCAAATATTGTTAAAGCTAAATTTAGACAGAGATAGACTGTAGTAAAATAATGTGTGGAGACTTCAATACCGCACTTTCAGCATTGGACAAATCATCCTGACAGGTATTTAACAAAGAAATATCAGACTTAATCGGCACTGTAGGCCCAATGAACTCAATATATATTTACAGAACATTTCTTTTTTAAAAGACATTTATTTATTTATTTATTAGAGATGAGGAGTCTCACCATGTATCCTAGGCTGATCTCAAACACCTGGGCTCAAGTGTTCTTACACGGCCAGAGCAAAAGGAAGAGAGAGGGGAGGTGCCATACACTTTTAAACAACCCGATCTCATGAGAACCCTATCACAAGACAGAATTAGGGGGATGATCCTCAACCACTAGAAACCACCTCCGTGATCCAATCACATTCCACCAGGCCCCACCTCCAACATTGGGGATCACAATTCAACATGAGATTTGGGTGGGGACAGAGAGTCAAACCATATCGGAGAGGAAAATAGCACACATGAGGTTTCATTTGTTTGTTTTAAATAGACTTTTTTTTATAGCAGTTTTAGGTTCACACCAAAACCGAGTAGAAAATTCAGAGTTCCCATATACGTGCTCCTTCACAACCCCACAGCCTCCCCAACTATCAACATCCCATACTACAGTGGTAATTTGTTCCAATCAATGAATCTACATTGACACATCACTATCACCTAAATTCCTTAGTTAAGATTAGGGTTCACTGTTGGTGTTGCACATTCTATGGGGTTTGGACAAATGTGTAGTGATGTATATTCACCATTATGGTATCATACAGTTTCACTGCTATAAAATCCCTCTGTGCTCTGTCTATTCATTCCTCCCTTCCCTCTAATCCCCGACAACCACTGATCTTTTTACTGTCTCCATAGTTTTGCCTTTTCCAGAATGTCATATAGTTAAAATCACGCAGTATGTAGCTTTTTCTTATTGGCTTCTTTTATTTATTAATATACATTTAACTTTCCTACATGTCTTTTCATGGCAAGATGGCTAATTTCTCTTTAGTACTGAATGATATTCCATTGTCTGGATGTACCACAGTTTATTTATCCATTCACCTACTGAAGGATATCTTGGCAATTATGTGTCCAGGTTTTGGCAATTATGAATAAGTCTGCTATAAACATTCAGGTGCAAGTTTCTGTGTAGGCATAAGTTTTCAAAAACATGACTTTTTAAAATGATTTAAAATTTTTTCATAAAAATGGTAATGTTTTAAACCATGTTACTTTTATGTAATGTCACATTTAGAAGACCTGAAAAAAGTCAGAATTTGTAATAATCACATTGTGATACCAAAAGCTAAAATGGTTTGATAGTTAAGAGTTGACACTCCCTTGTGTTTTATGACTTTCATTTCTCATTGGAGAAACAAAACAATAATATATTAGTCACATTTACAAACAATATCTAAAGCTTGTTATAGATTACAACTTAGAAAAACCTTCTAAAGCTGTATGCAACCAAAACAGAAACTAGAAACCAGTTTACATTATTTTACAAGTTGAAATAGGCAATTTTTCTATTTGGAGGTATGCTATATTCATTAACTTAGCACATGATGGCGCTCTTAAAGTAGTATGTTATGGAGAGATCTTTCCATAATTTATAAGCCCATGTTTGGGCCATTGTTGCCACTGATGATAATGTATGTAAATTTGAAGTTTCATAATTAGCAAATATAAAGAGTAAGAAAATAAACTGAAACTGCCTGGATATAAAATCTGATCTATACTCCAAGCTATTCAGGATTACATCATACATAATTGCTCTGAAAAATTTGCTGAAAAAAAACTTACTCTTCATCACATTAAACTATTATTAGTGATAGTATTAGCTCACAATATTGCTTTATTGTTTCTAAAAGGGTTTTAAAAATAGTCTAAAATTGATTTTCTATGTGTGTGCCAATTGCCTAATAAGTGCCTTGCAGATGCTGGAATCATCAAAAACACTGAGCTGAATAACAAGTCAGGTTTAAGAAGTAGGTGTACAGCCAAAGAGAAGTAGACCTATAAGTTAGGAAATAATCATGATAAAAGAGAATGTGAGATTAACAGCAATGTGGAAAGGAATTTAGAGGATCCAGAACATTTAAAGGCACTAAGTTGGGGTTTACTAGTTGAATTCTCTTTGACTTTTACTTTCATAATAGGATATTATTTTAATTATCTTTACATCTTTCTTTCTCAGTGCCCTTCACTTAATCATTTAATCCTGAGTGACACCCTCCCCACCCCCCACCAACAAATGTCCATATCTTCCAAGTTAAGGCTTGAGCAATTTAACCCTCTTCTTTTTTATCTTTATATATTTTCTATGGGTGATTTTATACACTTTAAGTTTTATCTAGTAATTCAAAGCAAATGGCTTTGAAATCAATATTTCTGCCTCAGCAATCTCTTCATTCATGGTCCATTTTTCAGCTACCAGGTACTTTTTGTCCTCAGAGACAAATTTCTCCCCAAAGGTGGGTTTCCTTAAACCCACAAAGGTGACTTCCTCCTATTTTGAACTCCAATAGCATATTATTCCTCTGAAATTACCAGTCATGTACTTGTAATTAGTCATTTATCAGGTATATGTTGAATCCTTCATACTAGATTTTATTTCTCTTGAGGTCTATGACTATGCCTTGTTTTATTTATTAACCCCACTCATCCTTATTGCTCCCTACAGTGTACACTTTATCTGCCATAGTGGATGGTGCATAGAAGGCACCCAAAAATATTGGTTAAATTAGGCCATAACCTGGACCAGGATGTCCTCATGAGTCCTAGGCCCTTAGCTTCCTCCTCTCCCATGGCTCAGGACCCAACAAAGCTAAGGAAAAGGCAATTCCGAGTTCTGTACCTCTCTGCTGAGGCTCACACAGGTTATTTTTCCTTGGAGACTCTAGGCAACAGAGATGGCCTTATCGCTGCAAGAGACACGGCGGAGCTGCTCAGCATTCCTCTTCTGGCTGTGGCCCTGCTGTTTCACTGCTGGTGCTGGTGAAAATCAAAGACTTTTCTGGGTCTGAGATGGAGCCTGCCATCTTGTGCTGACTCCATTGGCTCCACTTTCTTCAGGAGATGGTTTCTGGGGAGATAAAACCAGGAGCCCTCCCACTGGTGGTCCAGGAAGTCCTCTCATTCCATCTGCGCTGCCCTGCCGTGGTGGAGCTGTAGATGTTTTATGGAATTATGCATTCTAAAGGGTGCAGGGGGAGACTTGGTATATTCTGAGATCCTGACTATTCAGTTGGGTAAAAAAGGAGAAGGCAATACCTCCAGGACATTTCTAGAGGATAAGTTCTTCTATCTTCTTTCCATCCCAGAATGTCTCAGTTGTTTACTCTGACATGAAGACACATCCCCCAGATAACTCAGCTGGAAAGATTAGCTCTAAGGATGAAGACACCTTGGAAAGTTACATCAATGTCCTACTCATTTGACTTGTCCCTTATCCAAAGCCCCAGCCCAGTGCAGTCCTCAAGGCTCCTGAAGCAACAAACTCATTCCAGCTTTCCAATTCTTCTAACCCACGTGCATTCACTCCCAAGAATTCTCATTCTTTCCCTCTGCAGTGGGGATGGAATGGTCTCTGAACAACTTCACTAAAATGACCACGATCCACAGTTAAGAGAAGACCCTGTATTACTTGCGGAGGGCCTGACCTAATATATCCCCCAGGGTCTGATTTTGGGAAAAGAGATAAAAAGAGAGAAGGACTGTTTTTGAAAAACAGAAGCACAAATTTTGGTAAATTTGGATTTGCACAGAGATGACAAAGACTGAGTGATCACCATCTCTGTTTAATACATTAACAACAATTCTCTCACTAGAGAATCACTTGAGCCAGTTGGTTTAACCCTGAGTGGCTGCACAGATACTGCACTGACAATGCAAAGCCCCTTCATTGCTGCCTGCACAGGTTATACTGTCAGGATTCAGTTGCAGACAAAAGAAACCACCCCAAATGGTTTACAGAGAGGAATTTAAAAGAGGATATTGAGAACTTTACAAAATCACCAGAAGAGCTGGAGATGTAGGCTCTAGGCTCAGCTTCCAGAAGCAAAAGGTAATTATGTTAATGTCATTAGAACAAAGTCTTGCAACATTAGAGAAAAGAGACACACATATAAAATTAAAAAGTGAAGTAACTCTGCAAACCTAAATTTGAATTGAAAATATCAATATAAACTCATAATAAACTCTGTCTTTTAAAAAAAGATATGTATTTCCTAAGTCTGTCCACTGAAAAGGTCTAGAAATAATTACCAACCCATTAGCAATAAGCACTCCTTGCAGAGGTTGTATTCCCTAAATACCATTCCCTGTGAGAAGAAATAGGGTTCCTTCTTCATAGTAGGAACTGTGTCTTTGCATTACCAAATAGTTAATGTGAGATTAATTCTTCTAATAAATGAAGATGGAATGAAAGAAATAGGAAACCACTGTTTTGTATGGATGTTTCATGATACACCTACTGGTTAAGTTAACATAAAAAATTGACAGTCAAGCATTATAGGTCTCCTGATGGAAGCATACAATACCACCTACAAAGCATCCATGCCCCAAATATTAAAACTGAATCCAATCACGGCTTTAGATTTAAATACCTGTTTATAGCAAATGCATGGAAGAAAGGAGCTTGTTAAATAACACCATGGGATTGCATCCACCAAAATCCAAATAGAGAAAAACTGTTATAGGACAAATGACCTGATTTCTTTAACAAATAAATGGCAAAAGAAAAAAGAAATAGAAAAAAAAGGAGAGAGGGAGAAAAAGAGAAGAAGAAAAAGTAATAAGAATGTTTCTAACATAAAAAAGACAAATATTTCAGTTGATAGATATCCCAGTTACACTGATTTGACCTTTACAAATTATATAAATGTATTAATTTGCCTCATGTACCCCCCCACACAAAAAAGAAAGATAATATTTACAAATTAAATGGGACTTGAGTTATATCAGCCAAAAGCAATGGGTGGACCTTGTTTGGATCCTGACAAATCAAGTTAAGAAAAAAAATCACTCATGAAACACTAAAGGAAATTTGTACACTAATATTAAGAAATTATTGAATGTTTTAGATGTAAATGATAATGTTTCATAGCTATGCTGTTATAAAAACTAAAAGGATACCTATTTTTAGAGCTTATACCAAAGTATTAGATTAAATGTATTAATTTAGATTAAATATACATTAAATTAGTCGGTCACATGATGTGACTTGGTTTGAAATAATCCAGTGACGGGAGAGTGGGTAGGAAGTGGGTTGCGGTAGAATGGAAGCAGGATCAGCCATGTGTGCAACATTTCTGGAGCTGGGTTATGGGTACATTGTGGGAAGAAGAGAGGCTTATACTATTCTCTACTTTTGCATGTGTTTTATTTTCCACAAGGAAGAGTTAAAATATGTGTAAGAAATATGTTGGTTAATATATGAATAAGAAAACCATCTCAGATATTGCTTTCCCTGTTTCTCACATTTCACTGGCCAAAAAGAAGTGAAATTACAATTTAAAGCCCAATATATTTCTGTCCATTTGCTTGCCATAGGAGATACTATTCTTGGAACATAACATTTAACAGATTTCTTAGTGTTCCTTTTTATAACCAGACATTATCATTAAAATGTACTAAAACTAGGCTGATATGCAAAGTACGACATAAGGGTAAAGGCCGTAAAGGAAGCAAATTTGGCAAAATTTAGTACGAAAGTGGAGAAAAGGGGCTTAAGTATATTTTAATCATCATTCTCTCTGTAAATAACTAAATATTTAATATGCAAGAAAGAAATGTAGGTCAATTTTGGGCTTTTGTAGACATACAAGTCCAAAGCTGATATGACAGACAGTCTTATTACCTTAGTAACTTGATAAATTTATTCTATTTAAAATCTTAATAAACTTGTAATCATTTCATGGAGTCTGCATTCGTTGTTGTATTTTCATTTTCCTTGCTCAATTTACTCATTTTTTCCTTCTGTCTATATAATAGAATTTATAAAACCTATTATTGCTTGTGCAGTGTTTTGGACGTAAAAATTTGTGAACTCATTACATTAAAAATCTTTAAGTAAATCCATTAATCTTAAGTGGGCTTGATGAACTTGGATTCTTCATTTGTCTCTCTCTCACACACAACACGCATACAAAACATACACAATTAGCAAATACAGTATTTACTAAAGTCTTTATAAGATCCTTTTATCAAGATTCTTTACCTAAATTAGATAAGAAGAAAGATAATTGGAAATGCATATATAGAAACACACTTACATATGCATTAACACACACATATACACATACACATATACTTGTGTATACATTTGTCATGCCCTTTCCCTTGTAGTCAGAAAGCATGGGTCAGAAACCACTGGGTGGTGGTGGGAATAATGTCTTTCCTTATTACGCTTAATAATCCACTATAAGAATTTCTGTTTTCTCTTTGCTGCGCTCCTGGGCTCAGAAAGAATTTGGAGGTAGGTCCTCATGCTCAAGGGAGGAATGCTTTCCTCAGGTAACATAGTTATAGTTCCCATGGATTGGAGGCTATAACTGATGTCCTGTGCACACTGGGCTTTTTCTGCCATTGAATCCACAGGCAGAGAATAGCATCATCGTATTGGCAGGGGAAATAGATTGCAATTATCAGAGAGAAATTGGATTGCTCCTCCATGGTAGGGGCAAGGATGATTATATCTGGGATCCAGGGAATTCACTGAAGTGCCTTTGATATTTCCTTTTCCAACAGTCCTGGCTAATAGAAAATTGTGGCAACCTAATAAGGATAAGACCACTGACATTTCCCATGGGAATGAAGTTTGTGGAGTAGAAGAAGAAAGCTGTAAATACAAACTTAAGTCTTATGAAGCAGGTGCAGAAGTAACAATTAAAGAAGCTATGATTTATGTTACCTAATTATTTTTTACTTTTGCTTCTTACCTCTATATGGAGAACCTCAGTGTTGACTAGCATGTAAGATCTGAGATGGGAGTATGACTGAATTGACATCACCCTATGGTACATTTATCAATGGGACTCCAAACATTTCCTGTGTTGTGGGCAGGAACTTTTCACCTGGATAAGGGGCAATGATGAATGTTTAGAGGAAAAAGGGGTTAACTGTGACATGTAATTTCACTCTTCATCTCAAGATCCACTTTTCAATCTTGTTCTGCCCCAGGCAATCACTTGTAAGGCTTCAATGTATGGTCTTCTTTGCCCTCCACTTTCTGGTTGGGTTTGACCAATAGGTAGCCATGGCTGGCAGATCAGCAGGAGGGGGAAGAATGAGGTCTGAGTACTTATTCTTCTGGCTGAAGTTGCCTCTTGCTGGCTGAATTTTTGACTAAAGCTCAATGCTTTACTCAAAGTAGTCTCTTATATGTGACTCTTTCCTGCCAACTCCAGAGGTCATTAGCTCAACTCTGGGATAGTTCTCTAGCACCTTCCAGTTTTCTTAAACCCCGTGCACATGTTTGTAAGCCCATCTCGAAGTATCCTAATTTGAATGTGTTATTTGCTTCTAGCTGGGAACCTAAAGTCATAATCCCTTTTATAATTCTTATCAGCAAGAAGAACATAGGCCATGGGGAAGAGTTGTGGTAGAAAAGAGGTTATGAATTGTGGCTTGAGGTATTTAAAGAAAGGAAGAGTGAGATCTAGGGATTAGAATGTAGGGGGATAGATTATAAATCTCTTTTTATATCACAGGCCCACTGTAGGTCTGCCTTATAAAAATTACGTCAGCTTGCTCTTTTTCAAATCTTTGTAATTTATGAATTAGCCTGGAATTACAACCAGCTACATAATTTGTAGGGCTCAGTGAAAAATGATAATGCAGGGCCTCCTGTTAAACAAGCCTTAATAATTGTAAAATGGCAACAGCAGAGCCATAAACCACGTGCAGGGCCCTTCTGAGTGTGAGGCACTGTGCAAGTGCAGTTCACATGCCTATGAATTTGGCTCTGCCTAAAATCCATAATATAAGGAGTAAAAGCTACCAACTTAAAACAATACAACTGGACATAAGCTACCAAGATACAGGCAAGTCTTAAGCAAAATACATATTTTGCCATAACTCATGAAGGGTGGGGGGTTGCTGCTGACCAGATTTTTCATTCCTGCTTGTGGCTACTTATAAGAAAAGAGAGGCACTAGGAAGGAATGAAATAATCTAGGAGTTGTGGCCTTTGAATCACTGAAACAGTGATTCTCAGTGCTTGGCTGGTCTTCAGAATGCTCTGGAAAGCTTTAAAATAATTCCAATGTTTCAGCATTTCACCCCACCCCTTCTGAGTTAGTTGTTCTGTGCTGGGACTGTTGCAGTTTTAACAGCTTTACAGGTGACACTAATTTCTAGTCAGCTTTGTGAACCACTACCTTAATTTCTTTCATCAGAGTTGGAAATTGTTGGTGGATTAGTTGCTTCTAAAGAGAAGTTGCCACATTGCTTTTGCCTTCTAAGGAAAAAGTTAAGGAAAAAAATTAATGAGTTTAGCTTAAATGTTATTTTCATTTCAAATTATGATTTGGGTATAAATATGTACTCAGTCAATAGACAGTGATATTTCCATTGTAAAATATATATATTTTTCTACATGAAGCATTTTCTTGGATTTTTTTGAATCAGTGATTTTCAAAATGTGATTTAGGGATCTTTTTGAGAGTCTGTGAATCAAAATTATTTTCATAATGTTTCTAAGACATGCATTAGTTATCTTTATCGTTCTCATTCACTCATGTGTATAATGGATTTGTAACAACACAATGACCACAGAAGCAGGTAGAGAATCCAGGTGTCTTCTATCAAACCAGACATTAAAGGAATTTACAAAAATTTAAAGCAATGTCACTTTTCACTATATAATTTAAAATAATGTTATTTATGTTAACACATGTGGTTTTACCTTTAATAGAATATATAAAAATAAAATGATCAGTTTTAATTTTTAATTAAATAGTGATAGATATAGCCCACATAAAAGTTATCTGAGGTCTTTAATAATTTTTAAGAGTACAAGAAGTTTCTGAACCCAGAGAGTCACAGCACCCCTGGTGTGTTTGGTGCCATTTTTGAGATTAGGCATCTGTATTTCACTTAAAATTTTTTTTAACTTGCTTTTGGCCCCCATGAATAAAACACTTTCATCATCAGTGAACTGCAGACAAAAGAGCCTGTGAGATAAGTATTGAATCAATTTGTCATTTATCCATTTATTTAACGGAGTTTTGATTATCTATTATCAGCCAGGCTTTGTGCTAGTTCCCAGCACAAACAGTCTCTACCATCATAGATCTAACATTGAATAAGTGGAGAAGGGGGAGAAGCATCCAAGAAATAATCACAACAATTGTAATTAATCACACTTGTAATGAGCCCCTAAAGAAAAGACACAGAGTACAGCAAAAAAAAAAAAAAAAAAAAAAAGATGGGGATTACTTAACTAAGAAGTGGTCCTTAAGAAACTGAAATTTCAATGGAGCAGCATGGAATACAGTATGCTATGAAGTGAATACCTTACTTAAGTAAATAAAGCAAGGCAAAAGATGAGACTAGAGAGGTAAGAACAAGATTGTATAGTACCATGTAGATAACATTAAGGAATTTGTGTGTGTGTGTGTGTGTGTGTGTGGTGTGTGTGTGCGTATGTAAGTATGTGTACTGGTATACATTATGTGTGTATATTTACAGCACACAACTGGTAGAAACAGATGACATTTTGATATTTGTTTAATAGGAATCAAAATCATAGGAGCCGTAAAATTATGTTGCATTGGCCGGGCGGGGTGCCTCACACCTGTAATCCCAGCACTTTGGGAGGCTGAGGTGGGTGGATTACAAGGTCAGGAGTTCAAGATCAGCCTGGCCAAGATGGTGAAACCCCGTCTCTACTAAAAATACAAAAAATTAGCCGGGCGATGTGGTGGGCACCTGTAATCCCAGCTACTCGGGAGGCTGAGGCAGAGAATTGCTTGAACCTGGGAGACGGAGCTTGCAGTGAGCTGAGATCGCGCCACTGCACTCCAGCCTGGGCGATAGAGCAAGACTCTGTCTCAAAAAAAAATTATGTTGCATTATTGCAATGAAATAAATAAATGTCTCAAATGTTTTGGCACCAACCTATTATGATACAACTGCAAACTTATTGAAGAAAAGCCATTCATGGTCTCTTTTTTGCCAATGTTTATTTTTTATTTACATACATTAAAATATACTTTTATTGATGTACAATTCTATGAGTTTTGACAAATATGTAGAGTTGTGTAACTACTACCATATAGTTAGGATGCAGAACAGTTCCATCACCTCACATCATTCCCTTGTAGTGCCGCTTACTCCCAAACCCTAGACACCACTGCTTTGTTCCCCATCCCTATGGTTTTGCCTTTTCTAGAATGTCACATAGATGGTATAATAAAGCATACGCCCTTAGGAATCTGGCTTCTTTTGCTTGGCATAATGCATTTGAGATTCAACTGTGCTGTTCTATGTGATAGCTTGTTTCTTTTATTGCTGAGTTGTATTCCATTGTATGGATGTACAATGGTTCATCCATTTCTCTGCTGACAGACATTTGTATTGCTTTCAGTTTGGGGTGACTGCAAAATGTTGATGTAAATATTCACACAGGTTTTTGTGTGAACATAATATTTTATTTTTTCTAGGGTAAATACCTAGCAGTGAGATTGTTAAGTTATATGGCAATTATTTGTCTAATGTTACAAGAAATTGTTAAACTGTGTGTTAATGTGGCTGTAAAATTTTATATTCCTCCAGGAATGTATGAGAATCCCAGTTCTGATTTCTCACCGGTCTTTGGTATTGTCAGTTTTTTTTCCCTAGCTATTTTAATAGTCGTGAAGCGGTATCTCGTTGTGGATTCAATTAGCATTTCCTTAATGCAGGTATAGTGTTGGGCATCTTTTCATATACTTATTTTTCACTTGTGCATCTTCTTTGGTGAGATGTTGGTTAATCATTTTGCCGACTTTTTACCGTTCATTAAAATTACTGAGTTTTGAGAGTTCTTTTTATATTCTGTTAGCATATTCTTTGTCAGATTTGCAAATCTTTTCTCTGTAGCTTTTCTTTTCACTCTTTTAGAAGTGTCTTTCACAGAATGAAAGTTTTTAATTTTGATGACATCCAATTTATTAGTTTTTTTCTTTTATGGATTGTGCATTTGATGTTGTATCTCAGGATCTTTTTTGAAGCCAGTGTCATGAAAACCTATTTTTCCCTAAAGTTTTATATTTTTATGTTTTATATTTCAGTCTATAATGTATTTTGAGTTAATTTTTGTATAAGGTGTGGGACATATAGATGCCCAATTATTCCAGTAGTTTCTTTTTGTTGTTGAAAAGACTGCTTTTTCTCTGAATTGACTTTGCACCTTTGATGAAAATTATTTGACCGTATTTGTGTGGGCTTATTTCTGGACCCTCTAGTCTGTTTTGTTTATTTCTGTGTCTATTCTTTTACCAATGTGACATCTTTTTGAGTTCTGTAGTTTTATAGTAAGTCTTGAAATCAAGTAGAGGAAATCCTATAACATTTTTATTCATTAAAAAATTTATTTTGGCTTCTACTTTCTTTGCTTTTGTATATAAATTTTAGAATCAACTTGTCAATATCCACAACAAATTCTAATCGGCATTTTATAGTTTTCAACATACAGATCCCCCATATATTTTGTTAAACTTGCAAATATATATTATATTTTTGTAGCTATTGAAAGTTGTATTTTTAAAATTTCACTTTTAATTTATTCATTGATGGTGTGTAGACATGTAATTGGTGTTCGTATATTGTGCTTTTATCATGTGAAAACTCATTTATTAGTTACAAGAGTGTTATTTTAGCTTTCTCGAGATTTTCTATGTGAACAATCATGTCATTTGCAAATAGAGTCCATTTTATTTCTTTCTTTTCAAGCTGTATTGCTTTTATTATTTTTTCCTCATTCCTGAGGAAATTTTTCCTAAACATGCAATTCCGGGTTAACAGTTTTTTCTTAATAGACTTAATTTTGTAGAGGAGGTTTAAGTTCACAGAGAAATTGAACAGAAAATAGAGTTCCCATATGTTCTCTCTCCTACACACTCATAGCCTCCCCACTAGCAACATCTCACATCACAGTGGCACATTCATTAAAATTGATAAACCTACATTGACACATCATTATCATACAAAGCCTCTAGGTTACATTAGAGTTCACTCTTGGTCTTGTACATTCTATGGGCTTGGGCAAATTTATAATGTCATGTATCTATCACTATAGTATTACAATGGTAATTTAATTGCCCTAAAAATCCTTTATGCTCGGCCCCTTCACCCCTCCCTCTCCCAATTCCTGGCCACCACTCAACTTTTTACTGTTTCCATAGTTTTGTATTTTTCTGAATGTCATATAGTTGTAATCATAAGGTATGTAACCTTTTAAGATTGGCTTCTTTCACTTAGTAATATTCATTCCTCCATCTCCTTTCATGACTTGATGGCTCATTTCTTTTTAGTGCTGAATAATATTTCACTGTCTGAAGGTGTTACAGTTTACTCATTCTTTCACCTACTGATGGACATTTTGGTTGCTTTCAAGTTTTGGTAATTATGAATAAAGCTGCTATAAACATCCATGTGCAGGTTTTTGTGTGGACACAATTTTACACTCCTTTGGGTAAATGCTAAGAAGTGCAATTGCTGGATCCTATGGTAGTTTTATAAGAAACTGCCAAATTGTCCTCTAAATTGGCCATTCCATTTTGTATTTCCACTAGAAATGAATGAGTTACTGTTGTCCCACATCCTTGCCAGTATTTAGTGTTGTCAGTGTTTTGGATTTTGGCTATTCTAATAGGGATTTAATGGTATGTTATTGTTTTAATTCCGTTTCTTTATGACATGACATTGAACATCTGCACATATTCTTTTCTTTCTTTGGTGATGCAAGTGTTCAGATATTTTGCCCATTTTTAATATGATTTTTCATTTTCCTTTTGTTAAATTTTAAGAGTTTAAAAAATATATTTTGTGCAGTAGTCCTTTATCAGATATGTCCTTTGCCAATACTTTCTCCAAGTCTGTGGCTTATCTTCTCATTCTCTTGAGACAGGTTTTTCTGTACTTTAAAACTGGTATTTCATTGTTGCAATAGAGAGAATTATAGTCCCTCAAAAAGGTTCCTGTTCTAATCCCTGGAACCTGTGAATGTTACTTCACTGGGCAAAGGGACTTTGCAGATGTGATTAAGTGGACAGTGAGGTGGAAAGATTAGCCTGGATTATCTAGGTGGGCTCAATCAAATCACAAGCCTCCCTCAAAGCAAACAATCTTTTCCAGCTGTGATTAGAGGGAGATGTGACCACAGAAGAATGACAGAGAGATGCATTGTTGCTGGCTTTGAAACTGGAGGAAAGGAGCCATGATCCCAAATATGTGGGCAATCTGTAGAGGCTAAAAAATACAAGAAAAGAGGTTTCCCCCTAAAGCCTCCAAAAAGAAATACAGCCCTGAAAACACTTTGATTTTAGCCTAGTTAGCTGTGTTGGACCTTTAGCTACAGAACTGTAAGATGATACATTTGTGTTAAGTCACAAATTTGTGGCAATTTGTTATATAGGAATAGAAAACTGATGCAATTGTTTTCTGGCATCTCTTGAGCAATCTGTAGTCATTTGAATTGTTCCTTTTTATATAATGTGTTATTTTCTCTGGCTGTTTTCTGGCTGACTTCATTTTCAGCAGTTTGATTACGATGTGTTTGGACATGATTTACTTTGAGGTTTCCTGTTTAGGATGTTCCAAGTGATCTAAATCTGTAAAATTGTGTTGATTAATCTAAACTGCAATACTTTAAGAAGGAATGGAAAATGCATTGAGGCTTAAATGGAGGCAAATAACTTTATTCTTTTTCTTCAAGATTGTTTAGGCTATCCTGCATCCCTTGAATTTTCATATAAATTTTCATATAAATTGTCAGATATCAGTTTGACAATTTCCGGAAAGAAGCCAACTGGGATTTTGATAAGAATTGCATTGTATCTGTAGATAAATTTGGGGATTATTGACATCTTAAAAAAGTTTTTTGATCCATGAACGTGGAATGTCCTCCCAGTTATTTATGTCTTTTAAAATTTATTTCAAAAGTATTTTGTAGTTTTCACAGGAGTATTATTCCTTTGTTAAATTTATTTCTAATTATTTTATTCTTCTTGATGCTATTGGTAAGTGGAATTATTTTCTTAATTTTGATTTCACTTTGTTTATTATTATCGTATAGACAATCAGTTCATTTTTATATGGTAATCTTATATCCTGCAAACTTGCTGAGCTTCTTAATTAGTTATAATAGTTTTTTAGTAGATTCCATAGAATTATCTTTTCCTAGGTTTCTGTATTTAGATTTTCTGTATTAAGAGCAATAGCAATAGTTGCATGTCTTCCTTTCCAATCTGGATGTTCTTTATTTTATTTCCTTGCCTAATTGCCCTGGATAGAACCTCTAGTACAATGCTGAGTAGAAGTTGCAATAACAGACATGCTGTATCATTTCTGATCTTGGGGGGAAACATTCAGTCTTTCATCACTAAATATGATGCTAGCTGTGTATTTTCTTAATAGATGTCATTAGTAAAGTTAAAGAAATTGCCTTCTATTCTTATTTTGTTGAATTTTTTTAAAATCATAGATGAGTGTTGAAGTTTGTCAAATACTTTTGTTGTCTATTGGGATGATAACATCTTTGTCATGTATTCTATTGATGTCATGTATTACATAAATTGATTATTGGTTGTTACCTTAACTTTGCATTCTTGGGATGAATCCCTCACGGTCATAATGTGCAATCCTCTTGATAAGTTTTTGGATTTGATTTATGGTATTTGGTTGAGACTTTTAAAATATATCTGTTTATAGGAGACATTGGTGTGTATCTTTCTTTTCTTGTGATGCCTTTTTCTGGGTTGGATATCAGGTAATACTGACCTCAGAATAAAGTTGGAAATTGTTCCCTCCTCTTGTATTTTTTTTTTTTGGAAGCGTTTCTGAAGGATTGGTGTTAATTATTTGAATTTTTGGTAGAATTCATCAGTGAAGTCATCTTGGCCTGAACTTTGCTTTGTAGGAGGTATTTTTGGTTACTTATTCAATCTTTTTACTTATTACAAGTCTGTTCAGATTGTTACTTTTTCTTGAGTCAGTTTTGGTAGTTTGTCTCCTTTAGGAATTTGTCCATTTCGTCAAAGTTGTTTAACTTATTAGCATGCAATTGATTATGGTATTTCTTTATGATCCTGTATATTTCTGTAAAATTGACGGTAATATCCCCTTTTTACTTTATTATTCTAGTCATTTGAATATGCTCTTTCTCTCTCTGTCTTTCTCATTAGTCTTGCTAAAGGTTTTTCAGCACTGTTGTTATTTTAAAAGAACCAATTTTAGTTTCATTGATTTTTCTCAGTTTGTCTATTCTCTATTTAATTAATTTTCATTCTAGTTCTTATTATTTCTTTTCTCCTATTTGCTTTGCATTTCATTCTCTCTTTTTTGCATGCTCTCCTTTTTCCAGAATCTTAAGGTAGAAAATTAGATAGTTGATTTGAGAATTTTCTTCACTTTTAAAAAAGTATAGGCTTTTATAGCAATATATTTCCTTCTAACGACTGTTTTAGCTGTACTTCATACATTTTGTCATTTTCATTAATTTCAGACTATTTTCTAATATTCTTTATACATTAGTTTTCTGCAATTTCCATGACGAATTATCACAGCTTGGTGGCTTAAGCTAACAGAAATTTAGTCTTTCACAATTCAGGAGATCAGAAGTCAAAAATCAAAGTGTCAGCAAGATTGTTTTTTTCTGGAGGCACTGAAGAAGAACGACTCCATGCCTCTCTTCTATCTTCTGGTGGTTGTTAGCAATCCTTGGCATTCCTTGGCGTATAGATGCATCACCGTAGTCTCTGTCTCTATCTTCACATCACTTTTTTTCCTCCTTATTTCTGTGTGTCTTTTGTTATCTCCTATAAGGACATAAAAGAATGGTTTTCGAGCCCACCCCGATAACCAGGTACTATGTCGAGGGCCTTAGGTGAGACTCTGAAACTTGATGGCTTCAGGTGAGACTCAGCACATTTACAGCTGTGGTGGCTATAAGGCAAGGCTACTGCTTGAGAAAAGTGGGATAAAAGAAAAGTGGGCTTTGTCTTGTACCTTAGGTACCAGCTCAGCCACAGGAAGGTAGAGCATCATATGGGCTCTTGAGGTTCTCAATTCTAGGGTTTGGTCCTTGGATAGCATTTCTGGATCTGCCCTGGGCCAAAGAGGAGCCACTGCCCTGAAGGTGAGTCCCAGGCCAGGCAACATTCACCACAAGCTGACTTAAGAGCCTTAAGGGAACATTAGTGGTCGTCTGGCAGTACTTCTTGTGACCTGTGGTGGAAGTGGCTACAGGTGAAGCTCCTCTTCCTTTGGAAAGGGGAGGGAAGAGTGGGAAGGACAGCATCTTGTGGTTGAGTGCCAGCTCAGCCACAATACAATGGAGCACCAGGGGGATTTCTAAGGTTTTTCACTCTAGTCACTGACTCTGGATGGCACCTCTGGACCTGCACAGGGCCTAGGAAAACTTGGCACCCTGAAGGGAAGGACATAGCACTGGGTGGCTTTACCATATGATGATTGTAGAGCCCCAGGCCCTTCAGCAAACATAGGCAGTAACCAGAGAATGGTTGTGGCAGGACTTGGACAAGATCCAGTGCTGTGCTGGTGTCTAGTCTGACCCAACACAGTCTTAGTGGTGTGAACAGGGGCACTTGTGTCACTAAACTCCCAGATCTAGGTGGCTCAGAACAAAGAGACAAACTCCGTTTGTTTGGGAGAAAGTATGGGAAAAGAACAACGGTCTCTCTGTCTAGTAATCCAGGTAATTCTTCCATATTCATTCAAGACCATCAAGGCTGTATCTTTACAAGTCTGCAAGAACCAGTGTTACTGGGCTTGGTTTGCCCCATAAAGCAGACACAGCTTAGATCACAACACCCAAGTCCTTTCAAATATCTGAAATGTCTTCCTGAGAAGGATGGGAATAAACAAGCCCCGACAGTGAAGACTACAATAAATACCTAACTCTCCAATGCCCAGACACAGACAAACATTCTCAGGTGTCACAACAATTCAGGAAAACATGACCTTATCAAACAAACTAAATAAGGCACCAGGGACCAGTCCTGGAGAAACAGAATTATGTGACCTTTCAGACATGCAATTCAAAATAAGTGTCTTGAGGAAAGACAAAGGAGAAATTCAGAATTCAATCAGACAAATTTAACTAAGAGATTGAAATAACCAAAAAGAATCAAGCAGAAATTCTGGAGCTGAAAAATGTTGTTGACACACTGAATAATGCATTGGAGTCTTTTAATAGCAGACGTGATCAAGCAGCAGAAAGAATTAGTGAGCATCAAGACAGGCTATTTGAAAATACACAGTCAGAGGGACAAAAGATGAAAAATAAAAAACAATGAAGCATTCCTACAGGTTCTAGAAAATAGCCTCAAATGGGCAAATCTAAAAGTTATTGGCCTTTAAGAGGAGGTGGAGAAAGAGATAGATATAGAAAGTATATTCAAAGGCATAGTGACAGAACTTCCCAAACCTACAGGAAGATAGCAATACCTAAGTACAAGAAGGTTATAGAACATCAAGTAGATTAAACTCACAAAAGACTACCTCTATGCATTTAATAATCAAACTCCCAAAAGTCAGGGATAAAGAAAGGATCCTAAGAGAAACAAGAGAAAAAAAAAACAAATAATATAGAGTGAAGTTCAAATACATCTGGTAGCAGACTTTTCAGTGGAAACCTTAGAGGCCAGGAGAGAGTGGCATGACATATTTAAATTGCTGAAGAAAAACCCTTCCCCTAGAATAGTATATCCAGGGAAAATATCCTTAAAATATGAAGGAAAAATGAAGACTTTCCCAGGCAGTCAAAAGCTGAGGGATTTTATCAACACCAGACCTGTCTTACAAGAAATGCTAAAGGGATTTTTTCAATCTTAAAGAAAGGATGTTAATGAGCAAAAATAATTACCTAAGAAAACTCACTGGAAATAGGAAGTAGACAAAACACCCCAGAATATGATAACACTGTAATTGTGGTGTATAAACTACCCTTATGCTAAGTAGAGACACTAAAAAATGAACCAATCAAAACCAATAACCACAACAAATTTTCAAGACATAGACAGTAAAATAAAATAAAAATAGAAATAATGAAAAGTTAAAAAGTGGGGTGGTGAAGATAAATTGTAGAGTTTTCATTACTTTTCTCTTTGCTAAAATGATAGGTTATAAAATAGTATTTGCAAGCCTTATGATAACCTCAAACCAAATAATATACAACAGATACATAAAATATTAAAAGCAAGAAACTAAATTATATCATTAGAGAAGATCAGCCTCACTAAAGGAAGACAGGAAGGAGAGAAATAAGGAAGAGAAGACCACAAAACAACCAGAAAACAAGTAACAAAATTGGAGGAGTAAGTCCTCAGTTATCAGTAATAACATTAAATATAAATGGATTAAACATTCCATTTAGACATAGACTGGCTGAATAAAAATGCAAGACCCATAAATCTGTTGCCTACAGGAACCATACCTTACCTATAAAAACACAGATAGATTGAAAAAAAAAATGGAAAAAGATATATTCTATGCCAATGGAAACCAAAAAAGAGCAGAAGTAGCTATACTTTTATAAGACAAAATAGATTTCAAGACAAAAACTATAAAAAGAGACAAAGAATGTCTCTAATAATAAAGGAATCAATTTAGCAAGAGCATATAACAATTTTAAATATATATGCACCCAACACTGGAGTGCCTAGTTATATAAAGCAAATGTTATTCGTGCTAAAGAGAGAGACAGACCCTGATATAGTTTCACTGTGTCCCCACCCAAATCTCATCTTGAATTGTAGCTTCCACAATTCCCATGTGTAATGGGAGGGACCCAGTGGGAGGTAATTGAATCATGGGGGCAGGTCTTTCCCATGCTGCTCTCAATATAGTGAATAAGTCTTATGAGATCTTATGGTTTTATAATGGGGAGTTTCCCTGCACTAGTTCTCTCCCTTTTCTGCAGCCATATAAAATGTGCCTTTAACCTTCTGCCATGATTGTGAGGCCCCTCCCCAGCCATGTGTAGCTGTGAGTCTATTAAACCTCTTTTTCTTTATACATTACCCAGTCTGGGGTATGTCTTTATCAGCACATGAAAACAGACTAACACAGGTACCAGTACAATAATAGCTGGAGACTTCAACACCCTACTTTCAGCATTGGACAGATTTTACAGACAGAAAATCATCTAAGAAGCATCAGACTTAATGTGCACTACAGAACAAGTGATTCTAATACATATTTACAGAACATTTCATCCAAAAGCTACAGAATATACATTCTCCTCTCAGCACACAGATCATTCTCAAAGATACATCATGTATCATGTGTTAGGTCACAAAACAAGTCTTAAAACATTCAAAAAATTGAAATAACATGAAGTGTCTTCTCTGACCACAGTGGAATAAAACTAGAAATTAAAAAGAGGAATTTTGGAAACTATTCAAATACATGAAAATTAAACAACATATTCCTGAATGACCAGTGGGTAAATCGAGAAATTAAGAAGGAAATATAAAAATTTCTTGAAAAAAATGATAATGACACATCATACCCAAACCTCTGGAATACTGCAAAAACAGTAGTAAGAGAGAAGCTGATAGCTATAAGTGCCTACATTAGCAAAGAGAACAAACTTCAAATAAACAATTTAAAAATGCATCTTCAAGAACTAGAAAAGCAAGAGCAAACCAAACCTAAAATTAGTAGAATGAAGGAAATAGTAAAGATTATAGTGGAAATAAATAAAATTTAAATAAGAAAATAATACAAAAGATCAATGACACCAAAAGATTGTTTGTTGAAAACTTAAACAAAATCGGTGAATTTTTAGCCAGATTAACTAAGAAAAAAAAACCAGAGAAGGCCTAAATAAATAAAATCAGAGATGAAAGAAGAGACATTACAACTGATACTGAAGAAATTCAAAGGATCATTAGTGGCTCCTATGAGCAACTATAGACCAATAAATTTAAAAACCTGGAGGAAATGGGCAAATTCCTAGACACATACAAGTACTAGGATCGGACCATGAAGAAATCCAAAACCTGAACAGACCATTAACAAATAATGAGATCATAGCCATAATAAAGTCTCCTACCAAGGAACAGACTGGGACACCATGGCTTCACTGTTGAATTTTACTAGACATTTGAATAAGAACTAATACCAATTCTACCTAAACTGTGCCAAAAAATAGAGAAGAAAATACTTCCAAACTCATTCAACAGGACCAGTATTACCCTGATACCAAAACTAGAGAAAGACATATCAAAAAAAGAAAACTACTGACCAATATCTCTGATGAATATTTATGCAAAAATATGAATCATAATACCAACAAATAGAATTCAACAATATATTAAAAAGATCATTCTTCATGACCAAGTGGAATTTATCCCTGGGATGCAAGGATCATTCTACATGTGCAACTTAATCAATGTGATACATCATATCAGTAGAATGAAGGATAAAAATCATTTTGTCATTTCAATTGATACTGAAAAAGCATTTGATAAAGTTCAACATCCTTCATGATAAAAAACCTAAAAAAACCGGGGATAGAAGGAACATGCCTCAATATAATAAAAGACATATATGACAGACCCACAACTAGTATCATACTGAATGGAGAAAAATTGAAAGCCAATCCTCTAAGATTTGCAACATGACAAGGATGCCCACTTTTTCCCACTATTATTCAACATAGTACTGAAAGTCCTAGCTAGAGCAATCAGACAGGAGAAAGAAATAAAGGGCATCCAAATTGGAAGGAAGAATTCAAATTATCCTTGTTTGCAGATAACATGATCTCATATTTAGAAAAACTTCAAGATTCCACCAAAAACATACTAGAACTGATAAGCAATTTAGTAAAGTTGCAGGATACAAAATCAACATACAAAAAAAAGTAGCCTTTCTGTATGCCAACAGTGAACAATCTGACAAAGAAATAAAAAGTAATCATAATTACAATAGCCACACATAAAATTAAATACCTAGGAATTAATGAAAGAAGTAAACGATCTCTATAATGAAAACTATAAAACACTGATGAAAGAAATTGAAGAGGACACCAAAAAATGTGAAGATATCCCATGTTCATGAATTGGAAGAATCAATATTGTTAAAATGTTCATACTACTCAAAGCAATCTGCAGACTCAATGCAATCTCTATCAAAATATTAATAATATTCTGCACAGAAATAGAGAAAACAATCCTAAAGTTTATATGAAACCACACAAGACTCGGAATAGCCAAAGCTATCCTAAGCAAAAAGAATAAATCTTTTATTTATTTATTTATTTATTTATTTATTTATTTATTTTCCATAGGTTATTGGGGAACAGGTAGTGTTTGGTTACATGAGTAAGTTCTTCAGTGATTTGTGAGACTTTGGTGCATGCATCACCCGAGCTGTATACACTGCACCCTGTTTGTAGTTTTTTGTCCCTCACGCCTTTCCCACCCTTTCCTCCTGCGTCCCCAAAGTCCATTGTGTCATTCTTATTCTTTTGCATCCTTATAGCTTAGCTCCCACTTATAAGCGAGAACATATTATGTTTGGTTTTCCATTCCTAAGTTACTTCACTTACAATAATAGTCCCCAGTCTCATGCTGGTCACTGCGAATGCCATTAATTCCTTTTTGTGGCTGAGTAGTATTCCATCATATATGTATATATTTATATATATATCTCCACAATTTCTTTACTCGTTGATTGATGGGCTTTTGGGTTGGTTCCACGTTTTTACAACTGTGAATCGTGCTTCTATAAACATGTGTATACAAGTATCTTTTTTGTATGACTTCATTTCCTCTGTGTAGGTACCCAGTAGTGGGATTGTTGGATCAAATGGTAATTCTACTTTTAGTTCCTTAAGGAATCTCCACACTGTTTTCAATAGGGGCTGTACTAGTTTACATGTCCACCAGCAGTGTAGAAGTGTTCCCTGTTCACTGCATTCATGCCAACATCTACTATTTTTTGATTATGGCCATTCTTGCAGGAGTAAGGTGGTATCACATTGTGGTTTCGATTTGCATTTCCCTGATCATTAGTGATGTTGATCATTTTTTCATATGTTCATTAGCCACTTGTATATCTTCTTTTGAGAATTGTGTATTAATTTCCTTAGCCCACTTTTGGATTTTTTTTTTTTTCTTGTTGGTTTGTTTGAGTTCATTGTAGATTCTGGACATTAGTCCTTTGTCAGGTGTATAGATTGTGAATACTTTTTCCCACTCTGTGGGTTGTCTGTTTGTTCTGCTGACTGTTCCCTTTGCTGTGCAAAAGCTTTGTAGTTTAACTAAGTCTCAGCAATTTATCTTTGTTTTTATTGCATTTGCTTTTAGATTCTTGGTCATGAATTCCTTGCCTAAGTCAATGTCTAGAAAAGTTTTTCCAATGTTATAATCTAGAATTTTTATAGTTTCAGGTCTTAGATTTAAGTCCTTAATTCATCTTGAGTTGATTTTTGTATAAGGTGAGAGATGAGGATCTAGTTTCATTCTTCTACATGTGGCTTCCCAGTGATCCCTGCACCATTTGTTGAAAAGGGTGTCCTTTCCCCACTTTATGTTTTTGTTTGTTTTGTCAAAGATCAATTGGCTGTAAATATTTGGATTTATTCTTGAGTTTTCTATTCTGTTCCATTGGTCTGTGTCCCTGTTTTTATACTAGTGCCATGCTGTTTTGGTGACCATGGCCTTATAGTATAATTTGAAATCAGGTAGTGTGATGCCTCCAGATTTGTTCTTTTTGCTTAGTCTTGCTTTGACTATGCTGGCTCTTTTTTGGTTTCCTATAAATTTTCTATTTTTTTTCTAATTCTGTGAGGAATGATGGTGGTATTTTGATGGTAACTGCATTGAATTTGTAGATTGCTTTTGGCAGTATGGTTATTTTCACAATATTGATTCTATGCATCCATGAGCATGGGATGTGTTTCCATTTGTTTGTGTCATCTATTATTCCTTTCAGCAGTGTTTTGTAGTTTTCTTTGTAGAGATCTTTCACCTCCTTGGTTAGGTATATTCCTTGGTATTTTATTTTATTTTATTTTATTTTTGCAGCTACTGTAAAAGACCTTGAGTTCTTGATTTGGTTCTCAGCTTTGTCACTCTTAGTGTATAGAAGAGCTACTGATTTGTGTACATTAATTTTTTATCTGGAAACTACTGAATTTATCAGTTCTAGGAGCTTTCTGGAAAAGTCTTTAGGGTTTTCCAGGTTAACAATCATATCAGCAAACAGCAACAGTTTGACTTCCTCTTTACCAATTTGGATGCCCCTTATTTCTTTCTCTTGTGGGATTGCTTTGGCTTGGATTTCCAGTACAATTTTGAAGAGGAGTGGTTAGAGTGGGCATCCTTGTCTTGTTCTAGTTCTCAGGGGGAATGATTTCAACTTTTCCACATTCAGTATTACAATGGCTGTGGGTTTGTCATGGATGGCTTTTATTATATTGAGGTGTGTCCCTTGTATGCCAATGCACCTTTATGTGTATAAACTGGAAAACGTAGAAGAGGTGGATAAATTCCTGGAAAGATACCACACTTCTAGTTTAAATCAGGAAGAATTAGATACCATGAAGAGACCAATAACAAGCAGTGAGATTGAAACTGTGATAAAAAAGTTACCAACACAGAAAAGTCCAGGACCAGATGGAGTCACAGCAGAATTCTACCAGACACTCACAGAAGAATTGGTACCAATTCTATAGACACTATTCCACAAGATAAAGAAAGAGGGAGCCTTCCCTGAGTCATTCAGTGAAGCCTATATCACCCTAATGCTAAAACCAAGAAAGGTCATTACAGACCAATATCTCTGATGAAGAAAATTACAGACCAATATCTCTGATGAACACAGATGCTAAAATCCTTAACAAAATACTAGCTAACAAAATCCAAAAACATATCAAAAAGATAATCCACCACGATCAAGTGGGTTTTATACCAGGTACGCAGGGATGGTTTAACATTAATATCAATATAATGTGATATACCACATAAACATATATCAACACATATCGACATATATTAGCAAATATCAACATATATCAACACATACCAATAAATGTGATACACCACATATATATTATAACATCAATAAATGCGATACACCACATAAATAGAATTAAAAACAAAAATTACATGGTCATCTCAATAGATGCATAAAAATCATTCAACAAAATCCAGCATCCCTTTATGATTAAAACTCTCAACAAAATGAACAAATCTTGAGGAATCACATTACCTGATTTCAAATTATATTATAAAGCTATAGTAATCACAACAGCATGGTACTGCCATAAAAACAGACACATAGAGCAATGGAGCATAACAGAGAGAGCCCTTTAACTCCCGGGTCATAAACTGGCATTGGTCTGTGGCCTGTTAGGAACTGGGCCATGCAGCAGGAGGTGAGCTGCAGGCAGGTGAGCATTCCTGCCTGAGCTCCACCTTTTATCAGATCAGTGGTGGCATTAGATTCTCATAGGAGTGTGAGCCGTACTGTGAATTGAGCATGCAAGGGATCTAGGTTGCGTGCTCCTTAGGAGAATCTATCTAATGCCTGATTATCTGAGGTGGAACAATTTCATTCCAAAACCATTCCACCCCCACCCCGGTCCATGGAAAAATTGTCTTCCACAAAATCAGTTTCTAGTACCAAAAAGGTTGAGGGTCACTGGAATAGAGAACCCAGATACAAATCCACACACCTGCAGTTAACTCATTTTTGACAAAGGTTCCCAGAACACACACTGGGGAAAAAACAGTCTCTTCAATAGATGGTTCCAGAAAAACTGGATATCCCTATGCACAAGAATGACACTAGACCCCTATCTCTTGCCGTATACAAAATCAAATCAAAATAGATTAAAGACTTAAGTCTAATACTTTAAACTATAAAACTACCACAAGAAAACATTGGGAAAAATCTCCAGGACATTGGTCTAGGCAAAAATTTCTTGAGTAGTGCAACACAAGCACAGGCAACCAAAGCAAAAATGGATAAATGAGATCACATCAAGTTAAATAGCTTCTGTACAGCAGAGGACACAATCAACACAGTGAAATAATAACCCATAAAATGGGAGAAAATATTTGCAAACTACCCATCTGAGAAGGGATTAATTACCAGAATACACAAGGAGCACAAATAACTCTATAGGATAAACTCTAATCATCTGATTAAGAGATGGGCCGGACTAAGAAGCCGCTAGGCTTCTCAGAAACGGGGCAGATAGAGCAAGAAGGAGGCCAGAGCAGAGGCCAGAGCCCAGGCAGGATACGGCGCCATGCCACCACCACGGGCATCTGGGGAGGAGTGTCAACCACTATGGAAAACAGTTTGAATTTTTAAATTTGACAAAATCCAAAAAGAATTTGACAAAATCAAGCTTTAATTAAAAATTCAACATCCATTCATGATGAAAACCCTCAAAAAATTGGGGATAGAAGAAACATACCTCAACATAATAAAAACTGTATATGACATACCCACAGCTAGTATCATAATGAGTGGGGAAAAATGGAAAGCCTTTCCTCTAAGATCTGGAACACAACAAGGATGTTCACTTTCACCAGTGATATTCAACCTAATACTGGAAGTCCTACCTCGAGCATTCCAACAACAGAAAGATATAAAGGGCATCCAAATTGGAAAGGAAGAAGCCAAATTATTATCCTTTTTGCAGATGATATGATCTTGTATTTAAAAAAACTGAAAGGCTCCACAAGAAAACTATTAGAATTGATAAACAAATTCAGTTAGGTTGTGGGATACAAAATCAACATACAAAAATAAGTAGTATTTCTAGATGCCAACAGCAAACAATCTGAAAAAGTAATATAAAGAAATCCCAGTTACAATAGTCACACATAAAATTAAGTACCTAGTAATTAACCAAAGAAATGAAAGATCTCTGTAATAAAAACTATAAAACTCTGATAAGGGAAATTGAAGAGGACACCAAAAAAAAAATTTCATGTTCATGAATTGGAGGAATCAATATTGATAAAATGTGCATACAACCCAAAGCAATCTACAGATTCAAGATAATCCCTATCAAAATACCAATGACATTCTTCATAGAAATATAGAAAACAATTCTAAAATTTATATGGAACCACAAAGACTCAGAATAGCCAAAACTATGCTAAGCAAAAATAACAAATCTTGAGGAATCATATTACCTGACCTCAAATTATACTACAGAGCTATAGTAACCAAAACAGCATGGTACTGGCATAAAAACAGACATATATATAGAGGAATGGAACAGAATAGAGAACCCAGAAACAAATCCACACACCTACAATGAACTCATTTTTGACAAAGGTGCCAAGAACATACACTGGGGAAAATACGGTTTCTTCAATAAATGGTGCTGGATAAAGTAATGAAAAACTGGATATCTATATGCAGAAGAATGAGACTAGACCCCTATCTCTTACTGTATACAAAAATCAAATAAAAATAGATTAAAGACTTCAATCTAAGACCTTAACAGCATGAAACTACTACAAACAATCATTGGGGAAAATCTCCAGGACATTGATGTGGGCAAAAGTTTTTTGAGCACATTGAGCACAGGGTTACCCCACCAACCCAGGCAACCAAAGAAAAAATGGGCAAATGAGATAGCATCAAGGAAAAAAGCTTCTGTACAACAAAGGATACAATCAACAAAGTGAAGAGACAATTCCCTAAATGGGAGAAAATATTTGTAAACTATCCATCTCACACAGGATTAAAGACTGGAATATAAGAAACCCTAACAACTCTACAGGAATAAATCAAATGATCTGATCAAAAGATCTCCAAAAGATTTAAATAGATGTTTCTCAAAAGAAGACATACAAATGGCAAACAGGTATATTAAAAAGTGTTCAACATTATTGATCATCAGAGAAATGAAAATCAAAACTACAATGAAATACCATCTTACCTAAGTTAAAATGGGTTGTATCCAAAAGACAGGCAATAACAAAAACTGCCAAAGATGCAGGGAAAAGGGAAACCTCATACCCTGCTGGTGAAAATGTAAATTAACAACCACTATGGAGAGCAGTTTGGAGGTTTCTCAAAACAATAAAAATTGAGCTACCATGTGATCCAGTAATCCCACTGCTGCGTATATACCCAAAAGAATGGAAAGCAGTATATCAAAGAGATATCTGCACTCCTATGTTTGTTGCAGCATTATTTACAATAGCCGAGATTTGGAAGCAACCTAAGTATCCATCAACAGATGAATGAGTAAAGAAAATCTGGTACATATTCACAGGGGGTTACTATTCATCCACAAAAAAGAATGAGATTGAGTCATTTGCAACAACACGAATGGAATTGGAGATCATTATGTTAAGTGAAATAAGCCAGGCACAGAAAGAAAAACATTGCATGTTCTCACTTATTTGTGGGATCTACAAATCAAAACAATTGAACTCATAGAGATATAGATATAGAGTAGAAGGATGGTTACCAGAGGCTGGGAAGGGTAGTGGGGACCTGGGGGAGAGGTGAGGATGGTTAATGGCTACATAAAAATAGGAAGAATGAATAAGACCTAGTATTTGCTAGCACAACAAGGTGACTATAGTCAATAATAACTTAACTGCACATTTTAAAATATCTTAGAGTGTAGTTGGAGTGTCTGCAGCTCAATGGATTAATGCTTGAGGGGATGGATACCCCATTCTTCATGTGCTTTTTTCACATTGCATGCCTGTATCAAAACATCTCATTTACCCCACAAATATATACACCTACTATGTGCCCACAAAAATTAAAAACAACAAAACTAAGTACAATTTACGAATTAGGAGATATTATGCTTCCTCCTCACTTGCCACCATACAGCCTCTGCACCTAAACATTGAAAAGAAGAAAGCCTTCCTTCTTTCAAAACTTGTGTTTAGAAAGCCTGAATTAAAGAGCTACATGCTCTTTGCAACATTCTGTATGAACAATACCTCAGAGACGTGACCCTATACAATTTCCCACTCTTCTACTGCATTGAAATAATAAGTTTTTATTGATTTGTAGCCTATATTTATCTCCTTTCTTTCCTCCGAGATTTTTTCCTTGCATCACAATGTCAAGGAAACAAAAAGTTTCTGTTACTTATTAACCAGAGGCACAAGAAAACAAAAATTGTTCCAATAAAATTTTTAAGAAAAAAATTAGGGTAATATGTATTATCATCTTTATCTTTCTGAAACTGGAAGTTTCAGTTGAAGAATCAAGGTATAATCAATAGGCATTTCTAATGTGAGTTACCAAACGAAGATACAAATTTTCAAAGGAAAGAGAAGTTTCATAGCTCTTAAATACCTTCATTCAAAAAGGGTAATACAAGAATTAGGCTGTTGAGGATTTTTGCAGGATTTGGTGAAGAGAATTTCTTTGGTAAAGCTGTGTAGTGATTTCTGCCATTCACCAAGGGGAAAGGGTGTTGGGAGTATCTCTAGTGAAAAGCACTTCATCGGGACCATGGAGATTTTGAGATGGGATTTCCCCTAGAGGACTGGCGTCTGATCATTAGCTGCTTTGCCAGTAGAGTTGCTGTGGCTAGCTTTGGATCAGTCTGTGCTCTGAGCTTCTCTGGGCAAAGGGTGTAGGAACTTTGCTTGTGGGTTTGAGGAGAGCCATATGGTAGAACCAGCCTGAAGCCATCTGAAATCTAGCCAATAAGGTCTTTTAAAAGTTCAGCAAAATTTCAGGATACAAAATTGATGTACACAAATCAGTAGCTCTGCTATATACCAACAGTGACCAAGGTTTGAATGAAATCGAGAACTCAACCCCTTTACAACAGCTGCAAAAAATAAAAATAAATACACAAAAGAAAATACTTAGAAATGTACTTAACAAAGGAGGTAAAAAAAAACAAAAACAAAAAACCTCTACAAGGAAAACTACAAAACACTGCTGAACAAAATCATAGATGACACAAACAAATGGAAACACATCCCATGCTCATGAATGAGTAGAATCAATATTGTAAAAATGACCATACTGCCAAAAGCAATCTACAAATTCAAAACAATTCTTATAAAAATACCACCATCATTCTTCACAGAGTTAGAAAAAAAAATCCTAAAATTCATATGGAACCAAAAAAGAGCCTACATAGCCAAAGCAAGAATAAGGAAAAAGAACAAATCTGGAAGCATTACATTGCCCAACTTAAAACTATACTGTAAGGCCATAGTCACCAAAACAGAATGGTATTGGTACATAAATAGGCATATAGACCAATGGAACAGAATTGGGAACCCAGAAATAAACCCAAATACTTACTGTCAATTGATCTTCAAAAAAGCAAACAAAAACATAAAGTGGGGAAAGGACACCCTATTCACCAAATGATACTGGGATAATTGGCAAGCCTCGTGTAGAATAATGAAGCTGGATCCTCTTCGCTCATCTTATACAAAAATCAACTCAAGATGGATTGAAGACTTAAATCTAAGATCTGAAACCATAAAAGTTCTAGAAGAGGTGCTGGCAAGATGGCTGAATAGGAACAGCTCTGGTCTGTAGCTCCCAGTGAGATCGATGCAGAACTCAGGTGATTTCTGCATTTCCAACTGAGGTACCCAGTTCATCTCATTGGGACTGGTTGGACAGTGGGTGCAGCCCATGGAGGGTGAGCCAAAGCAGGGTGGGGACATCACCTCACCCAGAAAGCACAAGGGATCAGGGGATTTCACTTTCCTAGCCAAGGGAAGCTGTAAGAGACGGTGCTGGGAGCAACAGTGCACTCCAGCCCAGATACTATGCTTTTCCCACAGTCTTTGCAACCAGCAAACCATGAGATCCTCTCCGGTGCCTGGCTTGGTGGGTGCCACCCCCATGGAGCCCATCAAGCTAAGATTCACTGGCTTGAAATTCTTGCTGCCAGCACAGCAGCAGTCTGAGATTGACCTGGGATGCTCGAGCTTGGTGGGAGGAGGGGCGTCCACCTTTGCTGAGACTTGAGTAGGCGGTTTTACCCTCACAGTGTAAACAAAGGCTCCTAGAACTTCAAAATGGATGGAGCCCACTGCAGCTCAGTAAGGCCACTGTGGCCAGACAGCCTCTCTAGATTTTCTCCTCTCCGGGCAGGGCATCTCTGAAAAAAAGGCAGCAACCCCAGTAAGGAACATATAGATAAAACCCCCATCTCCCTGGGACAGAGCACCTGGGGGAAGGGGTGGCTGTGGGGCAGCTTAAGCAGACCTAAACGTCCCTGCCTGACAGCTCTTAAGAGAGCAGTGGCTCTCCCAGCACAGCGTTTGAGCTCTGATAAGGGACAAGCTGCCTCCTCAAGTGGGTCCCTGACCCCCATGTATCCTGACTGGGAGACAACCCCCAGTAGGGGCCGACAGACACCTCATACAGGAAAGCTCTTGCCGGCATCTGCCAAGTGCCCCTCTGGGATGAAGCTTCCAGAGGAAGGAACAGACAGCAATCTTTGCTATTCTGCAGCCTCCACTGGTGATACCTAGGCAAATAGGTTCTGAAGTGGACCTCCAGCATACTCCAGCAGACCTGCAGAAGAGAGGCCTGTTAGAAGGAAAACTAACAATCAGAAAGGATTAGTAGCAACATCAACAAAAAGGATGTCTATTCAGTAACCCCATCTGAAGCTCACCAACATCAAAGACCAAAGGTAGATAAATCCATGAAGATGGGGAGAAACCAGCATAAAAAAGCTGAAAACTCCAAAAACCAGAACGCCTCTTCTCCTCCAGGGGATCACAACTCCTCTCCAGCAAGGGAACAAAATGGGACAGATAATGAGTTTGATGAATTGACAGAAATAGGCTTTAGAAGGTGGGTAATAACAAACTCCTCTGAGCTAAAGGAGTATATTCTAACCCAATGCAAGGAAGCTAAGATGCTTGAAAAAAGGTTAGAGGAATTGCTAACTAGTATAACCAGTTTAGAGAAGAATATATATGATCTTATGGAGCTGAAAAGCACAGCACAAGAACTTTGTGAAGCATACACAAGTATTAATACCCAAATCGATCAAGTGGAAGAAAGGATATAAGAGATTGAAGATAAACTCAATGAAATAAAAGGAGAAGACAAGATTAGAGAAAAAAACAGTGAGAAGAAGTGAACAAAGCCTCCAAGAAATATGGGACTATATGAAAAGACCAAATATACGTTTGATTGGTGTACCAAATATATGTTTGATGGGGAGAATGGAACCAAGTTGGAAAACACTCTTCAGGAGAACTTCCCCAACCTAGCAAGGCAGGCCAACATTCAAATTCAAGAAATACAGAGAACACAACAAAGATATTTCTCAAGAAGAGCAACCCAAGACACATAATCATCAGATTCATCAAAGTTGAAATGAAGGAAAAAATGTTAAGGGCAGCAAGAGAGAAAGGTCAGGTTGCCCACAAAGGGAAGCCCATCAGACTAATAGCAGATTTCTCTGCAGAAACCCTACAAGCCAGAAGAGAGTCGGGGCCAATATTCAACATTGTTAAAGAAAAGAATTTTCAACCCAGAATTTCATATCCAGCCAACTTAAGCTTCATAAGTGAAGGAGAAATAAAGTCCTTTACAGCCAAGCAAATGCTGAGAGATTTTGTCAACACCAGGCCTGCCTTACAAGAACTCCTGAAGGAAGCAATAAACATGGAAAGGAATGACTGGTACCAGCCACTGCTAAAACATACCAAATTGTAAAGACCATCAACACTATGAAGAAAGCGATCAACTAATGGGGAAAATAATGAGCTAGCATCATAATGACAGCATCAAATTCACACATAACAATATTAAACTTAAAAGAAAATGGGCTAAATGCCCCAATTAAAAGATACAGACTGGCAAGTTGGATAAAGAGTCAAGACCCATCAGTGTGCTGTATTCAGGAGACCCATCTCTCATGCAAAGACACAGATAGGCTCAAAATAAAGGGATGGAGGGAAAAAAAGGGATGGAAAGCAAAAAAAAAAAAAAAAAAAAAAAAGCAGAGGTTGCAATCCTTGTCTCTGATAAAATAGACTTTAAACCAACAAAGCTCAAAAGAGACAAAGAAGGGCATTACATAACGGTAATGGGATCAATGCAACAAGAAGAGCTAACTATGCTAAGTATATATGCACCCAATACAAGAGCACCCAGATTCATAAAGCAAGTTCTTAGAGACCTACAAAGAGACTTGGACTCCCACACAATAATAATGGGAGAATTTAACACACAACTGTCAACACTAGACAGATCAACAAGACAGAAAATTAACAAGGATATCCAGGGCTTGAACTCAGCTCTGGACCAAGCAGTCCTAATAGGCATCTACAGAACTCTCCACCCCAAATCAAGAGAATATACATTCTTCTCAGCACCACATCACACTTATTCTAAAATTGACCACATAATTGGAAGTAAAACATTCCTCAACAAATGCAAAAGAATGGAAATCATAACAGTCTCTCAGACCACAGTGCAAACAAATTAGAACTAAGGATTTAGAAACTCACTCAAAACCACACAAGTACATGGAAACTGAACAACCTGCTCCTGAATGACTCCTGGGTAAATAATTAAATGAAGGCAGAAATAAATAAGTTATTTGAAACCAATGAGAAGAAAGACACAACCTATGAGAATCTCTGGGACACATTTAAAGCAGTGTGTAGAAGAAAATTTATAGCACTAAATGCCCACAAGAGAAAGCAGGAAATACAAAAAATTGGTACCCTAACAACACAACAAAAAGAACTAAAGAAGGAAGAGCAAACCAATTCAAAAGCTAGCAGAAGACAAGAAATAACTAAGATCACAGGGAACTGAAGGAGACAGAGACACAAAAAATACTTCAAAAAATTAATGAATCCAGGAGCTGGTTTTTTGAAAATATCAACAAAATTGAAAGACCACTAGACAGACTAATAAAGAAGCAAAGAGAGAAGAATCAAATAGACGTAATAAAAAATGATAAAGGGGATATCACTGCTGATCCCACAGAAATACAAACTACTATCAGAGAATACTATAAACACCTCTATGCAAATAAACTAGAGAAATGGATAAATTCCTGGACACATACACCCTCCCAAGTCTAAACCAGGAAGTCGAATCCCTGAATAGACCAATAACTAGTTCTGAAAATGAGGCAAAAATGAATAGCCTACCAACCAAAAAAAGGCCGGGACCAGACGGATTCACAGCCTGATTCTACCAGAGGTATGAGGAGCTTGTACCATTCCTTCTGAAACTACTCCAAACAATAGAAAAAGAGGGACTCCTCCCTAACTCATTTTATGAGGACAGCATCATCCTGATACCAAAACCTGGCAAAGACACAACCAAAGAAGAAAATTTTAGGCTAATATCCCTGATGAACATTGATGCGAAAATCCTCAATAAAATACTGGCAAAATGAATCCATCAGCACATCAAAAAGCTTATCCACCACGACCAAGTCGGCTTCATCCCTGGGATGCAAGGCTCATTCAACATATGCAAATCAATAAATGTAATCAATCACATAAACAGAACCAGTGACAAAAACCACATGATTATCTCAATTGATGCAGAAAAGGCATTCGTCAAAATTCAACAGCCCTTCATGCTAAAAACTCTCAACAAACTAGGTATTGATGGAATGTATCTCAAAACAATAAGATCTATTTATGAGAAACCCACAGCTAATATCATACTGAATGAACAAAAACTGGAAACATTCCCTTTGAAAACTGGCAAAGACAAGGATGCCCTCTCTCACAACTCCTATTCAACATGGTATTGGAAGTTCTGGCTAGGACTATCAGGCAAGAGAAAGAAAGAAAGGGTATTCAATTTGGAAAAGAGGAAGTCAAATTGTCTCTGTTTACAGATGACATCATTGTATATTTAGAAAACCCCATCATCTCAGCCCAAAATCTCCTTAAGCTGATAAACAACTTCAGCAAAGTCTCAGGATACAAAATTGATGTGCAAAAATCAGAAGCATTTCTATATACCAATAACAGACAGAGAGCCAAATCATGAGTGAACTCCCATTCACAGTTGCTACAAAGAGAATAAAATACCTGGGAATACAACTTATAAGGGATGTGAAGGACCTCTTCAAGGAGAACTACAAACCACTGCTCAAGGAAATAAGAGAGGACACAAACAAATGGAAAAATATTCCATGCTCATAAATAGGAACAATCAATATTGTGACAATGGTCATACTGCCCAAAGTAATTTATAGATTCAATGCTATCCCCATCAAGCTACCATTGACTTTATTCACAGAATTGGAAAAAACTACCTTAAATTTCATACAGAACCAAAAAAGATCCTGCATAGACAAGACAATCCTAAGCAAAAAGAACAACATTGGAGGCATCACAATACCTGACTTCAAACTATATTACAAGGCTATGGTAAGCAAAACAGCATGGTACTGGTACCAAAGCAGATATATAGACCAAAGGAACAGAACAGAGCCCTCATAAATAACACCACACATCTACAACCATCTGATCTTTGACAAACTGGACAAAAGCAATAGGGAAAGGGTTCCCTATTTAATAAATGGTGTCAGGAAAACTGGCTAGCCATATGCAGAAAGCTAAAACTGGATCCCTTCTTTACACCTGATACAAAAATTAACTCAAGATGGATTAAAGATTTTAACATAAGACGTAAAACCATAAAAACCCTAGAAGAAAACCTAGGCAATAGCATTCAGGCCATAGGCATGGGCAAAGACTTCATGACTGAGACACCAAAAGCAATGGTAAACAAAAAGTCAAAATAGGCAAATGGGATCTAATTAAGCTGAAGATCTTCTGCACAGCAAAAGAAACTATCATCAGAGTAAACAGACAAACTACAGAATAGGAGAAAATTTTTGCAATCTATCCATCCAGAATTTTTGCAATCTATCCATCCAAAGTGATAATATCTAGAATCTACAAAGAACTTAAACAAATTTACAAGAAAAAAAACAAAAAACCCCATCAAAAAGTGGGTGAAGGATATGAACAGACAATTCTCAAAAGAAGACATTTATGCAGCCAAAAGATATATGAAAAAATTCTCATCACCACTGGTCATTAGAGAAATGCAAATCAAAACCACAATGAGATACCATCTCATGACAGTTAGAATGACAATCATTAAAAAGTCAGGAAACAACAGATGCTGGAGAGGATGTGGAGAAATAGGAATACTTTCACACTGTTGGTGGGAGTGTAAATTAATTCAGCATTTTGGAAGACAGTGTGGCGATTCCTCAAGGATATAGAACCAGAAATACCATTTGACCCAGCCATCCCATTACTGGGTATATACCCAAAGGATTTTAAATGATTCTTCTATAAAGACACATGCACATGTATGTTTATTGCAGCACTGTTCACAATAGCAAAGTCTTGGAACCAACCCAAATGCCCATCAATGATAGACTGGATAAAGAAAATGTGGCACATATACACCATGGATCACTATGCAGCCATTAAAAAGGATGAGTTCACGTCCTTTGGAGGGACACTGATAAAGCTGGAAACCATTATTCTCAGCAAACTAACACAAAAACAGAAAACCAAACACCGCATGTTCTCACGCATAAGTGGGAGTTGAACAATGAGAACACATGGGCACAGGGAGGGGAATATCACACACCAAGACCTGTCATGGGGTGGGAGGCCAGGGGAGGGATAGCATTAGGAGAAATACCTAATGTAGATGACGGGTTGATGGCTGCAGCAAACCATCATGGCACATGTATACCTATGTAACAAACCTGCATGTTCTGCACATGTACCCCAGAAATTAATGTATAATAATTTTAAAAAGAACTTAAACAAATTTACAAGAAAAAAACAAATCACCCCATTAAGAATTTGGCAAAGGACATGAACAGACACTTTTCAAAGAAGACATTCATGTGGCCAACATTCATGTGAAAAAAACTCTTAAGTCACTGATCATTAGAGAAACGCAAATCAAACCACAATGAGATCCCATCTCACACCAGTCAGAATGGCTATTAGTAAAAAGTCCAAAAATGACAGATGCTGGTGAGGTTGTGGGGAAAAGGGAACACTTATACACTGTTGATGGGAGTGTAAATTAGTTCGACCATTGTGGAAGACAAACACCTAAAGACAGAAATACCATTCAACCCAGCAATCCCATTACTGGGTAATATACCCAAAGGAATATAAACCACAGGAAGGGGAACATCACACACCGGGGCCTGTTGTGGGGTTGGGGGAGAGGGGAGGGATAGCATTAGGAGATATACCTAATGTTAAATGACAAGTTAATGGGTGCAGCACACCAACATGGCACATGTATACGTATGTAACTAACCTGCACATTGTGCACGTGTACCCTGAAACTTAAAGTATAATAAAAAATAAAAAATTAAAAAATTAAAAAAATAAAGACATGTGTATGTTCATTGCAGCACTATTCACAATAGCAAAGACATGGAATTAACCTAAATGCCCATCAATGGCAGACTGGATACAGAAAATGTGGTATATGTACACTGTGGAGTACTATGCAGCCAGAAAAAAGAACGAGATCATGCACTTTGCAGGGGCATGGATGGAGCTGGAGGCCATATCCTTAGCAAGCTAATCCAGGAACAGAAAACCAAACACTGCATGTTCTCACTTATAAGTGGAAGTCAAATGATGAGAACACATAGAGGGAAAAAGCATACACTGAGGCCTATTGGAGGATAGAGGGTGGGAGGAGGGAGAGGATCAGGAAAGATAACTAATGGGGACTGGGCTTAAATACCTGGATGATGAAATAATCTGTATAACAAAACCCAATGACATGAGTTTATGTTTGTAACAAACCTGCACATGTACCCCTGAACTTAAAATAAAAATTAAAAAAAGGAAAAAAAATTCTAGAAGATAACATTGGAAAAACTTTTCTAGACAATGGCTTAGGCATAGATTCATGACCAAGAAACCAAAAGCAAATGCAACAAAGACAAAGATAAATAGATGGGACTTAATTAAACCAAAAAGCTTCTGCACAGCAAAAGAAATAATCAGCAGAGTAAACAGACAACCCATAGAGTGGGAGAAAATCTTCACAATCTATACCTCCACCAAAGGACTAATATCCAGAATTTACAAGGAACTCAAACCAATCATCAAAAACAAAACAAACAATCCCATCAAAAAGTGGGCTAAGAACATGAATAGACAGTTCTCAAAAGAGGATACAGAAATGGGCAACAAACATATGAAAAAATGCTCAAAATCATTAATGATCAGGGAAATGAAAATCAAATCCACAATGCAATACCACCTCATGCCTGCGAGAATGGCCATGATCAAAAAAATAAAAAAATAATAAATGTTGGCATTCTCAATAGAGAATATCTCTTGTACTAGGGATGGAGCAATGAACAATATACATTCCTTAATATAGGCTTGCATTCTGACAGGAAGAAACAGATGATAAATTTTAAAATAAACAATTACGTATTAGAATATATAGTTCTATAGAACTGTGTTAGAACTATATTCTATTCTGTAGAATATATATATCTATATATTTATATCTCTCTGTATCTATCTATAGATATAGATAGATACATATATGTTTTCCTTTAATAGTCTTTCATGTTTCTCTAATATTAATTGGAAGTGGAAGCCTTGCAACCCAGTCTCTTAGACATAACTCGTGGACAAAGATTTGGGGGAATTTGGATATAAGACAAAATAAAGCTAGATAAATTATTAATTTTCAGTCTATAAATATTTTTGTATTTCCCTAGTAGGTATCAGGAATTATTCTAGGCATTGAAAATACAGGGATAACAAGATAAATTCTCTGCCTTCATGAAACTTACATATTTTAGGAGAGATGAACAAGAAGAAAATAAACATATATGTTCAAACATCTAGTTTTAGATAATGGTAAATACACTGAAGCAATAAAGCAAAGTAAATGGATATATTAGACCCAGTTGAAACACGATCTTGGATCTGCCTAGCATTACCTACCTGCATACTTACTCTGGTGTTGATTACTTACCTTGCTTCTTTGACTCAGCTGGACCTAATGATTGCTTGTATCATCCCCAGGGTTATAAATCTACCATCGCCACCATCACCATCTAAGGAGACCCCCATACATGATGCCACTTTAAGAGGAGAGGCCCCCTCTCCATGCCTTACCTGGAATGTATGCTTGAAGTCTTAGACTTATTCAGAAGCTTCCTGAAACAGCTGCTTTACACAAACTGGAAGTGTGGGGGAGTTAAAATGTTGTTGGATTTCACACCCATTAGAATAACTACTATTAAAAAAACCCCACAAAATAACTCTTGGCAAGGATGTGTAGAAATTGGAACACTTATGCACTGTTGGTAGGAATGTAAAATTGTGCATCTTCTATGGAAAACATTATGGTGATTTCTCAAAAAATTAAAAATAGAATTATCATATGATCTAGCAATTCTGTTTCTGGTATGTATAAAAAATAATTGAGAATGGGTCTCAAAGAGATATTTGCACACCTGTGTTTGCAGCAGCATTATTCACAATAGCCAAGAGGTAGAAGGAACCCAAATGTCCACCTATGAACAGACAAAATGTGGAAAATTTCTCAAAATGTGGAAAATTCCACTACCTATAGTGGAAAATTTCTCAGCCTTAAAAGGAAGGAAATCTCACTACATGTGACACCTTAGATGAACCCAGAGGACATTATACTAAGTGAAATAAGCCAGTCATAGAAAGAAAAATACTGTGTGATTAAATTTACATGAGGTTTCTAGAGTAGTCAAATGCATAGAGACGGAAAGTAGAATGGTGGTTTCCAGTGGCTGGGGAGAGGGGGAAGTGGGGAATTGTTCCTTAATGTGTATAGAGTTTTAGTTTTGCAAGACAAAAAACTTCTGGAGATTGATTACATAACAATGTGAATGTGTTTAACCCAAATAAACTGCACACTTAAAGTGGTTAAATTTTATTCCATGTGTGTTTTACCACAATTTAAAAAACGCCAAAAAACCCCAAAAAACTTTGGGGATAGACTTCAATAATGACAAGTTGGGTATTGGAAGAAGCTAGGAGATAAATTGCTCACTCTTTCTCTACTGAGCCCTACACTGACAAACTGTTAGGAGACCACATAATTTCATGTAGCTCTTCTGGGGACTTCTGTGAGATCAAGTAACTAGGTGTTTTTTTTTCTTGAGAAATTGTGGGCCACTCAATAACGCAACCCCTGGCATATATTCTCTTTTACTAATTATCCCACATCCCTATTATGCTCATTCTCTTTTCTAGGATTTTACTTCCCTTCCCGATACTTTTTAGCATGTAGCTCTTGATTCTCATTTTATTTTTTAGGGAACCCAGGCTTATGCTGTGGGTTTGTGCTACATGGTATGTTCAGACCAAACATTTTAGGAGATATGTTATTTGAGCTGAAGCTTTAATAAGGAAGTAGAATGCAGAGATCTTTGAGGACTTTCCAGAGAGAGGCAACAGCAAGTGCAGAGACCCTGAGATGGGAGCAGGCTTGGTGCTTTTGAGGATTGACAGGCAGGATAATGTTGCTGGCTTGGAGTGAGAAAGAAAACAAGTCATGAGAGATGAGAAGAGTGAGGGAAGAATATCCCTGATCGCTCAGGGCCTGTGGGCATGATAAGAACTCTGAATTTTATTCTAAATGATGTGAAACCCCTGGAGGGGAGTTACATCATCTGAGCTACAGCTATAAAAAGATTTTTGTGGCCGTAATAATAATAAAAAAGGATCAGTGAGGATGTGGAGAAATTGGTATCTTTGTACAGTGCTAGTGAAAACAACATTTAGCTGCTGTGGAAAACTGGCATTTCCTCAAAAGCTAAACCCTATGACCCAGCAATTCCACTCTCAGGTATAACTCAAAAGAATTCAAAACAGATATATAAAAACATATTTATAGCTCTATTCATAATTGTCAACAGGCAGAAAGAACCCAAATTTCCATCAACTGATGAAGGGATAAACAAAATGTGGTATATACATACAATGGAATATCATTCAACCATAAAAAATCATGAAGTACAGATTCATGCTGCAACATAGATGAACTTTGAAAATATGCTGAGTGAAAACAACCAGATACAAAAGGTAACATTTTATCATTTCATTTATATGGAATATCTAGAGTAGGTAAATCCATATGGACAGAAAGCAGACTAGCGGTTGCCAGGGGTCAGGGAAGAAGAAATGGGGAATTACTGCTATGGGGTACTAGGTTTCCTTCTGGGGTGAAGAAAATGTTTTAGAATTGATGGTGTGCAAGATATAAATGTCCTAAATACCATTTGACTGTATACTTCAAATCGTTTATTTGATGTTATGTGAATTTCATCTCAATTTAAAAATCTAAGAAAACTTCCTGGTTTCTCTGTGTATGGTCTGCAGAGATGAGAATGAAGAAGACAACACAGTTGCTCTAGAAGAGGCAAGAGATGATGGTGCCTTGGGCTAAGGTGAAGTAATAGCTCGTTTCTTAGGAATGAAATGAAAGTGGGAAGGCAGTTTGAGGAGTGAGATGCAAGCAAATGAAATGGGTCATTTCTAAATGGGAGCTGAAGAGCACTGTACACCCACTGAGCAACCTCTTTTTGTGTGGGCCAGGATACATTTTCCTCAATCGAGGGCCACATGGTGGGTCGGAACCATATGGCAATTTGATTTACTCTCCACTCTGACAGCTGCCTATTTTGTTGATGATAATTTTTCATCAGTGTTTCTGCTAGTGGAAGAGGAAACAAAGGGTACATAATAGTTCTATTGTCTCTCCTGTCCTTTATGGTTACAATGGAAACAGTGGTTTAATAATTAGATATTTTACAGGCAATTGAAGATGCTGCCAGAAATGTGTAAAACATTTCTTAAACATTTCTTTGTTTTGGATATTCACTTGGGGCCCATATGGTTGTTTTTCCATTTCAAGATGAGTCTTATGACCCCTTTATTTGAGAATTTTGCTGGAGGTGTCCTTCTTAAGCTTCTTATCTGTTGCCATCACTTACAACTTTTCTCCTAACACTGAATAGGACTGGGACAGATAATATCAATCATTTTGAACTTCTGCAAAACAAAGTATGGTTAAAACCACAAGAAAGGCTTGAATTGTTCTTCGTTTCTTTGAGTTTTATTAGCAAAAATTTAAAAATAGATAAAGCTTATCTTTTTCAAGTAATTAAATCCTTTTGTTTAAAGAAACCAATACCAGATAATTTGCATTCAGCAGTTGCTATGGCTTGAATATGTACCCCAAAAAGCATGTGTTAAAAACTTAATTCTCACGGCAACAGTGTTGTGAAGTGGGGTCTAATGGGAGGTGTTTAGATAATGAGGGCTCCAGCTTCATGAATGGATTACTGTTAATTATAAAAGGGCCTGAGTGCAAGTTTGATATCTCTCTCATTCTCTCTCATGCTCTCTCTCTCCTTCTCTCTCTGTCTGCTTTCTCTGGCATATGTGCCCTCTTGCTCTTCTGTCTTCCACTGTGGGATGATGCAGCAGGAAGGCCCTTACCAGGTGCCGAGCAGATGCCACAGCCATGCCCTTGAACTTCCTAGGATCCAAAACCATGAGCCAAATAAATTTATTTTTTAAATAATGTATCCCATCTGTGGTATTCTGTTATAGCAGCAGAAAATGGACTGAAATAGTAGCTTTCCATTTTGATGAACTAGTTTTGTGTTACATCACATCAATTTTACTCTCTTCCCTCAATCAGTATTGTGAGACTTTTAGACAAGCCCAAAGAAATGTGAATAAAACAGGGTAGTAATTGTCACAGTAAAAAGTCTACTGCCCTACATTTTCTGGAAGCTAGACAGCTCAATATCTGAAGGGTATTCTTGTAATGGAGAAGTGAGTGGAGTGAATAATGATCTGGAAGAGTGCTAAGGAAAGAATTCTTATGGCCAAGAATTGAAATCAATGTGTTCACTTTTTCCTGAGCACTAATGTTAGTAGCTTTGTTAAGTGTTGTGTTTGTTTTTATAACCCACATAATGCCATTCCCACAAAAGGGGGAGTTAAGATCGGAGACTGCACACACTGGGAGTGCAAATGATTTCCAAGCTGTCAGTAGTTAAGGATCACCTCTGGGCTACAACGCATTAAAGACTCTTTCCATTTCTCAACTTTCTGAAGATCAGTCAGTACCTCTGTACAATGGAAACTATCCCATAAAACGGAACTGGGATAGAAAGCTTCTTGTAAAAATGTATTTTATTGGAAAATGGCATGCTCAGGCTTGGTAAGTTAGCAGTTTAACTTTTTAGTGCTGGAATATAAAAATAGGTCAAGAGATATTAAAATAGATCATGGTACAGGCTCTTCGCCATGGCTGTCATGGACTAGGTGGCAGCAGCATGTCACAGATAATATGGGTCTTTGTCCTAGGAAGTTTCAGCTATACCTAGATAGGTTAAAAGTGGCAGTCATTCATAAACCTATGGGTGGTAATGGGGTTCTTTAAAGTTAGTTTCTCCTGTCACTCAGTTGAGCCTGCTACCCTTTTTAGGCCATTTCATCTAAATAATCAATACCTGGGAGGAAGACAGGTGGCAGAGCCTCCAAGTACCTGTACCAGTTTCTTCCTAGGTAGAGTGCTAGTACAAAGCTGCTCTTCTATAGCTACTCCTTTGACTACTTCGAAGATTCTGGTATAAGACTAAGGGAGTACAGTAAGATGGAATGATTTCTAAAGAGGTAAATTAATAACAATATGTCCTATATTTAGGGCAACATTTTTTGAATTGAATTCATTGCCAATATTTAAAAACCGGAAGACTGCACAAAATACCAAATTTCTTACTTCTCTTTAAGAATTGGAAAATTGTAATTCCGGAGTTGCTGTCTCAGATGACCACGACCAGCTGTTGCTAAGCAGGGCTGCCCGTCAGAAGAATCAGTCCTGACAAGTGCAAAAAGTTCCCCACATCAGTTTTCTTTCCTACCCCTGCAGCACTGTAGGTCTAGTTAACCTTCCTGGATCCTATAGAAATCGATGTAGAAAATCCCAAATGAATGAATGTAAATTACTTTGGAAAGTGGAGATGGCTAATGACAATTAAGTTATCGCTTTTCTAAACCATAAGCCCTAACTATGCAGAACCCAGCCTGTACAGGTGCTGTCTCTCCACCTCCCACTTTGTTCTATTTTGCACTGTTTACAGTTTGTCACCATAGAATAAAAGATAATTTGATTCACTCTAGAGAGACGATATGCAAAAGAGAATTGCGTGGAAGTATATTTCCCATGGGTATCTGTCTTGGGATGTCTCTTAGATGGAATGTGACCCCATCTAAAGAAAAAGCTTGAGGCTTGAGAAAATAATTATCCTTTTCTTCCAAATTGCTACAGCCTTTCTGGAAGGCAATTTATTAAGGAGTTTATCATAAGCCTTAAAAGCTTGTATATCCTTTGACCCAGTAATTTCATTCCTGGAGACATATTTTGAAGAAATAAGCAGAGATGGGCTCAAACATTTATTGTGGTGGTATTTATAACTTAAAAAGACAAAATATGGAAATAATATAAATACTCAACAAGAAAATACATTATGACATATCCTTGTGAATTCAAGCTATGTAGCCACTGGAAATAATGTTCAAAAGAATATTTAATAATGATGTTAATGTCCCTGATATAAAATGGACAAAATCAAAAAGATACCAAGTCTCTGAAACCCACATTTGTTTGCACATATGCAGAAAAAAACCTGAATGATTTCACAACAAAATATTAATGATAATTATCTAAAACAGTGGTTTTTTATTTTCTATATTGTTTCTATAATTTGCCATTTCTGCCATGAATAAATATGAATTTTATACTCAGGAAAAATTACTGTAAAATCCCTTCCTCTTATTCCCCTTCTAGTTTTCCCTCTAGATACTACCCCCTCCCCAAACTTCAACAACTGGAGTCAGAAGAAAAAATAAAAAGATCGGAAAAGCCACCAAGTGATTCATCTTAGAGAATCTTAATGAAGAGTGAGGCTTCTTGAGTTCAAATTCCAGTTCAGATACTGTTTGGCTATGTAAGCCTGGGCAACTACTTGGTCTCCTCATGCCTCAGTTTCCTCATATATAAAATGAGTATGTAACAATACTTAAAGGATTTTTGTAAGGATTAAATAAGTTAATATTTTAAAGCACTTAAAACAGAGCCTAGTATATTTTAGGTGCTCTCTGAGTGTTTATTGAATAGATCGAATATTGTATAAGCAATTTATGCTGGAGGTGGCAATCACATTTTAAAATTTAGGTGATAATGTTTTGAAGATATCACTTTGTGTCTTCTGGATTTTTGAAGGGACCAAAGGCAATTTGTAGTTCAATGTGCTTTATGGGTCAGGTCAGAGTTATTGGAAGTGCTGTTGACAACCTGGTGAAGGTGTATCAAATATTCCAGTATTTTTTTTTGGGGGGGGCACTCCCCCAAACAGGTTAAGGCTCCTGAGCATTGCTCATGTTTGTTCAGGTTTTGTGGTACACTGCTTTGACTGAGAGCAGTGTAATTTAATAGCTTATTAAACTAAGGCGTGCTATAAACTCCTATCAGACTGCCTGGATGCCCTTTTGTCATCTCAGAGGAATCCAGAAAACTTATCAATTTGCCACTCAAGTGGTAATGATCTGAGATCAAAGTATAAACAAAAAAAAAATGATGTTAGAGATTTTTGTTAAACCACATACTAAACACAAATAAAATTACTTCATATGCCCTAGTATACAGAATGTACGAAAGGGTATACTTTTATTTTAAGAGAAGATGTGCAATTTCTCACTAAGAAATATACATGGATATGAGGCTTCCTGCCCTCAAGGAGCTTAGAGCAGCCCTTCCAAGCATTTGGCAGCTGGAAAGTGCTTGACATATTGTAAGCACCTGATAATTATTTAAAATAAGAGTGATAAGGTAGCTAGACTTGATCTTTTAGGTATATAAGAAATTTGCAAACTCTAGGTGGAGGGGCAGCAACCATCACTGCAGCTCCAGTTTGCTGTTTTTCTCCTGCCAGTGCCAGGGAGACTGTACAGTTTAGACCCAAGAGGAATTCCCCACAGCACAGCACAGCACAGCACAGAGACTGTGACAGGTCATGGCCAGACTGTCTCTTTAGGCTGGACCCTGACCCATCCCCCCTCACTGGACAGGGCCTCCCTGCAGGAATTTCAGCAACTGCAGCCAGGGGTTTAGGGACAGAACTCTGATCTCTCTGGGACTGAGCCCCTTGGGGGAGGCGCAGCTGCAGTCTTCTAGGATCAGCAGAATTAGTCTTTCCCCTTGTGGACTCTGAGGAATCCAGGCAGTCTGGACTACTGGGATATCCCCCAGCACAGCATACCGCTTCCACAAAGGAGCGGCCAGAGTGCTTTGTTAAGATGGCCCCAGATCTCTTGCCTCTTGACTGGGTGAGACACCCCCCAACACTGGTCACCAGCCACCTTATGCAGAAGAGTTTCCACTGGCATCAGGTCTGTGCCCCTCTGGGAAAGAGATCCAAGAGGAAGGAGCATGTATTCATTTTTGCTGTTCTTCAGCCTCCACTGGTGACACCTCCAGGTGTGGGAGGGACCCAGGTGACTCGGGTCTAGAGTGGACCCCCAGCAAAGAGCAGCAGCCCTATGGAAGAGAGGCCTGACTGTTGGAAGAAAAACAAACAGAAAGCAACAACAGCAGCATCAAAAAAAGTCTCTTAAAAAACCCCATCCAAAGGTCAGCAGCATCAAAGACTGAAGCTCAATAAACTCACAAAAATGGAAAAGAATCCATGAAAAAATGCTGAAAACTCAAAAAGCCAGAGTGCCTCTTCTCCTCCAAATGATTGCAACACCTCTTTAACAAGGGCACAGTACTGGGCAGAGGCTAAGACAGTTGCATTCATAGAAGTAGGCTTCAGAAGTTGGGTAATAATGAATTTCATTGAGCTAAAGGAACATGTTCTAACCCAGTACAAAGAAGCCAAGAACTATGATAAAACATCACAGGAGCTGTTAACCAGAATAACCAGTTTAGAGAGGAACATAAATGACCTGATGGAGCTGAAAAACACAACACGAGAACTACACAGTGCAACCACAAGTATCAATAACCAAATAGACCAAGCAGAGAAAAGAATTTCAGAGCCTGAAGACTATCTTGCTGAAATGAGACAGGCAGACAAGATTAGAGAAAAAGGAATAAAAAGGAATGAACAAAACCTTTGAGAACTATGGGACTGTGTAAAGAGACCAAATCTAAGACTGACTGGGATATCTGAAAGAGACGGGGTGGATGGAACCAAGTTGGGAAACATACTTCAGGATACCATCCAAGAGAACTTCCCCAACCTAGCAAGACAGCCCAACATTCAAATTCAGGAAATCCAGAGAACCCCAGTAAGATACTCCATGAGAAGATCAACCCCATACACATAATCTTCAGACTCTCCAAGGTTGAAATGAAGAAAAAAATGTTAAGGGCAGCCAGAGAGAAAGGCCAGGTCACCTACAAAGAGAAGCCCATCAGACTAACAGCGTACCTCTCAGCAGAAACCCTACAAGCCAGAAGAGATTGGGGCCAATATTCAATATTCTTAAAGATAACATTTTTCAACCCAGAATTTCATATCCAGCTAAACTAAGCTTCATAAGTGAAGGAGAAATGAAATCCTTTTCAGACAAAGAAATGCTGGAGGAATTCATCACCACTAGCCCTGCCTTACAAGAACTCCTAAAGGAAGCACTAAATATGGAAAGGAAAAACTGTTACCAGCCCCTGCAAAAACACACTGAAGTACAAAGAGCAATGACACTGTGAAGCATCTATATCAAGTCTGCAAAATAACCAGCTAGCATCATGATGACAGGATCAAATTCACATATAACAATATTAACCTTAAATGTAAATGGGCTAAATGCTCCAAATAAAAGACACAGGATAGCAAGCTGGGTAAAGAGTCTTGACCCATCAGTGTGCTGTATTCAAGAGAACCATCTCATGTGCAAAGACACACATAGGCTCAAAGTAAAGGGATGGAGGAAAATTTACCAAGCAAACGGGAAGCAGACAAAAGAAGGGGTTGCAGTCCTACTTTCTGAAAAAACAAACTTAAGCCAATAAAGATGAAAAAAGACAAAGAAGGGCATTACATAATGGTAAAGAAATCAACTCAACAAGAAGAGCTAACTATTCTAAATATATATACACCCAATATAGGAGCACCCAGATTCATAAAACAAGTTCTTAGAGACCCACAGAGAGACTTAAACTCCCACACAATAATAGTGGGAGACTTTAACAACCCATTGTCAATATTAGAGAGATCATTGAGACAGAAAATTAACAAGGTTTTTCAGGACTTGAACTCAGCTCTGGATCAAGTGAACCTGATAGATATCTACAGAACTCTGCAACCAAAAAGACAGCATATACATTCTTCTTGGCACCACATGGCACTTACTCTAAAAATTATCACATAATTGGAAGTAAAACACTATTTAGCAAATGTGGGAGAGCTGAAATTATAACAGTATCTCAGACCACAGCACAATTATATTAGAACTCAAGATTAAGAAATTCACTCAAAGCACACAACTACATGGAAATTTAACAACCTGTTCCTGAATGACTCCTGGGTAAATAAAAAATTAAGGCAGAAATAAAGAAGTTCTTTGAAACCAATAAGAAAAAAGAGACAACATGCTAGAATCTCTGGGACACAGCTAAATCAGTGTTAACAGGGAACTTTATAGCACTAAATTCCCACATCAAAAAGCTAGAAATATCTCAAATCGACACCATAACATCACAACTAAAACTAAGAGAAAACAAACCCCAAAATAAACCCCAAAGCTAGCAGAAGACAAGAAATAACCAAGATCAGAGTGGAATTGAAGGAGATAGAGACACGAAAAACTCTTCAAAAAATCAATGAATCCAGGACCTGGGTTTTTGAGAAAATTAATAAAATAGATAGACTGCTAGCTAGACTAATAAAGAAGAAAAAAGAGAGAGGAATCATATAGAAACAATAAAAAACGATAAAGGGGAAATCACCATTGACTCCGCAGAAATACAAACAACCATCAGAGAATACTATAAACCATTTCTTCTGAAACTATTCAAAATAATTAAAAGTAGTCCAAATAATGAAAAGGAAAGACTCCTCCTTAACTCATTTTTTGAGGCCAGCATCATTCTAATACCAAAACCTGGCAGAGATACAACATAAAAAGAAAACTTTAGGCCAGTATCACTGATGAATATCAATGCAAAAATCCTCAATAAAATACTGGCAAACTGAATCCAGCACATCAGAAAGCTTATCCACCACAATCAAGTCGGCTTCATCCCCAGGCTGCAAGGCTGGTTTAACATAGGCAAATCAATAAACATACTTCATCACATAAACAGAAATAAAGGGAAAAACCACATGATTATTTAAATAAATGTAGAAAAGGCCTTCAATAAAATTCAACATCCTTCCATTAAAAACTCTAAATAAACTAGGTGTTGATGGAACGTACCTCAAAATGATAAGAGCCATTTATGCCAAACCCACAGCTTATATCATACTGAATGGGCAAAAGCTGGAAGCATTCCCCTTGAAAACTAGCACAAGACAAGGATGCCCTCTCTCACCACTCATATTCAACACAGTATTGGAAATTCTGGCCAGGGCACTCAGGCAAGGGAAAGAAAAAAAGGGTATCAAATAGGAAGAGAGGAAATCAACCTGTCTCTGTTTGCAGATGACATGATCCTATATCTAGAAAACTCCATCGTCTTAGCCCAAAAGCTTCTTAAGCTGATGAACAACTTCAGCAAATTATCAGGATACAAAATCAAGGTGCAAAAATCACAGGCATTCCTATACACAAACAATAGACAAGCAGAGAGCCAAATCATGAATGAACTCCTACTCACAATTGCTACAAAGAGAATAAAATACCTAGGAATACAACTAACAAGAGAAGTGAAGGACCCCTTCAAGGAGAACTGCAAACCACTGCTCAAAGAAGTAAGAGAGTACATAAACAAATGGAAAAATATTCCATGCTCATTGATAGCAAGACTCAATATCATAAAAATGGCCATACTGCCCAAAGTAATTTATAGATTCAATGCTCTTCCCACTAAACTACTATTGACATTCTTCACAGAATTAGAAAAAACTACTTTAAAATTCATATAGAACCCAAAAAGAGCCCATATAGTCAAGACAATCCTAAGCAAAAAGAACAAAGCTGGAGGCATCATGCTACCCAACTTCAAACTATTAATGTACAACAAAGCTAGAGTAATCGAAACAGCATGGTACTGGTACAAAAACAGACACATAGAGCAATGGAATGGAATAGAGATATCAGAAATAAGAATCACATCTACAACCATCTAATCTTCAACAAACCTGATGAAACAAGCTATTTAATAAATGGTGCTGGGAAAACTGGCTAGCCATATGCAGAAAATTGAAACTGGATCACTTCCTTACCCCTTATACAAAAATTAACTCAAGATGGATTAAAGGCTTAATTCAAGATGGATGTAAAACCTAAAGCTATAAAAACCATGGAAGAAAATCTAGACAATAGGTACAGGCAAAGATTTCATGATGAAAAAATCAAGACAATTGCAACAAAAGCAAAATTTAGGATCCAATTAAACTAAAGAGCTTCTGCACAGCAAAAGAAACTCTCATAAGAGTGAACAGATAGCCTACAGAAAGGGATGACATTTTTGCAATCTATCCATCTGACAAAGGTCTAATATCCAGGGTCTACAAGGAACTTAAATTTACCAGAAAAAAACAACCCCATTAAAAAGTGGGTAAAGAACGTGAACAGACACTTCTAAATAGAAGACATTTATGCGGCCAATAAACATATGAAAAAAAGCTCAACATCACTGATCATCAGAGAAATGCACATGAAAACCATAATGAGACAGCATCTCATGACATTTGGAATGGTGATTATTAAAATCTCAAGAAACAACAGATGCTTGTGAGGCTACGGAGAAATAGGAACACTTTTACACTGTTGGAGGGAATGTAAAGAAATTCAACCATTGTGGAAGTTAGTGTGGTGATTCCTCAAAGACCTAGAACCAGAAATACCACCTGACCCAGCAATCCCATTACTGGGTATATACCCAAAGGAATATAAATCATTCTGTTATAAAGATACATGCACGTGTATGTTCATTGCAGCACTATTCACAATAGCCAAGACATGGAATCAACCCAAATGCCCAGCAATGATAGACTGGATAAAGAAAATATGGTACATATACACATGGAATACTATGCAGCCATAAAAAGGAATGAGATCATGTCCTTTGCAGGGACACGGATGGAGCTGGAAGCCATTAGCCTCAGCAAACTAACATAGGAACAGAAAAGCAAACACCACATGTTCTTACTTATAAGTGGGAGCTGAAAAATGAGAGCACAGGGAGGGGAACAACACACACTGGGGCCTGTTTGGGGGTGGCAGGTGTGTGGGGAGGGAGAATATCAGGATAAATAGCTCATGCATGTGGGGCTTAATACCTAGATGATGGGTTGATGGGTGTAGCAAACCACCGTGGCACACATTTACCTATATAACAAACCTGCACATCCTGCACATATATCCTGGAACTTAAAATCAAATTAAATTAAAAATAAATGAATAAATTTGCATTTTGGTTAGAAATTCTATGCAAATAAATTCTAGTTTTAGTATATTGGGCATTGCCCAATTTCTAAGCCTATAGCCATTTAACCAATATCTCCTTACTCTCCCCCCCAAATCTGGACATAATTCTAACTTTAGGCAAGTACATCAAGTATGTCTATCTCAAAATTAAAGCCTAGCATCAATATTTAAAGAAATAGGTTATTTCTGAATTTGCCAAACAAGTTGCTTCTTATATTATTTGCACATGTTGGTCCCTCTGCCCAGAATGCTTCATCTCCAGGTATTTGCATGGCTTTATCCCTCACTGCCTGCAGGTCTCTGATCAAGTGTCACCTTATCAACAAGAACTTTTTTTTTCTCTATAGCATCCTTATAGATGTTTAGCATCCTTATCTCTTTTTGATTGGGGTTCTATTTTGCCACCACCAGTTGCTCTTTCAAAGGGCTAGCGTCCTGTTCCCGATCCCTGGAGAGGGGTGGAGCTCTTCTATCTGGGCAGAATTCCTCCATGTTGACCACTTGCTTAGACTTTAACTGTGCCTACCCCAAGGGGGTTCCTGTTCAGATTCCTACCACTTCAAGTCAGAGCCCAAGTCTAATAGATACCTCAATTGACTTGTGATCTAAGAGACATTTACTGAGTACTTCTATGACCCAAGCTCTGGACTTAGAGATGGGCAATAAGAGTTCTGCTTACTATTTAAATGGGAATTCTGTCACTGAATAAATGATTACAAATGTGATGAAGGTTCTCCTGGGTTATTCTGTTGTAGGGTCAACAAATTTGTTGTTGTAAAGGGTCATAGAATATACATTTTAGGTTTTGTAAGCCTTCTGGTCTTGTTGCCACTATTCAACTCTGTTGTTCTAGCATGGAAGAAGCCACAGAAAATACATAAGTAAATAAGCATAGCTGTGTTTCGGTAAGCTTTGCTTACAAAAACAGGAGGTGGGATGGATTTGTTCCATAGGCTGTACATACTTTGCTGGCCTCTTCCCCATTGTTGCCCTAGCTCTCTTGGTACTACATTTTCCACAACCCCTGCCGGGATGGTGTTAGATTAGAATTGGTGTGAGAGTTTGTAAAGCAAAAGTGAAACAGAGCAGCGTATATCAAACTCTGAAGGGCTTTGGTGGTTAGAGATGGTGAGAGACAGAGAGAGGGGCAATTGCAATTCATTCTGTTGAAAGTCCAACTCTGCTTTATGTGGAAGGCTCTTTGACCAACTGTGACCCCATCCCACTCAGAGACAGTTTGCTATGAACTCATTGCAAACAGAAACCTTCTGTAGAACCAGCCTCATTCACTTTCTTACTGTAGAATGTGAACATGCTAAGGTTCCAGATCTCTGAAGTCTGAACATTTTCACCCACAACATGGCTGGTGAGTGAATTTCTCATTTTTTGGAGCTTTCCTCCTCCAGACCCCCTGACACTTGCTTACGGTCTAATTCCTATGATAAACTCCTTATTCTATTGCAGTTATGCTTTCTTGAGTGAATCTTGACTGTTCTTAGAGAATAAAGTCCAGAAGGGTGTGAGGTTTTCTTAGGCTAGCCCTAAGTATTTGCCACTAAATATTTTGCCCACTGACTGCATTTATGATCCTTTCTATCTCCTCTAGTTCATTAATTTCCTTTCTCAATTTTAGAATGGACTTGATTATTAGTAGTATTATTTTATAATTTATCTAAAGCTGGAGACTGGTAGTATATTTTTGACAAAATAATTCTACCGGGCCATTCTGCAAGTAAGACAGACATACTCTTTCAAACAGCAAACATGTGTTTGCTTTTTCACCTTCCCTTGTTATAAAAACCTGACAGAGACTGTGGTTGGAGTGAGGACAGTAGGGAGGCAACTGACACCACAGTCTGTTGAGGTACAAGCCCTGGGTATTGGTGTTTGACCCATCTTGATTCAAATCCTCTCACTCTCTGTGTAAGCCTGGGCAAATTCCATTTCAGATTCTGCATGATCCCATATGTTGCACGGAAAACAATGCCTACTTAGGAATTGTTGGGATGATTAATATGCTTGGCATTGCTGGAGTGGATGTTTAACAGCTGAAATTTCCTGCCACTATCCTGTGCTTGCCTCTCTGCCATGGTCTCTTCAGCTTCACTCAATTCTCTGTTCTGGTCCACTTTGCATAGCTATGGCAGCACTCCTCCTCACAGGCCCAGCACACCTGAGTGTTCCTATCAGCCATAGGGACTCACCATGAGATGTGATTTTCTGCTCAGGGATGTTGGCAGGGGAGGATAAAGGAGAGAAAGCTACAAGCCCCAATTTCTAAATGAACATCGATGTTCATTATAGATGATTCTGATACACACTTCTTAGAGGAAATGACAGGAGTTCCTATACCAATAGAGGTGGTTTTTTTTTTTTTTTTTTTTTTTTTTTTTTTTTTTTTTTTTGACAGGCTTTTGATGTGATCTCGGCTCACTGCAATATCAGTCTCCTGGGTTTAAGTGATTCTCATGACTCAGCCTCCTGAGTAGTTGGGATTACAGGTGCCCACCACGGCACCCTGCTAATTTTTGTACTTTTAGTAGAGACAGCGTTTCACTATGTTGGCCAGGCTGGTCTCAAACTCCTGACCTCAAGTGATCTGCCCACCTTGGCCTCCCAAAGTGCTGGGATTACAGGCATGAGCCACCTTGCCCAGCCCCAGTAGAGTAATTCTAAAAACACGAGGTAGATAGAATTGCTTCACTTGGAATGATTTACATGGTGCTCCATCTTCAAAGAACTGAAACTTACTTGGCTTAAATGCTACTTCTTCCATGAAATCTTTTCTGGTCCTTCCAGCTGCAAATTTCTCTCTATTATCTAAACACACATAATGCTTGATTGTTCTCTGATAATAAAAATCTTTTACATAAATATATAGTAGCACAGCAGTTGAAAGTACAGGTGAAAGATTAGAGTTTATGTGCCAATTTTTAAAATAGAATTTACAAATTTGGAAACAGTTACTTTCTCTTAGACACAGTTTTCTTATTCTTAAAATGGGGATAATAAAATAGTGCCTACTTGCCTGACATATTGTAAATACCCACAAACATTAGCTGTTATTCTTCTTAGTATGTAGTTTCTTAAATTTTGTCCCTCCCTTGTATATGAATTATCTAGGAGAATTATATTTGGTTTATCACATTTATAGCTTTGATCTGTATTGTAGATCCCTAAACCACATTTGTTTAAGGAATAAATATATGAATATACTTAGTTAATCATAAAAATAATTCATCTGGAGAAGAAGAATAGAACAATATGCTTAGAAATACTTGCTTCTGGTAGACATGAACTTAGGATTAAAAACATCTTGTATGATTTTTCAAATCATATACTTTTAAATATTTAAGATCCTAAATTGCCCTCTTGCTGTGTTATCTTCCTGTTGCCCTCATAACTTATTTCTTACCTTCACTGAGCTAACTCCTGCTGGCATCAGTTCCCAAAAAGAAAATTAATGTGCTCTACTCAGGAGGCTGAGGCAGGAGAATGGCATGAACCGGGGAGGTGGAGCTTGCAGTGAGCCGAGATCGGGCCACTGCACTCCAGCCTGGGTGACAGACGGAGACTCCATCTCAAAAAAAAAAAAAAAAAAAAAAAAAAAAATTAATGTGCTTACTCTTAAATAAATGATGACACTATTGCTAGTTTTTTTCTACAAGGGATTCTTCTATGTCTTATTGGAGCAGTGAGATATAGAGAGAAAGAGCACTTCTATGCTCTCTCCTTGAAATGCAAAGAGATATCTCAAAAGCAAATATTTCACATTTGTTTTGGATGCTACTGACACATCTTAATTTACAGTTATGGAGAAGCTCTGTGTTACAAAGCTGATATCTGAAGAAATAACTTGAGATGAGAAAATTTGACAATCCCTGCCTTTTTTCATGACCTCATAGATGATGGATAATTTCACAGTGACGGCAGCTTGGGATAAAGTTATGGAAATTCTTTTCTTGTCAAATATAAGGTATAAATGTGTGTATGCATGTGTGCATTTTTATATTTTTTCCCTTCTCTCTAAATTTTAAATAGTGTAGCCCTCTCTGATGGTATCTTAACATCTGTAAGAAGGTTGAACATTGGGGAAACATTAAGATTCATTTTATCTCAGATTTAGTTGTAATCTGCATGAAGGAACACTGGAGCTGAAGAAATAGCTGCAAATGTGAGTTCTATATCCATGGCCAAAAGGAAGGTTCTTTCTTTTCCTTTCTCTCTCTCTCTCCATCTTCCTTCGCCACTTCTGTCCTCCATCTCCTCCTTTTTTCTTCCTCTTCTTCACCCTTCCTTCTTCTCTTTCCTCTTTTGTCATCTTCCACTCTTTGCTGCTTCTTCTGGCTCCTTTTTCCATCTTCCTTCCTCCCTTTTCTGTTGTTTTGTCCCCCTACTTTTTGTTTTTCTTCAAATTTTGTCGTCCATTCTTGCTGAAAAAGAAATTATGTAGCATACTCGTTCTTTTCAGTGAATAATCATAGCTTTTTAGAGATTTTTAATTATTATTACAATTAATCTGATAGTGATTTTCAGCCTCTTGCAGAGCACTTTTGGTAATTCTGCCTGTAAATCTCTTCAGTCTTTACTTCCCTTTTTTTTCATAATATGCCCCATTATGATGACAAAAGGGCATCTGATTCTAAGAGTGTAAATATCACATTAAACAGCACTATGAGTGTTTCATTCTTCACTTATGGATTACTGTTTTATGGCTCATAAATAAAGCACAGCAAGCATAGTTAAAATCTGGGAAATGTACACACAGCACATTGTACACAGGGCTTCCATCTCCTAAGGTAAAAAGATTTTTTACTAACATCATGTATTTTTCATATTGTTATTTTCTTCTTGTTTATGGTTAAATTTTATTTTAACATCATGATTCATCAACATAGACCTTCCACACTGATCTTTGATTACATGGAATCTTAGTGTGTTAAAGGTAGAAGGGAGGATTGGAGATCATGTAGCAATGTTAGGATTTTATACCTGGGCTCACAACCATGTCTTGGACTTATTACCATGTTTTATTACCAGTAGAAGCAGGAGAAAAATTCGGGTTAGCTTTTACTAATAAATACAGTCATATTGCTTATTTTCAGTGATAGCTGTCAGAGCATCAAGAAGTTGAGGGTTGATATGTTGTGATGACTACAAAATGACAGTATGATGAATATGAGTGTGGGTTCCATTGTCAGACTGATTTAGGTTCAAATGCCAGCCACTACTGTCTAGCTGGTAACCTTGGGTGAGTAACTTAATTCTCTCTGGGCTTCTATTTTCCCAAACTGCAAAAAAGGGAATAAGAAAGTTAAAATAAAAGCCCTTTCCTAAGTAAGGGAATTAGGAAAGTGACTGTCGGATGTTAAGTATAAAATTAATTTTAGTTGCACCTTGTATTATTGTTGTTATTATTATCATTAGTATTATACTTATTATTAGTGTTATACTTCTTTCCACAGTACTAATTCTTGCCATAATGTTCAGTGTGTGTGATATCCTACAGTTGAGTTTGTTTCCATTGAACTTAGAGTAGGTATATCCTAAAAAATCTGAGAAAAATATAGGGCAATGTTGGAGAGTGTGGCCACTGTGCAAGTAGCACTGAGAAAAAGATCATTGCTATCCCAGATGATTTCAAACCCTTTTCGGCCATCCATCCATCCCTCTTTCTCTCCCTCCCTCCGTTCCTCCCTCCTTCCCGTAAATAGTTACTGAGTGATTTCTATATGTCAGATCTCAAATTCCTCGGAGACCAAGAACTCCTAAATATTAAAGTAATATTTGTTGCTATCATCAGCATTTTCTATTGCTTTTTGGCTAATGGGGATGAGGAGAGATGTTGTTGGATATAAGAGAGAGTCTAATCAAGGAGTTTGTGTTTGTGTTATAAAAGATGAGTTGTAACACCAGGCCTATCCTAGAAAGGAATATTTTGTGTCATGACTGTCCCAGAAGGAAGACATGCCTTGGTAGTACTAAGCTATGTATTTACAAACCAACTCAATTTGGCAAAAATCATCTCCACAAAATAGACAAAAATATTTTTTATACAACTGCCAAAGGCATTTTCCCTGACTGGTTTATTAAAGTTATCTAGAGTGGTGGCACAAAGAATGCTGCGAAAAGTCTGAGGCAGTACTACAGAACTGTAAACGTTTCTGAACTGTGGCTTCATTTTTAATAAACCAGACTTCCTTCCTTCCTTCCGTCCTTCCATCCCTCATCTTTCCATTCTTCCTTCCTGTGAAGAGTTATACATCCTTGATCCCAGAGCCTTCTACTATAAAAATCCACCTCTTATTGAACACCTAATATATGCCAGGAAATGTATTGAGCTCTTTGCATACCTGATTACCCAGGGAGTAGGCATCGGTATAAGAAACTCTAGTTTAGAGATGGTAAATAGAAAAGGGAAGACTTGAGTCTCCTTGATTTCAAATCTGTGACTGTATCCACTGCTTAAGAAGAAATGGAAAGAAAAAAGTCAAGGAAGATGGATGGATGATTGCCTGTACCACTGTTGAATGGAATTTCCTGAAAAGAGAGGAGGCACTTTTGCAAGCTGGATTTGTTGTAACCATATCAGAGGTTGCAGTTTATCTTAAGCTTTGCTTGCTGATGGGACAATAAGTTATAAAAGTGATTAGAGAGGGCTACTTAGTGAAAGCACCAGCCTGTAGTATTCTGCCCATAAACTTGAAAGATGTGTTTTCTACAGGACTGTGCAGACCCAGAACTGGTTAATGAGGGCTCCTGTGAGAACAAAGGGCGGGAAATTTTAAAATACGAACTGATAAGAGGCATTCCCCTTTAAGCTGTCATCAGCATCCAAGTTATAACCTGGGCATGCAGTGGCAATTCTCCAGGGTGATAACTCTGAGCATGAAGTGGCTAAGGGAAAAAGGGAAGTAAAAGAATAAGAGTTATTATACCATTCAAGACTACAGTGAGAGATATATGTCGAAAAGAAAGGGTTGTCTAGTCTAGTTCTCATACTTGTTCACACATTGGAGCGTTGTAAAAATGACTAAAGTTTTATTGTGTCAGAGGAAGTATAGTTCCTGTTAATTTTTTTACATGGAGAGTACACAACAGTCACATTTGAATTTTAGCATGTAGTCTGTAACTGAAAAATAAATGAATAAAAAGTTAACACATGTTTTTCCTAACACTGTGTTGACCGAAGGTTTTTTAGATGTCATTTGGAGTTTGGAAAAGGACGTACATCTTCCTTTTAAGATCTAAAGGAAAAGAGCCTTATCGGTACCTGTCTTGATCCTTTTCCAGCCTGCCGGTGTGCTTCCTACATCTGTACTTCCAGCTGTGCTTGGTGCAAACAAGAAGCTCAGAAAAGCTGACAGTGACTATGCATTGGTACAGTCCTGTTAGGAGAGCATATGTTAATGGCGCTGAGCCCACAGCCCCAGACCATGTGAGCTGTTCCATTCTTTATTATCCATATCTCAGATATTCCTCCCTTTGGAGATCATGTTCTTAAAAATTTGGAAGGATATAATGATTATTTGCAGGCTTTGAAACATGAGCATGTTTATGTTGGAATGTGACCATGTATGTCTAAGCAAGGTCAATCTAAGTGTTGTTTTTCTGTTTATTACAGTTTTCTAAAATGTGGAAATAACCTTGAGCCTGTAATTTCAGGGTTTGAACCTTTACTGCATAATGTAAGGATCGAACAAGATAAAATATGAGGAAAAATTTAAAAACTGTAAAGAAAAGGGGTGTTTTGGGAAACTTATGACTCCTTTTCTTTTTATTTTATTTCTAATCTGTCTTTCTTGAATAATAAGCTTGCTGGGGCTCAGAGGAAGCTATTTGCTAGTAAGATTTGAATTCTGCAGGAGTTAGGGTGGGTCAAAGGAGAATGGAGTTTTATTTTCTTTTTTCTTTTTTTTTTGCCTTTATGGATAGATGATAACCCAAAGACCATCAGAAGGAATTGCAGGGAGGATTGAAAATTGAAAGTCCTGTGGAAACCATGGGCCTCAGCAATGTGTGGACCCCCTTCCTGATAGATGGTCAACATTGTCCATGGGTGTATGGCTGGTCTCACTGGTGCTTAGGAGGCCAAAAAGAAATTGATGGGTGGATGAAGTCCTCCCTGCTTCTCAGGCAGAGAGAGTGAAAGTAGGCTAGGGATTAGGCAAAGAATTAGTTTTTGGTGCACTGGCAGAGACTTATGGAGTAGAGAATACTTAGCTTCCTCTCTTTACAGGGCATAGTGGTCTCCAGCAATCAAACCTTTAGACTCCATGGAAAAACAATATTAAAAATGACCAGAAGCTAGAGATATGAAGATCAGTCAGAACAGAGGAGCCAAATGACAGCTTAAAAATAAAAAAACATTCAAGGCAATATAAGAGTAAAATTTCTGGAATTAAAAACAAGTTTCGTGCAAGAGTTTTTGGTTTAATTGAAGGAAAGAATGATCAGAGTTGAGAATAAATTGATGACCCAGGAAATTAACTGGGCTAAATTTTTTTAAAATAAAGAACAAAAATATAAAGAGAGAAATTATGACCAAAAATAAGAGACACGGAGGACAGATCTTGGACATCAAAATGCACATATAATTTAGGAATACAATTTCTCTGAGATCAAAGACCCAAGTCATGGAATGAAAGGGCATATTGTGAGGGCTAGGGAATATTGATGAGATAAAATATACATGAGTATACTTGGAAAATTCTGGAATTTTAAGAACAAAAAGAAATTCTTATAACCTTCCAGCCAGAAAGAAAAGGTCACAAATAAGAGAAGAGATTTAGACTATTTTCCTAGTTTGAATCTGCAATATAGGAGTCAGGGATACAGTGGTATAGTTCTTCACGACAACGCAGTGTAAAGGATTTCAACCTGAGACTCTCTTACTTTGCAAAACTGTAATTCATCTGGAAGGTCAAATTATTCTATTAATATTTTATAATAATTCATAGAGTATATTTTTCAGGAAAACACAATGGTCTAGAAGAGATTCTAAGTGAACAAGTAAAGGAGAAATAAGAAATCAAGCCAGGGAAATGTGAAATGGTGTAGAAACTGAGAACAATGAATGGTAGATAAATGCTGTTTTTGTGTTTACTTAGACATGAATGGATCATAATATAGAGTATTTGAGTATATGTTATATAAATGCTAAATATACTATGATAAAAGTATAAATAAAGAGAAGAGACACACTGCAATAAAAATTCATGTAATAGTTTAGATTTAAAATTACTAAATTTTTTTTAGTAACTCCTACGATTGAGGTGGGGAAAAAAGATAAGGGAAGTAAATCATTTCAAATTCTTTCTCAACATTGGGGGAGGATGCTCTAGAGAAATGCATATACAGTAGGTTCCCCTTACCCACGGTTTTGCTTTCTGCAGTTTCAGTTACCCACAGTCAACTGTGGTCCAGAATTATTAAATGAAAAATTCCAGCAATAAACAACTCATAAGTTTTAAGTTGCCTGCCTTTCTGAGTAGTGTGATGAAATCTCACACTGTCCAGCTCTGTCCCACCCAGGACGTGAATTGTCCCTTTGTCCGCACTGTAGACACTTCCCACCCATTAGTCACTTAGGAGCCGCCTGAGTTATCAAGTGGACTTTGGTAGTTTTGCAGTGCTTGTGTTCAAATAACCCTTATTTTACTTAAAAATGGTCCTAAAGTGCAGGAAACTTGACAATTCCAACATGCCAAAGAGAAGTCGTAAAGTACTTCTTTTAAGTAAATAGGTGAACTCTCTGATTTAACAAGGAAAGAAAAAAATCATAGGCGGAGGTTGTTGAGATCAATTGTAAGAACAAATCTTCCATTTGTGAAATTGTGAAGAAGAAAAAGAAATTTGTTCTAGTTTTGCTGTCTCACTTCAAACTGCAAAAATTATGGCCACAATGTGTGATGAGTGCTTAGTTAAGATGGAAAAGACAAGAAATTTATGGGTGGAAGACATGAACAGAAGTGTGTTCCAGTTTACGGTAATCTGGTTAGATACTATCTGTGGTTTCAGAAATCCACTGGGGGCTTGGAACATACCTCCCTCAGACCACTACTGTATGCTAAACCTGTAACTGTATGGACAGGTGGAAAAAGATAGGAAATAGAACATCTCATTGGGGGAAATAGTTTTTATTTTTATGTCAAACAATTGTAGAGAAATAAGTTTTTGGTATGAACAAAGAAAATAGATAATCGTTAAAAAATTAAAAAATCTATTGGCAGAATTTACAAACAGGCATAAGGTAAAGACCAAATAGCAATAATAATCAACTAGAAAAATAAGTCAGAAAAAAGGACGAACAATAATATAAAATAAACGATGAAAGGGGAAAGTATAACATGTCATGTGCCAGTGATTGCACTAAATTTGAAAGCTGAATTCTCCAGTTAAATGTGTCAAACTGCCTTTAAAAAAGACAGTTAATGTTAATTACAGGAAAAAAAGACACTTAAAATGATTAAAACAATAAAGAGCAATGCTAAGAAAATGCAAAGAAGAAAGAAAGCATGAAAGGCAAAGGTAGTATCAGACAACACAGAATTCTAGGTTAAAAGCACTAAATAGGTCATGGAAGGATAATGATGAAAAGCAGAGTTATGAAAGACATATACCAGCCAGGAACTAGTATGCACCGAACAACCCAACAGCTTTTAGTAGACGTAAAGTGAAACTGTTAGAATTGTGAGAACTTGATAAAAGTACAAATACAACAGTTACTTCAGTACACCTCTTTTTGAATTGTGCATGTATAACTTGTATACAATATTAAGTAACTACACAAAAAATAGTACAATTAATAAGAGGAGACTTTTTATGTGTTCCAAAAATATACTTTACTAGCCATGAAATATATACGAAAATTAATCATGTACTTGGCCACAAATAAATTTTGCACATAAAAAAGTGTTTTTTTTTCCAGGCCATCTCTTCTGATCATGCTGCAAGGAATATTATACAATGAATGAAAAAAATATTAGAAATTAGGAATAAATGGCATGAAGATAACCCCCACATACTAAATATGTAATAATTCCAAATATATTTCTAGATAACCATTGAATGAAACTTGGAATTGAAAGAAAATCGCTGTACAGAAAGCAATGCAAATTGGAACCACATGACACAGCCAAAGCTGTACGGAGAGCAACTGAGTGTGGCCTTGAATGCCTTTAATATTAAGGAATAAAAATAAAAATTATTATTTTTTATATAAAATTTTGCCATTTATTTATTTATTTTTTTTATTACTCTTTAGGTTCTGGGATACATGTACAGAACATGCAGGTTTATTACATAGGTATACACATGCCATGGTGGTTTGCGCCACCCATCAACCCATCATCTACATTAGGTATTTCTCCTAATGCTATCCTCCCCTAGCCCCCAACCCCCCAACAGGCCCTAGTGTGTGATGTTCCCTTCCCTGTGTCCGTGTGTTCTCATAGTTCAGCTCCCACTTATGAGTGAGAACATGCGGTGTTTGGTTTTCTGTTCTTGTGTTAGTTTGCTGAGAATGATGGTTTCCAGCATCATCCATATCCCTGCAAAGGACATGAACTCATCCTCTTTTTTATGGCCGCATAGTATTCCATGGTGTATATGTGCCACATTTTCTTTATCCCGTCTATCATTGATGGGCATTTGGGTTGGTTCCAAGTCTTTGCTATTGTGAATAGTGCCGCAATTAACATACGTGTGCATGTGTCTTTATAGTAGAATGATTTATAATCCTTTGGGTATATACCCAGTAATGGGATTGCTGGGTCAAATGATATTTCTGGTTCTAGATCCTTGAAGAATCGCTACACTGTCTTCCACAATGGTTGAACTAATTTACACTCCCACCAACAGTATAAAAGCGTTCCTATTTCTCCACATCGGAATTTAACTTATCAATTTTAAAACATTAAGAAAGAAAAAATAAACCAGAGAGCAGGAATAGGGAATTAATAAAGTAAAAATGAAAATAATGGGGGGGGAAACAAAATACTGGGAAGGATATTGTCATTTTTGGAAAGATTGAAATACTGGTTAGATCCCTCAAGAGTCTATGGAAAAAGGCGAGAAAGCAAAATTATAAAAAATGGAATAAAGAGGAGCAACCATGCATAGAGCAATTTAAAAAATATGGGGGAAAATGATTTACTGTAGCAATACACATATACTTTCATATATATGTGTTTATGTATATGCAATATATCTACGCAAATATATACAATATGTATCTACACCCATATATGTACATACAAACTTGCATACATATAAGTACATACATAAATATGCACAATGTATATATACACATAAATATGTATATTTAAATATATATACAATGTACATATATAAATATTTCATGTATATGTGAATAGTTATGTATTATATGCATATATATACATTATATATACATAAAAGGGGGTGTAGAGAAAAGAAAAGTAGGGTAGATCTTGTCTTCCAAGAATTAAAACATACCATAAAGTCAATCATGTCACTATGATATTGGCAAAGGAATGGAAAGTAGATGCATGATTAAAATAAAGATTAAAAATAGATCTTAGTTATATATGATAATACAAGACAAAGGCAATATTATAATTTAGTACAAAAGGATGAATTATTTAATAAGCTGTGCTGGACTTACATCCTATGCATATAAAAAGTAATATTAGGCTCTTATCTGATATTATGTACAAAAATAAATTCCAGATGGAGTATTTTTTTTCTGAATCATGTCAGAGAAAGTTGCAAGTATAATATCCCTTTACCTAAATACTTCAATATGTATTTCCTACAAACAATTATAGTATAATCAAAATCACAACCAAAATCAGGAAATTACAATTGATACCGTATTATCTATAGTATTTGATAAACCAAATTTACTAGTTTTCTTACTGTCCTTTTAAGCAAACGGGAACAAATAATTTCCCTTTTCTGGTCCAGGATTCATTCCAGAATATCATGTAGCATTTGGTTGTCATGTCCCTTTAGTCTTTTTTGGTCTATTATAGTTTCTTAGTTATTCTTTGACTTTTATCACCTTAACATTTTTGAGGAGTACGAACCAGTTATTTTGCAGATTGTTCCTCAAATTGGTTTGTTTGATTGATAGAACTGAAGACATTCCTAACTATGCTTTTGATAGACCTATTATTTCATATATTTGATAGTCACCTTCAAACAATAGCTTATACCACTGATTTGAGGCTGCCTAAAATTGTTTAGCACCCAGGTTCAGAGGCCCTTTTGTCAAGGCCACTTGCTGATAATAATCAGATCTCCTGCTACCAGCCACAGCCAATAGAAGACATTTATCATTTCCATATTATTTAGATTCCTTTCCCTCATACTCTTCTTGGATTCACATTTTTTATAAATGACTAGAAAATTTTTTGGTTATTTGTTGGCCATAAAGACAGTTATGTTTGAGGGAACACCCTTGTGAAAACCTTAGTCACCTACATAATCCAATTTCATATCCAACTGAATCAGGCCCGTAAAGACAAGTCCACCTAGAGAGGAAAAGTTATTTGCTTTATCCTTTTACTTAATTCTGCTAGCTTTTCTTGAATTGGCAGATAGTAGTTGTCTTTGTTGTGAATACTCAGGTTTTTATGGCTCTTGGCAATTTTTTTTAACATAAATTATTTTGGCCTTCTGTTCCTTTTCCAACACCTAAAAGACTGCATGGGCCAGACTTTCCACTGGTCTAAATCAGCCTTTACTTTAATAGGTGTAATTTAATTTCCTGCCTGTTTCTTCATACAAATGCCAATGTTGTACGATTTATCAAAAGGCTTTAAACTGACTGCCTGGTTGCTGCAGATGGGCTGAAGTAAATGAGCACTGCCCTAGGAAACCAGATCCTGGGTTTCTCCTAACTTTTAATTAGTATGGTTAAGAGATTGGGGCTTGGAGCGATACTTAGATTAGATCTTGGTTCCACTACTTTACCACCCATCTGACTTTGGGCAATTTAATTAATATCTCTATGTCTAAACGTTCTCACCTGCTCAACAGCAATAATGATGTTACATATGGATGCTCCTCGATTTATGATGGGGTTTATATCCTGATGAACTTACCATAAGTTGAAAATATCCTAAGTCTAAAATGGATTTAATACACCTAATCTACTGAACATCATGGCGTAAGCCTAGCCTGCCTCAGACATGCTAAGAACACTTACATTAACCTACAGGTGGGCAAAATAATCTAATGCAAAGCCTATTTTATAATACAGTGTTGAATATCTAATGTAATTTACTTACTTTATGTTTACCAGCTTATTAGAAAGGTTATTGAAGGGACACAGAAAAAGAGGCGCATAGGATGAAATATGGGGAAATGGGTGTGGAGCTTCCGGGCCCTCACTGGGCATATCACTGTATTGAAAGCGAAAGGCAGAATGGCTTGCTGTCACTGTCCAGCATTTTGAGAGAGAGAGAGAGAAAGAGAGAGAGAGAGAGTACTGTACCTCATAATGCTAGTCCAGGAAAAGATCGAAATTGAAAAATTCTAAGTATGGGTTCTGCCAAATGCATATCAATTTCACACCTTCATAAGGCTGAAAAATTGTATCATCTGCATTTCATTAGTACTATTTTCAATGTGAGGAAGAAATTAAATAATGATACATGGTGCATAGCATACATTTGACAATATTAATAAATGTTGCCTGTTGTTATAACTAGTTATGTCACTTTGGTAAATCATGTAAATGAAGCTTCCAGGTCTCTATTGTTGTGTTACAAACTATCCTAAATCCAGTGGCTTAAAACAAAGCCCATTTTATTATGCCCATGAGCCATAAATCAAGAATTTGGGCAGGGTGGGGCAGTTGGGATGGTCTTGGACAGTTCACAGAGGTTCCATTTGTCTGAGGTCTCATTTGTCTGGTGGCTTGGGAGAGACAGCTGAAAGGCTGTTCTCAGCTTGGTCTCTCTCTTTCTCCATAGGGCTCCAGGCCTTCTTCATATGGTCTCTTCAGCAGGATAGTCAGACTACTCACAGAGCAGCTCAGGATTCCAAGAGTGAGTGCTCTAAGAGACCAAGGAAGAGACTTAAAACTGCTTTTTTTTTTTTTTTTTTTTTTTGAGACAGGGTCTCAATTTGTTGCCCAGGCTGGAATGCAATGGTGTTATTTTGGCTCACTGTGACCTCTGCCTCCTGGGCACAAGTGCTCATCCCATCTCAGCTTCCCAAGTAGCTGGGACCACAGGTGTGCACCACCATGCTTAGCTAATTTTTGTATTTTTTTCTATAGGTAGAGTTTTGCCATGTTGCCCAGGCTGATCTCAAACTCCTGGACTCAGGCAATCTGCCTGCCTTGACCTCTCAAAGTGCTGGGATTCTAGGTGTGAGCCACCACGCCCGGCCTCAGGGCTTCTTATAACAGCTTCAGAAGTCACAAAGTGTCACATGTGCTTCATTTCTTCATTTAATGTAGGAAGGGACTACACAAGTGCATGAATACAGGGAATGTGATTCCCTAGGGGATTGTCTTAGAACCAAGTTATACCACAATGAATAATTTGTGTTTCCTCCAGAGGTATTCATTTATACCTGTGGGTAGACTAATCATTACACATTGGTTGGGCATACGTCCAAGGTGCCTTATTACAAAAAATGCTTGAAAAAAAGAACTACAGACTCATCACATTTCTGAGATCTCATCTGTGGGATGAAATTGACCTGAGAGATTCCAGGAAGTATAATGTAGGAGCAAACTTTTCTTTAGACTCTCAATATTTCCTAATGTTTCATTTCTTCTCATTGAAATTATTTGAGGATCTGGGAATATATTACTTATTATCATTCTGATTATACTATGTAAAAAGCCACCCTTTAATCTCAGTGGTTTATAATAATAAACATTTATTTCCTGCTTTCACATCTGAGAGTCAGCTGTGACCCTGTTGGGCTTGACTAGGGTCGGTTGGGGTTAGACGGACTCGTTTTAGGCTGTGAATGAGTCCAGATTTTTTCCACAGGTCTCCTCATTCTGGAAACATGACAGTTTCATTCTGAACTCATAAAATTCCGTACCTCTAGAGGCCAAAGCAATACATGCAAGCACATTTAAGACCTCTGTTCAAGCCACATCCACTTACAGTTCGTTAGCCAAATGAAATCACATGGGCAAGTTCAAAGTCAATAGAATTGAGAAGTCTTTTCTACCCAGAGGGAGGCCACAGGGGAAAGAATAATTGTGAACAGCTAATATTCTCTTCTATGGAGAGTCTAGGCGCAGTGGAATAAAAAGTCAGTATTCCTGTGCATTCATATAATGCTGAAAGGATCCCCGCCTTTCCATTTGTAAAAATCTGTCTCCTATATAACAGAAGACAGCACCCACTTACTGATAAATTTTGGGGGGGTTCCATAGTTCAATCCCCAACATCAAATTTTAATTGTACAAAATACAGAAGTTAATACTCTATTTTAGATTTTCTGTTATTTATGTTCATTCTGTGTTTATGAAGCACCAACGTTATATTCAGCTATTGACAATGCTTAAGCAATTGGTCTCTACCCTGAGAAATTTATTTCAGAGCAATTCAAGCTGGTTAAATCAGTGTCAGACTCTCAACTTTGAACAGACAGCTGTGGAGAGGAGATAAGCTTTTGAAGATGCTGCAGAAATGGTATTTATAGAGGGAATGAAGGTGGGAAAGATGTTAGGTAACCAAGAAAGGGAGAGCTTATACAAATTTGCAAAATGAATGGTAAGGAAAAAAACCCCAACAATTCAGGTGGTGGAACAGACAAAGGAGAGGCTCCAGCTCAACTTTAACCTCTGTGTTTTCAGAAATCCTGAGGAATTTAGACATCAATTGGATGTATTATTTGACAGATATATCTCTTAAAGTTTTGACTTCATGTTTATCATGTTTTCCATCTTAAGTTTGTTTTGTGCTGATGGCAATGAGTTGTTTTCCTTGAGTGTAGTAAATTTCTCTCAGTCCCTGTGGGCATGTTGTTACTAGAAGGTTGATATATCTTAGTGATCCTATCACTAAGGCCACACTTGACCATAGGCTAAAACAGTAGCTGCCCATATGTTGTAATTTGAGGGTTCCCATAGGCATCTATGCCTTCAAAATATTTTTTCCAACTAAACTCTCCTGTACCTGATAATCCTAAATTACTTACCACATCAAAGTTACTCTGCATTACAGAGATGAAAGATAACAAGAAGGACTATGGTGCCTCACAGAGTAGTAGCTCATCGGATGGACACATGCAGAAGGCAATTTGATAGAAAGATCCAGACAGGTAAAAAAAGCCCTCTTACCATCTTAGACTGTCCACTTACTCTGCAAGAACCTCTCTTGCCAATCTCTCCAGTCTCTTTAGGGGCATTGCTTTTGGCTTTCCAGAGTATATTACCCCTTTCCAATATTCTCCCATTATTTTGTTCTGGTGAATTATCTCTCCTACATTGTGAACAGTTTTCGATGAGTCTATAAACTGAGATGACCTGTTCTGCTACTCCTCTTCTGTGATGCTCTTTTTGCTGTATCAGCTTGGCTAGGCTACAGTTTTCAGTTATTTAATCAAGCACTAATTTAAGTGTTGTGAAGCCATTTTGTAGATGGGATTAAAGTACATAATCAGTTTACTTTAAGTGAAGAAATTATGCTTGACAGTTTGGGTTGGTGTGATTCAATCAGTGAAAGGCATTAAGAGCAGAGCTGAGGCTTCCCTCAGAAATTCTGCCCATGGCTTGCAGCTCCAGCCTGTATTGAGAGTTCCAGCCTCCCTTCCTGATGGTCTGCAGAGTTTGAACTTACTTAGCCAGCCCTCAATAATTCATTTAAGTTTGGGGAAAACTGAGACTGGCAAGTCACGTAACATGTCTGAAGTCACACAGCTAGAAATGAGTAAAGCTGGGAATGGAATCCAACTAATAAAAATGGTAATTATATTTACTGAGATACCATTAGATATCTGCACTACTTGTGCCTCCTGAGACACTCCTCCACAATTATTGGAGGCCTCCCACTATCTCTGCCTTTGGAACTACCTCCAGGATCTGCACTCCTGAACCTATTTCCTAATCTCACCAAGCTGGCCAATTTCTTGCATTACATATACATCTATTAATCTATACCTCCTATTGGTTCTTCTTTTCTGGTTGAACCCTGAGAGATAACGCCTTTAATCCCTATTTTCTCACAAATGAAACTAAAGAAATGTCCTACAATCCATTAGTTTATTCCTTGCCAGATCTTTTCCTTCGTTGCCATAGTAGAGCCAAGGAAAGACAGGAAGCTAAACTTGGCCAGCTAATTACTTTGATAGTCTTTCTCTTGAGGGGAGTAACATAAAAAATAAAACAAAACAAACAAAAAAACTCTGACATTTTCAAGTTTTTTTCTAATAGAAATGTCTTAACAAGATCCTTCTATACTTCTTTCTTTTCTTATTTTGCTCTATTTCAACTCTAATTATTGTATTTTTTAAAATTAATTTTTTCTTTTGCTTGGCCACAGCATGAAAATGACTATCAAATTCAATTCTGTCACTTGAAACCACAACAAAAACCTTAACTGATACAGCCCCTGAGCACTCTGGCAGATTTAAACAAAAGTTAGATCTGATTTGAAACCTGAGCTTTCCAAGTATATCCAGAGAATCCCTGAAGGATTGACTCTACTTCTTTTGCAATAAAGCATGGGGTAGGGGCCATATTAAAATATCAGCATTTTCTTGTAGGAGTAATTTATTATACTATTATCCAACATAAACGTTTGAGTTCAACTTAGACTATCCATTGAGCCAGGGATATGTGGAAATCCAAATGAATGAGGAAGACAACATGAATTGTGATGCAAGGATGAATGAGAAAAATGTTTGGACATGAAGCAATCCATTAGATGTGTCAAAGGGCAGATCCTAATGGAGGATGAAGGAAATAGTTAGGGTATGGAATGGTAAAATAAGGAGGGCTGGGGAAGGATACTTGAGATTACTACACTGTTCTAGTGAATAGCCATTCTCATCCTACATAATGGGCAGGATAATGGCCCCCAAAGATGTCCCTTATTTATCAAACCTGTGAATATGTTACCTTACACAGCAAGAAGGGACACGCTTGCTAATCAGCTGACTTTAATAGAGAGATATTAATCTGGATTATCCATGTGTGCTCAATATAATCTAATAGGTCTTTAATCTATTAAGGGGAGGGAGGCAGAAAAGGAACCAATGTCAGAGGAATGAAATTTGAGAAAGGCTTGACTAGCTATGACTGGCTTTGAAGATGGAGAGGTACTGTAAGCCAAGGAATGCATGCAGCCTCTAAAAGCTAAAAAGGCAAGGAAATGGATTCTTCTTTAGACCTAGAGAAGGAATGCAGCTTTGGCGACACTTGATTTGGCCCAGTGGGATTTGCATCAGATTTCTGAGACACAGAACTGTAAGATAACAAATTTATGTTGTGTTAAACCTGTATGTTAGTGGATAATTTGTTATAGCAGCAACAGAAAACTATCAGATCCTATAACCCATGAATATAGTAAAAACAATAAACGGGAGCATAAGACCTCCAGGTTGTCTGCACAGGAGAAAGGAGAACAGAATCAGACAGGTCATTTCCCTGCTCTACCATTTTCTGTCAAAATGACCCTTGGCAAATTATTTAGTCTTTCTAAACTTCAACATTCTCCAAAATGGCCAGAAGATACTTGCCTTATAGACTTTTTTCTAAAAACAAGACAACCTGGTACTTAGCTCATAATGTCTGAACTCTATTATGAGCTCTGACCAAGGGTGGGATTCCAGGGGTGGCACTGGTACCACTGAAGAGCAAGGACTTGATCCTGGAAAGCTGTGAAATGTAGAACAAAGGGAAAGCTGAGGCTTGTAAGATGCCAGGTAAATATGGGCTTGGGAAGAAAACAGATAATAAGAAACCCAAAAGGAAAGGCAGAGGGGCAATAACTGACTTTGAGCAAAGGACTAGCAGTCCAGCTTGGTGAGATTAGGAAATAGGTTCAGGAGTGCAGATCCTGGAGGTAGTTCCAAAGGCAGAGATAGTGGGAGGCCTCCAATAATTGTGGAGGAGTGTCTCAGGAGGCACAAGTAGTGCAGATATCTAATGGTATCTCAGTAAATATAATTACCATTTTTATTAGTTGGATTCCATTCCCAGCTTTACTCATTTCTAGCTGTGTGACTTCAGACATGTTACGTGACTTGCCAGTCTCAGTTTTCCCCAAACTTAAATGAATACATTGAACTCAAGTAGGCCAAAATGATTTCCAGCGGAATGTTCTATTATTTTTCATAATAGATCTATTTAAGAAGTAATTGATATAAATTATAATTAATCCATTTAAAGAATACAATTGAGTACTTTTTCCTACACTCACACAGTTGTACAACCCCACATTATACTTTTAGAGCACTTTTGCTCCCTCAGAGAGAAATGCTGTGCCTGTTAGCAGTCATTTCTAATTTTCCCCAACACCACCCCACTTCTGGCCCCAAATAACCATGAATCTACTTTCTAATTCTACAGATTTGCCTATTATAAACATTTCATAGAAATGGAATCATACAATATGTGGTCTTTTATAACTGGCTTCTCTCACATACCATGATATTTTCAAGGCGCATTCATGTTGTAGCATATATTGCTACTCCATTCTTATTGCCTAAAAATATTTCATTGTGTGGATATGTTACATTCTATTTCTTAATTTTGAGTGGATGTATGTTCTTATTGCTCTTGGGAATCCTAGGAGTGTAATTTCTGGGTCATATCATAGCTCTATTTTCAGTATTGATAAATTGCCATTCAGTTTATCAAAGCATTGGCACCATTTTACAGTCCCACCATCAGTATATGAGGGTTTCAGTTTTTTCACATGCTTGCCAGCAGTTATGTCTTTTTTACTATATCTATCCTAGTGGGTGTGAAATGGTATTATCATGGCTTTTATTTTTATTTAACTGATAGCCAATGATGTTGAGCATCTTTTCATGTGCCTATTGGCTATTTGCATATCTTCTTTGGAGACATGTCTATGCACATTCTCTGCCCATTTTAAAATTTGTTATTTTACTATTCAGTTGTCAGAGTTCTTTATTCTGGACCCAAGTTGCGTATCAGATATGATTTGCAAACATTTTCTCCTATTCTGTGTGTCTTAGTCAGCCAGGGCTGTTATAACAAATACCATAGACTTGGTGGCTTAAAAAACCAATCATTTATTTTTTTTACAATTCTGGAGGCTGGGAAGTCCAAGATCAAGGGGCTTGTGAGGGCTGTTTTCCTGGTTTGTAGGGGGTGCCTTCTTGTTGAATCCTCACATGGAAGACAGAGAGAGAGAGAAAGAGAAATTATCTTTCTTGTGTCTCTTCTTATAAGAACACTAATCCCATTCATGAGGGCTCTACCCTCATTACTTACTTCAAGACCTAATTACCTCCCCAAAGCCTCACCCTCAAATATTATGACATTGGGGAATTAGGTTTCAATATATGGATTTTGGGGAAACACAAATATTCAGTCCATAACCTTGTGGATTGCCTTTTCACTTTCCTGGTGGTGTCTTTTGAAGCACAAAAGTTTTTAGTTTTGGCCAAGGAGATTTAATCTACTTTTTTCTTTTGTTGCTTGTACTTTTGCTGTTGTAGCTAACCAACCAATACCTAACCCGAGGTCATAAACATTTATTGTTATGTTGTAAGAATTTTATAATTTTAGCTCTTAATTTAGGTTCGTGATTCATTTTGAGTTAATTTTTATTATACAGAGTGAGAGCATCCAACTTTAGATTTTCTTTTCATATGAATATCAAATTTTTCTAGTACCATTTATTGAGAAGGCTATTTTTTTCCCTGTTTGTCACCAAACTCTTGTCAATAACCAGTTGGTCATATATGATGTAAGGGTCTGTCTACATCTGTACTCTCAATTCTATTCCACTGATGTGTGTGTCTATTCTTATGCCAGTACTACAGAATCTTGATTACTGTACCTTTATAGTAAGTTTTGCAGTCCTCCAGGTTTTTTTTTTCTATTTCAACATTGTTTTGGCTATTTGGAGTCTCATGTATTTCCATGTAAATTTTAGGATCAGCTTATCAATTTCTAAACAATAATCCAACTTGGATGTTTACAGGGATTGTGGTGAATTTATAGATCAATTTGGGTAGTATTGCCACCTTAACAATATTGAATCTTCTGAATCTTTAATATTAGATGACTTTCAATTTATTTAGGTCTTTCAGAAATGTTTTGTGGTTTTCCACATAAAAGCATTAAACTTATTTTGTTAATTTTATTTGAAGCTTTACTTTTGTATTCTTTTTGATACTATTGTAAATGTAATTGTTTTTCTAACTTCGTATTTCAAAATGTTAATTGCTATTATATAGATATACAATTCATTTTTGTATATTGTTCTTGAATCCTGAAACCTTGCCAAACTTATTTATTTCAATTTTAAAAAATGGATTATTCTTTCTACATCTAAGGATTTTCGATATACAAAATTATTATCCAAAATTAGAAATAATTAAGATAATTTTACTTCTTCCAATATGAATACCTTTTTTTTTTGCTAGGTGTGGTGGTTCATGCCTATAATCCCAGCACTTTGGGAGGCCAAGGTGGATGAATCACTTGAGGTCAGGAGTTTGATACCAGCCTGGCCAACATGGTGAAACCCTGCCTCTACAAAAAATGTAAAAATTAGCTGGGCATGATGGCAGGAGCCTGTAATCCCAGCTACTTGGGAGGCTGAGGCAGGAGAATCACTTGAACTTGAGAGGCAGAGGTTGCAGTGAGCCAAGATTGTGCCACTGTTCTGACGAGAACTTTTAGTACAATTGTTGAAGTACCAATAGTGGACATTCTTGCTACTGATTTTTAGGGCAAAGCATTCAGCTTTTTACCAATAAGTATGATGTTTGCAGTGAGTTTTTGGTTGATGAGCTTCATAAAGCTGAAGGTGTTCCTTCTATTTCTAGTTTGTTGAGATTGCTATTATGAAAGAATTGTTGAGTTTTGCTAAACGTTTTTTCTACATCTGTTGAGATAATTATGTTATTTTTCTCGTACATTCTATTAACATGGTATGTTACATTAATTTATTGAAATGCTAAACCAAACTTGCACTCCTGGAATAAAGTGCCACTTGATCATGGTATATACACGGTTTTGATATGTTGCAAGGTTTGGTTTGATAGCATTTTGTTGATAGCATTTTTTATCGATACTTATAAAGAATATCGATCTACAGTTTTCTTTCCTTGTGATTTTTAAATCAAGATAATGTATTTTTTATATATTACCATGACAAACTTGGTATCATAGAATAAATTCTACGATTCTATGAATTCTAGAGAATTCTATGGTATCTCATAGAATCCGTTGGAAGTGTTCCCTTCCCTTTTAATTTTGGAAGAGATTGTGAAGAGTTAGTATGAAACCTTCTTCAAACATTTAGTAGAATTGTTCAGTGATGTCAGCTGGTCCTGACATTTTTTGGGTGGAAAGTGTTTTGATTTCTAATTCAATCTTTTTACCTATATGTCTATCCATATGTTCTATTTCTTCTTGAGTCAGTATTGGTTATTTGCATATTTCTAGAAATTTGTCTATTTCTTATAGGTTATCTAATTAGCTGACAAATTTTTTATAGTATACTGTATATATAATTTTTGTTTCTATAAGCTTAATAGTAATTAACATATCTTTTTTCATTCTCAATGTAGTTACTTGAATCTTTTCTCTCTCTATCTTTGTCAATCTAGTTAAAGATTAGTCAATTTTGTTGACCTTTTCAAAGAAAAAAGCTTTGGTTTTATTGATTTTTTTCTATTCTCTATTTAATATATACATGTTCTGTATTATTGTGTCCCTTCTACTAGCTTTGGGTTTAGTTCTTTTTTTCTCAAATTAAGGGGGATGATTAGATTAGTGATTTGAGAACTATCTTCTTTTATATTAAGTTCATATTTTATAGTATAATATCATAATTCCTATTAATGATTCTTTATACTTTGTTGAGTTATTTTCTTAGTGGTTGCACTAGGGTTTATAATAGACATTTTTAACATATTGCAATCTACTTAATATTTACATTGACTTAGTTCCATTTAAATAGAGAAACTTTACTCTTTTACAGATTCTTTCCCTCCACTTTCTTTTTGTTAATATTAATCTTATTTACCCTCTGTGGTTCCCTTCATTTCTTTATGTAGATTTGAGTTTTCATTGTTTGGCATCATTTTCATTGTTTCTGATGAGAAGTTAGCTTATGTTCTCTATGAGTCCATTTTCATATTGCTGTAAAGAACTACCTGAGACTGGGTAATTTATGAAGAAAAGAGGTCTAATTGACTGACAGTTCTGCAGGTTTAAAAGGAAGCATGGCTGGGAAGCCTCAAGAAACTTACAATCTTGTTAAAAGGGTGAAGGGGAAGCAAGCATGCCTTACCATGGTGTGGCAGGAGAGAGAGAGAGAGAAAGAGAGTGAAGTGGGGAATGCCACATACTTTTAAACCATCAGATGTCATGAGAACTCACTATCATGAGAACAGCAAAGGAGAAATATGCCCCCATGATTCAATCACCTCCCACCAGACCCCTCCTCCAATTTGACATGAGATTTGGGAAGGGACACAAATCCAAACCACATAATTCCTCCCTGTCCCCTGCCAAATCTCATGCCTTTCTTTTATTGCAAAATACAAATATCTCTTCTCAACAGTCTCTAGGTCTTAACTCATTTCAGTATTAACTCAAAGGTCTACATCCAAAGTCTCGCCTGAGACAAGGCAGTCCCTTCTGCCTATGAGCCTGTAAAACAAAAATCAAGTTATTTACTCCCAAGATACAATGGGAGTACAGGCACTGGGTAAATACTCCCATTCCAAATGGTAGAAATTGGCACAAACTGAGGAGCTACAGGTCCCATGCAAGTTCAAAAGTCCAAAACCCAGCAGGGCAGTCATTAAATCTTAAAGCTCCAAAATAATCTCCTTTGACTCCGTATCTTAGATCCAGGGAATGCTGATGAAAGTGGTGAGCTCCCAAGGCGTTGGGGAGCTTCACCTCTGTGGATATGCAGGGTACCATCCCCACAACTGTTTTCACAGGCTGGCATGGAGTGCCTGTGGCTTTTCCAGGTGCATGGTGCAACAGTGCAAGCTGTTGGTGGATCTACCATTCTAGGGTTTGGAGGATGGTGGCCCTCTTCTCACAACTCTTCTAGGCAGTGCCCCAGTGGGGACTCTGTATGGGGGCTCCAATCCCAGATTTGCCCTCTGTACTGCCCTAGTAGAGGCTCTCTGTGAAGGCTCCACCCCTGCAGTTGACTTCTGCCTGAACATCCAAGCATTTGCATACATCCTTTGAAATCTAGGCAGAGGTTCCCAAACCTCAACTCTTGCCTTCTGTGTACCCACAGGACCAACATCAGGTGAAAGCCACCAAATCTTGGAGCGTGCACCTCATGAAGCCACAGCCCAAGTTGTACCTTGGCTCCTTTTAGGCATGGCTGGGGCTGGAACACAGGGCTCCATGACCTGAGACTGCACAGAGCAGCTGAGCCCCAGGCCTAGCCCACAAATCCATTTTTCCCTCCTAGGCCTCTGGGCCTGTGATGGGAGGAGTTGCTGTGAAGGTCTCTGAAATGTCCTGGAGACGTTTTCCCCATTGTCTTGGTCATTAACATTTGGTTCCTCTTTACTTATGCAAATTACTGCAGCTGGCTTGAATTTCTCCCCAGAAAATGGGTTTTTATTTTCTACTGCATGATCAGGCTACAAATTTTCCAAACTTTTATGCTCTGCTTCCCTTTTAAATATAAGTTCCAATTTCAGATATCTCTTTCTTCACACATATCAGCATACAGTTTTAGAAACAGCCAGGTCACATCTTGAATGCTTTGCTGCTTAGAAATTTTTTTTCTGCCAAGTACACTAAATCATCTCTCTCAAGTTCAAAGTTCCACAGATCTCTATGGCAGGGGCACAATGCTGCCAGTTTCTTTGCCAAAGTGTACCAAGAGTGACCTTCACTCCAGTTCCCAGTAAGCTCCTCATCTCCATCTGAGCACCTCAGCCTGGACTAAATTATCCATATGACTATCAGCATTTTGGTCAAAACCATTCAACAAGTCTCTAGGAAGTTCTGAACTTCCCCACATCTTCCTGTCTTCTTCTCATGCCTCCAAACTGTTCCAGCCTCTGCCTGTTACCCAGTTCCAAAGTCACTTGTACATTTTCAGGTACCTTTATAGCAGTGTCCTCTTTACTGGTACCAATTTTCTGTATTGGTCCATTCTTAACTGCTATAAAGAACTACTTGAGACTGGATGATTTATGAAGAAAACAGATTTAAGTGACTCACAGTTCTGCAGGCTTAACAGAAAGCATGGCTGGGAGGCCTCAGGAAACTTACAATCATGTCAGAAGAGTGACGGGAAAGCAAGCACTTACCAAGGTGGAGCAGGAGAGAAAGACGGAACAGACAGGGAAGTTCTGCACACTTTTAAACCATCAGATCTCATGAGAACTCACTATCATGAGAACAGCAAGGGGTAAGTCTTCCGTTTTAATCCAGTTACCTCCCATCAGGACCTTCCTCCAATTCAGCATGAGCTATGGGTGGGGACACAAATCCGAATTGTATTATATTCTTATTGAGATTCCTCTTTTATGCAGTGAGTCATTTTTATCTTACTGCTTTCAAGACATTTGCTTTAACTTTGACTTTCAACATTATAAATATGGAGTATCTAGATGTGAATCTCTGCATTTTCTCTACTAGGAATTTATTAAGCTTTTTGAATGTGTAGGTTAGTGTTTTTTTTTTTTAATCAAATTTTGAAAAATTCCAGTCTTTATTTCTTTGAAATTTTTTTCCTTTCTCTCTCCTGTCCCACACATTATACATATGTTGGTTTGTTTATATGGCATCCATTATTTCTTTGAGACTCCAATCATCTTCTTTTTTCATATTTCTTTCTCTCTGTTCTTTAGATGACATAATCTCTATTGATCTATCTTCAAGTTTCCTAAATTTTTTTGTTTTGCCAATTCATATGTACTAAGCCCCTCCAGTCATTTTTTTTGGTTGGGGGAGGGAGATGTATTTTTCTGTCTTCCTCTTTTTAGATAATTTTTATGAATCTTCCTTATTTGATGAAACGCTGTCATAATAGCTTTTTTACTTTTTTAAGCATGATTTCATTTAGTTTTTTGAACATCTATATCATGGTTTCTTTAAAGTCTTTGGCTGGTAAGTTTACTATCTGGACTTCTTCAAAGGTAGCTTTTATTGCCTGTCTTTTCCCCTCTGTGTATGGGATATATTTTTTATCTTTACATGTCTTAACATTTTTAGTTGAAAACTGAACATTTTAGACATTTTAGATAACATATTGTGGCATCTCTGTATACTGATTCTCCCAGGACTAGTTGTTTTGTTTGCTTAGTCATTTGTTTGTTTAGTGGCTGAAGTAATCCACCTACTTCTGGATTCTACCTGCCTGGAGTAGAGTGTCTGAGGGAAAGATCTGTAATAGAGCTGGGTGGGGAGGGCTATAGGAGAGTGAATCATGATGTAAGTGGCACAAACTCATTATTTTTAACAAGATTTAGTGAATTTCATAAATAAATGTTTCTCCATTTGATGTATTCCCTTAAGACAATTTCCAGATTCAAATCATTTTTTAAAAATATAATCTTTACCAGTTAAATTGTTTTGCTAGGGACAGTCTCCACTGAGCTCCTTATTCTGTCATTCTGGAAGCTCTGCCTCTCCCTTATGTTGTTTTTATTCTACAGTTAATTTGAAGATACCCTACTGCCCTTAAAATAAGTGAATACGTAACAAAAAAAGACAACTACAGACCAGTATCTCTTATTAACATAGACACCAAAACTCTCAAAAAAATACTAGCAAATCAAATTCAGCATTGGGTACTCGGAGATATAAAGATGGCAACAATAGAAACTAGAAACTACTGAACGGGAGGGAGAGAGTGGGGCAAGGATTGAAGCCATTAGGTACTATGCTCAGTGCCTGGTTGATGAGATCATTCATACTCCAAACCTCGGCATGTTACAATATACCTATGTAAGAAACCTGAACAAACATGCACCCCCTGAATCTAAATTAAAAGTTGAAAAAAATTTTAAATAAATAAGTGAACACAAGTTATTTCTGTGACATTGTCTCAGCATTACCTCTTATTAATTGAGAGTTTCTAAAATGTGCCCAATTTGGGAATAAGAATAATTGACACTGACCTAACTTCCAGCAAGAGTCCATAGTTTCAGAAGTAACAGTTTGAAAACTAGATTTACTTCTGAAGCACTGGTTTCAACCCTGTGATTGATTGTGGCATCCATTTCCATATCTTTGGGAAAGTTTGACGGCAGAGTTGGAGATATACAGGGTTGGCCCTTCCAAAGGTATCTGTGGGCACTTAGTAGAATTGTTTTTCATCTAGTAAGAAAAAAAAAAACAGATGATAAATGAGCTAACAAATTGAACCTTTAGGTTTAAAGTAAAGGCTTAAATGTCAACTAAAGAAACACAGGTAAAGATCAGAGTACAATTGTAGTTAATAGCATATGTTAATCAGTATTTTGAAAAACAAAACAGGTTTTGCAGACTATTTTGAAATAGAAGGAAAATAATTGAAGGGATAAAAAGGAACATCTTGGGTCTTTTACGTTTGTTATTGTGAGAGAAAGGGCAGTAGCATTTCACTCAGCCTCTCAGTAGGCTTCCAGGAGACTTTCAGTTCCTGGACTATTGTTTTCATCTTTGTGTTATAGTGGCTATGATGTTACAAACATGCAGAAGGCCTCAAGTCATGTTTGTTGAACAAATAAATAAAAGAACTATTAATTAATCATCCATTCAGTATCCTGTCGTGCAGACAGAGGCCACACCAGTTATTTAGCAAAGACCAAAGGAGAAATGTAGTGTGAGATCTCCAGCATCACAAAGCAGAATTTAGAAGGGTTGGAGGTTGGGGACGGTGGTGTGGGGTGGAATTGCCTGGGAGTTGGTAGCTTAATAACTGCCAAATGTTAATCTAAAATCTTTTTTGTAGATTATATTCATTTTGAGCATTTCCCAAATCAGGGTGGATAACCTGTTTTCCTCATGGAGAATTCAAAATTATGTTTGTATTCAAGACTTTAAAGAGCTTACTGATTTCCAGATTAAGAAGATCCGATCTCTCAGATATTATTTTTTTGTCTACTGTTGTAAAATGCACTATTTTGAAGCCTCTCTGTGTTAGGCTTGACAGGAATAATACAGATCTATATAGACTGTTTTGCCTTAAAATTTTCCCCTTCAAATCTTAATTACCTAGAATTGAGTTTAGCATACTGCTAGGTTCATGGCACCATATTTTGACAAGTGGGTCTGTGCAGAGTCCCTGTTTTATTTTATCTTATTTCTCTAATTTAACATACATCTATATTGTAATGGATTGAATGGGGTCTTCCCAAAATATGTCCATATCCTAATCCCTGGAACACGTGAATATGACATTATTTGAAAAAAAGTTATTTGCAGATGTAATTAAGAAGCTGTATATGAGATCATTCTGGATTATCCAAGTGGGTCCTAAATTCAATGACAAGTGTCTCTATAAGAAAAATACAGAACGATAATAGATGAAGAGGAGACCGGCATGTGAAAATGGAGGCAGAAATTGGAATTATGCAGCCACAGGCCAAGGCATACCTGGAGCCACCAGAAGGTGGAAGAAGTAAGGAAAGATTCTCCTCTAGGGCCTTTGGAAGGTGTGTTGCCCTGGAGATACTTGATTTGAGATTTTTTTCACATCCGGGATAGTGAGAGAATACACTTCTGTTGTAAACCACCCAGCTTGTGGTAATCTGTTACAACAGCCTTGGAAACTAACGTCTACTTACATCTCAGGCTCCAAATTTAGTGTATTTAAGGCGTATCTTTCCAATCCAGTGTCCATATGCATTATGTGGATATGTGGACATAAGTATCTAGTTTTATTAGCAATGAAAGGAATTTAAGTTTCAAAAGGCTACAAAGCAACTAAACCCACTAACAAAGTGCCCTGATTGTGCCAGACCAATTCTGAGGGCAAATGATTTTTTTCCAGTTGCTCCAGAGGTACCCTTAGAAATTATACTCCCAAACTTGGGAACCATAACCAGAATTTACATTTATTAATTTGGCAAAATGAAAATATCCTTCTACTGTTGATAACGGAAGCATGTATACTTATGCACTGCTAGAAGGACTATGAATGAACTCAATGGTTATACATAGCAGTTTGGCAATATGAGGTAAGAATCCTAGAGATGATCATTTGCCTTGGTAACGCTATTTTGGATTATGTTCCAAGGAAGTGTTACACAAGGAAAAAAAGTGTTCTGCAAGGCATTTCTGTACCTAAAATAAAAAAACAACAAAAAACACCCGGGAATAGTCTGAAGGCCAAATTGTAGTCTAGAAGCTAAAGAGAGTATGTCACACTCATTCATATAATAACATTTTATTTTTTAAACACTCTCCTAAGTGTTAAGGATACATGGCAAATAAAGCAAAATTTGACCTAATAAAGCCTAAAATCAAATTCATATTATCTCCTGTGACAGAAAACATGCGGAACAGTAACAGCAGCTCAGTCTAATAATGATTTGCAAGAGGAGAAGGGGAGTGTCTGTGTGTTGTGGGGCTGTGGAGAAAGGATAGCCATGTGCCCTACTGGTGTTTTTCAAAATTCCTGAGTAATAGGTTTTTAGTTTTCAATAGATTATAGTTTGAAAGAAATAGATCTTCTGGTAATTTCAATACACTCTCATAAGGAGAGAGACTAAAACCACTCTCTAATATTACTGAATTAACATAAGTTGAGCACTTACTGTGCCAGGTACTATCCTAAGAACTTTACACATATCCCTATTACACCATGAGGTGGGGAACCCAGGAAGTCTAGCTCCAGACCCAGTGCTCAAACACCTTACACTGACTGCCTCTTCCCTTGATCTGAATGAAGATGAATGGATTATTACACTACACTTAGAAACCATGTTGCATAGGAAAGACAACCTGGAAGAGAAAATGGTAGATCTTGCAATGTGGCCTGTATGACAGCAATGTCATAATTATGTTTCTATAAATAGAATAAATCAAAAGAAGCTGTGGCAAAAGTTAGGTTTTGCTATAGTTAAGCTACTGTTACAAGCTGATTTTCATCCTGTTAGACCTCTAATCACAAATTCATACAGTTTGGTGAATCTATGTGTACTTTCTCATTGATTGTTTGGTATGTGCTAAATACTTGTTATTTTTGATAATTTTTTTGTCATTGGTTAACTATACAGCTGAATATAATTTAAAATCAATGAAGAAAGGGATGTAACCTCAATTAGCATCCAAGTCGTATCTATTATATTATCTTATTTTTCTCTGTGCACATGTCAACCTTACTAGCATTCTTTGTAGAACATTGATTGGTCCATTTATTACCAAAATGAAAGGGGTCCTATGTTATTTCAATATATTATGTGTGGGCAAGTTTAAAGCTGGACTCTATATCCTCACCTGTCTCCTATATTCTGAAAGCCTATCTTTTTAAGCATTTTAATTATGAGTGTTTCATACATTTTCTCCAGTGCTCTGCCTGAAAATTTCTTAGAAACTGCATGCCAGCTTTTCACTTCACCTTAGTTCTGAAGTAAAACAAGAGGGCAGAGTATTTTAGTAATTATCATTCCTCACTGTATAATTGGTAGTTTAGATAATCACAATAGATGTAATAGAACATTTTAGTATCTAGCCAAGAGAAAAAACATAAAAGCATCAAACGAGATAATTGGTGTATATATCATTTGTCTTTAGTATAGGATGCTAACAATTTCCCTACATAGCCTAGGAGCTACCATCACCTCATTTTATAATACAACCAGGACAAAAAGATGTTAAGTGATTTGCTCATGGTCACCAACTATTAACTGACATTTGGAGAGTAGCTCCTATAGATCACCTGCAAGACATATTATGTTGTTTTCTATTAAAAATTATCCATGAATTCTTCAGTACCTCTCAAATAAATTCAAAGCCCCATTGCCAGGTGTTATCCAATGGCTTAAACCGGTGGTTCTCAAACTTGAAAATGCACCAGAAACACCAAGGGGCTTATTAAATCATAGATTTCTGGGTGCCTTCCCCAGAGGTTCTGACTCGACTCTGACATAGTCCCTGAGGCTCTGTATTTCTAGAAAGCTTCCAGGTGATGCTGGTGCTTATCATGTGGGGACAGCACACTGAGAATTGCTTGCATGAACAATAAAGATGCTTATTATTTTAAATAATAAGAAAGCCTTGGGTAGGGCAGTTCCAGAGATGGATAATGAAGCAGTTCAGATATTCTCAATTTATCAGCCTTGCCTTCATGCCTTCTGTCATGGTCACAATCCAGCTACTCCAGTACAAAGTACCCTATGAGGAAGTAAGAATGTCCAGGGAAAGTAGAGGAGTCATTTTTTCTGGTGTGTGTCCTTTAAACCATGGGAAAACCCTTCCTGGGTGCCTTTAGAGGATCTCTCATTGGCAACAAATGTGTCACATACCCAGTCACTAAGAAGGGGAATGAGATTGTGCTAGATTTGGATGTATTAAGATTTACCTCTAAGTAGGAGATGGGGTCACCTTCCTAGGCACATTGCCAACTGGAGGAAGGTGAACATTCAAACATAATCATGACTTGGTCAGCAAGGAAGAGTTGGGCAAAGAGTTCGGGGCTGGCCACCAATAGTATATGCTCTACTAGACACTTACAATCTTTTACAGTTTAGCTTGATGATTAAAGTAAGTTCAGTCATAAAACATATGACCCAAAGTGCATTCTGTCTGCTACCTGATGAGGGTCCCAGTTAGCAGAGTATTCGACCCTGTGACAGTTTAATGTAATTAGGTGAATCTAAGAAAAGCATAACTTGCTCCAGTGAAGTAGTTGATTTCCCTTAGCTGGAAATGAATTGTACTTGACATACTTAAAATAACATCTAACCTAATTTGTTAGACACAGGGCTTCTGAGTTTTGATTTTCTTACAAAAGATGAATTAGAAGAGGGGCTTCATGCTTAACCACCTGGGTGAGAAGGGCTGCTAGAGCAGGATGACAAGGACTTGGTATCTACAGAGGCAAGATTTTCTATTTCACATGCTTCCACTACTCCCTTTATTCTTTCTCTTATTCCTCCTTGTGTCTCTCATATAATATGATAGCAAAAAGACCCAAAATTTGGATATTAGGGTCAGAGAAAAATTCCATCAGTACTTTGAAGGAGAAAATTACAGATGAATTAAATGTACCTATTGCAGAATATCCATGGATTCTTAAATCTGCCTTTGAGACATGTAGGAGTTGACTCTGTTTTCCTGTGCCATGTGACATGGAGCCCTTAGTGGTGAAATAAAATAAATCCTGAGCCTTTAGAGATTTTTCTTATACAAGTGAACTAGTAAAGGGTAATGAAATAATTAGGAAATGATTAGTTTTGAGTATTTATTGCCTTTGTTTTCAATATAATTTATTTAATTGCAAGCTTATATAAATTTATTTTTAATTGTGGTGTTTAACTGACTCACAAATTTCTTGAAAATGCATGAGCTGGTATAAGCCAGCAGCAGCACACCACCATATACATTATACACAGGGATGTAGTTTAGAACTGTTTAACCAAGGCTGATGGTATCCTTGCCTCTGCAGTGCCCCACTTCATTCAAGTTCCTGCTGCTGAAATGATGGGGCATGGGTGGTGTTCTAATTGTATGACAATTCCACTCATAGCTAGAGCTCAGGTTCCAAGGTCTATTTCTCTCAGACCCATGCTGACCCTGGGTTTCCATGCTCTGAGTACCCTAAGTAAAAATTAAGTATAATTCAAGTCGTAACATGACACAATGGGTGACAAGATCAAACCCTACTTATTCCTGCCCATATTTTACAAACTCCTATGACCCAGGTTTTGTGGTCTCATTTATTGATCTTTAATCATCATTTGATACAAGCCCAAGCTTCTTTCTTAATGTAAGAGTAAGTACAGAAAGAGAAGAAAGATGAAGTCATTAGTTGGATTGAGGGAGATGAGAGATCAGATATGGAACTACAATATTTTTTCCATCCTGATCCAAAAGAACTTTATGAAAATCACAAGATAAATGTTTTACTGACAAATAGCTTAAAGAAAAGACTTCAGATTTTATTCCTTAGTACATCAGTTTTCACAGTTATGTATCTTGAGAGCAAGACATTCAGAAGATATTTTGAGGTTTGTCTTATCATTATTTGATACAAGAAAATCAGCATGACTTTTACCTGCTTCCTGCTTAGCTTCTGAAATGTATGACAGGTAACTGGGTATCACGGATGGATTAGAGCACAGACTTGGAGAAGCCAATCTGTGAGGTTTGGCAACAATGCCCTTATATTTTATTGTATATATACATTTATATACACACACACACTATATATATGTATATATATATGCATACACATATATTTATATAAAATATTTATTATATATAAATTGGTATAAACGTTTCCTTAAATACATATTTTTTATATTTACGTATATGTATTTCCTTTATTTTCTGGTTTTCGAGGGCCCAGGAGCTTAATGGAAAAGAATTTGAAAGTCTTTTTTTTTTTTTTTTTTTTTTTTGGAATTCAGACAAAGATTTTTCTAACAGGCTTTTGAGGAGAGGTAAAAATCATATTGCAGAGGGACAACTCCCGAGCAAAACATAACCCCAGAAGGCGACATCTGCTATGGCAGCTTACATTCAGCTTTGCGATCTAAAGGCTGAGAAGAAGCAGTAATTCTAAGTAGTCTGGAGCTATGGTCCACATGCCTGCATGCTCTGTGAGGAAGAGATGCATGTGAAATTACAGAAGCATTGCTACAAATCTAAGCTCTTTCTCTGGGAAACCCTCTGATGTGGTTTGGCTCTGTCCCACCCAAATCTCACCTTGAATAGTAATCCTCTAATCCCCGCGTGTCAAGGGCGGGACCAGGTGGAGGTAATTCGATCATGGGGGTAGTTTCCCTCATGCTGTTCTCGTGATAATTAGTGAGTCTTATGAGATCTGATGGTTTTATAAGCGTCTGGCCTTTCTCCTGCTTGCACTCACTCCGTCCTGCACCCTGTGAAGAAGGTGCCTGCTTCTCCTTTGCCTTCTGCCATGATTGTAAGTTTCCTGAGACCTCCCCAGCCATGCAGAACTGTGAGTCAACTAAACCTATTTCTTTTATAAATTACCCAGGCTTGGGTATTTCTTCATAGCAGTGTGAGAACAGATTAATACACGCTCTCACAGTGTGAGGGTTTGTAGTGGGTCAGAGGGTGGCAAAGATATGTTCACCACTTCGTGGAACATGAAATTTGACGTTATTTGGAAAAAAGTCTTCTCAAATGTACTTAAGGTCTCCAGATAAAATCATGTTGGATTATCCAGGTGGGCCCTAAATCTGGTAACAGGTATTTTTATAAGGGAAACAGACACGTAGAGAAGAGGATAAGGCATGAAAGTGACGGTGAAAACAGATAGACATTGTATTGCTACAAGCCAAGGAACACCTGGCGTCTGCAGAAGCTGGAGGTGGTAAGGAAAGATTCTTTCTTAGAACGTTTAGAGGAAGCACAGCACTGCTGACACTCTGATTCCAGACTTCTGATCTCTAGAACTGTGAGAAAAAAAGTTTTCTGTTGTTGTTAGCTACACTGTTTGTGGTAATTTGTTACAGCAGTCCTAAAAAATGAATACAAGACTGGCTGGCAAAATAAAAAGCTATGGATTACCAAGAAGCCACCCAACTCTGTCACAGGATACCTTCTAAGAATAGGCCACAAGACGGAGGGCATTAGCTTTTCACATAAGGAAGGGGACAGCGGAAATCAAAAGATAGGTAATGATGCAGCTATATCAGTAATGGTGGAAAGCAAATACACCCCAAGAGGTACTGCAGCCTAAGTCAGGGCTACCGCTTGCCCAGCTTTAGTGGCGCTGCAGCAATGTGGTGAGCATAGCAGACATTGGAAGGGATGGGTGGTGAGGGCAGCAGAGGTGCTGGTGAGCCCGCAAGGCCAGGGCCAGCCTTGTCTATAAGACATGCTCCTCCCAATGACAGCTACAACTGTAAAGCGCTGGGGTCCTGCAAGTGAACAAGTAGGAACAATTGACCCAACTTAGGAACAAAATGTTAGACTTCCTAGTACCTGTAAGTTGGAGAGTTCAAAGGGACATTTTGGTCACATACATTTTATTTAATAGCTAATAGAAATAATCACAAGGCTATGTTTTCCACATTAGTATGGGCATAATTTATTCTCTCACTTCTTTTGATTATTGTTGTCCCTATGGGCAGAACTTGTGTATCAGTACAGACACCGTGAACACATTTTCCAAGGCAAAAAGCTGAAAACACCTTTGACAGTAACGCTGTACAACTTTGGGTGGTAAGTGGCAGTTAGGGAGATACAGTTTGAATAACAGAATGCAGGAAATTTCTAATTGCAGTGGGGGTGGGGGGATTTCACATAACACATAATTGGCATTTTTCCAGAAAGCCCAGATGGTGGAGGCAAGGCATTAGCAGCACTTATTTTCTTAGCTTTGGAAAACTGAGACTAGAAAATAAATCAACAATACATTTTTTTTACCAAAATATAATTCTAATCCAAATGGGAGCTATGAATTAAATTTCTAATTAATGATGGGTGCTGTAAGTTTCTAAAGGAGAAAGCACCTGGAAAAAGATGTTACATTCACCGTCCAGGTTTTATGAATTCAGAGCATGATGAAGCTTGATGAGGCTTTGGGTACTGAAGGGGGCATATGAGTCAGTCCTCTTGTTTTGCAGATGTGGAAATTGAGGCATGAGAAGTTGTACTGTCATAGATGAGTCACCCTAGAAATGGCTGCCAGAGGCTAGAATAGTACCTGGACTGTTGAATTCATCTGCTATCCTTTCTACCCTGCTACACTCTTCAAGGGTGCTTATCTAAACACTGGCTTCCCTCTGCTGACAGCATTGTTCTTGGTCATTTTTTTGTAGCTCCTTAGCTGCTTATCGTTGGCTTCAGCCTTTTCCCAGCTGCTTATCACAGACAAACTTTAATTACCTCCTAACACATAGCCAATGCTACTTGAAAGGCTAGGCTGGGCAGGGTACTCGCTTTCTCCGTGTTCTCAGACATCGTGGGCTCTCATCCTCAGAGAATCTCTGATTCTGAATCAGTCCCGTTAAAATACAACCATTTATTTTTCTAAAACCATTTATCTCGGATATAATTTAAACTTTTTTTTTCAAAAATAAAAACCAAAACGCAAAGAAGGCTTTAAATAAAAGCCACAGGTTCTTTTCAAATGTGACCAAAATGCTAGTGCAAGGTATGATCTACATGAATTTAAGCCATATTGTGGGAGAAGGCATGGCATACATGGGGAATGTAAGATTTTGGAGTTAAGAAGGTATTAACTCAATCTCAGCACTCAGATCAACCACTGAGTGCTGGGCTACAGTTGTGTCAGTAACCTGGAAAACATTGTTCCTTACAGTAAGACAATCTGATGGAGGTATTAACTATGTGTTATTTTTCTGAGTTCAAAAAGTTAGAATGAGAGAAGAAAGAAGGAAAGAGTGTTGAGCAGAAAAAAAAAAAAACACAGCCTTTACACTGTGGTTTCCATCTTTCTTTATTACCTGAAACTTCTGGGGATATTAACAGCAGTGAATATAAGGAGGTAATTTCTGGTTGTCTAGAAATATCACAATGATGTCCTTCCCTGTCCAGTGATTTATACAGGAAGTTCACTCACCAACTTGGCAGCCTGGGGATGGCTCTCTAGCAATCGTACACATTCTACCAGCCAGCAGTGAAAGCAGGAGGACGTTCCTCAAGGTGACAGTGGTCGTAATCCAGTGGCCTTGGGAATCCTCCTGCTTCCCTTTTGGAGATTCATCACATGCTTCTCTGCTCCCACTGTGCCAGACACAGAGACGCCTCGATGTCCCCGTGACTTCTCTGGGTCGTAGGATGCAGAGTTGGGAACCACAACAGGTTACCAGGAGGTGCTGGATTTCTGTCTAAGATTCAGAACCAAGTTTACTGGGGAAAATACAACCCAAAAGAGTTGGCTGTGGGAGCCTACCTTCTATCATCAATAGAACCTGCCTCATACTTGTCATCAAACACTGCCCTGTGGAAAATGGATATGGATAAGGGAGAGTGGATAGGGTGGCTAATAGCCCCCATTATCTCCCTCCCAGATTATTTGTGAGCTTAAGTACAGTCTACACATGCCCCTGATATTATAATCTAGAACTCATATAGTAATTCCACACTCTACTTTCCACCTACTCGTCATTCTAGTAGTAGTAATATATATGCATATGTATGATACTAAATATATATGTGTATGAATGATACCTACTCTGTGCCAGGACATCCATTTCATTCCCACTAGCTGATGATGGTGATTCTAGTTACTGTCATGTTGCCTTATATGCCTCTGTTGTTGTCGTCATCGTCGACATCATCATCATCATCATTATCTAACCTATCTATTCAGCTGCTTGGATGAACACTTCTTTTTTTCAGCCTGTGTTTTGCTCTCAACTCTGGGTCCCACTTCCTTGTTCAGTTTTACCTAGAGGTCTCAATCTCAGTGGGAGCGTGAGCTCCCAGGATACTATGAAGTTATTATAGAATTACTCTCTATTAGTTACTCCCTTAACCAATAAGGGAGTAATTTTATAATAATTATCTGTGTATAGAGATAAGCCAAAGACATTAGAATTTTCTTGTGACTGTGGTGGGTTTAAAATTTATTCAAAGGAACTCAGGAATCTTTCATCTTCCTCATAATAAAGCAATCTGCAGTTTAAAATTTTTCTGTAATATTCTTCTAGAATCTCCATTCCTGCTCATAAGCAGGAAATACAACAGTGACAACCACCACAACAAAAACACCAATACATTTCAAGCTTGTCCATTAAAATGTAAATTAGTAGCTTCCTGTTTAAATTAGTCTCTTTTGGATAAAGTTGTTTCCTTCAATTTAGGAGTCTCCATTTCATAAACTCAATCTTTTGTTAGTAACCTCTCAGTCTTTTTTTTTTTTTTTTTGAGAGCTTTTCCTCTCCTTCTTTTCTCTCCTCCTTGTGTCATCAGAGTTCAGGAAAAAATTCTACCCCACTCACATTGTTAGTTGTGGAGACCTTGGATCCACATATTGATGCTGTTAGTGGTAGCTCATATCAGCCAGAGTGCTTGGCTGTTGAGTCTGCTCATGCTCATCTTCAGGTGATGTGTTTGACGTCTCAGTGGTGAATGAAATCATGGCTTGAGGTTCACCAAGACCATGACCACTGGTGCTTGGCTCCTTACGTCAGCTTCCTCAGGTGCTCCTGGCTCTCTTATGACTCAGGTGCTTCCCCTCCCTCCTGATTTTGGGATGTTTCAGCCCTCAGCCTGGACATCTGCATCCCTCATATAGTTGCACGGGGATTTCTGGATCCTTACCATGCTATGAGCAAGCAGTAGGGAAAGACAGGAGCAGTATTTTGGGACCATCCATATAGACACCTCACTCTACAAATAATGCTCTATCATTCTTGCAACATGTCAGTCTTGACTCAGGGAGCAGAGCCCCACTTAGATGCTCTTGGATTCTCCTTCAAGGTATATGGGTTTGTTGTTCTTAAGTTTCTGTCAGCTTGAAGTTTCTATTATGATGTATCTATTGCTCCTCTGAAACCATGCTCAGGACATTAGGGCACTGAGTTTCAAGAAATCCACAACCTTACCCTGGTCTTATCTTTTTTGAAATTTTTCTAAATTTATTGCGTCTTCCTTCCAGAGGCCAGAGAGATTTGTATTTTTATTTCCTCTGTAATAGAAGGTGATCTTCCATCAAATTCTCACTTTTCTATAGAATAAAACCCTATGCTCAGATTTCCAGATTTCCTGCCCTTGATATGTACAAGTAAGGCTTTGGAATTTAGCAAAGCATTTTGCCTCAAAACAAAGCTTGGTTTGTAAGACTGTTACACTATGGATGCAAGAAAATATTTTTTTTGGTGTTTAAAGCTGAACAATGATTTCTTTATTCTAGGCAGCATCTGACTTCCCTCAGAAATGAAAAGAAGCCATTAAATCAGAAGCCAGAGGCAACATGATTTATGGGGATGGAAGAATCATTGTTTTAAACATCTCAAAATAGAATTCTCTTTATAACAGCAAGATCATGTTTCATTTCTGAATGCCTAGTGCCTAGCTCAGCATCTGCTACACAGTAGGCACTCAATAAACGTGTCTTGAATGAAAGGACAGTCTTGTTAGCTTTTTCCAGGTCACACTATATAGCATAACTTTGGATAACCAAGTTGATGTAAAATCAACTTAAGGATGTCTATGAATGAATGGAACACATCTGCATTGGACCTGGTTCCTGTGTCTCCCCACATTTACTCAGTCCCACTTAACCCCAGGGCCTAAGCTGCTATCACCTCACTCCTAACACAGTGATTCTTCAAGTACGGTATCTGGGTAAGTAGCATCAGCGTTACCTGAGAAATTATTGTAAATGCATGTTTTCAGGCTCCATCCTAGACTTGATGAATCAAAAACTCTGAAGTGGGATCCAGCAATTTATGACTTAACAAACCCTCTGGGTGATTCTGATGTTCATGCTGAACACTCTCTAACACCTCTGTCCAGTTCAGCCTCCACTAAGAATGAGGGTCAGGATTTATTATGGCCTCCATTGAACTCACCTGTTAGGAGCCTCAGCCACTTCCCTCCCCAGATTCTAGTGGATAAGATGATCAGAGCTTCTGGCTTCTCAGAGAGACCAGGTAACACAACTCAAGTTTGCCCAGGAAGTTCATGCCCTGTGTAGATATGTTGAGGTGATAGTGACAGTCTATGTAACATCTTAAGCCAGTTAGCTTAATCTTTTCATGCTTGTGGTTGAGATGAATTTAAGGCTGTATGAGAGTCACTGTAGGCCTGATTAAAGTTCAGATCTCAATGTTTATCTGGCCTGTCCTTGATGGTCAAGGACTTTTGTTAAGTCCACAAAATTCTGGAATGTATTATTATTATTATCTTAAATCAGGATTTTCTAAAGACAATCAGAGGACTTTGAGTAACTACAACTTTACTGTAGAATGTATAAGATACAATTTCCCTAGTGACTCAAATAAGCATGATTATAAACTATACACAAAAAACTTCCCCCAATACATAGTATGGTTCTGATGTTAAATTTTTAGTACATTTTCACTAAACAATGGGCAAAAACCTTAGGGAAATATCTCTGCCCTGCTACTTTTCTCTTGTTCTGGTTTTTAGTCATCCAGTGAGTCTCTTCTAAGTCCCATCTGTTCTAAATCCCAAGATGTCTGTGTTTGAATGTTTCCCTTTCTCATTATAATTGCAGACATTTCAGTTCTTTGTTAGTCCTGTTCAAAGTTCATGTTGATAATAGGAAAGCTTCATCAACACTGTGAATAGCTTTCTCCTCTGATTAATTCCTACTGGAAATTTCAATTTAGTTCTGGGACTTGAAAAGGCTTGTTTGAAAATGGCTGCTATCTGTCCCTCTAGAGGACTTTCCTCTTGGAGGGTTTATCATAGCTTGCTCTCTTTCTTTGTTCTGAATGCTTGTATCTCTGTGAAATCCCTCTGCATTGAATAACATTGGTTGTTCCTTTGATAGAAAGACACTTTCCAACCTGACATGATCGTGAAAGTCCTTTTCCCAGGCGCCTGCATACCACTTCCTGATAATTCTTATGTGTTACTGTCAAATATCTCTCAGCTTACGTAGCCACATGAAGTATTTTTGTTCAACATTTCTTATTCATGACTGTATAAAATTGATGAAGGAGTAATTTCATTAGTAACATAGAAAGATATCTGCAGGAAACATAACTGTAAAGAGGATTATGGGCCTTTAGAAAGTGCACGTGCCAAGAAGATCAAGGCCCAGATTAAGACCAAATGGCATGGACATAGTGAACTTTGTGTGTATGATCTGATCAATCTATTTAATAGAACTGGGATCCCTAGGAATGGAGACCAAGTAGTGGAAGATCAGAATGGCCTGGTGGATGATGCAGAGGCCTACTGAAGGCCACAGTGACTGACTTGGTGCTTGTGGAGCTCAAGATGAGGAGGACGTTAAGAACATCCAAGAAGAGACCAGTTGGGTAGAACTGACTGAGCAGAGGCCAAACGAGGATTAACAGTTAGTTGATGTTACCATAAACCTCATCAAAATCCTTTGGTGATACTTTGTTACTAATTCCAGAGTTCTCGGACTTTAGGAAATTACTTTTGTTAAAAATTCCTGGTTTGTGCCACAGAGGTTCTTATTATCTAGAGTCAAGCACAGAAGTGTTATCTTTAATAGCCAAAGTGATTTTTCCCACATTTTCAGAAACACTGACATTAAGGATAAAGTCCAAATTCCTGTTCATAAAACTTAGCATCTTCTAAGATTTTTCAAGGCTGTTCAAGCATTTCTTTATGAAGTAATTCTTAATACCATTGAGTGTGATGAATTTTTTTTGTGTGTACCATTGCATTTCACAGCATCATAGAGCTTTTAGAACATAAGAACAGCTACTCATTTACATTTCTGTCATTTTATTCAAGATAGTGAGCAATTAAAAAAGGGACTGACACTTGCTTTTGATTTCCCAGGGCTTAGCACAGTGCTTAGTATAGAACAAGCTCTAAAAAAATTAGTTCTACTGTATCTATAAATAAAACCAAGTGAAAGTTTTTCTTATCTCTGTAAAAGAACAGATATTGCTAACATGTTAAAAATTATCACAAAATTACATTGTACCATATTGTTTTTCTTCCTTGTGATGTCATTGTCTGACTTCAGTATCCAAGTAGTGGTCACCTCATCAATTGAATTGGGAAATGTTCCTCTGGCTTCTATTTTCTGAAAGAGAGAGAGAGAGAGAGAGAGAGTGTGTGTGTGTGTGTGTGTGTGTGTGTGTGCGTGTGTATGTGGGTTTTGATTGGTATTACTTTTTGCTTAAATGTTTGTTTGATAGAATTTATCAGAGAAGTCATCTGGGCTTTGATTTTTCTTTGTGGGAAGATTTTAAATTACAATTTCTTTACTTTATATAGGTCTATTCAGATTTTCTATGTATTCCTAACTCAGTTTTGGTAATTTGTGTCTTTCTAGAAATTTGTCTATTTCATGTAATCTATTTGGTATAAAGTTTTTTGTAACATTGTCTTATAAATATTTTGATAGCTCTGTGTTCTATAGTGAAAAACTCTACTTTGTTCCTAATTTTGGTAATTGATGTTATTCTTTTTCTTGGTCATTTTAGGTGAACTTTTACTAATTTTCCTTTTTAAAGAAAATTTAGGAAACTAAATTTTAATTGTATCAATTTTTCATTGCTGTCTGTTTTCTATTTTATTGATTTGCGCTTTGATCTTTATTATTTTCTTTGGCTTACTTTGGCTTTGATTTTCTCTTTTTTTCTACCTTTTTAAAAGGCAAACTTGGATAATTGATTTTAGATTTTTTTCCATTAAGAGTAGTGTTTACAGCTATAAAGTTTCCTCTAAGCAGTGTTTTAACTGCATCCCATAAAATTTGATATGATTTTTATTTAATTATTGTGTTCATATTTAGTTTGATATTTAAAAATTTCTGTTATTTTTTCTTGGTCTGTTAGTAATTTATAATTATGTTTTTCAATTTCCAAATAATTGAAGATTTCTCAGTTTTATTTTTGGTGTTGACTCATGATTATATTAAATTGTAGCCAGAGAACATTCTCTGTATGGTTTAAATCCTCTCAAATACAGTGACTTGTCTCATGACCTAGACTATGGTCTACGCTAGAGAATGTTCAGTGTGTTCTTGAAAATAATATGTAATATATATCCTGCTGTTGGTGGTGGGGTGTTCTATATATGTCATTTAAGTCAAGTTGGTTGGTGGTGTTATTCAGATTTTCTGTATCCTCACTGATTTTCTGTTTATTTTTTAACAGTAGATGTTTTAATTGAGCAGTAGTTCAAGAACCATTAATTTGACTGTATTCTCCATAAGAAACCAAAATCCTTATGATGATTTGAGATATAAACTAAAAGGAAAGAAAATAAGACTTTAATATTTGTTAAAAGTTAGCCATTGTGAACAGAAAGCTATAAATAGACAAAAATAGCCTTTAAATGGATAATTTTAAGTTGGATTTTGTTAGTAGGGACAAAAAACTTACACGAGTATACACATTTGTAATTATACCCCAATCAAGATGCAAGAACTTTACTCTTGAATGTGGTAGATAGTTAAGATAATAAAATCACAAACATATAAAAATTTATGTAGTATGATTGAAACACTGCTGACAGTACAATTACTATTGCAAAGGGGAATAAATACAGTATTTCTACTCCTCCCACTAACGGATAAGAAAGTTCATTTGTCCAGCTCCTTGAATGCAGACTGGTCTTAAGTCTTACCTTGTCCAATAGAAGTGATTATAGTGATGTTGTTCTGAGAATTCTTGCAAGTGTACCTTCACACTCTTGAAATCCTGCAAGCATCATGTTCGGAAGAAGCATGGAGAAGCCTACTTAAGGATAAGAGGCCATGGAGAAGAAAAGGGAGGCAACCCAACTCTGAGACCAACTCCCAGATGTATAAATGTGGCCATCTTGGACATTCTAGCCTAACCAAACTTCTAGCTCAGAGGTCAGCAAACTTTTTATATAAGGGCCAGGTAGTAAATATTTTAGGTTCAGTGGCCATATCACAGTGTGAATTAAGTGTCCCTTCTAAGTGTTCCTATAGACTTTCCTCATATCAGTTCCTATTGTGTAATATAGGTGCCCAGTAACTTCCTGAATTTCCCAGTAGACTACAGGGTCCATGGGGTCAGGGATCACATTTCTTTGGCTTATAATTGTACTCCAGTGTCTAGTATACTTTCTGGAATGTAGTAGGCATATGATAAATGTTTGTGAATGAGTGACTGAATGAATTTTTATTCTTTAACAAGTTAAGGATGAAGCAGGGTCAAAATTTATTCACATTTTCCTGTCTCATGAGATACTTAAGCAGATATTAAAAAATTAGTTAACTTGGTCTTGCATTAAGTTATAAGGTTACAAACCAAAGGCATTTTCTGCCTTCAAAAATTTTACCACATAGAAGAAATAGATATTACTGCTATCGCTACTGGCAATAACAGTAACAACCACCACCACCACTACCACAACCACCACAGTAACAATAATTGTTGAAGCTAATATTTTATTGAACAGACTCTGAATTTGAATTGGTATATGTAAGAAATGGCTTCTTGTTCCTCCAAGTAAGGTCCTTAAACATATTTGGTTGGATCATACTTTCGGGTCCACGGGTAGTTTTTTGGGTAGATTCCATAGGTGTTAAAAATCCCAAGCCAGTTTACCTAAAATCTTTCATTTTCAACCTGATTACAAGCATTTCTTTTCTCCAGAAGTCACTTTATCCCTTGACTTTGGGACCTTAAGTATGAAAGGAAGACATGGATTTTTTCTTCACTCTTCCTTCAACTTGTTAGTACCATTCTGCTACTGGCTGTTCCACACACGGACCATGGAGGTTGGGGAGTAAGTGGAGAAGAATTATAATCTTACAAAAATATTGTTCAATGGCCTCAATACACATGTAAACCCAGGCCTTCTTGGGTATACATCTGTGGGTCATTAGAAGCCCTTTATGAAGCTGTGTATACTGTACACTTCCTGACTTGGGTGATGCCCTGTTGAGCTGGTCTTCCATGCCTGCCTTCTTCCCCACCATTTCTCCTCAGGCCTATCTTGGTTATCTGTCACATACTTCTAGAGACTCTTCACTCTATCAGAGAGCCTGTTAGAGAGAATTCAAGATGGCTCAAATTCAGCCACCTTAAGTGATATATATATTTGCCAACAAATGTTGAAAGTGCAGCTCCCATTAGTGTCTTTTCTTTTTATGCTACTATTCCTGGCTACTCAGTTTTTGGCCTTTAGAATTCTGAAGACCATGAGAAAGTAAGTGTTTCATTATTCATGTTTGCCTACAAGCTTGAAGGAACACACATCATTATTTTTCCCAAGAACTTTGTCATAAGGCTTCATGCAAATTGCATGGCAGCAATGGAAATCATTATTCAACAATTCAGAACATGTCTGGCTGGAGAAAGAGAGATAGATGCCAGTGTCCCCTTTTGTAGGCATCCCAATCTCTACATGTAGCTATCTTTGCGTCTTCTCATCACTTTATTTTTGGAAGGAACAAGAAGTAGAATGTTCAAGATTCATTCATCAATTAGGTGAGAAAAAGCTGAGAGAGAGAGAGAGAGAAGAATCTAGGAGGACTTCAGGTTTTTATGTTGATGCTACTTGGTGATATTATTCACTAAAAAAGTAACATGCAAATAACAGTCTGTATTTGGTAAAGATAATTAATTTAATTTTGACCTAAGTGACAGTGGCAGGAGGGATTCAAATTTTTCCTCTCTAGGGATAAATGTATCACGTTTCAAAAGTGCATCAAAGAACAAGCAGAAATTTGACTGATGGCCAACAGTTCACATGTGCTTAATTTGGGTGGGAAACTGGAAGAGAAAGCCTTTACTTAATATGGTGAGGTAAGAAGGGACCAGATACTTAAACCTTGCCTATTGATACGGGTGAAATTAAACCATTTTGAAAATGACCTTCAACTTGTGCTAACCAGCTTGTTAGTTTTTAGTTCATTCTGACGAATTTCTGATGAATTGGAACATGCCTCATAAAGACAATGACATATATTCCCTCAAACTTTCTTTAGAAATCCTACCGCAAGATTGGCCAGATAGGACACAGTTCCCCAAAGAGAGCCACCTCTTGACATTCTTTGATTGTCCCTGTTTTTTTTTTTCTTTTTTTTGAGTTGAAGTTTTGCTCTTGTTGCGCAGGCTGGAGTGCAACAGTGCGATATCTCGGCTCACTGCAACCTCCACCTCCTGGGTTCAAGCAATTCTCCTGCTTCAGCCTCCCGAATAGCTGGGATTACAGGTGCCTGCTACCCCGCCCAGCTAATTTTTTGTATTTTTAGTAGAGACGGGTTTCATCATGTTGGCCAGGCTGATCTCAAACTCCTGACCTCAGGTGATCCCCCCACCTCGGCCTCCCAAAGTGCTGGGATTACAGGCATAAGCCACTGCGCCCGGCCTGTCCCTGGAATTTTAACTTATTCATCAATGAATTCAGCATGGATAAGAGTTTAATTACTGTTCTATTTTTAAAAATCTAAATATCTCAAAGTATAATTACTTAATGCTATAAAAGAGTAGCATGGCAATAGCAAAAGATCTATTGAATATTTAAGATGCATTTAAACTTGATCAGCATGTACATCCTCTGAAAAGAATGCATTAATATAGATAAGTCTTATTTTCCATAATTTATGATCACACTTCCTTGAAACAATATCCAAGAACCAAGTAAACTTTTAAGAGCAATTTGAGAAATAGCCATCATAGCTATCATTTAAGGAGTGCCTACTGTTTGTCAGCAGCTTTACCTCCTCAAATCTTGAGTGCAACTATGCAAAGTAGGGATTACAATTATCATTTTATTAACCTGAAAGCAAAGTCTTAGAGATCCTAAATATTCCTAACTTCACATGGTCAGTCATTGGTAGAACTAGAATTTGAACTCTGATATGTTGGAGCCCCACATTTATGTTTTTTCTACTTACCTTTCCAATCAATAATTGAGTATACAGATTAAAGTTTGGTCAAAGATTAAAAAGATTAAAAAAATCATTCTTACAGTTGCTATTTGGTTTTTCTTCTTGGGAAGAAATTAGTAGATATGCTTATGTTGATGGTGGTTCTTCTCATTAACTCACTGCGTGTGCTGTTTGTAGTTGCTGTTGTTGAAGTTCATGGTGCCTCATGAATGGCCACTAATTTAAAATGGCCTTAAAATCAACTAGAACAGTGAAAAATATTGACATAGTCAGGTAGAATGGAATTCTTAAATGAGAGATTCCGATTAAATTTTGTACCAGGTGTCAATATTTCTAAAATTCCAGTCAACATAAATTTATTGGGCGATTGATAAACTATGAGTATACAAATGTTATATGAAGAGAAAAAAGCTAACTTGTCAAAAAAACACATGAAGAGTGCTACAGCATCAGTGTGTGTACACCTTGCTATGGGAACAGAGAAGAGAAAGAATCACCCATCTGGACCTGACACGTAGTTAGAAGGCAAACCTGATGTAAGTCTTGAAGGTTACCTAAAGAGAAGGTATGACAGGCATTACTAATATAAAAATAATGGCCAAAGAATGAAGGTCTGAGAAAGAAGCTTCATGTATTGATACATCAGTTTTTTTTCATTATTTAAGATGGCAAAAAAGGATGGTATCATGAAATTTTACAGTTGAAAGAGACACTAGAATTCATTTAGTGCAATTTCCCCATGTAATTCAAGAGTTATTACTGTAAAAGCCCTAGCATATTATGCCAAGCAACGTTCTCCCTGTTTATTTTTCTATGTAACTAATGTTACTGATAGTCTAAAAAAGAGACCCAAATATGAAAAGAGAAACTCCAGTCTCAGAATATACTGCTCAAGGACTGTGCCTATTTTTCTGGATTCCCCATGGTACACAGAACTTTCCATGGGGAAAATTAGATATTCAATACATAGGATCTGCCTTCCAGACTGGCACCCTGGAAGCAGTTTAACATGAAAAGGATCATTTCAGTGACTATGTGGAAATTGAGCCTCGCTCATTTTTGTGACAACTACTGGAGCTGAAGAGCATGCTAACTAAATTGTACAAGTAGGAGAAGGCAGTCAGGACTCTTTGCAGCTTTGTGCAATATGAGAGAGAGCCACAGGCTTTTTGTAAGTGCGGGTGTGTAATAATTGGCTTTTAGTGGAAATTACTTATGGAACTTTTTAAATATCACAGTAAAGAATAATGTTAAGTGGGTAAGTACTGAAGGTACAAGACATAACCAGCCAATTATGTAAAGAATCTCATTTTATATGCACTGGAAATGCTGGCAAGTAGCTTAGAAGTATAGAAATTTTAGAGCTAAATGGTCTTTATAGAGCACTTCAACCCCTTTTTCATTATTGGTGAGAAAACTATAGATCAGAATATTTTCTTCTTCTCTAAAGTCCCAAGTGTGAATTCACTTCATTAATTTTACTAGTCAGCAGGCAATCTTTCCAACTTGATCAAGCAGATAGGCCTAGCCCATAACACAGAATTATTTCCAAACTAGTGCTTCCATGAATGCAGAAAAGCCCATTGTTCTTTGTTAAAACAATAGAGGAGAATAAACTTTGAAGGGCTCATGTTATCTGTTTATTGAATATTTGCCTATAAAAGCATATATGTTCTACCTAATCGATTTAATAGGTTCAGCTCATCCTATATGTTTCTAATCAGAGAACTTAGGCATTTTGAGGATGATACTAACATTTTTAAAGAGTGATTAAGAAAAAAATTACACAGCTGTTACTAATGACTGCATTAACATGTCTTTAATACAAAAGTATTAAATACAAAAGTATTTAATACAAAACTATTTTCACTTTTGTTCCTTCATGAATCCGTGTCTCAGACTCAACAAGTAGAATGGAAACCTGAATAAGATCAGTGAATTATATGAATGTTAATATCCTTATTGTCATAATAGTCTATAATTCTGCAAAATATTACCATCTGAGGAAACTGGGCAAAGTGTGCAAAGGATCTCTGTATTATTCCTTACAACTGCATGTGAATCTATAATTGTTTCTCTCTATATAAATTAATAAAAATATAGATTTTGTTTCATATAAAAAAACAAGGTATTACCACATATGTTTGACTATATTATTATTGTGAAATTTACTTTTTTCCTAGTGAATAGATTAAAGAAAAGTTTTAAACTAACTATATTTATTCATTCGGTAAATATTTACGGCATGCCCACAATATGTCGATTCCTGTCTGATGCACATGAGGTCCAAAAGTAAACAAAATATACAAATATCTCACTCTCATGGAAATAAAAACTTTAAATAATGTAGATAAATTTATTATATTGGTATAATATTTAATTTACTTAGTCACATGTGCATATTTAATATTATATACATTAATGACATCAATTTTGAACATCCTTTTTTTTTTTTTGAGATGGAGTCTCACTCTGTCACTCAGGCTAGAGTGCAGTGGTGCAATTTCAGCTCACTGCAACCTCCACCTCCCAGGTTCAAGTGATTCTCCTGCGTCAGCTTCCTGAGTAGCTGGGACTACAGGTGTGCGCCACCATGCACAGCTAATTTTTGTATTTTTAGGAGAGATGGCTTTTGCCATGTTGGCCAGGCTGGTCTCGAACCCCTGACCTCAGGTGATCCACCCACCTTGGCCTTCCAAAGTGCTGGGATTACTGGCATAAGCCATCGTGCCCAGCCCATCCCTTTTTTTCAATCTCACATTAAAAAAAAAAATTCATACTTTTTACAGGCAGTTTTGATAACAATTTAACAAATCAGTTTTAAAGCCATTTTTTTGATTCATCTACAAGTTTTACAGACTAAGAATACTGTTTTTAAGTTGAGATAATGATGGTATGCTACAATAATCCATATGCATAACAGTAGCATTATTGTTTTTTCATTGTTTCTGTGGGTGGATATTCATGGCTTCCTTAAAGTAACTGCTTATTATAATGACTTTTGAAATGACTGCTCAAAGGCTTCTTTACAATGACATCCAGTGATGGTGATATCACATCTCTAGTTATGATTACTAAATGTGCAAAATTTCTTGGTTCTTTTTTTTTGGTAACTGATTCTGCAAGGTAACCTCTAATAACTGCCATAAATTGATGTTATTTTATGGTAATGTATCTTCCCAGTTTTGTTCTTTATAATAAAGCAATTGAGAAAGCTTCTCCAACTATTACTACAACTTCATAAAGACTTAAATAAAGACAGTTTCTTCGCTAAGTCACAGAGAAGGTATAATCATAAGTATGGGTATTTCTACCATATGTTTAGGCATATGGTAGAAATAATGCAAACATATGGTGGAAATAATCATACTTATGATTGTACCTCCTCTGTGACTTTTCTATTTCTCCCACACTCCTCCTTTGGGACCCTTTTTACAAAAGAAAGTGAAAAACATAATGCCCTTTGGTTTCTGTGTCTTTATAATAGTTCCATATTTTCACAGAGAAGTCTAGGGCTGTCTTCATAATGCATGATAGATAACCTCTCTGGAGGCCAGTCATTTACATTTAGAGAGTTGGAAGAGTTTTACCTGACGAGGCTTCTTTGTGCATTTGGCAGAGGAATGGCCAGAGTAAACCACAGCCATGCAGCAGAATGAGGACCTGGATTATGTACAGTTGCTGGAAGAACTATTGTCAGCATGAAGTTTGTACAGAATTGGTCCATCCACAGATGTTTATTGAGCATATACTGGGAATGATTCAAAGAATTTCTGAGTACCTTAACTGGTGTGTGTTGACCCTGTTCACTGCCCTTCATGTTCCTCAGCATTGACAAGAGCTCCTTCTATCACTTTTTAAAGGATGTTAAAGACATATAAAGTAGGCATTCATCACAATAATTGGGTGTCCTAGGACTCAGTGCCAAATCCAAAGTATGCATCACACTTTTTTGGGGCCAGCTCTCAATGTGATAGTTTAGCCGTCATAGTATAAATGTAATGGAATCAGTTCTCAAATTGTTATTATTTTTGATAGGTGACTTTGCTTGGTTAACACATGGTTGCAGTACAAACCCATGGTTAACAATGTCAAAATCAAACATTATTATTTGTCTATAATTTGGAAAACTCAAATGATGATTAATTTTGGAAGGGAATGGGGCATTGGTCCTTAAAAATGTATTCCTTCTGTTTTATCTCAATATACAGGTGAACCATAAATAACGATTTTAAAAATATATGATCATATTGCTGAGATGTTATGGCATCTTGCTTTTCTGCAATACAAATTTTGCATATATTTTCTTCCATAAATACTCATTGCTTTATGCACAAAACCCACAATTCACTATTTCATGAAATGATTTAATGGTCCATTTTTATAATAATGCAGATTTAGGTGCATAATACAGAATAAAAGTAAATTTTTTTTCTCTAAGTCATAGAACCGGTAAATTGCTTCATAATGTTTCCTTGCTAGGATAATTTCCTTTGAATTGATAACTTATTTTTAAGGCTTCTTGTAAAAGTATAATTGTGAGTCAAAATGGTTCACACAAATTAGATTTGTTTGTTTTGCATATTTTGAATTATGTCAGAAATAGCCTTATATTATTCTCTTATAGTCTTTTTTATATAATAATAATAGTCATAATTCAATAGAGCAAAACAAATTGAATGCAATTCCCAAATACCACATGACAACTTTGTCTCATATCAGTTTTCTTTTATGTGCTAAAAAGTGACTAAATAAACTAAAAAAGTTTTAGGATTAAAAGACATATAATTAAAAACTATATTTTTGGGGGGAATGATGTCAACAGATGAAAATCACGCAGCAGAGAAATGAATGTTAAGTGGACATATTGAAAATTGTATTCATTCAACACTGATCCCGTAAAGGCCCATTAAAAACTCAGCTGATTAGCCTCAAGGAGAAGCTTGAGGTTTTAAACTCAGGACTGAAGGAATGATTGTCAGGCTTAAACAAACACCTTTGCCAGCACCCTGTTGCCTGAGGACAAGTTCAGAGTCCTGTAGCATTGACAGTTGGGCCCCAGTGTTTCCAGTCTTCAGCACAGTGTGGTAATTATGGGTAAGACAGACCTGGTTCAAATTTGTGTCGTGCTCTGGCACTGCACTAAGAAATAATTTCACATTCCTCTGAAGTCCTGTAACAATAGCCCTGGTGTTTCTGTTTCAATGACATAACATGTTACCTTGAATTAGGATATTTGAGTTCGTATCTTGTTTCTTCTCCTGGACAGACTCTATATGCTTTGAAGGATAAGAATAGTGTTTTATTTACTTTTGCAACTCCCAATACCATTTAGTTCAGTATGTACACAATACATATGGACTGAAAGAATCTACGAAAGGAAATAAACGTGTCTTTTGAGAATTATACAACAAGAACAAGAAAATCCATCAATCAACCAAACAGAGAATAATTATAAAGTTTTATTTGCTATAGAAGTTATAGAAAACTATGGAGCTAAGAAATGCCTATTACAATTTATTCAGTTCTACCATAACTAGCCTAGCTGAGGTGTATGGAACAGTAACCCAACAGGTTAAGAAGACAGTATTTCTTCCTAAGTCTTTTTTTTTCTTCTTCATCTTTGTAAACTAATTAATATTACTAGTAAAATAACTTTGACTCCAAATTGTTTACCTAAGCAAATTAGTATCTGACACTTTGAGAACTAATGACTAGACTACTACTTCCTAATCATGCCTTATGGTCACCATCAGCTAGAGCTGACTACTCAAAGTCTGGTCCTGTAACCAGTGTTTTTCATATTCCCTGGGGTCTTGCTAGAAATGCGGATTTTAGGTGCCACTGCAGATGCATTGAGTCTGAAGCTACACTCTAACAAGTTCCCTAGGTGATTAGTTTGAGCATTAACATTTGAGAAGTATTGACCTTAGACATTTGTTCAAAGTACTGATTGTCAGGCCCTCTGTTGCAGATTCTAATGTACTAGGCAGTTTCTGCAAATCGGTATTTTTAGTACCAGTGATTTTTTAAAAATTAGAGAGCATAGTTACAAAATACCAAACTGGTCCATTCAGGGACAGAATATTTTAAATAATAACCTTACAAGTCTACTTCTCTTTATACAGTTCCAATGTTATATAGGTGGAAGGGAAGAAATCAAGAAAAGGAACAAATATCTACTATGGAACATTTAGGCCCACGCAGTTAATCTGCAACTGGGATGTTTGATGTTTCTGAAGTGCAATCCTGTAATTAGGAGATAAACTTTTATTTATTTATTTTTAGCTTTAACTCTTTTTGATGAAGATATGCTAACATTGTATTTTATACTTTTTTTACTTTGGCAACATAATTCATTTTGTAAGGATGATGTTATCAGTTTTACGTGCATATTTGTGCTATGATGTTATAAAACAGTACCTTGTGGCATCTCAGGTATGTACTGATGTCCATTTACATAAGGAATGATCCAAACAGATGGACAAAGTATATTATACATACATGAAGTGTGTGTGTAATTTAATATATGCATATATATTCACAAATAAAAATGCATGTATACATTTTGATGTATGTGCTTGTAAATGGATATCAGTACAAAATACCCAACACAGTTTACTAATGTGATTGTTTTATCAAAATCCTTGCAGGAAGGAATGGCTTTAAATCAGTTTTTTTTTCCTTTTCAGGTCTTATAATCATTTTAAAGCTATAATAATAAATTTACTTAGTTAGGCCTATTGCCAAAATAATGAAGGACAGGTCTGAATCAAATACACTAAATTTGCTTTCAGCACTTGCCACAATGAGAAGAGCTTGTTTCAAAGCAATACAATGGTACCAAGGTGAATGGGGAGTTCTGGTGAATCTGCGGCCTTCCTGGGAAAGTTGTTTGGAACTAAAAAGCAGTAAGCACAGAGAATATATTAGAAGATTTCCTCCTGTAAAAATAATGAACTGACAAAGTATTTGCTGAGATCAAACCTTTTAACCTCAGAAACAAAGGCTCTATGAAAACAATGCCAAAGAGTGACCATAACGAAACATTCTCCTTTACCTCCTCTGTGACGCTTCTGTGTACTCACAGTTGTCATTTTTCCCAAAGGTAGCCTCAGTGTGATGTTAGGAGTAGTCTGTTTGAGTTTATGGTTTTTAATACTGATGATTTGGGGCGATTATGGAAGCTTGCCTGAAACTTTCCTACTTCCTATAAAACACTTCCCTTATCTACATGAATACTTTGTAGTGCATTCACTATTTACTCATAAACATGCTTTCCTTATTCTGTAATTTTTTAATCTAAATCTTAATACTTCAATTCCTTTGAGTGGGGACCATATCATTTAAATCCCATAGACACTACTTATGTAGTATTAGATGCTGAATACACTTTGCCTAGATGTAACGAGGTGGAAATATGCTACTTGGCAGTTTAAAATTCATTCCACAAAGATTTATTCAGTATTTACCATATAATATGGACTGCCCTAAGTGGTGGGGAGAGAAGATAGATGTGATCCTGTCTCTTAGAGAGCTTAATGTGAATGGTGGAGATGGGCAAGTAAGAAGACAACAGAGTGACATATATTCTGATGGAAAAAGGAGAGGTCTTATCGGCAACTCAGGATGGGGAATGGAGGAAAATTTCCAGAAGTGCTCTAAGTGGGCATCTTTAAAATAGTAGGAGACAGAGAATAGAAACTGCTGTGGATGGATCCCAGGCAGAAGGCAGAGCATGTACAAGTCTCCTACACTGAGAGAACATGGAAAGTTTAAAGACATAAAAGAAATTCAATGTGGTGGGAGGGTATGTCCTAGAGGTAATAACACCTGACATTTGTAAAGTTTACAACCACATCCTCATGCATTATCTAGCTTACTACTCAGGACAATCTCAGCTGACATGTAAGTAAGTTTAATAGAGATGAAGTAAATTCCTTGCTCAAAATTACAGTTGAACCTCAACTTTCTCGTGCTGAATTCACATTTCATTCTATTGTTATCTTTTGTATTCTAGTATATTGTCCTTGAATATTTATAAATAATGTATATGCCATTCAATGTATATGAAATCATCAATCATTCTTAGAATTTAATGAAATCTAGTTATTTATTCAGCAGTTACCTCTTCCTCCACATTTTTTTAAAAAAAAAAAAAAAAAAAGACTGTTTCTAGGGACTGTGAGACACCAACCTCAGGAGAGACACCTGGAGAGGTTAATTAACACAGAATTGATAATTAAAATCCAATAATAAAATTATACATTATTGGGCCGTAAATCTCACAGAAAGGTACAGATTTAATGGGTGTCAGGAAAGACCAGCATTTTAGCAATTATTTGTGGGGATAGAATCTTACCCTAATTCTAATTTTATAGACCTATCTGTTAAAAGAGTTTTATTTAGCAAGTGGTTTTGAATTGTGTCTTCAGCTTTTTATCACAGACTGGCATTTAAAGTATAAATAAGATAAACCTAAACTTTAAAAACTTTGATCTTCATGCTTTTTAAAAAAAAAATAGCTTAAAATAGTGAGGCCTAGAGAAAAATACCAGCTTTGAAACCCATCTGCTCACTTATAAGGAAAATCCCCTCTTTGAGCCTCGGTTTCCTGATCTACAACAAAATATACCTTCTAAAGTTATTGTGAGAATTAAACAAATAGTAACTATTTTATATTAATCTAAAATCTAATTACTCAGTAATAAATTTTTGAATTTATTCAGTTCTTACTAAAGTACCCATATCTCTTTAAACTTGAAAGAAAAATAAGACTCGAGATGAAGGTACTTTTTGAAATATAAATTATTATACAAATGTATCTAGAACACAGCGTGGTAAATGGAAGATACTAAAAAAATTATTAGGTGAATTATTTTACCATTAATAGAAAAGCAGACCAAAGATGTACAAATTCAAAACATTAATTGGGGAAGAAAGCAACCCAGGAAAAGAGTGGTATGGATACAAAAAGAGGTCTTATCTAATTCTCATAAGAAAAATCACCTTAAAAGTGGCAATAAAACAAAAGCAGGACGTGTGTTCTCAACATCATACCTGAGCATTGTTTAACAAGCCCACCCAAGGATTATTTAATTTCCTAGGAGAATATATCCTTGTTTTATTACTACTGATTGATTACTATTGATTATGGCCCAGGCTTTATGAAGTTGACATGTTAATTTGTAGATTTTTGTCTCATAGAGAAGAAATTTTCTAGTACAGATGCAAATGAATAGATAACCCCAATGGTTATAGTTTAATTGTCCTGTAGAAGATTAACCCATCTCTTCTCTAACTTAGCAAGCCTATTTCAGCAGATCTTCTTTGACAGGATATATGAATCTCTGTTTCTCAAGTGCTATTTGAACCAGCTTTATCATCCTCCTGGTTGCCTCACTTGTGAAATAAATAAGTCTTTGATATATATATTGTATATTTGTAAAATGCTTTTAGCTATTTGAAAATTAAGCTTGGCAATGAAAATTTACTTACCATTGAAAGTTTCCACAACAATGTAGGAAAGAAAGATAAGGACACTCTTAAACTTTCAACTGTTAAACACTATCCTTCATGAACAGGGTGAGTAAAGACATAAGGCCATGTGCAGTGGCTCACACCTGTAATCCCAGCAATTTGGGAGGCCAAGGTAGGCAGATCACATGAGGCCAGGAGTTCGAGACCAGCCTGGCCAACATGGTGAAACCCCATCTCTACTAAAAATACAAAAATTAGCTGGGATGGCAGCATGGGCCTGTAATCCCAGCTACTTGGGAGGCTGAGGCAGGAGAATCGCTTGAACCTGGGAGGCGGAGGTTGCAGTGAGCCAAGATCGCTCGTGCCACTGCACTCCAGCCTGGGCAACAGAGTGAGACTCTTGTTTCAAACAAAACAAAACAAAACAAAACAAAAAACAAAAAAAACCATGAAGCATTGCCTTATTTCTGAAACTTGTTTGGCCTTATATAGGTAGCATAATGAGGAAATGAAATGTTTTATTAAAAGAAAAAGGTAACAAATCACACAATTACTTTGAGATAATAATACAAATGAGACACATTGGGAGGTATGAATTATTGCTTAAAGCTACATAAATATTCTAGTAAGCATGTGTAATGAGATGCACTGTGGAGAATTTCTTTTTGCTTTTATTTGTCCATTTGGTTTGTTTTGGTCTAGGGAGAGATACCAGAAAGTTTTCTGAAGAGAGTCAGGGGATTCTAGATGGTACAGAATTTTGGAAGCATTTAAATTTACTGTTAGGAAGGTGACCAAGTAACCTCATTGTTCAAGGAAGGGACAGTAGTCTTACATTTTAGATATGTAAGGTTTGAAGGAGAAGCCCAGGAAGAGACTGTGAGAAGGAAGATGTATGTGGTTCTGGGCTCTGAATTTGTGGTTTTGTGATTACTTCACTCACCCTGAACAAGAATTCTGCAGTAGGCTGCAGCCTGGCCTGGGACAGCACCTGGAAACGTGGGGGACCTCTGTGGGTGGTTTTGTGTCAGAACCCATGATGCCAACAGGAATCTAGGAACCAAAGCTGCGCTTTGCTCCTGCCTCCGCCTTTCAGACCAAGTGCTACTCTGTGGACAGTGCTCCCCCTTGTGCTCTTATCAGGAGATGCACATTAATTCCTCTAACTGCCCTGGTTTTTATTGTCGGAGTCTCCCTCTGTCGCCCAGGCTGGAGTGCAGTGGTGCGATCTCTGCTCACTGCAACCTCTGCCTGCCGGGTTCTAGCAATTCTCCTGCCTCAGCCTCCCGAGTAGCTGGGATTACAGGCGCACGCTGCCACGCCCCGCTAATTTTTTTGTATTTTAGTAGAGACGGGATTTCATTGTGTTCCTAGTCTCGAACTCCTGAGCTCAGGCAGTCCACCCGCTTCGGCCTCCCAAAGTGCTAGGATTACAGGCGTGAGCCACCGTGCCCGGCCAACTCCCCTGGTTTTTATGTCAGGGAGAATCTGGTGTCAGGAGCGTACTTTGGTCAGGCTTAATAGAAGAACTGAGGAGATGATACGGGTAGTAATGGAAAGTTAGAGAAATGTCATTGTCAAACATTCTGTAAAAGATCAGAATACTTAGAATGAGTGGAAGCTTTTAAGATAATATAAAAAATTTGCTCAGGAGATGAATGAATGATAAAGGAATGAATCCAAGCTATGAGTGTGTGTGTATGTGTGTAGATTTCGAGGTAAGATGATATGTAATAGCATAAAGACTAGTCCAAGGGTGTATTTCATATTTATGACAATAATATGTTAGTATTAATTAGTATTATCGGAGGAGTAGAACCTTTACATTTAATTTTAAAATCATCACATGAATATACCAGGGTCTGTATTAGTTTCTATCACGGTAATACAATTTACCAACAATTTGGTGGCTTAAAACAACACAAATTTATTATTTTACAGTGCTGGAGATTAGAACTCTGAAATGGGTCTCACTAAGCTAAAATCAAGATTTTGGCAGGGCTGCCTTTCTTCTGCAGGCTCTAGGGGAAAATCCATTTCCTTGCTTTGCCTTTCCTAGCTTCTAGAATCTCCCTGAATTCCTCATTTCATGGCCCCCTTCTGTCTCTAAAGCCAGCAGTGGCTGGTCCAGTTTTCCTTAGGCTGCGTCACTCTGGCACTGACCTTCTGCCTCATTCTACTACATTTGATCCTTGTGATTACGCTGGGCCCTCTGGGGTAGTCCAGGATAATTTCTTTATATTAAGGTCAGCTGATTAGCCATCTTAATTCCATCTGCAACCTTAACTTCACTTTGCCATGTAAAATAGCATAATCATAGTTTCCAGGGATTAGAATATGGACATCTTTGAGTGGGGACATTATTCTTCCTACCAGTCACAAAGGCAGGTTGAACAAGACAGCATATGAGAAACATGGAGTATGTTTCACTGGATCAAAAAATAGCATATACAATTTTTAACTCTGTTTATTGGCTTCATTGACTTTTTTTAGTGCATTGTGTTTGTAAAAATCTGTGATTACTACTTGGGATTTTTCTTTCTTTCTTTTTTTTTTTTTTTTTTTTTGAGAAGGAGTCTCGCTCTGTCTCCCAGGCTGGAGTGCAGTGGCGCGATTTCGGCTCACTGCAAGCTCCGCCTCCCGGGTTCACGCCATTCTCTTGCCTCAGCCTCCTGAGTAGCTGGGACTACAGGCGCCCGCCACTGCGCCCGGCTAATTTTTTGTGTTTTTAGTAGAGACAGGGTTTCACCGTGATAGGCATGATGGTCTGGATCTCCTGACCTCGTGATCCACTCGCCTCGGCCTCCCAAAGTGCTGGGCTTACAGGCGTGAGCCACCGCGCCCGGCCGGGATTTTTCAAATCAAGTTCATTGTGATAATATGGTAAGTTAGTTTTAGATAGGTTTTTAAATACTTAATATAATTTTATCTGGATAAAAGTAGATTTATTTTCTTTTTACTGATTATAAACTAATATCTGCTCTTTATATAATTACAAGAAGATAACAGAGAAACAGAAAAGGTAAGAAATAGAAAAGTTTTGTGGGGTATAAAGAAGGCCAGGTGCAGTGGCTCATACCTGTAATCCCAGCAATTTGGGAGGCTGAGGTTTGAGGATTGCTTGAGCTCATGGGTTTGAGACAAGCCTGGGCAACATAGTGAGACTCCATCTCTACAAAAAAAGCTTAACAAATTAGCTGAGTGTGGTGGCACACACCTGTAGTCCCAGTTACTCAGGAGGCTAAGGTGGGAGGATCACTTGAGCCTGGGAGGTTGAGGCTGCACTGAGCCATGATTGCACCATTGCACTCCAGTCTGGGTGACAGAGTGAGATCCTGTCTCAGAAAAAAAGAGAAACATAAAAAATAAAGGCAACTCATTCATAGTCCTGTTATAGACAATTCAAAGTGTGTTTTAGAGTTTCTTTGAAGATACACTGATAGGCCTAAAAACATATAGCAATATCCGTTTGTTTAGATAAATGGGCTTATCCTTTATTCATGTCAATAAATATAGTTCTGCATCATGATTTTTATTGCTTTTCAGGACTCCTTTGTGTGATGTATCATTATTTAAATAATCTTATTGTTTGAGATTTTACACAATTCTTACTTTTCTCCCTTTAAAAATACTGTAATTAAATGAAATAAAGTAAATACTATTATTAACATTTTATGGATATTTATTTGGTACATTTTCTGTTGATTTCCTTAGGATAAATTCTAGAAGTAGGTTAAATTGTATCAATTTAAATTGTCCCTTTTTCTCAAGGATATAAATGAATAAAACAGCTAACAAGCCTGGAGAATAGAGATTTTATTATAACATTGGATGATGTAAAATGTATTGCAGAATAGAAGAAAGACTTTTGCACATAAAGTTTGAATGTCTATTGTTCATGTAGTTGCATTATACTCTAGTACAAACTGATTTTATTAATTTGTTTAAATCTCACTTTCATTCTTTCCTTGGGAGTAATACGTGCATCCTGAGACTAATAGGCAATGAGATTCTTGCACAGGAAGTGAAAATGAGCTACAAAAAATAATTTTACTCTATTTTGAAAAAGAAGACCCAGAAATGTAGCTAACAGCCCGTTATATGCTATGGGTCCTTTAGGTCATGTCTTTGGGCCTTTGCTTGTCAAAGGATGGGGCTGAAAAGATGATTGATTTTCTTCTGGCTGTAACATTCTACTAGTCTTCAGTGCTCAGCGTTAAATGAAATGATGTTTTGATGTTGAAAATACTAGTTTACATTATTTATTTATGCACCCTCTTTATTTCCAAAAAGGCCTGGAGCAACATACAATAAAAACTTGAATATAATAAGGCCAAGAATCACTCTGTAATAAAAGTCGAGCCACTCAAACTTTGTGCATCAGTTTTATTGGTGGAAAGGGAATCTGAAAAAAACATAATACACAGCTGTCAAGTGGATTATATGGAATGATGTATATAAAATTTCCTGCGTTGTTCGTGGTCTGTAGTTCCCATCTCTATCCTCCCAGGTAAAAAACGGAAGACAGGGAAATATTGTAACAAAACTCTGAGCGAAGAACATGGCAGTCATTAAACACAAAAATAGGCCCAACTTGGTGCTGCCCGGTAGCAAAATCGAAAAAGAGACAGATATTTTTCTGACCATAAGTCACCTATAGATCTCACCAGTAGAGTCTTTATACATAACATTGCATAACTTGAGGCATATCTTTAATAACAATTCTATCAAAATATATTTTCTATATAAAAGGTTCATTAAAGATTTTTAAATTCAAAACATAGTATCTTCTGGAAATACTGAAAAACGATTGCAGATATATTTATCTAATATTTGATACCTCCTGTAGCCAGTAAGTCCTGGCAAATTTCCTAAACCTTAATTTAACACATTTAAAAATAAATTCTTGTGAGTAGAGAATTTCAAACATGTTTATAGTCTATGACCTACTAATTTAGCCCGAGAAGAAGCTAGCCTAAGGTTAAATCAAATACAAAATCCAGAGAAAGGCTTAAGTCATTCAAATATTTATTGCTGCATTATTTTTAATAGATAAACATTACACATGACCTAAAGAAACCAAAGTCTGATAATGGGTAACAAATAAATGCTGATACATAGAGCTGACATATGTGATACATGCAAGTATCAGAATTTTCTTCCTTTTTGAGGCTAAATAATCAATTGCGTGTATATGCTACGTTTTATGTGTCCATCCATTAATGGACACGTGGGTTACTTCTGCCTTTTGGCTATTGTGAATAATGCTGCTATGAACACTGGTGTACAGTCTGTCTTTGAAACCCTGCTTTTAATTATTTTGGGCATATACCTTGAAATGGAATTGCTAGATTATATGGTAACTTTTACATTTTTGAGGAACTGTTATATTGATTTTCATAATGGCTGTACCATTTTACATTCCCACCAATCATGTACAAGAGTTTCAATTTCTCTACATCCTCGTCATCCTTTGGTATGTCCTGTTTTTTTTTTTTGTTTTCATACTGGATGTCCTAATGGGTATGAAGTAGTAACTCATGGTGGTTTTGTTGTGCGTTTTCCTAATGACAATGATGTTGAGCCTCTTTTCATATGCTTCTTAGCAATTTGTATATCTTCTTTGGAGAAAAGTCTGTTCAAGTGCTTTGCCCATTTTTAAACTATTTGTTTTTGAGTTGTAGGAGCTCTTCATTTGTTTGGTGATTTGAAGATATATGATTTATAAATACTGTCTTTCATTCCATGGGTTGCCTTTTCACTCTGTTGATTGTGTCCTTTGATGAGGAAATGTTAAATTTTGATGTAGTCCAGTTTATCTAGTTATGCTTTCATAACATACTTACCTAACATAATTTAGAATACAGTGCAATGATAGTTATAAAATGTATAACATGAATAGGATCATGTTAACGGAAAAAGTAGGAAAAAAAACTGTAAATAAGAAATCCCTAATTTAAAACATCAAAAACTAATGAATTAAGTCCCACAATGGTAAACTGAATTTTTATTTCTGAAATAGACGGTGTTCATGTTATGTATGCTGTACTTAGGTTCTAAAAGCACATTTCACACTATTTAAATAGAATAGTTTATCAGAAAACAAGTCAAACAGAAATACATGCTTTTTAAAGAATGCTTTAATCGTATACCACCAAGTATTTAAATTATAAGGCACAATACATTTATTTATGTAGTAATATATTATCCAACATATTATTGGATAATAATATTGGTAACTTTTTTGCACAAGTTATTTGAGGCTTCTTAAAATGCTAGGCAGGTTTTATTAAAGATGACTCTCTTCCTATTTATTCTACTTATTTGTATTTCTACTTATCCTTATTTGTAGCAATACAGGCATGCTTCATCATGTCAAGAAACTTTGTACTACATTCAAATTTTACCTCATACATTTATACATTCGTCTATTCAATTATTTTATTTTCAAATGTTTGCTGTGGATATGATGGTGAACAAGAGACATAATGTGTCTGTCCTCATGGAGCTTACATTTTATTAGGGGAAGATAGATATTATACATGGAATAGGTAAGCAAATCTGGCAATGTCAGAGAGGGAAAGTTTCTATGAAGGCAATAAAGTAGGAATAGCAACAGAGAAGGGGAGAACTATTCTCCAGAATGCTGGCATTGCTTATTTTACTTGTATCTATATCTAGGAGAATACTGAAAAGTTTTCTGTTAGCTAAAGTATGGTTTTCATGCTTAGTTCTTTTTTAAAAAAATCTTCAACAGTTCTTACTTTTCCATTTCAATAAGAATTTCAATGCTAAAATTTTTGGATCCAATAATTCAAACCACGAAAGAAACTTTTAGTTCTAGGATATGTGTAATGTGTGTAATGTTTGTCACAGTTTCAGTGATACTTATTATAGCATAAAGTTTCAAGATCTTGACCAAACTTAGGGCAGAGTTTTTTCCAAATTCCTTTATGATTGAACTATGGCTGAATATGATACTAGGCCTGCCAAGTTCTGTTGTTTGGTGAGAAAATTTTGTGGTATCAGTGTCACCAAGACTGTTTCAACTGTCTAGTATACAGGTATAGGAATTTACATCATCTGATTCTAGAACAATAGAATAAAAAGTTTTCCTATTTCCTACATTAGCAAAACAGCTTTCTTATCATCATTGGTTCTATGGGCCTAGCACTATCATGGGCTTCAAGCATCTCTTTGCTTGCCTTGAAGGAGAGCACTCACTGTGCAATGGGACCATTTTATCTCACAGAGTAGATTTAGAATCTTTTATTCTTGATTCTTGTTGACTCAAACCATCAAGAATTAATTTCCCAAATAAAAGATTTCATTGACTTTTTTTGGTTTTTAATTTTATGGGCCATGCATGTGCTGTCCATTTCAAGTACAGCAAAGCAAAGGAAATTCACAAATTGAAGAAGATCTACAAAATTAAAAAGTAATTATGAAATAAATGTTTGCATTGTATATACATGGTTGTAGATTGGCTTATGTGTCCCAATATGGAAAACATACTTAAGTAGCAATCTTTTGGCAATGGTATATGTGAGTTTTGGTGAGTACTGCAGTTTTAAGTTAGAAGGGTTATAAATATAGGGGTCACATGTCAAGCTGTTTTAAGGCAGATACTCTCTATTTAACATGATCTAAACTTCAGGTTAAAAGAATCTGCACCCATAACAAAATATTTATAGTCTCAGATTCCTAAGAGAATAAATGATATCTTTTGGTTCTCTGACCCCACCTTCTCAGATAGCTTCTTGAAGAAAGCAGAAGCTTACTCATTAAAAAGTAAGTGCCATGAAGTAGCAAATTTGGAGGTGGAAATTAGGAAGAAATATCCTTGGGTCCTGAAAGATATGGAAATAGATTTAAAACACATTATTGAGAAAACTAGGAATAGGGAGAAGGGGTGAAATTCTATTTGTTCTTTTTCAATTTGAATTTAAGTGATTCATGTATTACTTGTATTGAAAGGAGAGAATAGAAGTATCAAGTTGTTTTCCCTTATGTTTTTCTGCAGGTTGTGAAAAACAAACTATTAGAATATTAGAATTAACAGGAATTACAATCCTCATCTCCACCTCCGCATTTCGTAGATGGGAAAAGAGAGGTGCAGCCATGAGGTGACCTACCAAGGTCACAGAGCTAGCTTGACACAGCTAGGTTCCTCCACTGTCTCCCCTTCTCTGGCTGCAGGGAAGAGTTCAGCCTGGGTAAGACAGCCTCACTCTTCCATTTTTCAGCCTGAGTAATGAGGAGGGTGGAGATGGAAATGGCTATATCTGTGACGTGAATGTTGTTTTCACTGCCTCTATACAAGTGAGTTATTTTCATTCCTTCCTGATGTCCTTGATTTTTAATTGTAAAATGAGTGACACTTTGAACTCCCTTATAGTTTGGCTTTATTTTCTGCTACCACCAGTATGTACAAATTGTACAAATTGGAATCTTTCTCAGAGTATCTGAAGCTCTACTTTCTATCAGAAAAAGAAAAGCTGACAGGCAGTTTAGATGTATCTTTTCCTTTTTCTTTTGTGAGCGTCTTGTTGCACTGCAGGTCAATTGTCAGAAATATTTATTTAGCTGAAGTTCTCTTTCTGAGCCGACTGAGGCAAAAAGTGGTTGATTGAAAAGTCAGTGTACATGGGTTCACCACTCTGCAATCAACAGGACAATCAAAGGTGCTGGAGTGTTTTTTTTTCCAGGTTCAGGTTGCACTGCATCATGCTTGTACATACGATGCTCAGCATTTGAAGTTTAAATATTGCTGGGACTAAGAAGCCACATAAATATGACCTGAACTCTGATTGCCACCAAATTGGAATGGCATGTCTAAAGATTTTAGAGTCAGCCTTGAGTTTTGTGGCTTTACAAATTTGTAGAAGCTTTGCGAGTGTAAATAAAACTTGGAGTTTCACTCAAAATCCTGAGGAATGAATACATATATGCATAGACATACACACTTCATTGTAGCAAGCCGCTGAGGAAAACTGACAGTGCCTTGCGCTTAGAGAAGATAAAGGAGAAACACATGTACGTTGCAAGTCACAATTAAAATTCAGGAGCAGAAAAGAATTTACTTTCTATCTTTTCTGACCGTTAGTTGGAGGTTGGTTGGTTGAGGTTTTTGGCCTGTGTACAGACTTGTTATCTGAGGGTACAGTGCAGGAAAACTCATTTAGTCATCATCATCATCACCAAAATCACCACTGCCATTCTGCCACCAAATACCCGTTGCTGATTTGAGAACCTGCCACATAAGGGCATAGCACAAACAGCATGAATTGGCAGAAAGAGCTTATTCTTCTTTAAATTTTCATGGCTGGGCAATTGGCTAAGTTGCAATTTTCAAGTGACCTTCTCTCACTAAACCATATGCACACATACTCGGTCATGTAACAGCAGTCCTTTTTGAACATCTACTGTTTGTCAAGCACTTACAGGCACTAGGCATCTCTACTGTTGAATGTGATAGACATGCTCCATGCTCTTGTGGAGCTTAGAGGAGATGATAAAACAATTTTAAAGTGCTAAGTGCTCTGAGCTTGTGCAGTCCAGAAAATGTCACCAAGGAGAGAATACTTGAGCTGAGTCTGCAGGGCTTAGGCAGCATCATGTGAATATCTGGGGCAAGTCTTGCAAGGCAGAGGGAAAAGCAAGAGACAGAGCTTTAAAATAGAAATAAGCTTGAAGTATTTGAAGAACATAAAGAAGGCTAGTATAGTGGGACTATTGAAAGCAAGGAAGTAGATGGAAGAAAATGAGATTAGAGAGGTATGGGAGGGCTTGGTCTGGCTGGGCTACATAGAGAATAGTGAGGGTTCATGCTGGCACACCCCTGGAGGGTTTAAGCAGGGGGTGAGATCGGACTGCGTTTTAGAAATGTAAGGAATAGATTGATTGCAAAGTGGATGATAATGTGTGTTTCGTGAGGAAGGGATTTGTATCTGTTTCATTCACTGCTGTATCTCCAGCCCTGGAACAGTGCCTGGCAAATAAGAGGTGTGTGAGAAGTACCTGTTGAATGTACAGATAGGTATGTGTGTGTGTTCTTATGATTTTTTTTGTATTTTATTTTATTTTTAATTTTATTATTATACTTTAAGTTTTAGGGTACATGTGCACAACGTGAAGGTTTGTTACATATGTATACATGTGCCATGTTGGTGTGCTGCACCCATTAACTCGTCATTTAGCATTAGGTATATCTCCTAATGCTATCCCTCCCTCCTCCCCCCACCCCACAACAGTCCCCAGTGTGTGATGTTCCCCTTCCTGTGTCCATGTGTTCTCATTGTTCATTTCTCACCTATGAGTGAGAACATGTGGTGTTTGGTTTTTTGTCCTTGCGATAGTTTGCTGAGAATGATGGTTTCCAGTTTCATCCATGTCCCTACAAAGGACATGAACTCATCCTTTTGTATGGCTGCATAGTATTCCATGGTGTATATGTGCCACATTTTCTTCATCCAGTCTATCGTTGTTGGACATTTAGGTTGGTTCCAAGTCTTTGCTATTGTGAATAGTGCCGCAATAAACATATGTGTACATGTGTCTTTATAGCAGCATGATTTATAATCCTTTCGGTATATACCCAGTAATGGGATGGCTGGGTCAAATGGTATTTCTAGTTCAAGATCCCTGAGGAATTGCCACACTGACTTCCACAATGGTTGAACTAGTTTACAGTCCCACCAACAGTGTAAAAGTGTTCCTATTTCTCCACATCCTCTCCAGCACCGTTGTTTCCTGACTTTTTAATGATTGCCATTCTAACTGGTGTGAGATGGTATCTCATTGTGGTTTTGATTTGCATTTCTCTGATGACCAGGGATGATGAGCATTTTTTCCTGTGTTTTTTTTGGCTGCATAAATGTCTTCTTTTGAGAGGTGTCTATTCATATCCTTCGCCCACTTTTTGATGGAGTTGTTTGTTTTTTTCTTTTAAATTTGTTTGAGTTCATTGTAGATTCTGGATATTAGTCCTTTGTCAGATGAGTAGGTTGCAAAAATTTTCTCCCATTATGTAGGTTGCCTGTTCACTCTGATGGTAGTTTCTTTTGCTGTGCAGAAGCTCTTTAGTTTAATTAGATCCCATTTGTCAATTTTGGCTTTTGTTGCCATTGTTCTTATGATTTTTAACAGCTTTGTTAAGTGTCCTTTTCCCCTTCTAGAATTGCTGCATGTACTTATTTTTTCCCCTAGAAAATAGTTCTATTTATTGGAAGTTCAACTTTTTTCCCAAAGCATATTAGTAATTTGTTTTCTTTTATTTAGTCTATACATTTTATATATACGAATTATATTCCTAAAATTCCGTGCAAAGCCCTGTGCTTTTCTGACTTGTTAATCTGCTATTAATTATATTTTAGACCTTTCCTTTTTTTGTAAAAACAAAAAACAAAAAAAAATGCACCAAGAAATTTTTCTCACAAAAATTTCATTTTCTTTGTGTGTTTGTGTGTGTGTGTGTGTGTGTTAATTTAATAACTTAGTCACTAGAGATAGCTTTATTGGTTCCTTACACATTCAGCTCTATTTTATTTGCTCATTTTCTCTTTTATTATTTTACAGGATTTTGTATCAGGGTGTTTAAATTGTGCTTCTTTGCCTTGTCTCACTTCTGTAAATATATTTTAGGTTCCTAGAGAGGGCTATTTTTCCCTTTACTTGTCTGTCAAGGGTGCTTATTACTTGAATAGCACATTATAGTCTGTCTGGTGCTAGGACCACACATAATGGTAAAACTTGGACGTTTATAGAGATATTACCTCTAGACTCTACTAAGTAGATGCCCATATTGCCTTTCCTTGAAGTATTTCAGTAGCCTCTCAACTGACCTCATTGTCTATAGTTTTTCTTCATTCCAAGTTATCCTCCACTTAATGTCTCTGCTTATTAAGACAGGGGTTTGCTGATGTCACTTCCTCACTTACTTACAAAACTTTTGAAGATTCTACCTTATGTATAAAATAAATATTGGTTACAATAATGTACAATTTCAGACCTCTTACCATCTGACTCTCCCTACCACATCAGCTCCATAACTCATTTCCCTACCACCCACACCACCGTGTAGAGTTGGGCCATACTTGATTACATCCTCCTTCAATCGAAAGCACCCGCAGCCTCCTGTCTTTGTTTACATTTGTCGTCTTTGCCTGCTTTTTTCATCTCACCAAAATCTTCTCCTCCTTCAAGTGTCTCTGCAATGCCATTCTCAGACGTCTTGGACAAAACTGATGCTCGGGGAACTTTGCTTATGCTGCTGTTCTTCCTTCTTGCCTACCTGTTTGTCTTTTCCCTCCGCTCCCCTCCCCTTGCCTTCCCTTCCCACAGGGTCTTGCTCTATTGCTCAGGCTGGAGTGCAGTGGTGCAGTTATGGCTCATTGCAGCCTCAACCTCCTGGGCTCAAGTGATCCTCCTGACCCAGCCACCTGCGTAGCTAGGACTACAGGCATGCCCCACCATGTCTAGTTAATTTTTGTATATATTTTTTTCTTTGTAGAGACAGGATTTTGCCCTGTTGCCCAGGCTGGTGTTAAATTTCTGGCTCAAGCAGTTCCACCCATTTCGGCCTCCCAAAGTGCTGAGATTACAGGCGTGAGCCGCCACACCCAGGCTTGCTGTTTTATTTCTAAACTATTTCTGTCATATTTAATTGGTGACATATCTCTCCTCCTTACTGGTCTATGAATGCCTTGAAGGTGGGGGAAGAATTTGCTCATCATTTTATCACCAGAACCACATGCAGTGTTTGACCAACTGCATGGTCAGTTGAATACTCACTGAATGAGTATTCAATACTCGATGAACAAGGGAGTGACTGAGTGACCGAGTGAATAATTATGTTTGTAAGCACAGGTTGAATTGCATGGCCAGCATCATTCTCTATATTGGCAAAACTTTGTCATGTAAGGGACTCTGAGATGCTGCTATTATTGAGACAAACACTAGCTGATTGGATCACCTTGAAACTTGAGCCAGAGTAGTTGGGAGAAGGGTTTGCTCTTAAATATAAGGCATCTCAGCTATTATCCTTTTTCTGGAATGACACTGCATTCATAGTTCATGCATTTACTTTGAACAATATTTAAATAAACTTCTTATTGAAGTGTAACACTTATACATAAAAGCGTACTAGTCATAAGGAGATGGCATGAGAAATTGTCACAGCCAGGCAATCAGCACACAGCCTGTAACAGGCATTACTGATGCTGTGCATCATAGCCCTGCAGCCCACCTGGATTCAACTGCATGTGGGAAAGATGGGGTCTTGCACTTTCTCTGTCACAATGAAAAACTGTTGATAGAAAGAGGACGTGGGTGGTTAATTCCCATGGGGCAACCCTCAAACAACAGGTTGGGAGTCTGGTCCTAGGTGGCACAGACTGCTCATCCTCCTCATCCTCATCCTCCATCCTCATCCTCCAGTGAAACATGAGCAGGACAAACCTGTTCCAAATGGTTCTCAGAGAGTTAACAGCAGCAAGAATAAGCCCATACTGTCTGCAGTGGCATCGGCTCATTAGTGCAACTTTCTTTGCTTGCTTTCCCTTCTTCCCTGTCTTACCTTCTCCATGTCCTCACTTGTACTTTATGTGATCAACTCTCAAATTACATGCATCCAAATCCCTATTTCAGGGTCTACTTTCGAGAAGAGCCCAAGCTAAGACACCAGATAAGAAGCAGAATACTAGCAGAATGCTATCAGCATCCCAGAAGTCTATTTGTGCCCCTTCTCAAGGACTATACTCTTCTTCCTGCCCAAAGATAATGACTATTCTGATACCATAGATACTTTGCCATTTTTAAGTTTATATAAATAGAATTATGCAGTGTTTTCTTTTGTTTTGATTTCTTTCATTCAATTAGGTTCATGAGATTCATCTGTTTCATTTTGTGTAGCAAGTTTATTCTTTTTACTGACATTGTATTTCATCGTGTAACTATATCACAATTTGTAATTTATTCATGAGGATATTTTGAATGTTTCTAGTATGAGCATTCTTGTATATGCCTTTTGATACTCATTCATATGTATATCCACACATATATGTGTGGATGTGTTCCAGCATATATATTTGTACATATGTATGTGTGTGTATATTTATATATATATTTATTTATATGTGTGTGTGTCTATGTGTAGAAAGAGCTTATAATATACACACACATATTTACGTATATGTACACACATATATACACACACATATTTCTGTTGGGCATGTATGTAGGATTTGAACTGCTAGGTCATTGGATATTTGTGTATTCAGCTTCAGTAGATTCTACAAAAAGATTTTCTGAAGTGATTGTGCTAGTTTGTACTCCTACTAGCAATGAATTGAGGCTTTCTTTTCTTTCTTTCTTTCTTTTTCTGAGATGGAGTTTCACTCTTGTTGCCCAGGCCGGAGTGCAATGGCTCAATCCCAGCTCACTGCAACCTCCACCTCCTGGGTTCAAGAGATTCTCCTGCCTCAGCCTCCTGAGTAGCTGGGATTACAGGCAAGTGCTGCCACACCCAGCTAATTTTGTATTTTTAGTAGAGACGGAGTTTCTCCATGTTTGTCAGGCTGTTCTAGAACTCCTGACCTCAGGTGATCCACCCGCCTCAGCTTCCCAAAGTGCTGGGATTACAGGTGTGAGCCACCACGCCCAGCCTGAATTTAGGGTTTCTAAATTTTAAATGTTTAGTAATTGTTGTAGATACATATTTGTTAGGGTTTATATTTGCACTGTCCTAATGACTAGTGAAGTTGGGCATTTTTTAGTGTGGTTTTTTTCCATGCAGCTCTCTTTTTCCCAATTTTATTGTGAAAAAATGCACAAAAATCTACTATCTTAACCAATTTTAAGTGTACATTTCAGTGTTATTAAGTATATTCATACTGTTTGTGGTTGTGCAACCATCACCACCATTCATCTGCAGAATGGTTTCATCTTTCTGTGCATCTCTTTCAGAAGTAGAGAAAACTCTTTGAGAATCCCCAGAATAAGACTTGCCCTCATATGGCCATTGGCTACAACTGGATCATGGATGTTTATACATACATTTGTGAAGTTTTGAAATCCTTTTCTTGTGAAGGACTTGTTCAAATATTTTCCCACTTTCTTTTTAAATGGCTTCATTGTTTTGTCCATTTGAAGGAATTCCTCACATAATCTGCATATAACTCTTTTACCAATTATATTTGTTGTAAATATCTTCTTTCACATTGTCAGTTTCTTTTCCCCTGTATCAATGGTGTCTTTTTAATAATCGATGGTTCTTAATTTTAATGTAGTTCAATTCATTGATTTCACTATAGTTATTACTATTTTTTTCATCCGGTTTAAGCTATCTTTTTCTTCCCCAAGTTCTTGAAGATATTCAATCTTATTGTCTTCTAGCAGTCTATAATCAACATTTGAAACTACATTATTTTTACTTGATATTATGTCTAGAATCCAATTTTCATACTATTAGTTTTTTTAAACATGTGGCAGAAACATTTCAAAATCTATGCATCATATAACGAAACGTTAAATGTATCTTATATAAATTCTGCTTCACTTATTCAAATGTCTCTTGTAGAATTTCAAGCTCTTTTGTTTAAATTTCCTATATAAAAGCCCAGCTTCTCATTTTCTTTTTTAAAAGGGCTTATTTAGCTTTCATTTTTTTTAAAATAATTTCACACTTTTTCAAGGTGATTTACTAACCAGGTGAGATAAAATATAATAAAATTTGTTAAAACAAATAGCAGAGGTCAGAAGTTAGAAAAGAAACATTTTGGGGTACCGTTACTTTAGTGGATTACAAAACTACAGCAGTGAGTGAGAAACGAAACCACTTTGAGCAATTGAAATGTCAGAACTGAATACAGACATCTGTTACCTAATATCTGTAATCTGTTTTTAAAAATCAGATGTTTTGCCCACATTTTAGGCAATTTGCTAATTGGAAAGCTATTTCCTACTTTTTAAACGGGAAGAAGTTATTGTCTTTTACCTGTGAACTTATCAATTTCCTAAAATGTGCACAATATGGCAATGTGCTTTCCAATAACAAACCATGCTATACACATTGCTTATGAACTTTAATATGGTTGCTAACAACCAGTAGTCTTCTACACAGTAACATGTACAAGTTGCCTTCTCAGTGCCATTGACATCCAGGATGTGAATCTGCTTTCTTGACACTCCAAATACTTTTCAGAATATCTATAGTAATAAGGTCATCCCATTTAATAATGTATATGAAAAATAACTCTAGATTTCTCCCCTACTTAATTTTGTGAAAAACATTGTATGAGTTTTGTGGATGAAACATAATTTTATTCTATGCAAACACTGGACAAAGCCATTGTATTGAGAAGTGTATATATATTATATGAAGCTTGGATAATAAACAATAGGAGATGTGCAAATGAAAATATTAGCCCAGGAAATGGTGTATTGGTATATCTGTACAGACTGTGGAAGTAAAGGCTACAACAACTACTTGGAGATTCGGTCAAGGTCCAATATATCAGTAATACAATAAAAGTAAAATTACTAAATTCACCTATTAAAACAGAGCATTAAATAAGATTAAAAAAGAACTAGCTATATGGAGTTAATAAAAGTGACAACTAAAATCTAAGGCTAGAGAAATTTTGAAAATAAAGAGTTGAAATGTCTAGTACATAGGAACCAAAAATACAAAAGAAATAGGAACATCACTTTATGTTAAAAGAAACAATCTGCTAAGAATATATAACTCTCAAGACTTTTATGCATTTAACAACCTAACCAGGATTTATGACATATAAAATGAAAATAATTATACTTTTGGAAAATTTAGAAACATATAAAGAAGGCAGAAAGTGACAACAGTGTTAGTAAGGCTATACCATAATGGAACAGCAAAATTAATAAGCTTAAATTAATAAATGTATATAAAATCTTTCATCCAACACCCAAAGAATATACATTCTTTTTAGTGCTTATTCACACACTTGTATAAACTTATTTATTACAAGGCCACAAAGAGATTCTCAAAAAATTTCAGAAAAACAGTATTATATAAGTGATAGTCTCTGACTAAAGTTAATATTGCAAATATTCATAGATATAACTAGCAGAAACAGACTTTTTAAAGTCCTCAGAGTTTATAAGCATGTAAAATGGTCATAAGACCAAATGCTGGAGAACTAGTGACTTAGTTAAACTTTCTGTTCTCTCTTTTTTTTCACCCCACATAAAAAAATCAGACTTCAGTCAGCTTCACAGTTTCACTTTACTAGGCTTCATAGAACAGTCACAGTATTTGCTAAATGTATCCTATTCTGTTTAGGATCGTAAAACTAATATCAAAACCCAACTGGGATTATAAAGGATAAAAATTTTATGTTAATTCTTAGACAAAGCACTAGCAAGTAAAATCTAACATTGTCTAAAAGAAACACAGACTAGGCACAGTGGCTCATGTCTGTAATACCCGCACTTTACCGGGGCCAAGGTGGGTGGATCACTTGAGCCCATGAGTTTGAGACCAGCCTGGGAAATATGGCAAAATCCTGTCTCTGCAAAAAAAAAATACAAAAATTATCCAGCTGTGTTAGTACATGCCTGTAGTCCCAGCTACTAGGGAGGCTGAGGTGGGAGGATTGCTTGAACCCAAGCGGTTGAGGCTGCAGTGAGCTGTGATTGTACCACTGCACTCCAGCCTGGGCAACAGAGCTAGACTCTGTCTCAAAATAAATTCAATAAATAAATAAATAAGTAGATTTTAATCCACAATCATAAGGATAATTCACATGAAAAACAAATGTAATCATTTCATTAATATATTAAAAGTAATGTATTAAAAAGTCTAGTAATCTCCTAAATAGATATGGAAAAGGCTTTTAATATAATCCAGTAACATACTTGTTAAAATCTCATCCCAAACAGAAATAGAAAGCATTGTCCTTAATCTGTGTGTTAGTCCATTTTCTCACTGCTGTATAGAATTGCCTGAGACTGGATAATTTATAAACAAAAAAGTGTATTGACTCACAGTTCCCCATGGCTGGAGAGAACTCAGGAAACTTACAACCATGGCAGGAGGTAAAGGGAAAGCAAGGCATGTCTTACACGGCAGCAGGAGAGAGAGCGGGGGAAGTGCCACAGTTTTAAACCATCAGATCTTGTAAGAACTCACTATCACAAGAACAGCATGGGGAAAACCGCCCTCATGATCCAATCATCTCCCACCAGGTTCCTTCCTCAACACATGGGGATTACAATTTGAGATGAGACTTGGGTGGGGACACAGAGCCAAATCATGTCAATCTGATACATGGTAACTACTAACATCACAGTTAGTGGTCTAAATTTAGAAGACAAATCAAATTAGAATCAGAAACAATAGGGGTATGTCTGCCATCATCACCATTGTTCTTTAATCTACTGGTAGTCACATCCTACACAATAAGCAAAAAAAATGGAAGAAAGGAAGGAAGGAAAACAGGCAGGCTATTTAAAAGGAGGAGATACAATTATTATTTGTGGATAAAAGGTTGTACATTGTAATCTAAGAAATTTACTAGCCAAATTTATAAATTAGTGTTAATTCAGTAAAGTTTTTGGAGAAAGGATCAATATATAATATTTGATAGTGTTTACATACATCAGGAATAGCCAATTGCAAGGGTAGTCAGGAAAATCTATTTCATTAGTAATAGCAACAAATGACAGGGTACTGAGAAATCCATCTAAAATTTCAGTTACAAAAACTTTATGAAGACAATGTCAAGCCTTTAAGGGTTTTAAAATATATAAAAAGTGATAAGTTTAGAGATTAGCTACATTTGTGGATGGAGTGACGAGACTAGTTGTAATTCACTTCAAGCTAATCTATAAATTCATTGTAATTTCAGTGGAAATTTTAAGTGTTTTTTCATGAAACCTGACAAAGTAATTCTAAAATTAGTGGGTTTGGTTGAAATTCCAATAAAAGTTGAAGTAATTCTTAAGGGGAAAACAGAAAAAAAGAGACAAATCCTATGAGAATAAAACCTTATGTTTGTTTTTTATTTATTTATTTTTTGGAAAGATACAGTGACTGAAACAGTGACAAGCAGATTACCAGAACATTATATAGAAACTCAAAACAGAGGCAAATATGAAAAATTGCAGAGAATAGAGGTGGTGCTCAAATTTCCAAGGAGACAGTCACCTAGGGAGATGCTAGAAAATTTGGCTAGGCTTTTTTTTTTTTTTTTTTTTTTTTTGAGACAGAGTCTCGTTCTGTCACCCAGGCTGGAGTGCAGTGGCGCGATCTTGGCTCACTGCAAGCTCCACCTCCTGGGTTCACCCTATTCTGCCTCAACCTCCTGAGTAGCTGGGACTACAGGCGCCCACCAACATGCCTGGCTAATTTTTTTTGTATTTTTTAGTAGAGATGGGGTTTCACCGTGTTAGCCAGGGTGGTCTCGATCTCCTGACCTCGTGATCCGCCCGCCTCGGCCTCCCAAAGTGCTGGAATTACAGGCGTGAGCCACTGTGCACGGCCTTGGCTGGGTATCTTATCAGAAATAAAATTATGTCAGTATTAGATCATATAAAAATATTATAGTTATAATTTTTTAAAAACAACAAAAAGGATCCCAAATTTGCAAAAACAACGTAGGATAAATTTTGATGACCTGAGGGTAGAAAGGATTTTTTAAAGATAGCACATTGCACATAGTGTAGAGAAAACATGGATAAATCTGACCAAGTTAATATTAGAAATTCTGCTATAACCCAATCTCAGAAGTGACATGCCATCGCTACTGCTGTATCTGTCGGTCACACAGATTGCTACTGGTACCATATGAGACGGGACTACACAAGGGTGTAAATACTAGGAAGCAGGAATCACTGGGGCCATCATCGTAGAGACTAACAGCCACAGTTCCCTAATGCTTGTCCTACTCACTTCAGGACCCAGCACCAGATGCAAAAAAACAAAACCAAACAAAAACAAACAAAAAACCGTCACACATACATTGTTTAACCAGATCCTACAATTGCATAAGGCCAAATCCCAATAAAAATTCCTTATTCTGCATGGCTCCTAGAGGTCCTGCCTCTCTGACTTAATACAAGTATCAAGTATCTCTGACTTAATACAAGTATCCCTAACTGATACAAGTATCTACTTCACAAGATTCTTGTGAAAATGAATAATAGGCTGGGCACAGTGGCTCAGGCCTGTAATCCCAGCGCTTTGAGAGGCCAAGGCAGTCAGATCACTTGAGGTCAGGAGTTTGAGAACAGCCTGGCCAACATGGTGAAACCCCACGCTTGTAATCCCAGCACTTTGAGAGGCCAGGGTGGACTTCCAGATTTGCCTCACTCCTGTAAAAGCTCTAAGCACATAAACTCCATAAGCACATATACTCCAGCTCTCCAGACTTCAGAGAGGGACAGAGAAATTATAGACTAGAAAAAAACACCACAAAGGGCCAAACCAGGGGCCCTAGAGAATGAAGGAGAAATGAGTTCTTCCCAGATTGCAGAATTAGGGTGTAACTAAAGTACTTCTTCTATCCCAGGGGAGGGAGCCTTTTTACTGACTGTCTAGCTAAGGGCCAATGTTGTTGTATCTCTCTTCTATCCCTTTATAAGTGAGAGTTTCTATTGAGAATACCCTGCCCCTAACCCATCATAGTATATTGGGTTGATATGGGGGAGGGCTAATGCAAAGCAAAGCAGGTAAATTCGTTTTTTAATCCAAAGTGACAGGTCTCTAGACTCGAAGAGGTCACATCTAGATGTGATGGAGGGGACCATGCAGTCCTTGGAGATCCTAGACTTAATCTGGGTGCAGAGACTGGGTGGGGCTTTGAGGGACTTTGGGGTTGTCTCCTTTGGATTGCCTATGAGAGGAAGATTACACAAATATTTGATGACCAGATTGGAGGTCTATGGCAGAGATTGAATAATTGTTTATTTGATCACTCATTTTCCTCCTAAGCGTATAACCAGATGACAATTTTCTATCCTCCCTTGTGGTTACGGGCAACCATGTCACTGAATTCTGTCCAGTGGACTATGGCTGGATGTAATGCATGCCATTCTAGGCCTGACTCATAAAAACTTCTGCACAATCCTCCATGCTCTCTCTTTTCCAGCTTGGCTTAGAGAATCCAGCGGAGAACTCTGAGGAGAGCGTGGAGCCTGATGGAAGGAGGCTGGACCTGTGTATCCATCTGAGATGGAACCCCCTTCCAGCCTGCACTGTTTTTTGATATGACTGAGAAATAAATCTATATCGTGTTAAGCCAAAAAAAAAAAAAAGAAAAGAAATTCTGCTATAAAATATTATAAACAAATTTAAAGGTTAATTTATAGACAGAAAAGTGGCATCTGCAACATATCTAATACTGAATAAGTTCAATATTAAGAACATATAAAAATACATATAATTCAATGAGTGAAGAAATGAACAACCCAAAAGAAAAGCAGACAAAACATAAGCAAAGCATCAGGAAAAGGACACCAGAATGGACATTATACATAAGATAAAATTCAATCTCAGCAATCAGAGAAAAACAAACTTTAAAAAATCAAAAACTGTGAGATAGTTTTTTGTAGCATTAATACAGGATTATTAAAAGTGAAGCTTTCCTGCTAATTAATTCGGGGCCATTAAAATGCATAAAGTTTTCTATTCATGTTATGTATGTAAATAGTCCAGAGAGTTTTGTCTACTATGCAAGTATTTTATTCTACCATTGTATTAGTCTGTTTTCACACTTCTATAAAGAAGTACCCAAGACTGGGTAATTTATAAAGGAAAGAGATTTAATTGGCACAGTTCCACATGGCTGGGGAGGCCTCAGGAAACTTGCAATCATAGTGGAAGGTGAAGGGGAAACAGGCACCTTCTTCACAAGGCAGCAGGTAGAGAAAAGTGAGCAAAGGAGGAACTTGCCAAACACTTATAAAACCGTCAGATCTTGTGAGAATTCACTCACTATCATGAGAACAAGATGGGGGAAACTGGCCCCATGATCCAATCACCTCCCACCAGGTTCCTCCCTCAACACCTGGGTATTACAATTGAAGATGTGATTTGGGTGGGGACAAAAAGCCAAACCATATCAACCATGTAAATTGTTTTTCTCTTAAACTTAAGTGTTCAATTTTAATGAATAATAACAGTTTTATAAAATGGACTACGTTTGCTTGATGACTGGCCAGCTGAATAATATACTGCCAAAGATGTTCCCATCTTATCCCTGGAACTTGTGACTATGTTACCTTGAATAGCAAAGGAACTTTGCAGATGTGATTAAGTTGCGGAGAGTACACTGGATTATCCAGCTGGCCCCAACGTAATGACAGAGGTCCTCACAAAGGGGAGATAAGAAGATCTGGGAAAAAACAGAAGGTGATGAGAAGGTGATATCAAGGAAAAATGGTGATGTGATGCATAAGCAGGAACCACAAAATGAAGACAGCCTCTAGACGCTAGGAAAGGAAAGGAAAGATTTTCTTCTAGAGCCTCCAGAAGGAATGCAGCTCAGCTAACACCTTGATCTTAGGCTATGAAAACTGAGTTTAGATTTATTTCTTTCAGGACTGTAATATCTATTTGTATTGTTTTAAGTTGTTCAGTTTGCGGAAATTTGTTATAGCAGCAATAGGAAACTAATACATTGTCTTTGTGGAGTATAGAATTTGTCTTCTACTATTTATTATAAAATGATATCAGAAGATCTCTTAGCCATGTGAGGGTTCCATTTAGTTCTCTTGACCCCCACAGATATCCCCCACTGTCCAGTCAATAAACTCCCAGGGAGAAGAATCAGAAGGATCAGGTTACTACCAGAGATACAAAGTTTCTCAGCTGAAAGCAACTAAACATATATCACATAGTTATTTACCCATGACTCATAACCTGAAGCATTTTACCCCCATGAGCCTGATTTCACAATACACCTTCTGGGGCTATCATGATAACTAACAAGTAAAGATGCAAGCCAATTATCAGGGAGGCTAGAGCTATGTTCTTCCCCCCTTGCAGGCAGGATGTGCCATGGTCAAGAGTAGCAGTGTAGCCACGTTAAACATGAAATAAGAGTCACCTAAATTTAGTCAAGCGTATGTTATTTCTAATCTGCTAATGAGATGCTGACATTTGGAAATACCCTACTTTCTCAGTCCAGGTAACCTGTGTTCCTCCATCCTGGGCTCCATGAGTCTAGCTGGTGGGTCTTTATAGAGGGAAGGGAGGGTTGCAGGTTTGGTTTCTAGCTCAGTGACAGCTTTCAGTCTGTCCTTGTGTAACCGTTGATCTGTAAGGCGATCGAAAGTGTCAAATGGCCTGAGAATGAATGGCTGCAATTTTCAGTGTTCTTGCTAACGGACACTTCGTTCCTGTAAGTTGCAGGAGCCAGGCCAGTTCAATACAGCCAGCTTGTTTTTAACGTCCCCTTGTCCCTGTGTGGGTGGCTGCCCAGATCTGTGGGAGGCGGTATGTCTGGGTTCAGGTAGGGATGTTTTTATGTAATCAGATATGTTGATCACATAGGAGAGACCAAAGAGATTGTCTAAAAAAAGATAAAACCCCACAGCGGCCCACAGATGGAAAAGGTGTTGAGCAGTATGCATATATATACACACATATATATGTGTGTATATATACACATATGTACACATATATATGTGTGTATATATACACACATATATATGTGTGTATATATACACATATAGGTACACATATGTGTGTATACATATATATGTACATATAGGTACACATATATGTGTATATATACATATATATGTACATATATATGTGTGTATATACATATATAGGTACACATATGTGTACATATATACATATATAGGTACACATATAAGTGTGTATATATAAGTACACATGTATATATGCGTATACACACATATATGTGTACATATATGTACACATATATGCATATACACACATGTACACATATGTGTATATAACATATGTACACATATACGTGTGTACACATGTACACATATACGTGTGTATATGTATGTACACATATATGTGTGTATATATATAGCCAAAGATGGAGTGAAAAAGCAAAAGAGAATAAATACTCTGTTACAAATCAACATACACTTTGTATTTTTATCCAAGCATACTAGATTGCTCCAAAATACACACATATATATGTGTACATACATATGTGTGTGTACACATATATATGTGTACATACATATGTGTGTGTACACATATATATGTGTACATACATATGTGTGTGTACACATATATATGTGTACATACATATGTGTGTGTACACATATATATGTGTACATACATATGTGTATGTATACATATATGTACATATATGTGTGTGTATGTACACATATATGTGCATATATGCATATATGTACACGTGTGTGTGTGTGTGTGTATATATATATATAGCCAAAGATAGAGTAAAAAAGAAAAAAGGAAGAGAAGAAAATAATAAAATACTCTGTTACAAATCAACATACACTTTGTGTTTTTATGCAAGCGTACTAGATTGCTCCAAAATTTTGGAAGAATAAACTTTGGTGGGATTTTGGAAGCCTGCAACTCACCTGGTCAGATTCTTGTCAGTTGTAAATAATGTCCACTTAAAATGCAGTACAAAAATGCAGTTAAAATTCTAAGTGGACGATTACAGTATGAAAGGCATTTCTAATTTATTCAAATATCCTGGTCTGTTTTTAAGGGTAGGCAGTCACTCGTTTTGCTCATTTGCCTAAAGTGTCTTGGAGGTCAAAGATAAAGTGGTCCTTGGAGATGAAGGCTATAATCAGAAAAAGAAAATGTTTTGTTGTCTTCTGCCTCATGTGCGAGCCTGCTCCAACCCACCCATCAGGGAGCTGGTTTTACTATTTTGTGCTCCGAAGGACATCTTCAGCTCTTGCTGAAACAAAGCATTCTTATTCTTAGCAGCTGTAGCTACAATATTCCTTTGCATTTATCCTTTTTTTAAAAAATTTAATATTCATGGATACATAGTAGGGTATATATTTTGGGATTACATGAGATATTTTGATACAGGCATACAATGCTTAATAATCCCATTAGGGTAAATGGGGCATCCATTACTTCAAGTATTTACCCTTTGTGTTATAAGCAATCCAAGTATAATCTTTTAGTTATTTTAGAATGTACAATTAAATTATTTTTGACTATAGTCACCCTGTTTTGCTAGCAAATACTAGGTCTTATTTATTCTATTTTTTGAACCCCTTAACCATCCCCACTTCCCCCTTTCCTCAGCCTCCCCACTACTTTTTCCAGCCTCTGGTAACCATCCTTCTACTCTCTAGCTCCATGAGTTCAATTGTTTTAACTTTTAGCTCCCACAAATAAGTGAGAACGCCTTTGCATTTGTCTTTGCATGTATTTAATTTCCTTCATCCTCACTATCACATTTGTTAGGTAGATAAAAAACTGAGTCTTTAACATATTAAAACTTGCACAAACTCACAATTCTGGTAAATGGCAGACCTAATTTTTGAGATTTTTTTTTATAGCAGACCATACTTTTTTTTTGAGAACATAAATCTACAGGGGTTAGTGACACAGTACTTCCAATAAATAAGCACAGTTTATATTTTATTATATGATTTTCATAAACTTGTCTGATGGGAGGATTTACTTTAGGTGATTTTCCTTCAGATATGTTTGGTTCTGCTAAGATCAGAATGTTTGCATTTCCCTTTCCCCCAAATTCATATGTTTAAATTCTAACCCCCCAAAGTGATAGTATTAGGAGGTTGGTAGGACTTTTGCGGGGTGATTAGGTCATGAGGTCAGAATCTTCCCGCATGGGATTATAAAAGCCCTGAGAAAAAGGTCCTTATAAAAAAATCCTGAGAGAGACCCCTCACCCTTCTGCCACAATAACATTAGAGTAAGAAAACAGTTATCTGTGGGGAAGCGAGCGCTCACCAGGCACTGAATCTGTTGATTCTGTTGATACCTTAATCTTGGAATACACAGATTCCAGAACAGTGAGAAATATTCTTCTGTTGTTTATAAGCCACTCAGTCTATGGTATTTTGTTACAGCTCATATAAGACTAAGACAGGCTCATATTCACAACCTTAGTTCATGGGACTTGTAGTGAGCTTAGTATAATGATTACATATTTGTTTGCATGAGGCTTTTGACACACTTCTGTGTATTTTGTGATTGTGCTTTTCTAAGCCAGAAGACGTTGTTAGTATTCACTTTGGGCTCCTTATTACCATTGGGTTTTGCTAAGCACCAGATAATAACCAAAAGATTATAAACCTTACTTAAAAATCAAGCCTTTTATTGTATATTTTCTAGCACATATATTTAAGCAGCAGTGGTATGTTCAAATTACAACGGGTACTTGTTATGTTTTGCTTTCATTATTTTTCTCTGGGTTTATAATTACACCAAGCCTCAATATATTTTTAATAATTTTTTAAAAGTTGTTTTAAAGGCACGAAGAGTAGAATAACAGAGATTGGTAATATAATGACATTAATTTCAGTGTCCTTTTCATAAGGTTCATAAGAGTTGCCAGATTTAATCACACCTATCCAACCCCAAGGAACTATTTGGCTTGAAACAATTTCAGACATAAAAGTTCCTTGATCTGAATGCTTGGCAGCCTGGAGTGGAGAAAAATAAGGATTATAGTTGGAAACATTGTTGTCATATTTTTTAAATGAAAAAAGTATATATCTTATGAAGCACCTAGGAACACACTCATAAAGATTTTAAGCTTTACTTTAGAGTTTGTGTGTGTGTGTGTGTCCGTGTGTGTGTGTGTGTGTGTGTGTGTGTGTGTGTGTGTGTGGTGTGGGGGGGTGGGCAGGGGCTTTGTTGCTCATTTTTCCTCTGAACAGGTGTGAAGGCCATGTTTTGCCAGCAGGAGCCTGGGTGATTCATTAACTTCTTCTCGCTTCATGCAAGGGAGCTTTCTCTCACTCCTGAGGTGCTTACACTCTGACCCACTCTGGCCTTATCCAAAGCCCATGAAACCATCCTCAAAATAGCATAAGGGAACAAGTAAAGACATATCTCCTGGTGGGTTATGTGGCCTCCTGCACTTCTCCCACTAAAAGGGGCAGGACAAATTAAAAAGATCTCAGATTTGTCTCCAAATCAAACTCCGTTTGAGTCCCAGGTCTACCACTTAGTGGTTGTGTTAACTTGGGAAAGTTACTTAACTGCTGTGAGCATTGGTTTTCTCATCTAGAACATGTAGTTAATATTACCTGCCTTGCATGATGGTTTTGAAAATCAAAAATCATGACATACACTGTGTGTGGTATATGGAAATCTTTTGATATATGAAAGCTGCTTATGTAGTTGGTGTAGCCTTTTACTTCTCCATTAAATTGCAGTCAGTCTGGGCTGCAGATGTTCCTTTATTGTGAGGTGGTACTAACAGGGTCCAGCTTGCCTGGGAAGATTGCTTTGAGGAGAAAAGCAGTATTTCTAGGACAGGGTCTACATGAGGAAATAAAGCTGGCCTCATCTGTCCTTATTGAGGGAACAAAAAAAAATTTTTTAATTGAGGTAAAATTTACCTGGAAGACATTGCACAAATCTTAAGTTATAGCTCAGTAAATTTTTATGTATGTATGTACCTGTGTAGTCACCACCCAGATCAAGATCTAGAAGGATTTCAGTACCCTGGAAAGATCCCTGATGCCTCTTTTCAGTCAATGTCCTCCACCTCACCTAGAGGAAACTATTATTCTGGCTTTTATAATCATAGTTTCACTTTGTCTGTTCCTAATTACATAAGTAGCATTATACAGTATGCAATCTTTTGTGTTTGGTTTCATTTGCTCAATGTAACGTTTCTGAAATTCACCCATGTATCATTCCTTTCTCCTCTTAATAGACATTTGGGTTATGTTCAGCTCTTCACTGTTATTACCAGGTCTGCTCTCAACATTCACCTACAAGGCTTTTTGTGATATGTTTTCTCATTTCTTTGAATCATATACCTAGGATTGGCTGGGTCATAGGGGAAGCATATGTTTAACTCTATTGGAATCTTCTAAATTGTTTTCCAAAGTGATTGCTCCAACTTTTACTTTCACCAACAATGTATGAGTTTTGGTACTCCACAGCCTTCCTAACACTTACATTGTCATTCTTTCAAATTTTAAACATTTCTTGTGAATTTATGGTATCATCTTATTGTGCATTTAATTTACATCTCCCTGACTACTCATGGAGTTGAGTATCTTTTTATACATTTATTGGCCATTTAGATATCTTCTTTTGTGAGTTGCCTGTTGATTGAACCAAAGACTTGTTTACCAATTGCACTTTGGGGAGGTCCTCCTGTGTCCAGAATAGGTAAGTGCTTCCTTTCCAAGTAACTGATTCAAAAAGAAACCAAATCAATACAAATACAATTTCATTTCCTAGATCAAGGCTAATTGGCTGTAAAAAAAAAAAAAAGCCTATATATTCCTTTAAAAAAATACACAGGAGTCTCCTTCAGCTGGTCCCCAACAGATTCTGCAATAAGATGTTTCTACTGCTCACAGCCTGCTGAAACACAGGCGTCACTGGGGAATGCTTTATTGCTAGCCTCTGTTTTGTGCCTGGGGCTGGATGGCTGCTTGCACATAGCAGATATGATTAGCCATTTTAGTGGAAGACAGCTCAGAAGGGAGCTGTCTGTCAGCTTCCCTTGTGTGTGTTGCTCCACTGAGGTATTCAGAGGCCCTCAGGGTGACATCTGGTGAAAGGAGAATTTAAACAGAAAGTGTCTGGATGGCTATTATTTGGTGGCTGTTATCAGAAATGTACTTCAGGAAACAGAAAGTCATAAGCAGAAATGAACATATGGCTCATAGAATTGTAGGATCTTAAAGTTAGAAGGGGCCCTAGAGATGATCTATTCTAAACATCTCATTTTATGAACAAGAAAACTGAAGCTTAGTGAGATACTGTGTTTCTAAAGTTTGCAAAGCTTGCTAATGAAATAGATCTTGAATATATACTTAATAAGAATTAGATTAAGTGGTGAGAAAAAGTAAATTCAATGTAGGGAGATAGGGCACACTTTCTATCATTAAAATGTATTTATTGCTCTAGCAATGTCTATTTTTTACTCAAGGTAAAACAGGATTTTCCTGATGCCCCTGAGTTTCTTAAGGTAGGAGTTTGTCCCATTCTTCTCTTCTTCCCCAGAACATACACAAGGCCTGGTATGGAGTCTGAGCCCTTTCTTCTAGGAAGGAAACTGCAGAAAATAGGCAGCATGTCTTGGTCACAGCAAGTGCAATTGAAGAAGTAGTAGAATTCTGCCTGAAGAAATATTTCAATATCAGACTGAAGAAGTTTGTCCCAACTTCTGTAAAAGTCTGTGAAAGTCAAGAGCCTCAATGCAAATTTTAGTGTATCAAGAAAGATGCTTCCTCCTGCAAATCATGGAAATTTTAGCAAAACTTGAACCTTATAATTTCATATAAGAAGAAGCCTGAAGGTAGGAAATTTCCAGGGTTGGTTAATGTAGTGGATCAGTGACATTAACAAGGACTCAGACATCTTGCATCATTTCACATGAAATTCTCAGTGGACTGGCTTATACTCCATGGTAGACAGGAAGATGTGCTACCCAGATCCCCCTTCTATGAAGGTCTTGATGCCCAGCTTTGAGAAGTAAGGTCAATAGGCAGTCTCAGCTGTCAGCTTTTTTTAAGACAGTATGTCTCAGCTGCAGGGAATGGCCATGGGTCATGCTCTCTCTTCAGATGACTGAGTAAAGTCGGAGTATAAAGGAATGACCATTTCAGCCCAAAGCAGGACAATTTCTATGGATGACACTGGCCCGGAGCATGTGCAGAGTTGACTGAGGCTTTATTGGACCTGCATTACTATTCAGCTTCTCCCTTAGCTCAGTCCTGCTTCCTGCCCCTTCCTCCTACAGATACTGATCCCTAAGAAACTCATTGCACTCCAGCCTCTGTCTTAATATCTGTTTCTGACATAGCTGCCCTGCCACAGCTTCTAATTCTGGGACCCCTCATGCTCCTGAAATTGCTGCCCAATTCTAGCTGGCATAAGCAGCTAATCCAAAAGCAGAAAAGGGTACATGCCTCTCTTGTGTCCCATTTGAACAGTGAGAAAATCCCTCCCAGAAACCATTCAGCAGACCTCCTCTGTTTTTTATTAGCTGTGATTGTGTCACGAGCCAATGACTAAAGCCAATCACTTTGGAAGGTGAATGACACGCCTATGTTTGGCTTAGATGAACAAAGAAGCTGTCTTCTTGGGCTTGGGTTATTGCTTCCTCTTAAAAACATGAGTATGCTAAAAACAATTAATAAAATTGGGGCTTTGGAAGAAGGCAGAAGATGGCAGGATAAAGAAGATAGACTAGAAGGCTTGACTTGGTATATAATAGAAAGTCACTACCACATCAGGAATCTCAGGGCCAAAAGTAGTGTAAAGCCCTGAAAGGCAAAGGGAGGAACAACTTTACTGGAACATGCAAATGGCAGGACAAGAAAAGAATGAACACATAATAGCTGGTTAACAAATGTTTGCTGAAATAATGAAAACAGCTTTTATGATTTATTGGTTCTTTTTGGATAATGGTGTTAACTCTGCCTTTGCAAATCTCTTTCTTTCATCCTAAAAACCATACATGTGATACTCTAATGACATGCACAGATTTTAATAAAATCACCTCGAAATTTGTAGGAAAGTGTGACAGAGGCTTATAAACATTTTCCCTTTTGAAATTATATTTATAAAAACTATTCTGTAAGCACGAGTCACAAAATTATTTATTTCAAGTTTTAAAAATAGAAGTTTACAAGAAAAAATATGGCTACATGAATTTAAAAGTGTTGGATTTTCTTTTGATAAAACTTGATTTTTCTCTCAGATAATGTTAATGAAGATTAGTTCCTATAAAAGAAGCAAAATAATTTTTTATGATTAAAATGAGACTATATTGAATTTGTGGATTTTTAACACAGTTATCACTATGAAGAATGCTTTTGTCAATTTTACTTGTATTGTTAATTTGCCTACTTTTGATGGGATTTACAACTGTTTTGCCTTATAGAGATTTTCTAGCATTATTATCCCTGAAAGGGAATGTGAATGTATATGCTCTAATCACCCTGTCTCATCTGCTTCTGCCTTCTTCCTGTTAGCTATTTTTCCATGGGTGAAATAAAAATTAGTCTAGAAATAAATAAAAAAATCACAGCTAAAAGGGACAGTAATATTGAAAATATCCCACTGCTGCTAAGGTGTGCCTGTGGAGTTTTATCCCTAAGATGGTCAGATGAGTGAAGCAGACTGCGGGTTGTATGCAATTACAAATGGTAGCTGATGAAACTCTAGTTTTTCTCTAACAGTGGAGAATGCATATTAAAATGCAAATATGTGGATGATATTATTCTAAGAATAAGACTAATCTTGAATTAGTACCAATTTATACAAACATCAATCTTCACAAATTTTATACTTTGACTACTAGTGATTACAAAATACTGGTGAAATACTTCTCAATATTTTATTTGGAAAATGAGAACTGTTGCTGTGCTTAGAACACAGAATAGTTTAACTCTGCACGCATCTTTTTTTTCTGGAGGTGTGAAATTTATATAAAGTTAAATGAACAATTTTAAAGTGTACAATTTAATGGCATTTAGTGCGTTTACAATGGTTCAAAACTACTGTCCGTACCAAGTTCCAAAACGTTTTCATCACCCCAAAGTTTTAGTGTTTTTTGATCCATTATATTGAATTTAACATAAGGAGGGGAACCACATTGGTTGTTTGGTTGCCACTGACATATAGCTCTTTTCTTTTCTTTTTTAGTATTTTATTTTTATTTATTTATTATTATTATTATACTTTAAGTTCTAGGGTACATGTGCACAACGTGCAGGTTTGTTACATATGTATACATGTGCCATGTTGGTGTGCTGCACCCATTAACTCCTCATTTACATTAGGTATATCTCCTAATGTATTCCTCCCCATCCCCCCACCCCACGACAGGCCCCAGTGTGTGATGTTCCCCTTCCTGTGTCCAAGTGTTCTCATTGTTCAATTCCCACCTATGAGTGAGAACATGCTGTGTATGGCTTTTTTGTCCTTGCGATAGTTTGCTGAGAATGATGGTTTCCAGCTTCATCCATGTCCCTAAAAAGGACATGAACTCATCCTTTTTTATGGCTGCATAGTATTCCATGGTGTATATGTGCACATTTTCTTCATCCAGTCTATCATTGATGGACATTTGGGTTGGTTCCAAGTCTTTGCTGTTGTGAATAGTGCCGCAATAAACATACGTGTGCATGTGTCTTTATAGCAGCATGTTTTATAATCCTTTCAGTCTATACCCAGTAATGGGATGGCTGGGTCAAATGGTATTTCTAGTTCTAGATCCTTGAGGAATCATCACACTGACTTCCACAATGGTTGAGCCAGTTTACAGTCCCACCAACAGTGTAAAAGTGTTCCTATTTCTTCACATCCTCTCCAGCACCTGTTGTTTCCTGACTTTTTAATGATTGCCATTCTAACTGGTGTGAGATGGTATCTCATTGTGGTTTTGATTTGCATTTCTCTGATGGCCAGTGATGATAAGCATTTTTTCATGTGTCTGTTGGCTGCATAAATGTCTTCTTTTGAGAGGTGTCTGTTCATACCCTTCGCCCACTTTTTGATGGGGTATATAGCCCTTTTCAAGATAAACCGTGGAGACAAACATTTGAATATATCTGTTTCTACTTTAAATAGAGTTTTGAGAAGTTGACTTATTGGATATGAGAAAAATGATGACTTTTCAACTTCTGGAGAATTGGGAACTACCATCACAGATGGAAAAATGTAAAAAAAAAAAAAAATAGTGATAGAACCTGAGAATTCCACAGTAGCCAAAATCTGGGGTGGTGGAAGGTGGGTCTAGATAGTCCACTACCATATAGATTCTATTCCTGTTCTCTGAGACGCCTTATGGTGCTGCAGAGAGAAATGGATTGCATTTCCCAACTTCAGTTGAACTCTACATAGATTTGGTGTTCCAAAATATCTGAACACGTCTGACAAACTGGGGAGTTTGACTTGTTGGAAGCTAATTTACATGAGAGTTCAAAGTGGCTTCTAGATGGAAATGCTTTCTGGAGATGGACTCAGTAGTATGGTCTTATTCCACAGAAAAGAGGAGAAATTCTGAGTAGATCATAATTTCCATATAATGCATTTTTCCTTCATCACTCCTTTATGTGCATATATCTGAATGCCAGGAGTAAGAGAAGCAAGAGTGCAGAAGGAAGCAGTAGGCAAAAGCTAAAGGAAGTGTCCACTTAAAACATCATAAGACTCTAGGACAGAAGCAGACCTGTCTTTGTTTCCCTCTAAAAGAGTAAACCATTAGAAAAGGAAAGGATGAATCCTTCCCTAAGGACAACAGAACGTTGATGCTCCAAGAGATCTTTCTGAACACCCCTGGCAGAACAGATAGCACCTGCAAATGAGGGTAGATTGTATAAGGATCCCGAGAGAGAGAAAAACATTGCTTAAAAAAATTAAAAACTTTCCCACGACAATGCCTTACATCATTGTATCTGCACTCCGTACCTTTCAGCTGTAGTGACTTTAGGGAAAGTATAAATATTTTATGGACTATGTTTCTAGGTACTGGTTTGGTAGACATTTTATTAATCATTACACTTCTCTTTATTAACATTTATTAGATTTTTTATTTTATTAACATTTATTGGATGTTCTTTTCCAGAAACTTCTGGACATTCTTTTAAGTGAAATTTATTGTTTTTAACCATATTTACTTTTTTTTTTCAGGTGAAGCTATATTTTTTTGGATAAAGAAATTATTCTTGGCCAGGCACGGTGGCTCACGCCTGTAATCCCAGCACTTTGGGAGGCCAAGGCGGGCGGATCACGAAGTCAGGATATCGAGACCATCCTGGCTAACACTGTGAAACCCCGTCTGTACTAAAAAATACAAAGAAAATTAGCCGGGCGTGCTGGCGGGCGCCTGTAGTCCCAGCTACTTGGGAGGCTGAGGCAGGAGAATGGCGGAAACCCGGGAGGCGGAGCTTGCAATGAGCTGAGATCGCGCCACTGCACTCCAGCCTGGGCGACAGAGTGAGACTCCATGTCAAAAAAAAAAAAAAAAATTCTCTTAGTTGAAGTCACGAAATATTACACATTATATGATACCTATTCATGTGAAATGTCTAGAATGGGCAGATCTGTAGACACAGAAAGCTGGCTGTAGGGGAAATAGAAGGTGACTACTACGGGTACAAGGTTTTCTTTGCGGATGATGAAAATGTTCTAAAAATTAGATTATTATAATGGTTGTACAACTTTGTAAATATACTGAAAAACATTATGTGTTAAATAAGTGAATTTTGAGATATGTAAATTGTATCTCCATAAATCTATTTCAAAAAATGAACTCTCAGTAAATAAATAATACTTCAAGTTAAGACTATTTTAACACTGGCACAGCCATATTTTATCATGTTTTAGCTTAAATAAAAATTATTTTTTTAATTAAAATTCAGTGCCAATGAGGAAAATACTTAAAATTCTAAACCATAGTATTGAATATAATTTTAGAAATGTACATATATATATATATATATATATATATATATATATATATATAGAACCAGGCATTTGCTTCCTTAGCTTCTTATAGTTTGTATATGATATTTAAAATATCATGATATATAGTATATAGTATAAAATATATAAGAATTTTCTTTAGTGTAAAATTTTGTCATAATTTAGAAGTAGTTATAATTTAAAATTTCAGAAAAGGGATTAGTAGAACTGTCATGTTAATACATTTATAGTTACATTTACATTAATTAAAATAAAATATGAAATTTAGTTCCTTGATTCCACTAGCCACATAGCAAGTGCTCAATAATCACATGTGGCCAGTGGCTACAGTATTGGACAGTACAGATCATAAAACATTTCTATCATTATAGAAAATTCTACCAGGCAACACCGTTCTATAAATTTATTTGCAGTCTTGGGGTACACAGATAAACTGCTTTGGGACTTAGTCCTCCCATCATAATTCACACGTTTTAAGGCATTTTAGTTATTGTTCTTTGTAATTATTTTTAAATTTCAACTTTTAGGTACGGGGGGTACATGTGCAGGTCTTTTACATGGGTATATCGATGCTGAAGTTGGGGTATGGATCCTGTAACCCAGGTAATGAGCACAATACCCAATAGTTAGTTTTTTGACCCATGTTCCACTCTTTCCTTCCCTTGTCTAGCAGTTACCAGTGCCTATTGTTCCCATATTTATGTTCAAGTGTGCTCAATATTTAAGTCCCACTTATAAGTGAGAATACGTGGTATTTAATTTTCTGTTCCTGTGTTAATTCACGTAGGACAATGGCCTCAGCTACATCCATGTTTGTTGCAAAGGACATGACTTCATTCTTTTTATGGCTGCAGAGTATTCCATTTTCTTTATCCAATCAACCATCAATGGGCATCTAGGTTGATTCCACGTCTTTGCTATTGTGAATAGTACCTTTTTGGTGCAATGATTTATTTTCATTTGGGTATGTACACAGTAATGAGATTCTGAGTTGAATGGTAGCTCTGTTTGAAGTTCTTCGAGAAATCTCCAAACTGCTTTTCACAGTGGCTGAAATAATTTAAATTCCCACCAATAATGTATATGCATTCTCTTTTCTCCAGGGCCTCATCACCATCTGTTATTTTTTGACGTTTTAGTAATAGCCATTCTGATTGGAGTGAGATGGTATCTCATTGAGGTTTTGATTTGCATTTCTCAGATGATCAGTGATGATGAGCATTTTTTTATATATTCTTTGACCACTTGTATGTCTTGTTTTGAGAAGTGTCTGGATTTTTACTACTACTTTAAAAAAAACTCCAGAATGCAGAAAAACAGTATTGTTGGTCATGACCATTGTAATCATTTGTCAATGAGATTTTTTTTCTAATTCTGGTAGTTTTCAGAATTGATGTTCATAAAGATAACCCTAGGTCCTACCTAGTGACCCTGCCATCATCCTAGTCTCTGAGAAGGTCACTGGCTATTGCATTAAAATAATTTCAACTTTACTTCAGAATGTTTAAGAGGATTCATCCAATCTAGGAGTTGACAATTAAGGGTGATCACTAACGAGGAAAATAAAACCCACATTAGAGGACTGGAAAGGGAAAAAAAAGCTGGAAACAATTAAATAATCACTAATTCCAATTGTAACTTTAGGGTGTCTTTGGAATTGGAACCCAGAGTGTACTTACTATAGAAGTAAAAGATGCAACAAAAGCCAAAATTGACAAATGGGATCTAATTAAACTAAAGAGCTTCTGCACAGCAAAATAAACTATCATTAGAGTGAACAGACAACCTACAGAATGGGAGAGAATTTTTGCAATCTATCCATCTGACAAAGGGCTAATATCCTGAATCTACAAAGAACTTAAACAAATTTACAAGAGAAAAACAACCCCATCAAAAAGTGGGCAAAGGATATGAACAGACACTTCTCAAAAGAAGACATTTATGCAGCCAACAAACATATGAAAAAAAGCTCATCATTGCTGGTCATTAAAGAAATACACATCAAAACCACCATGAGATACCATCTCACTCCAGTTAGGATGACGATCATTAAAAAGTCAGGAAACAACAGATGCTGGAGAGGATGTGGAGAAATAGGAACGCTTTTACACTGTTGGTGGGAGCATAAATTAGTTCAACCATTGTGGAAGACAGTGTGGTGATTGCTCAGGGATTTAGAACCAGAAATACCATTTGACCCAGCAATCCAATTACTGGGTATATATCCAAAGGATTATAAATAATTCTACTATGAAGACACGTGCACACATATGTTTAATAAAGCACTGTTCACAATAGCAAAGACTTGGAACCAACCCAAATGCTCATTAATGATAGACTGGATAAAGAAAATGTGACACATATATAACATGGAGTACTATGCAGCCATAAAAAGGGATGAGTTCATTTTCTTTGCAGGGACGTGGATGAAGCTGGAAACCATCATTCTCAGCAGACTAACAGAAGGACAGAAAATTAAACACTGCATGTTCTCACTCATAAGTGAGAATTGAACAATGAGAACACATGGACAGAGGGAGGGGAACATCACACACTGGGGCCTGTTGGGGGGTGGAGGGTGAGAGGAGGGATAGCATTAGGAGAAATACCTAATGTAGATGACGGGTTGATGGGTGCAGCAAACTACCATGGCACGTGTATACCTATGTAACGAAACTGTCCGTTCTGCACATGTATCCCAGGTCTTAAAGTATAATAAATAAATAACAAAAGGTAAAATATGGACATTAGTCGTCATCTTCTGTTGAATACCAGAGAGGCTACCCTAAATAACCAATGAGTTCTGCCACCCTTGTAAGATGCAGTGATCAATAAAGCAAAGTAGAAAAATTTGGGTTTTATTCATTCCCCTTACTCCTTATCAGCTGTTCCCAGAAGCTGTCTAGTACTTTGCCAGAGACAATATATTATGCTCATAGCAGAAGGTAGGTTCTGCCAATTATTTCAAGAATGGTTAGAGACTCTCTACCTAGACCCCATGTCTCCCTGATTTTTAAATTTATTGTGTTACTGTTGGCATTTTTAAGGCTAAAATGTAAAACAAAACAGTGTTTATTCCCATTGTGAATTCACTTCTTTCACCTATGAGTAAATATTTCAAAGCACTTAGAACAGTGATTGGCTCAGAATGAGATGGATAGAGAGAGAAAGAGAGAGAAGGAGAGGGAGATAGAAATTATTCATTTCTCCTTATGAATAATGACTCTGAGCTGTGGAGCTCTGATCCTGCCCCAATTATACCAAGTTTTTCAGCAGTCCATTTTTTTCTTTCCCCAATGAGGCAGGATCAAAGGTAATGACGTTTCTTGTTCAGATGAAGGTACATATGATACTTCCTAGTAATTCTTTCCTTCTGCCTAACCACCCAGGGATAATCCAACATCTTATGGACAGATTAACTATTATGAACCAGCTCTCCCTGATATATGTATACTTAGGAAAAACCACAATCATCATTATTAAGTAAGGTTACTAGATTTATCTATCCTTTCACAGACATGAGCAGATACAACTATTCAGCTGACAATATTTATCTCTTGGCAAAGATTTTTAGGAAAAATTCTCAATTACTCAAGATATTCCTGAGCCTGGAAAAATAACCCCAAATGAAAGTTTCATACAATAAGCTATTTAAACCCAGTTAGACTAAACATTGCCAGCTACATCAGGGCATTAATAATGAAACACATCATAGATAACACAAAGTTTTGAAGTTCCTAAAGCAAATTTTCAGAATTCACTTAGACATTTCATCATTGCCAAAAAAGAACAGTGCCATTTTAGATTATTTTGTATTTCTCATTTCCTAAAAAATATGTAATTTCTTACAAAAAATATTATAAACTATAATACTATTATATTCTACATATTGGGTCAGAAGTTTCTTTATATGCATTTAGTTTTTCATTATTTTCACTTATATAACCCATGTACTAAATCTGTCAAAAAGAATCAAGTAAGTTGAGAATGTAAACCCACAGATAATTTTTCTTTGTTGCCAAAATGCACTAAACTTTTCAGGTTATATTCTTCTAACTAGCTTTTTGTACGTTTACCAGAGAGGATTGCCAAATTATAGTTTAATTTGAAGCAGATGATACACTTTGAAAGAGCACATGAAGACCTTTGGGTTGGCTCACAAACTGCCTTAAAATTACAATTTAAATGCATTTATTATAATAGTAAAATAATGTGGTATTAGTAAACCAGTTTATCTGTCCTTCTGTCAAGCTAAGCATAAAGAATGTAATCATCAGCTCTAAAGCCTTCTAAAAATAAACTGAAATTGTAAATAGAGAAGTTAAGCAGAAGTCAGCCAAAGAATAACTTTAGAACACTATTTTTTCTCCCATGGTTTTAGTTTTGGAAAGAAGTGAGATTAGTTTTTCTAAGTTCATGTAAGTGAATCCCATAGCAATTCTCATCATGATCATCATTAAGGAGGTGACAGGGTAAAAACAAACAAATGAACAAACAGAAAATCTGAAGTCAGTAGACAGGAGGGGAAAGGTAAATTAGAAAACACTAATGGGGCAGTAACCGTGGCAAGTGGGAAAGAAATTCACTGAAGACCCACCCATCATGCAACTTTCTCAGTGAAAGTTCTACTCCCTCCTGGATTAAGTTCGGTTTCTGTCTTTAGAGGTTACAGGGCATTTCTTTAAAATGGAGAAGAGATCCAAGGTTTACTGTAGAGTTGGACCCATTTTATAAGAAAAGTAAAAATACAGAACTTAATAACGAATACTTCATATTGCCCCTAAGGCAGCCAAACACTCATGAGTGCTAGATAAATAACCACAACATAAAGATTATATTCCAGTTATACTCTATATGGTTGTCATACTTCTGAAGATTGTGAAACATTGGATTAAGGAATATTATCATGCATACCTTAATTACATAAAAAAGTTCATGCTTTATTGGGTGAAAAAAGAAAACTATAAAACAATTTACATATAGCCTGTGTTTTACATTTAGATAGTTATATTTCTAAAAAAAATCAGCACGTACCTAAGAAAAAAAGATTGGTAGACTATATAAGAATATGAATGATTATTGCAGCAGGCTGAATGTTTGTCTCTCTCAAAATTCGTATGTTCAAACCTTAACCTCCAATTGGATGGCATAATGGCCTTTGGGAGATGATTAGATTATGAGGGCAGCACCCTCAAGATTGGGATTAATGCCCTCATAAGAAGAGTCCAGCTAGCTAGCTATTTATTGCCCTTTTTGCCATGTGAGACTACAAGGAGAATTTAGCTGTTTGCAACTTGGAAAAGGACCCTCACCAGAACCTGACCCTGATTTCGGGTTTCTAGCCTCCAGAATTGAGAGAAATAAATTTCTGTTGTTTGTAGTACCTCTTCTATGGTATTTTGTTATAGCAGCCAAAACAGACTAAGATAATTATCTTTCCATGCAGTAAAATATATATATTCTTTTCGATGTTTAAAAACAAAAGCAATGTGTTATATTTCTCTGGCCTGACATTGTCCTTTTTTTGAATTCTTAGCTCACTAGTAGTTAGTGTTTCATAAGAAGGTCAGCAGTTAAGAAGCATTAATGCTTCTTTTGCTCTGAAAATTAGTTTCCAAAAAAGTCCTGAGTGTGAACATGCTTTCTAGAGGAGGCAGGTCTCCACAAAGATTATCATTTTGTGGAGAAAAGAAGATTTACATATAGGTAGGCATAAATATGCATATAGATATGTACTCAAACAATGATGTGATGGATATTTTTAACAGAGTGAAACAATGGGCAGGGAAGGACAATTAAGGATTAGGTTAAATTCTATTAAATTAATTGATATAATAAATTAATTGATCACTGACACCTTCAAAGGTAACATTATCTGCACTTTAAAGCTCAATCCTTTCAAGAGAATGATTGATGATTAATAGTTTTACTTATTATTTTGAATTATTTCAGAAATTGAGAAAGGTGCAGATCCTAATAAAAGATATACCTATCTATCAGGCCACATATTTGACAAATGTTAACATCAATTAACCATTTTTTAAAATAATTTTTAATTGAAGCATAACATAGAAAAAGGAAAGCATTAATCAAAAACACATAGTTGTATGACACAGCATAAAATGAACATACTCATGTAACCACCACCAAGCTCAAGAAATTGAACACTACCGGTAATCAAAAGCCCTCCTTGTACATATATTTCGTTACTACTACCCAGTCCTTCCCCAAAGCAACCACTATGCTGACATCTGACACCGTAGAAGAGTTTCGATTCTTTTACAATTTTTTATATGAATGGAACCATATATATTCCATATATATTTTGGGCTTGGATTATTTTGCTTAACATTGTGTAAGTGAAAGTTATTTAAGTTCTTGCCTGCAAAAAGAGTTCATTCATATATATATATATGAAAATATATGTATTTCCCCCTGCATGATCGGGGGCAAAGGATGGGGTTCTACCTGCACTGATCATTCCTGGATGTGGGGTGGCAATTTTGCAGGTATGGTCCATGTTGTGAATAAAACATCTTTTTTTACTCATATTGTTGATGTACATTTAATTATGTTCAGTTTTGGCTACAATGAATAATGCTACAATGAACATTTTCATACATGTCTTTTGGTGAACGTATACATACATTTCTATTGGGTATTTACCGAGAAGTGGAATTGCTGAGTCATAGGGTAGGCCTATGGTAAGTTTTAGAGACACGGACAAACAGTTTTTCCATAATGTCAATTTTTATACCAACAAGTAATGTATGAGGCTATATTGAAACATTGCAATTAAAATAAGAATTGTACTATTTTAAGAGGGTAGAAAGGCAATTAACAGGTAAAAGTATATATCCTTGGTACATATAATTATTTACAAAGCATTTATATCTATAATATGTGATTTCTACACATCAATAAAAATATACAATAGAAAAATAGCAAAACACTTGAAGAAACATTTCAAAAAAGAGGATACCCAAAAGACCAATAAACATGATGTTAATTAATACCAAATGAGATACCAATAAATACTTGCCACAATACATTTTTTAAAATTACAATATCAAATATGTTCTTGTGTTTATAAAGTGTAATTTATATAAATAGTATATTGCTGATTTGTTTTTTTTCCTCTGTGGTTTTTGTTTGTTTGTTTCTCTACTTTTTAAAATGCAACTTGTCCATCTTCACATTTTAACTGAAGGGTCTAATCAATCAATTTATATAAATATGGCTATGATCAAAATATTTGAATCACCTGTTCCTTCTCCGTTAACTCATTCTTGATAGTCTTTCCCCTCATATGTTTGTTATAATCTGTGATCTTCTTTATTTCAGCATAAAGCCCTTCTGAATATTTAAACTTCCCTGTTATTAGAAGCAAAATACTATCATCTCCCATATGCTTTACTTTCAAGTTGTTCTAAAATATTAACGTTGCCCACAATGCTGGAATTTACATCCTTTTGTATGTTTCCTGGTAATATGTGTTAGAGTTCTCTAAATTATAATCAGGAGAATATAAACTAAGTGTGTACACATTCAATTATATTTGATATTGCTGAATTGTTCTCTCACATGGTTAAATCCATTTACATTATCATCAATACTACCTGTGAGAATTAAAAATATCTTCCTATTTCTTTCCCAGCACTTGATATTGTGAGTCTTTTTCAACTTTGTTGATTTGAAATCTTGTTCATTACCTGACTTGCCTTTAGTGTGCATATATTTATGCTGATCTTCACTTCCTGTGTTTATTTGCCTTTTGTGATTCCTTTCAGGTGAGGTGCCTGTTCGTATCTTCATGTGTAATTGTTATTATATATTCTTGTTTCTCATCCATTGCAATTTTCCACACTGTCTACACTGTCTTTTGTTGTATAGGAATTGTCACGTTTCATTTTCATTTTTCTATTTTTTTAAAATAAGTCATTTCCTTTGTTATTGGTATGTATTGAATCTTTGAAAAAAGTCTTCCCTGGCCTCCTTTTTCCTATTTTCATAAATTTTGAGAGTTCTTGCATTCAGCTTAAATATGTGAAGGTATCATCTACCAATAACACTTTTCTTCTTCTCAAAAATTGTCAGTCTCTTAAGAAATGTACAAGTAATTAAAAATATTTCTTTGGTTTACTACAAGTACTATAAAATTAACAAAAATATAACATTTTGATTTAATGAAGATTAGCGCTTCAAAAGAAATGTATACAGTATATGAATAAAAATGCAACATAAATAGAAAAGCACTAACTTAGAGTTTTTACCTATTGAGCAACTATGATTTATTCACAATATCACTAACTCATTTATGGGACTATCTACCACAGAATAAGAGGAGATGAATGGTTATAACAGATCCATCTGTCATTTTTAAACAACAACACAACAAAAGCTGGATTCATTAACAATGGTTGATGTGACTTACATATCTCTGTAGTCTATTTGGATTAATGATTGGCAATTTAACCTATGGATAAGACATTTTTGTATAGCTATACCAAAATAGAACAAAATTGTCTTTTATGTTGGGACTGCCTACAAACTTCTAGCCATCTTGCAACTTCCATGGTCAGAACTAATTGTAGTTCTGACAATGTAGAACTGTAATTGTAGTTCTACTACTGCATGTCTCCATATTGTAGTAGCAGTAGACATGTTTAAAGGTGTGCACGCATATCTGTGTATTTGTGTGTGTGTGTGTGACTTATTCACTTCAGTTGTCTGAATTGTTAATGTAGATGACGGTATGATTGATTAATGGTGATTATCAATTTGTCAAGTAGAGCAATGACGTTCTCTGCTTTCTCAGAAGCTGAAGGTTCTCACTTTCTACCCAAGTGTCATTCCTAAATGCTTGCTACATACGGTTGGAAAAGTAAGCATTTTGTTGAACATTGCAAGTAAAATGTTCAATCTTTTAGGAGCGGTTTGATGCTCCAGGAAGAAAGACTGGTTAACTAGTTTCTACTTATAAAAATGACTGAATACTGTCAAATGAGTCATTTGTGTGCCCAAAAATACTTTACTCTGTTACATAACACTATATAAATTGAGTGAAATATTGCTAATTCATATCACTGACACCATGAAAAAATGAGAAGCCTAAGAAGTTTGGAGTTTCTTAAAAAGGCTTTACGTCTGTATATTTGAAAAAAAAAAAGCATCTGAAAGAATCCAGTATAAACCCAGCCTTATGGAGGAAAAAAATATTCTCTGCTCGCAACACCTAAGAAATGTAGCAGAAACGGTTCCTGACCTTAAGTATTTTTTAGACCTTTGGAATATTAGATGTCAAGTTTTTTTTTCTTTCTTTCTTTTTATTACACTTTAAGTTCTAGGGTACATGTGCACAAAGTGCAGGTTCGTTACATAGGTATACATGAGCCATGATGGTCTGCTGCACCCATCAACTCGTCATTTACGTTAGGTATTTCTCCTAATGCTATGTCTCCCCCAGCCCCCCTCCCCCAGCTGGCCCTGGTGTGTGATGTTCCCCACCCTGTGTCCATGTGTTGTCGTTGTTCAACTCCCACCTATGAGTGAGAACATGCAGTGTTTGGTTTTCTGTCCTTGTGATAGTTTGCTTAGAATGATGGTTTCCAGATGTCAAATTTTATCCATAATCTTTCAATATTTTGGCCTCTAACTCTGTATGGACATGTGTAACCAGCATGCAAAACATGATTCTATTCTGGGGCAATGGTGAGGCAAAGAGTGATGTCTGTTCTGAACTGTGCCTCCTTCGGGGAATGAGCAGTCTGATATGAGGGCAGGTATGCTTATTTCTCTTGTTTCAGCAACTAATACTCCCCAGCCTAATGTGATAAAAGTGTTATCTTATGTTTTCCCCTCTCCCTTCATTTCTTTCCCCTCTAACTATAAAGAATCTGTAAGGAGTAGAATTCACAGAGATAATCTTCTAAACAACTACATATGCTCAACATGACATGAGACTTAAGTCTTGTTGAGTTCTTTTAGTGTTTCATTCATGTACGGAGTTTGGAAATGATTAGAAATAGAGTTGAAGAGCTGCTAAAACAGGTGGGAGTAATAATGTATAGTTTGACGCTGAGGCAAAATGTTTTTAGGCCTTAGGACTATACACTCTTGATCTGAAAGGGACTTAGGATGTTTGTAAGAGAAAAGGGGTACTCTGGCAGGAGCAGTGGAGCAGTACTCTGCCTAAGGTTCTAGCATAGTCTGTGGATTCTGGTATTGGGTGAAGCCACATTTTTATTTCCATTTTTGCTTTAACCTGGTAAATACCTCTCACCTCCCTGTGCTTCCAGGTGGAATTTTATCTGGAAGACAGAATGCAGAACCTCTTTTATAAAAATTTATTTTAATTATTGTGGATACATTATAGGTATATATCTTTATGGGGTACATGAGGTATTTTCGTACAGGCATGCAATGCATTATAACTACCTCATGTAAAATGAGGCATCCTTCCCTTCAAGCATTTATCTTGTGTTACAGACAATCCAATTATATTCTTGTAGTAATTTCAAAATGTACAATTAGATGATTATTGACTATAATCACCTTGTTGTGCTATCAAATACCAGGTCTTATTCATTCTTTCTAAGTAGTTTTTTGTACCCATTAAGCATTCCTACATCCCCCCTCAACCACCAACCCCTCACTACCCCTCCAAGCCTCTGGCAACCATCTTTTTACTCTCCATCTCCATGAGTTCAATAGTTTTAAATACAAAATCCCCCCAATAGTTGAGAACATGCGATGTTTGTTTTTCTGTGCCTGGCTTATTTCACTTATCGTAATGACCTCCAGTTCCATCCATGTTGTTGCAAATGACAGAAATTCATTCTTTTTTGTGGCTGAATAGTACTTCATTGTGTATAAGTATCACTTGTTTCTTTATAGATTAATCTGTTGATGGACACTTAGGTGGTTTCTGAATCTTGGCTGTTGTGAACAGTGCAGCAATAAACATGGGAGTGCAGATATCTCTTCGACATACTGATTTCCTGTCTTTTGGGTATATACGCAGCAATGGGATTGCTGAACCATATGGTAGCTCAGTTTTTAGTTCTTTGATGAACCTCCAAACTGTTCTCCATAGTGGTTGTACTAATTTACACTTCCACCAACGGTGTACAAGGGTTCCCTTTCTCCACAGCCTTACTAGTATTTGTTATTGTCTGTCTTTCGATATAAGCTATTCTAATTGGGGTGAGACGACATCTCATTGTAGCTTTGATTTCCATTTATCTAATGATCAATGATGTTGAGCACCTTTTCATATGCCTGTTTGCCATTTGTATGTCTAGCCTGGCCAACATGGTGAAACCCTGTCTCTACCAAAAATACAAAAATTTTCCAGGAGGGGGGTGGCAGGCACCTGTAATCCCAGCTACCTGGGAGGTTGAGGCAGGAGAATTGCTTGAACCCAGAAGGTGGAGGTTGCAGTGAGCTGAAATTATGCCACTGCACTCTAGCCTGGGCAATAGAGTGAGACTCAGTCTCAAAAGAAAAAAAAAATGAAGAAATGTCTATTCAAATCTTTTGCCTCCTTTAAACACTTTTCTTCATTTCACTAGTTTTGGGGGGTACGGGGGTGGTTGTTGGTTACATGGATAAGTTCTTTAGTGGTGATTTCTCGGATTTTGAATACATCCATCACCCAAGCAGTGTACACTCTACTCAGTATGTAGTATTTTTTTATCCCTCACTCCCCTTTCACCCTTCCTTCACAAGTCTCTAAAGTCCATCATATCATTCTTACGCCTTTGCATCCTCATAGCTCAGGGGTCCTTAACCCCTCGGCTGTGGACCAGCACCAGCCCATGGCCTGTTAGGAATTGAGCTGCACAGCAGGTGAGCAGTGGGTGAGTGAGTATTACCACCTGAGTTCTGCCTCCTGTCACATCAGCAGTGGCATTAGATTCTCACAGGGCATGAACCCTATTGTGAACTGCACATGTGAAGGATTTAGGTTACATGATCCTTATGAGAATCTAATGCCTGATGATCTGAGGTTGAACAGCTTCATCCCAAAACCATCCCCCCTCCACCTGGTCCATGGAAAAATTATCTTCCATGAAACTGATCCCTGGTGCTAAAAAGGTTGGGGACCACTGTCATAGCTTAGCTCTCACTTATAAGTAAGAACATATATTTGGTTTTCTATTCCTACGTTACTTCACTTTGAATAACGGCTTCCAGCTACATCCAAGTTGCTTCAAAAGACATTTTTTAATCCACTTATTGGTTGATGGGCACTTACATTGGCTCCATATTTTTGCAATTGTAAATTGTGCTGCTATAAATATGCATGTGCGTGTGTCTTTTTCATATAATGACCTCTTTTCCTTTGGTTACCGGGCAGTGGGGTTGCTGGATTGAATGGTAATTCTACTTTTAGTTCTTTAAGAAACCAATTTGCCCATTATAACAATTGGATTATTAGATTTTTTTTTCTCATAGAGTTGTTTTGAAATCCTCATATATTTGGGTTATTAATCTCCTCTTCTCAGATGGGTAGTTTGCAAATATTTTCTTCCATTCTGTGGGTTGTCTCTTCATTTTGTTGATTGTTTCCTTTGCTGTGCAGAAGCTTTTTAACTTGATTTGATATCATTTGTCCATTTTTTATTTGGTTGCCTATGCTTGTGGGGCATTGCTCAATAAATTTTTTCCCACACTGATGTCCTGGAGAGTTGCCTCAGTGTTTTATTGTAGTAGTTTCATAATTTAAGGTCTTAGATTTAAGTCTTTAATCCACTTTGATTTGATTTTTGTATATGGTGACATATAGGGCTTATATTAGTTGGGATTCTCTAGAATGACAGAACTAATAGGGTGTGTGTGTGTGTGTGTGTGTATATATATATATATATATATATATATATATATATATATATATATATATATATATATATAAAAGGGAGTTTATTAAGGAGTAATAACTCACCCAATCACAAGATCTGACAATAGGCCATCTGCAAGTTGAGGAGCAAGGAAGCCTGTCTGAGTCCCAAAGCTGAAGAACTTGGAGTCCGATGTTCGAGGGCAGCAAGCATCCAGCATGGGAGAAAGATGTAGTCTGGGAGGGTAAGCCAGTCTGGTGTTTTTCTCATTCTTCTGTCTGCTTTTTATTCTGGTCACACTGGAAGCTGATTAGATTGTCTCCTTTGGCAACACCCTCACAGACACAGCCAGGATCAATACTTTGCATCCTTCAATCCAATCAATTTGATACTCAGTATTAACCATCACAAGTCCACCGCTTGTCAACTTGAACCCATATACATCTCCTGAGATCATACATAATCTTCAAATAAAGACAATACTACTATGTACTATTTTCCTAGATAGAGGCAGCTCTAATGGTTTCCATTTGGCCTTTCCCACCATAATTGCCCTCATGCTACCAGTGAGGGGGCCAATGTGGGGGTTCTACCTGCTAAGTATGTCTGTGCCAATTATGCATTCTGGCACTGGGGAAATGACCACAAGATGAGTCCAGGGACCCATTGTAAGTCAGATCTGAGCTAAAACTCCAGTAATTACCTAACTTCCATAAGCCCCTACTTTAACTTGAGGACCACAATGACATTTTGTGTACCCTGGAATCAACGTCAGCTCAGAGTCAGTGTTCAGTAGTCCCTGAAATGTCTGATCGTTTCCCTTTCCCCAATGCACAGTTAACCTGGTAAAAGGCTGGAGGTCTCCTTGGGGAAGGACGGGAAAGAGATTAATAGTATAAGTTATCAGTAGTGTAGTGGGGTCCTTCCTCAAAGCGACCCCGCCTTCCCTTCATTCAAAGGCTTCTGGGTCTGTAAGCTGGCTCAAATCTGGAAATTGATTGAGAGGTCATGATTTTCTGTTTTTATAATTCAAATTAGCCTTTTGTACACTCCACCTGGAAGTTTTCTTCTTATATAAGTTAAGTGTGTGTGTGTGTATATATGTATGTGTATATATATAGATATATACGAATAATATATGAATATATCAGTGCATATATACACATACCTACATTATATACATATATGTATATACTTATATATATACATATATGTATATAGTTGTATATATAAGTATATATGTATATAAGTATATAAGTGTATGTGTATACATATATACATATATATGAAGTGTATGTGTGTGTGTGTGTATATATATATATATATATATGAATGACAGTTCATTAAGGAGTATTAACTCACACAGCCACAAGATCCCACAATAGGCCATCTGCAAGTTGAGGAGCAAGCAAGCCAGTCTGAGTCCCAAAGTTGAAGAACTTGGAGTCTGATATTCGAGGGTAGCAAGTAGCCAGCATGGGAAAAAAAATGTAGGCTGGGAGGCTAAGCCAGTCTAGCCTTTTCTCATTCTTCTGACTGCTTTTTATTCTGGCCATGCTGGCAGCTGATTGGATTGTGCCCACTGAAATTAAGGGGTGAGTCTGACTTTTCCAAGCCACTGACTCAAATGTTAATCTCTTTTGGCAACACCCTCACAGACACACCCAGATCAATATTTTGCATCCTTCAAGCTGATTAAGTTGACACTCGGTATTAACCGTCACAGGGGTCTAGTTTCATTCTTCCGCATATGGATATACAATTCTTCCAGTACTATTTATCAAAGCGACTGTATTTTCCCCAGTGTGTGTTCTTAGAAACTTTGTTCAAAATAAGTTCACTGTAGGTGCATGGATTTAGTTCTTGGTTCTCTGGTCTGTTCCATTGTTCTCTGTGTCTGTTTTTATGCCAGTACCATGCTGTTTTGGTTACTATAGCTTTGTTGCATAATTTGAAGTCAGGAATTGTAATTCTTCTAGTTCTGTTCTTTATGTTTAGGGTAGCTTTGGCTATTCTGGGTCCTGTGTGGTTCCATGTAAATTTTAGGATAGTTTTTCTATTTCTGTGAAAAATGACATTGATATTTTGATAGACATTGCATTGAATCTGTGGGTTGGTTTGGGTAGTATGGACATTTTAACAATATTGATTCTTCCAATCCATGAACATGGGATATCTTTCCATTTTTTGGTGTCTTCTTCAATTTCTTTCACCAGTGTTTCATAGTTTTTATCATAGTGATATTTTACTCCTTTGGTTAAGTTAATTCCTAGGTATTTAATTTTATTTGTGGTTATTGTAAATGGGATTATAGTAATACAAAATTGATTATTTTTTCAGATTGTTCACTGTTGGCATATAGAAATGTAACTGATTTTTTGTATGTTGATTTTGTATCCCATAACTTTACTGAATTTATCAGTTCTGATAGTTTTTTGGTGGGGTCTTTAGGGTTTTCTGAATATAAGAGTATATTATCTACAAAAAAGGAAAATTTAACTACTTCCTTTGCAATTTGAATGCCATTTATATCTTTCTCTTGTTTGATTACTCTAGCTAGGACTTCTAGTAATATGTTGAATAAGAGTGGTGAAAGTGGGCATCCTTGTTGTGCTCCAGATCTTAGAAGAAAGGCTTTCAATTTTTTCCCCTTCAATATGATACTAGCTGTGGGTCTATCATATATGGCTTTTATTATGTTGAGGTATGTTGCTTCTATCCCCAGTTTTTTCAAATTTTTTTTTTATGAAGGATGTTGAATTTTCTCAAATGTTTATCAGCATCAATTGGAGTGATAACATGGCTTTTGTCCCTCATTCTGTTAATATGATATACCACATTGATCGATTTGTGTATGTTTAACCATCCATGCATCCCAGGGAGATATCCCACTTAGTTATGATAAATGACCTTTTTATTGTGATTTGCTAGTATTTTGTTGAAGAATTTTGCACCAATATTCTTCAGATATTTTGGCCTGTAGTTTTCTTTTTTTGATATGTCTTTGCTTACTTTTTATCAGGGTAATACTGGCCCCGTAGAATGCATTTGGGAGTATTCCCTCCTCCTCTATTTTTTGGAATAGTTTGAGTAGGATTGGTATTAGTTCTGCTTTAAATGTTTGGTAGAATTCAGCAGTGAAGCCATTAGGTCCTGGACTGCTCATTACTGGGAGACTTTTCATTATGGCTTCAACCTCATTATTTGTTATTAGTTTGTTCAAATTTTAAGTTTCTTCATGGTTCAATCTTGATAGGTTATATGTATCTAGGACTTTATTACTTTTAGATTTTTAAATTTATTGGCATGTAGTTTCTTGTAGTAGCCACTAATGATCTTTTGAATTTCTTTGGTATGTTGTAATGTCTCCTTTTCTATCTCTGATTTTATTTGAATCTTCTCTCTTTTTTTATTAGTCTTGCTAAAGGTTTGTCAATTTTGTTTAACTTTTCAAACAACCAACTTTTGTTGTATTGCTCTTTTTATTGCTTTCTTCATTTCAATTTCATTTATTTCTGCTCTGTCCTTTATTATTTCTTTCCTTCTACTAATTTTGAGTTTGCTCTTGCTTTCCTAGTTCTTTAAGAGGTATCATTAGGTTATTTGAAGTTTTTATCTTTTTTGATGTAGGCATTTATAGCTATAAACTTCCCCCTTAGTACTGCTTTTGCTGTATCCCATGGTTTTTGTATGTCATTTCCGTTATTATTTGTTTTGAGAAATTTTTCAATTTCCTTCTTAATGTCTTCATTGACCCACTGGTCATTCAGGAGTATATTGTTTAATTTCCATATATTTGTATGACTTCAAAAATTCCTCTTATTGTTGATTTCTAGTTTTATTCCACATGGTCAGAAGATGCTTGATATTATTTTATTGTTTTTAATATTTTAAGACCTGTTTTGTGACCTAACATATGATCTATCCTTGAGAATAATCCAAACGCTGAGGAAAAGAATATTTATTTTGCAGCTTTGGACAAAATATTCTATAAATATGTATTGGGTCCTTTTGGTTTATAGTGCAGATTAAGTCTGATAATTCTTTGTTGATTTCCTATCTGGAAGATCTGTCCAATGTTGAAAGTGTTTCCAGCTGTTATTGTACTGGGGCCTATCTCTCTCTTTTGCTTTAATAATATTTGCTTTACATATCTGGGTGCTCTAGTGCTGACTGCATATATATATATATATATATATATATATATATATATATATATATACACACACACACATATATATTTATAAAATTGTTATGTCGTCTTGCTGAATTTACTACTTTATCATTATATAGGGACCTTCCTTATCTCTTCTTACAGTTTTTGTCTTGAGATTTATTTTGTCTGATATAAGTATAGGTACTTTTGCTCTTTTTGGGTTTCCATTGGCATGGAATATCTTTTTCCATTCCTTTCTTTCAGTCTATCTGTGTTTTTTTAGGTAAAGTGTGCTTCTTGTAGGCAAAAGATCATTGGGTCTTGTTTTCTTATCCATTAAGCCACTCTATGTGTTGTGATTGAAGAGTTTAGTCTGTGTATATTCAATGTTATTATTGATAAGTAAATACTTTACTCCTGCCATTTTGTTACTTGTTTTCTGATGGTTTTGTGGTCTTATTTTCTTTCTTTCTTTTTTCCCATCTTTCTTTTAGTGAAGGTGATTTTCTCTGGTGATATGATTTAGTTTCTTGCTTTTTATGTTTTGTGCATTCATTGCATGTTTCTTGGTTGAGGGTACCATGAGGCTTGTAAATACTGTTTTATAACCCATCATTTTAAGCTGATGATAACTTAACACTGTTTGCATAAACAAACAAACAAACAAGCAAAAAGAATACTAATAAAGATTCTATGCCTTAACTTTGTCCCCCCAACCTTTTAGCTTTCTGTTGCTTCTGTTTATATCTTATTGTGCTGTATATGTCTTAAAAGTGACATGTAGTTATTATTTTTATTGGTTTATCACTTAGCCTTTGTACTTAAGAGTAGGTTATACAACACAGTTACAGTGTTAGAATATTTTGTGTTTGTGTAAAATATTCTGTGTACTTACTATTACCAGTGAGTTTTTATCTTCAGATGATTCCTTATTGCTTATTATCATTATTTTATTTCTGATTAAAATAGTCCTTTTAGCATTTCTTGTAAGACAGGTCTGGTATTGATGAGATGCCTCAGTTTTTGTTTCTCTGGGAAAGCCTTTATTTCTCCTTCATGTTTGAAGGATATTTTTACCACATATAATCTAGAGTAAAAGGTTTTTTTTTTTTTTTCCTTTGGCACTTTAAATGTGTCATGCCATTCTCTCCCGGATTATAGGGTTCCACTGAATATTCTGCTGCCAGATGTATTGAAGCTCCATTGTATGTTATTTTTTTTTTTTTTATTTTCCCTTGCTGCTCTTAGAATCCTTTCTTTTTCCAATAAGCCTTTTGCACTGCTAAGCATCTGTTCATTATCCTTGACTTTTGGGAGTTTAATTGTTAACTGCCTTCAGGTAGTCTTCTTTGAGTTAAATCTGCTTGGTTTTCCATAACTTTCATTGGATATTGATATCTTTCTCTAGGTTTGGGAAGTTCTCTATTATTATCCCTCTGAATAAACTTTCTACCCTTATCTTTTTCTCAACCTCCTCTTTAAGGCCAACACTCTTAGATTCGGTCTTGTGAGGCTATTTTCTAGATCTTGTAGGCATGCTTCTTTATTTTTTATTTGTTGTGTATGTGTGTCCTCCAACTGTGTATTTTCAAATAGCCTGTCTTCAAGCTCAATAATTCTTTCTTGCACTTGATCAATTCTGCTACTTTGACTCTGATACATTCTTCAATATGCCAATTGTATTTTTCAGCTCTAGAATTTCTCTTGACTTTTAACAAATATTTAAATCTCTTAGTTAAATTTATCTGATAAAATTCTGAATCCCTTCTCTGTGTTTTCTCACATTTTGTTCAGTTTCCTCAATAAAGTTATTTTGAATTCTCTGTCTGAAAGGTCAAATATCTCTGTTTCTCCAGGGTTGGTTTCTTGTGCCTTATTGAGTTCATTTGGTGATGTCATGTTTTCCTGGATGGTCTTGATACTTGTAGATGTTGGTCTGTGTCTGGGCATTGAAGAATTAGGGATTCTTAGTAGTCTTCTCAGTCTGGGATTGTTCATACCCATCCTTCTTGAGAAGGCTTTCTAGGTATTTGAAAGGACTTACATATTGTGATCTAAGCTGTGTCTGCTTTAGGGGAAACCCCAAGCCTAGTAACACTGTGGTTCTTGTAGACTCATTGAGGTACCACCCTGATGGTCTTTTACAAGATCCAGGAGAACTCTCTAGATTACCAGGCAGAGAGTCTTATTCTCTTCGGTTACTTTCTGTCAAGCAAATGGAGTCTCTTTCTCTGTTCTGAGCCACCTGGAACTGGGGTGGAGTGACGCAAGCACTCCTGTGGACACCACCACTAGGACTGCGCTGGGTCAAACCTGAAGCCAGTACAGCACTTGGTCTTGTCCAAAGCCTGCTGTAACCACTCTCTGGCTATGGCCTATGGCCTACGTTTGCTCAAGGCCCGGGGGATTTACAATCATCATGGGCCAAAGGCAGCTAAGACTGTGTTCTTGCTTTCAGTTTGATGAGTTCCCCCAGGCCCCAGGTAGGTCCAGAGGTGCCATGCAGGAACCAGAGATTAGAGTCGAAATTCTTAGATGTCTACCCAGTGTTATATTGAACTGTAGATGAGCTGGTACTCAAACTATAAGATGCAGTCCTTCCCACTCTTCCCTCTCCTTTCCATAGGCAGGGGAGCCTCACCCCATGGCCACTGCCACCACAAGCCCTTGTGAAGTACTGCCAGACTACCATCGATGTTCCCTTAAGGCCCAAGTGCTCTTAAGTCAGCTTGTGGTGAGTGCTTCCTGGCCTGGGACTCACCTTTCAGGGCAGTGGGCTCCGCTCTGGCCCAGGGAAGGTCCAGACATGCCATTCAAGAGCCAAGTTCTGGAATCAGGGACCCCAAGTGCTGGCTTGGTGATCTACAACTCTGTGGCCCAACTGTACCTAAGGTGTAAGAAAAGACCCCCTTACTTTTCTCTCTGATTTTCTTACATGGAAGGAGTTGCCCCATAGCCACCATAGCTGGGATTGTGCTGAGTCTCACCTGAAACCAGGAAGTCTCAGAGCCTCATCCAAGGTCCATAACGTAGTACCTGGGTATCACTGGTTATTCACAGACCAAGGGCTCTTCAGTTAGCAGATTATGAATCCTGCCAGTACTGGGTCCTTCTCTTCAAGGCACCATGTTCCCTTTTAGCCCAGGGTTTGTCTAGAGATGTTGTCTGGGAGCTAGGTTCTGGAAAGGAGACTTCATGACTCTGACTGATGTCCTATCCTGCTCTAGCTGAGCTAGTATACAAGATGTAAGACAAAGTCCTCCTCACTCTCCCCTACCCTTTCCTCAATCAGAGGAAAAGGGTCTCTTTTGGAGCCATGAGCTGTGTAGCCTGAGGTTAGAGAAGGGGTGGTACCAGCACTCCCTTAGCTGATCCGGCTAGTGTCTCAGCAAGTCATGTGTCCCCCCAGTCCATTGTTACTGGTCCCAGTTTAGCACTAGGACTTGCATTCCATGTGGCCTAGATTGCCTTTCAAGTTTAGTTGGGGTCTCAGAGCACTTTAGCCTGTAGTAGTGAGGCTTGTGGGAACTCAAGTTTGGACTACTTGGATCAGCGATTCTTCTCTGGCTAGGGCTGGTTTACATGTTCTCACTCATAAGTGGGAGTTGAACAATGAGAACATATGGGCATGGCGGGGGAACATCACACACCAAGGCCTGCTGGAGGGCGTGGGGCTAGGGCAGGGATAGCATTAGGAGAGATACCTAATGTAGATGACGGATTGATGGGTACAGCAAACCACCATGGCAAATGTATACCTACATAACAAACCTGCACGTTCTGCACATGTATCTCAGA